>NC_000001.11:158184587-159434587 GCF_000001405.40 Homo sapiens | reverse complement strand
CTCCTACTCAAGGTCATTGGTTCTTAGAGTTGGGGTTCAGGGTAAACAATAACTGTTCTTCAGTAGTTGTTGGCCCACTTTAGACTTCCTTTCCTATTTTCCTCTTTGGGGTTGTGCTGAGTGAAAAAGGGATGCACCAAAGTATTTTATGAAAAGGAGTGTATTATAATACACTATTCCTAAACTTCCAGACTGATTCCAAAGTCCAAGATATCATGAATAGGATCTGAGATATGTGTAAATCCACAATTTGGGATGGGGTGGAGCCTTCTCCTTTTCCTAGGAGTATGGAACAGTATAAGTTAGTTATTATGGAGGAGAAAGCTGGTTAAAATGAATATCATGAGCTTACAATGCAACTACAGACTTCAGGGCTGGGTTGCACGTGTTTAAATCCTGATTCTGCCTTGAGGAATTAACTTATTTGAGGTCTCAGTTTCCTCATCCATAAAAAAGAATAATAAAATATCTATCTCATAGATTTATAGTGAAGATTAAATTAATAACATACTTAAAATAATGACTACTATCTAGGATACATTCAATAAATGTACCAAAAGGAGATGTCACAAAGAGGGACAAACAGCCTGAAAGTGTTAAAATAATAGAAGGAAAATGAGAGAAGAGCTACCTTCTAATGTATTTTAGCTTCTCACAGCAGTCTTCTTTGCTTTTTCTTTCCTTCCTTCCTTCTTTCTTCCTTTTAATAAATATCTAACATCTACTATGCACCAGACACTGTTCTACATGCAACAGATGCAAAAAGAGCACTCGCAGTGAAGTCTGAATAATTGCCCCATAGACATAGGTACCACCTTGCTTAGGTCAGGTTCCGCAGAAGCAGAGCCTAAAATAAGGTTTTGGGTACAGTGATTGACTAAGGAGTGCCCTCAGAGGAAAGGGAATGAGAGAAGCAGGATGGGGCAGGGGAATCACTATGCAAGAACACAGTCTTAGCTGGAGCATAACTTCAGCCTGATCTAATGGAGGGATCTAGAATTGTGCCCTAGAGTTGGTCCCATCTTCAGACAAGGGGTGGTGGTGGCCTTTTGTACCCTTTGTGTCATTCATGAAGTCAAGTTCACCTTACATAAACTCCTATGATATGATAGTATATATTCTTCCTATTCTCCCTGCTGGTTTACAATACCTTATGACAAGAGTAACAGGAATAATGTCTAACATTATAGTGCAGTGCATGGATATGCTTTATCTTATTTGATTTTCATCAAGCTTGGTAAACCCATATATCTGACTTGGCAAATCCATCTATTTCTTTTTTTCATTAATATTTTTCTTTCTTTTTTCAATCTATGAGGGGAATAGATTCCTAGATGCTGCCTAGATCAGCCACCTGGTGCTTTCACAGTATCTCTCATCTTATTGTCCCTCTCACTGTGACACCTCATCAAACTCTTTTTCTTTGATTGTTATTGAACTGACCAGCACCTAAGAGAGAGGCTTTCTGCCCAAAGCTCTGAGCAAGGCATCCTTGACCTCTTTGTTCCTCAGGCTGTATACAACAGGGTTCAGCAGAGGAGTAATAACAGTGTATGTCACAGAGATAAGTCTGTCCTGCAGGGAATTTTGGGATTTGGGTTTTAGGTAGATGAAAGAAGTACGGCCATAGTGGACAATGACCACTGTGAGGTGTGAGGCACAAGTAGCAAAGGCCTTTCTCCTGCCCTCAGCTGATGCAATCTTGAGGATGGTGGTGACAATTAGGACATAGGAGATGAAGATCAATACCATGGGCAGAACAAGGACACAGAGACTGATGAGCAAAGTAATAACTCCTTGATAGTAGTGTCTGCACAGGCAAGCTTCATTATGGGCCGGATATCACAAAAGAAGTGGGAGATGAGATTAGCATCACAGAAGGGAAGGCTGAATACAGAAGACACCTGAATGATAGCTGTGCTCAGGCCAATGTTCCAGGATCCACTGACCAGTTGTATACAAGCCTTTTTGCCCATGATGACTGAATACTGTAGAGGGTTGCAGATGGCCACATAGTGGTCATACCCCATGGCTGTGAGCAGGAAGCATTTATTGACACCAAAAGTGAGATAGAAAAAGAGCTGAGCGGCACAGCCTGGGATGGAGATGGTTTGTTGAGGACTGAGGAGACCGGACAGCATTTGGGGGTTGATGGCCACGGTATAATAGGTCTCAGAAATAGACAGCACACTCAGGAAGAAATACATGGGCGTGTGAAGTTGATGGTTAAGGCGGATAACTATCAAGATGATAGCATTGCTGGCAAGGGTCAAAACGTACAAGACCAAAAAGATCACAAAGAGGATGAGTCTGTGATGCCACTCAAAAATGGAGAAACCCTCAAATGTAAACTCTGTCACAGCCATGAAATTGGGCCTTGGCATTGAGGAGAATCTGAGTCTGAAAGAGATGAAGTGGGAATGTTGAGCATCCAGGCTGGAAACAGTAGGCTGGTCCAGGATCGTCATCAGCCATGTGCAGGCACTGAAATGGCATGTAGCTCTGGGTTTCAGATGCTCTCAACATTCAGACACAGGCAAGTACTGAAGGACCCATCAAGGTTCTCTGGGCCCTGAGACTGGGGGACAGATGTAGTATGTGTCTGTTGACAGGAAGTAAATGTGTAAAGGGAGTACAGATGCCCTTCAATGTATGATGAGGCTACATCCTGATAAACCCATCATATGTTGAAAATATCGTGTTAAAAATGCATTTAATACACCTGACTGAACATCATAGCTTATCCTAGCCTACCTTAAATGTATTCAGAACACTTGCATTAGCCTACAACTGGGCAAATCACCTAAAACAAAGTCTATTTTATGATGAAGTGTTGAATATCATAGGTAATTTTTGAATATTGTACTGAAAGTGAAAAACCAAACGGTTGTATAGGTACTTGAAGTATAAATTCTTCTGTATGCATATCACTCTCGCACTATTATAAAGTCAGCGACTGTATGTATTGGAGACCCCTAACTGGTTTGACTAGAAGTAGATGTAGACCAGAGAAAGTACTGAATACCTGTGCCCAGGCCTGAAACTCTACTCAGACTCACCTGGTTTAAATCACCAATGGCACATTGCTCGTCAAAGGCCAGTGCAAAGGGACATACCTAAAGAGTGAATGAGTTCAAGCCAAGGACAGATGGCTGTGTGAGGCGCACTCCTGGGAAGTCAAGAGAGGACCATTCTCCTGTGTCCCAGGACTCTGGAGTCCCTCTCCTCAAAACTTGCTCCATCTCTGTTCAGAAGGGCTTCCATTTGGTAAGTCAAGGTAGAAAGCACTGCCTTCTCTCAAGGTTCAAATTCACAGTGGCCAGTGTCTGGAATAAGGAAGTGAGAGGAGACACTCCTTTTCTCCCGTGTGGATAGTCCAGTGTGCTGACCTAGAACATTCTGTGGTGCGTAGCCACTTCTCTTTTCAGTCCTGCTTTCTTCCAATATCCCCAAATATTATGCGTTTAATACCCGAGTCTCCCCGTTCCGTGTGGAGGGTAGCTTCTGCTTCTATTTTTTAGTCTCTAAACACAATGTAGGCTTGGAAGGTTTTTTATAGATTTAAAACACTAGTAACTATAAGACAACAGCAATAGAAACAACAAAATATTTAAGTTCATAATAATCTCTGGCTTTAACCCCAGTGTAAATGGAGGGATGCCTGATTTTCTTTGCTCGTTTCATTTGTCTCCATGTGCTCATCTACAAAATAGAATAATAATGTCTACTTCATAGTGTCACTATGGAGACCATATGAATTACTGTATGTAAATTGCCAAGTGCAGTTCCTGATACATAGCAGGCAAATACTAAATTAAATTTCTGCTTTCCTCCCTTCTTCTGTCTCCTTCCCATCCCCACCCCCCATAACTCTGGGTTCCATTTGTATGCTTGGCCACCCAAACATGTGCGCGCGCGCACACACACACACACACACACACACACACCATAATTTTTTTGCTTTCTTTCTTTTTTTCATGTTCATGGATGGTTGTTGTCATTAATTTCTTCAATCCCTGTTGAAAGGTCCGGTCTTTACTTTCCATACTCACTTCTCTTCCAACTCTAGATTTTGAAATGTGTGGGAATTGGGGGCAGGGTAGTCTGGAGTTAAATACCTCTGTGATCAAACCCAAGCCCCACTTACTCATATATGACCTTGGAAACAGTTATCACCTCTCTAGGCCTCAATTTCTTCACTTGTAAGATGAAGACTGTGCTAATATCTATCTCAGAGACTGCTATGAAGAAATGCTGAGTGTCACAATCTGGGATGGAGATGGTTTGTTGAGGGCTGCGGAGACTGGACAGCATTTCAATGAGAATATGCTGGATAAGGCATTTAGGCTTTGGAAGCTTTGCCTTCCTTAAGGCTGGTACCCAGATTATCCTTTCTCGGTGATTTTTTTCACTATTTATGCTTTTGATTCCTAAGTTTTGTGACACAGCTGTATATTCATTTTTTCCACTTGATAATTATCTCAGGAGATAAAAGAGAGAGATGAGGGTCATGAGGTTATGAGATGAGGGCCACGAGGTCACATTTAGTTACAGAACAAGAATCCCTGCATCAAGTCCTGAAATGTGACTTACATATCACTGGGCAGGATGGAGGCTTATTCAGGATTCAGGAGAGTGAGGCTTGAAACTAGAATTTCCAGGACTCCCATTGTACTGTGGCAGACACAGCACACAGAGAATCTTCCAAACTGGAGGACTAGAAATAAAACAGAACCTACCAGGACCTTTCAGTTAATTTATCTCCCTGATCAGTCAGATCTGGGAGTAACAAACATACAAAAAGCAGCACCAGGCTCTCCTGCACCTCCCCATTGCCCTGTCCCTTTAAGTCTGAATTGCTGGCTGCCCAAGAGGACCATTCTCCTGTGCCCTAGGACTCTGGGGTCCCTCTCCCCAAAACCACAGTGACTGTCTGCAAGGCAGCAATAGCACAATCCAAACACTCTGATGTCTGGGGAACTCATTATAAAAGTGACTCATCAACAATCATACAACTAGTACTTCGACAATCTTGGTTTTTCCCACAGGAATGAAGTCTTTGCATCAGCATAAGGTCCTGGACTGCTCCGTGGTTGAAGAGGACTCATGCCTCATGATCGCATTATGGGGAGGGCCTCAGAACCAATCATGTTTAAGGATGCAGCGTCATGAGACAAATCACTCACACTCCAGGGTCTCTCTGTCCTAACTGCTGAAGGACCTACCTCTGAGGTCTCTTCAGTTTGAATGTTGTGGGAACCATGACTCATTCATTTACTGATTTCTTCAGCAAATACTCAAAGAATGTCTCTCACATGCTAGGAACATGGAATACAGCAGAAACTGGGAACACTACACCTGTAGTGTAAGCCAGTTTTGCCTGCTTTGCAGTACCTGGCTACCCCTGTGTGTTACCCACAAAAAGCTGAGCACCTTCTCCTTGAGGAGATCAGAAGGAAGAGCTTTACTGAAGTAATTTCTGTAGCCCCCTCTTTCTCTCTCCAGAACTTAGTCCATCAACTGACCCAACCTTGCTTTCCTTTTAGAAGGTGAGCCCAAGATGGGCCTTTCTGAAGGTTGGAAGAGAATTGGATATCAAATCCCCCAGGATACCCTAAGACTTGGGCTCTTCAGTAATTCCTAGTTCTGGTGCCCAGTTTGTATCTTTCTCTTAAGGACTCTCTAAGTACCAGCATACTGAGAAATAAATATTTGAAAGCAGGACAGTTTATTGTGGTGTCTTTGACAAGCCAAGTAAGCTGGGAGAGACTGACAAGCATGGAAGAGTTGCCAGGCATTCAGTTCAATTCCACATAATCTCTCTTAAGGCCCTCAAACATTTACCCAACAGAAACTGGAAGTACTTGAGCTCATAAGCTATTAAGATCCAAAGTCCCACAGGCAAGAGATGAATTTACGGCATATTTATCACTGCTTGAGAATGGCCAGTGCATAACTTCGTTAGGACTGTTTGAAATCCTTTAGGGAGCAGCTAAAGGAAGGCTTAAAGTTGGGCAGCAAGTCTTATCGAGACCTTGAAATAATCATTAATCTTGGGCCTTTTTTGTCAATGTCTCTTCTTTATAGTTCTCCTGGTAGCTATTTAAATATGTAGCTCTTTGAAATTAGAAATAGAATGGAATTGAAACCTATGAGAAAGAAAAGGAAACCCGATACTGAAATTGTGAACAGAAAAGTGACTGACTTTTTAAAATATAAGTTTTATTGTGTGTTTATCTGAAGAAAGATGGGTTTAGGGAGAAAAGGCTAAGAAAATCTAGGATGAATGTAGGTTTTTTTCTGACAAAGGAGAAAAATGTATTGACGACTACATCATCTGCACATTTTGACAGTTTTCTCTTTTCTGTTCTGATTTTTATCTCTCTCATTTATTTCTCTTCACATTGCATTTGGTTATGAAATATAATATTCAATACTAACACTTATAGATACATTTTTGTCTTTTTTTCGGACTTTAAATGTTTTTCATGTTTTATTAACCATTAAACATGATGCTTGCTATAGATCTCTGGCAGATATAAGGAAGTTCCCTTCTATTCCTGGTTTGTTTGCAAGTTTATCATAAATGGTCTGTTAAATTTTCAGCTAGTTTCTTTTCTGCATTCATTGACATAATCATATGCTTTTTATTCTCTAAGTTGTTAGGGGTGAATTACATTAAGAAATTTTTAAAATATTGGCTCATTCATACGTTTTAACGGAAACCCCTACTTGATCTTTGTATATACTGCTGAATTCAGTTTACTATTTTTTCATCTATCCATTATTGGCCGATAATTATCTTTTCCAACTTGGCTATTTTTGGTATGAAAGGTTTGCAATTAGCAGCCTCTTTAAATGCTGGCTAAATCTCACACCTTTCTATCCTCTGAGCATGATGTTGTTTTTTGTGTCTTTGTTTTTTGGAAAGAGTAGGTTTTTCACTACTAGCGTTTCCTGTTTTATGGGGTTTTTATTCTAGTACATTTTCTATTTCTTGTCTAATTATGGTAATATATCCTTTTCTCCAAATCTGCCCATTTTATATACCTTTTAAAAATAAATTAGTATAAAGTTGTTCAAAATGTGCTTTTATAAGTATTTTGTTCCTCCGTATCTGTCCTTGTATCCTACTTGATAATGTTTCTTGTGTCTCTTTGATTTTTGTTGATCATGGCTGTTAGGGGTTTCATTTCTAATTAATCTCTTCAACTATCCAAACTTAAAAAATAAAATATCTATTTTTTTAGTTTTCTTTATTTTTGCATTTAAATTCATCATAATTATTTGTTTTTACCTTCTCTAGATTTGCTACTCTTTTGGAAACTTTTTGAATTTAAATATTCATTTATTATTTTCCAGTAAATATATAAAGCAGTTCTGAGAACTGCTTTGGATGTAAGTCATTAGTTTTGTAGTCTTTTTGTGAAGCCGTAGTAGTATATATTTTAAAATTTTATTTTTGTTTCTTCTTTAACTCATAGTTTATTTAAATGCTTATGTTAAGAGAAAAAGCTTAATACAGGAGTCAAGAGCACTTGTCTCTCTCTGCCACTCACTAACTACATAACCTTAGATATATTGCTCAGTCTCTCTGTGCTTCAATTTTATTTGTATACTGAGAGGAATAATACTACCTATCTCAAGCAGTATTAAAGACTGAATGAGTAAATATTTCAAAGTGCTTAGAATAATGGTTAACATATAGTAAGTGCTATACACGTGTTTATTAAATATCTATGATGTATATAGATCTTTGAAGGTTAATGGAGAAGAGTTTGGCTACTTCTTTTTTGGTTGATTTCTTATTTTATTGCATTGTGGTCCATGAAAAAAATATTTACATAATATCAATATTGAGACATCCTTTGGGATCAAAAGAGTGAACATTCTCTTTATGAAGGTTTGAGCTTTAGATTAGGCCTGTTAATTATTGCTACAACTCTTTTAAGTCCTACTAAACCATTGAATGTTTTGTTAGTTTCAAAAAAAAAATGTTGTCTCCAGCTATGATTGTGTGTTTGTCAATTTATCTTAGTAGTTTTATCAGTTTTTGCATAGTACATTTTAAAACTAAGTTGTTAGGGCCTTATACATTCATAAATGGAGTATCTTCCTGGTGAATTATTTTATCAACATCATAAGTTCCTTAGTTGTTTTCACTTTAAATAATATTTTGTTTGTTATGAGCAATATTACAACAATTTTCTTTTTGTTTTCATCTGCTCGAATACCATTTTCAGCCTCTTTATTTTCCAACTTTTTGTCATTTTAATATACATTTTAAAAAATTGAAGTGGTAGATTATTAAAATTCAGTCTGAGAGCCTCTGTGTTTCCATTAATTAGCTTAATCCATTCATATTTATTGTAATTAAATAAATTTTTGAATATTACTTACACCATATTTTATATTTTTTATTTACTAGGTTTTCCTAATATCTACTTGTTTCTTAGCCAGCCTTTTGGTTAATTGTTTTTTAAAATTTGTTTCCATTGTTTACTATGCACACTATGCAGTTAGATATCCACCATTTCTATTTCTCCAGCATTCATCCTTAATTTTTACAGTTTAATTTTATTTTTGCTAAATAATCCAAATATAGAATTTAAGATGTGAAATAGCACTACATTATTTTAAAAGTTAGTTATTATTCACACATAATTCTTGCCTTTTGGAGGCAGCCACTTTCAGTTCTTTTACCTGTTTCTTATGTTATGCATCTTTATGTTTCTGTTATATTGTATAAAATATGCACATAATGATATTTCTTGATTTCTAAATGTTAGGCATTCTCTCTTGACTTCCTAGCTCATTTACAACACCATCTCTGTGTACATGAACACAAACACACCCACATACTTCTCCTGTCATCCTTTCAGTAAAAATTAAATCTATTTTCAGAACATACATTATTATGATATGAACATATTTTTCACAACTGAGCCATGCAGCTTACTATAAGTTCCTATCTCTTTCTTTGCAATTTTTTTCTTGCTAATTTTTTGTAATTGAACTCTGTTATTAAGTTTTCGAGTATCTTGAATCAATTCTCAAACTCTCCATCAGAACTATAAAGCCTTTTCTCTATAGATACAGTTAGATACAGTCAAATACATGAGATAATCTCCCCAGGTCATATTTATTTAGTTATTTATTTAGCCTTCTAGTTATTTTGTTTCTTTTTGGCCTAATACCACCATTCTGAAGTTCTTTACTCTCCTGAAATCTGAATTTGATTGTTCTTTAGGACTGCTGCATGATTATAGTGCTGGAGCTTTTCCTCACCAAAATGCTGGGATTTTCTTGTCTCTCACCTGTGTTAGTTTCCCTGCTTCCTAGATCCCTCATTTTGATGGAGAACCTCTTCAATAACTATCTGAGAACAAGAACATGGGATGTAAATTTTTTGAAACGTCCACTTCTCTAAAAATATGTTTATTGTATCCACATATGTTGTATTTTGTTGGATGTATTAATCTATTTTAGAAATAATTTTATATCACAATTTTGAAGGCATTGTTTCATTGTTTACCAAATTCTAGTGTAATTGTTGAAAAGTCTAATTTCATTTAAAGTCTCAGTCTTTTAACACGATGTGTTTTTCTCCCTTTCTTTGTCTGGAAACTCTTAGCATTTTTCTTTATCCCTAGAATTTTGATGTGACATGATGGTACTCTTCAATGTGTGTTCCTTTCTTATTTTCTTTCTTGCTATGTTAGTTACTCAATCTGGCAATTTATATTTTTCAAGTATTTTGAAATACTGTTTTCCTTGATGCTGTTCTTCCTCTATTTTTCTGTTTGGAACTCATATTTGTTGGACATTCTACCTCTTCTATCAATCTTCACATTGTTTTGTCTCTTATTTCCTAACTTTTTAATCTTTTTATTACATTTTCTAGAAGGCTTCCTCAAAATTATCTTCCAATTTGTTAATGTATCATTGAAAGAAATTGTCTTATTTTCCAAAGTTTTCTTTTTGTAGAAGCCTGTTTTTATTTCACGGACACACTCAGTTCTTTCATCTCATTGAGGATATTAAACATGTGTGCATACACATCCTATGTATATATACACACACATACATGTATTTCAATATACATATATGTATACTTATATATTTATATTATATATTTACATATTTATATATAATACATACTTAATTTGAATATATGTATATTCATGTACATGTATACACATATATGCACATATACATATATGCATATTTACATGCATTTAAATCATATGTATGTGCATATTAACACATATATAAATATTAAATTATTTCCTCTTTAATGCATTATCTCTATTTTTTTCCAACTTTTAAATTTTTTCTGTTTGCTTGTTCCAGTGTGGCTTTTTTTTTTTTGGAGATGGAGTCTTGCTCTGTCACCCATGCTAGAGTGCAGTGGCATGATCTCTGCTCAATACAACCTCCGTCTCCTGGATTCAAGCGATTCTCCTGCTTCAGCCTCCTGAGTAGCTGGGATTACGGGCACCTGCCACCTCACCCGGCTAATTTTTTGTATTTTTATTAGAGATGGGATTTCACCATCTTGGCCAGGCTGGTCTTGAACTCCTGACCTAGTGACCCACTCGCCTCAGCCTCCCAAACTGCTGGGATTACAGATGTAGTGTGGCTTTTAATGTTAGAAACCACCTTGGCTGTCCATTCATATCTAATAAAAAAGCTCTAATAAGCCAATTGAAAGTTCTGGGTGTGTTTCTTGTATTGACAGCAATACAATGGCAAGTAGTTTTCATTAGGAAGCACCCAGACGTCAGTATCTATAAGTTTATTCTCTCAGAATTCTTCTTTTCCCTAGGAAGAATTCCTTTAATGTTCTTTCTGGTGGTTGTAAACCTTGTTGCCAGAATTGTGGGAGTCAAAGAAGGAAAAGGAGACTGGAGGAAAGTCTCTCCGCATGGTTTGTAGAATTTTCTTAATCTCCTCATTGTCTACACTGCACTTCTTCTCCAACTTTCAAACCCTTCTGGAAAATGTAAATCTGCAGTATTTTACTTGAATATGGGAAGTACAGTGAGTTATATTAGAAATGTGCAATCCTGGGCTTAGGGAGACTAAATCTGCTATAATATGCAGTATGCCTGCCTGCTCTTTGCTCCACAGGGAGACACTGTCTCTGTCTCTGTGTTTCAAGGCTGTTCCCTATACAAATATCTTTGAAATCATATAGATCAATGGATCATCAGTGCCTGTCCTCACAAGATGTACAGAAATGTAAGAGGCCCACAGAGAATTGTCACAGTCAATTCAAGCATGTAAACCAAAAGCTAAATGGGAAAGAAGATATATTGTGTGTGGCAGTGGATGGGGTAAATATTGGCCTCTATAATAAAGTGTAGAAGCATTGTCATCACCTGTAGGAGAAAAGCAGCATGGCTTTTATAAGGGAGATATGTTCTTTAAGAGGCTACATGAACCATCTGTTGTATAAAGAAAAAAAATGTATTTTCGGTTTTGAAAAATTGGAAAGGATTGAAATAGAAGAGGGGCTTCAAGATGGCTGACTAGATGCATCTGGTATTCACCTCTTCCACGGAGAGGAACCAAATTAGTGAGTATATAATTACTTTGAATAGCTCATTTGAGAACACTAGAATTCAACAGAACAGTTATAGGAAGCACCAGAAGCAAGGAAAGAGAGGGAAGCAATGTAGCCTGTTCAGCTGGGATCTGCTGGCAGCCTGAAGAGGTTCCCTAATGTGGGGAAAGAGTAAGCGAAAAGCCCCCCAGTGGTCCTCATTTTCACCCAAGACTCCTACAACTCTAGCCATAGGAAAGGAGCTCAACCCTAGTAAGGTTCGAAACTTACATAGGGAACTTCCTGGGGACTACACAAAGGCACTGCTCTAGAGGGAGCTCATGCTGGGTCCCACAACCCCCAGAGTCTTGTGCAGCTGCAATACAGCATCATTTTGAGAGCCCAGCCTCCACCAGTCTCTGTCCTGCCCTAGGGCTTAACAGCTTCTGCATCTCCACATCCCTGAAGCCCCACTGACATTCTGTACCTACCGCTGCTACTCCTGGGATCAAGGTGGGAACCATGGGCAGAGACCCCTGCATCTCACCTGCGGAGGGATGGCTGCACACTTTTAAGTGCCCCAAGGAAAAATTCCACAGCTCGCAGCTGCCTCCATTGCAGGCTGGTGCAAGGTTGAGGCACAAGCAATATGCACAGTCCCCAGCAACATGCCTAAGGTTGCTTCCACTGAAAGCAACTCCACCCTCCTCAGTAGTAGGGCCACAGTGCAGTCACTGCTGCCCCATCTAAGCATTCTTCTGGGGGCCTAGGGATCACCCTGTCTCTCCCTACAAAAGCCAATACCTGAATGCACCACTGGGGAGACTGCCCAGCCCAGATCCACCAACTCCAGTACTCGGCACACCGTTTGAGGCCTGGAAATCACCCAGCCCAGCCTAACAGTGTTTGGCACCTGAGCACACTACTGTTGGGGTCTGAGGTCAAGCCCACTCAACCTGCAGCTACAACAGATAGCATCACATGAATGTGCCACCTGCAGGCCTGTACAGCGCATTGCAGCAACTGCCAACATCACCGTGGACTGCTTGGGTCCCAGAGGGTTGTCCTGCCACTATTACTGTCATTGCCCATGCCACGCCTGACGCCCAGGTGCTTAAGAACCTGCCCACCCTCCCTGCCACTGCTGGTACCCAAGCAAGTCACCTGGAGCCCCAAGAATCAGCCTGCTTGCACAAGTTAAAATCAGTGCCAGCGTACGTCACCATGGGGCCATGAACAGGCATGATTATCCCACTGCCATCACCACCCAGGCCCAAAGACTAGCTCACCTGGCATTCCAGTTCCTACCCAAACTTCACCACAGCCTCTACTAACTACTACACCATAAGCCACTGAGGAAATCACAGAAACCACTGACATTGTACAGCTAAATAAGTCATAGAGACACTACACCACTGTATGCACCCACGATCCAAGCCACAGTGCCCTAACCAACCAATACCATAGATATATCTTCAGGAAAAATTCCACACCCATGAGAACAAATTCAAAAAATTGGAAAAAGCAACTATTGCACCAGATGTGCAGATATCAATGGAAGAACACAGGAAACATGAAATTAATACAACACCTTTGAAGGAACATAAAAATTCTCCAGCAAGAGATCCAAATCAAAAAGAAATTTGCCAAATCCCCAAAAAAGAATTTAAAATATTGATACTCAAGAATCTCAGTGAGATAAAAGAGATGACTGAAAACAATATAAAAAATCAGAAAAAAATCAGGATGTGAATTTTAAAATTACTGAAGTCATAGATAACATAAAAAAGAACCTAACAGAAATTCTAAAATTGAAGAATTCATTAAATAAAATACAAAATACATTTGAAATCTTCAGCAATAGACTAGATCAAGCAGACAAAAAATCTCAAAACTTAAAAATGGGCCTTTTGAAATAACTCAGGCAAAAATTTTTTAAAAGAATAAAAAAGAATTACAAAGCCTATCTGACATATGGGGAACCAGAAAGTGACCAAGTACTCAAATTTGTGGTATCTCAGAAGACAAGAAGAAAACAAAAGGTTTAGAAACCTATTTAATGAAATAATAGATTAAAAACTTCCCAAGTCTAGCAAGTTATTTGGGAACATCAAGATACAGGAGTCTCAAAGATTCACAAATAGATACAATTTAAGAAGGTCTCCATGGCACGTTGTACTCAAAATGTCAAAAGTCAAAGAAAAAGACAAAATTCTAAGAACAGCAAGAGAAAAGCATCTAGTCACTTATAAAGGAACTTTGATCAGACTAACAGCATATTTCTCAGCAGAAACCATGCAGACCATGAGATAATAGTATGATGTATTCAAAGTGCTGAAAAAAAAAACCTACTAACCAAGGATTTTATGCCTAACAAAGTTATCCTTCATATATAAAGGAGAAATAGAGTCCTCTCCAAATAAGCAAATTTATCACCTTTAGACTGATCCCACAAGAAATGCTTAAGGGAGTCCTATGGGAGTCCTATGCCTGGTAGCAAAAGAAAGATTACTGTCACTAAAATACATGAAAATGTAAAAACCACTGATTTAGCAAACAAATAAGGAAGAGAAAATATTCAAATGTTACCACTACAAAATTCCAGCAAACCACAATAATAAACAACAAGAGAGAAAGAAAGAAACAAAGAATATACAAAACAACCAGAAATCAATTAATAAAATTACAGGAATATGCCCTCATCTATCCATAATAAACTTAAATGTAAATACATTGAACTTCCCACTTAAAAGATATAGACTAGCTGAGTAGAATAAACAATATGACCCAATGATATGCTGCCTATGAAAATTATCTTACCAGGAAAGAAGCGTGTAGACTGAAAGTAAGGGAATAGAAAAATATACTCTATGGCAAATGGAAACCAAAGTGAGCAGGAAAAAACTATACTTATATCAGACAAAACAGACTTTAAGTCAAAAACAGTAAAAAGAGACAAAGAAGGTCATTATATAATAACAACAGAGAAATTCAGCAATGGGATATAAAAATTATAAACATATATGCACCAACATCAGAGCATCCATATACAAAAAATATTATTACATCTAAAGAGAGAGAGAGACTCCAATACAATAGTAGTTGGAGACTTCAACGCCCTACTTTCATCATTAGATAGATCATCCAGAAGGAAAAGTAAAAATAAAAAATGAATTTAAGTTGCATATTTAACCAAATGAACCGAAAAGGCATTTACAAAGCATTTCATCCAACAACTACAGAATACACATTCCATTTATCAGCACAAGAAACATTCTCCAAAATAGATCATATGTTAGGACACAAAACAAGTCTCAACAAATTGAATAATACTGAAATCATATCAAATGTCTTCTGAGACTACAGTGGAATAAAACTAGAAATCAAGAGGAACTTTGGAAACTGTACAAATACATGTAATTTAAGCAACATGCTCCTTGTGTTAGTATGTTCTCACTCTGCTAATAAAGGCATACCTGAGACTGGGTAATTTATAAAGAAAAAGAGGTTTAATAGACTCACAGTTCCATGTGGCTGGGGAGGCCTCACAATCATGGCAGAAAATGAAAGGCATGTCTTACATGGCAGCAAGCAAGACAGAAAACTTGTGCAGGCAAACTCCCATTTATAAAACCATCAGATCTCATGAGACTTATTCACTATCACAAGAACAGCATGGGAAAGACCCACCCCCATGATTCAATTACCTCCCACTGGGTTTCTCCCATGACACATGGGAATTATGGGAGCTATAATTTAAGCTAAGATTTGGGTAGGGTCAGAGTCAAACCATATCATTCTGCCCCTGGACCCTCCCAAATCTCATGTTCTCACATTTCAAAACCAATCATGCCTTCCCAACAGCTCCACAAAGTCTTAACTCATTTCAGCATTAACTCAAAAGTCCACAGCTTAAAATCTCATCTGAGCCAAGCCAAGTCCCCTTTGCCTGTGAGCCTGTATAATCAAAAGCAAGTTAGTTACTTCCTAGGTACAATGGGGTTGCAAGCATTGGGTAAATACACTCATTCTAAATAGGATAAATTGGCCAAAATGAAGGGGCTACAGGCCCCATGCAAGTCTGAAATCCCATGGGGCAGTCAAATCTTAAAGCTCCAAAATGATCTACTTTGACTCAATGTCTCACATCCAGGTCACACTGATGCAAGAGGTGGGTTCCCATGATCTTGGGCAGCTCCACCCCTGTGGCTTTGCAAGGTACAACCTCCCTTCTAGCTGTTTTCACGTGCTGGTGTTGAAGGTCTGTGGCTTTTCCAGGTGCTCAGTGCAAGCTGTTGGTAGATCTACCATTCTGAGGTCTGGAGGACAGTGTCCCTCTTCTCATAGCTCCACTAGCCAGTGTCCCAGTAAGGACTTTGTGTGGGGGCTTCAACCACGCATTTTCCTGCCACACTGCCCAAGCAGAGGTTCTCTGTGAAGGCCCCACCCCTGCAGCAAACTTCTGCCTGGATATCCAGGTGTTTCTGTACATCCTGTGAAATCTAGGCAGAGGTTCCCAAGCCTCGATTCTTGACTTCTGTTCACCTGCAGGCTCGACACCACATGGCAGCTGCCAAGGTATGGGGATTGCACCATCTGAAGCTATGACCTGAGCTGTACCTTGGTCCCTTTTAACCATGGCTAGGGTGGCTGGGACTCAGGGCACCAATAGACTGTGCATAACAGGGGTCCCTGGAGCTGGCCCAGGAAACCCCTTTTTCCTCCTAAGCCTCCTGGCCTGTGGTGGGAGGGGCTGCTGCAAAGGTCTCTAACATGTCCTGGAGACATCTTCCCCACTGTCTTGGCAATTAACATTTGGCTCCTTGTTACTTAAGAAAACTTCTCCAGCTGGCTTGAATTTCTCCTCAGAAAATGGAAGTTTCTTTTCTATTGCATTGTCAGACTGCAAATTTTCTGAACTTTTATGTTGCTTCCCTTTTAAAACTAAATGCTTTTAACAGCACCAAAGTCACCTCTTGAATGCTTTGCTGCTTAGAAATTTCTTCCACGAGATACCCTAAATCATCTCCCTCAAGTTCAAAGTTCCACAAATCTCTGGGGCAGGGGCATAATGATGCAAGTCTCTTTGCTAAAATATAACAAGAATCACCTTTACTCCAGTTCCCAACAGGTTTCTCATCTCCATCTGAGACCACCACAGCCTGGATTTCATTGTCCATATCATTATAAGAATTTTGGTAAAAGCCAGTCAATATGTTTCTAGGTAGTTCCAAACTTTCCCACATTTTCCTGTCTTCTTCTAAGCCCTCCAAACTGTTCCAACCTCTGCCTGTTACCCAGTTCCAAAGTTGCTTTTACATTTTTAGGTATCTATACAGCAGCACCCTACTCCTGGTACCAATTTACTGTTAGTCTTTTCTTGCACTGCTAATAAAGACTGCCTGAGACTGGTTAATTATAAAGAAAAAGAAGTTTAGTGGACTCATAGTTCCACGTGGCTGAGGAGGCAGAAAGTGAAAGGCATGTCTTACATGACAGCAGACAAGAGAGAAAACTTGTGCAGGACAACTTCCACTTTTAAAAACATCAGATCTCGTAAGACTTATTCACTATTATGAGAAGAGTATGAGAAAGACCTGCTCCCATGATTCAATTACCTCTCACCATGTTTCTCCCATGACGTGTGGGAATTATGGGAACTACAATTTAAGATGAGATTTGGGTGTGGTCAGAGTCAAACCATATCACTCCTCAAAGGCCATTTGATCAAGAAAGGAATTGTGGAGGAAATAAGATTTATTGAAAGAAATAAAATGGAAACACAACATACCAAGACTTGTGGGAGACAGCAAAAGCAGTGCTAAGAGGGAATTTTATAGAAATAAACACATATAGAAAAAAGTAGATTTTAAATAAACAATCTAATGATTTACTTCAATGAACTAGAAAAACAAGAACAAAACAAATTCAAAATTAGTAGAAGAAATAATAAAGATCAAAGCAGAACTAAATGAAATAGAGACCTAAAAAACAAAAAATCAATGAAATGAAATGTTTTTAATAGATAAACAAAATCAATAAACTGCTAGATGGACTAACCAAGAGAAAAAGAGAGAAGACCCAAATAAATAAAATCAGAAATGAAAAAGGAGACATTACAACTGATACCACAGAATTAGAAAAGATTATTGGAGACTATTATGAGCAATACACACTAACAAATAGGAAACCTAGAGGAAATGAATAAATTTCTAGACTCATATCACCTACCAAGACTTGAATCAGGAAGAAATAAAAAACTTGAACACACTTATAATGAGTAATGAGATTGGATCAACAATAACAGGCCTCCTAACAAAGAAAATCCCAGAATTGGATGGCTTCACTGAAAAATACCACCAAACTTTCAAAAAGGAACTAACATCAATTTCCTCAAATTATTTCAAAAAAATTAAAAGAGAAAATTTTCTCTAACTCATTGTATGAGGCAGCATTACCCTAATACTAAAACCAGACAAGGATGCAACAAAAAAGAAAACTACAGTAAAATGCTCCTGATGAACACAGATACAAAAATTCTAAACAAAATACTAGCAAACCAAAACCAACAGCACATCAAAAAAAAAAAAGGACAAAAACAATATGATCATCTCAATAGATGAAGAAAAATTATTTTGCAATATTCCCCCATGATAAAAAAAGTCTCAAGAAACTAGGCAAAGAAAGATCATACCTGAGCATAATATAGGCCACTTATGACAAACCCACAGCTAACATTGTACTGAATGGGGAAAACCTGAAAGCCTTTTATCTAAGAACTGGAACAAGACAAGGATTCTCCCTTTCACCGTTCTTATTTGATGTAGTAATAGAAGTCGCAGCCAGAGCAATCAAACAAGAGAAAACTAAGATACTCAAACTGGACAAGAATAAATCAAATTGTCACTCTTTGCTGATGATATAATCTTACATCTAGAAAAACCTAAAGACTCCACCAAAAAAAACCTCTTAAATCTACAAATAAATTTAGTAAAGTTGTAAGATACAAAATCAACACACAAAAATCAATGGCATTTTTATACATGAATAGTGACCTAGTGAATTCTTTATTTCTTTAATAAAGAAGGCAATCCCATTTACAATAACTGAAAAAAAACTAGGAATAAATTTAACAAAGGAGGTGAAAGAGCTTTGCAAGAAAAACTATAAAACATTGATGAAAGAAATTTAAGAGGACACAACAAATGAAAAGATGTCTCGTTCATAAATTAAACAATTAATTATCATTAAATAATTAATCACATTAATATTTTCATGTTCTTAAAATAATTAATATCATTAACATATTACTAAAAGTGAATATTAGTCATATCGTTTAAAATTAATTACCATATTCATATCATTAAAATTACCATATTGCCCAAAGTGATCTATAGATCCAATGCAATCTCCATTCAAATATCAATGTCATATTTCACAGAATTAGAAAAAGCAATCCAAAAATTTGTATGGAACCAAAAAAGAGCTTGAATAGCCAAAGCAATCTTGAGCACAAACAACAAAGCTAGAGGCATCACCTGACCTGACTTCAAAATGTGTTACAGGGCTATCATAACCAAAATAGCATGGTATTAGTATAAAAACAGACACACAGGCCAGTGAAACAGAATAGAGAATTCAGAAATGCATTCATTTATTCACAGTCAACTGATTTTAGACAAAGGCACTAAGAACATGCATTGGGAAAAGGATACCTTCTTCAATAAGTGGTACTGGGAAAATTGGATGTCCATATGCAGAAGAATAAAAGTGGGCTTCTATCTCTCACCATATAAAAAAATCAACTCAAGATGGATCAAAGACTTGAATGTAAGACCCAAAACTATGAAATAACTAGAAGAAAACGTAGGGAAAACCCTTCAGAATACTGATGCAGGCAAAGATTTATGTATAATGAAGATCGCAAAAGCATAGATAAAAACAAACAGATAAATTGAACTCTATTAAACTAAATAGCTTCTTCACAGCAAAGGAAACAATCAAAAGTTGAGAAACAACACATTGAATGGGAGTATATATTTGCAAACTATTCATCCCACAAGGGACTAATATCCAGAATATACAAGGAACTCACCTCAACAGTAAAAATAAAAATCCAATTAAAAAGTGGGCAAAGGACAAGAATAGACATTTTTCAAAAGAAGATATACAAATGACCAACCATACATGAAAAAATGCTTAATATCACTAATCATCAGGGAAATTCAAATCAAAACCACAATGAGATATATCATCTTACCCTGGTTAGAATGGCTATTACTAAAATTAATAAATAACAGAAGATGCCAAGAAAAGGGAACTCTTATACAATATTGGTGGGAACGTAAATTAGTACAGTTGCTATAGAAAACAGTATGACATTTCTCAAAAGCTAAAAATAGAACTACCATATGATCCAGCAATTCTGCTGTTGGGTATATGTTCAAAAGAAAGGAAATCAATATATTGAAGAGATATCTACACTTTCATGTTTATTGCAACACTCTTCAAAATAGCTAAGATATGGAATTCACCTAAGTGGCCATCAACTGACAAATGTACAAAGTAAATGTGGTATGTAAACACAATGGAATACTGTTTGACCATAAAAAGAATGAAATCCCATCATTTGAAGCAACATGGATGGAACTGGAGGTCATTAAGTGAAATAAGCCAGACACAAAAAGAAAAATTTTACATGTCCTCTCTCATATGTGGGAGCTACAAAAGTTGATTTCATCGAGGTAGAGAACAGAACGGTAGACACGAAAGCCTAGGAATGGTGTGTGGGTAGGAGGGTGGTGATGAAGAGAAGTTGGTCAATGGGTACAAACATACAGTTAGAAGTTATAAATTCTCATGGTCCACAGCAGGTTAGGGTGACTGCAGCTAGTAACAACGTATTGTAAATTTCAAAGTAGCTAGAAGAGAGGACTTGAAATGTTTCCAACACATAGAAATGATAAATACTGAAGGTGATAGATACCCTAAATACGCTGATTTGATCATTATACATTCACTGCATGTAACAAATACTCACATGTACCCCATAAATATGTAAAATATTATGTGCCAATTTAAAAACCTAAAAAACCCATTAAATAAGTGTGAACTATACATACATTTAAGAAAGATTAATAAAAACAAGCAATATATTTTTTTATTTTTATTTATTTACTTTTTTATTTTATTTTATTATTATTATACTTTAAGTTTTAGGGTACATGTGCACAATGTGCAGGTTAGTTACATATGTGTACATGTGCCATGCTGGTGTGCTGCACCCATTAACTCATCATTTAGCATTAGGTATATCTCCTAATGCTATCCCTCCCCCCTCCCCCTACCCCACAACAGTCCCTAGAGTGTGATGTTCCCCTTCCTGTGTCCATGTGTTCTCATTGTTCAATTCCGACCTATGAGTGAGAACATTTGGTGTTTGGTTTTTTGTTCTTGTGATAGCTTACTGAGAATGATGATTTCCCATTTCATCCATGTCCCTGCAAAGGACATGAACTCATCATTTTTTATGGTTGCATAGTATTCCATGGTGTATATGTGCCACATTTTCTTAATCCAATCTATCATTGTTGGACATTTGGGTTGGTTCCAAGTCTTTGCTATTGTGAATAGTGCCACAATAAACATACGTGTGCATGTGTCTTTATAGCAGCATGATTTATAGTCCTTTGGGTATATACCCAGTAATGGGATGGCTGGGTCAAATGGTATTTCTAGTTCTAGATCCCTGAGGAATCGCCACACTGACTACCACAATGGTTGAACTAGTTTACAGTCCCACCAACAGTGTAAAAGTGTTCCTATTTCTCCATATCCTCTCCAGCACCTGTTGTTTCCTGACTTTTTAATGATTGCCATTCTAACAAGTGTGAGGTGGTATCTCATTGTGGTTTTGATTTGCATTTCTCTGATGGCCAGTGATGGTGAGCATTTTTTCAAGTGTTTTTCTGGCTGCATAAATGTCTTCCTTTGAGAAGTGTCTGTTCACGTCCTTTGCCCACTTTTTGATGGGGTTGTTTGTTTTTTTCTTGTAAATTTGTTTGAGTTCATTGTCGATTCTGGATATTAGCCCTTTGTCAGATGAGTAGGTTGTGAAAATTTTCTCCCATGTTGTAGGTTGCCTGTTCACTCTGATGGTAGTTTCTTTTGCTGTGCAGAAGCTCTTTAGTTTAATTAGATCCCATTTGTCAATTTTGTCTTTTGTTGCCATTGCTTTTGGTGTTTTAGACATGAAGTCCTTGCCCATCCCTATGTCCTGAATGGTAACGCCTAGGTTTTCTTCTAGGGTTTTTATGGTTTTAGGACTAACATTTAAGTCTTTAATCCATCTTGAATTAATTTTTGTGTAAGGTGTAAGGAAGGGATCCAGTTTCAGCTTTCTACATATGGCTAGCCAGTTTTCCCAGCACCATTTATTAAATAGGGAATCCTTTCCCCATTGCTTGTTTTTCTCAGGTTTGTCAAAGATCAGATAGTTGTAGATATGTGGCATTATTTCTGAGGGCTCTGTTCTGTTCCGTTGATCTATATCTCTGTTTTGGTACCAGTACCATGCTGTTTTGGTTACTGTAGCCTTGTAGTATAGTTTGAAGTCAGGTAGCGTGATGCCTCCAGCTTTGTTCTTTTGGCTTAGGATTGACTTGGCGATGCGGGCTCTTTTTGGTTGCATATGAACTTTAGAGTAGTTTTTTCCAATTCTGTGAAGAAAGTCATTGGTAGCTTGATGGGGATGGCATTGAATCTGTAAATTACCTTGGGCAGTATGGCCTTTTTCACGATATTGATTCTTCCTACCCATGAGCATGGAATGTTCTTCCATTTCTTTGTATCCTCTTTTATTTCACTGAGCAGTGGTTTGTAGTTCTCCTTGAAGAGGTCCTTCACGTCCCTTGTAAGATGGCTTCCTAAGTATTTTATTCTCTTTGAAGCAATTGTGAATGGGAGTTCACTCATGATTTAGCTCTCTGTTTGTCTGTTATTGGTGTATAAGAATGCTTGTGATTTTTGTACATTGATTTTCTATCCTGAGTATTTGCTGAAGTTGCTTATCAGCTTAAGGAGATTTTGGGCTGAGAGAATGGGGTTTTCTAGATATACAATCATGTCATCTGCAAACAGGGACAATTTGACTTCCTCTTTTCCTAATTGAATACCCTTTATTTCCTTCTCCTGCCTAACTGCCCTGGCCAGAACTTCCAACACTATGTTGAATGTAAAGACCATCGAGGCTAGGAAGAAACTGCATCAACTAATGAGCAAAATAACCAGCTAACATCACAATGACAGGATCAGATTCACACATAACAATATTAACTTTAAATGTAAATGGGCTAAATGCTCCAATTAACAGACACAGACTGGCAAATTGGATAAAGAGTCAAGACTCATCAGTGTGCTGTATTCAGGAAGCCCATCTCATGTGCAGAGACACATATAGGCTCAAAATAAAAGGATGGAGGAAGATCTACCAAGCAAATGGAAAACAAAAAAAGGCACGGGTTGCAATCCTAGTCTCTGATAAAACAGACTTTAAACCAACAAAGATCAAAAGAGACAAAGAAGGCCACTGCATAATAGTAAAGGGATCAATTCAACAAGAAGAGCTAACTATCCTAAATATATATGCACCCAATACAGGAGCACCCAGATTCATAAAGCAAGTCCTTGGAGACCTACAAAGAGACTTAGACTCCCACACAATAAAAATGGGAGACTTTAACACTCCACTGTCAACATTAGACAGATCAACGAGACAGAAAGTTAACAAGGATACCCAGGAATTGAGCTCAGCTCTGCACCAAGTGAACCTAATAGACATCTACAGAACTCTCCACCCCAAATCAACAGAATATGCATTTTTTCAGCACCACACCACACCTATTCCAAAATTGACCACATAGTTGGAAGTAAAGCTCTCCTCAGCAAATGTAGAAGAACAGAAATTATAACAAACTGTCTCTCAGACCACAGTGCAATCAAACTAGAACTCAGGATTAAGAAACTCACTCAAAACCGCTCAACTACATGGGAACTGAAGAACCTGCTCCTGAATGACTACTGGGTACATAACGAAATGAAGGCAGAAATAAAGATGTTCTTTGAAACCAATGACAACAAAGACACAACATACCAGAATCTCTGGGACACATTCAAAGCAGTGTGTAGAGGGAAATTTATAGCACTAAATGCCCACAAGAGAAAGCAGGAAAGATCCAAAATTGACACCCTAACATCACAATTAAAAGAACTAGAAAAGCAAGAGCAAACACATTCAAAAGCTAGCAGAAGACAAGAAATAACTAAAATCAGAGCAGAACTGAAGGAAATAGAGACACAAAAAACCCTTCAAAAAATTAATGAATCCAGGAGCTGGTTTTTTGAAAGGATCAACAAAATTGATAGACTGCTAGCAAGACTAATAAAGAAAAAAAGAGAGGAGAATCAAATAGATGCAATAAAAAAAGATCAAGGGGATATCACCACCAATCCCACAGAAATACAAACTACCATCAGAGAATACTACAAACACCTCTACGAAAATAAACTGGAAAATCTAGAAGAAATGGATAAATTCCTTGACGCATACACCCTCCCAAGACTAAACCAGGAAGAAGTTGAATCTCTGAATAGACCAATTACAGGCTCTGAAATTGTGGCAATAATCAATAGCTTACCAACCAAAAAGAGTCCAGGACCAGATGGATTCACAGCCAAATTCTACCAGAGGTACAAGGAGGAACTGGTACCATTCCTTCTGAAAATATTCCAATCAACAGAAAAAGAGGGAGTCCTCCCTAACTCATTTTATGAGGCCAGCATCATCCTGATACCAAAGCCGGGCAGAGACACAACCAAAAAAGAGAATTTTAGACCAATATCCTTGATGAACATTGATGCAAAAATCCTCAATAAAATACCGGCAAAATGAATCCAGCAACACATCAAAAAGCTTATCCACCATGATCAAGTGGGCTTTATCCCTGGGATGCAAGGCTGGTTCAATATACACAAATCAATAAATGTAATCCAGCATATAAACAGAACCAAAGACAAAAACCACATGATTATCTCAATAGATGCAGAAAAGGCCTTTGACAAAATTCAACAACCCTTCATGCTAAAAACTCTCAATAAATTAGGTATTGATGGGACGTATCTCAAAGTAATAACAGCTATCTATAGCAAACCCACAGCCAATATCATACTGAATGGGCAAAAACTGGAAGCGTTCCCTTTGAAAACTGGCACAAGACAGGGATGCCCTCTCTCACCACTCCTATTCAATATAATTTTTAAAAAATTGGAAAAGCTGTCTTCAACATTTGAGCCATTAAAATAATGGAGAGACTTTATCATTATGGATAGATTAGAGATAGATAATACATGTAAAGTTAAGTGGTTAATTATCTTGATGGAAATGTATAGGTAGACTCCTCAAAGTTTGTGAAGATATAAAATCAATGGAAATGAATGACCAAAATCTCTTTGCAGCTGGTTGGAAGAGGCAGGTAAGTCTCAGTGAGAAATTGCAAAATAATGTATTAGAAAAAGAGAGTACGGAGTATGCTTAAAGCACAATGTTCTGACTTACTAATTAAAAAGAAAGTGGAATTTGATGCCACAATAGGCTATTCCTAAGTATACAGGCCTAAAAAGTTAAAAACAAAGCGGAGATGGGTTTAATCGGTGAGCAGTCAAAAGAAAAGAATCCTTATGCAAATCCTTGGTCAGCTTCATGCAGCGCAGGTAAATTTCTCATTCACACTACTGCAGAAGATTCAGAGAATAGCTGCGGAAATGCCCTGGTGAGAGTCTCAAGATCTCCAGTGTGCAAGTTATCTGATAAGAAGAGACTCTGAAGTCTACAGTAAAAGAAGCAGAGAAGGGATGTGATTCATTTAAATACAGTTACGAATGGAGTGCACAGAGCAATATAGGCTCATTCAGCTCACACAATACTAGGAAGTACATGACGGACATATCAAATTCATCATTTGTGTTTTGGAAAATCCCACACACCATGGTGCTTTTCAATCCCAGGGTCATAGCTTGGTTTCTCTTTCTTCCTTATAGCAGTTCCCAAGGACTCAGCCTCTTTAATGTTGCTATGAAGCACAAAGTCCTAGATCCATTCAGAACCACTCTTTTATTCCCTAAACATGACATAATAATCTTCTCTAATCATGATAATAATAATTATGGCCAAAATTTTTCGGGATGTTACTATTTGTCAGTCACCTTGCTCAATGATTTATGTATTGACTCATTTGAGCCTCACAATATTCTTATGAGTTAAGTACTAACATTACCCATTTTATAGATGAGGAACTTGTGTTACAGACAGGTTCAGACTTTGCCCAGGTGGAATGAGAATTTATCACCAGGCCTTCTTTTTTTTTTATTATTATACTTTAAGTTTTAGGGTACAGGTGCACAATGTGCAGGTTAGTTACATATGTATACATGTGCCATGCTGGTGCGCTGCACCCACCAACTCGTCATCTAGCATTAGGTATATCTCCCAATGCTATCCCTCCCCCCTCCCCCCATCCCCCAACAGTCCCCAGAGTGTGATGTTCCCCTTCCTGTGTCCATGTGTTCTCATTGTTCAATTCCCACCTATGAGTGAGAATATGCGGTGTTTGGTTTTTTGTTCTTGCGATAGTTTACTGAGAATGATGATTTCCCATTGCATCCATGTCCCTACAAAGGACATGAACTCATCATTTTTTATGGTTGCATAGTATTCCATGGTGTATATGTGCCACATTTTCTTAATCCAGTCTATCATTGTTGGACATTTGGGTTGGTTCCAAGTCTTTGCTATTCTGTTTCTGGGTCCTCCATATGTAACCACTGAGCTACAGAGATTCTCATGCTGCTTCATCTGGATCTTAGAAATGCTGGGCCCTCATACTTGATGCTGCCTGCAACATAAGCCTTATTCACTTTTCCTTTACTATCTTGGACAATACCTCCTTTATAGTATTCTTTGACCCTAAGACTGAGTTAGGAACCCTTCTTCATGTTTCCATATCATCCTACACTAAGCTCTATCATAGCACCCCTTACTCTCTACATTGTTACTCCCATTTACCTTTCTTTTCTATTGATGTTGTGAGTTATTTAACATCAGGGACTCTTTCCCATGCTTTATTCACTCAGTAAATAATTAACAAGAAACTAAAATGTACTAGCTATTGAATTCATAGACCTTGACACATAGTATGGGAATAAGAAATATTTGATGAATAAATAAATTAAGTAATGCTCTTCTTTGGGATTCTTCTCCCTTTAAGATCAGTTGTGAATTTTATCACTGATTTCATAGAGAAATATAAGAATTAACTACATAACCACATTGAATAAGTTATAAAATTGATTGTATTCATGCACAGTTTCTGTAATTACTGTCCTTTGTCTTTAGCTTCCAATTCTTTCTAAAATCATCATTGGAATTCTTCCTGGTTAAACACATCTCCTTTAATATCTCTGCTGATGGAATGTTTCAGATTTTATGTACACTTAGAGTACCATATAGCATTCACTAGGTGCCAGAGACTTTTCTAAGCACTTTGAGATATTAATGGATTTAATCCTCACAATGACTCTGTAAAGAAGTTGCTATCATTAAGCTCATTTTAGAGATAAAGCAATTGAGACACAGACAAGTTAAATAACTTGCCCACAGTTACATAGTTATGACCTGGTGGAACCAAAATTAAATTCTGGGCAGTGTGGCTTCAGAGTACATACTGCTTCCCATTACACTCTATTTCTTCTTTGAGCCATAACAATGGAAAATTGCATTTTGATACATTCTTTGTGAGAGATCACTTGGTAAAAATTTTATAGAGAAAAACATGGCACTCTATCAAAGTTGAAGATGCTCATAACTTTTGACTCTGCATTTTTTCACTACCTGTTATTCACTTATGTGTGAAATGACATCCTGACAAAGTTTTCTATTGCAGAAATGTTTGTTATGGTAACAACTGGAAAAAAAGACCAAAACATTGACCTCTATTTCCGAAAACATGGCCACTATTGTAGTTTGGGTGGCTCGCCCACAGCCTGGCCTTGCACTAGTCATCTAAAGGAGCAGAGCTAAGGAAAGTAATGCCCAGGACTCCAAATATTTGGGAAGAATGCTTGATCTGGGATCCTCCCAGGGCAGTCTTTGCTGGCAATTCATACTGATGGAAATGAATGGATTAAACCCAGATATTTATCAACATTCACTATCTCTGCCTCCTCATTGTGTCATCAAAGGCTCAGATTAAGGGTAAGCATAGAGGAAGCTGAAGTGCCTGGCCCATTCAACATTTTCTTCCTCTCTGACCTGGACCCACCTCTTTAATGGTCAAGTAGGGTAGCTGTTTTCTTAATTTTGTTGTTCACATTATGTTGAAATTTCCTTCCCTTTGATCTCTGCCCTTAATCCAGTAGGTCATTAGATGTCTCTTAGTTTATTCCCAAGAGTGCTGAGCTCTTGATCAGTAGAGGAACAAAGATAACCCCTGTGCCTGGAACATTATCTAAGGAATCCAAAAAACTGATGCTGCTCAGACAACTGTGTAATCTGTTACATAGTTGGAGCCTCACCTCTGTCTTTCCGTTGTCCATTTCCTTCAGATTTAGACATTCTTCAGTGCCAAGGTCAAAGTCCACTGCTGTGACTGAGCTCTTCTTTGAAGGTTTCTCCAGCTTCAGGTGACAGCACAGATTTGTCTTCTTTGTTGTCTTTCTAACTTTGTACCTGCTGACTGTCTCTGGCAATGTGATTATTGTGACCATTACTCGCCTGGACATTCACCTCCACACCCCCATGTACTTCTTCCTGAGCATTGCTGTCTATCTCTGAGACCTGCTACATGGTGGCCATTACTCCCCATATGCTTTCTCGCCTCTTGAATCCTCACTAGCTTATTGTCATGCAAGGCTGTGTCACTCAGCTCTTCTATGTGACTTTTGGCATCAACAACTGCTTTCTTCTCATAGCCATGGGATATGATTGCTATGTGGTCTTCTGCAACCCCTTACGGTATTCATAGGTAAGAGGGCTTGTGTCTGGCTGGGATCTGGGTCACTGAGGATTGGCCTGGGCATGGCTATTGTCCAAGTAACATCTATGTTTGGCCTGCCCTTTTGTGATGACTTTGTCATCTCCCACTTCTTCTGTGATGTGAGACCCCTGCTGAAGCTGGCCTGCACAGACACCACTGTCAATGAGATAATCAACTTTGTTGTCAGTGTCTGTGTCCTTGTCCTACATATTGCCCTGATCTTTATCTCCTATGACCTCATCATCTACACCATCCTTAAGATTGCTTCAACTGAGGGTAGGAAGAAGGCCTGTGCCACCTGCACCTCCCATCTCATAGTGGTCATCAGCCACTATGGCTATATTTCCATCATCTACCTGAAGCTTAAGTCCCAGAGTTTCCTGGGGCAGAACAGACTCATCTCAGTGACCTACACCATTATCACTCCCCTGCTGAACTCTGTCATGTAGATCTTGAGGAACAAGGAGCTCAAAGATGCTCTGTGCAGAGCCATGAAGAGGAAACTCTTCAACCCCCAGTGTATCAAGATTGTGATGGCCTCCCTTCATGTGCTTACTTCTCCAAAGTTTTGGCAGTCAGGAATATTGTGATTCTCCACAGTCCAGGGAGCCTCCTATGGGGCCTGCTCCTGGAATGTCATCACAGGTCCTGCCGAATAACACAAAAATGGAAGATTCATGTTGGATGCCTTGTAAAAAGCTTCAGATGTGTTATTCTATTTTGAGGCTAGGGAACCTTCAGAGGTGAAAATGGAAAGTGTTAATTTAGTTGTTCCTTATACAATTTCCCCCTTAGATCCACCTTTTTTCCTCATGTCTTTATTTGTTCACAAACTTTGGTATAAGTTTACTGGTTCCTCTTTCACTGGTGTAGGCATCACCCTCACCCTATGGAGCCCATGGTGAGCCATGAGTATATGCAGTTTCTCCTCGATAGTGCTACCTCATGTCTTGCACCACCATTATCATGGGGTATAAAAACGGGGAATTACCGTTTATCACACTGAAAACAAAGTTCTATATGTTTGTACATCGCTTTATAGTTTATAAGGAAGTTTCACATATAGGATTTCACCTGATCCTTAATGAACCCTATAGAGTAGGCTGGGAAACAATTATGTTATCATCCCTATCTTAGACCTGAAAATACTAAAGCACATATAGATAGAATTTATCTGCCCAGGCACACGAAACTAGACAGTTGTAGTGATAGGATTTGGATCTAGTTCTCTTATCATTGTCACTTGCTCTTTGTAATGAATGGAGTAACATGAAGCCGACACCTCTTGAGAAAAATCATGGTCTTCATTGGATAGTACAGGCAAGGCTGTCACTGTTCTATGAAGCGTGTCTACCCATTTTAGGGGAAAAAAGCATCTTCTCTAGACATTTCTGTTGAAAACTGCCATAATAATTTTACTGCCCTCTCGTAATAAATTATCACAAACCTATGATGTTTGAGCTGTAAATGATACTCCTGTATCATTTACAAATGTGGCACTGTCGCGCACTGCACAACCTGCAGAATCCTATGCTGCAATTCTGATGATGGGTGTGAAAAAGGATACTGGAAACAATAGGTGCCTAGTTCCTTTCCCGGAGTCTATATTCATTCCTGGATTGTCTAAAAGGTGGAAGACATTAAATTCTATTGCTGGCTGAAACACCTCCAGTTTCTCCAACTCAGGCCTTTTCAAGAGACTGTTCAAGTTATTTCAAAAGGTACAGTTATTTTTGACTATAGTCATCCTGTTGTGCTATCAAATAGTAGGCCTTATTTATTTTTTCTATATTTTTTGATACCCATTTACAATCCCCACCTCCCCCTCAAGCCGCCAGCTATACTTTTCAGCCTCTGGTTGCTCTCTATGCCCATGAGTTCAATTGTTTTGATTTTTAGATCCCACAAGTAAGTGAGAACATGCAATGTTTGTCTTCCTGTGCCTGGCTTATTTCATTTAATGTAATGATCTCCAGTTCCATTCATGTTGTTGCAAACGACTGGATTGCATTCTTTTTTTATGGCTGAACATTACTACATTGTGTATATGTACCACATTTTCTTTATCCATTCATCTATCGATGGACACTTAGGTTGCTTCCAAATCTTAGCTATTGCAAACAGTGCTGCCACAAACATAGGAGTACAATCTCTTCAGTATACTGATTTCCTTTCTTTTGTGTATATATCCAGCAGTTGGATTGCTGGATCATATGGTAGATTAATTATTAGTTTTTTGAGGAACCTCCAAAAAGTTCTCCATAATGGTTGTGCTAATTTACATTCACACCAGCTGTGTGCAAGTGTTCCCTTTTCTCCACATCCATGCCAGCATTTGCTATTGTCTTGTCTTTTGGATATAAACCATTTAACTGGGGTGAGATGATATCTCACTGTAGTTTTGATTTGCATTTCTCTGATGATCAATGACGTTGAGCACATTTTCATATGCCTGCATGCTATTTGTATGTCTTCTTTTGAGAAATGTCTATTCAAATCTTTTGCCTATTTTTGATCAGATTATTAGATTGTTTTCATATAGAGTTGTTTGTGCTCCTTACACATTTGGTTTATTAATCCCTTGTCACGTGGATCGTTTGAGAATATTGTCTTCCATTCTGTGGGTTGTCTCTTCACTTTGTCGAATGTATACTTTACTATGAAGAAGCTTTTTAACTTGATGTGATCCCATTTGTCCACTTTTGATTTGGTTGCCTGTGTTTGTGGGTTATTGCTCAAGAAATTTTTGCCCAGGTTAATAATGTCCTAGAGATTTTCCCCAATGTTTTCTTGTAGCAGTTTCATGGTTTGAGGCCCTAGATTTAAGTCTTTAATCCATTTTGATTTGATTTTTGTGCATGGTGAGAGATAGGGGTCTAGTTTAATCCTTGTGCATATGTATACCCAGTTTTCCCAGCACCATTTATTGAAGAGAGTCTTTTCCCCTAGTTTGTGTTCTAGGTACCTTTGTTTAAAATGAGTTCATTGTAGGTGTGTGGATTTGTTTGTGGGTTCTCTATTCTGTTCAATTCGTCTATGTGTTTGTTTTTATGACACTAGTATGCTGTTTTGGTTACTGTAGCTCTGTGGTATAATTTGAAGTCAGGTAATGTGATTCTTCCAGTTTTGTTCTTTTTGCTTAGGCTAGCTTTGGCTATTCTGAGTCTTTTGTGATTCCATATAAATTTTATGATTGGTTTTTCTATTTCTGTGGAGAATATCATTGGTATTTTTATAGGGATTGCATTGAATCTGTAGACAGCTTTGGGTACTATAAATAGTTTAACAATATTGATTCTTCCACCCATAAACATGGAATCTTTTTCCTTTTTTTGGTGTCCTCTTCAATTACTTTCATGAGTGTTTTATAGTTTTCATTATAGAGATCTTTCACTTCTTTGGTTAAGTTCATTCCTAGATAATTCATTTTATGTGTGGCTATTGTAAATGGGATTTTTTTTAAAAAATTTGTTTTTCACATCTTTGACTGTTGGCATATAGAAATGCTACTGATTTTTGTGTGTTCATTTTTTATCCTGCAAGTTTACTGAATTTGTTTATTAGTTCTAATAGTTGTCTTGTGAAGTCTTTAGGTTTCCCCAAATATAAGATCATAGCATCTGCAAAGAGGGATACTTTGGCTTTTTCCTTTCCAATTTGGATGCCCTTTATTTCTTTCTCTTGTCTGATTGCTCTAGCTAGGACTTCTAGTACTATACTGAATAACAGTGATGAAAGTGGGCATTCTTGTTGTGTTGCAGATCTTACAGGAAAGGCTTTCAGTTTTTCCCCATTCAGCTAGTATCATTCAGTATGGTACTAGCTGTAGGTCTGTCATATATGGCTTGTATTTCATTTTGGTATGGTCCTTCTATCCCCTGATTTTTAGGGGTTTTATCATGAAGGGATGTTGGATTTTATCAAATGCTTTTTTAAGCATCAGTTAAAATGATCATATGGTTTTGTCCTATATTCTTTTGATGTAATGTATCACATTGATTGATTTGCAAATGTTGAACCATTCCTGCATCCCAGGATTAAATCCCACTTGGTCATGATAAATGATCTTTCCAATGTATTGTTGGATTCTGTTTGCTAGTATTTTGTTGAGGATTTATGCATCAATATTCATAAAAAATATTGGCTTGTAGTTTTCTTTTTTTGATGTGTCTTTGTCTGGTTTTGGTATCAGGATAATGCTGGCCTTGTAGAATGAGTTTGACGTATTCCTTCCTCTTCTATGTTTTGGAATAATTTGAGTATGATTGGTATTAGTTTTTTAAATGTTTGGTAGAATTCAGCAGTGAAGCCATCAGGTCCTGGGTTTTCTTTCCTGGAAACTTTTTGTTATGGCTTCAATCTCATTACTTGTTATTTATCTGCTCAGGTTTTTTATTTCTTCTTGGTTCAATCTTGGTAGGTTGTATCTACCTAAGTATTTGTTCATTTCTTCTAGGTTTTCCAATTTATTGGCATATACTTGCTCATAGTAGCCACTAATCATCCTTTGAATTTCTGCAGTATCAGTTGCAATGCCACCTTCTTCATTTCTGATTTTATTTATTTAGAGCTTCTCTATTTTTTTCTTTGTTAGTCTGGCTAACGGTTTGTCAATTTTGTTTAACTTTTCAAAAACCCAACTTTTATTACATTGATCTTTTGTGTTTTGCAAATTTTAATCTTATTTATTTCTGCTCTAATCTTTATTATTTATCTTCTACTACTTTGGGGTTTGGTTTGCTCTTGCTATTCTAGTTCTATAAGATGCATTGTTAGATTGTTTTTTGAAGTTTTTTCTCTTTTTTTTTTGGTGCAGGCACTTATAGCTGAAAAATTCCCTCTTAGTACTGCTTTTGCTATATCCCATAGGTTTTGGTATGTTGTGGTTCCATTATTCTTTGTTTCAAGAAGTTTTCAATATTTCATTGACCCACTGGTCATTCAGGAACATATTGTTTAACTTTTATGTATTTGTATATTTTCCAAAATTTCTGATTATTCATTTCTAGTTTCATCCCCTTTTGGCCAGAGAAGATGCTTGATATTATTTAAATTTTTTGAATGTTTTAAGACTTGTTTTGTCACCTAATATATAGTCTATCCTTCAGAATGATCCATGTGCTGAGGAAAAGGATGTGTATTCTGCAGCTCTTGTATGAAATGTTCTGTAAATATCTATTAGGTCTATTTGGTCTATAGTGCAGAATAAGTCTGAGGTTTCTTTATGGATTTTCTGTCTGGAAGATCTGTCCAATGCTGCAAGTGGGGTACTGAAGTCTCCAGCTCTTATTGTATTGGGGCCTATGTTTTTCTTTAGCTCTAATAGTATTTTCTTTATATATCTTTTATATATTGGGTACTTTATATTTAAATTTTATGTAATAAATATATATTTAAATTTTATAAAATATTTATATTGAAAATTGTTATATCCCCTTGCTGAAGTGACCACTTTATCATTATATAGTGACACTCTTTGTCTTTTCTTATAGTTTTCATCTTGAAATTTATTTTGTCTTATATAACTATAGTGACTCCTGCTCTTTTTAGTTTTCCATTGGGATGGAATATCTTTTTTCATCCCTTTATTTTCATTCTATGTGTGTCTATAGGTGAAGTGTTTTTTGTAGGCAAAGATCAATGGATCTTGTTTTTTCATCCGTTCAGTCAGTCAATGTATTTTCACTGGAGAGTTTAGTCCATTCGCATTCAATGTTATTGTTGATAAGTAAGAACTTACTCTTTTTTTTAATTATTATTATACTTTAAGTTTTAGGGTACATGTGCACACTTACTCTTGCCATTTTGTTGTTTCCAGGTTGTCTTGTGATCTTCTCTTCCTTCTTTCTTTCATTACTATCTTTCTTTAGTAAAGATGATTTTTTCTGTTGATACAATTTAGTTTCTTCCTTTTTTATTTTTTGTGTATCTATTGCATATTTTTTGGTTTGAGGTTACATGAGGCTTACAAATGCTATCTTATAATCCATTATTTTAACTTGATAACAACTTAACACTATTTGCATAAACAAACAAACAAGCAAAAAGAAAACTAACAAAAACTTGCCTTAACTTTGTCCTCCCACTTTTTAACTTTTCATTGTTTCTATTTATATCTTATTGTACTGATTATGTCTTGAAAAGTTGTTGTAGTTATTACTTTTTATTGGTTCATCATTTAGTCCTTCTATTTAGTATAAGATTAGTTTACTTACACACAACAGTTACAGTGTTACAATGTTCTGTGTTTTTGTGTTTACTTGCTATTACCAGTAAATTTTCTATTTTCAGGTGATTATTTATTGCTCATTAATGTTATTTTCTTTCTGATTGAAATACTCCCTTCAGCATTTCTTTCTTTTTTTTTTTTTTTTTTTTTTTTGAGACAGAATCTCGCTCTATCGCCCAGGCTGGAGTGCAGTGGCATGATCTCTGCTCACTGCAAGCTCCACCTCCCAGGTTCACACCATTCTCCTGCCTCAGCCTCCTGAGTAGCTGGGACTACAGGTGCCCACCACGATGCCCGGCTAATTTTTTGTATTTTTTAGTAGAGACGGGTTTCACCGTGTTAGCCAGGATGGTCTCAATCTCCTGACCTTGTGATCTGCCCGCCTCAGCCTCCCAAAGTGCTGGGATTACAGGCATGAGCCATCGCGCCTGGCCAGAATTTCTTACAGGACAGACCTGGTATTAATAAAACCTCTCAGCTTTGGCTTGTCTGGAAAAGTCTTCATTTTACCTTCATATTTCAAGGATATTTTTGCTGGATATACTATTCTAGACTTAACAGTTTTTTTTTTCTTCAACATTTAAAATATGTCATGTTATTCTCTCCTGGCCTGTAATGTTTCCACTGAGAAGTCCACTGCCAGATGTAGTGAAGCTTAATTGTATGTTATTTGTTTTTTTTCTCTGACTGCTTTTAGTATCTTTTCTTTATTACTGATCTTTGGAAGTTTGATTATTAAATGCCTCGAGGTAGTCTTTGGGTTAAATCTGCTTCATGCTCTATGACCCTCTTGCACTTGCTATTGATATCTTTCTCTAGGTTTGGGAAGTTCTCTGTTATAATCCTTTTGAATAAACATTCTACCCCTACCTCTTTCTTTACCTCCTCTTTAAGGCCAGTAATTCTTACCATTTCTCAATAATAATTCTCTAAAATAGCCTTTTTGAGACTATTTTCTAGATTCTGTAGGCATACTTTATTGTTTTTTATTCTTTTTTCTTTTGTCTCCTCTGACAGTATATTTTCAAATAGCTTTTCTTCAAGCTCACTAATTCTCTCTTCTTCTTGATCCATTCTGCTATTGAAGGACTCTTATGCATTCCTCAGTATACCAATTGCATTTTTCAGCACTGGAATTTCTGCTTGATTTCTTAAAATTATTTCAATCTCTTTGTTAAATATATCTGATTGAATTCTGAATTCCTTCCCTGTATTATCTTGAATTTCCTTGAGTTTCCTCAACACATCTATTTTGAATTCCCTTTCTGAAAGGTCACATATCTCTGTTTTTTCAGGATTGGTCCCTAGTGCCTTATTTAGTTAATTTGGTAAGGTCATGTTTTCCTGGACAATGTTGATGGTTGATGCTAGTAGATATTCTTCAGTGTCTGGGAATCAAAGAGTAATGTATGTATTGTAATCTTCACTGTCTTGGCTTATTTGCAGCCATCCTTGAGAAGGCTTTCCAGATATTTGAAAGGACTTGGGTGTTGTGATTTAAGCTGTTTCTGCTTTAGGGGTCACCCTAAGCCCAATAATGCTGCCGTTCTTGCAGACTGTTGCTATGGTATTGCCTTGATGGTCTTGGGTAAGATTACCAGAATTCTCTGTATTACCAGGCAGAGATTCTTATTCTCTTCCCTTACTTTCTCCCAAACATACAGAGTCTCTTTCTCTTTTCTGAGCCACCTACAGCTGGGGGTGTAGTGACACAAGCACTCCTGTGGCCACCATCACTATGACTGCACAGACTTGAAGCCAGGATAGTGCTGGGGCTTGCCCAAGGCCTGCTGTAGCCAGTCCCTGGCTACTGCCTATGTTCACTCAAGGCCCTGGGGCTCTATAATCACCAGGCAGCAAAGACAGCCAGGCCTGTGTCCTTTGCTTTAGGGTGGCAAGGTCCCTCAAGCCCCAGGTGGGTCCAGAAGTGCCATCCAGGAGTCAGGGACTAGAGTCAAAAACCTTAGGAGACTATCTGGTATTCTATTATATTGCAGCTGAGCTGGCACGGAAACCACAAGACATAGTTCTTCCCACTCTTCCTTTCTTTTTCCAAAGGCAGAAGAATCTCACCCCCATAGCCCCCACCGCCCATGGCCATGAGGAGTACTGCCAGACTACCATCAATATTCCTTTAAGGCCTAAGATCTCTTAAGTTAGCTTGTGGTGAATGTTGTCTAGCCTGGGACTCACCCTTCAGGGTAGTGGGCTCCCCTCTGGCCCAGGGCAGGTCCAGAAATGCCATCCAAAAGTCCAGTTCTGGAATCAAGGACCCCCAAGATTCCACTTGGTGCTTTACCCTTTGTGGCAGTGTTCTTACCTAAGGTGCAAGAAAAAGTCCCCTTTACTTTTCCCTCTGCTTTTCTCAAGCAGAATGAGTTTTGCCCCATAGCCACCACAGCTAGTAACATGCTGAGTTTTACCTCAAGCCAGCAAGTCTCAGAGGCTCTCTAAGGCCCTCAGTGTAGTACGTGGGTATCACTGCTGGTTATTCAGGGCCCAAGGGCTCTTTATTTAGCAGTCAATGGATGCTGGCAGGACAGGGTCCTTTTCGTTAAGGCAACAGGTTCCCTTCTGGACCAGGGTGTGTCTAGAAATGTTGGCTGGGGGCTAGGGTCTGAAACAGGGGCCTCCTGACTGACTGGTGCCCTAACCTGCCGTGGCTGAGCTGGTGTCCAAGAAGCGAGACAAAGTCCTCCTCACTCTTTCCTCCCTTCTCCTTAAGTGGAAGAAAGGAGTGTCTTTTGGAGCCATGAACTGTGCAGCCTTGGGTTAGGGGAGGGATGATGCCAGCACTCCTTTGGCTTCCTTAGCTAGTCTCTCAGTCTATTCCATGCCCAACCCTCACAACAAGTCCACTATCTCTGGGCCTAGTTCAGCCCTGGGACTCACCTAAATGTTGCAGTCCTTATGATCTAGACTGCCTTTCAAGTTTACTTAGTGACTGAGAGCACTTTGGCCCTTGGTGGTGAGGTTTGCAGGCACTCATAGTTCGGACTACTGGGACTGGCAATTCCCTACTGGCTAGGGCTAGTTTAAATGCTCCCTCTGTGTATGGGTGTCAGCTGAGTTTGTTGGTTTTCCCTTCTGCTCTAACAGAACAGCACTGAGTCCAATGCCTCACAATTGTGTTCTTCCTCCAGCACGTAGAGATGCTTGCGAGGGTTGGGGAGGGGTGGCATACGTGATTCAGGGCTGTTTTTCTATCTCTTCAGTGCTTTTTTCAGCAATATGAAGTTGAAACCAGGTGTTATGAGTGCTCACCTTATTTTTGGTGTTGTTTTCCTGTGAAGGTAGTTGTTAACTTGCTGTCCTTGCTATGGGGATGATTGGTGCAGCTTCCTATTCTGCCATCTTTTTCCACCTCTCTCCCTGAGCCTGGTGGTTCTTATTCCAAAGTCAGAGAAGAAAGCACTTATGCATTAATTATTGTCTATGCATTAAGAGCTTTGCTAGAAATTTTATACACATTATCTAATTTAAACTATTATTCTCCACAATCTAGTATATTAATCATTTTATTCCCTCAGTTTTCCAAGCGATGTCTATTGAGGGCTTTATTACCTGTTTGTGCTACTCTGCCACGGCTGGCTCTTAGTAGGTTGGAGACCTTCAAGGCTACCAACATTTTGATCATGGGAACTCTTTCAACTCTTAAAAATTATTGGGGACCCTATGAACTTTTGTCCATGTTATTTTACTGTAGTAGAAATTAAAATGGATAATTTTAAAACTGTTAATTTATTTGAAAATAACAATGAACCTATTATGTGTTAACATAAATAACATTTTTATGAAAAATAACCAAAACAACAAAATATTTAGAAGAGTGGCACTACTTTACATTTTTGCAATTCTCTTTAATGTCTGGTTTAATAGAAGACAGCTGGATTATTATGTGCGCTTCTATATCCAATCTGTTGCCATATCACATATTATGTAGCCTCTGGAAAACTCCTGTCTCATGAGAGAATGAATGAAAAAGGTAAATAATATCAGTATTATCATGAAAACAGTTTGATCTCATAGACCCCCTGGAAGAGATCTTCCCACTACTCTTTGAGCACACTTAGACTAGTGTTTAAGTGTATTGCTTGCTATGAGCTGTATTTACTAATGCTCCCACTCTTTACACTGACCACACTCAGTTTTAGAATAAAAAAAAAGAAAAGAAAAACAAAATGCAAAAAACTTGAAGTGGGGATGAGGAAGCATCACTTCTTGGGAGTTGTGAGCAAACAAAACTAATAAGAAGGTCACAGACCTCTATTGTCTTTGAGCATTTCTTGGCCTGTTAAAAGAAGCATCAGAAAGAAGAATGCCTGAGTGGAAGATGGGGAAGAAATGGGATTTGGGTCAGGAGATTCTAAGAGGGATTTCTTACCCATTAGTGCTCAGTATATGAGTGAGAGCTGGGCTTTCCAAAACTTGTTTTCCTGCTGATTTTCTCTTGTTCCTTGACCCCAACCAGCAAACTAGAGTCTACGTTTTGCTTCATAGCATCAGCTGATAATCAGTTGAGACCCTTTCTTCGGACTGCTGATGTCGAGCAGGGAGATAAACAACTGGATGGATTTTTTTTTTTTATAGTTGCATGTTCTAAGCACACTGGAGTTCAGAGCCAAAAAGTTCATTTAAAAAAATCTATTCAAAGAGAGATTCATGTTCGCACTTATCAAAGCAGTGTCTATTTAATCATATTCCTTTTCTCTTTCTCATATGCCAAATTAGTGTATGTGTACACATCTGTTTTTGAGTTACATTCTGTTGTATAAATCTATTTTGGCTATTTTTGTGCCAGTTTTATGCTTCTTTAATGAATATTGATTGATTATATATATCTTGATATCTGCTAGATCAAGAAACTCATTGTAATTTTTTTCTAAAAGTCTTGTCTATTTTAGTGCATTACTAAATATAAGTTCCATGAAAGCTTATTATTTCAATTATTATACTCTTAACAACTTTAATAATGCTTGACATAGTATAAGTACTCAGTAAATACTTGTTAAAGGAATGAGTTTACACTTCTGAACTAATTTTAGAGTTAGTATTCATGCAACATCTCACATGGTTTATTTTTTAGGGTTGCACTGAATTTGTAGATTGATTCAGAAAGAGTTGACATCTTTGTCTACTTTAAAGAGAAGCCATCAATGGATATGTCTCTTCATTTATCTCCTTCATTAAAGTTACATAATATTTTACATAATGATATTGTGTATTTTTGTTATGTTTTCATAAGATGCTCAGGTGTTCTGTTGTTATTTAAATGGGATATTTTAAAATAATAGCCTTATTGAGTTGTAATTCACCTAACATAACATTTAACTTTTTAAAGTGCAAAATTTAGTGGTTTTTAGTACATTCACAAAGTTCTATAACTATTACTACTATCTAATTTCGGAACATTTTCACCACCTCCAAAACACCCTGTATCCATTAGCAGCCATCCTCCATTTCTCTCCTGCCTTCAGCCATTGACAAACACTAAACTATTTTCTGTTTCTGTAGATTTGCCTGTCTGGACATTTCATATAAATGGAATCATAACACACATGGTTCTTTGTGACTAATTTATTTCACTTAGCATAATATTTTCAAGGTTCATCCATGTTGCAGCATGAATCAATATTTCATTCCTTTTTATTGCAGAATAATTTTTCATATGTCACATTTGCTTATCCATTAATCAGTTGTCAGAAAATTGTGTTGTTTACATTTTTTGGCTATTACAAATATAATGGTGCTATGAACATTTGTCTGCAAGTTTCTGTGTGGAAGTATGTTTTTATTTCTTTTGGATATATGCCTAAATATGGAATTGTTACTGGGTTCAGTTTGCTAGTATTTTATTGAAGTTTTTATATCTATATTCTGAAAAAATATGGATCTACAGTTTTTTTTTTGTGATGTCATTGGTTTTGGTATCAAGAAATAATAATGGCCTCATAGGATGGGTTGGGAAGTATTTTCTCTTTTTTTTTGGAAGAGTGTATGAAGGATTGATATGAATTATTTAATGTTGCTACACTTTGCAAGTGAAGCCATCTGGGCCTGACCTATCTTTATGAGAAGCTTATTCATTACTGATGCAATGTCTTTACTTGTTAGAGGACTATTCAGATTTTCTATTCCTTCTTAAATGTATTTCTATAGTTTGTATTTTTTAAAGATGATGTCCACTTTTTAGTATTTATTTACTTATTTGTTTTTAGTAACCACACAGGAAACTTAAGATGTACTCTCTTTAATTCCTTGTTTTAGTGATTTGCATCTTCTCTCTTTTCTTCTTGGTTAGTCTAGATAAGCGTTTGTCTTTTTTTTTTTTTTTTTTTTTTTTTTTTTTTTTTTTTTTTGTGGAAGAATCTCTGTCACCTAGGCTGGAGTGCAGTGGTGCAATCTCAGCTCACTGCAGCCTCCGTCTCCTGAGTCCAAGTGCTTCTCCTGCCTCAGCCTCCTGAGTAGCTGGGATTACAAGTGCATGCCACCACCCCCAGTTAATTTTTGTATTTTTGGTAGAGACGGGGTTTCGCCATGTTGGCCACGCTGGTCTTGAACTCCTGGCCTCAAGTGATCTGCCCGCCTCAGCCTCCCAAAGTGCTGGGATTACAGGCATGAGCCATCCCGCCCAGCCCAAATCTGTCAGTTTTTGTTTCATGTATTTTGATGCTCTATTTTTAGGTGCATATTTAATTTACAAGCGTTAAGTCTTCCTGATGAATTGAACTTTTACAACTATAAAGTATCTTTCTTTTCTCTTATAACATTTTGGCCTTGAAATCTATTTTGTCTGATATTAATACATAGCCACAGATCTTTTTAAGTGACTGTTTACATGACATATTTTATTCCACCCTTTTACTTATAACCTGTTTATGTCTTTGAATCTGGAGTCTGTCTCTTGTAGACAGACATACAGTTGAGTCATATTTTTAAATCTATTCTGTCAATCTCTGCCTATTAATTGGATGATTTAACTTATTTCTCTTTAATATAGTTACTGAACAGGTAGAATTTACATTTACCATTTTATCATTTGTTTTCTGTATGTCATGCCTTTTTGCTCCTCTAGTCTTCCATTATTGCCTTTTTTACATTTAAAAAGATATTTTCTAGTTTCACATTTTAAGTAACTTTTTTACTACATTTAAATATTTAAATATTTTCTTAGTGGTTGCTCCAAGGATTATAATTAACTTTTTACCTTACAATAATCTATTTCTTATTCCTATTCCTATTAATTTGCTTAGTGTACAAAAACTGCTCAAATATGACTCCATTCTCTCATCTTTCTTTGCACAATTATTGTCATACATATAACATCTTTATACAAATTTATCAACACATCTTTGTAGTTATTTCTTTATGCAGTTGTATTTTTAATCAAATAGAAGAAAAGAGTAGCAAAAAAATTATACTGTCTTTTTTTACCCATGTATATATATATTTTTGTCTTTTTCTGACTTTAGTTGGAATGCTTAAAATGTTTTGTCATGAAGTATGATATTTGGCCTAGATTTCTGATAGCTACTCACAGGTAAAGAAAATCCCTTTCTAGTCTCTGTTTGGTAAAAATGTTTAAAATCAATTGTGTGTTGAGTCTATAATATTTTTATGTTTCTTCATCCTTTGAGATAATCGCGTGTTTTATTCTTTAATTTTTGACATAGTAAATTATGTTACTATATTTTTAAATGTTGAGTCACCCTTGTCTTTCTAGCTTAAACACATTTGGACATGCTTAATTTAACTATAGATTACTTTAGTTAAAATTTTATTTAGAATATTTGCTCCAATCTATAAGTGACATAGGATTTAATTTCTTATTTTTAACTGCCTATTTCTGGTAAAATATAAGGTTTTTTGAGGCTAGTGTCCCTATGATTTGAGTTAGGGAGATTATTCTCTTTTTGTGAAACCTGAAATAATTTGCATATCTTTCTCTTGAAAGGTTTGATAAACTAGCCTGAAAAACCATCTGTTCTCATGTCTTTCTCTTGAGTGGGTATGCAAAGTATGTTTTAACTATTATTTTTATTTGTTTCGGCTTATTGGCGTGTTCATTTTCTAATTATTCTCAGGTCAATGTAGTAAATTTATATTTTAAATAAATTGTACATTTCATCTATATTTTCTTTTTTTTATTATACTTTAAGTTTTAGGGTACATGTGCACAATGTGCAGGTTTGTTACATATGTACACATGTGCCATGTTGGTGTGCTGCACCCAGTAACTCATCATTTAGCATTAGGAATATCTCCTAATACTATCCCTCCCCCCTCCCCCTACCCCACAACAGGCACTGGTGTGTGATGTTCTCCTTCCTGTGTCCATGTGTTCTCATTGTTCAATTCCCACCTATGAGTGAGAACATGCGGTGTTTGGTTTTTTGTCCTTGTGATAGTTTTCTGAGAATGATGGTTTCCAGCTTCATCCATGTCCCTACAAAGGACATGAACTCATCCTTTTTATGGCTGCATAGTATTCCATGGTGTATATGTGCCACATTTTCTTAATCCAGACTATCATTGTTGGACATTTGGGTTGGTTCCAAGTCTTTGCTATTGTGAATAGTGCCACAATAAACATACGTGTGCATGTGTCTTTATAGCAGCATGATTTATAATCCTTTGGGTATATACCCAGTAATGGGATGGCTGGGTCAAATGGTATTTCTTGTTCTAGATCCCTGAGGAATCACCACACTGACTTCCACAATGGTTGAACTAGTTTACAGTCCCACCAACAGTGTAAAAGTGTTCCTATTTCTCCACATCCTCTCCAGCACCTGTTGTTTCCTGACTTTTTAATGGTCGCCATTCTAACTGGTGTGAGATGGTATCTCACTGTGGTTTTGATTTACATTTCTCTGATGGCCAGTGATGATGAGCATTTTTTCATGTGTCTTTTGGCTGCATAAATGTCTTCTTTTGAGAAGTGTCTGTTCATATCATTTGCCTACTTGTTGATGACATGATTGTATATCTAGAAAACCCCATCATCTCAGCCCAAAATCTCCTTAAGCTGATAGGCAACTTTAGCAAAGTCTCAGGATACAAAATCAATGTACAAAAATCACAAGCATTCTTATACACCAATAACAGACAAACAGAGAGCCAAATCATGAGTGAACTCCCATTCACAATTGCTTTAAAGAGAATAAAATACCTAGGAATCCAACTTACAAGGGATGTGAAGGACCTCTTCGAGGAGAACTACAAACCACTGCTCAATGAAATAGAAGAGGATACAAAGAAATGGAAGAACATTCCATGCTCATGGGTAGGAAGAATCAATGTCATGAAAATGGCCATACAGCCCAAGGTAATTTATAGATTCAATGCCATCCCCATGAAGCTACCAATGACTTTCTTCACAGAATTGGAAAAAACTACTTTAAAGTTCATATGGAACCAAAAAAGAGCCCGCATCGCCAAGTCAATCCTAAGCCAAAAGAACAACGCTGGAGGCATCACACTATCTGACTTCAAACTATACTACAAGGCTACAGTAACCAAAACAGCATGGTACTGGTACCAAAACAGAGATATAGATCAACGGAACAGAACAGAGCCCTCAGAAATAATACTGCATATCTACAACTATCTGATCTTTGACAAACTTGACAAAAACAAGCAATGGGGAAAGGATTCCCTGTTTAATAAATGGTGCTGGGAAAACTGGCTAGCCATATGTAGAAAGCTGAAACTGGATCCTTTCCTTACACCTTATACAAAAATTAATTCAAGATGGATTAAAGACTTAAATGTTAGACCTGAAACCATAAAAACCCTAGAAGAAAACCTAAGCAACACCATTCAGGACATAGGCATGGGCAAGGATTTCATGTCTAAAACACCAAAAGCAATGGCAACAAAAGCCAAAATTGACAAATGGGATCTAATTAAACTAAAGTGCTTCTGCACAGCAAAAGGAACTACCATCAGAGTGAACAGGCAACCTACAGAATGGGAGAAAATTTTTGCAATCTACTCATCTGACAAAGGGCTAATGTCCAGAATCTACAGTGAACTCCAACAAATTTACAAGAAAAAAACAAACAACCCCTTAATCTACATTTTCAAATTTATTGATTTAAAGCTTCCCATGCTATTCTTACAATTTTTAAAATTTTATTTGTATTATTAATTATGTCATTTTTGGGAAGTATTTATTTTTATTGTAAGTGGTCCTTTTGCCATTTGCTCTTCATCATACCTACCGAAGGTTAAATTTCAATAATCTTTTCAAGACCTATTTTTGTTGTAATTTTTATTAAATTATTTTAAGGTATGTTTATTTAATTTTTATTTATTTATTAAATTAATTTTCATGTTTTTATCATCTTATTTCATTTTACCTTGGGTTTATTTTGTTCTTTTTCTATGTCCTCTTTTTGCTTAAATTTAAAAAATTTTAAAACTTTTTTATTTGACAGGTAGATCGCAGGCATTTGTCTTGTACATGATGTTTTGTACTATATGTACGTGTGTAATGGGTAATTTTAGTTAATGAACAGTTGCATTCCCTCACAGTTATCCTTTCTGTGCTGAGAACACTTAACATTCTCTCTCATTGCATTATATAAGAATACAGTAAATTGTCATTACTATAGTTGCCTTGCTGTACAATAGATCTTTAAAATGTATTCCTCCTGTCTAACTGTATTTATGTATCCTTTGCCCAAACTCTACCCATCTTCCCTTCAAGCTCACCTTCCCCAGCCTCTGGAAGCCACTCTACAATCCACTTCTGTGAGATCAATTTTTTTAGATTCCAGAAATGATTATATGGCATTTGTCTTTCTGTACCTGGCTCATTTTAGTTAACATAATGTCTTCCAGGTTCAGCTGTATTGCTGCAAATAACAGGATTTCCTTTTTTTAATGGATGAATACTACTCCATTGTGTATATATGCCACATTTTCTTTATCCATTTATCCATTGATGGACACTTAGTTGATTCCATATCTTGGCTATTGTGAACAGGTCTACAATAAACATGGTAGTGTAGCTATCTCTTCAACATACTAATTTCATTTTCTTTGTTTATATGCCCAGTAGTGGGATTGCTGTATCACATGATAGTTCTATTTTTGATTTTTTGAGGAACCTTTCAACTATTTTCCCTAATGGTTGTACAGACTAATTTACATTCCCACCCTCAGTGTATAAGGGTTTCCTGTTTTCTGTATCCTTGCCAGCACTTGTCATTTCTGACTTTTTAAATAGCAACCATTTTAATATAATAAGATAACATCTTATTGTGATTTTGATTTGCATTTTCCTGAAGATTAGTGATAATTAGCATTTTTTTCATATACTTGTTGGACATTTTTATGTATTCTTTTGAGAAATGTCTATTCAAGTCTGCCCATTTAAAAATTACCATTATTATTATTTGCTATTGAGTTGTTTGAGTTTTCTATACATTTTGGATAGTAACTCATTGTCAAATGTGTAACTTTCAAACATCGTTTGTTTCCATAACTCTTTTCATCTTGTATAAATGAATCTCTATATCCATTGAACAATAACTCTTCATGTATTAGTCTGTTCACATGCTGCTAATAAAGACATACTCAAGACTGATTAATTTATAAAGAAAAAAAGGTTTAAAGAACTCACAGTTTCCCATGGCTTGGGAGGCCTCACAATCATGGCTTAAGGTGAAGGAGGAGCAAAGGCATGTCTTATATGGCAACAGGCAACAAAGAAGTGCTGAGCAGAAGGAGGAAAAACCCCTTATAAAACCATCAGATCTCATGAGAACTCACTATCACAAGAACAGCAGCATGGGGTAACCTCTCCCATGATTTAATTACATCACATCGTGCCTCCCATGTGCCTCCCACAACACTTGCAGATTATGGACACTACAATTCAAGATGATAATTAGGTGGGGACACAGAGCCAAATCATATCATTCCACCACTGGCCCCTCCAAAATCCTATGTCCTCACATTTCACAACAGCATCATGCCTTCCCAACAGTCCCCCAAAGTCTTCACTCATTCCAGCATTAACTCAAAAGTCCAAGTCCAAAGTCTCATCTGAGTCAAGAAAAGTCCCTTCTGCCTATGAGCATGTAAAATCAAAAGCAAGTTAGTTACTTCCTAGACACAATGGGGGTACAGGCATGGGGTAAATACACTCATTCCAAATTGGAGAAATTGGCTAAAATGAAGGGACTACAGGCCTCATGCAAGTCCAGAATCCAATAGGGCAGTCATTAAACCATAAAGTTCCAAAATGATTTCCTTTGACTTCATGTCTCACATCCAAAGTGTGCTGATGCAAGTGGTGGGCTCCCACAGCTTTGGGCAGCTCCTCCCCTGTGGCTTTGCAGGGTGCAGCTTCCTTTCTGGCTGCTTTCATGGGCTGGTCTTGAGTGTCTGCACTTTTCCAGACACCTGGTAAAAGCTGTTGGTGGATCTACCATTCTGGGGTCTGGAGGACAGTGGCCTCTTTTCACAGATCCGCTAGGCAGTGCCCCAGTGGGGATTCTGTGTGGGGGCTCCAACCCCACATTTCTTTTTCACACTGTCCTAGCAGAGGTTCTCTATGAGGTCTCCAACCCTTTAGCAAACTTTTGCCTGGACATTTACTTGTTTCCACACATCCTCTGAAATCTAGGCAGAGTTTCCAAGCCTCAGTTCTTGACTTCTGTGCACTTACAGGCTCAACACCACATGGAAGCTGCCACGGCTTGGGGCTTGCACCCTCTGAAGCTATGGTCTGAGCTGTACCTTGGTGTCTTTTAGCCACAACAGTAGCAGCTGGGATGCAAGGCCACCAAATCCCTAGGCTCCACACAGCTGAGGGGTCCTGGGCCCAGCCCACAAAATCATTTTTCCTCCTAGGCCTCTAGGCCTGTGATGGAGGGGGCTCCCATGGAGCTCTCTGACATACCCTGGAGACATTTTCCCCATTGTCTTGGTGACTAACATTTGGCTCCTTGTTACTTACGCAAATTTTATGCAAATTTCTGCAGCAGGCTTGAATTTCTCCCCAGAAAAATGGTTTCTTATTTTTTGTTGCATTGTCAGGTTGCAAATTTTTCAAACTTTTGCTTTCTTTTGAATGTCCTGCTGCTTAGAATTTTTTTTTTCTGCCAGACACCTTATATCATCTCTCTCACGCTCAAAGTTCCACAGATCTCTAGAGCAAGGAAAAAATGCCATCAGTCTCTTTGCATACCAAAAGTGACCTTTACTGCAGTTCCCAACAAGTTCCTCATCTCCATCTGAGACCATCTCAGCCTGGATATTATTGTCCATATCACTATCAGCATTTTGGTCAAAGCCATTCAACAAGTCTTTAGGAAGTTCCAAACTTTTCCACATTTTTCTACCTTCTCCTGAGACCTCCAAACTGTCCCAACCTCTGCTTGTTACCCAGTTTCAAAGTTGCTTCCACATTTTTGGGTATCTTTACAGCAGCACCCCAATCTACTGGCACCAATTTACTGTATTAGTCTGTTCTCACACTGCTAATAAAGTCATACCTGAGACTGGGTAATTTATAAAGGAAAAGAGGTTTAATGAATTCACAATTCCACATGGCTGGGGAGGCCACACAATCATGGCTGAAGGTGAAGGAGGAGCAAAGGCACATCTTACATGGTAGAAGGCAAAAAAGAAGTGCCAGGCAAAAGGGAGAAATCTCCTTATAAAACCACCAGATCTCATGAGAACTCACTCACTGTCATGAGAACAGCAGCATGAGGGTGACCTCCACTGTGATTCAATTACCTCCTACTGGGTCCCTCCCATGGGATATGGAGATTATGGGAACTACAATTCAAGATGAGATTTGGGTGGAGACACAGCCAAACCACATGACTCCATTTCTTCCTTTCCCTAGTTCCTGGGAACCACCACTCTACTTCTGTTTCAATGATTTTGACTACTCTAAGTACCTCACATAAGTGGAGTTGTACAATATGTGCCTTTTTGTGGCTTACTTATGTTACTAAACATTAATGTCCTCAAGGTTCATCCATGTTATTAATATTTTAATAATAATAGAAAATAATTTAATAATAAAATGAAATAATAATTTCCTTTTAAAGGCTGAATGATATTCCATCATATGCCTATAACACATTTTGTTTATCCATTCATGCACCAATGGACACTTTATTGCTTCAGTGTTTTAGTTATTGTGAATAATGCTGCTGTAAACATGGATGCACATTTGTTTTTTTGGGATTCTACTTTCAATTCTTTTGGTTATATAATTTGAAGTGGAATTGCTGTGTCATATGGTAACTCTATCTTTAAATTTTAAGGAAATTTAATACTGCTTTCTACAACAGGTGCCTCATATCACATTCTCACCAGCTGTGCTAAATTGTCCTATTTCTCTATATCTTTGCCAATATTTGTTATTTTCTGTTTTTTTGTAATAGTCATTCTAATGGTGTGAGAAAGTATCTCATTGAAGTTTTTATTTGCATTTCCATAAAGTTTAGTGATGTTGAGTGTATTAGGCTGTTCTCACATTGCTATAAAGAAATACCTGAGACTCAGTATTTTATAAAGAAAAGAGCATTAATTGGCTTATGGTTCCACAGGCTGTACAGGAAGCATAACACAGACATCTGCTTCTAGGAAGGCCTCAGGACACTTAAAATCATGGAAGAAGACAAAGGGGAAGCAGGTGTCCCATGTGGCAGGAGCAAGAGAGAGAGATACACACACACACACAGAGAGAGAAAGAGAGAGAAGACACCACACACTTTTAAACAATGAGATCTTGTGAGAACTTATTCACTATCACAATGAGAGCACCAAGAAGATGGTACTAAACCATTCATGAGAAATCCACCCATCCATGATCCAATTATTTCCTATCCAGCCCCACCTTCAACATTAGGGATTACAATCCAACATGAGATTTGGCCATTGACAAATATCCAGACTATATCATACCACCCCTGGCCCCTCCCAAATCTCATGTTCTCCTTACATTTCAGAATACAGTCATTGACTGATATAGTTGGCTGTGTACCCACCCAAAATCTCATCTTGAATTGTAATAATCCCCACATATCAAGTGTGGGATGAGGTGGAAATAATTGAATCATGGGATCATGTTCCCTCATACTGTTCTTGTGATAGTGAATGAGTTCTCACAAGATCTGATGGTTTTGTAAGGGACTTCCCACTTTGCTCAGTTCTCATTCTCCTTCCTGCTGGCATGTGAAGAAGAACATGTTTGCTTCCACTTCCACCATAATTGTAAGTTTCCTGAGGCTTCCCCAGCCATGCTGAACTGTGAGTCAATTAAGCCTCTTTTCTTTATAAATTACCCAGTCTCAGGTATGTCTTTATTAGCAGTGTGAGAATAGACTAATGCATTGCTTTACCAATAGCCCCTCAAAGTCTTAACCCATTTCAGCATTAACTCTAAAATCAAAAATTCAAAGTGGCATTTTAGACAAGGCAAGTTCCTTCTACCTATGAGCTTGTAAAATAAAAAATAAGTTAGTTACTTCCAAGGTATAATGGAAGTATAAGCATTAGGTAAATATTCCCGTTCCAAAAGGGAGAAATTAGAAAAAAGAAAGGGGCTACAGGCCCTATGTGTGTTCAAAACCCATCAGCACAGTCATTAAATCTTAAAGCTCCAAAATAATCTTCTTTGACTCTATGTTCCACATCCAGGGTACACTGGTGAATAAGATGGGCTCCTAAGGCGTTGGACAACTTTATCCCTGTGTCTTTGCAAGGTTCAGCCCTCACTGCTGCTCTTATGAGCTGGAGTTGAGCACCTGTGGCTTTTCCAGGTGAAGGGTGTGAGCTGTGAGTGTATCCACCATTCTCGGATTTGGAAGATGATGGCCCTCTTCCCACACCTCCACTAGGCAGTGCCCCAGTGGGAACTCTATGTGGGAGCTTCAACCCCACATTTCCCCTCTGCACTGTTTTGGTAAAGGTTCTCCATGAGGGCTCCCTGCAGCAGATTTCTGCCTGGACACCCAGGCTTTTTCATACATACTGTAAAACCTAGGCAGAGACTCCCAAGCCTCAACTCTTGCACTCTGTAAACCCAAAGGCTTAACACCACATAGAAACTGCCAAGGCTTATGGCTTTCATGCTCCAAAGCAGCAGCTGGGTCTGTATCTGGGGCCCTTTGAGTCAATGCTGAAGACAGTGCAACTGGGATTTGGAGAGCAGTTTCTTGAGGCTGCACAGGGCAGCAGGGCTCTGGGTCTGGTGTATGAAACCATTTTCCCCTTCTAGGCCTCTGAATCTTTCATGGCAGGAGTTGACGTGAAGGTTTCAAAAATCCTTTCAAGTCCTTTATCCCATTGTCTTGGCTATCAGCACTTGGCTTCTTCTTATTTATGAAAATATCTCTAAAATGTCGTTTCTCTAGAGCCTGTTTGAACTCCTTTCCTGAAAAAGCTTTTTATTTCTCTGCCACATGGCTAGGCTGCAAATTTTTCAAATTTTACTCTCTGCTTCCCTTTAAATATAATTTCCAACTTACTTTTTTTGCTCCCACATCTGAGCATAGGCTGTTAGAAGCAGCCATGCTACTTCCTGAATACTTTGCTGCTTAGAAATTTCTTCCACCAAGCCTTTAAGTCTTTGATCCATTTTGAGTTAATTTTTGTATATAATGTTAGGTAAAGGTTCAGCTTCATTGTTTTGTTGTGGAAATTCAGTTTTCCCAGCACTGTTGGAAAGACTGTCCTTTTCCCAATGAATGGTCTTGGCATCTTTATAAAAATTCAACTACATATGCTGGAGCTGTTTTCTGAATTCTTTATTCTCTTCCATTTGCCTGTATGCCTATAATTATGTCAATACCACAGTGCTTTATTATAGCTTTGTAGTATAGTTTCCAAATCAGTATGTGTAAATCCTCCATCTTTGATCTTCTGTTTCAAGATTGTTAGGTTATTTGGGGTTCCTTAATATTTCATATAAATTTTAGAATGAATTTTTGTTACTTTTTCAAAAAATGCCATTGAAATTTTGGTAGGAAATGCATTTAATCTGTAGATGGCATTGGGTATACTGACATCTTAAAAATAGTAAGTCTCCCATTTCGTGAATATAGAATATGTTTCCATTTACTTATGCTGTCCTTAATTTCTTTCAGGAAAATTATGTAGTTTAATTGTACAAGTCTTTCACTTCCATGGTTAAATTAATTTCTAAGTATTTTTTTCTTTTTGAGGTATTGTAAATGAAATTGTTTTTATAATTGTCTTTTCAGATTATTCATTGTTAGTATATAGAAATGTAACTTCTTTTGTGTTTACTTTGTATCCTGCTACTTTGCAGAATTTATTTAATAGTTCTGACAGCTTTCAGTGGAATCTACAGTGTTTTATACATATACAATTATATAGTCTGTGAATAGAGATAATTTTACTTCTCTCTTTCCAATTTGGATGCATTGTGTTTCTGTTTGTTGCTTAATTTCTCTGACTAGGGCTTCTAGTACTATGTTAAATTGATATGTCAAAAGTGGGTATTCTTGCATTGTTTCTGATCTTAGAGAAAAAGTTTTCACTCTTTTACCATTGATAATGTTTACAGTGGATTTTTTACGTACAAATTTTATTAAGTTGAGATAGTTTCCTTCTGTTAATAGTTTGTTAAGTTTTTATTATGCAAGAGTGTTGAATTTTACCAAATGCTTTTTCTTCATCAATTGAGGTGTTTGTGTTTCCTTCCATTCATTTGTTAATGTGTTATATTATATTGATCAATTTTTACGTATTAAACCATTTATACATTCCAGAAACAAATCTCACATGGTCATATTGTATAATCTTTATAACATGGTGCTGATTTCAGTCTGTAATCACTTTATTGAGGATTTTTGCATCAATGTTAATAAAGGATATTGGTTTGTAGTTTTCTTTTATTCTGCTGTCTTTGTCTGGCTTTGGTATCAGGGTAAAATTGGACTTAGAGAAGGAGGTAGGAAGAGTTTTCTCCTTTTCAAATTCTTGAAAAAGTTTGAGAAGAATTTGTTTTAGTTCTTCTTTAAAAAGTTACCAATGTAGTGAAGGCCTCAAGTCCAGAGCTTTTCTGTGTTAGTTGATCTTTGATTACTGCTTCAATATCCTTACTTTAATAAGATTTTCTGTTTCCTTTTAATTTAATTGTGATAGATTTTGTGTTCACAAACCATTTCATTTAAGTTATCCAATTTGTTGATGTACAATTGTTTATAGTACCTCTAATCCTTTTTATTTCTATAGAATGAGTAGTAATGTCTCCACTTTCGTTTGATTTTTAGTAACTTGAGTCTTCTTCCTTTTTTCTTAGTCCATCTAGCTAAAGGTGTGTCAATTTTGTTAAATTTCCAAAAAGCCAACTTTTAATTTTATTGATTTTCTCTATTGTTTTTCTATTGTTTGTTTCACTGATCTCTGTTCTAATCTTTATTATTTTCTTCCTCTGCTCACTTGGAGTTTTGTTTGTTTTTCTTTTTCTAGTTCCTTAAGTTGTAAAGTTAGATTGTTGATTGAGATTTTTCTTGTTTTTTAATGTGTTTATAGGTAGAAGTTTTCTCCTTAACACTGCTTTAGCTCCATTCCATAAACTTTGGTATGTTTTGTTTCCATTTTCAATTGTTGCTAAGTAATTTCAAATTTTCTTTGCTATTTCTTCTTTAATCCATTGATTGTTTAAGAGCACGTTTTTTAATATCCACAAATTTATGCACTTTCCAATTTTACTTTTGTTATTGATATCTAATTTCATCCTGTTTTGGGCAGAGCAGATACATTGTATGATATCTATATTTTTAAATCTACTGAGACTTAGTTTGTGTTCTAATCTGGAAAATGTCCCACTTGCACTTGAGAATAATGTGTATGCTGTTATGGTTGAGTACAGTGTTACATAAATGTCTGATAGATCTAGTTGGTTCATTGTGCTGTTCAAGTATTCTATTTTCTGACTTATCTTTTGTCTGGTTTTTCTATCTATTTTTGACAGTGGGATAGTGAAGTCTCCAACTATTATTGTAGAACTCCCTATTTCTCCCTTCAATTCCATCAGCTTTTCATACATAAATATTTATATATATTAGGTGCTTAGATGTCATTAGGTGCTTAAATGTTTATAATTGTTACATCTTCTTGTTGCGTTAAATCTTTTGTTAATATATAATGTCCTTCTTTGTCTCTCGTAATTTTTTTTTTTACTTAGAGTCTATTTCATCTGAAATTAGTACAACCATATTTGCTCTCTTCTGGTTACTATTTGCATAAAATATTTTTTCTCTCATTTTATTTTTAATGTATATTTGCCTTTGGATCTAAAGAGAGTGTTTTGTAGACAGCATACAATTGGAGCATATTTTCTTAATCCATTCTACCAATCTGATCTTTTGATTAGGAAGTTTAATTCATTTACATTTAAAGTAATTGCTGATAAAGAGGAACTTACTCCTGTCATTTCTTATTTGTTTACTATATGCCTTATAGGCTTTTTGTTCCTCATTTCCTGCACTGCAGTCTTCTTTTGTGTTTAGATAATTTTTTATAGTGAAATGATTAAACTCTTTTCTCATTTATTTGTGTATATATTCTATACTACAGGCATAATTTATTTTACTGCACTTTGCTTTATGGCACTTCACAGATATTGTGTTTTTTATAAATTGAAAGTTTGTGAATCTTGTATTGAGCAAGGCTATTAGCACCATCTTTTTCAACAGTGTGTGCTCACTTCATGTCTCTGTATCACATTTGGGTAATTCTGACAATATTTTAAACTTTTTCATTATTATTATATCTGCTATGGTGATCTTTGATAAGTGATCTTTGATGTTACTATTATAATTGTTTTGTTTGAACCTATATAAGACAGCAAACTTAATTGATAAATGTTGTGTGTGTTCTGACTGCTCCACTGACTGGCCATTTTCCCATCTTTCTGCTTCTCCTCAGGCTTCCCTATTCACTAAGACATAACAATATTGAAAATTGATGAATTAGTAACCCTACAGTCAACTTTACGTGTTTAAGTGAAAGAGTTGAGTGTGTTTCACTTTAAATCAAAATCTAGAAATAATTAAGCTTAGTGAGGAAGCCTGGTCAAAAGCTGAGATAGGCCAAAATCTAGGCCTCTTGTGCCAAATGGTTAGCCAAGATGTGCATGCAAAGAAAAAAATTCTTGAGGGAAATTAAATTTGCTACATCAGTTAACACACAAATAAGAAAGTGAAAATGCCTTATTACCGATATGAAGAAACTTTTAGAAGTCAGTATAGGAGAGCAAACCAGTCACAACATTCCTTTAAGCTACAGCCTAATTAAGAGCAAGACCCTAAGTCTGTTTAATTCTATGAAGGCTAAGAGAGGTGAAGAGACTGCAGAAGAAGATATTAAGCTAGCAGAATTTCGTTTATAAAATTTAAGGAAATAAATTGTCTCCATAACATAAAAGTTCACGGTAATTCAGGAGTGCTGATGCAAAAATTAGAGCAAATGATCCAGAAAATATAGCTAAGATAATTGATGAAGATGGCTACATTAAACAACATATTTTAAAAATAGCCTTCCATTGGAAGACAGTGCTGTCTAGGACTTCCATAGCTACAGAGGAGAAGCCAATGCTTGGCTTCAAAGCTTCAAGGGACAACTGACTCTCTTGCTAGGGGATGAATGCAGCTGTTGACTTTAAGTTGAAGCCAATGGTTATTTACCACTTTGAAAATTCTAACACCCTTAAGAATTATGCTAAATCTACTCTGCCTATGCTCTATAAATGGAAGAACAAAGCCTGAATTACAACACATCTGTTTAAACCATGGTTTGCTGAATATGGTAAGTCTGTCTTAAGATCTACTGCTCAGGAAAAAAAAAAAGATATCTTTCAAAATATTGACAATGCACCTAGTCACCCAAGAGTTCTGGTGTAGTCATGGTAGGAGAATAATGTTTTCATGCCTGTTAACACAATATTCATTCTTCAGCCCATCTATCAAGAAGTGATTTTGACTTTCAAGCTTTATTATTCAAAAATACATTTCATAAGGTAATAGCTGCCATAGATAATGATTCCTCTGATGGATCTGGGTGAGGCAAATTGAAAACCTTCTGAAAAGAAATTGCCATTCTATATGTCATTATGAACATTCATTATTTATGAGAAAAGGTCACAATATTAGCATTAACAGGAGTTTAGAGGAAGCTTATTTCAATTCTCATGGTGTAGATGTGGTGGAAATAGGAAGAAAACTAGAATTAGAAGTGGAGTTCGAATATATAACTGAATTGCTGCCTTCTCATAATCAAACTTTAACAAATGAGGAGTTGCTTCTTATGGATAAGCAAATAAAGTAGTTTCTTGAGATAGAATCTCCTCCTAGTGAAGAGGTTGTGAACATTATTAAAACAACAACAAATGATTTAAAATATTCCCTAAAACTTAGTTGTTAAACAAATGGCAGGGTTTGAGAGAATTAACTTCCAATTTGAAAGACATTCTATTGTAGGTCAAGTGATATCAAACAGCATTGCCTGCTACAGAGAAATCTTTTGTGAGTCAATTAAGCCTGGACGAGGTGATTCACACCTGTAATCCCAGCACTTTGGGAGGTGGAGGCAGGAAGATAGCTTATAGCCAGAAGTTCAAGACCAGCCAGGGCGATGTAATGAGACCCCATTTCTACAAATAAATAAATAAAATTGGCCAGGTGTGGTGTCTCACACCAGTAGTCCCAGTTTTTTAAGAGGCTGAGGTGGGAGGATCTCTTGAGCTCAGAACTTTAAAGCTATAGTGATCTATGATCACAGCACTGTACTCCAGCTTGGATGACAGAGCAAGACCTTGTCTCTAAAAAAAAATCAATTGATGTGGTAATCTTTATTGTTGTCTCATTTTAATAAATTGGTACAGCAAACCCAATCTTCAGCAACCACCACTCTGCTCAGTAACAGCCATCAACATTGAGGCAAAATGTTCTACTAGCACAAAGATTCGCTGAAGTTTCAGATGATTGTTAGCATTTTTTAAAACAGTAATGTATTTTAAAATTGAAGTCTATACATTGTCTTTAAGACATAATCCTATTACACACTTAATAAACTACAGTATAGTTTAACATAACTTTTATATTCATTGAGAAGCCAAAAATTTGTGTGACTCACTTTATTGTGATATTTGCTTTACTGCAGTGGTCTGAAATCAAACCCACAATATCTCTGAGATACGTGGCTACCATGGGGATTACATTTAATGCCCTAAAGTTATAACACTCTAATTTGAATCTATGTCAGCTTAATTTCAATAACATACAAATCTCTGCTCCTTTAACAGTTCCATTTTCAAATCTTTTGTCTGTTGATGTCATGAAATTTTATCTTTATACACTGTGTATCCAAAACAATAAATTAATAATCATTTAAAATGCATTAGTCTCTTAAATTATGTGGAAAACAAATTGCAAAGTTATAAACCAAAGATACAATAATACTAACTTTCAGATAAATATTTTTTAATGTATTGTTTAGTTAAGTCATGTACATAGCAAAAAGCAGAGTTACAAACCATTGTTAAAATAATAGTTTTTATAATTGTCCATGTATTTACCTTTATTGAGATTTTTAATTATTTTGCTTTGAGTGACTATCTAGTTTCCTTTCATTTTACTCTATAGGACTACCTTGAGCATTTCTCACAGGTTAGTCTAGTGGCAACCACCTCTCTCAGCTTTTGATACTTTGGGTATCTTTGACAAAGCAAACAAAAACATAAAGTGGGGAAAGGACACCCTACTCAACAACTGGTGCTGGGATAATTGGCAAGCACCATGTAGAAGAATGAAACTGGATCCTCATCTCTCACTTTACAAAAAAATCAGCTCAAGATGGATAAAAGACTTAAATTTAAGACCTGAAACCATAAAGATTCTAGAAGATAACATCACAAAAACCCTTCTAGACATTTACTTAGACAAAGACTTCATGACCAAGATCTCCAAAGCAAATTCAACAAAAACAAAGATAAATAGATGGGACTTAATTAAACTGAAAAGCTTCTACACAGCAAAAGAAATAATAAGCAGAGTTAAAAGGCAACCCACAGAGTGGGAGAAAATTTTGACAATGTATACATTAGCCAAAGGGCTAATATCCAGAATCTACAAAGAACTCAAACAAATCATCAAGAATAAAAGAAACAATCCCAACAAAAAGTGTGCTAAGGACATAAACAGACATTTCTCAAAACAAGATATACAAATGGAAAATAAGCATATGAAAAAATGCTCAACATCACTAATTATCAGGGAAATGCAAATCAAAACCACAATGCAATACCACTTCACTCCTGCAATAATGGCCATAATCAAAAATTCAAAAAATAATAGATGTTGACATGGAAGCGATGAAAAGGTAACACTTCTACACTGTGGGTGGGAATGTAAACTAGTACTACCACTATGGAAAACTGTGTGGAGATTCCTTAAAAAACTAAAAGTACATTTTTCATTTGATTCAGCAATCTTACTACTAGGTATTTACCCAGAGGAAAAGAAGTCATTATACAGAAAAGATACTTGCACACACATGTTTATAGTGGCATAATTTGCAATTGCAAAAATATGGAACCAGCCCCAATGCCATCAATCAACAAGTGAATAAAGAAAATGTGGTAAACTATATTACACATATATATATATTTTATGTATACACACACACACACACACACACACACACACCATGGAATACTGCTCAGCCATAAAAAGGAACAAAATAGTTGCATTTGCAGCAACCGCGATGGAATTGGAGACTATTTTTCTAAGTGAAGAAACTCAGGAATGGAAAACTAAACATCGTATGTTGTCACTCATATGTGGGAGCTAAGCTGTGAGGATGCAAAGGCATAAGAATGATAAATTGGACTTTGGGGACTCAGAGGAGAGAGTGGGAGGTGGTGAGGTATAAAAGACCACCCACCGGGTACAGTGTACACTGCTCAGGTGATGGGTGCACCAAAACATCATAAATCACCACTAAATAACATATTCATGTAACCAAACACACCTGTCCCCTCAAAATGTACTGAAATAAAAAATAAAAAGTTTTAAACATTTTTTATTTTACTTTTGAAGGAAAGTTTCCCTGGATATAGAATTCTGTGTTGATGTTCTTTTCATTTAGCCCTTTGAATATATTGGCCCACTACCTTCTGACCTCCAAAGTTTCTAATGAAAAGTCTGATGACAATGTCATTGAGGATAGTTTGTATGTGACAGTAGCTTTTTTCGTGCTGCTTTAAAGATAGTCTTGTCTTTGGCTTTTGAAAGTTTGATTATAATGTGTATTGGTATGAGTCTATACTTTTTTAAGCTTCTTGGATATTTATATTAACATCTTTCACCAAATTTGGAAAGTTTTCCATCATTATTTCTGAGATAGTCCCCCAACCCCTTTATCCATTTTCCTTCTGGAACTCCCAGCATGTATACTGGTCCACTTAATGGTGTTTCATAGGACTCTGAGGCCCTGTTTACCGTTCTTCAATTTTTTTTTCCAGACTCAGTGATTTTCATTGTCCTATCTTCAAGTTGCTGATTCTTTCTTTTGCCTGCTCAAATCTTTTACTTCCTCAAATGGATTTTCATTTTACTTATTGTAATTTTCAACTCTAATATTTCTTTTTCCTTTTAGGTTTTCTCTTAATATTTCTAATTTTTCATATGGCATTTTTTGACTTTCCCTATATCTTTCTTTAGCTCTTTGAGCATGTTTAAGACAATTGTTTTAAAGGTTTTGTCTAGTAGACCTGCCATTATGTCTTTTTCAGAGAAAGTTTCCATTATTTTTTTTCCTTTGAATGGGACATACTTTCCTGTTTTTTTATGCCTTTTCATTGTTTATTGATTATTGGACATGAATCTAATAATGTGGTAACTCTAGAAATTAGACTATTTTCTTTCCCAGAGTTTGCTGTTTTTTGTTATTTTTATTATTGTTGTTGTTATTGTAAGCTTTGTCCCAAAGATCAGCCTGGGGTATAAACTTAAGGTCTTCTGAAGTCTTTTCTGAGCCTGCACCCTTCCCTGAGCATGGATGATTACTTTCTAATTTTCCCTGTAAATGCAGTTGGTTTTGAATGCCCTAGTCTTTAATGTCTGACTCTCCAAAGGAAAAACAAAGAAAAATGAAAGAGAAGGAGAGGTGCTGACCCTTTAAATCCCCTGGAAGTCACATCAGCTGAAGGAGGAGCTTGCAATAACACAGGGGAGATGGAACAACTCTTACTTCTTTGTTTGTATGTCTATGATCAGAAGTAACAATCAGTGATCAGAGCACAGATCCCTGATATTTGCAAGACAGGGTAACCCTGGCTCCTGCAAGCTGTGTGCAGGTTGCTCCCGGCACAGGTGCAAGGTTGTCTTCCAGGTGGCTGGTTGTGGGCAGGTGGGTAGCTGCTACTGTCCTTAAAGCTGAAATTGACTAGAATTAACTATAGTTCATACCTTCCTCTGGATGTTGCAAGCCTTTAATAGACGCCATAGTTCCCAAATATTTACATCAGACAGATTCTGCCAGCATAGTTGTTTTCTAGGTGGGAAAACACTTTCCTAGTACTCCCTACTCAGCCATCTTCCCCTCACACTGTCTCTGCTAACGTATTTTTTTAATTTGTAAAATTTCTTTCTGCGTCTCAGAACTTGGCTTTTGTATAATATTCTGCTTTATTTCACCATTATCTTGTCTTATCCTTTTAAAAATGTTAAATACTTATCTTTCAAAAGACTTTATACCATGCACTATAGCTTATTCTCCCACGTTTCTTTGTTATTTATTTATTACATTGATTTTTTTAAGTTAATGGCTTTCTTCAAATTGTGGTGATCCTTTCAAGTCCATTAATAACTAAGAGTGATGTACTAACAAATTGTTAGAAAGCTCTGTGTGCATGTAGATGTGTGTGTGTGGTGGGGTGGGATATGCAGACTGCTGGGCTTTATTTACTAGCGTGATAAAACCAAGCAATGTGATGAAGCTAGTTTTATTAGGGTAAGGTTACTTTTCCAAAATAGGACTTCAAAGTGTCTAGATTTGTAAGTCTTTGCCCTTGAAATGCTAATTTCCACAGGGCAAAATTCTGTTGTTTTTTTTTTAGTCTGCAAATTTATTTTTATTTTTTATTCTTTTTTTTTCACACAACACACAGATTGAGAATTTAATGTTTACCATGTTGCTAGTGACATTGCTTTTTTGGGATGATGTATTCTGAGTTTTTTTTTTCTTTTCTGAGACAGAGTCTCCCTTTGTTGCTCAGGCTGGAGTGCAGTGGCACCATCTAGGCTCACTGCAACCTCTGCCTCCCCAGTTCAAGAGATTCTCCCATCTCAGCCTCCCTAGTAGCTGGGACTACAGGCACGTGCCACCATGCCCAGCTAATTTTTGTATTTTTAGTAGAGACGGGGTTTCACCATGTTGGCCAGGCTGATCTTGAACTCCTGACCTCAGGTGATCCACCTGCCTCAGCCTCTCAAAGTGCTGGGATTACAAATGTAAGCCACTGTGCCTGGCTGTGTTCTGAGTTTTATTTATTTTTTATTTTTATTTTTTGTAGTTTTTTTTTTAATACTTTAAGTTCTAAGGCACATGTGCACAATGTGCAGGTTTGTTACATATGTATACATGTGCCATGTTGGTGTGCTGCATCCATTAACTCATCATTTACCTTAGGTATATCTCCTAATGTTATCTCTCCCCCGTCCCCACACCCCCACAACAGGCCCCGGTGTGTGATGTTCCCCTTCCTGTGTCCACGTGTTCTTATTGTTCAGTTCCCACCTAAGAGTGAGAACATGCAGTGTTTGGTTTTTTGTCCTTGCAATAGTTTGCTGAGAATGATGGTTTCCAGTTTCATCCATGTCCCTAACAAAGGACATGAACTCATCCTTTTTTATGGCTGCATAGTATTCCATGGTGTATATGTGCCACATTTTCTTAATCCAGTCTATCACTGATGGACATTTGGGTTGGTTTCCACAGGGCAAAATTCTTCACTTTCCTAATTGATAGCTATAACCCTTATTGTCAGTATCTTGTGAGATTTGCTGGTGTTCTTTTACCTCTCCTCCACCTTTTTAAAAATTATTATTCCATAGCACCCTCTGCTTCACTTCATCTCTGCAAGTCTTTCCGGAAAGTAACTCTCCAGCCTTCTGCTGAGGTTGGGGTGAGGTTCTGATTGTGCGACGTGTCTTAAAAACTTTCAAGCAACTCTGGTTTGTTATGCCAATTGCACAGTCTTATGTTCAGAGATACTACTTTCGGCTTTTGAATACTTCTGGCATTCTGGGTGATAAATTGGCATTTTTGTTGTTTTCTCTGCCTCAGGCTTTAATCAGCATTCTCCTATGTGCTGAGTCAATAATGGTTTATTAATGGGCTTTCCAGATTCCAAAATTTTGTTGAGCTCCATTTGCTTTCATCTTCTATTCTCTTTTGCTATGGAAGTGAGTCTATCTTCTTTCTTAACTCAAGTTTAACAGGGTTCTTAAGAAAAAGAAGCAAATAATGGGCATTTAACATCTGTATTTAATCAGAATTCTCTCTACCTTTAAATTATATTGAACATAATTCCTATAATTTTGTTTGTTCTAAATAATGGTATTATCCAGTATGTGTAGCTTTATGATGGATGAGAGATTTGAGTTTACTTTTCTTATAACAAATACTTTTATAAAAAATAAAATAATAATACTTTTTAGCTCAATACTTCTAGTATCTAGTTGTTTTCTCCTGCATTTTTGTCCTGTTCTTTATCCCCTACATCTTTGTTATTGCCAAACTCTTGTGCTCTGCCATGCCCCTCTTTCCAAGCATAGTTCTCAACTGGAAACCACCAACACTGTCTATTTCTGCTTGTCTGGGAGCAAGATGTGATGGGGAGGACTACTTTCTCTGGGCTAATATCCCCTGTTAATTTCCCCTGGAGTCCTAAATTATTTTTTATTTTTCTTCACCTCAGGATATGAAGAAACTTTTGTGTTGGCCTCAACTTTTGTTACTGGACTCCACTTTTAACTCTCATATACTTCTGAGATGGCTCATCAATCTAACTGCATTGTTTTGAGTCTTCATTTCTTACCTCATAGTTGCTGGTTCATTAGGAATTCCGTTTTTGTTTTTAAGCACTGGCCAAAATACTACTTAAATCTTTCCTATCACTTCTAGGGTTTGGTAGGGGCAGGGTTGGGGAGTACAGAGAGAAGAAATGATATCTGTACTCAGTGTGCCATAGTAAACATCCAAAGCCCAGAGTTTCCATTTTCTTCCTTACAGTTGTCTGAATTTTTTCACAGAGAATGTACGGCTTTTGAATCAGAAAAATACTGATTAATATACCATCATTTCAGAATAAAAGAATAAAAAGAAGAGGAGGCCTACTTCTCAGATGCTTGCCTACCATTTCAGCCAACTCAGTGAATCACTCACTTGGAATATTCTCTTACGGCGTCCATATTCTTTGTTTTCCTTGAATGTAGTGGGTCATGCTAGGGATACATCAGTGTAATTTGCTTTTGGTATTTAGAAAAAAATCTGCTATTTGTTTGCTATATTGGCTTCACCCTTTAAACTCAATGGCTGAAAACCTTCTTCCGTGGCATTTTTTGGGCATCTCTAAATATTTAGATGAAAAAATTATCACGTGATACCATAGGTTATTAGCTCTAATCAGTCTAACAGCATCAGTAATCTGAATAAAGAGAGTCATTTGGATTTTTAAAAATTTGAACATGCATTGTCAAATATAGTTAGTCATTCTCTCACTTAGAGTTAGCTTTATATGCTTTATTTGTTGAAATTTTATCAGTCAATTAAAATATACATTATATTTATTATTGAAAGAGCAAAATGCAATAATAAATTTATGATAATTGTGAGAGTTGTTAATTTTCTGGACAAACTTAAGAGTTTTATGTAGTAAAATAAATGGGAAAAGAAATGACTACTTCACTTAAATATAAGAGATAGTGTGTTGGTTATTAGATAGCTTTAGAAAGCATATTATATCCTTGTAGACTCAATAAATATTTATAAAATTAAAATTGTTTGGCAATATTGAACTAGTTTTAAACACTGTATTAATTTTTAGCTTCTTAAATCCACTTAAGCCATGAATCTTTACAACTTTTCCAGATGAATTTACACAGGATTCTAATTTTGCCACCAAAATCATAAAAGATAATATCCAAGATAAATTATTTTTAATCCATATTTACAAAAAAAAGAAGAAAAAAAGCTACAGAAAAATAAGCTATTTCCCCCCAAGATATTTTGCTGTGCCACCAATCTCAGTTTCTCAGTTGAAAAGTGAACATGTACCTGGTATCATGAATATGTGTTTTAATGACTGTTAGAAGACTCTAGAATCTGACAATGAAGACTAAATGTTCTTCCTCAAATAATTCAAATGTTTAAACTCAATTACTAAATGTTTAATAATTAAATTTCATTGTTTTAAAATAAGATTTCAATTTTATTTTAGTAACACAGGAAAACAGTCTGCTGATATTGGGCATCAACTCTGACTTCAGCTGAACACAGATTTTTAACTCTCACTTATTGAGCATTTGGTCAAAATGTATATTAGATGCACTTCTATTCATTAACATTATTACAAAAATAAAAAGAATTGAACAGAATAGACTTTAATGAGAAACATCAGAATGCATTGCATGCTGTAAGGCTAAGTACTGTTTTGTGAATGTAGCATTTTAGTTTGTATATGTGTGTATAACACACATACTGGGTTATGTGATAACATGCATTTTTGTATTGGGGGCCATGGATCATGATAAAGAGATTAACATTCACTGATCTAGTAGGAAAGAAAAAAGATGCTCAATTTGGAGCAGGAGGATAGGCATTAAATTCTGGAATTGCTAACAAAATATAATAATGAAAAGTTTTGGAAATGTTATTTTGTAAGGAACCAAAATAATATGACCTGCAGAGTTAATGAAAAATGCGATAGCAATTAGAACTTAAAGGTATGTGGGAGGAAGGTAAGAGTCAAAAATTAATTAATAAAATAATATAAAATGGCCAAGAAAAATCAGAGAGGCAAACATATATGGACTATGTTAGCTAATAACAGTGGCGATAATGATAATCATACATAATATTTCTTAACACTTTTTGCGTTATCACAGCAGTTTCTACTGTGGTTATTCTAAAGTGGTTGATTCTTACAAGAACCTGACAGAAAAAAGCAGAGTAAAGATTAGTAAATCCATTTTGCAGATAAGAAAAGATTCACTTTATGGGGAGTGTAGCTGTTTTACTCTAACAAGAATAAAGAATATCTGACCCTGCTTCATAATATTTTTATACTTATTATTTAATGTGTTTGACAACAAACTTTGAATATAAGTTTTACAGGTGAGAAAACTGAGGCTCAAATAAATTAAATAGTTCATTCAAATATATATGGTTTATAAAAAATAGAGCCAGGCCTGAAAATAGAGTATTTTTCTTCAAATGTTTATGTTCTTTCTGCTTCATTCTGCTGCTCTCTCAAAACTTCTGCCTAATATTTTAAGTAGCTAAGTTTGCAAATATAGATTATCTATTACTGAGAAGGCTGACGGTATAGGGCAGCATTTTTGAGGCTACAATTTGAAATAAAAATAAGATATTTTTATTTACTGAGTAAAAGTAAAAGCGACCACTGGCAATTACAGGGTAACTTCATTTTGGATTCTCTTGGATTTCACCATAAATTTCCTCAAAAATGTAGTTGAATCTTTGTAAGACTAAACCATAACGGACTATTTGATAAATTAAGATATTTGAACATAGCCCTAACTTTTGAAATTAACATAAAGGAGAATGTGTCCTATGAAAAACTCATCACTTGGTACAAGTGAGACACTAAACAGCAGGTGTAACTGTCCATCTAGGTAAGACTTCACCCAGTTACAACATCACACACTACCCATTTCATGCTTTCATCCGTTAAGACATCATGGGAAATGTTCATTGTGGTCATTTATATCAATATGTGTTTGGAGGTTGTGATGTGAAGGCGTGGAAGGAGTGCTTTTGTTTCTTTGTGGGTATCTCATCAGAGGGTTCATAAAAATAGAGGTGTTCAGGTTATTTCAAAGTGAACCAGAGAACACTCTGATGAGTGGGCAGTGAGGGCATCAGTAAGAGATTTTCATTACCAACAAGCTGTATTAAGGCATAAGAATAAAATGGGAAACGATCAGTCACTAGGTATTGTTGGATTGTGCGCTATGTGGATGTGGACGACAGACTGTAGGGAAAGGAGTTGCTGGAAGTGGAGATGACTGGTGAAGCATGGTGTATTAGTTCACATCCTAGAGGATTTTAAATGGTAGGATTGATGGTTTGATGAGTCTTTTTCTTTTGTTGAATTACTGAGTTACTAGATGGCTACATTTTCCTTACCCGTTTAATCCTCCCAATCCTCTCATTCCATTAATCCATGCTCTAGATTCCCTGTTTGACTCTCATCCACTAGTTGCTTCTTTCTGTTCTGCAAGGATTTCTAAAGGCAAATTTTAATTTCTTTACCCTGGGTTTAGACACTCACATACAATATCACCAACAACCTTTGTATATTCTCATAAAATAAATGCCAATATTATTACTTGGTGCTACCTCTTTTACTCTATCACCAAGGGGTTTTAGTTACTTTCCAAAAATATTTCTAAAACAGGATCCTGAAAACTTAGATATCCATTTTCTCACATGGTCAATTTGGAACTTATATAAAAAAGACCTAGATTTCAAGGGCTGCTGAATTTTATAGATTGCTATTATCTCTGATACTCATTTTATTTATAGTGTCTAGTCGATTTAAAAAATCTTAAATTTCCCATAAAGAAATTAATTCAATTAGGTGTTAAATCTACTTAGCGCTAAATGGGTAAGGGGAAACACCACATCCAAAAAACAGTGTTATAGAATATATTTAAAACTTGAACCGGCAAGGCACGCTGGCTCACGCCTGTAATCCCAGCACTTTGGGAGGCCAAGGCGGGCGGATCACGAGGTCAGGAGATCCAGACCATCCTGGCTAATACGGTGAAACCCTGTCTCTAATAAAAATAAAAAAAATTAGCCAGGCATGGTGGCAGGCACCTGTAGTCCCAGCTACTTGGGAGGCCAAGGCAGGAGAATAGCGTGAACCCGGGAGGCAGAGCTTGCAGTGAGCCGAGATCACACCACTGCACTTCAACCTGGGTGACAGAGCAAGACTCTGTCTCAAAAAAAAAAAAAAAAAAAAAAAAAAACTTGAACCTTGCCCTAGAGCAGCCTCCCCTCATTAACTCTGTCTCCTCTCCTGATTTCATTCTGTCCCAGGCTGCCCACACAACGCTTCTACTTTCCAACACCACTGAGTTCTTTCTTCTGCATTTGTAACCTATAAAATCCCTGTTCTCTTATGAGATGGAGGCCCGCTGTGCTTTGGAGAACCTTCCCCCTTCTCAAGTGGCTGAATCCTTTTGTTTTCTCTTCCTCTCGCCCAACCACTGCTTGATAGGCTTGAAATTTTTAACTCTATTGACCATGCACACTGTTCCACTGTTTCTTCTCTAGAAAATCTTCTAAGACACTATTTGAAATGGGCCTATTCTCTTAGGAGAATTTTTGACCTATCACTCTGCACAGAGCATCTTTGACCTCTTTGTTCCTCAGAGTGTACACCACAGGGTTCAGTAACGGGGTAATGACAGTGTAGGTCACTGAGATCAGCTGATCCTGATCTCTGTGTTCTCTGACTTGGAATTGAAGTAAGCAATGGAGGCACAGCCATAGTGGACAATAACCACAGTAATATGAGAAGCACAGGTGGCAAAGGCCTTTTTCCTGCCCTCGGCAGAGGCAATCTTGAGGATGGTAGAAATGATGAGGATGTAGGAGATGAAAACCAAGCCCATGGGAATGAGGATCACCAGCACACTGATGATCATAGTCAGGATTTCATTGACTGTGGTGTCAATGCAGGAGGGCTTCATTACAGGTCGGATGTCACAGAAGAAGTGAGGCACCTTTGGAATACAGAAAGGCAGCCTGAATACAGCTGACACCTGTGTCATTGCTACAATTAGGCCAATGCTGCAGGCCCCTCACACCAGCTGCATACACACTCTCTTGCTCATGACGACTGAGTACCTCAAGGGGTTGCAGATGGTCACATAGCGGTCATACCCCATTGCTGTGAGCAGGAAGCAGTTGTTGATAGCCAAAGTAATGAAGAAAAACATCTGAGTGGCACAACCTGCCAAGGAAATGGGCTGACTCAGGCCTATGAGGTTAAACAGCATCCTTGGTATAATGACAAGGGTGTAGACAGTCTCTGAACCTGACAGCATGCTGACGAAGAAGTACATGGGGGTGTGGAGGTGACGATCAATACTAATGATACTCACAATGATAACATTGCCTGCCAGGGAGAATATGTACAACGTAAGAAACACAACAAAGAGGGTGAGCTTGTGCTCACGGAAGCTGGAGAAACCTTGAAAAATAAACACATTCATCAAAGAGTGATTCTCTTTCTTCATTAAATCACACATGATATCTGAGAAAGAAAAAAATAATGTAAGGAACCTAGATGGATGATTTCTGTCAAATAATAGGCTGGGAAAATTCCTGTGATTAATACACCTTAGGTCTCTGCTTTTTTACATTCATACTTATTTCTTTTAGGAGTAGAGAGTGGAGAAACGTTCTTTCCTCATTCAGAAGAAAGTACATGGCTTTTAAAGTCAAATGTTGTAAACTAATTTCCTACTTCTTGCATATGCTAACTTATCTTGGGCAAGGACTTATAATTTATAAGACCAGTTTCCTCACCTTTATGGATGTAGTGGTGATAACATCATAGAATTGTTGATGGAAAAATTGTATACTAATTATAATACTCATATTTGAATTTTAAAAACAACATTGAATAAATGCGAGTTCAGTGGTGTCATGCAGAACTCCAGGCTTCATAGCTACCTGATAATTTTTGAGCTTCTAAAGTTTGAATAAAGCCTGTGTTACTGTAATTTCCACACTGCATTTTCATTCCATTATTTTGACTCTGATGATATTGCTCCTCTCAACTCTGTTCTACACTCCTCTTCCCTAGACACCACTCATTTTTCAAAGACAAATAAAACCCATGTCCTTTAGAAAATCTTTTTTCCTCATTGGAACCCAGGAGGTGGAGATAGCAGTGAGCCAAGTTCGCACCACTGCACTCAAGCCTGGGCAACAGAGCAAGACTCCATCTCAAAAAAAAAAAAATCTTTTTCTCCTTACTCTCTCTCTCTCTCTGGGGCCTATATGTCTCATGTCTCTGCACATGTAGGTGGCATAGAACTGTTCAGTGTTTTTTTATTTTTATATTGTAAGCCCCTTACAGTGAAATTGTGATTACAAAATATTTTTGCATACATTATTTAATCTTATTACCATCCAACAGAGCAAGGAGGACAAAGATGAACTGTCTCTCTCTAGATGCAAAAACTGAAGAACAGCTCTGGTTAGGCAATTATTTTTGGACAGACAGGGGTCAAAGGACTAAACCAAGACTAGAATTCATATCTTTTGACCCTATGTCCATTGTTTCTTCCACTACACAAAACTGCATTATAAAACTGTCCCCTCTATAGCTGAACAGGGACCATGTATTCCCTCTTTTTATGACTCCAGGTTGGCCACTCCACTATGGGGGACAAATATCTGCTGGTAGAATCATTACGAGTCATTGCTCCTTCACACAAATTGTCCATTAGAAAGTAGAATACCAGAGCATTACAATGATATTTTCTTCAAAGAGAAGGCATAAATGTTTTTAATCTTTGACTTTTTATGATGTCTAGGTCTGTGATAGCAACAAACAACTAAATAATTGGGCTAAATTTTAACACTGGAATTATAACACTAGAAGAAAGTATGACATTATTAACAAGTAATTGAAAAATACACTGGTAATAAAACTTTTCTAGTAGCCTTTACCTTATCAGTAATCACTATATAATACATAATAGGTTCATTGTAAAAAAGATAAATTTAGAAATATAATGATGGAATTACTTCAAAAGTACAATTTGTTGGAAGTAAAGCAAATGAATCCACATCACAAAATGATTTACTATTGGGTGAATTTCAAAGGTAAGCTTCTTTAGTGCTTTTAAAATTAAATTCAATTTATCTATTTTTCAGAAATATACCCCTTTTCATAAGAAAATCTACAAAGAGTATTTATAAGAAATTGGTGCATGGCTGTGCTTCAACTCCTCAGTGCATGATATGAAAGAAAATCAGATGAGGTTGCAAGAAATAAATTTTGTGTTAGACATCAGAGACCATTTCTTGACAGGAAAAGTTGTTTGTGATGTGTGCAGCATGGTAAGTAACTGTAAACATTCTTTATGAAGCTTTCTAAACTGTGTCTCTGTGGACCATGGATTGTCTGAAGATAAGAATATAGACAAGAGAGCATGCATAGCTGATAAGTGTCAGAGCCACATTCCTTATTATCATGCTAATCAAGGCACTCTTTAATCCTGAGAAATTTTAGTTCCTTAGGATTAACAGGAGATCCTTGAAAGTAATAAATCAAGGAAACCCAAATATTCATAGACATCAGGATTCTTCCCAGCTTAATATAGTTTGCCCTTTAAAAATGATTTAAAAAAACTTCATGCATGTATTTTATTCCTTATAAGGCTCCCTCTGCTAACCATTGAAGTCTCTTTCCAAATCACTTACTTCTCTTTCTGCAAATCTGTGGCTCAACCGAAAAGTTGAGGTAGAGGTCAGAGATGTGAAACCTTGACCACAAGTATTCACAAATCAAGATCATGAAGAAAAGACATCTGAATGTGGGCCTTCCATCTGCCATAGGACCAGTCTAGGGATGGAGGTCAAAGGAAAGTTACAGGGGGCTCTTTGGATACTGGATATTTCCTCCAGCTTGAGGAGGACCTTTTGATACCAAAGAAAGGCTCTCTGATGAGCAGCTTTCAAGGTTTCAGGGTTTCTCAGTGTCATTCTCTGAGCACTCTTGAGAGTCGCCCTTTGACTAAGAGGAAGCAGACAGCCAGTACCAGGGGACCTCGTTAAGTGTGCGGCACATTTACCAGATGATATGGACTTGTGCTTTGGGAGACTTGAGGCAGTTTTCACAGCAAGTAGAAACAGCAGTGGCTTATTTGTCATGTTTTATTTTTTAAATAAATATTCTATTTTTATGCAGTTGAGCCTTGGAAAACCATGGTTACGAAGCCCAAGCGAGCTTTAGCTAAGCGCACTGTCTTGGATTCCAGGAAACCCTGCAGCTCTTTCTATCGTTAAAAACCTTGTTCAATATTATAAGCTGTGCTTTTTTTTCTGTTCTCTGAACTAAAAAAAACTCAATTTTGGCCAGTTTTTGTCCTGTAGGATTCAGAAAGGGAAGATCAAATCTCATTAGACAATAGAAACCTCTCTAGAAGGCCAGGAGGCCATTTTAGAGCTCCAAAAACATGAACCAGGACTTCATCCCAAGGGACCATCTGGCAAACAGTTAAATACACTGGGTTTCATGAGCCCAATCTGGGGTTATCCTCCCACTGGTTTTCCTGCCACAACCCTTGGCACTTTATTCTATTTTTTTAAAATTTATGTCTATCTCATCACGAATTCTGCCAATTCTCCTCCAAGTTAATTTTTCCGTACTTGGCCAAAAATAAGGTACCTGCATTAATATCTTAATAAACTTGAAAAATGCTCCTCATACTGATTTTTTCATTTGTATTTTATATTTCCTATTTGTCATAACTTAAAAGAAATAATTTTTAGGGACAAAATCTTGCTCTGTTGCCCAGGCTGGAGTGCAGTGGAGCAATCATAGCTCACTGCAGTCTCAACCTCCTGGACTCAAGCTATCCTCCTGTCTTGGCCTTCTGAGTAGCTAGGACTACAGGTGTGTGCCACCATACTCAGCTAATCTAAAAGAAAATTAGAAAGGGGATCTCATTATACCGCACAGTCTGGTCTCAAATTCCTGGCCTCAAGTGATTCTTCTGCCTCAGCCTCTCAAAGCACTGGGGATTACAGGCATGAGACACCACACTCAGCCTGTGGTAACTTTTGGATCGAAAAAATTATAAAATCAAAAACTTTATAGCAAATATAAGAATGTTAATTACATTTGCTTTTATTCCTATTAGTTCACAGACATAAGAAAATATTGGCCAAACTGGAGAAAACTCCAATATTTGTAATTAAATTATCATTGATAAAGTTAACATCCCAACTTTTTTCCTTATTGTTTGCAGCTGAGTAGTACCTTCGTATGCATTACAACCTGCACTGTCTTGGGGGTCGAATTATGATTGGATCATTCATTTTTGTGCCATTCTGTTGATTAAACATGTACTTTTCTTTATCTGCTCTAGTGAGAGAGGGGCCAAACTGTTACCCTAGTTATCATTAAAGACACAAATCTGCACTGAGGCATAAAGAGGCTCCCTCCCCTAGACGGGAAGTAGATATAAAGACCCTTTCAGCAGAGAAAATTAGGACAGCTTTATCAACACAGAAAAAGGATAGAGAGAACTTTGTATTGTAGCAATCTGAACTTCCTGTCAACAGATTAGGAGGACATCTTGGGGGTGAATGTACTAATAACCTTATTTGCCAGTAAAGGGGTGTCCTTTCATGTTTCAAGGGTTAAATATGAAATCTAGCCGAATTCTGTGTTTATAAATAACCAGGAAAATGAAGGACAGTAGGCTGGGGTCTGTTAGGAGTTTGATGGTCAAATAACTTCTAACTCCTGGTTGGCAGGTTTCTCAAGATCTGGCTGTATAAACAATGGACAGGGCTGAGAACCAGGAAGTGCAGTGTCTCTGGGATCTATGCTTGATGCCTCTAACTCTGCTTAGCACTGAGTATGTAGGATAGTCCCCATGTGTAAGTATAGCTGCCTATGTCCATAATTGCTTGTACTGAAACCCAGACGTTCTAGTCTAGTGTTGCATAACACAGTACCCCAAACTTAGGAGCATAAAGCAACAACAATCATTTGTAATTACCTCTGTATGGGTGATTGATTTCAACTGGGCTATTCTCACTTAGAGTCTGTCATGCAATTTTGTTCAGGAGGTAGATGGAACTTGCTCACTCACGTGCCAGTCAGTTGATATTGCCTATTGACTGAAATACCTACACATCATCTTTCCATGTGGCCTGGGCTTCCCCACTGCTTTAGTCAAGAAGTAACAAAGGTCCACTCAGTTTCAAGGGGTGAGAGTACAGACCTCACCTCTTAATGAGGGAATGGCACACTCTAAGAAGAGCATGAGGAATAAAAGAGATATGTCCATTTTTTGAAAATATAGTCTGCCACAGTAAATTAGTAGATGGCCAGTATCTTCTCTTGGACAATTTAGATTAGATGCCCTCAAAGGGAAATAGGAAAAAAAAATAGACAACTCAAACTCTAGACTCTCCCTTCTTAAGTGTTTATGTCAACTTCATCAGTCTATTGTAATACTTAAGTTACAGGGATTAGAAAAATAAAGGGAAAATGTAAGACACCAAAAAGGGAGGTTCTAGATCACCTGCTAACCTATTAGAAACTCAAGATGATATCAATTTGAGTTGGTAAATGTAAAAGATATACATTTAGTGGACTAGATGATAACTGTAAAAGGCAAGACTAAAGTTTCTAAACAACTTTCAAAGTTAACAAAGCTCTGGCTAGGCAGACAAGAAGCCACCAGTTATGATTTGCCTAAGCATTCTGTGTCCACGTATAGGTTTGGCATATGTTATTATATTTTTTAATGTACAAAATATATATATTTTTGTTATTTTTAATATAACACTTGATGTTTACAAAACACTGTGTTTAAGTTGTGGAGCATAACAATAAGATGAACATTTAGGAATCTATCACTCAACTTAACTCAAGAGCTACACTTATGTATTTTTCATTTTTCCCACCTCCCTATTTCTTCACACTGTACCCCTCACCCCCACCAGTGGTTACTATTATTCTAATTTTTATATTTATTGTATCTTATTTATTGTTATATCTTTATGACATATGTATGTATGTTTAAAAATACATTACTTAGCTATACCTACTTTTGAGCTTTATAAAATGTAATACTGTATACACTTTTCTAAGACTTGCTTCTTTTTATAATTCAGTTACACTAATAATATCCAGAAAGAGCTATAGTTCACTAGCTGCCTTATACTATTCCATTATGTGAATATATCTCGATATTTTTAATCCATTCTACTGTTGAGGAATAATAGAATTGTTCATATATATTTGTGTACTTCTGGCAGCTCATCTATAGAATACATTCCTGAAAGTAAAATTCCTTGATCAGTAATATGTGCCTTTAAAATCTTAATAACTATTGCCAAACTGAAACCAAAATAGGATACATTCATTTACACACTCGGCAACACTGAGAATGCTTCCTCACCCACACTTTCATCAATGATGGGTATTACCAACTCCTTAAAAAATGGGCAAACTTAAAGGTAAAAGGGGTTTATTATTTTTTCCTTTGAATTTTAATTTCTTTAATTACAAATAAGGTTAAGTATCTTTTCATATGCTTATTAGCAATTTCTACTTTATATGCTGCGAATGTCCATTTACGTATCTTGCTCATTTTTCATAGTGTTAGTTGTCCTTTTCTTGTGAGTGCTAAGATAAGAAAATATGCCTTTTATCATATATATTGCAAATATTGTTCTTCCATTTATCATTTTTACTGGATTTGTGTGTTTGAAATTTTTGCAATATTATATTCATGTATTTATCTCTTGAAATCAAACTTTATTGCTTATGCGTTTTGATTAGTGCTTAAAAGGGACTTCCTAACTCCAAGATTATTTTTAAAAAGCACCATGCTGTCCCATATACTTCGTATGCTTCAATATTGATTCATCTGAAATTTATTTGGTTGTAAGAAACAAAGTAAGGTATACAGTGGTCCTTCAGTATCCACGTAGATTTGTTCCAAGATGCACTACGGCTAGTAAAATCTGAGGATGCTCAAGTCCGTTATATCAAATGGCATAATCTTTGCATGCAACCTATGCACATCCTCCCATTTACTTTAAATCATCTCTAGATTACTTATAACATCTAATCAAATGTAAGTGTTATGTAAATGAGTGTTGTACTGTATTGCTTAGAGAATAATGACAAGAAAAAAAGTCTGTGCATGTTCAGTACAGACACAACATTCTTTTTTTTTTTCCTAAACAGAAGCTTTTTAGTTTGTTGTAGTCCCACTTATTTATTTTTGCTTTTGTTACCTGTGCTTTTTGTGTTATATGAAAAAAAAATCATTGCCAAGACTGTTAAGCATCTTTTTCCTATGTTTTCTTTTAGGAATTTTTATGATTTCAGGTCTTAGGTTTAAGTCTTCAATCTGTTCTGAATTAATTTTTGTGTATGCTGTAAAATAATAACCTGTAGTTTTCTTTTCTTCTGCATGTGGATATCACATTTTACCAACACAACAAGAGATTATCTTTTCCCCATGTTATGTCCTTGGTGCCTTTATTGAAGATTGGTTAATTTTGTACATGTGGTTTTATTTCTGGGCTCTTCATTCTGTTCCATTGGTCTATGTTGCTGTTTTTATGCCAGTATTATACTGTATGATTACTACAGCTTTGCAATATATTTAAATCAGGATGTGTGATGCCTTCAGCTTTTCTCTTGTTTCTCAAGATTACTTTGGCTATTTGGGATCTTTTGTGGTTCCATACAAATTTTTAGAATTTTTCCTTTTATTTCTGTAAAAAATACAATTGAAATTCTAATAAATATAGATTACATTCAATCTATAAATCACTTTAGGTATTATAGACATTTTAATAATATAAATTCTTCCAATCCATGAACACGGGATATCTTTCCATTTATTGGTTTCTTCTTTAATTTCTTTCATCAATATTTTTTGGTTTTCAGTATACAAATCTTTCACCTCCCTGGTTAAATTTGTTCTTAAGTAATTTATTCTTTTTTATGTTATTGTAAATGAGATTTTTAAAAATTTTCTTCGTGTATAGTTTATTTTTGATGCAAAGTAATGCTATTGATCTTTGTACACTGAATGTGTATCCTGTACCTTTAGTGAATTTATTTATTCTAACAGTTTTTTTTTCTTTCATGGAGTTTTTAGGGTTTTCTACATAGAGGATCATGTCATCTGCAAACGGAGATAATTTTACTTTTCCCTTTCTAATTTCAATGCCTTTTCTTTCTCTCTCTTTTCTATTTGTCTTTCTAGGACTTCCAGTACTATGTTGAATAGAGTGGCAAGGGTGAGCATTCTTGCCTTATATTGGATTTTAGAGAAAAAGTTGTTTTTCCCTATTGATTATGATATTATCTGTGGGTTTTTCATAAATAGCCTTTATCATGTTTATGTTACTTCTTTCTTTACATATTTTACTGAGAGTTGTTATCATGAATGAATGTCAAACTTTGTAAAATGCTTTTTTCTACATCTATTGAGATTATCATGTGATTTATTTTCATTCCGTTAATGTGATGTATCATAATGATTAATTTGCTTATGTTGATTTCACCCTGCATTCCAGAGATAAATCCCATTTGGCCATGGCGTATAATCTTTGTGGTGTACTATTGGATTTAGATAGCTGGTATTTTATTCAGGATTTTTCATCTATATTCATGGGAGATTTTGACTTGCAGTTTTCTTTTCTTGTGGTGTCTTTGGCTTTGGCCTTATCAAATGAGTATAGAACTGTTTTCTCTTCTATTTTTTAGAAGCGTTTAAGAAGGACTTATATTAAATTTTCTTTGACTGTTTGCTAGGATTCATTCATAAAGCCATCTGGTCCTGGGCTTTTCTTTGTTGGAAGGATTCTAATACTGAGTCAATCTACTGATTATTTTCATCTGTTCAAGTTTTCTATTTCTTCTTGATTAGTTTTGGTAGGCTGCATAATTCTAGAAATTTATCCATTTCTTCCAGGCTATACAAATATAATTTGTTGCCTTTTAATTGTTCATAGAAATCTCTATGATCTTTTTTATTTCTTAGGCATCTGTTGTAATGTCTCTTTCTTCACTTCTAAATTTATATGAGTCTTCTGTCTCTTATTTTCTCTTTTATTCTAGCTAAGGGTTGTCCATTTAATTTATCTTTTTTATAGAAAGAACTTTTAGGTTTGTTAATTTTTCTGTTGTTTTTCGATTCTCTATTTCTGCTCTAATCTTTATTATTTTATTTTTCTGTTAACTTTGGGTGTAGTTTGTTCTTCTTTTTTCTTGTCCCTTGAGGTGTATAGTTAGGTTTCTGCATCTGAGATCTGTCTTTCTTTAAATGTAGGCATTTATGATCATAAACTTTTAGGACTGCTTTTGTTGCATCCTATAGTGTTGGCATGTTTTAATTTTGTTTTCATTTGTTTCAACATATTTTTTAGATTCCTTTTTGATTTTCTCTTTGACCCAATAGTTATAGTGTGTTGTTTAATTTCCATGTAATATAAAATTTTTCCATTTTATTGCTGTTATTGATTTCTAATTTCATTCCATTGTGGTATTAAAAAATACTTGATATGTTTCCATTTTTTTCAAATTTGTTAAGGTTTGTTTTGTGATTTAACATATGATCTATTCTAAAGAATTTTCCATGTTCATTTGAGAAAAATGAGCACTCTGCTGAAGAAAGTTCTTCAAACCCAAAGGAAAGAATGCTAACACGATTGTTAATATTAATATTGTGATTGTGGTGTTTGACCCACTTCTATCTTTACTAAGAAGACTGAAAGAGAAAATAAGACAAATTAAGAACAATAGCTACAGCAATTTAAGGTATAGGCAATATAAAAATTTTAAATTGTGACATCAGAAATTCAAAATATGTGGGGGAGAAGGTAGTCTGTACACATTTTTTTTTATTTTGTTTTTGCTTTGTTACTGTTATTTTCTTGTGATTAAAGCTAAGTTTAAATAAGTTTTTAATTGTGTGTTATAACTATAGGATGTTTGTGTAAGCTTCATGTTAATCACAAAGCAAAAGCATATAATAGATACACTAAAAAAGCTATAAATTAAAATACTCTACCAGAGAAAATAACTTCAATATAAAGAAAGACAGTTAGAAAAGAAGAGAGGAGTTACACCACAACTGGTAAAGAAGTAACAAAATGGCAGTAGCAAGGCTTTACCTATCATAATTACATTGAATGTAAATGGATTAAATTCTCCAGTTAAAGACATAGAGTGGCTGAAAGGATAAATAAGGAAGACCTGACTATATCCTGCCTACAAGACTCAGTTCACCTATACAGACACACATTTATTGAAAGGGAAGAGATGGAAAAAGATACTCTATGCAAATGGAAATCAAGAAAGAGCAGGAGTAGCTATACTTGTATCAGATAAAATAGACTTTAAGTCAAAAACTGTATAAAGAGACAAAGAAGATCACTATATAATAATAAGAAAGTCAATTCAGCAAGAAGATATAACAATAATAAATATACAGTACCCAATACTGGAGCACCCAAATATATAAAGCAATTATTAATACATCTAAAAGATAGACTATAATACGATAATAGTAGGGGACTCCAACACTCCACTTTCAGCACTTGAAAGATTATCCAGGCAGAAAATCAACAAATGGACATCAGAATTAAACTACACTCTGGACTAAGTGGGTCTGACAGACATTTACAGAATATTTTATCCAACTGCTGCAGAATGTACATTTTTTTTCTCATCAGCACATGTAACATTATCCAGGAGACACCATATATTAGAGCATAAAGCAAGTCTTGAAAAATTCGAAGAAATCAAAATCATATCAAATATATTTTCTGATCACAACAGTGTAAGATTAGAAATCAATAACAGGAACTTTTAAAACTGTACACATACGTGGAAATGAAAGAACGTGTTCCTGAATTACCAATGAGTCAGCAAATACATTAAGAAGGAATTTTTTTTTTTTTTTTTTTTTTTTGAGATGGAGTCTTGCTCTGTCGCCCAGGCTGAAGTGCAGTGGCGCTATCTCGGCTCACTGCAAACTCCGCCTCCCGGGTTCACGCCATTCTCCTGCCTCAGCCTCCCGAGTAGCTGGGACTACAGGTGCCCACCACCACATCCAGCTGATTTTTTGTATTTTTAGTAGAGACGGGGTTTCACCGTGTTAGCCAGGATGGTCTGGATCTCCTGACCTCGTGATCCGCCCGCCTCGGCCTTCCAAAGTGCTGGGATTACAGGCGTGAGCCACAGCGCCCAGCCAAGAAGGAAATTTAAAAATTTATTCAAATAAGTGAAAATGGAAGCACAGCATACCCAATCTTTTGGGATACAGCAAAAGCATTACTACGAGAGAATTTTATGGCAATAAATGCCTGCATCCCCCAAACAGAAAGACTCCAAGTCAACAATTTAATGATGCACTTTAAGGAACTAGAAAAGCAAAAATAAAAAAAAAATAGAAGGAAAAAAAATAAAGATCTTAACAGAAATAAATGAAATTTAGACTAGGAAAATAATCCAAAAGTGCAACAAAACAAAAAGTTGGTTTGTGGAAAAGATAAAATTGACAAACCTTTAGCTAAAATAACCAAGAAAAGAAGAGAGAAGACCCAAATAAATAACATCAAAAATGAAAAAAGAAATATCACAACTGATACCCAGAAATGCAAAGGATCAATAAAGAGCATTGTGAACTACTATACACCATCAAATTGGAGAAACTAGGGGAAATGCATAAATTCCTGAACACATACAACCTACCGAGATTGAACTATGAAGAAATAGAAAACCTGAACAGACTAATAATGTGTAATGATTTTGAAGCAGTAACAAGTCTCCTATCAAAGAAAAGCCCAGGACTTGATAACTTCACAATAGTTGTATTGGACACTCTGAGGAGCTGGCCCTGTGCAAAAAGAGGAATGTCCCCCTAGGAGGAGGTGAAAACTTTACCCACTATGTAGGAGGTAGATACTGCTGGTAAACATAAGTATCTTCCAGTCTAGGAAGGTAAGAACCCCATCCCTTATGGCTGAAGATTTATCTGTTACTGGAGAGTCATATTTTGAAATCAAATTTTATATTCTGGGGAAGCAAATGTTTTATGAATCTCCACAAAAAATACTCTTGGAAGAAATATTATGGAATAATGTTATATGATAATAATCCAATGCTTTCCTTCTTTTTAAAATTCTTATTATTCCAGGGGACATTTATTTGCCCCAGTGAAGGATAAACCCAAAAGAATGCAAGAAAAAGTCAACTGAATTTCAAAAATATGTTTATAAAGCTCATAACTGAAACATTTGTATTGAAAGCTGAAATAGTTTTTAAGTTTAGCAAACTTTTCTAGAGTGGAAAACCTCTTAATTTACAAAGAATGGTTTTGAATATCAAAAGCCTAAGTACTAAAGTACTTTGTATATGAAATGTAAACTGTGCATTGTGGAGTTGGAAATAATTAAGGTTTTTTTTTTTTTCCAAAATAAAACAAAGCCATCCAGCCTTTGGAGAAGATGGCACCAGAGTTATATATTGTGGAAAGCCCACTCTTGGTCCTACCCCAAATAAACCCTGATGTAAGGAAGGAAGGAAAGAATCTGATTGAAGCAGAGAAGGTATGCCCCTCACTTTTCAGAGAAGCCTCTTAGAAAAGGCTTGAATACTGATGGAGTAGAAATGGGTGAGTAAGGCAGCAGGTGATGGCTCAATGATACCTCACTGAGTTTCATCCACTCCTCTACAGGGTCAAGGGTGCAGTTAAATGTCCAGGTGCCCTCAAGAAGTGGCAGAGAGAAGTACAAAGAACCTAGAGTAGCCTCAAAATGGTCATAAGGAAGATATGAAGTGCAGGGACTATATTGATAAGGACCATGGCAAGACTGGACTCATCTCAATTAATGGCAACAGATACATGAGCCATTGGGGCTCATGTATCTCCAGAGAATCCAATCTGAGGAGGTAGAAATGAACCTGGATAAAGTTCTTCTTCTTCCAGAAAGCTGGAAATCTTGACCTGAACTTGATTCACCCCAAGGATAATGGGGAAGTGGAAGAAAGGGGAGAAGCAGAACTTTTAATGTTATTGTTTTTACTCATAACATGACTTATTAATCATTAATTGCTTGAGTTTACATGAAAAGGTTTAGATTACTTTTTTTTTCATCAAGCAGATTCGGAGCTGAGAATTACAAAGTAAAATGAATTGCAGAACTTTCTAAAAGTAACCTTTGTATGCACTTGCATAGATAGCCTATATAATTCACAATTGGTTTACACATTTTATTTGACATTTCTGCATTTTAAAAATATTTTACAATGAGAATCCTGTGTACTCATGTATTTCTTGTATGTCTTTTTATAAATATCTTTGTATTGTGACATTAATTTGGTCAGTAATTATAACTGTTAATCATTATAGTTTTAATCATCACATATTTTGTCCCACAAATTGAGTCTAAAATTCACCCTAATGTTTTTAACATTTTTTTGAAGTGAGGAACAGTACATAGTCTTTTTTTAATCTACTTTTAACTCAGTTGCTTTAACTTTATGGAAGTTTTCATGTCAAAAGCCCTTACTGTTGACTTTGTTCAGTTTTTCGGGAGTAGTGAAATTACCTACTTTTTCAGAAAGGTGTTATGTTGACTCTTTCACGTTTCCATTTAATTGTCTTTCTTTGCATTTGTGACTTGGCCTACAAAGGGAAAGAGAGGACCCAATCTGAAATGATTTTAAAAATGATTTTTGGTCGTTTTGACCCTCGCCTTGTCCTTCCCTTCTCATCTATCACTCCCATCTGCATCTGCTTCTGAAGTGTCTTTCTTCCTAACCAATTTCATAACATTTTGTAGCATTCTGCTTCCTGAGCCGTCTCCTCTTCTGATCCTGTTCATGAGGAAGGCATTTCTGTCAGCCCCACAAGGCCTTCTCCTCCATGTGGCTTATCTTCAGCCAGAAGAAGCAAAGAATCAGACCAAGTTACGTGTGCTCTGTTCACAAGCCTCAAGTCTCATAGCTGTCATATGCTGATTAGGAGTCTTCTCCACTCAATGTCCTTACTACTCCCCACTTTCACCACCTAGTTCCCCTTCATTTGGAGTCCCACATGTGGGTGGCAGGAAATGTGCAGGGGATTGCCTGAAAATGTTCTTTCTAAAAAGTTTTTAGCTCATTCCAAACCCATGTCTTAAAAAATGTTCTTGCTTTGCTTATCTTATTAAAACACAAGGCAATTAGATTTTTGCACATATCCTTTTCAGTAATAGCCACTTGTTCAAGCATCCAATTTATGACAAAAAATTCAGTTGAGTAATTTCATATGGTTTGCACTTCAGCAAGATGGACTGGTATCTTTAAATTTAAGCTTGAGATGAACACTAGCTCATACATTGGCCTTGTCATGATCTCCTTGAGTAGGGCCAATGGGTGTCTGTCTACAGGTGTTTCAAGTGACCTGTGTTTTTATTCTGTTTTGAAAGAGGTTCAGAAAATGATCCTCAATTATTAGAGGCTAGCTCCTAGTTTCTCTCTTGCCTTGGCACTGACTGTGATGTATGAGGCTTCACTGATCCCATAAAATTCTGGCTCTATGACTTTACCAATAGGCTTCCATCTGGAAGGCACCCATAACTATTTAAGAAAAGATTATCGTCTTAGGAGAAGAATTTCCTACCCAGCACTCTCTGCAGAGCATCCTGGACTTCTTTATTTCTCAGACCATACACAACAGGGTTTAGTAAAGGTGTTATGACAGTGTAGGTCACTGAGATTAACTGATCCTGATCTTTGGTATTCTCCAAATTGGGCTTGAAGTAGGCAATGGAGGCACAGCCATAGTGGATAATGACCACAGTGAGGTGGGATGCATAGGTGGCAAAGGTCTTCTTCCCGCCTTCAGCTGAGGTGATCTTGAGAATGGTGGAAATAATAAGGACATAAGAGATGAAGAGGAAGATGGCTGGGGCTGTGATGGCAAGGAGGCTCATAATTAAGGTCAGAATATCATTGATCATTGGGGTAGCCCAGGCCAGGTCCAACACAGGCTGAACATCACAGAAGAAATGCTCAATCAGTGGGGTGCAAAAGAGCAACCTGAAAATGGCCACAGTCTGAACCAGTGAGAGTGAGAACCCTGTGGCACAGACTGATGATGCCAGTATAGCACACACCCTCCAATTCATGATGACTGAGTATCGAAGTGGGTTGCAGACGGCCACGTAGTGATCATATTCCATTACTGCTAGCAGGAGGCAGTTGGTGATGGCAAAGCCAAGAAAAAAAAAGATCTGAGTCCCACAGCCCTCCAGGGAAATGGATTGGCTCAGGCCTACAAGGCTGGAAAGCATGCGTGGGATAATGACCAGGGAATAGAAAGTCTCTGAAGTGGATAGCACACTTAAAAAGAAGTACATAGGAGTATGGAGGTGATGGTCAACATAGATTATGGCCAGAATGATGAAATTGCCAGCCAGAGTTAGGAATGTAGAGGGCGAGAAAGACCACAAAAAATGTGAGCTGATGTTCTGGAAAATTGGAGAAACCTTGGAAAACAAACTCTCTTAACTCTGTGTGATTGGCTCTCTTCATTGAGAATCTCAGGTCTGAAAGAATAAGACAAAGTCCACAACATCTTTTAGCAAAAAATAACTGTGCTCTGGAGTACACTACAGAGAGCAAAAATGCAACACAGCAGAGACTCAGTTCAAAACTCAGTGAATCAACTTTCTTTTTTAGGGACATGGCAGATTAAGTCCTTGGACTGAAAATAAAGACACACAAGATTTGAGCACTATTATTTAAAATTTTGATATAAAGCATTCTTCTTAAGTACACCTGGGTCATTTTAAAAAATGATCATCAATGGTCCATGAAATTGGTCCCAACATTTTTTTAAGGACTGGATCTTCTTAAAAGGTAATCACATTCCCAGACTATAGTATAATTAAGACAGAAAATTTCATCTTGTCGCAATTTCATGGATCAAAAATATTGGGAAAAATGCATTTGTACTGAACGTGTACAGACATTTTCCCCACTATTTCCTAAACAATACAGTGTAATAACTATTTATATAGCATTTACATTGTATCAGGTACTATAAGTAAGCCAGAGATGATTTGAGGTATAAGGAGGATGTGCATAGGTTATATGCAAGTACTTCACTATTTTGTATCATGGACTTGAACATCTGTGAATTTTGATATCCATGAGAAGTCCTGGAACCAATCCCTCATGGATACTGAGAGACAGCTATGTTATCAAACCAAATCCAGCAATGTATAATAAAATGGGTACATGACCAAGTTGGTTTTATTTCAGAATGTAAAGTCTGTTTAACATTTAAACAGTCCAATTATATATTTCCTCAAATAAAGTACCTCAAAAAAGTCATATGATTATTTTAATAGCTGCCACAAAAGCATTCTTAAAATTCAATGTCTATTTTGAGAAGAACCCTTAGTAAACTAGGACTAAAATATTTTCTTTAACTTAATAAAGCATATGTATGCAATTCTACATCCCACATCAAACTTAATGGTAAGATATTGAATGATTATCTTTAAGATTAAGAAGAAGACAAGGGTGACGGCTTTATCCACTTCTCTTTGACATTGTATTGAATATACTAGCCAGCCTAATAAAGCAATAAAAAGACATTAAAGGTACAAGGATTGAAAAGAAAGGAATAAAACTTAACTTTCTTTTTATTTTAGTGATTCCAGGACATTTTATTCCTTTACACTTTCTTTCTTTTTTCTTTTTTTGGTGCTTTATTTTATTTTATTTTTTATTATACTGTAAGTTCTGGGGTACGTGTGCAAACGTGCAGTTTTGTTACATAGGTATACATGTGCCATGGTGGTTTGCTGCACCCATCAACCCGTCATCTACATTAGGTATTTCTCCTAGTGCTATCCCTTACCTAGCCTCCCACCGCCTGATAGGCCCTGGTGTGTGATGTTCCCTTCCCTGTGTCCATGTGTACTCATTGTTCAACTCCCACTTATGAGTGAGAACATGCAGTGTTTGGTTTTCTGTTCTTGTGCTAGTTTGCTTAGAATGATGGTTTCCAGCTTCATTCACATCCCTGCAAAGGACATGAACTCAACCTTTTTCATGGCTGCATAGTATTCCGTGGAGTATATGTGCCACATTTTCTTTATCCAGTCTACATTGATGAGCATTTGGGTTGGTTCCAAGTCTTTGCTATTGTGAACAGTGATGCAATAAACATACGTGTGCATGTGTCTTTATAGTAGAATGATTTATAATCCTTTGGGTATATACCCAGTAATGGGATGCTGGGTCAAATGGTATTTCTAGTTCTAGATCCTTGAGAAATCGCCACACTGTCTTCCACAGTGATTGAACTAATTTACACTCCCACCAACAGTCTAAAAGTGTTCCTATTTCTCCACATCCTCTCCAGCATCTGTTGTTTCCTGACTTTTTCACCATTCTAACTGACATGAGATGGTATCTCATTGTAGTTTTGATTTGCATTTCTCTAATGACCAGTGATGATGAGCATTTTTTCATGTTTCTTGGTTGCATAAATGTCTTCTTTTGAGAAGTGTCTGTTCATATTATTTACCCCCTTTTTGATGGGGTTGTTTTTTCTAGTAAAATTGTTTAAATTCTTTGTAGGTACTAGATATTAGCTCTTTGTTAGATGCATAGATTGCAAAAAGTTTCTCCCATTCTGTAGGTTGCCTGTTCACTCTGATGATAGTTTTTTTTTTGCCTTCAGAAGCTCTTTAGTTTAATTAGATCCCATTTGTCTATTTTGGCTTTTGTTGCCATTGCTTTCGGTGTTTTAGTCATGAAGTTTTTGCCCATGCCTATGTCCTCAATGGTATTGCCTAGGTTTTCTTCTAGGGTTTTTATGGTTTTACATGTAACATTTAAGTCTTTAATCCATCTTGAGTTAATTTTTGCAAAAGGTGTAAGGAAAGGATCCAGTTTTAGCTTTCTGCATATAGCTAGTCAGTTTGCCCAACACCATTTATTAAATAGGGAATCCTTTCCCCATTTCTTGTTTTTGTCAGGTTTGTCAAAGATCCGATGGTTGTAGATGTGTAGTGTTATTTCTGAAGCCTCTGTTCTGTTCCATTGGTCTATATATCTGTTTTGGTACCAGTACCATGCTGTTTTGGTTACTGTAGCCTTGTAGTATAGTTTGAAATCAGGTAACTTAATGCCTCCAGCTTTGTTTTTTGCTTAGGATTGTCTTGGCTATGCAGGCTCTTTTTTCATTCCATATGAAATTTAAAGTAGTTTTTTCCAGTTCTGTGAAGAAAGTCAATAGTAGTTTGATGGGGATAGCATTGAATCTATAAATTACTTTGGGCAGTATGGCCATTTTCATAATACTGATTCTTCCTATCCATGAACACGGAATGTTTTTCCATTTTTTGTGTCCTCTCTTATTTACTTGAGCAGTGCTTCATAGTTCTCCTTGAAGAGGTCCTTCACATCCCTTGTAAGTTGTATTCCTAGGTATTTTGTTCTCTTTGTAGCAATAGTGAATGGGAGTTAACTCATGATTTGGCTCTCTCTTTGTCTATTATTGGTGTATAGGAATGCTTGTGATTTTTGCACATTGATTTTGTATCCTGAGACTTTGCTGAAGTTGCTTATCAGCTTAAGGAGATTTGGGGCTGATACTATGGGGTTTTCTGAATATACAATCATGTCATCTGAAAAAAGAGACAATTTTACTTCGTCTTTTCTTAATTGAATACCCTTTATTTCTTTCTCTTGTCTGATTGCCCTGGCCAGAACTTCCAACACTATGTTGAATAAGAGTGGTGAGAGAGGTCATCCTTATCTTATGCCTGTTTTCGAAGGGAATGCTTCCAGTTTTTGCCCATTCAGTATGATATTGGCTGTGAGTTTGTCATAAATAGCTCTTATTATTTTGAGATATATTCCATCAATACCTAGTTTATTGAGAGTCTTTAGCATGAAGGGCTGCTGAATTTTGTTGAAGGCCTTTTCTGCATCTACTGAAATAATCATGTGGTTTTTGTCATTGGTTCTGTTTATGTGATGGATTACATTTATTGATTTGCATATGTTGAACCAGCTTTGCATCCCAGGGATGAAGCCAACTTGATCGTGGTGGATAAGCTTTTTGATGTGCTGCTGGGTTCGGTTTGCCAGTATTTTATTGAGGATTTTCACATCAATGTTCATCAGGGATATTGGCCTGAAATTCTCTTTTTTTGTTGTGTCTCTGACAGGTTTTGGTATCAGAATGATGATGGCCTCATACAATGAGTTAGGGAGGATTCCCTCCTTTTCTGTGGTTTGGAATAGTTTCAGAAGGAATGGTATCAGCTCCTCTTTGTATCTCTTGTAGAATTCAGCTGTGAATCTGTCTAATCCTGGACTTTTTTTGGTTGGCAGGCTATTAATTAATGCCTCAATTTCAGAACCTGTTATTGGTCTATTCAGGGATTCGACTTCTTCCTAGTTAGTCTTGGGAGGGTGTATGTGTCCAGGAATTTATCCATTTCTTCTAGATTTTCTAGTTTGTTTGCTTAGAGGTGTTTATAGTATTCTCAGGCAATACAGAGAACACCACTTTTTTTTTAGATGATGTGACTCTATACACAGAGAATCTGAAATAAATTTCTGATAAATTATTAGAATTATTAAGAAAGTTTAACAAACTTTTTGGTACAAAATTTATATGTAAAAATCCACTTTATTTCAGTATTTCAACAAATGATAGCAAAGTATAAAGCCACTATTATTTATAATAGCTTCAAAAAAATAAAGTATCCATGAATAAAGAACTTTATATTAAGAATTACAATATCAAGAATTACAATACCTTACAAAAAAGACAGAAATAAACGGTTATGCTTATGTATTCGAAGATACAATATTATGATATTACAATTAGTGCACAATTGACTGATGAGTTCAATGCAATTCAATCAGAATCCTAAATAGATTGTTTTGTGTTATTTGTTTTTTAGATTGACAACTCATATTAAACTGTATATGGAAGCACAAACATTGAAGAATAGCCAAACATTCTTGAAGAAAAGAAACAAATGGAGAGAACTTGTCCTTCAAATATCATTTACTATAATAAAGCTGTAGTAATTAAGAAGGCATGGTTTTGGCACAGGGATAAGCACTCAAACCAATGAGAGAAAATGGAATTCTAAAATATGAAAATTATTCAAACGGGGCTGGCATTCCTGATTGATGGAAAGCACAGACTAGTCAATTAATGCAATAGTTGGTCATTCATATGAGGAAAAAATGAAATTAGGTTAGCTTATACCATACAAAATTCAATCACAAATGGATTAAAAACCTATAAACAAACAAAAAACTCTATTAAATATTTAGAAGACACTATGTGAGAATATTTTTAAAACTTGAGATAAATGATTCCTTAAGGTACAAAACAGCAAAAAATGACAACCTTTATTATATAAAAATTAATTTGTGTTTTCCAGAATCACAAAAAAGAAAAAAAGCAAGGTAAAAATAGAGAAAAGATATTAGCAACAAAAATTAGATAAAATACTAGTATTTGGAGTATCAAATGGATTCTGAGAATCAAAGAGAAAAAAATCAGTTTAATATAATGATAGATAAGAGGAATAAATAGGAATTTCATATGAGAGGAAGCACAAATCTCATATAAACATGTGAACAAGCCTTTAACATCATTAGTAGCCAGGGAAAAACAAGACCACACCCCAAAAATTAAGAACATAGACCATTTCATTCTCATAAGATGGTCAATAGTCAAAATTGTGCCAAATATAGAGCAAGGGAAGCTCCAGTCTCCTACTGGTGGGAGAGTAAATTGATACAATCATTTTGGAAAACAGTTTGACATTACCTGCTACAGCTGAAAACAAACATGTTCTATAAACCAGGAATTCTACCGTTAGATATTTAATCCATAAAAACTCAAAAGACAAATGCACAAAGTTTACAGTTTTGTTTGTTTAAACAAAAAGAAAAAAAGGAAAACTGAAGCAAGTCAAATGTTCTTCAGAAGTAGAAAGAACATTTAAATTGAAACAAAATTTCACAATGAACTGTGATAGGGCATTGAGTGAATTACTACAGAGGAGGGGTGGGTAAACCAAAACCTACAGAGCAGTCAAATGTTTTTATAAATAAAGTTTTATTGGAGCACAATCACATCAATTTGTTTATGTATTGTGTATGGCTGCTTTCGTACTATAATAGAGTTGAGTAGGTGCAACAGAGACCGCATGGCCTGCGAAGACTAAAATAATTACTAACTAGTCCTTTACAGAAAAAGTTTGCTGACTCATATTAAAGATAATTAAAAGGACTAATAACATTTTTTCAAATCAACATGAATGAATCTCAGAGTTATTATGATTATATTGAATAATGGAAGCACATCATTTATATATTATATAGAGAGATTATGATTGAGTGATTATATATAAATTCAATATATTATATATGGTGTGTGTGTGTGCATGCATCGTGTGTGTATCCCATTTATTTAACATTCAAAGGAAGGCAGGATTAGATAATTTATTATTTAGGGATACCCTATTTTTTAAAAATATGGAAATGCTGTAACCTAAAGTTCATGACAGGGACTAGTTGGCATATATTTAAAGTTTCTGAAAGGAGCATTTATGAGGCTTCTAGATTCATGATGATATTCTAATTCTCAGCCTGGGTAGAGTGGACCTAAGTGTTTGTTTTGTTATTCCTCTTAAAATGTATGTTTTTGCATACATTTTTAAATGCATTCCATATTTTACAATAAAACTTATAATGTTACACATCTAGAAAACTCTTCACGATATTGTTAAATGGAAGAAATATTATAAAATGGTAAAGGTCATATGATCCCAATATTGTAAACAAAAGAAAGATATATATCCATGTATAAGTAAATATGTGAACATAGAAAAAACACTCAGAGAATTCATAAATGAATATATGTAACATTTGTAAACAAAAAGTAATGCAACATTATTTTAAAAATATGTATTATGCAGCTTTAAACATAATGCATATGATAATTTTATAATTCAGTGGAAAATAGTAAGTGAAGCAGGATATGATATAGTATGTACAAAATAATCTCAATTATATGAATATCTGCATAGAGAAAGGCTGAATGTAAATGATCTAAATGTTAGTAGAATATGGTTCTGCATGGTGTAATTATGGGTAAGATCCCACTGTCTCCTAATTTTTCCCTAGTGTCCATGATAAGTATGTATTACTTATGCAGTGGGGTTGAGGGTATGTTCAAATTTTTAAGCCTTTCTTGAGGCCATTCTCTCAACCATCTTTCCATCTAGATATCCCTCCCTCCTTGGTTCTCTTTGCATTTCATTCCTTCTATAATAGCACTTGTCACATTCAATTGAAATTATTATCTGACATTTCAACTACATTTTAAGCTTCCTTATTATAGAGATCATTCTCAATTCCATATCGCTAAAGCTATCCTAATTTTTGCCACATTTTAAGTTTTTGATAAGTATGTGTTAAATGAACTAATGAATAAGGGAATGCTCTTGAGATACTTCTAGTCTGAAGAAAGAGACCCTCACTTCTGCCAGATATACACAGAAACACTTCTTTGGGCACACAGAAACCAAGAAATGTATTTAAGTGAAAATCTAGACTATAGAACTATAGGGTAGTGAGAGGTAGAGAATATGGACTCTTCCTTTAGGGAAATTGCAGGCATGTGGAGCATATGAAGCACCCAAGCAAAAGAAAGACAGAAAAACTGGCATACAGATAGATAGGAAAGGATAAAATCCACAAAGCTCTTTAAGTTGCAGAAGCTGAGAAGCTGCTAGAGCTAAAAGACATGAAAGGGCAATATAGGAAAAGATGGAGAGATAAACTAAATGCTGACAAACGATTATCATTAAGAAGGGACATGAATAATTATTCTGAGTTAGTTTTCCAATTCTTAAATTAAGTTTTTGTGAATAGCTCTTTTCTCTAAAAAGATGGTAAAAACGTATATGAATGTTTTTTGCATTTTACAGTTTTCTTTATTCTTCAAAGTCATAATAAATCTATCAGAAATAACTATGTGGTAGAAAAGTGAGAAAACTGAATTCCAAAAAGGAAAAAGGAATATCACACATTTAGTTCATGGCAGAGCTAACTTGGAAACTCAGCTCTCTTGACCCTGAACACTGAGTCCTTTGCTATTAAAAAAATTTCATTACTGGAAGAAAAAAATATTTTTATCTCAGCTGAGATACTGATACATGAAACACTGATATACAGAAGTGAATGAACCTTCTTTAGGAAGACATTTTTTAAAAAGGGAATCATTGTATCTTATTCTGAGTTGCTTTTGATGTCTCTGTGAAGAGGCAGGAACATGGACTGTGTAATTGTTACCTAATTTCCTCATAGTTCCTGACGTAGCTACTATCATCTGATAGGAGGGTGAGGCTCAGAGGAAAATGGTGTTCCTTTTAATTGTTCTCTGCTATGGCAAGTCTAGTATCTATCTGTCTAGAATCCTTAGCCTCAGTCTAATTCACATCCACCTATCTCTCTCTCTTTTTCTCTCTCTCTCTCTTTCTCTCTCTCTCTCACACCCCTCCGCCCGCCCCCCCCCCACACACACACACATTATGCTGAGTACATTTTTCTGAAAGTAGTGATCCTGATGCCCCCATGCATTGTTGCTGAAAAGGGGCAGGAACAGTAATCTGACCAGGACTGTGCATGATAGATAAGGGGTGTCAACGGAGCATATAGACTCTCAAAGCTGATGGAAAAATGAAGGTAGCCCTTATACTCTAAATGGCTGAGGAGTTAGAAAATAAAATGCAGAAACAAACATTTGGTTAACATACACCAGCCTAAAGGCTAGTGATTACTCTGCAAGGAAATAAAATACTCCCATTTGGTAGGTGGAGAATTTGAGGCTCAGTGGGATAAGCTACTTCAGTGGGATAAGCTACTTAAGTCCGACTCACAGATCTAGTAATTGGCAGTTGCAGGTGTGAAACAAAGATATTTCTAACTCCAAATCCCATGCATTTCCAACAGATCAATGCCCTACTGAATGAATTTTCAGGCAAGGTGTTCAGGTAAGAGAAGAAGGAGACAATAGCTGTATGAAAACTGCATCTCAGCCTTATTGACTCAAAAGATGCCAGGGACATCAGGAACAGATGACAATTCTGGGAGTTATGAAAGTTGTCTTATTCACTCTTCCCTCCAAGATTTTCTGCAGCTGATTTTATTATTTAAACATAAAGCTTGTAAGAATACTATATTTCACTTTATAAGTCATCAGCTCTCAATCAGCCATCATGCAAGATACAGGGAAATTATGAAATTCTAATATCACAAAAATAATCAGAAAACTGAAGAGAAAAAGGAAGTATATCAGAAAATTTAAAATCAAGTTTCCTCTCCTTTTTTTCCTATCAATAACCACTTACTTTTTGCAAACTTGGCAGAGGAAATGAGAGAAATTCTCCTTTTAGCTGGTGTATTTGAACATGAAAAGAAAATAAATAAATAAAATAAACAACAACAACAAAAAAACCCTGAGATTAGAACCTCTCCAAAAGGTCTAGTAGGAGAAATTGAAAGCTTCAAGCCTGGATGATCAGCACTTCCTGAGTGTCTGAAGGAAGATTCGAGTATGGTGACTAATTCAAGGTCCAGAGCATTGACTCCTCTGGCTTGGGAAGTCTTCCTGCAGAGTTGAAATCTCTTGCAACCCCAAATCCAGGAACTCTGTTTACTCCTGAAAGAGAAGCAACTTCATCTGCTCTAGAACTCTGGGGACTTCCCCTTGAGAATCATTCCAGGGCACGGAGGGAAGCAAAGTGTATGACTCTATCCCAGGGATCTGATTAGGAATTTGGGCAATTAGTAAAACAAAACTCATTGCCTTTGGTTATTGACTCACCAAAGCAGCTTGCATCTTAGAATGTAAAGTCTATTTTGTTAACAAACCAATGAACCTAGAAGAAACCTGCAAAATAAAATGGCCTATTTATTATACGTTTGAGGATCATTTCTTTATTTATTAAACCAATAAATATTAATGGAGAGCTTAAGTGCGATGAATTATGCTGAGTATTGAGGACACAAGCATGACAAAAACAGTCATGGTGTTTGCTCACATAGAGCTTATCAAGGAGGGAGGCATACAAAACTATAGCTAATCCATTATTATCTTTGTGCAAATTAGCAAAAGGAGACTCTTCATGTAGATGCAGCCAATGTACACACTCCTTTGTGAGCAGAGACTGTATTTATACAATTAGTAAAAGGGCACTCCTGCTTATAGACAGAGGGAGATCTATAACAGGATGTATGGCTTGTCAAGTGCACTGTGAGCTAGATTTTACCCCTCATTCTCTCCCTGATTAGGTGTTCTTGTCCTTGTCCAGTGAATAGCCTTCCCACCTAGGCATATTTCAAATAAATCATCTCACAAGTAAATACATTATTATGAACAAAAATAAATGCTATAAGGAAAGGTTTGAGCCATTATGAGAGCATATAACAGAGAGGGCAGGTTGTCCTAGTCTGGGAAGACTTTAAATACTTTTCTGAGGAATGATGTTCAAACAGGAATATTTAAGATAGATATAGGTCAACCAAGAAAGAAATTTTAAGATAGAGAGAAAACATGAGTGAAGGACTTGAGAGATTAATGATAATAACTCATTCTGAGAAGTGAAAGAAGGCAAAATTGTACACACAGTCTGAGGAAGAGATGATGTTAGAAGGTAATAGGGGATGAGATCATACAGAGTCTTGTGCCACTTTGTAAGGCCAATGTGGAGCCAGCAAAGCTTTTAAAACCGTGAATAGCACAATCAGATGTGCATTTCAAAAAGTCTAGTTGAAATGAGAAAAATGAATTGGAGAAGTAAATTTGGAAGCAGAAAATTTAATTAGGAAGATACTGCAGTTCTCCAATGGAAATATGATGAGAGCTGGAACTAGGGTAGTAGACATGAAGATGATTTTGGCTTGTTGGGACACATAGAACCAGCTCACAATAGGCATCCTAGGATACATGGTCAAGAGACCTGCCTTTACCAGCCGTAGCAGTGATTTGAGTCGTTTCTTAAAAGATGTTTGTCTAGAGAAAGTGCAGCTTTTTAAAGAAGTCTGAAGGGCCTGCATTGTAATCCTCCTATTGTAGCTTCACAGAATACCAACTTAATTCTCCACATGGAGAATCATTATAGCCTCTCACCCAATTTCAGACTAGAACCCTTGAATGAAGAGGTGGCCATATACCTTTAGGAACAGACCTTGTGATATTGCCACAAATATATATTATAAACACACATATCAGTCACTATAAAAAATAAACTCTCATTGAACACGTGGAATCTACTGAATTGTAAGGCTTTAGTGGTAGAGCTGCTTACACTGTATTCTTGACTAACTTCAGAGCCTTCCCTTGTTTTGGGCCCTACTCAAAACTGATGGTATCATAAATTACTTAGGAAATGGGTTGAAGTAGCTGATGTGTAATACGTTGCCAAATGTGTCTATTTCAAATAATACATTTAGAAATAGGGAAATAAATAGGATACATTTGGGAATCACTGGACATGTCATGAAATAAATTCAGACCAACATTTGCTAATTTTAGTTGACCTTCCTGACCCTCTATGCTACATTGTTGCTATGGTTTGAATGTTTCTGCCAAAACTCAGGTTGAAATTTAATTGTAATTGTAACAATGTTGAGAGGTAGGACTTTTAACAGGTGATTAGGTCATGAGGACTCTGCTCCCGTGAATGGGCTAATACTGTTATCAGCAAAGTGCATTAGTTATCATGGGAATAGGTTCTTGATAAAAAGGATGAATGTGGCCCAGTTTTCTCTCTGCCTCACATGCATGCTTGCTTCCTCATTCTACCATGGGCTGACCTTTGTCAGATGCCAGTGCCATTCTCATGGGCCTCCCAGCTCCAGAACAGTGAGTCAAACTTCTGTTATTTATAAATTACCCAGTCTGTGGTATTCTGTTATAGCAACAGAAAATGGACTAGACAATTGTGTTTGGTATCCATAGATAAGTCAGTTCAGAGGCAGTGTCCAGTAATCTCTCCAGCATATACCCTTATAATCAGTTACCTTGGTGAATGGATGCAGAAGACCATAAAAGAATTTATATTATGTATAATATAAATGTGGTCTTAGAGAAGACCACAAAAAGAATTTATATTATGTATGTACAGCAGTGTCATAGGGTGCATCCTCAAGAGGATATCACCATTCAAGAGGTTCTGGGAATATAAACTTGAGCTACTCTGGAAATTAGATGAGAGGTATAATTCTCCATTATGATGACTCAAGTCAGGATTACGCTCATGAGTCCTAGAGATTTTAGAAACATATTATTACTATTATATGGATCTATTTTTCATTCTATTTCAGTCTCAGGAATGTCATGGTCAATTATGTAGCACCAAACAGTTCTGCAAGCAAACAATTCTAAAGACTACTCCTACCCATTTTATTAACCACATATACTCTTTATTATCTGATAGGCACATGGTGCCACTTGGTTCTTAATGGGATTTCATTCTTCCTATTGAAATCAGTGAACCATTCAATGGCAACATCTCACATATTCAATTACAGTCTGTAGAAAATAGTTACTGTTAAGATTTCCCCTGGTTGAGTCCATATTTCAGCAACTGAGCAAACAGCAAGAGCTACTCTAAACTTGATCACATACATTGGACCTGGAATCTCTGGCTAAGTACATACTTCCATACACGTTGCCTATCTCAATATTGTGTTTCTTCCTCTTCTGTCTAACAAATTTAGAATCAATTCTTACACACATTTCCCAGGTTCCTGATACTATGAATTAGGGGTCTTCTGAGACTTAACACTAGTTTTGGATTAGGAGGCAATGGAGCCATAGAGAGAGTGAAGTGGACAGAATTTCTAGTAATGGTGGCCAGAAAAGGTCATCAACTCTCTTTTGCAAAACAAGTATAAACCTGAATGAAATTATTATAAATAACCATTTCAGGACACTGGAAATTGATGAAAGGCAAATAAGAAATTAAGAAACATTTATGCTCAAAAAATAACTAGAGCCTCAGATAAGAATAGCAGAGTCTGTTTTTTTTTTTGTTGTTGTTTTTGTTTTTGATTTTGTTTTTGTTTTTTTGGTCTGGGGATGCTCCCAACTTCTTCCTCATGCCCCGAGGTCAGTGGGTAGAAACTTTAGTTTTATCTGCTTGAAGTTGGTTGTAAAAAAAGCAGCAGCTTTGGTGTCAGAAAAGTCAATCTATATTTGAAGTGGAGGTTGGGTGAGAAATTCCAATTTGCAGTGGAGGTTGGATGAGAAACTCCAGCTTTAAACAAAAGAGACCTGAGAAAGCCTCATTAAAAGTGAAAGCCAAGTGAGACCTGAGAACTGGCTGGAACTTTGACTACATTCACAGCTTGGACACAAGTTGATCAACAGGGGGTGCAACCTCATGGGCTTTAGGTGTTTGTTTACAATCTGCCCAATAGCTAACCATTAAGCAATATAGTCATAGGGAAAATCCTAGAATTCTAGGCTAAAAAAAAATTAAAAACCAAGAATACACTAGCATCCATATTCAGCAGATTCTGCATTTAAGTTGGAGAAAGTAACTAAAAAAGGCAAACAACAAGAATGACATTTGAAAACATGAAACGAGATCCAGAGTTGCTACAAAATGTTCTGTTATTAACCACATATTATAAATCATGTAAAGACATAGAAAAGTGAGAGTCAAACTCAGGGGACAAAAGCAGTCAATAGAAATTGTTCTGAATGACCCCATATATTGATTTAGCAGGCAGAGACATGGAAAAAAGATTTTATAAAATGTCTAGAGAATTAAATGAAACTATATTCAACAAATTAAAAGAAAAATATCATGACAATGATCCAGAAAATTTGGACTTTTAAAAAAGAAATAGAAGCTACAAAAGGAAACAAATACAAATTCTACACTTAAAAAAATAAATTAACTGAAATGAAAATTTTATTTGATGATATCAACAGCAAATTTGAGATGGCAGAAGAAAGAATGATGAACTTGAAGATTAATCAATATAAATTATTTAGTCCAAAAACACAGAGAAACACAAGAATGAAGAAAAATGAAGTGTCAGAGATTTGTAAGCCAAACTAAAACATACAAACATAGACATAGAAGGATTCCCAGAAAATGAATAAAGGGGTAGAAAAATATTTGAAAATAATGTCTGAAAACTTCCTAATTTGATGAAAAAACATAGATTCAAAAAGCTCCAAAAATCGTGATGCAAAGAAAATCACATATAGACACATCACAGTCAAACCACTGAAAGCTAAATACAAAAATAAAATCTTGAAAACAACCTGAGAAACTGACTCATCATGTACAGAGTAAAAGCAATACAATTAACAGCTGATGTTTGAACACACAAAAAATTAACAGCAGAAGATAAGTAAATGGCATTCAGGTTGTTGAAGGAAAAAATAAAACATTTTAACAAATAATTCTACATTTAGCAACAATATCCTTCAAAAATGAAGGCAAAATAGAGATGTTCCCAGATAAACAAAGATTGAGAGCATTTGTTGTTAGCCGACCTACCTTACAAGAAATACTAAAGGCTGAAAGGAAGTGAAAACTGGCAGTAATTCATATCTACAAGAAAGAATGAAAAACAACAACAACAAACAGAAATTCTAACTATATTAGTAAGTTTTCTTCAGAGAAGTGGAGGCAATAGAATATATATGTGTGTGTATTTGTGTGTTTGTGTACTTTATGTATTTACAAGTATAAAGTAAGAGGACATATATTGCAATAATTGGCACACACATTATGGAGGCAGAGAAGTCCCATGATCTGCTGTCTACAAGCTGGAGAATCAGGAAAGCTGGTGGTGTAATGCAGTCCAAGTCCTAAAGCCTGTGATCTGAAGAGCCAAAATGTAAGTCCTGGTCTGAGTCTGAGAACAAGGATCACTTATGCCTAAGGGCAGGAGAAGATGGATGTCCCAGCTCAAGCAGAGGGGAATTTGGACTTCTTACACATTTTTGTTGTTTTCAGGCCTTCAATGGATTGGATGATGCCTACTCACATTGGTGAGGGTGATCTTCTTTATTTAGTCTGCTGATTCCAGTGCTCATCTCTTCCAGAAACACTCTCACAGACACACCCAGAAATAATGTTTTACCAGATATCTGGGCATCCCTTACCTCAGCCAAGTTGACACATAAAATTTACCACCACACTACCTATGTAACATAAGTAGGTAATTATTAAGGAATGTGTGTGTATGTATTGCATTCTGTTATTTTTTCTTCAATTTCTGTTGAAAATCATATGCTTAACAGAAAAGAAAACAGTAAAAGGGGAACAGAGGAATAGAAAATATATCAAACATGGAAAACAAATAACAAAATGGAAGATATTGATTCAATCATATCAGAAATTACATTAAAAGTGAGTGGACTAAATGGTCCAATTAAAAGAGAGAGATTACCAGATTGGATTTATAAAACAACATGATCTGGCTATATTTTGTCTATAAGAGATATACTTTAGAATCAAAGACATAAATACTTTTTTTTTTTTTGAGATGGAGTCTCGCTCTGTCGCCCAGGCTGGAGCGCAGTGGCGCGATCTCGGCTCACTGCAAGCTCCGCCTCCTGGGTTCACGCCACTCTCCTGCCTCAGCCTCCCGAGTAGCTGGGACTACAGGTGCCCGCCACCACGCCCGGCTAATTTTTTGTATTTTTAGTAGAGGCGGGGTTTCACTGTGTTAGCCAGGATGGTCTCAATCTCCTGACCTCATAATCCGCCCGCCTCTGTCTCCCAAAGTGCTGGGATTACAGGCTTGAGCCACCGCGCCCGGCCGACATAAATACTTTTACAGTGAAAGGTTGTAAATAAATAAATCATACAAACAGTAAGCATAAGAGAGCTGAAGTGGCTATTCAGTTTACATGTGAACAAAATGGGTTTAAACACTGTGGATCCACTTATACATGGATTTTTTTCTGTATTCCAATAAAAACATTGTAAATTTTTATTGTAAAATTATTTGCAGATTTGTGGCAACCTGATAAAGCAGACCAACCATGTGGCCTACAAATATCAAAATAATTAAGAAAAAGTTAATTATGTCATCAATGCATAAAACATATGTAAATGCTAGTTTATCATTTACTACCGTAAAATATACATGAACCTATTATGAAAGGTTAAAATGCACCAAAACTTATGCACACAAACCACCATTTGCAGTTGAAAGAAATATAAGCAAATGAAAATAGGCAGTATTAAATCATAACTGTATAAAATTAACCATAGTACCTACCATACTATTGTAATAATTTCACAGCCACCTCCTGTTGCTTTTGTGGTGAGCTCAAGTGTTCCAAGTATCTGCTTAAACTGCCCTGTGACACTGATCATCTCCATGTGAGCAGTTCATTTCTCCAGTAAACTGTGTAACACAGTAAAGAGTAAACTCTCATGGTTCTTATGTATTTTTCATCATATTTAGGGTAACATAGTTAATCATGGGACAAGTGACACTAGTAACGCTAAGTGTGCTCTAAGAAACAAAGAAAAGCCACTGCATTACAAGAAAAAGTTGAACTGTTTGCTGTGTACCATAGATTGAGGTCTGCAACTGTGGTTGGCCACCATTTTGAGATAAATGAATCCAGTGTAAGGAACGTTGTAAGAAAAGGAAATTAGTGAAACCACCACTACAGCTGCACCAGCAGGTGTGAAAATCTTGCACATTTCATAAAATATTTTTTAATCTCATATTGAAAATGCAGCTTTTATGAAATGGCAGGATTTGCTATTATAATCAAGGCATACCTATGAATTCTAATACGATTTGAGAAAAAGCAAAGTCATTATATGACAACTTAAAGTAAAAGGAAGGTGAAGATCTAAAGCTGAAGAATTTAATGCCAGCAAAGGATGGTATGATACTTTTAGAAAGAAGTTTGGGGCCAGGCGCAGTGGCTCACACATATAATCCCAGCACTTTGGGAGGAGGAGGCAGGTGGATCACAAGGCCAGGAGATCGAGACCATCCTGGCCAACATGTTGAAACCCCGTCTCTACTAAAAATACAAAAATTAGCTGGGCGTGGTGGTGAGTGCCTGTAATCCCAGCTACTCGGGAGGCTGAGGCACGAGAATCGCTTGAACCCAGGAGGCGGAGGTGACAGTGAGCCGAGATCATGCCACTGTACTCCGGCCTGGCGACAGAGCGAGACTCTTTCTGAAAAAAAGACATTCTGCTTAAAAAATGTCAAGACAATAGGAAAAGCACCTTCTGCCAACAAAGAGGCAGCAATTTCCCAGATCCCGTTAAGGAAATTATTGAGTAGAAAGGATATCTTCCTGAAGATGTTTTTAATATAAACAAAAGTACCCTATTCTGAAAAAAGGTCACAAATTATATTTATTAGTAAGAAAGAGAAGTGAACACCAGGTTTTACGGCAGGAAGAAATGGGCATACTCTAATTTTTTGTGCAGATGCAGTCGAGTTTATAATCAAGACTGCCTTTATCTATAAAGCTTGCTAGCTTCTGAGACTTGGGGAAAAAATAAATACCAGCTGCCAGTCATTGGATTGTATAACAAGAATGTCTGGATGAGAACCCTTTTTCTGGATTGGTTCTATTGATGCTTTGTCTCTGAAGTCAGTAAGTACCTTGCCAGTAAAGAACTGCCTTTTGAAATTCTTTGATATTGGACAAGTTCCATTGCCACCCAGAATGCCATGAGTTCAACACAAAAGGCATAGAAGTGGTCAACTTGCACCCAAATACAACATCTCTAATTCAGCCTCTAGCCTCTAGATCAGGGGATCATAAGAACATTTAAGGCTCACTGCATGCAGTGCTCTATGAAAAAGATTTTCAATGCTGTGGGAGAGAACCACAATATAGAGTACATCATGAAAGTCTGGAAGGCTTATACCATCGAAGATACCATCATTGTTATAGAAAAAGCCATGAAAGCACATCAAGACTGAAACAATAAATTTCTGCAGGAGAAAATTGTGTCCAGATGATGTGCATGACTTCACACGATTTATGACAGAGCCAATCAAGAAAATCATGAAAGGGATTATGGATATGGAAAAACTAAAAAGGTAGAGGGTGAAGGGTTTCAAGATATGGATCTCGGAGAAATTCAAGAAATAATAGACATTATATCAGAGGAATTAACAGAATTAATGTCTTCCATTAAGAAGATGACTTAATGGAGATGAGTGTTTCCGAACCAGTGCCAGACAGTGAGGAAGAAGATGTAGAAAAAGATGTAGAGGAATTAGTGCCGGAAAACATATTGACATTAGACAATCTGGCAGAAGGGTTCTGATGATTCAAGATTGCTTTTTTTTTTTTTTTTTTTTGCAACATGGATAACAGGAGCCTTGAAATTAAAGCAAAGGTGGAAGAAGAATTGATACCATATAAAAACATTTTTACAGAAATAAAGTGGAAGATTCAGAGGGAAATTACAATGTATTTATGTTAAGTTACAGTGTGTGCCTGTCTCTCTTGCCTTTCCTTCTACTTCATTCACCTCTTTTGCCTCTGCCACTCCTGAGACAGCAAGACCAATCCCTCCTCTCTTCCTCAGCCTAATCAACATGAAGACAAAGGTGAAGACCTTAATGATAATCCACTTCCACTTAATAAATAATAAATATATTTTCTCTTCCTTATGATTTTCTTAATATTGTCTTTTTTCTAGCTTACTCTGTTGTGAAAATATAGTATATAATACATATAACATCCAAAATATGTGTTAATCAACTGTTTATGTTATTGGTAAAGCTTCCGGTCCACACTAGGCTATTAGCAGTTAAGTTTTGGGTAAGTCAAAAGTTATACTCAAATTTTTGACTGTGCGGGGGTTGATGCCCCTACCCCTTGCATTGTTCAAGGGTCAACTGTATTAACATCAAACAAAAATAGACTTTTCAGACATGGAATATTACAAAACAAAGAAATAAGGCTGGGTGCAGTGGCTCATGCCTATAATCCCAGCACTTTGGGAGGCCGAGGTGGAAGGATCACTTGAGGTCAGGAGTTTGAGACCAGCTTGGCCAACATGGTGAAACCCAATCTCTGCTAAAAATATATAAATTAGCTGGGGGTGGTGGTGGGCACCTGTAGTCCCAGCTATTCAGGAGGCTGAGGCAGGAGAACCCCTTGAACCTAGGAGGTAGAGGTTGCAGTGAGGGGAGATCACGCCACTGCACTCCAGCCTGGGCAACAGAGAGACACACTCCATTTCAAAAAAAAAAAAATCAAAGCCACAATGAGATACCATCTCACACCAGTTAGAATGGCGATCATTAAAAAGTCAGGAAACAACAGGTGCTGGAGAGGATGTGGAGAAATAGGAACACTTTTACACTGCTGGTGGGACTGTAAACTAGCTCAACCATTGTGGAAGACAGTGTGGCAATTCCTCAGGGATCTAGAACTAGGAATACCATTTGACCCAGCCATCCCATTACTGGGTATATACCCAAAGGATTAGAAATCATGCTGCTATAAAGACACATGCACATGTATGTCTATTGTGGTGCTATTCACAATAGCAAAGACTTGGAACCAACCCAAATGTCCATCAATGATAGACTGGATTAAGAAAATGTGACACATATACACCATGGAATACTATGCAGCCATAAAAAAGGATGAGTTCATGTCCTTTGTAGGGACATGGATGAAGCTGGAAACCATCATTCTCAGCAAACTATCGCAAGGACAGAAAACCAAACACCGCATGTTCTCACTTACAGGTGGGAATTGAACATTGAGAACACTTGGACCCAGGGTGGGGAACACCACACACCAGGGCCTGTCATGGAGTGAGGGGAGGGGGGAGGGACAGCATTAGGAGATATAACTAATGTACATGACGAGTGTGCAGTACATGTGTGATGTGCAGCACATCAACATGGCACATGTGTACATATGTAACAAACCTGCACGTTGTGCACATGTACCCTAGAACTTAAAGTATAATAATAATAAAAAAAGAAATAAAAACAAAAGTGTGGTTAAGTACTAGCCAAGGGCAATTACCATTGTGACAATGCTTGATAATTTTAGTAAAGATTTATGTTTTTTTGAAAAAAAAAGACAAAGAAATATATTTTGATGTGATAAAAGAGTCAATATGTTGGAAAAATACACAATTATATGTGTATATACACCTGAGAACAGATCCTCAAATTCCTGAAGCAAAAAAAATATAGATTTGGAAGGAGAAATAGACAAGTCAACAATGAAAGATTTCAGTGATTCTATTTCAGTAATTTGTAGAACAAGAAAAATCTGTAAGGATATAGAAAACTTGAACAAACACTACAAACCATCCAGATTTGATACTTATGAAAGACTCCATTAAGAAAAGAGAGAATACATTCTCTTTTCAAGTATTTTTTGAATATTCTCCAAGCAATACCATATGTCAGGCCACAAAATAAGCCTAAATACATTTTTATCTTTTTGCCTTATTTTAACATAAAACATTAGTCTTCTTTTGCTTAGTACTCACATGATATATTTTTCCATTCTTTGGTATTTTTAAATTTTATTTTATTTTATTTTATTTAAATTTCAGGATACATGTGTAGGATGTACAGGTCTGTTACATAGGTAAACAGGTGCCATGGTGATTTGCTGCACTATCAACCCATCACCTAGGTATTAAGTCTAGTATGCGTTAGCTATTCTTCCTGATGCTCTCCCTCACCTGACACCCTACCTCCCAACAGGCCACAGTGTGTGTTTTTCCCCTCCCTGTGCCCATGTATTCTCATTGTTCAGCTAGTAAGTGAGAACATGCAGTGTTTGGTTTTCTGTTCTTGTGTTAGTTTGCAAGGAGAGTGGCTTTCAGCTCCATCCATATCCCTGCAGAAGACATGATCTCATTCCTTTTTATGGCTGCAGAGTATTCCATGGTGTATATGTACCACATTTTCTTTATCCAGTCTATCACTGATAGACATTTGGGTTAATTTCATGTGTTTGCTATTGTGAATAGTGCTGCAATAAACACATGTGTGCATGACTGATTATATAATAGAATGATTTATATTCTTTGGGGTATATATTCAGTAATGGGATTGCTGGGTCAAACGGTATTTCTGGTTCTAGGTCTTTGAAGAATTGCCACACTGTCTTCCACAATATTTGAACTAATTTACATTCCCACCAGCAGTATAAAAGCATTCTTATTTCTCCACACCCTTGCCAGCATCTGTTGTTTCTTGACTTTTTTGGTGGGGGGTAGATTGGGGGGATGGAGTTTCGTTCTTGTTGCCCAGGCTGGAGTGCAATGGCATGGTCTTGGCTCACTGCAACCTCCACTTCCTGGGTTCAAGCGATTCTCCTGCCTCAGCCTCCCAAGTGGCTGGGATTACAGGCACCCACCACCACGCCTGGCTAATTTTTTTGTAGTTTTAGTAGAGAGAGGGTTTCACCATGTTGGCCAGGCTGGTCTCAAACTCCTGACCTTAGGTGATCCACCCGCCTCAGCCTCCCAAAGTGCTGGGATTACAGGCGTGAGCCACCATGCCCAGGCTGTTTTAATTTTTAATAATCGCCATTCTGACTGATGTGAGATGGCATCTCATTGTGGTTTTGATTTGCATTTCTCTAATGATCAGTGATGTTGAGCTTTTTTTCATATGTTTATAGTCCACATAAATGTCTTCTTTTGAGAAGTGTCTGTTCATGTCCTTTGCCCACTTTTTAATGGGGTTGTTTGGTTTCTTTCTTGTAAATTTGTTTAAGTTCCTTGTAGATTCTGAATATTAGAACTTTGTCAGTGGATAGATTGCGAAAACTTCCCCCCATTCTGTAGGTTGTCTGTTCACTCTGATGATAGTTTCTTTTGTTGTGCAGAAGCTCTTTAGTTTAATCAGATCCCATTTGTCAATTTTTGCTTTTATTGAAATTACTTTTGATGTTTTCATCATGAAATTATTGCCCATGCCTATGTCCTGAATGGTATTGCTTAGCTTTTCTTCTAGGGTTTTTATAATTTTGGGATTTACATTTAAGTCTTTAAGCCATATTGAGTTAATTTTTGTACAAGGTGTAAGGAAGGAGTCCAGTTTCAGTTTTCTGCATATGGCTAGCCAGTTGTCCCAGACCGATTTATTAAACAGGGAATCCTTTCCCCATTGTTTGTTTTTGTCAGGTTTGTTGAAGATCAGATGGTTGTAGATGTGTAGTCTAATTTCTGAGTTCTCTTATCTGTTCCATTGGTCCATGTGTCTGTTTTTGTACCAATACCATGCTGTTTTGGTTACTGTAGCCTTGTAGTATGATTTGAAGTCAGGTAGTGTGATGCCTCCAGGTTTGTTCTTGCTTAGGATTGTCTTGGCTATACGGGCTCTTTTTTTGTTTCATATGGATTTTAAAGTATTTTTTTTTAATTTTGTGAAGAATTGCAATGGTAATTTAATGGGAATAGGACTGAATCTATAAATCACCTTGGGAAGTGTGGCCATTTTTACAATATTGATTCTTCCTATCCATGAGCATGGAATGTTTTGCCATTTGTTTGTGTCCTCTCTGATTTCGTTGAACAGTGGTTTGTAGTTCTCCTTGAAGAGGTCCTCCACTTCACCCTGGCCAGAACTTCCAATAATATGTTAAATAGGAGTGATGGGAGAGGGCATCCTCATCTTGTGCTGGCTTTCAAGGGGAATGCTTCCAGCTTGTGCCCCTTCAGTATGATATTGGCTGTGGGTTTTTCATAAATGTGTCTGATTATTTTGAGGTATGTTCCATCAATACCTAGTTTATTGAGAGTTTTTAACATGAAGGGATGTTGAATTTTATTGAAGCCCTTTTCTGCAGCTATTGAGATAATTGTGTGGTTTTTGTCCTTAGTCCTGTTTCATATAAACAAATTACATTTATTGATTTGCATATGCTGAACAAGCCTGGCATCCTAGAGATGAGGGCAACGTTATCATGCTGAATAAGCTTTTTGATGTGCTGCTGATTCAGTTTTCCAGTATTTTATTAAGGATTTTTGCCTCAATGTTCATCAGGGATATTGGCCTGAAGTTTTATTTTTTTGTAGTATTTCTGCCAGGTTTTGGTATCAGGATGACCCTGGCCTCATAAAATGAGTTCAAGGGGAGTCCCTCCTTTTCAATTCAAAGTAATGGGATGGCTGGGTCAAATGGTATTTCTATTTCTGGATCCCTGAGGAATCACCACACTGACTTCCACAATGGTTGAACTAGTTTACAGTCCCACCAACAGTGTAAAAATGTTCCTATTTCTCCACATGCTCTACAGCACCTGTTGTTTCCTGACTTTTTAATGACCGCCATTCTAACTGGTGTGAGATGGTATCTCATTGTGGTTTTGATTTGCATTTCTCTGATGGCCAATGATGATGAGCATTTTTTCATGTGTTTTATGGCTGCATAAATGTCTTCTTCTGAGAAGTGTCTGTTCATGTCTTTTGCCCACTTTTTGATGGGGTTGTTTGTTTTTTTCCTGTAAATTTGTTTGAGTTCATTATAGATTCTGGATATTAGCCCTTTGTCAGATGAGTAGGTTGCAAAATTTTCTCACATTTTGTAGGCTGCCTGTTCACTCTGACGGTAGTTTCTTTTGCTGTGCAGAAGCTCTTTAGTTTAATTAGATCCCATTTGTCAATTTTGGCTTTTGTTGCCATTGCTTTTGGTGTTTTAGACATGAAGTCTTTGCCAATGCCTATGTCCTCAATGGTATTGCCTAGGTTTTCTTCTGGGGTTTTTATGGTTTTAGGTCTAACATTTAAGTCTTTAATCCATCTTGAATTAATTTTTGTATAAGGTGTAAGGAAAGGGTCCAGTTTCAGCTTTCTACATATGGCTAGCCAGTTTTCCCAGCACCATTTATTAAACAGGGAATCCTTTCCCCATTGCTTGTTTTTGTCAAGTTTGTCAAAGATCAGATAGTTGTAGATATGCAGTATTATTTCTGAGGGCTCTGTTCTGTTCCATTGATCTATATCTCTGTTTTGGTACCAGTACCATGCTGTTTTGGTTACTGTAGCCTTGTAGTATAGTTTGAAGTCAGATAGTGTGATGCCTCCAGCGTTGTTCTTTTGGCTTAGGATTGACTTGGCGATGCGGGCTCTTTTTTGGTTCCATATGAACTTTAAAGTAGTTTTTTCCAATTCTGTGAAGAAAGTCATTGGTAGCTTGATGGGGATGGCATTGAATCTATAAATTACCTTGGGCAGTATGGCCATTTTCATGATATTGATTCTTCCAACCTATGAGCATGGAATGTTCTTCCATTTGTATCCTCTTTTATCTCATTGAGCAGTGGTTTGTAGTTCTTCTTGAAGAGGTCCTTCACATCCCTTGTAAGTTGGACTCCTAGGTAATTTATTCTCTTTGAAGCAATTGTGAATGGGAGTTCACTCATGATTTGGCTCTCTGTTTGTCTGTTATTGTTGTATAAGAATGCTTGTGATTTTTGTACATTGATTTTGTATCCTGAGACTTTGCTGAAGTTGCTTATCAGCTTAAGGAGATTTTGGGCTGAGACAATGGGGTTTTCTAGATATACAATCATGTAATCTGCAAACAGGGACAATTTGACTTCCTCTTTTCCTAATCGAATACCCTTTATTTCCTTCTTCTGCCTAATTGCCCTGGCCAGAACTTCCAACACTATGTTGAATAGGAGTGGTGCAAGAGGGAATCTCTGTCTTGTGCCCGTTTTCAAAGGGAATGCTTCCAGTTTTTGTCCATTCAGTATGATATTGGCTGTGTGTTTGTCATAGATAGCTCTTATTATTTTGAGATACATCCCATCAATACCTAATTTATTGAGAGTTTTTAGCATGAAGGGTTGTTGAATTTTGTCAAAGGCCTTTTCTGCATCTATTGAGATAATCATGTGGTTTTTGTCTTTGGTTCTGTTTATATGCTGGATTACATTTATTGATTTGCATATATTGAACCAGCCTTGCATCCCAGGGATGAAGCCCACTTGATCATGGTGGATAAGCTTTTTGATGTGCTGCTGGATTCGGTTTGCCAGTATTTTATTGAGGATTTTTGCATCAATGTTCATCAAGGATATTGGTCTAAAATTCTCTTTTTTGGTTGTGTCTCTGCCAGGCTTTGGTATCAGGATGATGCTGGCCTCATAAAATGAGTTAGAGAGGATTCCCTCTTTTTCTATTGATTGGAATAGTTTCAGAAGAAATGGTACCAGTTCCCCTTGTACCTCTGGTAGAATTCGGCTGTGAATCCATCTGGTCCTGGACTCTTTTTGGTTGGTAAGCTATTGATAATTGCCACAATTTCAGAGCCTGTTATTGGTCTATTCAGAGATTCAACTTCTTCCTGGTTTAGTCTTGGGAGGGTGTATGTGTTGAGGAATTTATCCATTTCTTCTAGATTTTCTAGTTTATTTGCATAGAGGTGTTTGTAGTATTCTCTGATGGTAGTTTGTATTTCTGTGGGATCGGTGGTGATATCCCCTTTATCATTTTTTTATTGCATCTATTTGATTCTTCTCTCTTTTCTTCTTCATTAGTCTTGCTAGAGGTCTATCGATTTTGTTGATCATTTCAAAAAACCAGCTCCTGGACTCATTAATTTTTGAAGGGTTTTTTGTGTCTCTATTTCCTTCAGTTCTGCTCTGATTTTAGTTATTTCTTGCCTTCTGCTAGCTTTTGAAGTGTTTGCTCTTGCTTTTCTAGTTCTTTTAATTGTGATGTTAGGGTGTCAATTTTGGATCTTTCCTGCTTTCTCTTGTGGGCATTTAGTGCTATAAATTTCCCTCTACACACTGCTTTAAAAGTGTCCCAGAGATTCTGGTACGTTGTGTCTTCGTTCTCATTGGTTTCAAAGAACATCTTTATTTCTGCCTTCATTTCGTTATGTACCCAGTAGTCATTCAGGAGCAGGTTGTTCAGTTTCCATGTAGTTGAGCAGTTTTGAGTGAGATTCTTAATCCTGAGTTGTAGTTTGATTGCACTGTGGTCCGAGAGATAGTTTGTTATAATTTCCTTTCTTTTACATTTGCTGAGGAGAGCTTTACTTCCAACTATGTGGTCAATTTTAGAATAGGTGTGGTGTGGTGCTGAAACAAATGTATATTCTGTTGATTTGGGGTGGAGAGTTCTGTAGGTGTCTATTAGGTCCACTCGGTGCAGAGCTGAGTTCAACTCCTGGGTATCCTTGTTAACTTTCTGTCTCGTTGATCTGTCTAATGTTGACAGTGGGGTGTTAAAGTCTCCCATTATTATTGTGTGGGAGTCTAAGTGTCTTTGTAGGTCACTCAGGACTTGCTTTATGAATCTGGGTGCTCCTGTATTGGGTGCATATATATTTGGGATAGTTAGCTCTTCTTGTTGAATTGATCCCTTTACCATTATGTAATGGCCTTCTTTGTCTCTTTTGATCTTTGTTGGTTTAAAATCTGTTTTATCAGAGACTAGGATTGCAACCCCTGTCTTTTTTTGTTTTCTACTTGCTTAGTAGATCTTCCTGCATCCCTTTATTTTGAGCCTATGTGTGTCTCTGCACGTTAGATGGATTTCCTGAATACAGCACACTGATGGGTCTTGACACTTTATCCAATTTGCCAGTCTGTGTCTTTTAATTGGAGCATTTAGCCCATTTACATTTAAAGTTAATATTGTTATGTGTGAATTTGATCCTGTCATTATGATGTTAGCTGGTTATTTTGTTCGTTAGTTGATGCAGTTTCTTCCTAGCCTCAATGGTCTTTACAATTTGGCATGTTTTTGCAGTGGCTGGTACTGGCTGTTCCTTTCCATGTTTAGTGCTTCCTTCAGGAGCTCTTCTAGGCCAGGCCTGGTGGTGACAAAATCTCTCAGCATTTGCTTGTCTATAAAGGATTTTATTTCTCCTTCACTTGTGAAGCTGAGTTTGGCTGGATATGAAATTCTGGGTTGAAAATTCTTTTCTTTAAGAATGTTGAATATTGGCCCCCACTCTCTTCTGGCTTGTAGAGTTTCTGCTGAGAGATCTGCTATTAGTCTGATGGGCTTCCCTTTGTGGGTAACCCGACCTTTCTCTCTGGCTGCCCTTAACATTTTTTCCTTCATTTCAACTTTGGTGAATCTGACACTTATGTGTCTTGGAGTTGCTCTTCTCGAGGAGTATCTTTGTGGTGTTCTCTGTATTTCCTGAATCTGAATGTTGGCCTGCCTTGCTAAATTGGGGAAGGTCTCCTGGATAATATCCTGCAGAGTGTTTTCCAACTTGGTTCCATTCTCCCTGTCACTTTCAGGTACACCAATCAGATGTAGATTCGGTCTTTTCACATAGTCCCATATTTCTTGGAGGCTCTGTTCATTTCTTTTTATTCTTTTTTCTCTAAACTTCCCTTCTCGCTTCATTTCATTCATTTCATCTTCTATCACTGATATCCTTTCTTCCAGTTGATCGCATCAGCTCCTGAGGTTTCTGCATTCTTCACATAGTTCTCAAGCCTTGGCTTTCAGCTCCATCAGCTCCTTTAAGCACTTCTCTACATTGGTTATTCTAGCTATATATTTGTCTAAATTTTTTTTCAAAGTTTTTAACTTCTTTGCCATTGGTTTGAATTTCCTCCTGTAGCTCGGAGCAGTTTGATTGTCTGAAGCCTTCTTCTCTCAACTCGTCAAAGTCATTCTCCGTCCAGCTTTGTTCCGTTGCTGGTGAGGAACTGCTTTCCTTTGGAGGAGGAGAGGCGCTCTGCTTTTTAGAGTTTCCAGTTTTTCCGCTCTGTTTTTTCCCCATCTTTGTGGTTTTATCTACTTTTGATCTTTGATGATGGTGCCATACAGATGGTTTTTGGTGTGGATGTCCTTTCTGTTTGTTAGTTTTCCTTCTAACAGATAGAACCCTCAGCTGCAGGTCTGTTGGAGTTTGCTAGAGGTCCACTCCAGACCCTGTTTGCCTGGGTATCAGCAGCAGTGGCTGCAGAACAGTGGATTTTCGTGAACTTCATGTTTCTTTTAATTCAGGTTTGCTGGTGACAAATTCTCTCTCTCTCTCTTTTTTTTTTTTTTTTTTTTTGCATATCTAAAACTCTTATTGTTTTTGTCTCCCTTTTGAAAGGATATTTTCCCTGATTATAGAATTCTAGCTTGGTAGTTGTTTTCTTTCAGTATGTTAAAAATGTCATTCCATTAATTTCTGTTTTCCTGCTGTTAATGGGTCAATTATTAGCCTTACAGTTAGTCCTTGAAAATAACGTGTCCTTTTACTCTAACTCCTTTTAAGGCTTTTTCTTTCTATCTTTCTTTTTTCTGTTGTTTTATTTGATATGCCTACATGAATTTTATGTATCATTGAATATGTATTTATCCTGTTGGTAGGCAACTCAGGATGATTCTTGAATTTGTGTCTTAATGATTTCCTCAAGTTTGAAAAATTCATGGCCACTGTTTCTTCGTATATTGCTTCTGATACATTCTATCTCTCCTATTAATCTGGTAGTCTAATTACACATATGCTAGACCTTTTCCTGGGGTTCTATATGCTTCTTACGCTCTTTTATACATATTGCACTACTTTTTTTTCCCTGTGCTTCAATCTAGGTATTTTTTACTGACACATCTTCCAATTCACTGATTTTATCTCCAGTTATTTCTAATGTGGTGTTATAACATCTATTAAGTTCTTAGTTTCTCTTATTATATTTTATACTTCTAGTGTTTTCACTTTATTTTTAAATAATATTTCTCATTCTCTGCTGTGATTTGAAAATTTGTCTTACATTATTTTTTCAGCATAATAATCATTATAGTAGTTTTTATTGCTGCATAACAAATTAGCATGTTTAGTAGCTTAAAATGCCACAAAATTTCCATTGGACAGGTGTTCTAGGCATGGCTTAGCTGGGTTCTCTGCTCAGGATCTCACACACCTGCAATCAGCATCAGCAGAGCTGTATTCCTTCATGGAGTTTGGCATCCACTTCCAAACTCATGTAGTTGTTGGCAGAATTGGCTTTCAGCTGAAACTGTTAGTTCTTAGAAGTTGCATATATTCCTTGCTACACCACCCTGTTACAAGTTATCTTAAAACATGGCCACTTAATTCTTTAAAGTCAGCAAGTTAGTATTCTTGCTCCATTCTGTTATGATAAATTCTTATATAATGTTATATAAGCATGGGAGTGAGACATATCATTGTCTTTGGCATATTCTATTGAACAGAGGCAAGTCACAGTTCTGTCCACACTCAAATGAAGGGAATACATGGGTGTGACTCATTATGGGTCACCTTAGAATGTGTCTGCCACAGTCATATTTATCTTAAATTTGTATTTTGTAACTTTAATATGATTATTTTATGGGTTTGTTTGTATTGAGTTTTTTTTTTTAATTTGTTGAGTCTTAGATCTTTGGTTTTTTATCCTGGTATGTCTGGTGCATTTTTATTACATCTTGGACACTCTCTATCAGAAATCCTCACACTTTCCTGAAAAGGGCCAAGTAATTAATAATTTAGGGTTTGTGGATCATACATAAGTCCCTGTTCCAACTATTAAATTCTGCTATAGTAGCACAAAAGAAGCCATAGATTATACATAAGTGAATGAGTGGGGTTGTGGTTCAAAAAATTTTGGGGTTTTTGTGTGTGCTTACTATATTTGAATTTTACATAGCTTTCACATGTCACAAAGTATTTTTTAAATTTGTTTTCAATTATTTAAAATTGTAAAAACTAGTATACCCCTTGCAGGCTATGCAAAAACATGTAGTGGGCTGATGGGCTGTAGTTTTCCTACTCCAGTACTATATGAAAAAAAATATAAAGACAAATTGGTACTCTAGATTATATTATCTTCCTCTAGAGAATATTTTATTTTGCTTCTCGACAGGTAATTAGACTAGGGGCAAGATCATATTAATCTAACTAGAAATTAAATTAATTTGAAGTTTTAGTCTCTGTGAAGGGTTCATTTATTTCCACTTTACCCTTTCACAGAGAATATAACCCTTAAGCATATGGAAATTTCCAGATACTCTTCTCAGTTTATTAGTTTTTTTGACCAAAGACTACAAACAACAAATTACAATTCCTCAAGGAAACTGCAAAGAAGTGAGATTCGAGCTAACATTTCTGCATATTCTTTCTTTCTAGAATCTTGGCTCCTCAATTATTCACTGACTTAGTAGCTATATCCATATAGTATGGTCACTATAGCATCATTCTAGAGGTGTAGGAGAACTAATTCTATCCTTCAATTTTGTGTATGAATAGTGGCAGGGTGAAAAGAATCCTGGTAAGGAGTCACTTATTCCAGTTCTGTCGCTTGTTTTCAGTTTCTTCATTTTTAAAATAGAGATAATAGTGTGGATGTATATGTCCACTTTATCATGTTATTGTGAGGTAACATAAAACAAGGTGACGGATGCAGAATAGGAGGCAAAATCATCAGCAGCAGCATCACCACTACTACATTATTATGTCATCACTTATAGATGAACACACCAAGGCCCAGATACATGTCAGTCTAAATACTTGACAAGTTAGTCACAACTATGGAACTAAAACCTGGGTAAACCAAATCATTAATCTAATGCTTTATTCACCATTACCAAGATGTCTTTTTAGGTTGCTACCATTAGCAGTACCACCACTGAACACAAATTCAAATTAAATTCAATATTACCAATATAGGCCAGCTTATGAGGCTGGATTTCCTTTGTTTAAGTCCTAGTTTCCCATTTATCAGCTCAGTGTCCTACGGGAAATTATATAACAACTCTGTGTCTGTTTTCTCCTAAAAAAAAAAAAAACAGTACAATTGTGCTATCTTGTAGGTTCATTGTTAGGATTAAATGAGTTAATGTGTGTGCATTGCATAGTTTAGTACCTAGCATATAATAAAGAGCATGTAATAGGAATTTTTTTAGAAGTAGCAGCTCTAGGTTTGCTGAGAAAAAAAAGATGGATGACAAAGAGTCTCTATTTCTAAGGAGCTGACAATTAGCAATCTAAGACCAATGCAAAGAAATAATTGGTTAAAAATCTGTGACAATTGAGTGCCAACTTTTACATATCTTTCAACTATAGACACTTATTCCCATCTATTTGGGCTATGGATAATGAGATGGATTTAATATGCAGAAGGTTCCCTGGCAAGGCTGAGGCCTTCGGACAAACTGAGCTGAGGGCTCCAAAATAAATATAGGGTGTGTGGCAAGAAGTGCAGAGATGAGAAAGATCAGTTTAAAAGTGAGAAGACAACTCAGAGAATGGGAATGAAATATTTGTAAATCTTATCTCTGATCAGGATCTAGTATCCAAAATATATTTAAACAACTCATAAAAGAATAAAAAGATAACTGCATTTAAAAATGGGCAAAGAATCTGAACAGATATTTCTCCAAAGCAGATATACAAATGGGCAATAAGAACATAAAAGGATGCTCAACATCATTAGTCATTAGGGAAATAAATCAAAACCACAGTGAGATACCACTTCACACCTACTGGGATGGCTATAATTAAAAAAAAAAAAACACCAGAAAATAAGTGTTAGCAAGTATGTCGAGAAATTAGAACACTCATAACATTGCTGGTGGGAAGGCTAAATCCTCAGCCACTTTAGGAAACAGTCTGGCAGTTCCTTAAAACCTTAAAAAAAAAAAGTATGAAAGCTCAGACAATAGAATTCAGGAACAGTGCTGATGATTCTTTCAAGAGACTTTAAACTGCTTCAAGTGTCAGAGTATCTGAAGGTCAGCCCTCTGTATGAGGGCTCCATGCATAAACCCTGCTTGATAATTGTCGCTTCTATTCTCTCATGTGTGAAGGGTTACTCCATAAGGCCTCCAAAGAAATGGACAGAAAATCTGACATGGATTTCAGCAGGACTATTACCCATGCTAATAAGGGAAATAAGCCTTTTCATCCCAGAGATTGTCCCTAATAGCCAAGCCAACTCTGTTCTCCAAAGTGTTATTTTCAGGATTAGAAAATGTGCTGCCTTAGTAATGAGGTCTCCAGATGCTCTGCTGTTTGGATTGTGTCTTCTGCCATTATCACTTGGGAGTAGTAAGTGTTGTTTTGGAGATGGAGACATCTAACACTGGGGACAGACAATTTTTATCTTATTAAAAAACACCTAAGCCAAAGTTAATGCTTTGTGACCCAAAGATGAAATCCTTCCAGTGGATGGGCTTGTGAGAATCTAGGGGAACTTAGTGTGACTTCACTTCTGGTGTCGGACACAGGAAGACTGAGATAGGCATTATTTCCTTCCTCTCTAAATAGTTCCTTTAGTTATCACATTCTTGGCGTTATTTAAAGATTAGCCAGCAAAGGGGGAGAAACTATAGCTCTGCTCAGTATGACATTAGTGACCCTCTCTTAAGGAAATTCATAGACTCTTCAGTAAAATAGCATAGTTCCATAAAGTGATTGTTAGTTAAATAACCGATGTGTTTTAAATAATCTTAAAAAAGGCATTGACAAAAATCTGGGAAACATTGTATAACTATCAGTAATAAAAAAAAATCCATAGTCTATGATTGCAGGCAGTCAAATTTCCAGAGTGGAGGATATAATTCAGGTATAAGCACAACTCTCTAGAAGACTCAAGAAACAGGCTATGTGGTGAGTTTCAGAAGTGAAACTCTGAAGGAAGCTTAACGTTAACCTCACCTTTAAGGAAGCTTAACGGCTGGGATGGGGAGTGTTTATGATAGTGTATACTGTTATTGCATAGCCAGTGATAGTCTATGGAAGAAGGGGGAACACGGGCTCTAATAAGAAAGAATGTGATTTCTAAGATGTTGGAAACGTAGACGAATAGACTAGAGAAGAGGGCCATAAAGTACTTGGAAGGCTGTAATTGGATCCTATACCAAAGGCTGTCCAAGAATCTAAGCTCCATGAGAAAAAAAGACCAATTGGGTCATCTTTATTTTCCTAGCACTAGCATAGTACTTATACTTTGTGACTTCCCAACACATTGAACTCTTGAAGAAGTTGTTTTGCTCGGTAAAATCAAGCACGATTTTAGTTTAAGCAAATTGAAATGTACAGGAGACTTTTTGTTTTAGACTTCAAAGTTTGCTTTATTAATATATAATTCTGCATATTTGTGTGGTGCATGTGATTTTTTGATATATTAATACAATGTGTAATGATAAAATCGAAGTAATTAGAATATCCATCACCTCAAACATTTATTATTACTTTGTGTTGGGAGCACTTCAAATCTTCTTTTTTAGAAATTTTGAAATATAAAATAAATTCTAGTTACCTCCCATACTATCAAGCACCAGAATGGATTCCTTGTAACTATGTTTGTACCTTTTAACCAACCTCTCTTCATCCACAACCTCACCATTTCCAGCCTCTAGTAACCACCATTCTCCTCTCTACCTCCATGAGATCAACTTTTTAAACTCTCATATATAAGTGAGAACATATGATACTTTTATTTCTGTGCCTGGCTTATTTCGTTTTAAAAAATTATACATAATAGTTGTACATATTTACAGGGTACATGTGATGTTTGGGTACATGCATAGAATGAAAATGCACAGGAGATTTTTAAAAATTCAGGAAACAAGAGGATAAGTAAGTTTTCTTCTCCAGGGAAAAATTGTAAACAGTACACTCATCTAGGATTGGGCCAGGAAAAGGCCTGTTTCTCATTTTTGTAATTTATTTGAAAGCAAGGAAAGGCAATACAAACTCCAAAGTCAAAGACATTACCTGAATTTTGAGGTTTCTGTCTATCTGTACCCTCTCTACTTTTTTATCTCTCGTTTTTCCTCCTCACCTACATTTCCTAGACTTTAGATGAGTAATCCTATCCTTGCCTACATTTTAAATTTCCGCATTCCACTCTGCATCCCTTTAGTGATTATTCTCTTAGATGGAGCTGGGATAGCATTTTTGGGGGAGTGTTAGCAGTTTAAATAATTATCTGGAAGAGAGGGAGGCAAATATTCGAGGCCACAGACCTGAATAAGATCTTCTGGTTAATAAAATACAATTACATTATGAAAATAATGTGAATTAATTTTAATGTATTCAAGTGTAAAGGAAACTGTGATTTTACAATGATGGGCTCCACGCTATCAATTCAATTATAACCGAGGCAAGGGATCTAGATGTCACTGCAGATTGTTTCTAGATATATTAGTTGGATGAGCTACTATGACCGGAGGGAGAAGTAAAATATTGAGCATCTTCAGGAAAGGGATTAGAGGATTAGAGGCAGAACTGAAAATTATATTCAACTTAATCCACACCTGTGTTAGTATAATACATGCAGCAGTGCATGGATTTGGTCAATGCACTTCAAGAAAGATTTTGAAAGAGCATAAAAAATTCCGTTTGAGCAACTGGAAGGGAAATTATAATACTTACAAAGTTAAGGTTAAGATAATCACATACTTGTTTACAAATCCAGAAATATTAGATTGAAGCCCCTCCACCCCTGCCCCTGATCTTCTTAGAAATTTAAACTTGCTAATTTGGGGAAAATGAAAAAGAAATAACTGTAACTTCTAATAACACTAGTATCTACTGAGGGTTTCCTATTTGTCAAATGCTACTTCAAACTCTTCAAACAAGTAAGCCATTTAATTTTCATGGCAACTCTATGAAATACTAACATATTCAACTTACAAATGAGTTAAATATTATGGTTAAGATTCCGAGGAGCTATTGAGGAATTTACGCAGGACAGCTCCATGAACAGGTTTTTGAAAAAAGTGTAATGGCAACATCCAGGAGGAAGACTTAGACTAAGATCAACCAAAAGGAGACAGATTAGTTAGGAGGCCTTGTGGTGATCACAGAGGATGGTAATGGCAGTCAGTAGTTGGGCGTTGGTAGAAAGCATGAAGTGGAGGGGACAGGAAGAGAGAATTTCAGGAGGCAATGTCTTTGTGTGGAAAAGGGAAGGGTGGTGATTAGGACAGTCCTCAGCTTTCTGAATGGAGATGATGGTTAAACATGGTGAGTATTATCAGGAGTAGATGTGGGTATAAGGAGCGAGGTTAATCTGCGCAAGTACAACCTCTCATGCTGGGTCTACTTGAGGTAAGATAAAAGGAAGGTGGATCAGCTTATTTGTATCCCCAACATAACTTGGAATATGCATAAGTGAAGTAAAAAAAAAACAGGACGATTCATCGTTCTCTGATTAAGTGAATATTATCTTTGCTCTCATACTAGAAAAACCTATTCCTTACTTAAAGAGTCACCCTCAGATTCATTTTGCTGTCTTTTCTACCTTTGATTAAAATTCAAGGAGACAATCTAAATATTGCAATGCCATATCAAACCATTTTTTATGATCCTAGGTGATATTTATTACAAGGTTTCTAGAAAAAGTCATCAGTAGAAGTGTTCCCTTTTCTACTCTTTGATGGTCACTGAGTATTGTAGATGCAGGGCTTAGATAAGTGAAGACCAGGACCTAGGGTTCTGGGGAGGAGAAGCATTCTCAGGACTCTCACAGGGCATTTGGCATTGGAAACTGATGACAGTGTGAAAAGGATATCAATCAGTCTCACATCTTCTATTCTTCACTATTCCTCACTGGATCCTTGAGAAGTAATTCAGGAGTGTATTGAGAAGGAACTGTAGAGCTGGGCACATTTGATGAATCACCTGCTTCTTCCTTGACCTAGGCCCACTCCTTCAATGGCCAGGTAGTTGTTTCTTTCTTTCTTTAAACAGCTTTATTGAAGTACAATGGATATATAATACACTACATATATTTAATGTGTACAATTTAATGAGTTTGGCCATATACATACATCTGTGAAACCATCATCATAATTAAGGTAACAAACATATCTATCACCTTTAAACATTTCTTTGTGTCCCTTTGCTTTTTGTTTTGTTTTGTGGTAAGGCACTTAATATGAGATATACCATCTTAAAAAATTTTAAGTGCATATTACAATATTGTTTACTACAAGAATTATGCTGTACAGCAGCTCTCTAGAACTAATTATCTTGCATAATTGAAACTTTACATGAATTGAACAACAACTCCCCACTTCCCCTTTCTTGTTCCCCAGTAATCACCATTCTATTTCCTGCTTCTATGACTTTGACTATTTTAAATACCTCATATAAGTGGAATCATGCAGTATTTGTCCTCCTGTGACTGGCTTATACCATTTAGAATAATGTTCTCCAGGCTCATCCCTGTTGTTGCAAAGGGCAGGATTTCCTTTTTTTTTTTTAAGGCTTAATAACATTACATTCTATGTAAATACCACATTTTCTTTATTCATTCATCTACCAGTGGACACCTGGGTTGTTTCCACAATTTGGCTATTGTGAATGGTGCTGTAATGAACATGGGAATGCAAACATCTCTTCTAGATTTTGATTTTAATTCAGATATATGAAAATATGGTCAGTGTCACTAATCATCAGGGAAATGCAAATCATAACCACAATGTGATATCACCTCATAACAGTTAGGGTGGCTAGTATTTATTTATTTTTAATCTATAATCAAAAGATAACAAGTGTTGGAGAGGATGTTGAGAAATTGGAACCCTTGTGCACTGTGGGTGGGAATGTAAAATGATGTAGCCACTGTGGAAAACAGTATGGATATTCCTCTGACCTCCATATGATCCAGCAAGCACACCTCTGGATCATATACCTCTAGGTATATAATAATAATTTTTAAAAAAAGGAACCAGGGAGTTGTTTCTACAGATCTCTTTCAGTTTGTTACCACCTTCTGATCACTATCTCTGCTCTCAATCCCAGGGTCCCAGGGTAGCCTTCTATGCTTCCAAAGAAGAGGGTGGGGACAGGTGATTATTCTGAGCAAGTAGACAACAGGTCTAGGGCATTGCTCAGAGGATGGACATGCTTTTTACTGAAAGCCTTGGTCCAGCCTACTCTGTTTCATGATTAACTCATCATATGTTTCTTTCCTCTGCCCAGCTCTTTCAAACCTAGACCTACCTTGATGCCAAAGCTAAATTCCACTTTTGTGACTGAGTTCCTCTTTGAAGGTTTCTCCAGCTTCAGGCGGCAGCACAAACTTGTCTTCTTTGTTGTCTTCCTAACTTTGTACCTGCTGACTCTCTCTGGCAATGTGATTATCATGACCATTATTCGCCTGGACCATCATCTTCACACCCCCATGTACTTCTTCCTGTGCATGCTATCCATCTCTGAGACCTGCTACACTGTGGCCATCATTCCCCATATGCTTTCTGGTCTCTTGAATCCTCATCAGCCCATTGCCACCCAAAGCTGTGCCACTCAGCTCTTCTTCTATCTCACCTTTGGCATCAACAACTGCTTCCTGCTCACAGTCATGGGATATGACCGCTATGTGGCCATCTGCAACCCCCTAAGGTATTCAGTCATCATGGGTAAGAGGGCCTGTATCCAACTGGCCTCTGGATCACTGGGGATTGGCCTTGGCATGGCCATTGTCCAAGTAACATCTGTGTTTGGCCTGCCATTCTGTGATGCCTTTGTCATCTCCCACTTCTTCTGTGATGTGAGACACCTGCTGAAGCTGGCCTGCACAGACACCACTGTCAATGAGATAATCAACTTTGTTGTCAGCGTCTGTGTCCTTGTTCTACCTATGGGCCTGGTCTTTATCTCCTATGTCCTCATCATCTCCACCATTCTTAAGATTGCCTCAGCTGAAGGTCAGAAGAAGGCCTTTGCCACCTGCGCCTCCCACCTCACAGTGGTCATCATCCACTATGGCTGTGCCTCCATCATCTACCTGAAGCCTAAGTCCCAGAGTTCCCTGGGACAGGACAGACTCATCTCAGTGACCTACACTCATCACTCCCCTACTGAACCCTGTTGTGTACAGCCTGAAGAACAAGGAGGTCAAAGATGCTCTGCACAGAGCCGTGGGGCAAAAAACTCTGTCTCCTTAATGAAGAGAGGTTGTGAAGGCTTTTCCTTTGCGTTTATAAATATGTACTAATTTTTAATGCTCTTTCAATAATGCCCTTATGTATGGGATCAAGAAGACTAGACTAAATTGAACTGAGTGCTAAAACTGGAGGTTTCTGTTTGAGGTTGTTGTGATCTTCTACGCCCTGCTCCAGAACAGTTAGAAAATAGCTTAGCATACACTTATGAATGTAGGAAAAAAATGCATGCCTGGATTATGCACTCACATACACATGCACACAGTTACACATACCTTGAGAATATTTTCAGTTATACAACTCCATTAAAACATAAAGTCTGGCCAGGTGCAGTGGCTCACGTCTGTAATCCCAGCACTTTGGGAGGCTGAAGTGGGCAGATCATGAGGTCAAGAGTTCGAGATAAGCTTGACCAACGTGGTGAAACTCCATCTCTACTAAAAATGCAAAAATTAGCTGGGCATGGTGGCACATGCCTTTAATTGTAGCTACTCAGGAGGCTGAGGCAGGAGAATCTCGTGAACCTGGGAGGCGGAGGTTGCAGTGAGCCGAGATTGCGCCACTGCACTCCAGCCTGGGTGGCAGAGCTAGACTGGGTCTCAAAAAAAAAAAAAAAAAAAAAAGAAACATAAAGTCCAGCAGGGTTCTAAAAAGCTAATGAGCAAAATGTTTGGAAACCATCCCAGAAAGATTTTCTAGTTGACTGTTAAGGGTGTCAGAATAATTTGTGCCACATTTTAAGCAAATAAGTTAGAAGATACACACACACATATGCATTTCTGTGGATGTTGCAGGCTTTCTTGTAAAAAAAAAAAAAAAAAAAAGCTAGAGGCAGACCTTCCAAGTTGATGGAACTGCTCTAACTGACCTAGGAGTAAAGAGTGCAGATGTGGGAAAGAGCAAAGCAGCATCAGCTACAGAGAACACAGACGTGAACTGTCCATATTCCTGAGATGCCTGGATCAGAAAACTCAGATTGAAAAGACGAACATGCTGAAAAGGCTAACACTTTTCATACATTCAACACAAGAGTAAAAAGGATGGAGGTTGAAAGGATCAGTAAAAGAATAGTTCCTTTTGCCAGGTTGACATAAAACTCTCTGAAATAGTGTTATAAACATAAGCACTTTAACTACAACTTCTGAAAAGAATTATTAATGAACAGAAATCTGATGCATGACTTAAAAATTTTCCAGTGAGCTCCTAAGCCTGCAGGGGTGAATTTTCAGAAGTTTCTTCTTCTATACTTCCAACTTTAAACCTGATTTATAAACAGCATTTTATGCCCGAGCATCACAGAAGGTGAAAATATGTGTTCTGGTGCAAGGAAGGATGTTCTCTCTCTCATCTTTCCACTGCACTCTGGCCTTCTATACTGAGGAATAAGCATACCCTGAGTTTCAAATACAGTCCTACAGTATCCAGAATCCATCCAATCCAATGGGGTGAACCTGTAGAGGCAAGAAATCACTTCTGATAGTGTGGTAAAGTCTGCTGGATGTTGAAAATGGGACAATTCATTGGAAATAAATTATTTAAGTCAAGTTAACCTGTCTTTCTTTGACAAAAATTGTCATGTGAAGTCTGACTGGAGATAAAAGAGATCTTTGTTTTAGTGTCCAGATTTCTAGAAATGATATAGTTTGTTTCTGTGAGGTTGGTCAAGAGACAATTAGATTTTGCTTAGTAGTTCTGCTTAATCTAATTAGAAGCCATCAGGTAAAGTTCTGCTGGCCAATGTCACACTGTCTTCTATCTGAAGTTGTATTTGGTGAATGCTGCAGCACATCACCTGGATTGCATTCCTTCAGGACCCACACAAGCATTCCTCCAGCTGCTGGGAGTGCCTTGGGCTAATGGCTCTCAGTTGAGTTCCTCTTCAAGAATTGTTCTTGTTAAATAGTTGCTTCTTCCAAGATCATGCTCCCTTCCCAGGGATATACTACCTCCAGTGGTTTGACTATTTAGGGTATTGCTTCACCTTAAGATAAGTAGGAAGGGCTCTCCCAGCTCCAGAAGGAGCTTGACTACCTCACATTTCAACTTATTTGTTTTTGCCCAATATTGCTTTCTTCACTTCTTCACAAGTGTACATGCTGAGAGCTAATAAACTTGCTTTGTTCAAATCTCTGTCTCAGTGTCTGTTTTCTGGGGACCTCAACCTGCAACATTTTAGGATCTCATTTCTAAAGTAGCCATTAACATAAGTGGAGAAATCAAACTTTCAGCCCTGATATATTCTACTAAATGCAAATCAGTGGCTCTTATATTTTAATTTAAAATAATTTTTTTCTATTTATTCAACCATATTTACTATGATTCAATTTGGTTGGCAGCAGTGCAGTATTATCTTCTTGGAAACTGGTTAAAAAATTAAAATCTGAACTTTTCTCAGAATCCATAGGAAGTCATTCTTTTCTTTTCAAAAAATTATCTGTGAGCAGTTTCCATTTCATCGCAGCCTGATGCTACTACCTTGCAGAGAGATTGCTGACCATTGTCAATGATATTTGAAAATTGGAAATAACAGGAAAGACTGAAAGTGGACTTATGTCATTTAATTTTCAAGAAGGGGAAGAGTGTCATTGTCATAAGTGAAATATATAAGTGAATTGTTGTGGTGAGCACATTGATAGAGTAAACGGTTTGTGGTGGGAATGTTGTAGCGATTGATGAAGTTCCAGAAAGAGACTTGGACTTGATAAGTAGCTGTCCAGAGCTGGGCAGATCAGCTATGGCAGGAAGACAGCCCGACTCTCTAAGATTATCTAGAGTCCTAGGCTGGCAGGTGCCTCTGCCATCCTCAGCATAAAACTTCCATCTCCAGGTTGTCACCATTTCCCATTTAATGAGAAGAGGGAAAGATCAGAGTCTTTCTTCAAGTACTCAACTCCTCAACATACTGACAAAGTGCACCATTTGTCTGAGTCTCCACTCTGAAGGTGGTCACAGGAGTATGTCTTCCATTGGCCACCAGTGGGGAGCTACTGACTTGCTTTTCAGAAATCAGCCCCTAACTATTGTGAATTCATAAAGATTTTTTGTCTGCCAATTTGGAACAGCAATTCATGGGAGAGCAAATTTTTCTCTATGAACTGGCCTTGAGCAATTTGGTAAGAGACAGGAGGTGATAAAGGGGGTGAGAAGGGTGAATCTAGAGTGAATTATTTCTATTCCAATCATCTTTATAACACATGTACTCCATCTCTGGCATAATAAAAAATGTTTCATGTGTAAAGCCATCTTCATAAATGCCATATTTTAGGGGTCCACAAAATACTCAAGCCCTGACCCTATGTTCCACATTCCCTCTGGACCAAGAGATGTATGACTATCGAGAAGAAAATGGGTAGAAATAAATGGGCAGAAACCCAGACAGGTCTGGCACAAATGTGGAATTTAGATACTGTACACGGAAGAGCACAGTGAAAGAAGAGACCAATGTGTGGAGGATAAAGGAAAATTTTACACTGGAGCTTCTTGGGGAATGCATTCTGAGCCTTAGTGCCTGGATAATTACTGCATATGAACTTAAAGTAATAAATTACAAAATATCTGGGCTCCAAGGGACCTTAGAGATCACCTCCACCAGACTCCCAGTTTTAACAAAGAAACAATAGAATCTCAGAGGCTGGCAAGTAACTTGGCCCAATCACAGCTAGTTAGCAGCTTGAATATCCAGATCTGTGTTCTATCCGTAGTCCCCTCAATCTTGCAGTGAGGGTAAAGGGGAGATAAAAGTGAAATGCGATACTCAAGAACCTAGAAAATTTCTCAGAAAATGTATCTCAAGCTGATCAAGCCCGGACTTTCTATCCATATCAAATCTCTCAGTTTTGAACTCTGAATCACTGGCCTCAATCCCTTGTCTGAAATAGAGGGGTAAATTGCTGTTTAGCCTGATGCCTGAAATGCTGATGTGCTGTGAAGAGCACTGGGGAGAAAGGTGTGGTTAATGTGGTGGAAAGCCTGGTCCCAAGGCTAAAACATAAGATAGACCTTGGGGAGGTGGCAGAGGAAGCATCCTGAAGCAACACCAGGGAGTCTCCTAGGGAAACTTTGCCTGGCCTGTTGCTCCAAGAGAAATCTTTTCTCCATTGGCCAGACTTATTCACTACATGAAGCTAAGTAACAAGGGTGTTCACTGGGATTCTGGCCTTTTCTTGCCTCTTTTAAATGATTTTTTTTTAAGTGGAGGAGAGTGTGAAGAAAGGTAATACCAGATCCCTATCCAAAGTTAAAAAAAGAGGAAAGAAATGTTTCAGTAATTTCCCTGTTCTTTGTGACCCAAAAACATTCCTTGGAAAAAATGGGACTTGTGGGTCCCATGGATATTTAAAAGTTTTCTCCCCAGCCACACTTCCTCATACTATTAATTGTTCTAAGGCACGGGTAAGCTATAGGCATCCTGATCTTTCACTGATTTCCATGAATCCACAGCCAGCACCAGCAATATGTTGCCCATCTTCCCTAGTGCTTTCTCTAAGCCCTGAGTATAAATATTTTTATGGGCAGGATCATGGGGGTAGAGGGTAGTGGTGGCAAAGACTGGATCTCATGTAGGTGCTAAAAGTTCCTAAATTTGTATAAATGTTTACAATTTACAAAGAACTTTCAAATACAGCCTCTTATTTGATTCTCAGAAGAACTCTAAGAGGTAGACAGGATGACTATTATCCTTTTCTTTTTTTCACAAATGAAATACTAAAGCCCATGGAGGTATAAGAAAATTTTTCCAGATCACAAATCTAGAAAGTAGAAGAGTCAGGATTTGAATTGATGTCTTTTTCTGTATGGTTTAGTCTCTTTCTAATGGATGGCTTTATTATAGGCAGAAACTTGGCCAGGCGCAGTGGCTCAAACCTATAATCCCACACTTTGTGAGGCTGAGGTGGGAGAATCGCTTGAGGCCAAGAGTTTGAGATCAGCCTGGGCAAAATAGCAAGACCTCATCTCTACAAAAAATTAAAAAATAAATCATAGGTAAAAACTTAATCCCATTTACTCCATGACAGAAGAATGAGCCTCCAATGACTATGATGAAGACATAAAATGAAAGGGAAAATAAACCAAAACTGTCTAGTTCTTTTGCCCAAGATCTTATTCAGTCCTGGACTGTTTTCAGAGCCGAAGGTTTTGGTTATTATTATTAGCTGGAATTTCTCCAAAATGCTTGGTTCAGGTGCTGTATAAAGATACAAGACATAAGTTCAAGATATAAATTTGGGAGGGGCAAAACAATCACAGAGGAATCCTGGACTCTACTTCATCCTGAGAGTCCTATGTCTTGAGACTGTCCCTGATTCTGCCAAGAACTGAAAGTTCATATTTAGTAAGCTGAAGAAGAAGCATAAAAATGATCCACCTCACTGGCATCCTCCTATGTCTTTTCATTCCTAGATCGCACTTGCAATAGTCAAGAGAGGACATTTCCAATCTAGAACTTCATGGTCCTTGCCTTTAGTAGAAAACAAACAAACAAACTAGCAAGCCTTGAATACTCAGAAGCATTCTGTTACATGGTTTTATATTTATTTTATTGAAATTGAACATCTCTTTTACAAATGCTAATAAATGAATCTATTCATTCTCTCATTTATTCAACCAATGTTAATTGAGCACTTACTATTACATGCCACTTAACCAGTTTCACTCAGTTTAATGAAGCATTTCTATAAATCCTTGAGCACAGACGTTTCTATGTATATTGCAAGCTGTGTTTGACAATTGAGTAGCAATTGCTGATGCTGGAAAAAAACTAATGTTGCAAATATTTCTTGAGTAATTATATCAGTTGTTTTTGGGGTTTGGCTTAGGATGTGGGTTCAGAAGTCTGAAGCCTTTCCTGGTTCTCTTAATCTTCAAGAGAAATGTGACCTGCTGCTGAGTTGAGATAAATAATCCTGTGTCCACAGCAAACAGAATCACCACCAACAATGGGATAAAAAATTGTAGCCAGTACTTCTCACGCGGAGCTGTAGTGGAACACAGATGCAATGAGAAACATAATTCATCTTGGGAACTGAAAAATGAGGTTCAGAGTTTCATCCTCCCTAAGAGAAAGACCAAGCTTTGTCCTTCATTTTTAGCGTGATGTGGCATCCAGAAGCACAGAGAAAACACTCAGATTAACACTAGGTTGAGTTGCTCTGTTGGTGCTCCCTGGAGCCACAGGGAGTCCTAAGCATTTCCTCTTAACTCCAGTAGCCAGTGTGCCGTGCCCAGAGGGGAAGACAATAGGAAAGATAAACCCCTTATTCGAAATGACAAGACCAGAATTCACATATAATTAAGGGGTGGAAAGGGGACAAAGTGAGGACAGGGGTCATCAATGCCTATTACTCAATCAATCATCATTTCTTACATGCCTGTTAGGCAAAATGAAGAAATTGCACTAGTTAAATTGCCTTCCAATTCTATTATTTTGTGGTTCTGTTAGTCTGTTTATAAACTGTACCGATTTTTGTGATTAGTCTCAAATTATAGAGCCTCAGAATATTACATCCAGAAATCATTTAAAGATCACCTAGACAAGTGATTCTCAATATTGGCTACCCATTACCATTATGTGAAAGACCTATGAAAAATACGTATACCCAGGCTGCACCCCAAACCAATTAAATCAGAATCTCAAGAAATGAGACATGAGCATCAATATATTTTTTAAGTTATCAAATGATTCTAATGGAATCTAGACCAAATATTCTGTTTTACAGATGAAGATACTGGAAGCCTAGAGACAAGTACATAGCACTTCAGTCTCAAATTAGTTAACAGAGAACTGCTAGGACTTAATTATGTATTTTGACCTCATGCTTTTTTAAACATTATTATGTACAAAGTGTGTGAAGGAAAAGTCTAACTTTCTCCTTCAAAAGTGAATACTTCACAGGCTCCCTCTCTTATAAAGAGTTTGGAGAGAGCAGTTTTTCTTACAGGCCATAGAGGCAGTCCACCTCCCTACCCTCTCCATATCAAGTCCATTCCCTCCTCCCTCAATACACAGGCACACAGCTTACTGACTTGCTGGTTTCCTTTCCCAGCCCTCCTAAGCTGGAATGGGCTCCTCAAGCTCTTTATATCCTTTCTTCATTCAACTTTGAAACTTTTTTTCAATTTGATAAATATAAGTGTTCCCCCAGGAGCAACAGATGACTTTGAGATCAAAATAGTAATCACAATCTGTTATGCTTGGGTAGTGCTTAACAGTTTACAAAGTCATTTCACAAATATTACCACATTAATCTTCATAAAAATTTCATAGTGCAAGCAGGTATTACTATCACCATTTAACAAGTCAAGGCTTTGAAACAGAGATTGAGATATATACTATCACCCAGGTCTCCTCATTGCAAGTCTGGTAGGCTTTCCAGTGTATCACAGGTGCCCCCCTTCTACAAGCTGCAACTGCTCAGGCTCAGAAGTTCTCTCTTCCTTCCCCTGCTATGGATGCTTTTCCTTTCCTTTACCAACTCACCTTTTATTACAGTAATGTTGAGGGGCTCAGACTCATAGTCCAGCTGCCACACTTTGCCCGTACAGTAGTAGGTTCCACTGTCTTCAACTGTGGCATTTGTAATGGAGATGTTGTGGTTCTCATACCAGTACTTGAGAGCTTCACCATCCTTATAATAGATCACCTTGTACACATCCCAGTTCCTCCAACCATGGCACCTGAGGAAGAGGGGCTGGCCCTCCATCACCACCTCAGCAGAGGCCTGAAGGAGCAGCCAGTCTGAAGAACATTCATTACATTATTTATTTAACAATAAATGAAGAGAGAGAGAATGAATAGAGAAAAGAGAGCCACGCATAGAGCATGTGTCAGAAACTATGAATTATCATTAACTCACTTTTTGGCTCATAAAGTGGATTTTTAAAGGGCACAAAATAATGCTTAGAGCCTGTCTTGTGTATTGATAAATCCTTTCCCCTCCTGAAAAGTCAGTCTGGGGCCACAAAGCCTCTCGGACCTCCCTGATGAGTCCATACATGGAACACTTGAAAGCCAGAATTCCTTTCAGATCTTCTGTTGCTAGTTCTAGTTAGTTAGGGGAAAATAAACAGTCTTTCTTGGGAATTTTAGCTTAGGAGAGTGTCTATTTTGTCCTCTCTTACCTTATAGAAACTTCCCAGTTCTAGTGTTAATTATAGTTGTCAAAAAAAAACTTCTTCAAAACATGTATAATTTAAATTAATTACTTATGTAATTCTTTATTTAATGTCCTCTTCCCATACTGCTCTGTGCTCCAAGAAGTCAGGGACCCTGTCTAGTTCTACATTCTATTCTGAATGCCCAACACAGTATTTAGGAGTTGGTAGCAATACTTAGGAGTTGGTAGGTACTCAACAAATATTTGTCACTAATGAGTCAGTGAAAGACAAGAATCACATTCTATGGTTAATGCTTTTGTAAAAATTAAAAAGCATTCATTAAAGGAGAATTTTGAAAGGAAATATCGCTAGCATAATAAGCATAATTAATTTAGGACCAATCCTTTAGGACTTCTCTAGAACCTACTCCAGGGAATAAAGAAGCTATTCTACATTGCTTTAGTTTGTGTTTGGAATTTACATATGGAGGTTGAAACATTTTTTTTCACTCAAGAGAAAAATATAGAGTATAAAAGAGACCTATTGGTCACTATTCAAAATCATTAATTTGTTTATTCAACATTTGCTAATTAAGCCACATGTGCCTAAGCATGCTATGCTATTTGTTGGCAGTAGGAGTGATAAAAATGAAACAAGCATGAAATATGTGTTCTTAAGTAACAACAGAGGACATAAGGAAATGTACCCAGATATGTTTCATAACGAAGAGTACAACCTAATATTCAGGTCCTGCCATATGGATTATGCAGAGCAAAACTTTAAGTCAAACCTTTTGATCCTATTCCAGATACACAGCTCTTTGAAATGTTCACATATATGTCATGCTGTTTGACCACATAATATATACCTGAATCTAGGCAGAAAAGATAGAGGAAAATAGGGTGGAGGAATAATATTGAGAGATGACTAGAATATTGAAAGAAGGCATACAAGTAATCAAAAGGGAAGGGGGTAGAAGAAAAGAGATGCAGGGGTCTTTTTTATTTATTTATTTATTTTTTGAGACGGAGTCTTGCTCTGTAGCCCAGGCTGGAGGGCAGTGGCGTGATCTCAGCTCACTGCAACCTCCACCTCCTGGGTTCACACCATTCTCCTGCCTCAGCCTCCCGAGTACCTGGGACTACAGGTGCCCACCACTACGCCCGGCTAATTTTATATATATATATTTTTTAGCAGAGATGGGGTTTCACCATGTTAGCCGGATGGTCTCGATCTCCTGACCTCGTGATCCACCTGCCTCAGCCTCCCAAAGTGCTGGGATTACAGGCGTGAGCCACTGTGCCCAGCCAATGCAGGGGTCTTAAAAATGAGAGGCCTTGAATCCCACTCTGGTGTCCTAACCCTTGGAATAACCTGTTTTTTCCCATCTTCAGATGAGCCATCCCTCACATGAGAGATCTGTATTTCCATATCCCTGGAACTTACCACTGAAGACTTCCAGGTACACAGGTTCACTCTCATTAACTTGTTGGTGCTGACATTTGTATTCTCCACTGTCTTCAAATTTGGCATTCACAATATTCAAACTTGAATTTGTCTCTTCTGAAAGGCTGCCATTGTGGAACCATTTGGTGGAACTGACTTCAAAGAAATTGTTCCCATTACATGTAAGAGTCACATTCTCTCCTTTAAATATTCTATTCCATGGAGGGTTCAAGGAGACCTTAGGTTTCTGAGGGACTTCAAGAAGATAAAAATATGAAAAGACATGTAGAGAGAAAAAAAGTCATTGAAAACTGTCTAGGCTTAAAAGTACAAACGAAGCAATATTCTGACAATCAGTGGTCAACCTGTCCTTATTCTGTTGGTGATAAGACCCTGTTTTGATTTCTAGGGGAAGGAGAAATTAGTATTGGTGCCCCAGGGAACGCCCAACACAGGGAGAAAGACAGGACACATATGCAGGAGATTTAAAAACAAAGAAACCAATTCACTATGTGATTTGAGCTGACTCACTCTACTTCTGTTAATTTCAATTCAGTATCTGTAAATGAGGACTGCAATCTCTTTTGAGGTAGAAACACTGTCTGCCATGTTCAACCATTGTTACATTAAATATTTATTATGTGAATGAATGAGTGAATTATGGATGGATAAATTTACTGGACTGGATGAAATATAAGGTTTCTCCAAGCTCTGAATATTTATGACTATTTAATTGTAAGTATATACAGAGTGAAAAACATATGTCAGTTCCAGAAAGTAGTGAGAGGCACTAAGAAAGTCAGTCTTGAATGGCTTCCTGGAACAAGGGGATGTAGTGCAAATTTGAACAGAGACCAAAGAAGTAGATACATGGTGATAACAAAAGGGTGATATAGTCAGAAGAGAACTGGACTTAGATCCAAGGAACTTACGTTGAAATCCAGTTCCTTAGCCATGTAACCACCAGAAAATCACTGAGTTTCAGCATCCTCAATTATAAAATGGCAATAATAATAATAATGTAATTATTGAGCGAGATCATGCCAAAGTGTCTAGGAGAGAGAATGAGACATGTATATGTGCAACAGACATGGTTATTGACTAAAACAGAGGAGAGAATGACTTGAGAGAATGCAATGAATCAGGGAAAAAAAGAAAGACAAGGCAAGGTGGAGAGGGAAAGTAGTCTGGCCAAGGAACAGATTCATGCTCATTAGAAAGCAGAAGTGATGGGACGAAGAAAATAGTGAGAGGAAAGCAATGCCCAGACATGTTGAAACACCAAGGGAACAAGAACAGAGGACTCACCTGCTAACACGCCATCTGGAGCTGCAAAAGTCCAGAGAGGATACATTAGTGTCCAGCAGTCTTCTTTATCTCCAGAGGACTAGAATCTGGGTGTGGGGATAAGATCTACATCCATGGAATTTTAAGGACCAACCGTCTTTTCAGGAATCAGAATCAGGGGAAGAAAGAGCTTCTTTCTCTCCTCTACCCTCATTTCCTTGGTAGGAAATTTGCACTCTGGAAGATGCCAGAGCAAATGCAAGGAACCAAGCTTTCAGTCTGGCTTCCTCCTTAGGTGTTGCTCAGCCCACTTGCCTCTGCTTTCTAGCTTGGCTCCACTACAGAGTCCCTGGGAAATGCCCAATAGTTTGCACATGTCCTAGAAAAAGTCACCACCCACAGTAAAGGTTCCTACCCCAGCTGCTCCCCAAATTCATTTGGGCCTCCCTGGGAGGGGTAATTGAATCTCTACTTACCGAAGAACAGTAAGGCTACACACAGTAGAGTAGGGGATTCCATGGCAGGAGCCATCTTCTTCATGGACTCCTGGTGCTTACTGTGCTGGAGAGATCTAAGGCTTCAAATATAGGCTTAAAACCAAAAAGCAGAAGGAAATGTTTTCTGTATCATATCTGGTTAACCCATCAGCTGTGCCTGGTTTTGCTTCTTTCTTTAGAGATAATATTCAGGATGGTGCCCAACTGGGCAATTTAATATTTACCCACTTACTCCACTCCCTATCCCACCTCCACATATACACCTGGAATCTGGTGAGAGAGAGGCATAGGTCTAGCACAATCACAAGCCTTTCTTAATCTGTCAATCTGTGTACAACTATTTAGTTTACAACTTAGAAAAGTGGGATGCAAGGGAGAGCAGAATAAAACAGCAGCAACTAATTACTGAATACCAAACATATGCCAGGTGTTATCCTAAATAAATCTGATATTTCATTTATTTTTCACAATAATCCTATAAAGTACATACTATCACTATCTACATTTTATAAACAGGAAAACTGAATCTTAGTGAGGTTAAGTAACTTGTTTTGGGGTGCCAACTATTAAATAACTAATTTGGGGTTCAAACACATAAAATCTAACCCCTAAGTCAAACTCTTAGTCATATGATGTACTGTTTATACATATTCAGGAGCATGGCTAGCAACTGCCAAATTCTTTTGGGATTCACCAGAGCTACCAACGCTTTTCTTGTTTAATTTCCTGCTGATCAGTTAGTGCATAAATCCACAAATTTTCATCTGATTCACTGATGATCCGCTGTCTGACCAGCGAAATTGGAAACATTTTCAGAGACTCCTCTTTCTCTACTGTGCCCTAATCTGGCTCAGAACACAGGAAGGCAGAAGTTAAACCATTACTTATGGGGATCTAGGCCATATAATTTATTTTATTTTACTTCCTAGCTTTTGTTTACTTTTAATATTATAATTTCCCAACATGATCTCCCTTTCTCCTTTAAATACACAGCAGGGGCTTTCTCCAGGATTCCTTTACTAATTCTTCTGTTTTTTTGCTCTAGGTCAAGGCTCAACCTTCTTCCAGGATCTGATATTAATGATAATACTGGAAATGAAAACTCTATTAATGTCTATAGTGGCTTGTCATTTGCAAAGATTGCTTTTAAATGAGTGTCCTATTTTATCTTTACCAAAACTCTGAAGAAGACAGGGACAGTATATTTAAACCCACTTCACATCTGAAGCACTTGAGGAACCATTCTATCATACCTTGCTCTTCCCCACAGACTGCTGAATTAAGTCTATTGAATGAAACCAGTCATTCCACATGAAGATCTAACCAAAACCTTTAGTTTTCTATGGAATTAGAAAATATAGGGCTAAAAAGGTTAATAAATAGGAATTTAAGTTTCAGATAAGAAAGATTAGGTACTGAGCCCAGGACATGCTATGTTTTAATGACAGACCTTAAAGGTAACAGCAAGTTATTTTGAAAAGTACAAGTTGTTTGTGTTTTAAGCTCTGAATTCAAATGTTCCTAATTTTTATGTGATTGAAGGTTACCTGTATAATAGGGACAATAATGGTATCCAGGTCATGGTTATATTATGAGATTTAATAAGATAAAAAAGAAGTAAAATGCATTGCACAGCATCTGACATGTGAAATATGGTCAATAAATACATTTTTTGTCTTCTTTATTATCATTATTTATTAAAGACTTATAGGAGAAATATGAATTTTGACTGGATTAAAGTTATTGTCAACCTACATAGTATGTTTAATTTGATAAACAACATCTTATGCTAGTTTAATATATCTACGCAATCTCAATCCTCTCCACAGTCACAAAGAAGAGAGCATAATCAGGAAAGAACAGAATGCAGAAAGTTGTTGGATAGGATTGGAGAAGAGAAGGAGGAGGAAATAGGGAAGATGTAGTTTTTAAGGTGCTGTCAGAGGGCAATATTTGAAGCCCTAAGCCCTGGAAGAGACGGGGAAAGATTCTACTTTACCAGTTTGTTGAGACTTTGCCAGGGGAAATTTGGGTTCCTTTTTCCTAGGACAGTGAACCTACAATCAAATTGTCCCTCAGAGAGAGTCATTTTACCATGACTCAAATAGTCTATTTAAAGGCTTCCTCTGAAGTCGTTATCTAAATAGCTCCTACTTAGATGGGAGATGGAGCAGGGCTCATCGAGAGGTACTATTCCTAGTTCGAAGAGTATAAGCTTTGGAGTTAGGGAGGCCACTTTCATTTCTAAAGCTTTCTGAAACTTTGGATTTATCATTCTAAAGCTTTTGCTTAAGTGCCCGGTATTGAAATAAAGGAAGTGCTTTGGTAGCAGTAACAGCAAAAATGTAGCAGTCCAATAAAAGCAGCTCATTAAAGCCTAAAAAGCAACCAAACTACCCATCTTCCCAGCCCACCCCCACCCCAAAAAAGCAAACCATTAACAGCATCGGAAAGAAAAAGCCATACCCTAATTTCCATAGCATATAACTACAGGTACCCAAAAGAACAGAACAAGAACACAGAAGGAACACATTAACACTAACATTAAACAAGAGCTCTATTCCTCCCTGGAAGAACGGGCTGATACACAGTTGAATGCCACAGGTTTTTTATCTTATATATAAAAAAAAAAGTCCTTCAAGTTTCATATCCATTATCTGGGTGGAGTGGGCTGCTACTAATTTCTCATACCCAGCCTGTCCACATCAGGAACACACGTTCACTGAAATCAATAGGGCGTGTCTAAATTTCAGTTCTTGCTTCTGATTCTGGGTACAGGAATGCTCAATACACAAAGAGTATCACTATGCCCAAACTTGGACCTGTTATTTGATGTTGGGAGCCTTAATCTATATTTCATTTTGTAGCAGTGGAAAAATGAAACAAATGGCTGTACATGAGCTACAGGGCCTGAGGACTGTGAGGTGCCCCTGCAACTGGATCCAGCGTGAGAGGCTTTGGGCAGGAACTTTTGTGTTTCGGGACGTGCCTGGCAGAGGGAGGATCAAGGCTCAGCCTATACAGTGTGTTAGCCTTTATGTCCTTCTCCAAAACTGGGAAGCAGAAAAACCAAATCAATCTGCTGGCTTCCTTCTCACTCTCAAAGTTCTCTAAAACAAGGTGAGGTCCATATAAAATTGAATATGAAACGATGAAAGTGCAAAATGCCTGTCTGCTCGTGATATTTATGTACCTAACAAATGTTGATCTCTCCCTGAGGATCAAATACAAGGCTAACTATGCAACATGTCCTATCTATTTTCCTCCTACTACCAACTCTATGTAGTTAAGAATAAGGAAATCAAAGCATGAGAGGTTAAGTAACTTGTCCCAGGGCACACAGTTGCTATGTAAAGGAATTAGAATTTGAACCTGGCAATATGTCTTAAGAGCACATGCTCATGACCAGATAGATAGATGATTGATTGACAGATAGATAGATAAAGATGTCTTTATTCATTGAGTCTACACTTTGTGATTAAGTGCACATGGATTCATAGTCCTCATGCAGAAATTCCTTGGATTCAAGGGTTCCATAACCCACAAATAGGAAATCACTGATCTAAACCAACTTTCTGTTCTATAAGTTCCCTTTCTTAATTCAGGCCATGACATCTCAACTCACAGCCACACAATGTTGGTACTGTTGGTATGTTAGCTATGTATATTTCATGGACATGCCTAAAAAGAAGAAAGGAGAGAGGGATTCTTTCCTTTTTCCTCTATATTAGGGCCAGGAGGATATCAGCTGCATTTACTTTCTTTTGCTACCCTGAACAGGAGTTTCTGCTCAAGAAAGAGCATCAATAGCAGATGCTGACTGCCTGTTAGATTTTCACAAGAAAGTCAGTGACTTTAATATTTTTTACTTCTTGTCTTGACCTGAATGGGTCTAAAAGTAATAAATCCAAAGGAAATAAATGGAAACTCCCAGGACTACTAAAGAAGAGAGTGAAAAGGGAGGTTCTAGTTTCCTTTAAACAACCAGCTCTCATGTGAACTCATTACCATGGGGAAGGCACCAAGCCATTTATAAGAGATCTGCCTCCATGACCCAAACACTTCCAACTAGGCCCCACCTCCAACATTGGGGACCACATTTCAACATGAGATTTGGAGGGGAGAAAACATCCAAGGCGTATCACTGAGCATAATCTACACTCTTTTATAGTGCATAGGTGTGGGCATCTAGATATCAAGCTGCCTGTCTTCAAGATATGTAATCAGCCACTCACACTTTGCCGATGAAGCATCTTTGTGGTGTCTTGTAGTTAAGGGTACAATCTGAACCATAAGGTGGACTCAAACAAATTGATCATGACCTCTACCTTATAAATAGTATATTTCAGCCAAGAAGCCCAAAGGGCTTCAAACTTACCTTCATGTCTTCCAACAGATACAGATGTTAAGTGAGCTGACATTTTCTTCATAATGGGGAGAACAATATTATAAGCCCACTGAGGAAGATCCTTAAGGAAAGTTGTAGTATAAAAAAGTTTTCCTTCTTTAAAAAAAATTTTTTTTGAGACTGGGTTTTACTATGCTGCCCAAGCTAGTCTCGGACTGCCAGGCTCAAGTGATCCCTCCCACCTCATCCTCCCAAGAAGCTGGGATTATGGGGATGTGCCACCATACCCAGCTAAAAAAAATACCAGAATATCACACTAAATTTTTAAAAATTAAAAGAATAAAAATAAAAGTTTAGCCATAGATAATTTAAAGAAATTAAGTGCAAGATTAATTAAGAGTTCAGGCTAGGAACAAGCTCTAAAGTTTGAGTCTCGGCTGTGACCACTCAAACTCTTTTTGCCTCAGCCTTCTCACCAGTAAAATGGAGATAGTAATAGTACCTACCTTAAGGGTGGTTATCAGCATAAAATGAGTTAATGTGGTGAGGTGGTTAGAACAGAACATATACTAGTTTTCATGAATACTATAATTATTTTGCAAGAAGCCTTTGGTTAGACTTGAGAGCAGCAGAGAGAGAGCCTCCTTTCCCATCCTCCTGGTCTGTCCTGAGGATGAAGAACCTGGAAGGCCACTGGTGGGTCCAGAAGGCAAAACCTTGTTCTCACAGGATGCAGCCAGGATCACACAGCAGTAATCATGTCAATGAGACAGACATCATCACACACATAACCACACCCACACCTCCAACACACGCATGTCTGCAGAAGTGGCGTTAGGAAGTTTGAAGATCATTTTCAGGTGTGGTACGAGACAGAGAAATCCCCATTGTGCAGAGTCAGCCCTCAAGCCGAATGTAGTGTAGGCCAGGTTTATTTTATGCTTCCTTACAGAATTACACAGTTTCAAAACGGAAAGAGAAATCTCTTAAAGGAATCCTTTTAGGCCGTTAACAGACAAGGATGAGAGATCTTAGCCCAGACCAGGACATTTGCATTTTAATAGGCAACTTTTGAAGACCTAATTTTTCAGGACTCTGGCTAAACAGTTCTGTGACCCGTGTGTTTCTAGTGCGTGAAAGAGGGTATGAGTGAGGATGGGAACAGTGGGAGGGGCAGGACGCATTCTGAAACTTTCTCATCATACTCTGTGTTACCACCTACAAAAGGCCTTTAGGAAATGTAAGTTTATGCATGAGAATGTATGTATGTGTATTGAGGGTTGCTTGTTTCAATGATGAGTATACAGGAGACATTTGTAGCATTAGCAGGCAAACAAATGCCCTGCAATACTGAAGGCAGCCTTGCATACTAAATAATTGGCCTGATTCTGCACATCTTTTCAATGTGCAGCCAGATATTTTATAATTATCTGAGCCTTAAACACGACTGTGAAAAACACAAAAGCATCTTTTGCATTTCTCATACATACTGTATTTTACAGAAAAGAAACTACCATGTATATTGAGGAAAGATTATCCTTGGCTTTTACTGGAAAAACATCCTTGAATTTTTCACTGTTTCAGAAAATCAGATCACCTGTAGCTACACTGTTCATGATATTTGTGTCACCAATACCTTATTCTCATATCAGTCTGTTTTTGTAGCACTCATATTCATGAAGGACATATTTTCCTATTATAATGTTATTTCCCTTTATTTCTTCTTTATATTAAAACTGGGAATTTTACTGATTAAAAAATATATGTGTGTGTAAGTAGCAGAGGTAGATCCAGTTTGAGGCCCTGAAACTTAAACAGTTTAAGGGGGCTTCCTTAAAAAATCCAGTAGAAATTTTTGAATACAATATTAGATATTAAAATTACTATTTAGGACAAGAAAGTTAATCACAAAAGGTTAAAAATATACCAGCTGACAAATGACATAAACATTATAAAATTCATCAGAAAGTAAACAGATATTCCACTATCCTCTTCCTTTTCAAAATATTGTTATTACATGTTATTTGATCTCCTCTTCCTCAGACAGAGATATTGTAATATCATTTTTATAGACAAACTAGAAATATAATTTATTCTTTTCTCTAGCATCATTGAGCACCACTTATTTTCTATTATTGATTGTTGGGAGTGCATAGAGTATGCAGTTTCACAGCAATATTCTCACTATTTGTAGTGTGGTTACAGGTTTATGCCTTACAAACACAGGAATAAATGCATGCTATCAAATGTGATCTGATAGGATTGAAAACCACTGCTAAATTCTGAAGAAGAAAAAAGGGCCAGAGAAACATGGAATAGGGGCCCTGATCCGCAGTTTCCAGTGATATTCATCACAGCTTTTTCCTTTGTCTCTTCCAAAACGGGAAACACTTGCAGATTATCATAGAGGTTCAAGAAAACAAATGAATATTGAGTGTCTGTGATTAGACTATTAGACCGAATATTAGAAATAGATTCAGTGACATAAAATTTGGGACATTTTGGTGGCCATTCCCGTAGAATAGTGTTTATTATAATTAGGAATTTGTAAGTTTTTTAATTAGAAAATTTGTACGTTTTTCATTGATAATAAATAAATGAATATAAATATGGATCATTCAGATGACCATTTCATAACCAAAAATTGCATCTTTATTTCAACATCTGCATTTCCATTTTTTTGTTTGCAATTTACAACTGCATCTAGTGACCGACAAATTAAGTCATGCTGCACCTATGAATGAGGGTTTTATGTTGTTCAGAGACAGGTGGACAAAAAAAGGAACTGACACAAGGCCCACCCTAGAATAGGCTGCCAAACACAGAACAACCCTCTTTATCATAGGTAATAGCACAGTCACGTTGCAGAAAGATATATGAAGAAAATCTTCTCTGCATGACCCAAGGGGCAAGAGTTAATTAGAAGTCTATAGCAGAGAATGTAAAATAAATAATTTTTTGTATTCTCAATTCCTAAATTGAATTTATACTAATCAACCATATATTTCAATAATCTCATGATGCCAATTTATCTTTAAGAGAAAAAAGATAACTTCAGAATTATCAAGGGCTATCTCATTAAAGTTAGCATTTGATCATAGTTTGCTGGTAGAATTTTGGCTAATTATATTTTCTAATTTTTCAGAATGAGCAAACTATGTCTTGAAGTTTATTAATAGTGTTTTTTATAATATACTTTTCCAAACAGGCAATCTCTGAGCTTGAATTATTATGGACAAATAAAGAAATGGCTTAAATATGGATACAGACCTGTTACTTGATCTTTCTGTCACTAAAACTAACACAAAAATTTAGTTTCAGCATAGGAACATTCTTCATCATATATTTTCATTTCTTTGTTCAACAAGTATTTATATTCCAAGCACTCTGTCATTTGCTGGTGATACAAGAGAGATAATAAGCAGACAAGATCTTTTCCCTTGGGGAGAAGACTTTCTATTGGAGAAAACAGAAAATAAATAAGTAAACAGAACAGTGACAGCTTGTGACTAACGTTTGTAAAAAGTAAATAATGTTGCTCCATAGACGTACAAGGACAATCTGTTTTAAATAGGGTTAAGAAAGGCCATTTGATGAAAAATGACTTTTAAGTAGAGACTTAAAGTACGAGATAGGATGAAACAAGACAAAGGCTGGAACAAGAATTTTCAAGCAGTGGGAAGTTGAAAGTCCCCATAAAAAGAAAGACTTTGGAGAATTGTAGAAATTAAGAGAAGGTTCCAAGTCTTTGCTATTGTGAATAGTGCCGCAATAAACATACGTGTGCATGTGTCTTTATAGCAGCATGATTTATAGTCCTTTGCGTATATACCCAGTAATGGGATGGCTGGGTCAAATGGTATTTCTAGTTCTAGATCCCTGAGGAATGGCCACACTGACTTCCACAAGGGTTGAACTAGTTTACCATCCTACCAACAGTGTAAAAGTGTTCCTATTTCTCCACATCCTCTCCAGCACCTGTTGTTTCCTGACTTTTTAATGGTTGCCATTCTAACTGGTGTGAGATGGTATCTCATTGTGGTTTTGATTTGCATTTCTCTGATGGCCAGTGATGGTGAGCATTTTTTCATGTGTTTTTTGGCTGCATAAATGTCTTCTTTTGAGAAGTGTCTGTTCATGTCCTTCGCCCACTTTTTGATGGGGTTGTTTGTTTTTTTTCTTGTAAATTTGTTTGAGTTCATTGTAGATTCTGGATATTAGCCCTTTGTCAGATGAGTAGGTTGCAAATGTCCAACAGTGATAGACTGGATTAAGAAAATGTGGCACATATACACCATGGAATACTATGCAGCCATAAAAAGTGATGAGTTCATGTCCTTTGTAGGGACATGGATGAAATTGGAAATCATCATTCTCAGTAAACTATCACAAGAACAAAAAACCAAACACCGCATATTCTCACTCATAGATGGGAATTGAACAATGAGAACACATGGACACAGGAAGGGGAACATCACACTCTGGGGACTGTTGTGGGGTGGGGGGAGGGGGGAGGGATAGCTTTAGGAGATATACCTAATGCTAAATGACGAGTTAATGGGTGCGGCACACCAGCATGTCACATGTATACATATGTAACTAACCTGCACATTGGGCATATGTACCCTAAAACTTAAAGTATAATAATAATAAAATTTAAAAAAAAGAAATTAAGAGAAGGACATTAGGGCTGAAGCATAGCGAGTAGAAGGCCAATGGCATAAAACGAGATTGGAGATACACATAGGGGCCAGATCATGAGGGCCTGGAAGAACATGAAAAAGTGTTGGGATTTTATTTGAAAGCTAAGAAAGAGCCACCGGACTGTGTGAAGCAAAAGAATGCACATACACACACACACACACACACACACACACACACAGTGTGTATGTATATATATTCCCCTGCTTAATACAGTTTGATGGCTCTTCATGTATGTCTTAGTCTATTTTCTGTGGTTATAACTGAATACCTGAGACTGAAATTTATAAAGAAAATAAATTTATTTCTTAAAGTTCTGGAGACTGTGAAGTTCAAGGTCAAGGGGTCTATCTGGTGAGGACATTCTTTCTTAATGGGGACTCTCTGCAGATTCCCGAGGTGGCACCGAGATTCACATGGCAAGGGGGGCTTGAGCCTGTAAGCTCTAGTCTCTCTTCCACTTCTTTTAGAGCCACCAGTCTCACTCCCATGATAACCCATTATTCAATTAATCTATTAATTCATAATTAGGTTAATCCATTCATGAGGGCAGAATCTGTATGAACCAATTACCTCTTACAGGTCCTGCTTCTCAATACTGCCATACTGGAAATTAAGTTTCATCACGAAGTTTGGAGGGGATAAACACTCAAACCATAGACATGTATATGTATAGTATATGTGTATACACCCACATTCTCTCAACGTCTACCGATCTATCTATATATAGATAGGTATGTCGTCATGTAATCTGTAGGTTTTTTGAGCAGATATTGGGAAATGCTTAAGAGTCAAAATATGATGATAGATAGTCTAGAGAAGTGGTAGTATAGATAAAGAAAAGTTGATGGGTTTGAGGTATATATATTAATGGGACTTACTGACAGATTGGAGGGCACAGAAAGTATAAAATATGATTCTTAAATTTCTGGCTGTAATAACTGGGTAGACAGTAATTACATGGTGAAGACTGGGGAAGTACTATATTTAAGGGAAGTACTAGAATTGGGGGAGAAATCAACCAAGTGTTCCGGTTGGGAAGTGTTTTAGTTTGAAGCATCTTTATTGTATCTAAGAGTCTGTGCTAAATAGGCAGTTACAAAAAAAATGTTGAGAGACCAGTAGAAATGTCTATATTAGAGATATAAAGTAGAGAAAGTAGAGAATCACTGGCATACTTTAAAGCCACTGAGTAAGATGAGGTCAGCTGAAGAGAGAGAAAAAGAAATTAAGCAACAGAGAAAGTCTCAGAGCAGAACTCTAGGAAATTTCAATATCTTGAAGATGAGTATCAGAAGACCCAGAACAGAGGCTAGAGAAAACAGCTGATAAGGTAAGAAAACTCACAGGGAATTATGTCACTAAAACCAAGAAGAGAGTACAATTCTAGAGGAAATCGTTAATTACATTGAATCTTGTTGAGAGGTGAAGTAAAATAGAGAATACAATTATCCTCTGAATCTAGCAATATGGAAGTTTTTGGGACTTTAGCAATGGCAGTGGAGTAATATGTGTAAAAAGCAAACTGAAGTGGGCTAAAAAAGTGAATAGGAATTGAGGAAGCATAGGCAACATGTGCGGACAATATTCTGAGAAGTTTTGCTGTGGGATGGTGGTATAGGAAGATGTGGGGTTAAGGGAGGATTCTTGTTTTATATAAGATGCTGGATTGTATTTGTTAGCTAACAGGAATAATTCAGTAAGCAGAGAGGGAATAAGGGAAGTATAAGTTAAATAATTGAAGAAGTTAAGCCCTTGCATAATCAAGAAGAGAGAAGTGGCTTTCACTCATTCAATTTAAATCTTTCTTGAACATAACACAGGTGTTTCTGCCATAACATGTAACATACATTTATTTTTTTAAATTGTTTTGCATTCTGCAAAAATAACTAAAACTAACAAGTCTTTGAGAGGAAAAAAAGACTGTTACAGATCATGAAAACCTACCATCAGAGCAGTAACATAAACATTAGTATTTCTACCAAATGAACTATGCAGTTAAAAAGATATGTTAAATTTGTAATAAATAAAATTAACAGTAAATCTAGGACTTGATCACTTTCAAAGGTTGGTGGAAGAAGATGACAAAGAGAAAATACACAAAAGCAGGGGAAAACCAGAGAACAAACATGCTCAAGATACACTTGTGGTAAAACTAAGCCAAGAGAAAACCTTGAAGTGAATAGTTACTGTGCAGAATATTCTATTCCTTGCCATGTTCTACTGTGCTAGTAAGATTTGTGTTAGCTGTTCCTTGGTAGTTCAAAATATTAACTTGCTAGAAAAAAATCTTGTTTCAACCAACTTCAATGTTATATTGACATTATTCCTTGGCTTGCCTATAGCATATAGACTAATTTGCATTACAGAAAAATGCATTATATCAGAGAAACTGCAATGTATTTCTTGATTTGTTAAGCAGTTGCCATGTGCATAGCAATATGTGGAATACTGCGTAGAATACAAAAATGCAGAAGGGAGTTCATCCAAACCACAATGACTTTATTAAAAACTTGATTTCCATAAGCAGGAAGAATAATGGAGAAACTAGGATGTGTTCTAATAAAAATATAAGCACAGGTAACTGTTAATATTTTTTGAACACTGACTGTATTCAGGCATTGTGCTTTATCCTATTTAATACTCACAGGAATCCTATGAAACAGGTACTATCAGCATCCTTGTTTTTAATGAGGTAGGGAGGTTTAGATTATACAACTAGTGAATGGCAAAGCCAGGATTTGAAGCTTAGAGGTCTGAATGGTAGGGATCTTAAACATGAGGAAGAAAGGCATTCAACAAGGTGCTCCAGCACTTTGGCCACAACATTTGGGATAACTTAATTATTCCCTCCAATAAGTTGAGAGTTTGTGGTCATCTTTTGACTTAAAATTTATGAGGCAAGATACTGATGGAGAATCTGACACTGCTAGGGTACTGATGGAGAATCTGACACTGCTAGGGTTTGCAGGAAAAGGCAGGTTAGAAGTAATGGACCTGAGAGAGAGGGTGCTAGAGTTAGCCTCCATTGTGTGGCACCTACTTAAGTACCCCTGAGTTAGGTGGGCATAAAGGAAAGTGACAAGAACTTAAGCCATATTGTCCCTCTCCCTCAAAGGGGACACTCTCTGGGTGAGGGGAACTCTAATAACAAGAGGCTCTGGAGTGGGCGGCCTGCAATGAGAGCAGAGGAAAGTAGAATTGATTGAACCATAAGTTAATAGGTCATTCTTTTTGCTGTGCAGATGCATGGGACATAGGTTCTTCTGGAGAACCTACAAAGGTATTCCCATGAGAGCACCTATATTTGAATCACTGCAAATGAGAAAGAACAATGAATAATGCTAGAGAAATGGTGACAACTAGCAAAAAGGTTACACTACCACAATCTGACCTCCACTTATGAGGTAGTGTTCACACAGGAATAGCAGTTAAAACAAAACAAGGAGCCGACAGCTAATACAGCATGGAGAGTTGCTTTCTTCTTCCTACTCTCAAGGAAGGGGCTGATATCTGGAAGAGGGAGGGATGTGAGTAGTGTGGCCATCACCCTTTACCTCCCAACACATAACAAGCCACTGGAGCCATAAACTTACCCCATGCTCGGTGGTAGACAGGTGGAGGATGCTGGAGACTGAAAAGAATTTTGAACAGAAGATAAAATTAAATTGATTAATTTTATAAAATCAAAATTAATTAGATTTGATTGTGCCTAATAACTCCAATGAGACTGTTTTAGTAGCATAAAGTGATTAAAAGGTTATGGAATTAGTCTAAGAAGTCATTAAGGGAGGCTACTGCCCAAGAAGAATGGGTCCACAGCAGTAGTAGTAATTTCAAAAATAATGATTTCATGTTTACACCTCACAAGTTGAGACTTCTTTCAACACAGTTGTGTGTATGAAATGGAAAGATTGTACTACAAGTGTGCTAAGGTCCTCTGCAGGCCCAACATCTAGATGTTTTCTGGCAATTAGAATTGCAGGAGTTCAGGAAGATAACAGTTCAGTTACTTGAACAATTTGGTCCTAAGGTGGCTTCTAAAGAGCAGTGACTGCTACTGGCTAGTTGATGAGTCCTTCACTCTCCTATCTTGCCTGCCAGGTTGACAGTTCAAGATCTACAGTAACCTTGCCTTCTATGCCTCTGACTCTGAGCTGGCAGAAAAGAAAGAGCAGCAGGAGGTCGTGATAGATTTGAAAGTGGAAGTCAAAGAAAGAAAGGAGTTGGAAGCAGAATAGTGGAAAGATGGCAGGACTGACGATAACCATGGGATATTTGTTAGAAGTGACTTGGGGAAGACATGTTATTTCTAGTTTCCTAATGAGTTTTTATCATAAGTCTTAAAGTATAGGAAAAATGTTAAAAAGGAAAGGATCATAGTCATAACCAATTTAAATTTCTTCATTTTAGGGATTGAGAAGCCCGAACCCCTCAGAATGTTTTGTGAGAATTATATATCTAAGCAATTAATTAGTGGAAAATGCAGTACTAAATTGTGAGGCTCCTGTTGTTGTTTCTGCTGCTGCTTTAGTTGAAGATACAGGACCAAGGAAAGGATGAGAGAACAGGTGCCCTCAAGGATTATTATAGTCCATCATGGGGAGAAAGTCAATTAAAAAGTGAACAAATTATTGAACAAAATATACCAGGTAGTAACACAGAGAGAATTAAATTAGAATGATGAGATAGAGTTAGTGGATGGTTAAAATATTTAGGTTAATCACATACTGAAATGATAAGAGTGCAGTAGAGCTCTGTTGATAACCCAGGTTAACTGAATTACCAGAGTAAATGACATTCACCATCGCTTCTGCAGTGCAGACTGACAGATGCACACTACACACTAAATGACCACATCCAGTAAACTCTAACAGAAACACCAGGAGATAGTAGTGTCACAAAACCAAGGCAGAAGAGCATTTCAAGAGGGAGAGTGATTAATAGTGTTAAATGTTTCAGTTATGAAGTAGGGAAAGAACCAAGAATAGTCCGATGAATTTGGTAATTAGAAAAATCTTGGTGTAGCCCCCATGATCCAGGGTCTGTGTCTCTACCATGCAAGCCCTAGATCTCAATGGTAAACTCACTGGAGCTGACCAGTCTCTGAGACATTACTCAAACTTACAAAATAACTTAGTATGTGAATGTATTCATTTTTAACAGTAAGTGTACCAGACCAGTCATTTCTATATGGCTTTCACTTTCTGGTGAATGTAAGCAATTCATATATTAAAATGCATGCCAGAAGATTACTTATTGCTCCCATATTACTCCATTCTTACCTTATCATAGCATGTATCACAATATATGAAAATTGCATCTTTCCTGGTCTAGCTCCTTATCACATCCTCATTGAAGTCAATGACTATATTAGTTTAGTTCACTGCTCTTTATCTGATACTCAGCACAGCAGAGAGCATGCTTAGATTTTTAATATGTATTTATTAGAGAGGCAAATGAGCAATTAATTCATTGATTATTATATCAAGATGTTACAACCTAATAAATCATCCTTTCCTTCCTCAGAGGCAAGTCTTTATCTATCTGCACACATATATAATATATAATTTTATATTTATATATAAATATACATACATATATAAATATGCCTATATACATATATAATACATTATATATTTATATATAATATACAATATATGAAATAATATATATAACAATGTGTATATAGACATATATAAATATGTTTATCTACATGTACATATTTATATATGCATATTTCTAAAAGAGCACTAGAGAATGCTGGTGCTGGACAACTCCTTATCTCCAATTATTCATCCTTTGTGGAAACCACCAATCTTGTCTTTGCATCTGTACTTAGGAAAACCAGCATCCAGGACATATTCTTTAGTTAATTTCTATGGTAATTAGTATCACAGAATATTTTCTTTTATGACCGATGGCCTGCCAGTCCTCTTGAGAATATGTAAAGTATGGGAAAGAGATGGACTTCTAATACTCTTTCTACAATTCTAACCACAGAATATTTGACTGTAAATTTAATTAACTAGAAATACAGTATAATAAAGTCAATGAGTAAAAGGAAGCTGAAATTCTTTGTGCCACCTTAGTCACATGGCTGAAGAAAAGAGAGTCTTCTTTGCCCTGCCTTTTACAGTGTGTTTGTGAACCAAAATTCTTGTCCTCTCAGAAGCCACAAGCAATTTGGTTTTACATGGCACATGCATGGCTATGTAGTTGGAAGCATGGGTTATTCTGACATGCGTTATTCAGAATTTGTGGCCAGCATGGAGGGAAATGAAAAAATGCCCTAGATTTTTCAATTGTGCATCATTCTTTTCTCTTTTGGGCACCATCGTTTACTCCTTATTTCTAGAGAATTAATCTTTTTTACTTAGGAAATCACTTATAAATTTGCTTCAGTTTGCAGGTACTGCCTCCTCCCCCTATAATATGTTCCTGACATCTCATATATCTGCTAATTATAGGACATAGGCTTGCTGGATTATGACTATTTGTAGTCAGAATAGTTTCTTTCACTGGATGTAATAGAATATACACTGGATCAGAATTAGAAGATTGAGGCTTAAATTCCAATTTTACTCATTTTTAGCTTGCACCCCAAGCTAAATGATGAAAGAAACCTTCTATATAAAATAATTCCATTGACTAAATGTAAAAGAAATGGCATGATTAAGAAAGCACCGTTTTGCAACTCCTAATTTTAAATGATTTAGGCCGGGCACGATGGCTTACGCCTGTAATCCCAGCACTTTGGGAGGCCAAGGCGGGCGGATCACAAGGTCAGGAGATCGAGACCATCCTGGCTAACATGGTGAAACCCTGTCCCTACTAAAAATACAAAAAATTAGCCGGGCGTGGTGGCGGGCGCCTGTAGTCCCAGCTACTCGGGAGGCTGAGGCAGGAGAATGGCATGAACCCGGGAGGCGGAGCTTGCAGTGAGCCGAGACTGCGCCACTGCACTCCAGCCTGGGCAACAGAGAGAGACTTTGTCTCAAAAAAAAAATGATTTAGACAAAATTTATCAATAAATTAAATGATAAAGGTTGATGGGATCCATTTGAATGGAGGAGCAAGCTGTTGCCACCTGAAATATTGATCAGTTAGCTTTTGTGCATGCATTTAAATTTTATTTATTTATTTATTTATTTATTTTGGTGGCAGGGTCTCACTCTGTCACTCAGGCTGGAGTGCAGTGGCATGATCTCGGGTCACTGCAACCTCTGCCTCCCGGGTTCAAGCAGTTCTCCTGCCTCAGCCTCCTGAGTAGCTGGAATTACAGGGGCGCGCCACCACGTCCTGCTAATTTTTGTATTTTTGGTAGAGATTGTGTTTCACCATGCTGGTTTGTCCAGGCTGGTCTTGCACTCCTGATCTCAAGTGATCCGGCTGCCTTGGCCTCCCAAAGTGCTGGGATTACAGGCATGAGCCACAGTGCCTGGATTAAATTTTATTTTTTAATAGACAAATAATAATTGTTTGTATTTATGAGGTACAATATAGTATTTTGAAATCAGCTTTGCTTAGAGTAAGACAACAAAACAGTATGTGTCTCCTGATTAGAGTTCCCAGATAAAATACAGAATGCTGCACTGAATTTGAATTTCAAAAAACAATAAATAATTTATTTTGTATATTCCATGCAATATTTGTAACATACTTATCCTAAAAATTATGCTATTTATTTAAAATTAAAATTTAACTGGATGTCCTGTATTTTTGTTAAATCAGACAACTTTACTTGATTATCAAATTTATAATTTATATATATATTAAACTGATATATACACCAAATTTTATGTGTGTTTTTATATATAGTTTAATATAGTCCATAGTTTAATATACTATATTACAGGTTATAGTATATCCAGTTTAATATATCTAATATAATTTAATAAGCTGAACCTGAATCTAATTAAGCCTTTAAAACTAATTTCCAATTTATAAAAAGTACAGAAGATATAACAAATTTAATGATACTATGAGTAAATGCCATCTAGAAAGTAAGATTTTGACCTGGCTTTTTAATGTGTAAATGAGACTTTTTAAAATATGGGGGCAATGGGATGTTGAAATACCCTTGCCCTCCAGGCAATATTTGGTAATGTTTAGAGACATTTTTTATTTTTTCCAATACAGTGGGAAAAGAGAGAAGGATTCTACTGGCATCTGTCCTCTGGGTGGGTAGAGGCCAGTGATCCTGCTAAACATCTTGTAACACAGAAGACCATCTCCCCTCCTAACTCACCTCACACCCACACACGTACACACACAACAAAAATTAGCAGTTTCAAAGTGTCAACAGCACCACTGTTGAGAAACCCTAGTCTAGACTCAAAAAAACTTTTAACGAGTTACAATCAAATGCAATAAGCAGTGCTCATTTGAATCTTGATCCAAACAAACCATATTATTATAAAGAGCATTCCTGTAATAAAAGTCAAGGCAATTATTTAAAAATTATAATGTAGGAAAATGTTTATTGATATGCGAAAGTTTCAAAATGCATTGCTAAGAGAAAAAGTAAACTGGATATAAGGAAGTTTGTATAGCATGATCTCATATTATTAAAAAGAAGAAAGGCTACAAAAGTAATAATCATCCCATTTTTACCATAAACATAAATACATGTGTATATAGACAGGTGCACACATATGAATGCATAAAAGATTAGAAACCTATTCATCAAAATGTTAATGATGTTGATTTCTAAATTGGAAATCACAAGTCATTTACGTTACATTATTTTTCCTTTTCTGTTTTTTCTATAATGAACAAGCATTATGTTTGTAATCAGAGAGAAAACAGGGCCAACTCAGAATTTAAAAATTCTTAGTTTGGGTTGAAGGCCCTTGTGGGCTTGTCCCCTTTTACAGAGTGGCTGAAATGTTACTCAAACATCTCACATGGGTGCAGAGACTGTATGAATGGAGAAGGATGTGCTGAGCCAGAAATTAAACTTATTGGAAGTTCATGGCTGTTTCATTCCCCCTCCAGCAGGATCAGAGAATGAACCAAAGGGAGCACAAGGAAGGGCTCTGACAGTGTCTTCTCCCCTTTCCCAGTGTGGTGTGGGTGATGGATCTCCCTAAATGGAAAAGTAGGGCTGAGATGTATGTCAGTGAGACTCAAGGAAATTTGCTGTAGGCTGAAGTGGGATGACAGATGTCCCGGCCCCTATAACCTTTTGATTACCCTGATATTATTTATATAAATAAGTTTCAGGAAGCTAGCTGCTCTCCAATACTGAGAAACTTAAATTTAAGGTCCTCCCTTTGTATGCTTACCCAGTATTCACGTGGTTTACTTTATTAAAACTCAATGCAGTATTAGTTTCTACACTCCAACAATCCCCAACAGTCAGTAGGCAAATGAAAACATCTCCTTCATCAGCGACCCACATTTCTAATGAAATTCTTGAGACCAGCCTTCAGGTTCTACCTTCCTTACCTCTTAGTAGCATGGAGGAATTCTCAAAAGGATGATCTCAGGAGACTTGGGGCAGAGGGATTCTCTTCTCCTTGGGGAAAATAAATATACACAGCTCTTGAAATCTGCAGTTTAAGAGACTGTATTTTTTTCCCTGGGCCACTTCTCAAGCCAAATGAGCCAATGTCCCAAGCCTCAGGAACATAGCAACAATTTGAGGCTCTCTTTGATATTAGAGAGAACTGGATTTTTCTCATTTTGTGTGTTTTTGCTTCCGTTGTAAATGCCTCTTGAATACAAGGTTTTTTCACCTGCTTTCTCTGAGTAGACTCAGTCCTTTCATGCCTTTTAAAGATCACTATCTGGAAAGTGCTTCCTTCTCCTTCCTATTGCCAAGGTCAGAAGCAGCGAGTGCTTTTGGCAGAAGTAAATGAAAATGAAACACCATGTGCATTTTTCAAAATCTTACTATTTTCCCTGTATGGTTCAGTATTTGATTGGTTATATTGAATCACATGTCCATTAATATTACATTTCTTCATGCTTGTCTTGCTGTGGTAATGGATTGAAGGACATGAAATTTAGCAGAGACGTAATAATGATCTTCAAATATTTGAAGTGTAATCATATTGAAGAGAAAATAGAAAGTGGAATGATGTGGGAGGTGGTAAGTTGCAAGCAAATAAATATTGAGTTGATAGGAATTAATATTTTCTAAGAATTAAAGTCAATCAAAATAGAAATGATGATAGTACAGCTATATTAATCTATATAATGAAATAATGTGCACCATTGGAAATAGAAAGAGTGAGATAGATCACAATACTATTATGGAAAGTAGTCAGGATATAATATATGGGAAACCCTAGTTGTGAATTGGTATGTACTGCCTAATTCCATTTGCGTAAAATTGAAATGATGTGAAAATATGCATGATTGTACATAAAATATTTCTGGACAGAAATAAACAGCAATACTAACAACAAAAACCCATGAATCATCTTTACCTCTGGCCAAGAAAATGTAGAGGAGAAAATGAACTTTTCCATTTATATCCTTCTGTACCCACGGTTTTTCCCCTATGAGCACTTTTATAATTTAAAAAGCCTGGTTTTATTTTTCAAGAAGAGTTTGTATCTTTAAAAAAAAGAGGAAATGCTTATTTACAAGGTAATGAATTTCCAATCATTGGAAGCAGTGAAGCAGAATTTGAGGGACTGTTCATGAGAAATGCTGTGCTTTTAAAATTACCACCTAACGCTAAGGTCCTATGATTCAGTTATATTCAAAGGACTGAAAACTATGAAGCACCTGGGCTTTTCTAGCTTGCTTCCAATTGGAAAGACTTGAACAATGAAATGAATAATTTTAACCTCTGGCCCAGAATTCATTGTCAGGTCTAGGCAGAAAATGATTTCTCTAGAAGAACATTTAAAAAAAAATTTAGGGGTAGAGAGATATTTTTAGCTAACAATCCAAAATACAAGGGAACAGAAAGTGTTGCAAAATGCCGTTTTTCTCAGTGACAAGGATTCCACAGAAGGAAGTTGGCATTTTGTTTCAGCTATCATGATCCTACTAATCTAGCGTTATCACTCATGAGGACCTTTGCTATCTTGGTGAGTCATTGTTTACCTAAGGGGATGATGAGAAAGGAGTTGCAATTGCAGGAATGCACAAACTTAGTGCAATCTTTTCTCTTCTGCCACCTATTTATTTTTTTCATTCTGCTTAGTGTAGGTAGGATTGACTTTCTAGTTACATAGACATTTGAGGTTTATCTTGCTCAGTAATACACCATGAATATCAGTTACATAGGAATGGTTAAGAACTGGCCCGTTCCTACATCTTCAAGGAAAATAAACACATATTTTGCTTCATATTTTTCTCAGCATTTTGAAACTAATATTTTTTGGTTCTTCAAAATCTTTAGTAAGAAAACTCTGAAATTTGCCTTCACTCAAGTACTTGCATCCCACTGTAGTAATTAACAGTCAGCATTAATACTTTCTTCCAATATGGTTTATTATTAATTTTTGCGTTAATATTTAATGTTTAAATATTTCATTAAATATTAGATTCATAATATATTAGTATGTATGTATTAAAAGTATTTATGATAGTATTTATAATAGAGAAGATATTAGATAGATAGATAGATAGATAGATGATAAACGATAGATTCTCCATGCACTATTTGAAAGACATATTTTTAGCATTTTGTTATATTTACTTTTTTAATGGCATATGTGTCATTGAATGTTTTTCCTTTCTTTTCCTTGCCTCTCTTTTCTGGTTCTTTTTATTTTTACAAACTTGCAGTCTGTAATTTATTTCTCAATCAGTCAATCAACCTACTTATATAGTGTATTTTTTCATGTCAGCACTTTGTAGATTCTTAATGGCTGCATAGCTCCCATCAGATGGATATTTTATAATTAATTCAATTATTCCTTTATTCATTTACATTGTTTCTAGACTTCACCAATAAATAATATAAAAATGTCTTTAGATATACATCCTAATATGTATCTCTGATTATTTCCTTAAAATAAATAATTGGAAGCGAAAATATCAAGCCAAGAAGAATGGACGTGGATTGTCACTAATGTAATAATATTTATTTATCTAGAGAAAGCATTCTAAGATTCTCCAGTTTTTCATTTTTTTCCCAATGTAATCTCATTCTCAAGAGCAAGAAGAAATGCATTAATTCTTTTTGATAAAAGCAACAAAAAGTATCTTCTTTCTCATTTATTTTGTGATTATGTTGCTTCTTAGGCACTTGCGGTATAGGGCAAATCACACTAGTCTTAGAATTAAAAGATCGAGTTAATTTGTGCAATCATCTAACCCTGGGTGTCTTACCAAGAGAGGGATAATAATTACCTAAAACACAGGATTGTTATGATGCTACATAATACACGTAAAAACTCTATAAACTAAAAAGTGCCATAGGAACTATTTATTATTGTTATACTTTTTTTGAAAATGAGAGATTTTTGATGCCCAATAACTCCCCAGATAGGGGACAGAGGGAGAAATGTGTAAACTCGGTTCCCTAAAGTTTAAAATTCTGAAGAAATTGTAAAAGACAGTTTACTCTACTAGTGAGGCAGAGTACCTGTGAAAATTCTCCTCTAAGTATAAGCTAGAAAATGCATAGAAATAAACACAGTCCCCGGAACCAAGCTACTGGGAAACACTTACCAACACTACGGGGAATTGGATTGACAGGTTGTATTTAGTCCTGAGAAGACTTTCTGAGGAGGAGGAGACTCAAGTCAAGCATTGAAAAAAGAGAGGAACATCTCTTGTTTTAAAAAATCTGGGGTGACAGTCAGGTTTGAAGCTGTTTGATGACTTATGAAAAGAGTTTGTGAAACAAGCAGACAGGAGCAACAGGGAGAAAGTAAACACTTATGTTATGTTGGAGCAGAGAGCATTGTCTTGTTTGGCAACCCAGAAAGAAAGATCTTTAAAGAGACAATCGAAATTGTGGTTTAAACAAAGTGGAAGAGGTTGAAAAATTTGTTTTAGGTAAACAAAATCTGAAACTGTAATATAAAAGAAAATTCCTTTCAAATTTAACTATGCATTTCCTATTTCTTTAGCCTAGTTTTTCTCTAACACTTATGTGCTAGGTCACCAAGAAATCTTTTTCAAACTTACCCCGGTGTCTTTTCTTCCATTTTTTCATCCCTATTTAGTCCCATATATATATATATACACACACACACACATTGTCATGCATGAAATTGTTTTCTTATCGTGTTTTTCTGTCTATATCTATAGGTGAACAGTCGTCCCCAATAACTTGGCATCCATCCACGAACAGAATCCTTATTATCTTCTTAGATGATTCACCTGCTCAAAGCATTGGGCACTGATGTCTTCTGACTAATTGACCTAAGTCTCTGTACTTTCAATCTGTTTATTTATCCAACGAAGAGAGAGAACCACACAGTGATAAGGGAGTTTGTTTTCCAGGGTTTCTCCAGCTTTCATGAACACAAGCTTACCCTCTTTGTGGTATTTCTTACCTTGTGTCTTTTAACCCTGGCTGGCAATGTCATAATTGTGACAATTATCAGCATTGATCGTCACCTTCACACCCCCATGTACTTCTTTGTTAGTATGCTTTCCACTTCAGAGACTGTCTACACATTAGTCATTGTACCACGGATGCTCTCCAGTCTCTTAAGTCTAAGCCAACCTATCTCTTTGGGTGGCTGTGCCACCCAGATGTTTTTTTTATTACCTTGGCCATCAACAACTGCTTTCTGCTCACAGCAATGGGGTATGATCGCTATGTGGCCATCTGTAACCCTTTGAGGTACATGATCATCATGAACAAGAAAGTGTGTGTCCAGCTGGTATGTGGGTCCTGCAGTGTTGGGCTGCTTGTGGCCATAGTTCAGATTTCATCTGTGTTCAGGCTGCCTTTTTGTGATAAACAGGTGGCCCATTATTTCTGTGATATCCACCCAGTTATGAAACTTTCCTGTGTTGATACCACTCTACATGACCTAATTAATTTTGTTGTTAGTTCCCTGGTTATTGTGGTGCCGCTGGGTTTGGTCTTCATCTCCTACATCCTCATCATCTCTACCATCCTCAAGGTCACCTCTCCTGAGGGCCGGAAAAAGGCTTTTGCAACTTGTGCCTCCCACCTCACTGTGGTTATCATCCACTATGGCTGTGCCTCCATTGCCTACCTCAAGCCCAAGTCAGAGAACACCAGGGATCAGGACCAGCTAATTTCAGTGACATACACCGTCTTTACTCCACTACTTAATCCTGTTGTGTACACTTTGAGGAACAAGGAGGTCAAGAATGCCCTTCACCGTGCTATTGGCAAAAAACCTTTTGCCTAGAATCTTCATCAGTTTGACATATAGTCAGTCATAGTCTGGGTATTTTTTTAAGCTCGAGAAAATTGAATCCTATCATTCATCCTCTAACCAAAGAGAGTTGCAAAATTTGGTGGTAATGCGACATTAAGGAACCAAGAGTCTCCATGATTTGACTTTGTTTTTACCATCATTCTCCTATACCTTCTACTAACCACACAGGTTACCACCAGGGGAGTGGTCAGTTGCTGCTCACACAGGGGCAAAGCTGTAGGGAATCGTAAGCAAGGAGTAGCTGATTGTTATCATTTGTTGAAAGCAGAAAAGTGGGTGGCATAACACCTATTGGAAGTACTAGGTTGACAGGTCAACCTAAATGTCATATAGATATTGAGCTCTAAAACTTTAAAGAGGACATGGTTGGTGTACAGGGTGTCTTGAAAACAGTCAAAACTACCTTCCCACTTATCATCACTTTCTACTTTAAGCATTGACAAGAGTAGCAAATCTTGACATTCCAGAAAAAATATTATAAGCTTTAAACATTCTCATCTGCCTTGGAGACCCATGAAATTGTTTTCCAATTTTGTTGAGGCTCACATTAGAACTATTTCCTCGGTGAGACTCTGTTACCAGTATGTTCAGTGTTAGTAAGCAACATGGTCACATCCAACCTCTGAATTTCACTGTGCTTATGTATGCTTTCTGTGGGAGTAACACATGCTATACTGAATTCACAAATATAGGGATATCTGATATCTGAGGATTTTTTGTAATTGAGTTTATTTTTATCACCTTCCAACTAATGCTTGCTGACTTAGATCTGGAAATTAGCCCATGATTTTCATTCTTCTCTGTGTAGAACATAATCTGATCCATGCCTTGCCTTTACCCTTTTCATTTCTACACGGAAGTCCATGTCTTGCCTTTACCCTTTTCGTGGAAATCCATGCTACAAGGCAATCCATGCCTTGCCTTTAACCCTTTTCATTTCTACATGGATGAATTTATTTTCTGTGTATAGTTGGGTACCTAGTTTAAATTCTAAGTTTAAATACAGTTCTAAACAAGAGTCTGGGAGTTTATTGTCTTCTAAAGGAGAAAGTTATTTTGATTTGCGAGAAAGGATTAAGATTTTAGATTTATTCGGCCTGGAGAAAAAAAGACAGAACTTGCCATATGCCTTCCGGTCCATAAAGGGCTGGTTAAAAAACATCAATCTGTATCTGTCACCTACCAAAACTGTCCAAGTGTCCCCTTTGAAAATGTATTGAAAGTGCCTGTAAAATAAAGGATCTGGGAATCCCTAAAGGTGGAAGGCCCAAGAAAGGAAACCTTCATGTTTATGAAACATTGCCTGAAACAGTAAAAGATTTGCTCCTTCAGAGCACTACCTGCAGGAGAGCAAGCTGAGTGGGTATAATGAGAAACCTCCAGGGCAGCTTATCTTTGCCTTTATCTAGGTGTTTTCCCAGGAGACCTCTGAGTCCGCTTGCAGTGAGTACCAAGGAAATACTCTCACAACCCTGCTCCTGTGAAAACCCCTTTTGAGACTCCCTCTTTGGGGCTCCTGCTCACTATATTAGCCCACTTCTGAAAGCCTCTCCCAGTAGTCACATCAGTTTTATAGATTGCTGAATATGAGTGCGCAGAACCCCCATAGGACCTCCCACAGTGGTACAGGGCTCTGTAAGATTGGTGACCAGTACTGAAAGTAGTGTGTTCCCCTGAGTTCCTGTAGTTTGGCACTGCAGAAAATTATGGTGCAATTCACCCAAAATAATTTTTGCAACAATAAACAATGTATATTGAAATCCTACTTATCCCTTGTCTTTTTAAAATATAGTTTATACTATCGTAACAGAGCCAGAAAAAGAAAACAAAATCCATGCATTAATTTCAAAGAGTATGTGATTATCACAAAACACAAATCATGACCGAAGAGAATGAGACTTAAGCCCACACCTTGGGCTTAGTTACCACATAGCCATTATCTTCATAAGTCAGGGTATGCCGATTCAGGAGGCTGCCGCTGTAACAGGAGTCACACATCTCCTTTGGAGGGAGCACATGATCCCACAAAAACACATCCCATATCACCCCAACAAAGGATTGATTTTCATCAAAATGTCCCCCAAAGGAATCCTGCTCTTGTCCCAGGATGATCTTAGCCTCTTCTCCCACAGAGTACCCCTTCCACACACCCTTCCTCCCCACCAGCTTCCCATTTGCCCAGAGTGTAGCAATTCCAGAGGCAGACTCCCAGCTCACATTGACATGGGTCGAAGCATAAGGAGATCGAGGGCAGGGGGTGGGGCCATTGAAAGTGACTGCAGCATTTCCAATGTGCAGCAGATACATTCCCATTTTGTTGACAAGGAGAAGCAGCTCATTGTCCTGGGACCGAGTGCTGTAGAAGAGGCTATAAGGGCAGGTGAAGTCTGTGAAGGTTTTCAGGCAAAGCTTGAAGTTCTTCAGGGGCTTCTTCACCTTGGGGATCAGGGACACATAGACTGTAGCTGATTCTTGAGGGAAAATAAATGCCTTCCCTCACATGTCTGTGGAGAAAAGATAATGTGAAAAAATTTAGTGAACTCGGATTTGCTCTCACTGTGGACCCTAGGCTGTCTCCTAACAGAGTGAAGTTAGCATGCTAGAGTTTGCAAAGTACCTGTGAGTGCATTATGTCAATGACCGTATAAGCAAAATACCAGTGTTAAAAACCCATGTTTTGGTCCACTTGTCCTGTTAGAAGGGTAAGTTAAAGATGTTCTGTATCAACTCCCAGCTCCATCTTCCTTGAAGATTTTATCCAGATAAAATAGCAAACACCAGTCACAGAAAATGAAACACAGCTAACTCATTGAGTGTAATGGATAGTATTCCATTCTCCCACCACTGATCAGATTCTGAGATTCTCCCATGGCACAGTTGTGGCTGAAGTTACATAGACTTTTAATGGCTCATCTTGATTCCTGGCTTGGCAATGATGAACCAACACTTGTGGTCAGTGCCAAGTCTGAGGAATAGAATAGTGTGCAAACCACATGGCCCAGACCCTTATAGTATTCTTGCCTTCTTCTCCAATCCCTGTTTGCTCTTGTATGCCAATTAAGGCAGGACCAGTTTTCCACTGTTTGTTTACCTGCAGCTGCAACACTAGGATCATGGAATTACTTATCATTGACTTATTTCCTCTTAAGATCCATAAGAGAAGAGAAGGGCTTAATCATTATAAAATCAACTATTTTTTTTCTTGCTTAGGAAAGCAAATTTAACAAATACTACGGTCTAGAAAATAAACTAGAGAAAAATGACTAACTGAATTAAGGGAGACAGAACCTAGAAGCACTATGGAGTCTTGAATTGAGTTAGTTTTGCTTCATTGCAGGAAATGGAAAAACAGCATGAATTTCTATTTCCTTAGATACAGGCCTTTTTTAGAATGCTCATCCTGGATGAAAAATAGTTAACAGAGCACTTAAGGAGAGGAAGCTAGGAAGAGATGACACACTTTAATAAAGATAGAGAGAAAGAGAGGGAGAACTTTAGTCAGTACAGCAGGAACTACGAGGATGGAAAGGTAAACCATGCATTTGTACCCTGTGATCTAATTATCTACCTGCTTGTGATTTGTAAGCTTGTCAGTATACAAACCTAGAGCAAAATAGCGTGCTTAGCCAGAGAGTGAGATTTTGAAAAACTCATTACTGATAGTAATGCTATAAAGAAATGCTGTCTCAAACTTGAGAAGATGAGGTTGTCCTTAGTGGCAGTAATAAAAAGGAAAAAAATGGTACTGAAACATTAAGGCTTTTTATGGCTAATAAAAAATAATTTTATAACATGTATGTATCACAAAGTACATATTGCCTTTAATTGATCTCACCCAATCTTCATGACAACTCTTTGCTAAATGGATGTTGTTTTCATTCCCACTGTATAGATGAAGACTCTGAGGGTCAAAGTTCAGCAATTTCACAAAGATTATTCAATTCAGTTTGGTAGAAACTGGTTATCTGATTTAAACTCCAACCTACTTTTTAGATTTCATATTTTCTCTCACGTTATCCTGACTGAGCATTTGAGAAGGATCAGAAGGATAATGCCCTAACCACTGTAACAAGTTCTCTTTTCCAGCCAATACCGCATACCTCTTCTTATTTTCTCAGTTGAGAGGTAATAACATTTCCATACAAGCAAAGCCAGTTCTCCTTTCTCCAGCTGTAAGAGTTCCTTATGTGAGGCATATCCTTATTCAACAGCATCTGTGGTGGTTCTAAAAATAAGTCAAAAAATAATTTTCTTCCCCTTGGGTGTGGTCTGACTCACTTCTTTTTTTTTTTTTTTTTTTTTTACTTTAAGTTCTGGAATACATGTGCAGAGCATGCAGGTTTGTTACATAGGTATACATGTGCCATGGTGCTTAGCTGCACCTATCAATCCATCATTTAGGTTTTAAGCCCTGCATGCATTAGATATTTGTCCTAATGCTCTCCGTCCCCTTGCACCCCACCCCCGAATAGGCCCCAGTGTGTGATGTTACCCTCTCTGTGTCCATGTGTTCTCATTGTCCAAATCCCACTTATGAGTGAGAATGTGCAGTGTTTGGCCTTCTGTTCCTGTGTTAGTTTGCTGAGAATGATGGCTTCCAGCTTCATCCATGTCCCTACAAAGGACATGAACTCACTCTTTTTTATGCTTGCATAGTATTCCATGGTGTATATGTGCCACATTTTCTTTATCCAGTCTATCATTGATGGGCATCTGGGATGGTTGCAAGTCTTTGCTATTGTGAACAGTGCCACAATAACACACGTGTGTTTGTGCCTTTATAGTAGAATGATTTATAATCCTTTGGGTATATACCCAGTAATGGGATGGCTGGGTCAAATGGTATTTCTGGTTCTAGATCCTTGAGGAATCACTACACTGTCTTCCACAATGGTTAAACTAATTTACACTCCCACCAACAGTATAAAAGTGTTCCTATTTCTCCACAGCCTCACCAGCATCTCTTGTTTCCTGACCATTTAACAATTGCCATTCTAACTGGCAAGAGATGGTATCTCATTGTGGTTTTGATTTGCATTTCTCTGATGATGAGTGGCAATGAGCTTTTTTTCATATGTTTGTTGACCATATTAATGCCTTCTTTTGAGAAGTGTCTGTTCATATCCTTTGCCCACTTTTTGATGGGGTTGTTGGTTTTTTTCTTGTAAATTTGTTTAAGTTCTTTGTAGATTCTGGATATTAGACCTTTGTCAGATGGGTAGCTTGTAAAAATTTTCCTCCCTTCTGTAGGTTGTCTGTTCACTCTGATGATAGTTCCTTTTGCTGTGCAGAAGCTCTTTCATTTGATTAGGTACCATTTGTCAGTTCTGGCTTTTGTTGCAATTGCTCTTGGTGTTTTAGTCATGAAGTCTTTGCCCATGCCTATGTCCTGAATGGTATTGCCTACGTTTTCTTCTAAGATTTTTATGGTTTTGGGTTTTACATTTAAGTCTTTAATCCATCTTGAGTTAATTTTTGTATAAGTGTAAGGAAGGGGTCCAGTTTCAATTTTCTGCATATGACTAGCCAATTTTCCCAGCACCATTTATTAAATACAGAATCCCTTCCTTATTGCTTTTTTTGTCAGGTTTGTTGAAGATCAGATGGTTGTAAATGTGTGGTGTTATTTCTGAGGTCTCTGTTCTGTTCCATTGGTCCATGTGTCTGTTTTGGTACCAGTACTATGCTGTTTCGGTTACTGTAGCCTTGTAGTATGGTTTGGAGACAGGTAGCGTGATGCCGCCAGCTTTGTTCTTTTTGCTTAGGATTGTCTTGGCTATACAAGCTCTTTTTTGGTTCCATATGAAATTTAAAGTAGTTTTTTCTAATTCTGTGAAGAAAGTCCACTGATAGATTGATGGGAATAGCATAGAATATATAAATTACTTTGGGCAGTATGGCCATTTTCACGATATTGATTTTTCCTATCCATGAGCAAGAAATGCTTTTCCATTTGTTAGTGTCCTCTCTTATTTCCTTTAGCAGTGGTTTGTACTTCTCTTTGAAGAGGTCCTTTGTGTCCCTTGTAAGTTGTATTCCTAGGTATTTTATTCTTTTTGTAGCAATTATGAATGGGAGTTCACTCATGATTTGGCTCTCTGCTTGTCTATTGTCGGTGTATAGGAATGCTTGTGATTTTTGCACATTGATTTTGTATCCTGAGACTTTGCTGAAGTAGCTCATCAGCTTATGGAGTTTTTGGACTGAGATGATCGGACTTTCTAAATATACAATCATGTCGTCTGCAAACACAGACGATTTGACTTTCTGTCTTCCTATTTGAATATGCTTTATTTCTTTCTCTTGCCTGATTGCCCTGGCTAGAATTTCCAGTAGTATGTTGAATAGGAGTGGTGAGAGAGGGCATTCTTGACTTGTGTCAATTTTCAAAGGGAATGCTTCCAGCTTTTGTCCATTCGATATGATATTGGCTATGGGTTTCTCATAAGTTGCTCTTATTATTTTAAGATATGCTCCATTCATACCTAGTTTATTGAGAATTTTTAGCATAAATGACGTTGAATTTTATCAAAGGCCTTTTCTGCATCTATTGAGATCATCATGTGGTTTTGTCATTAGTTCTATTTACGTGATGGATTACGTTTATTGATATTCATATGTTAAACCAGCCTTGCATCCCAGGGATGAAGCCAAATTGTTCGTGGTGGATAAACTGTTTGATGTGCTGTTGGATTTGGTTTGCCAGTATTTTATTGAAGATTTTCACATTGATGTTCTTCAGGGATATTGGCCTGAAATTTCCTTTTTTTTTTTTTTTTTTTTGTTGTGTCTCTGCCAGGTTTTGGTATGAGGATAACACTGGCCTCATAAAATGAGTTAGGGAAGAGTCCCTCTTTTTCTGTGGTTTGGAATAGTTTCAGAAGAAATTGTACCAGCTCCTATTTGTACCTTTGGTAGGATTTGGCTGCAAATCCATCTGGTCCTGGGCTTTTTTTGGTTGGTAGACTATTAATTACTGCCTCAATTTCAGAACTTGTTATTGTTCTATTCAGGGATTCGACTTCTTCCTGATTTAGTCTTGGGAGGGTGTATGTGTCCAGGAATTTATGCATTTCTTCTAGGTTTTCCAGTTTATTTGCTTAGAGGTGTTTATAGTATTCTCTGATGGTATTTTGTATTTCTGTGGAATCAGTGGTGATATCCCCTTTATCATTTTTTATTTTGTCTGTTTGATTCTTCTCTCTTCTTTTTTAGTCTAGCTAGCAGTCTATCTATTTTGTTCATTTTTTCAAAGAACCAGCTACTGGATTCATTGATTTTTTGAAGGACTTTTCGTGTCTCTATCTCCTTCACTTCTGCTCTGATCTTAGTTATTTCCTGTCTTATGCTAGCTTTTGAATTTGTTATCTCTTGCTTCTCTAGTTCTTTTCACTGTGATGTTAGGGTGTTGATTTTAGATCTTTCCAGCTTTCTGTTGTGGGTATTTAGTGCTATAAATTTCCCACTGCTTTAGCTGTGTCCCAGAGATTCTAATACATTGTCTCTTTATTCTCGTTGATTTCAAAGAACTTCTTTATTTGTGTCTTAATTTCGTTATGTGCCCAATAGTCACTCGGGAGCAGGTAGTTCATTTTCCATGTAGTTGCGCCATTGTGAGAGCGTTTTTTAATCCTGAGTTCTAATTTGATTGCACTGTGGTCTGAGAGACTGTTTGTTATGATTTCTGTTCTTTTGTATTTGCTGAGGCGTGTGTTACTTCCAATTATGTGGTCAATTTTAGAATATATGCAATGTGATGCTGAGAAGAATGTATATTCTGTTGATTTGGGGTGGAGAGATCTGTAGATGTCTATTAGGTCCACTTGGTCCAGAGCTGAGTTCAAGTCCTGAATACCCTTGTTAATTTTCTGTCTCGTTGATCTAATATTGACAGTGGGGTGTTAAAGTCTCCCACTATTATTGTGTGAGAGTCTAAATCTCTTTGTAGGTCTCTAAGAACTTGCTTTATGAATCTGGGTGCTCCTGTATTGGGTGCATATATATTTAGGATAGTCAGCTCTTCTTGTTGCATTGATCCCTTTACGAGTATGCAATGCCCTTCTTTGTCTCTTTTGATCTTTGTTGGTTTAAAGTTTGTTTTATCAGAAACTAGCGTTGCAACCTCTGCTTTTTTTTTCCTTTCCATTCGCTTGGTAAATATTCCTCCATCCCTTTATTTTGAGCCTATGTTTGTCTTTGCAGGTGAGATCAGTCTCCTGACCAATGGGTCTTGACTTTTTATCCAATTTGCCAATCTGTGTCTTTTAATTGGGGTATTTAGCCCATTTACATTTAAGGTTAATATTGTTATGTGTGAATTTGATCCTGTCATCATCATGCTAGCGGGTTATTTTGAACATTAATTGACGTAGTTTCTTCACAGTATCATCGGTCTTTATATTTTGGTGTTTTTGCAGTGGCTGGTACAGTTTTTCCTTTCCATATTTAGTGCTTCCTTCAGGAGCTCTTGTAATGCAAGCCTGGTGGTGACAAAATCCCTCAGCATTTGTTTGTCTTGAAAGGATTTTATTTCTCCTTCACTTACGAAGCTTTTGGCTGGCTATAAAATTCTGGGTTGAAAATTCTTTTCTTTAAGAATGTTGAATATTGATCCCCACTCTCTTCTGGCTTGTAGGGTTTCTGTAGAGAGATCTGCTGTTAGTCTGATGGGCTTCCCTTTGTAGGTCACCTTACCTTTCTCTCTGGCTGCCCTTAATATTTTTTCCTTTCTTTCAACCTTGGAGAATCTGACAATTATGTGTCTTGGGGTTGCTCTTCTTGAGGAGTATCTTGGTAGTGTTCTCTGTATTTCCTGAATTTGAACGTTGGCCCATCTTGCTAGATTGGGGAAGTTCCCCTGGATAATATCCTGAAGTGTGTTTTCTGACTGGGTTCCATTCTCCCCGTTACTTTCAGGTACACCAATCAATTATAGGTTTGGTCTTTTCACATAGTTCCATATTTTTTGGAGGCTTTGTTTATTCCTTTTCATTCTTTTTTTCTCTAATCTTGGCTTCACACCTTATTTTAGTAAGTTGATCTTCAGTCTCTGATATCCTTTCTTCTACTTGATCAATTCAGCTATTGATACTTGTGTATGCTTTACAAAGATCTCGTGCTGTGTTTTTCAGCTCCATCAGGTCATTTATTTTCCTCTCTAAACTGGTTATTCTAGTTAACAGTTCCTGTAATCTTTTATCAAGGTTCTTGGCTTTCTTGCATTGGGTTAGAACATGCTCCTTCAGCTCAGAGGAGTTTGTTATTACCCGCCTTCCGAAGCCTACTTCTGTCAATTCGTCAATCTCATTCTCCATCCAGTTTTGTGCCCTTCCTGGAGAGGATTTGCGATCATTTGGAGGAGTAGAGGCATTCTGGTTTTTGGAATTTTCAGTGTTTTTGCCTTGGTTTTTCCTCATCTTCATGGATTTATCTACCTTTGATCTTTGAGGATGATGATTTTTGGATGGGGTTTTTGTGTGGGGGTCCTTGATGTTAATGTTGATGTTGATGCTGTGGCTTTGTTTGTTAGTTTTTCTTCTAACCATCAGGCCCCTCTTCTGTAGGTCTGTCTGCTGCAGTTTGCTGGAGGTCCACTCCAGACCTCTTTGCCGGGGTATCACCAGTAGACGCTGCAGAACAGCAAAGATTGCTGCCTGCTCCTTCCTCTGAAAGCTTCATTCCAGAGTGGCACTGGCCTGATGCTGGGCTGATTCACTTCTAATGAATAGAATACAGCAGGAATGAAGTATGTGATTTCTAAGATTAGATTATCAAAAGGCTGAGGCTTCTGTGCTGGGCACTTTCTCTCCCTATGTCAAATCACTCATCATTGCAGAAGCTAGCTGCCATGTTGCAGGCTGCTCTATGGGAAGACCCATGTGGCCAGGAACTAAGGGAGACTTATGGCCAATAGTAAGTGATAAAATTAGGCCTTCAATCCAACATCGTATAAAGAGCTGAATCCTGACAGCAACCACGTAAGTGAGCTTGGAAGCAGATTCTTTTCCTGTCGAGCATTCAGATGAGACTACAGCTCTCATTTATTGACTTCAACTTCATGAAAGATCTTCATTCAGAATCATTAGCCCTGCTACTCTATATTTCTTGACCCACAGAAAACCAGAGTTAATAAATATTTGTTGTTTCAAGCTGTTAAATTTTGTGGCAGATTGTTTTGGAATAATAGGTTACTCATATGCCAACCTTCATTCATACCTTTCTGAAACTGTAGCAGCAGCAGCAACAAAACCAACAATAGGTCTTATATTCTAGTTCTCTTGGGACGTGGAGGAAACTTCCCAATTAGCTCATTAGCTCAGTTCCTACCTCACTGTCACACCTCTCGAGAGAGTGGTGAGGAGCAGGATACCCGGAAGATGCCTCTCCATCACACTCTCCATGGGTTTTCAGGAGTACTGAGGGGGATAGCAGCAGTTATCACAGTGGAGAGACACTCACTGTTTGGCTTCTTATACTGTGTTGTTACAGGCAAGGTCTTTGTTCTAGCAACAAAACACAAAGTTATAGATGGTAAATATTAACTGAACCAGGATATGGTTAAAAAACTAATTTGTTTACCTTTTGATCTATTGTTTTCATTACTGGATCTTTCCTTTCTCTTTTAATTATTCTATTTCCTACTCCACTGCCCTTCCCCTTCAAAGAAAGGCCCTATGTTCTCCTGAAGGACATTTTATTACCTTATGTGTGTAAGGAAATCATGGCAGTCTATGTTAGGACTATAAGATAAGCATACTTGTGGACCCACGGGAGGAATCAATTTCCAACATGTGTTTAGGGGCTTGGGTATCATCAGTAGACTAAGGACATTAACTGATTTAGATGGTTGTGGAGTTCAACATAGTTGTGAGATGGAGACATCTTGGCTCATGACAGAATGGAGATCTAGCTCTTGGGCTCTTGAAGATGAAGTTGCCCAGTTCTCAATACAGGGAGTTCCTGGTTGTTGGGAGTTAATGTGGTGCTCTTCACCTAGAATTGGGCCATAAGCTAGGAAATCAAGGACTCAAATAAGGTATCTGTGAAGTTTGGGGATAAAAATATATGCATTAAAATGAAGATTGAAATTTAACTACTTTGCATTATCTCAGAAATGTACACAAATTTCTTTGAGGATTTTGATTTTTGTTTCTAGCATTTAGAGCCTACAAAATTTTATTTAATAATATTCATGCTGAGTTTTCAAGTGCTTAATTTACTAGGGTTTAGTTAAGTGTTAACATCTTGATGTACTATAAAATATTTTTTAGATTAAGATATTTTTGACAATCAATATGGAAAAATTTTAGAAATAGAATACATACATAAACTTAAAATAAGATCGAATATTTATAGATATAGACATATGTACTAAGGTATAAACATGCAAAGGAATACTCTATATACACTCAATATAGTAGTTACCTCTGAGAAAGGAGGAAGTAAGGAAGGGGAAAGGATGGAGGTGAATTTCTGACTACATCTATAAATATTACTACTTATAAAAAAAGAGGTAGGAAACAATTATGACAAATATGGCATGGTGAACACGTAGTATCTAATATATAGTTTTATAACTTTTTGAAAATTTAAAATGTTTATAATTGTTATTTTTAATTTTAATTTTAATCATCACATGGATTTTCTAAGTGATCATTTTTATGTTCCTTATTAACTTTTTTCTTTAAAATATATTTCTTTTTGCCCATGACACAGCCCTCAGGAGGTTCTGAGAACATGTGCCCCTCTTCATTAACTTATATTTCAACATGAATATTCTTTATGATCTGTAGCCTTAACCAATGACCTATTATGGACATATATGAAACAAATGTATGAATAAGAATAAAAACCATGTAAAGTGGTATAACAGTCAAAACCACCTTGCTGTGGTAAACTCTCCAAGTGGCTTAGTCATGAGCTGGCGCTTCTGATCTCCACTAACAGACTTGCTCAACTGATATGCACTTGGATGTCTTTAGGTTCCATATTAAAGGAGCAAGGTCAAGAAACGGAGGCCCTTATCTATCTCTTCCATTTCGAAGCCCACAATGGCCTTATGTAGGGAATTATGTCAGTTTTCTGAGAAGATAGTAGTCCTTCATATTCACTTTTTCCCAAGATCTGGAAACACAGATAGTAAGTATTAGAGAGGCTGTACCCTCATGAAGACATAGAGCCTGTTTCCTTGTCTAACATGTTAGGCTTTCTCAGAGGAAAACAGGAAATGAGAAGTTACAGGAAGTGGTGCAGTCACAACACCTGAAACAAGTGCTCAAGGAGGAAAAAGCATTTCTATTCATTTATATATAAACTTGAATCCTATCAGCTGGAACAAAGACTTTGTCCTTCAAAGAAGAGTATGTGAAGCCAGGTGGTAGGTGTCTCTCCCTTTCTAGGACTTTTGCAGTCCCCAAGAGTCCTCCCAGCTCTCCATGTTTACTTGGGAGGAATGGCACAGTCAAGTAGTTGCTGAGTTCAGTTAGGTATATGCTCCCAACCTAGAAAAACAGTGGTAGAGATAGACTAAAGGGTTCTTTATGGGGAGAGAGAGTTAGCGTGGGAAGAGTGAGGGGTGGTAGAAAATGGGAGAAATGATTTTTCAAATACCAGAAATTCCTAGGTCCAGAGAAAGGAGAGCTGGTTTACCTGCACAAAGGGAACACCATCACCCCTACTTTATGAGAATGAGAAAAGGTCCGAGGCCTATTTGCCAGAAGGAGAGATGATGCCGCAGAGCTAACAGCCTTGGCTAGGCACTTTCTAACTGTGTGAACGTCAAGAAGTTATATACTTCCATGAGCCTCAGTTTCTTCATTTGTAAAATGGGATTTTTTATTAAAAAAAAGAAAGCTACCTCATAAAGTTTTATAAATGTTGAATGAGATTAATTATGACATTAGATATTTAAAAGTTATAAAATATTAGTAGTTTTAAAAGCTTTAATATTTCTGTACTATCTGCTCAGAAATGAGCTACTCTTTTCCCACATGGTATGTTTCCCAAAACAGCTACCATTTCTGGCTTTCCTTCAAATGGGAACTCTGACCAGTGCACAAACTCTTCCAGGGAAACAATTAGTAACATAAAAAATAATTAGAGTGTTCTGAAAATACCACTCATGATGATCTGCTTTCAGGAGATAAGGAAAGAAGAGCTGATTTCATCTTCATGTGGAAAATATTCATCAGAATCTTGCTATAAATGGTCTTAGGAAAACGGGATCTCCATATGCAGAAGAATGAAACTGGGCCCTTATCTTACATCATATACAAAAATCAACACAAAATGGACTAAAGCCCTAAATGTAAGATGAGACACCATAAAACTCCTAAAAGACACATGAAAAAATGCTCATCATCACTGGCCATCAGAGAAATGCAAATCAAAACCACAATGAGATACCATCTCACACCAGTTAGAATGGCAATCATTAAAAAGTCAGGAAACAACAGGTGCTGGAGAGGATGTGGAGAAATAGGAACACTTTTACACTGTTGGTGGGACTGTAAACTAGTTCAACCATTGTGGAAGTCAGTGTGGCGATTCCTCAGGGATCTAGAACTAGAAATACCATTTGACCCAGCCATCCCATTACTGGGTATATACCCAAAGGATTATAAATCATGCTGCTATAAAGACACATGCACACATATGTTTATTGCGGACTATTCACAATAGCAAAGACTTGGAACCAATCCAAATGTGCAACAATGATAGACTGGATTAAGAAAATGTGGCACATATACACCATGGAATACTATGCAGCCATAAAAAGGATGAGTTCATGTCCTTTGTAGGGACATGGATGAAGCTGGAAACCATCATTCTCAGCAAACTATCGCAAGGACAAAAAACCAAACACCAAATGTTCTCACTCATAGGTGGGAATTGAACAATGAGAACACATGGACACAGGAAGGGGAACATCACACACCGGGGCCTGTTGTGGGGTAGGGGGAGGGGGGAGGGATAGCATTAGGAGATATACCTAATGTTAAATGACAAGTTACTGGGTGCAGCACACCAACATGGCACATGTATACATATGTAACTAACCTGCACGTTGTGCACATGTACTCTAAAAGTTAAAGTATTAAAAAAAAAAAAAAGACTCCTAGAAGAAAACATAGGGGGAAAGGTCCTTGATACTGACTTTGGCAATGATATTTTTGAATATCACACTAAAAGCACAGGCAACAAAAGCAAAAATAAACAGGTGAGACTACAACAAATTAAAAAAGCTTCTGCACAGCAAAGGAAACAATCAAAAAAATCAAAAAGCAGCCTATGGATTGGGGGAAAATATTTGTGAACCATATATCTGATAAGGGCTAATATTCAAAACATATAAGGAACTCACACTACTCACTAGCCAAAAAAAAAATCCAATTTTAAAATGGGCAAAGAATCTGAATAGATACTTCTCCAAAGAAGACATAAAAATGGCCTGCAAGTATATGAAGAGGTGCTTGATATTATTAATCATTGAGGAAATGGGAATCAAAACCACAATGAGATGTTACTTCATATCTGTTATGATGGCTACTACCAAAAAATGAAAGATATGGAGGTGAGGATTTGGAGAAAGGAAGACCCTTGTACACTATTTGTGGAACTATAATTTGGACATACATTATGCAAAAAAGTATGGCGGTTCCTCAAAAAAATAAAAATTGAAATACCATATAATGCAGCAGTCCCTTTCTGGGTATTAGGGGAAATGAAATCAATACCTCAAAGAGATACCTGCACTTTCATGTTTATTACAACATAATTCACAATAACCAAGATACGAAAATAGTCGATGGATAAATAAAGATATTGTGATACACACACACACATACACACACAAAATAGAATATTACTCAGCCTTAAAAAAAGATACTGCCATTTGTGACAACATGAATCAAGCTAGAGGACATTATGCTAAGTGAAATTAGCCAGATGCAGAAAGAAAAATACTGTGCAATCTCACATATGGAATATTTTTAAGTCAAATACAGAGAAACAGAGAATAGAGCAGTGGTTAGTTACTAGGGAAAAGGAGGGGGAGAAAATGAGGAGATGTAAGTCAAAGAGTACAAACGTTCAGTTATGTAAGATAAATAAGTCTAGGGATTTAATGTATAGCAGGAGGATTATAGTTAATAATATTAAATTTTATATTTAAAATTTGCTAAGAGAGTAGATTTTAGGTGCTGTTACACACACATACACACACATGCATGCATGCGCGCGTGCATGCGGGAAAGAGGTAACTATGGAAGGTGATGGGTATCTTTAGTTGTGTACATGTAGTAATCATTTCACCATGTATATGTATATCAAAATATCTTTTTGTATACCCTAAATCTGTACAATAAAAAATGAGGGAGGTGAGGGGAGGAAAAATTTTTCAAAGCAGAAAGGATAATAGCATGCCTATTCTATATTACTTGCATTTTATTTCCAGCCCTGCCACTGACTCACTATGTGACCTTGAGTCAGTCATTTCATCTCCCTGTGTTAATTTTCTTGTTTGTAAAGCAGGATAATGAATATAACTTTCTGTTCTCTCAAAAACAACTCTTGCTATGATTATCTCATTTTAGGGAAAGGAGAAAAAACTCACTAAATATGCTTCATTTGAAAGGGAACATGTTGGTTTAGCAAATTATAGATGAATGTGTACTTCCAGTCACAATTGGCTGGAAGAAAGTTGTATTCCTTCTATTCCTACTAAATAAAATTAAGTGGATGAGCGCAAAATGATTACACACCCACCTCTGCCTTAAAAGGGGGTAAGTCCATGAGATTGAGCCTCAGCATCTGAGATGACAGCTTCAAGTACATTGAACAAACAGGGATTTGACCCCTTTCTTATGAACAGATAACCAGGGATTGGGGAGGATATGACACAAAAAAGTAATATTTACACCTATTAATTCAAGTTTTCTATTTCTTACCCGAAGAGGAATGATAGAGACTCAGGAAAACCAAATCATAGACCAACAGAAATAATCAATGCATTTATCATTAGCCACATCCAACTCCACAGGAAGAATTTTTTGAGTATAAGGGTAAAATGCCCAGGGACTAGGTATGAAAGGAAAAAAAGAAGATAGGGTTTCACAACCTTTGCTCATTGCACTCAATAAACTAACCTTTCTTATGTCCCTGGAATAGAGTTGACAGAACCAAAAAAGTAAGTTAGGAAAAAGAATTCACCATATAAGATCTTTCATTGCAATATCATATGTAAATAACCCATATTTGCAAGCCCTATATGTAATAAGCCCTATGCGGAGATAGTCAGATGTTAACATATGATTAATATGAATTTTATAGTATTTCTCCTGGTTCTAGAGAAATCTTACATATCAACCTGACCTATGGTTAAAACCCCTTGTTCTACAGCACTTGGACCAAGACAATAAGGTCTTTCTATATCCATGTAAAACTGAAGCCTACAGTCTGTCTATTGGCTATGGAGAGGGCATTGTTAAGCCATCCTAAGACTCTTGTTTCAATCCATGTGCACCCGCTGGAGGAACTGTAGAACTCCTAGGTAGAAGAGAAGCCCCAGGAGAGAAAGGGATACTCAATTGAACAGAAAACAAAGATCACCCTGAAGTGGAAGCAGCATTCATTTGGGGGCAAGTTTGGTAGAGATAGTCCTTTAATGGAGAGATTTGGGATTAGCCCTGTAGAATTATGTGCTCTTGTCAAAGGAGATATGCACCACCTATTGTGATGACATCATCCTAAACTATTAGGCTTTCTTTTATTCTTATGACCTTTTCTTTTGACATAATTTTGGATTTACAGAAAAGTGGCAGGAAAAATAAAAAAAACCTTCCCAGATACTTAATTTTTATTGTGATAAAATATACATAATATAAAATGTATCATTTTAACAATTTCTAAGTGTACATCAGTGATGTTAAGTACCTTCATAGTGTTGTATAACCATCACTATTTCCATAACATTTTCATAATCTCAAACAGAAAATGTGTACCTACTAAATAATAACTCTCCATTTCTTCTTGACTGCCAGTCCTGGGCAAGCACTAACCTGCTTTCTGTCTCTATGGATTTGCCTACTCTGAACATTTCATTTAAATGAATCATAAAATATTTGTCTTTTTGTGTCTGGCTTACTTCACATAGCATAATGTTTTTAGAGTTCATCCATGTTGCAGCATGTACCAGAATTTCATTTCTTTTTAAGGTAGAATAATATTCCATTGTGTATGTAGCAGATTTTATTTATTCGTTCATCTTTTGATGGACATTTGGGTTGTTTTTACCTTTTGGCTTCTGTGAGTATGCTATGAACATTGGTGTACAAGTGTCTGTTTGATTCTCTGTTCTCAATTCTGTTGGGTATATACCCAGGAGTAGCATTGCTGAATTATATGGTAATTCTATTTTTAACTGTTTGAAGAACCACCAGACTGTTTTTCACAGTTGCTGTATCATTTTACATTCCCATCAGTTACACACAAGGGTTCTAATTTCTCCACTTCCTCCCCAACACTTACTATTTTCTATTGTTTCTGTTGCTATTAATATAATAATGATCCTAATGCCAAAGAAGTGGTATCTTATTGTGGTTTTGATTTGTATTTGCCTGATGGCTGGTGATGCTGCACATCATGTCATGTGCTTGTATTGGCTATTTGTATATTTTCATTAAAGAAATACATATTTGAGTTATTTGCTCACATATTAACTGCTGGAATTTTTTTTGCTTTTTAAAAAAGTTGTAGGAGTTCTTTACATATTCTGGATATTAATCTCTTATCAGATATTGAGATGTATGATATGCAAATATTTCCCCCCTTTCTGTAGGTTGTCTTTCCACTCTCTTGTTAGTGTCCTTTGATGCACAAAAGTATTTAATCTTGATGAATTCCAATTTATCTGTTTTCTTTTCTGTTGCCTGTACTTTTAGCGCATGTCTATGAAATCATTGCCTAATCCAATGTTATGAAGATTTACTTCATCTTTTTCTAAGAATTGTATAGTTTTAGCTCTTACACTTGGGTCTTCCATCTATTCTAATTCTGTATATGATGTCGAACTTCATTACTTTTCATGTATCTCCGGTATTTCCTGTCCCATTTATTGAAAGCACTGTCTTTTCTCCATTGTTTTGGGACCTTTGTTGAAAATCAGTTAATTAAGAAGATTGTTCACTAAACAAGGCCTTTAAAAGCAAGGCCAGCACGGGGAGGGGGGTTGTACTAATGTTAAGTTCTATTCCAACTGAGCCAATTTTTAATTTACTTTTTAAAAATTAATCAGTGTCAAAGTTGTATACAGAATAGCTTTCTGTAAGTACAATAGGGCACCTGGGTGCCCTGGGTTAGATCAGTTGAGAAGATGACTTATTTTTATTGTAGTTAAATGTACGCATCTGCTGAGCCTTACATGAACTTATAGACTTAAGGTTCTGGTTAGGCTCAGAGGTGGATGTAATGAGAAGCTAATAAAACTTCTCTCTCATTGGCACAGACCGCTTATACAAAATCATCTTTTCTCATTCTAACTAAATATTCATGTATTCAAAATCTGAATCCACCCTTTGTAGGTACCTGTACAGAGAACTGAAGTCAAATTCTGGTCTACCTATTTTACTTGATGAGAAAAAAATCCTGGTTTTAGGATTTTATCTTAGGATCTTGTCTCAGAATTTTATGATGTGATATATTTTTAAAAAAATCACAAAAACAATGCCATTTAAATAAATTTCTTTCTTCAACCACTTGTCCCTCCTCTTTGGAGCAAATTGTCTTTTCCATAACAAAATGCCTATTTAGGCCACAGTGTTGTAATGTTGAGCTCCCCCTTCCTCTCCCTCCTGCACACCCCAGGTCCTTGTTTATAGAGTAATAAATATGCAAAGATATTTTAAGTTTCTCTGCATAAAAATTAACCTGGATTTTGGTGGTCCTCTGGAAGTAGAGAAAATAAGAGAGGAAGAGCTGCAGGAAGAGGTTGAGTAACATGACATAGATGACAACCTATGGAGAAATGTGGTACAATGAGAGATTGTAATGAGTGGTGATGGTTAAAGAATTTTAAGAATTATCGGATATTAATATAGAAACAGTTTGCAGTGTGGTGCTGTAATGTAACCTTTCTTTATCCTTTCCTCCTACAAATTCTGCTATTAAAAACAAGTATCTGGCCGGGCGCAGTGGCTCATGCCTGTAATCCCAGCACTTTGGGAGGCCGAGGCGGGCGGATCACGAGGTCAGAAGATCGAGACCATCCTGGCTAACACGGTGAAACCCTGTCTCTACTAAAAATACAAAAAATTAGCCGGGCATGGTGGTGCCTGTAGTCCCAGCTACTCGGGAGGCTGAGGCAGGAGAATGGCGTGAACCCGGGAGGTGGAGCTTGCAGTGAGCTAAGATCGTGCCACTGCACTCCAGCCTGGGAGACAGAGACTCCATCTCAAAAACAAAACAAAACAAAACAACAACAAAAAAAAAACAAGTATCTGCTGGACTGCTGCTTTGTGGCAAATGAGGAAAATAGGCTGAGTTCCTCTTCTGTGTTGGAGTGGGATTAAAAAAAGACAATAGCCGCAGGAAGTAAGGTGAAGGGAGGTGAAGTGAAATCAAGAAATCAGAACTAGAAGGAAGCACACAAAAGACACATGCACACGTATGTTTATTGTGGCACTATTCACAATAGCAAAGACTTGGAACCAACCCAAATGTCCAACAATGATAGACTGGATTAAGAAAATGTGGCACATATACACCATGGAATACTATGCAGCCATGAAAAATGATGAGTTCATGTCCTTTGTAGGCACATGGATGAAATTGGAAATCATCATTCTCAGTAAACTATCGTAAGGACAAAAAACCAAACACCACATGTTCTCACTCATAGATGGGAATTGAACAATGAGAACACATGGACACAGGAAGGGGAACATCACACTCTGGGGACTGTTGTGGGGTGGGGGGAGGGGGGAGGGATAGCATTAGGTGATATACCTAATGCTAAATGATGAGTTAATGGGTGCAGCACACCAGCATGGCACATGTATACGTATGTAACTAAACTGCACATTGTGCACATGTATCCTAAAACTTAAAGTATAATAATAATTTAAAAAATAAAAATAAAAATAAATAAAACTTCTAGTGAATTTTTGAAAATTATAAGAGGATTTTTTACTTCCCATCAGACATAGATTAGTAGATTTGAACCAATTTTAAGGAATTATATGTGTATGTCAAAGGACAGGTTGATTTCAACTGACATCTGTGATGACTATGTATGTGAAAGAATAAGCATACATTTAACAACCAGCATATAGTTTAGTAAATGTTGAGATTACCTTCCCTGGGGTACTAGAGGGGATATCAATGAGCATTGGGGAGAGGAAATGGTCTTCCTCTTTGGAAAGATGTAGAGTAGCCACAGCATGGAAAAGCAGAATTATCAGTAGAAGGAGTACCATGCTAAAAGCTGGGAGACTTTGGTTCAAGTGACAGCTCTTCCATTAATACAAAGTGACTCTGAGAAGTTTATGTTTTAAATTCTTTACACGCAAAATGTTCAAACCACTATCTCTCAAATGCTGGCCAGCCTTTTAGGACTGAGCCCTTCCATTTATCTTTCTTACAGGACATCCATTTTTGTTTTATTTTGCTTTCAGTAGGTGGTCTATTATTTCTGCCATCAGTAAGTGTTTTTGATCATAGCCATGGCTTACTGACTATATATAATACACTCTTTTTTTGGCATTCCGAAGTATTGCCTTTTTTTCTTCCCCCCAAAAATTCTTTGATTACCTTGAATATGATTTTTCCCCTATCCAGACAGAATGCTAATTCTTCAGGGTCTTCCTGATTCTTCATCTCAATTAAGTCCTAAGCAGAGAAACCTGTTGCCACCAACTTCCATTGACAGAGAAGCATACCAGACTTTGAAGATAACTATGTCTCTCAAATATCCAAAACTCCTACTAAAAGTTTTTGTTTCAAATGAGTTTATTAACTTCAGGGATGGGAGGGGAAAGTATTTAGTAAGGATCAGAGATCATCCAAAATGAGGTTGGTGTAGAGTAGCAACCGAGTCATGAAAGGCTTCTTATCAGTAAGATCAAAATTCATAGAAATTACTGATTAAACACACATTTTCTCATTCAGCTTTGCAGTTAAGATGAATTGGCTTCCATTGTATCAGGTAACTGTTTTATTTTACTGGGAGTTCCTTTACATTTTTTATATTGACAAGAATTAGTTGTTAAGTGCTAGTATAAAATATAGATAGTATGCTTATCAAATTGTTATCTTGGGTTTATTACCTTTAGAAAAGGGTTCTGTTTATTACAGGCATTCCTTATTTTATTGTGATTCACTTTGCAGATATTGTGCTTTTTACAAATTGAAGGTTTGTGGCAATTCATAAAGCAAGTTTTTGGCACCATTTTCCCAACAGTGTGTGCTCACTTCATGTCTCTGTTTCATGTTTTGGTAATTCTCATAGTATTTCAGATGTTTTCATTATTGTTACATCTGTTATGGTGGTCTGTGATCAATGATTTTTGATGTTACTATTGTAATTGTTTTGGGGCACCATGAACTGTATCCAGGTAAGACAGCAAACTTAATCAATGAATGTTGTGTGTATTTCCCCCATCTCTCTCCTTCTCCCCCAGCCTACTTATTTCCTGAGACACAACAATATTGAAATTAGCCAATTAACCCCACAATGGCCTCTAAGAGTTCAAGTTAAAGCAAGAATAGCACTTCTTTAACTTTAACTTAAAAGCTGGAAATAATTAAGCTTAGTGAGGAAAGCATGTCAACAGCTAAGACAGGTCAAAAGCTAGGTCTCTTGTGACAAACAGTTAGCAATGTTGTGAATGCAAAGAAAAAGTTCTTGAAGGAAATTGAAAGTGCTACTCCAGTGCACACACAAATGAAAATAAAGCAAAGCAGCTTTATTGCTGATATGAAGAAACTTTTAGTGGTCAACATAGAACATCAAACCAGCCATAGCATTCCCTTAAGCCAAAACCTAATCCCGGACAAGACCCTAACTTTAATTCTGTGAAGGCCAAGAGAGATGAGAAAGCTACAGTAGAAAGTCTGAAGCCAGCGGAGCTCTCTGGTTTTATTTTTGTTTGTTTTTCAATGTGTGTCTATAACACAAAAGTGCAAGACAAAGCAGCAAGTACTGATGTAGAAGCTGCAGCAAGTGATCCAGAAAATACCTAATTGAATAATTGAAGGTGGCTACACTAACCAACAGATGTTCAATGTAGACAAACAACCTTACATGGGAAGAAAATTTAATACAGGACTTTCATAGCTAGAGATGAGATGTTAATGCTCGACTTCAATGCTTTCAAGAACAGGCAAGCTCTCTTGTTAGAAGCTAATGCAACTGGTGATTTTAAGCTGAAGCCAATGCTCATTTACCATTCTGAAAATTCTAGAGCCTTTTGGGAATTATGCCAAATCTACTCTGCCAGTGCTCTATAAATGGAACAAAGCCTGACCAATAGTGCATCTGTTTACACCATGGTTCACTAAATATTTTAAGCCCACTGTTGAGACCTACTGCTCAGGAAAAAAAAATAAGATGCCTTTCAAAATATTACTGCTCCTTGACAATGAATCTGTTTACCCAAGAGCTCTGATGGAGTCATTTCAAAGAGATTAATGTTGTTTTCATGCCTGCTAACACAATATTCATTCTGCAGCCAATGAATCAAGGAATACTTTTTTACTTTCAAGTCCTATTATTTAAGAAAAACATTTTGTAAGGTTATAGCTGCCATAGCTACTGATTCCTCTGATAGATCTGGGCAAAGTAAATCGAAAATTTTCTGGAAAGGACTCACCATTCTAAGTGCCATTAAAAACATTTGTGATTAGGAGGAGGATCTCAAAATACCAGCATTAATAGCATTTTGAAAGAAGTTTATTGCAATCATCATAGATGACTTTGAAAGGTTCAAGACTTCAGTGGAGGAAGTCACTGAAGATGTGGTAGACAAAGCAAGACAGCAAGAATTACAAGTGAAGCCTAAAAATGTGACTGAATTGCTGCAGTGTCATGACTAAAGTTTAATGAAAGAAGAGTTGCTTTTTATGCATGATCAAAGAAAGTAGTTTCTTGAGATGAAAACTACTCCTGGTGAAGATGCTGTGAACATTGTTGAAATGACAACACATGATTTAGAATAGTACATAAACTTGGGTTATAAAGCAGTGGCAGGATTTGAGAGGATGGACTCCGATTTAGAAAGAAATTCTACTGTGGGTAAAATGCTATCAAACAGCATCATATGCTACAGAGAAATCTTTCATGAAAGGTAGTCAATCAATGAGACAAACTTTATTGTTGTCTTATTTTAAGAAATTGCCAGAGCCAGCTCAGCCTTCAGGGACCACCACTCTGATCAGTCAGCAGCCATCAACACTGAAGCAAGGCACTCCACTAACAAAAAGATAACAATCCACTGAAGGCTTAGATTATTGCTAGCATTTTTAGTAATAATGCATATTTTAATTAAGCTATACACATTTCCTAGACATAATGCACACCTAATAGAATACAGTATAATGTAAACATAACTTTTATATGCACTGAGAAACCAAAACAAAATGTGGCTTACTTAATTTTTTGAAGGGTTTTTGGTGTCTCTATTTCCTTCAGTTCTGCTCTGATTTTAGAGCATGTGTTATGTGGTGATGAGAAGAATATATATTTCTTGTTTTGGGTGGAGAGTTCTGTAAAGGTCAATCAGATTCATCTGGTCCACTAATGAGTTTAGGTCTTGAATATCTTTGTTAATTTTCTGCCTCAGTGATCTGTCTAATACTGTCAGTGGAGTGTTGAGGTCTTCCACTATTATTAGGAGATATCTATGTCTCCTTGTAGGTCTCTAAAAACTTGCTTTATGAATCTGGGTGCTCCTGTGTTGGGTGCACATATATTTAGGATAGGTCCTCCTGTTGAGTTGAACCATTTTGTAATGCCCTTCTTTGTCGTCTTTTATGTTTTTTGGTTTAAAATTTGTTTTGTCTGAAATTATTATTGCAATCTCTGCTTTTTTTTCCTGTTTTCCATTTTGCTTGGTAAGTTTTCCTCCATCCCTTTATTTTGAGCCTATAAGTATCATTATGTGTGAGATGGATCTCCTGAAGACAGCATACCATTGGCATTAGGTCTTGCTTTTTTATTCAGCTTGTCACTCTATGCCTTTTTCTTTTCTTTCTTTCTTTTGACAGAGTCTCACTCTGTCACCCAGGCTGCAGTGCAGTGGCATGATCTCAGCTTACTGCAACCTCTGCCTCCTGGGTTCAAGTGATTCTCATGCCTCAATCTCCCTAGTAGCTGGGATTTCAGGCATGCACCTCCACACTCAGCTAATTTTTTTCTACTTTTAGTAGAGATGGGGTTTCACCATGTTGGCAAGGCTGGTCTTGAATTTCTGGCCTCAAGTGATCCACCTTCCTCAACCTCCCAAATGCTGGAATTACAGGCATGAGCTACCACACCCAGCCTCACTCTGCCTTTTAAGTGGAACATTTAGCCTGTTTACATTCAAGGTTAGTATTAATATGTGTGGATTTGATCCTGTCATTGTGCTGTTAGCTGATTATTATTTTGGCTTGTTTGTGTGGTTGCTTTATGTTAACACCAGACTGTGTGTTTAAGTGTATTTTGTATTAGCTGGTAGTGGTTTTTTCTTTCTATATTTTGTGCTCCTTTCAAGATCTCTTGTAAAGCAGATCTGGTGAGAATGAATTCCCTCAATTTTGCTTACCTGAAAAACATCTTATTTCTCCTTCACTTAGGAAGCTTAATATGAAATTCTTGGTTAAAGATATTTTTTTCTATAAGAATATTGAATATAAAGTTCCCAATCTCTTCTGGCTTGTTTCAGGTGAGAGGTCTGCTGTTAGCCTGATGGGGCTCCCTTTGTAGGTGACCTGCCCTTTCTCTCTAGCTGCCTTTAACATTCTTTTATTTCTGATCATTACGTGTCTTGGGGATGATCTTCTTGTGTAGAATCTTGGAGAAGTCCTCTGTATTTCCTGAATTTGACTGTTGGCCTCTCTAGCAAGGTTGGGGAAGTCTTCATGAATGATATCCTGAAATATGTTTTCCAAGTTGTTCGCTTTCTCCCCGTCCCTTTCAGGGATGCCAATGATTCATAGTATGGTCCTCTTTACATACTCCCATACTTCTCAGAGCTTTTGTTCATTATTTTTTATTCTTTTTTTTTTAACTTTTATTTTAAGTTCAGTGGTACATATGCAGGATGTGCAGGTTTGTTACACAGTTAAATGTATGTCATGGGGCTTTGTTGGACAGATTATTTCATCATCCAGGTATTAAGCCTAGTACCCATTATTTATTTTTCCTGATTTTCCTCATCCTTTCCCTTCTCCCACACTCTGCCTTCCAGTAGGCCCCAGTGTGCCTTGTTCCCCTCTATGTGTTCATGTGTCCTCATCATTTAGCTATCACTTATAAGTAAGAACATGCAGTATTTGATTCTTAACCAAATTTTGGTTTCTTAACAGAAAGCCAACTGCTACATGTTCTTACTTATAAGAACTGTACTTTTAAGAACTGTCTGTCTATTTCAGAGAACTAGTCTTCAAGTAGTGATGTTCTTTCCTCTACTTGGTTTATTCTGCTGTTAATACGTGTGTTTGCATTGTGAAATCATTGTATTGTGTTATGGAGCTCTGTCAGACCTGTTATGTTCTTTTTAACACCAGCTATTCATCCTTCAGCTCCTGTATTGCTTTATTGTGATTCTTATTTTCCTTAGACTGGGTTTTGCCATCTCCTGAATCTCAATGCTCTTCATTGCTATCTGTAAAGTGTCATTTGCTTGTCTCCTGGGGGCTCCACCCCAGAGAGATGCAGGTCAGCAACAGCTCAGTGCAATCAGCCCAAGGTGGAGGGTTATAGAGGGAAATGTGTGCCAGGGGTTCCCTGACTTACAACAACCAGTCAGGGGTGTGGGGAACCTATGGGAGATGGACTGGCCTTCTCTCCTTGGGTTGACCACAGCTTGTTGGAGATATGGATAAGGCACTTAGGGTCTTTGCTCCTTTGTCTAAGGATGGCAAGGGCAGTTCCATTGCAGACGTAGTAGCAGAGGCTTTCAGTTGCTCCTGGAGGTTCTGTCCAGAGCATTGCCAAGTTGTTATTGGCTCGATAGCTCTGGCGGGGGGTGGCTGGAGGCCTGGGCGTGGTGGACCTGCCTGGTGAGGACATATGGGAATGGGCATCCACATAACAGTCTGGCCACTTTTCTGCAGGGGTGCCATGGTATGCTTGGGGCCCATTCCAGTCCCTAGTCAACTTGGATTTTCCACTACCTGGAAGTATCACCAGTGAAGGCTACAAAACAGCAAAGATGGCAGCCTGTCCCTCCCTCTGGGAGCTTTGTCCCAGGGAGGTTGCAGGCCCAAAGGCACCTGTAGGAGGTGGCTGGAGACCCCAGTTGGGAGGTCCTGCCCACTGAGGAGGAACTGGATTGGGGGCCCACTTAAAAATACTGTCTGGCCATGTTTTGGTAGAGCAGCTGTGCAGTGCTGGGGATCTGCTTCAACCCCTGGTCACCTTAAAAACTCCAAAGTCTGAAGTCTGGAATGGCTAAGTTGTCCAAACAGCAAAGATGGTGGCCTACCCGTCCCTCTGGGAGCTCTGTCCCAGGGAGATTACAAATCTCTGTCTGCCAGACAACACCAGTGGGGGTGGCTGGAGGCCCTGGTTGGGAGGTCCTGCCCAGTGAGGAGGAATGGGATTAGGGACCCACTTAAAAAAGCAGTCTGGCCATGTTTCGGTAGAGCAGCTGCGCTATGCTGGAGGATCCCTTCTGCCCCGGTCAGCTCAGACCTCCAAAGCCTGAAGGCTGAATTGGCTAAGTTGCCCAAACAGCAAAGATGGCAGCCTGTCCCTCCCTCTGGGAGCGCCACCCCAGGGGGAATAAAATATCTGTTGAGGCAGAGTGCGGTGGCTCACGTCTGTAATCCCAGCACTGTGGGAGTCCGAGGCAGGCAGATCACTTGAAGTCGGGAGTTCGAGACCAGTCTGGCAAGCATGGTGAAACCCCATCTCCGCTAAAAATACAAAAAAAAATTGGCCAGGCATGGTGGTACATACCTGTAGTCCCAGCTACCTGGGAGGCTGAGGCAGGTAAATGGCTTGAACCCGGGAGGGGGAGGTTGCAGTGAGCCGAGATCACGCCATTGCTCTCCAGCCTGGGCGATAGAGCAAGACTCCGTCTCAAAAATAAATAAATTAATAAATTAAATAAAAAAATAAAATCTCTGTTGAGGGGCGAACATGAGTGGGAGTGGCTGGAGACCCCAGTTGGGAGATCCTGTCCAGTGAAGAGGCATGGGATTGGAGACGCACTTAAAGCAGCAGTCTGGCCACGTTTTGTTAGAGCAGCTGTGTTGTGCTGTGCTTGGGGATCCCTTCTGCCCCCAGTCGGCTTGGACTCTTCAAAGTCTGAAGGATAGAATGGCTAAGGCCCTGGAACAGCGAAGATGGCAGCCTCCCCTACAACTCAGCTCCTTCTTAGAGAGGTGCAATGCGGCTACCAGTGGCTGGCTGGAATTCCAAGCCAGTGGGTCTTATCTTGGGAGGTGCTGTGGAAGTGGGGCCTGCAGGCTGTCACTGCTCAGCCTCTGGATTCAGCCTCTTTCCTAGGGGTATGTATGGGGGTCTAATCTTTCACTTTGCTGGAGCTGCAGCTACTTTTGCCGGAAAGCCGGACTATTTAAGGCACCAGGGTCTCCACACATGCCTCAGCGGCTGCTCTGCCTAAACTCCATATAGCTCTGTCTGTCAGATTGAAGGCCCTGCTGGGATGGGCTCACAAGGAAGGTTGCAAAGATCCGTGAGAGAAGCATGGTTTCCTGGGGTCGCACATTCACCACTTCCCTGAGTGGGGAAGTTTCCCTGGCTCTGTGCTGCTCCCTGGTGGGTCGTTGTCCTGTCTTGCTTTTCTTCATTCTTCGTGGGTTAAGTTGTTTCCTTGATTACTCCCAGTGCAAGTACCTGTGTGTTTCAGTTGAAGGCGTTGTGTTTACTCTCCCCTTCTGTTCCTCTCTGGGCAAGCCGTGCACACTAACTGCTTCTAGTCAGCCATCTTGGCCACCCTCCTGTTCTTCCTCTTTTTAGGTAGATCCCGGTTCCTGAAACATAATTTGCCCTTATGCCTAGAGAACTGCTTTTAAAATTATTTTGGGGCCAATTTCTTGGCAATAAATTCTTTGTGATTTTGTTGAAAAAGATCTTTCATCTTTGAAGTGTATTTTTGATGAATGCATTATTCTAGTTGGGTGGCTTTTTTTCTTTCCAAGTTTTAAATATTTGTCTTCACTCTTTTCTTGCTTGCATGGTTTCTGACAAGAAGTCTGCTATAATTCTTATCATGTTCTTTTATAGGTCAGATGATACGATTTTTCCTCCTGGCTTTTTCTAAGATTTTTTTCTTTGTCTTTGGTTTTCTGCAATCTGAATGATATGCACACCTCTCGTATATTTTTTGGTATTTCTTCAGCTTGTAGTTATCTGAGCTTACTGAATCTGTAGTTTGAGGTTTGTCGTTAACTTTGAAAAATTCTCTCTATTATTACTTCAAATATTTCTGTCTCTTTCTTCTCCTTCAAATATCCCAATTACACATATGTTATACCTTTTGAAATCGTTCCACAGTTCTTGAATGTTCTGTTTTGTTTTTTGTTTTCTTCATTTTTTTTCTCTTTGTACTTCAGTATGAGAAGTTGGTCTATCTTTAGGTTCACTGATTCTTTTCTTACTCATGTCCAGTCTACTGATGAGACCATCAAAGACATTTTTTTAATCTCTGTTACAATGTTTTTGATTTCTAGGATCGCCTATTATTGTTCTTAGAGTTTTAATCTCTGCTTTTATATTACCCATCTGTTTGGCAAGTTGTCTACTTTTGTCATTATAACTCTTAACATATTAATTATGTTAGGTAATTATCAGATAATTATGTTATCTGATAATTCCAAAATCTATGTTATATCTGACTTTCTTTCTGATTCTTGCTTTGTCTCTTCAAACTGCATTTTTCCTTGTCTTCTGGCACATTTTGCAATATTTGTTGAAAGCTGCACATGATATATTGGGCAATAGAAACTGAAGTAAACATGAATTTAATGTGAAGTTTTATGTTAATCTGGCTAAGATTTGGGCTATATTTAATGTTTGCTATATCGATAGAGGCCAGAGACTAAATTCCTCTAGTATCCTTGTTTATTCTACTCTGTTAACTTTGAGATTCCCTAAGTACTCCTCTTCAGAGAGAGTTTAAATCTTGCAGCTCTTTTAACTGTGACCCACCCTTATACCAGAGTCCTTTTGATCTGACAGTAAGGTGTGGGAGTGAGGAGCATTCTGTAATCTTATTATTAAGTCTCACTCTTTTAGTGGGCCTGTGTTCCTGGAATGTGACCTTCACAAGGGTGTCTTGTCCTCTCTCCTCACTCAGGTGAAATAGGAATGCTAGAGAGGGCTAGAGTGAGAGAAATTATTTTCCCCTAGGTGGGATAAGGCTCTGATAAATCTTTACCCCTGGAGAGTAAGTCTTTGCTATGAAGAACAGTCAGGTTGTATTCTACAAGTTATTCTTTCCCTCCTTCTACCTGAGCCATGAATTTTTTCTGACCGCTCTTCACCATAAGAACACTGTGTGGTGTCTGGAGATAAAACTCACAAAAGTATGTGGGTGCCCCTAAGATTGCAGCACCTAGGAGTTTCTCATTCTCAGGATAATTCTCACATTAGCCTTCTGAAATTTGTCAAAATTGTTGTTTAAGTGTTCCAGTTTATGGCTCCAGGGCTTCCCCAGCAGTAAGCTGTCTTCATGTGGTTCTCTGGATTCACCTGTTTTTCCAGATTTAGGGGTGGCAATTTGCCCTGCAATCTCAGTTTTCTGAGGTATTCATGAAAAGCTGCTAATTTTGTTTATTTATCTTCTTTGTTGTTGCTGTTGTTGATAGAATGGAACTGATGACTTCTAAGCTTTTGCATGTTGGAACTGAAAGCCAGCTAATCTACTTTTGAAGACCAGATTTTTTACTACCTTTTTAAAGGGTGCTGTATTAGGCTTTTCTTGCATTGCTATAAAGAAATACCTGAGACTGGGTAATTTATAAAGAAAAGAGGTTTAATTGGTTCTATAGGCTTTACAGGAAGCATGGTGCTAGCATCTGCTCAGCTTCTGGGGAGGCCTCAGGAAGCACAATTATGGCAGAAGGTAAAGTGGGAACAGGCACTCCACATGGCACAAGCAGGAGGAAAAGAGAGAGAGTCAGCTGGGGGAGGAGATGTCACACACTTTTAAATGATCAGATCTCATGGGAACTCAGAGCAAGAGCTCGCTTATCACCAAGGGGATAGCCTAAGCCATTCATGAGGGATCCACCCCCACAATCCAAACACCTCCCTCCAGGCCCTACCTCCAACACTGGGGATCATGATTCAACATGAGATTTGGCAGGTACATACATTCAGACTTTGTGAGGCACTCTGCAATTTGGCACAGGCTAGCTTTTTCTTAGAATAAAATCCAAGGAAAAATATCAAATCAATACAAATAATACAATAATTTCAGAGTTTCTGTTAACATCACTTCTTCTTTGAAGCTTTATTTGAAGTCTTCAGCTCACACTGAGCTCACTTCAGTCTGGGTCTAAATTCTATTTTTTGTTGTTTTTTTTTTCACTCAACTTTCACTTAACCAAATACTATCTAGTAATAGTTGACTAATGTTTTTGGATAGATGGGCTGTCTCTTTAAATATAAGCTTTTCATGGGAGGCAAAATATTTTATACAACCATCGTATCCCTAGTTGTGCTATCATATCTGTATACTAGACAAATGGGGAATATTAAATTAAATACTTAGGGTGGTCCAAGTTTTGCAATTTTTTTTTTTTTTGGACGATAGTGAGGCTTCATCAGGTTTTCAGGACAGAGGTATGTCTGGATCACCTCAATTTATAGATTATTATTTTAAGAATAGGTGAGAAGGAAGAAGAGGATAAAGCAGCCAAACATTTGGACCCCACGAGTGGCTGACACATTATTCATTACTACTTCAAAATACAACAACAAACGTACTCATTTCAAAGTAGGTGCGATAAACTAATAGCAGTTCTATAAGTCTTCCATGTGGGCAACTCAACTCTTCCCTCTTTGCTTCTCCCCTCACTACATACTTTCTGCTTAATTTTTTCCCTTTGTCTCACTCTGTATATATTTTATTCATTGATTAATTAATAAAGATTTAGCTGGTGACATCAGCAAGATAGCAGAATAAGAGGTCACAGGCTTCACTACCCCCCATAGAAAGTTCAACTAACAATTATCCACAGACAAGGATGCCTTTGTGAAAACTCCAGTACTTGAGAATAAGCTTGAGAAAACAGTGTGGACAACAGAACTAAATAAAGACCACAAAAGGGGTTAAGTAAAATGGCCTCACTGATTGCATCACCCCATCACCCCTGCCCATTCCATGAGTCAGCAAAGTACCACACAGAGAGGATTCCCCAAGGCTCAGTTTCAACAGTGGGAAAAGAGAACTGGAGTTGGACATCCAGCTTCCCTAGAATTCTGAGACGCTTCCCAGGAAGCCCGCTGTGGTCTCACCTCACAAGGAGTACAGCGGGTAACAGCATGAACACTGAACAAACCTTGCTGATAGCTCTGTGTACCTTCCAGTGGTGGTACCTGATCAGAGATACAAGCCAACAGCATCACCTACCCACAAAGCTGAGCTGGTCACTCCCAGAAGTGATGGAAAGTCCTACCTAGCTTGAATCCCTAGATGGCGAGCCTCCAGGCTTAGTCTCAGACCCTACCACAAGGCCCTCAACCCAGGGAGAGAGATGCTTGTCCCAGCACAATTTGGAAAAGAGTGGGATCCAGTTTATACAGCATTTAGCACAGCCTCAAAGCTTGCCCAAGACCCTGTCCAGGGATGGAGACAACCAAACAGAACACTTCAGCAAAGTGCAGTGGCTAGTTCTGCCACACTCAAGCATGCTCCATTTGAGCAGCTACTCTGCCTAACCTCAGAGCCAAGCCTGAAACCCCATCCAGCTGCAGATCTCAAACAACAGTACCACTTGGCCAGAGAATACACCTTGTGGCCCAGGCTGATCTGAGATCATTGCAATGTACATCCAGCAGATCTGTCTGATTGCATGTCTCAGCCAGTGGTCTCTCCTGACAGATTAGCCCAACCAGCAGCCACACCCAAAATCCAAGCAGCTACCTAGAGAACTCAAAAACAAGCTCTGTCTGCACAAGATTATTACCAGCTGGTCCATTCAAAATCACAGGTTAGACTAAATAAGGAAAAGTCTATCCCTGTCAAAGAATTCTTGTAAAATCTGGAAGAGGTGGTTGTCTCTTCAAATGTGCAGACACCAACATAAGGGCACAAGAATTAAAAATAATCAGAAATTCATGGCATCACCCAAATAAACTAACAAATTAAACCCATAAAAAGGTTCACCAAGACACATAATAATCAAACTATCAAAAATAAAAGACAAAGAAAAAATTCTAAAAGCAGCAACAGATAGGAAACACATACAAGGGAGTCCCAATACAACACTTCACAGATTTCTCAGTAGAAACGCTGCAGGCCAGGAAAGAATGAGATGATATATTTAAAGTGCTGAAGGGAAAACAAAACAAAACAAAAACAAACAAACAAACAAAAACAGGAATATTTTACCCAGCTAAGCTATCCTTCAGAAATAAGAAATTCACCACCACTAGACCTGCCTGACAGGAATTACTAAAGGGAATTCTTTAAGCTGTGTCAAAAGGCCACTAATTAGTAACACAAACCATATAAAAGCACAAAACTCAATGATTAAGTAAGCCAGAGTCATATTTCAGAATACTTTGGACTGAAATGGTGATGTGTAAATAAATGTTACCTCCAGTATGATGCTTAATAGATATATCTATTAAAACAATTATAACTGAAATTAGTTGTCAGGGAATAAAAATTACAAAATAATATAAATTTTGACATTAAAAACATATAGTGGAAAGAAGTAAAAGCATAGAGTTGTTGTATGCAGTCAAAGTTGTTTTCTTCAGCATGAAATAGACTGCTATTAGTATAAGATGTTTTATACTAATAAAGCCTCATGGTAAATAGAAAGTAAAAAGTTCATGGTAAATAAAAAGTAAAAAGTTATTATACTAGATGTATAAAACACAAATAAAAAGGATTCAAACCATACTATTATAGAAAACCATCAAACCAAAAAGGAAGACAGCAACAGGGAAAGAAAGAAAGTATATACAAACAATAAGCAAACAAGTTATAAAATGATAGTAGTAAGTTCTTACCTACGAACAGTTACCTTGAGTGTAAATAAATTAAATAATTCAATAAAAAGACATAAAATGATGGAATGTAACTTTTTAAAACCCAAATATATGCTGTCTACGAGAGACTTGTCTCACCTTTAAGGATACACACAGACTGAAAGTAAAGGGATAGAAAAAGATATTCTATGTAAAGGAAAACAAAAAGGTAGAAGGCGTAGCTACACTCATATCAGACAAAATAGTATTTAAGTTAAAAACTGTAAAAAGAGATTACAAAGGTCATTATATAATGATTGAAATGTCAATTAATCAAGGGGATATAACAATTGTACATACATGTACAGACATATACACCAAATATTAGAGCATGTAAATACATAAAGGAAATACTAAAGGATCTGAAGGGAGAGAGCAATTGCAATACAATAATAGTAGGATATTTCAATAACTCATTTTCAACAATAGACAGATTATTCAGACAGGAAATTATTAAACAATCATAGGATTTGAACTACACTTTAGACCAAACAGTACTAAAAGATATATAGAAAACTTTTCATCCAAAAGCAACAAAATACATTGTTTTCAAGCACACCTGAAACATTCTCCAGGATATATCATATGGTAGGTCATGAAACAAGTCTGTATAAATGTAAGAGAATTAAAATCATATCAACTGTCTTTTCTAACTTCAATGTCATGAAACTAGTAAACGATAACAAGAAAATCTTGGAAAACACACAAATATGTGGAAATTAAACAACATGCTCCTGAGCAACCAATGGGTCAAAGAGAAAAAATCAAAAAGGAAATAAGAAAAATCTTAAGACAAATGGTAATGAAAATACAACATACAACACTTTTTGGGTATAGCAAAAGCAGTTCTGAGAGAAAAATTTATAGCAAATAATGCCTATTTTTTTGAAGAACCATCTCAAATAACCTAGTGATACATCTCAAGGAACTAAAAAGAAGAGCAAACTAAACTCAAAGTTAACAAAAGAAAGAAAATAACAAAGACTAGAGCAGAAATAAATGAAACAGAGACTTGAAAAACAACAGAAAAAAGTCAATGAAACCAAGAGTTGTTTTTTTGAAAAGTTAAACAAAATCAACAAACTGTTAGCTACACTAAGAAGAAAGAGCGAAGACTCAAATAAGGAGAATCAGAAATGAAAGAGGAGAAATTGCAACTGCTGCTACAAAAATACAAAGGATCATAACATATTACTATGAACTATTACACAACACCAAATTAGATAACCTAGAAAATGTGTAAATTCTCAAACACATAACACCCAAGACACAATAATGAAGAAACAGAAAATGCAAACAGACCAATACTGAATAAAGAGATTGAATCAATAATAAAAAGTCACCCATCAAAAAATTCCAGGATCTGATGACTTTCCTGCTGAATTCTACCAAACATTTCAAGAACAAATACTAGTTCTTCTCAAACTTTTCCAAAGTCAAAGAAGAAAAATTACTTTCAAACTCTTTTTACAAAGCTAAAATCACCCTGATACCAAAACCAGGCAAGAACATTACAGAAAAAAAATTACATGTCAATATCCTTGTTGAATGTAGATGTAAAACTCCTCAACAAAATACTAGAAAATTAAATTCAACATTACATTAAAAGTATTATTCACATGATCAAGTGGGATTTATCCCAGGGATGAAAGGATAGTTCAACATGTGCAAATCTATAAATGTGATACACCACTTTAACAGAATGAAAGACAAAAACCATGTAGTCCTCCTATTGATGGAGTGATGGAGGAAAAAGTATTTGACAAATGCGAACATTCTTTTATAATAAAAATTCTCAACAGATTAGGATAAAAAGAATGTTTCTCCACATAATAAAAGCATATATGACAAGAGAACAGTTAACATTGTACTCAACAATGAAAGTTGAAAGCTTTTTCTCTAAAACCAGAAATAAAACGAGGATGCCCACTTCTATTCATTATAGTATTGTCAGTCCTTGCCAGAGCAATTAGGCAAGAGAAAGATATAAAAGGCATCCAAATTGGAAAGGAACAAGGGAAATTGTTGCTGTTTATTGATGATAAGATTTTATATAGAGAAACTCTAAAGACTCCATCAAAAAAATGTCAGAACTACACTTTGGGAGGCTGAGGTGGGAGGATCATTAGGTCAGGAGTTCAAGACCAGCCTGATCAACATAGTGAAACTCTGTCTCTACTAAAAATACAAAAATTAGCCTGGTGTGGTGGCATGCGCCTGTAATCCTAACTACTCAAGAGGCTGAGACAGGAGAATTCCTTGAACCCGGGAGGCAGCAGTTGCAGTGAGCTGAGATCACACCACTGCACTACAGCCTGGATGCCAGAGCAAGACTCGGTCTCAAAAAAAAAAAAGTCAGAACTACTAAACAAATACATTACAGTTTTAGGATACAAAATCAATAAGCAAAAATCAGTAGTGCTTCTATAATACTATCAACAAACTATCTGAAGAAGAGATTTTTAAAATCCCATTTACAATAGGTAGAAAATTAAAATAGGAATACAATTAATTAAAGAGATGAAAGATCTGTACACTAAAATTTACAAAACTTTGATGAAAGAAGTTGAAGAAGAAACAAATAAATGGAAAGATATATGATGTTTATGGTTTGGAAGATTAATGTTGTTAAAATGTTTATACTACACAAAGTGATCTACAGATGTAATGGAATCCCTATCAAAACTCCAATGTGATTTTTCACAGAAATAGAAAAAATTCTAAAATTGTTTGAACCACAGAAAACCCTGAATAACCAAACCAATTGTGCATAAAAAGGACAAAGCTGGAGGTGTCATACTACCAGACTTTAAACTACATGACAAAACTATAGTAATTAAAACAACATGGTATCACCATAAAAATAGACACATAAAAAAGAACAGAATAGATAGCCCAAAAAATGAACTCATGAAATTATGGTCAATTAATTTTCAGAAAGGGTCCCAGAATACACAATGGGAAAAGGACAGTCTCTTCAATAAAGGATATTGGGAAAACTGGATATCCACATGTTAAAGAATAAAATTGGACCTTTATCTCATATCATGTACAAAAATTAAGTCAAAATGGATTAAAGACTTAAATGTAAGACCTGAAACTGTAAATCTACTAGATGAAAACATAGGTTAAAAACTATATGATATATGTCTAGGCAATGATTTTTTAGATATGACCCCAAAAGCTCAGGCAACAAAACCAAAAATAGACAAATGGAATTACATCAAACTAAAAAGTTTCTGCACAGCAAAGAAAGCAATTAACAAAGTGAAGAAGCAACCTATGGAATGAAAGAAAATGTTTGTAAACTATGTATATGATAAGGGGTTAAAATTTAAAATATATAAGGAACTCAAACAACTCAGTAGAAAACAAATAACCATATTAAAATGGGCACTGAACCTGAAATAGACATTTTCAAAAGAACTCATAGAAACGGCCAACAGATACATGAAGAACTGCTCAATATTTCCAATTATTGGAGAAATTCATATTAAAACGACAATAAGATATCACCTCAATCCTCTCAGAATGGCTATTTTTAAAATGACAAAGGATGATAAATGTTGATGAGGATGTGGAGAAAAGGGAACCCTAGCATGCTGTTGATGGGAAAGTTAACTAATACAGCCATTATGGAAAACAGTATGAAAGTTCCTCAAAAAACTAAAAATAGAGTTAACATATGATCCAGTAGTCCCACTTCTGGTTATACATCCAAAGGATTTGAAATCAGTATGTTGTGGAGATATCTGCACTCCCATGTTTATTGCAGCATTATTCACAATAGCCAAGTTATGACTATTGTGTCAGTTAAGTGCCCATCAACTGATGAATGAGTAAAAAAGATACACACACACACACACACACACACAGTGGAATATTATTTTGCCTTTAAAAAGAGGGAAATTATCATTCACGGCAACATAGATGAACCTGGAGGACATTATGCCACGTGAAATAAGCCAGGCACAGACAGATAAATACTACATGTTCTACTTACATGTGAAATCTAAAAGGTCAAACACATAGCATCAAAGAGCAGAATGGTGGTCACCAGAGGCTGGGAAATGAGGGAAAAGGGGAGACGTTGGTCGAAGGGGACAATGTTGCAGTTACACAGGAGGAATAAATAAGTATTTGAGGTGATGAATATGTTAATTAGCTTGATTCAATCATTCCACATTACATACATATATCATCGCATCACTTTGTACCACATAAATATATACAAGTATAATTTATCAATATCCAATATAAATGAATTTTTTAAAAAGTTGTAATGAGTGCTCCCTGTATGCTCAGCCTTCAGCAGGGCTTTGGAAATAAAGGAAGCAAAATTTCTTGCACAGAGAATTCATAGCCAAGGAAGACAAGTTAAGAAATAATTATGGGAACACATAGAAGAAGTATTTAATCCAGCCTAGGGGGTCAAGAAAATCTTCTTGTAGGAAGTAACACCCAAAATGAGAAGTAAATGAAAAGGAAGACTTTACCAGCAGGGTGATTGTGGCAAGTCTTTGTTACAGGCAAAAGGGATAATATGCACAAGGGCCTAGAGGGATACCATAGTGTTAGGAAAACCAAAAATAGTTTGGTATAAGTAGAGTGTAGAGTACAGGATGATGGGCAGCAGGAAGGAGCTTGTGGAAATACAGAAATATAATGCCTTCAAGATAAGCAGGGTCCAGCTTATAAAGACAATTTAATTATGCCAATAAGTATGAACTTTACCCTAAGTGCTCCTGGAGGGAAGACACTGGAGGCTTTCAACTATAGAAATGATGTGATCCAATTGGTATTTTAGAAATATCACTCTTTGAACAGTTGGAAGAAGAGGAATAACCCTTGATCCAAAGAGGCTTGTTATTGAGCTATTCCACCAATCCAAGTAAGAGCTATAAAAGAAGAGATGTGAACAGAAAAGAGGGAGAAATACTTAGGAAGTAGAATTGCTCAGGCTTAGGACTGATTATGTTAGGCTGGTGCAAAAGTACTTGCAGTAATTGAAAAAAACCACAATTGCTTTTGCACCAACCTAATATCTGTAGGTGAGAGGTGACTGGACAGCCTTTTGATGCTGCATTTGCATCAGCACCACCCTTACCTGGGCCAATTGGTTGTGCTCAGGGTGAGGGTCATGGGTTCAAAACACAGCAGCAGAGGAGCTCTTCAGTAGAACACATTGGCTGTGCCAATCTGAATAGCCCCTGACTCTGGTTCCAGAGGGTGAGCAGGAAGCAGAAGACTACAGGAATAAATGTCTGCAGACACTTCTCTGCATCGAGAACAAGGGAGGACTTTCATGAGGGCCAGTAAGAGTCTTCTTGAGGATGGAAGGGGTAGCAGGATAGATGCATGGTCCCCAGAAGATTCTTGCCTTTCCTCAAGATGGTGTGGATAAGTGGGAAAGATCTATTGTTCCCCAAAGTGATCTTGTCTGCCATAAGTGTTCCTTTAAGGGGAGCCACTTGGTAAGCTGAGGCAATTAGCTTTCCTGTCACCCATATCCTAATCTCTAGCAGCTCTCTGGGAGGAAATGAGTCACACTGCAATCTCAGACAAGGGCATCCGGCATCCTAACACTCAGGTAAGCACCCCTCCTCCCAGTGGTTATTCCCCCTGGGCTAGCCCATGAAAGTTGTTTTTCAGATCTACAAGAGTACCTCTATTTTACCTTTATTCATTCTTCTGTGAAAGGAAGGTTTCACTCTGAATAAAGCTATGCTATCCATCTAATTATTGTGTGATTCTGAATGAATACAACACCCACTAGCAGCAGCCATGCTGTTATGCTTAGGTCCTGATGGGTCACAAGCCTATATTCTTGTGATTATGAAACCATTTCTGGTGAAACCGAGAAAAAAAAGTGAATACTGCTATTTAAAACAGCAGCTGCCTTCTAAAGGGGACTGGGGGACGGATCTTGTTAAAAATAGTCTTGGGGACTCTGCTGGTCTTTTCTGCTGCAATGTTGACTTCACCTTAATGGATTTTGGTGCAACCACTATGGGCCTGGAACGGAGTTTTGGAGTAGGGACTAGAGAGAGCTCTGCTCTGTATTATAGTATGGGAAGAATTCAGAGCCCATAAGAGTGAGGGCGGATATGGCAGAGAAATGAGTGAGAACGAGATGGGAAGAAAGATAGGAAGGAAAAGGAGCTTGAAACAGGGAAAAGCCTTTGCAATCCATTAGGTGCCACAAAGGAACTACTTTTCAAGGCAGTGTGGCTACAATAACCTAGGGCAGGGACGACCAACATGCAAATCATCTTTTCAAACTTGTAGTAAAGTCTGATGGATGCCACATGTGAGAAATTGGAAGCAGAAAAAATGCAGTCTCCACACCAAGGTGAACACATGAATGGGGACGTATGTTTTGGACTTGAAGCAGTCTAGAAACTCAACTAATGCAGCAGGAGCAAGAGGCAAGTATGAGAATATAAACCTCTGAGCATTCAAAGAAAGTATGGGCAGGCATTGGCCTTCCAGTAAGTTGTGAAATTGGGGTTTCGTAAAGAATGGTTACTCCAGCTAAACACTGAGATGTACTAGCAATGACTGCTCCTAACATGTGTGAGTTACTGGGAAGTACAAATTGAGTATATTTGTATCAATATACAATATAAGTCAAGTGAAAAAAATTGGTAGATAAAATATGTTCTAAAATCTTAGGCAAATATATCTTCATAATATCAAAACTTAAAATATGGATAAAGTTATGGTTTTGATATGACTGAAAGTTGTCAAAACATCAAAGATGTCTGAAATTATCTATTGTTGCATATGTCCTGGTGTTCTGTTTATAAGCTGGCTACATTTGGTTAAGAAATAAAATGGACACATGATTCATAAGATATCTATTTATTCCAAGACACTTATTTCCTTGCCTTCATTTCAGAAAAATCTCTTATTCCTTTAATCAATATTTTCACATAATATTTGCCTCATAGAAAGCAATGCTCAATTAGAATTAGATCATTTTCCTTGAATTATTATGGGGTCTGGATAGTTTTTGTTATTTTCTTTTTTTTTTTTTGAGACAGGGTCTCACTATGTAGATCAGGCTGGAGTGGAGTGCAGTGGCAAGATCTTGGCTCACTGCAGCCTTGACTTCCATGCTCAGGTGATTCTCCCACCTCAGCCACCCAGGTAGCTGGCACCACAGGTGTGCAACACCATACCTGGCTATTTTTTTTTTTTTTTTGGCCGGGGGTGGGGGCGTGGGGTGTATGTGTTTGTTTGTTTGTTTTGAAATGGAGTCTTGCCCTGTTGCCCAAGCTGGAGTGCAATGGCGCGATCTCTGCTCACTGCAACCTCCACCTCCTGGGCGCAAGCGATTCTCCTGCCTCAGCCTCCCGAGTAGCTGGGATTACGGGCGTGCACCACCACGCCCAGCTAATTCTTTGTATCTTTAGTAGAGACGGAGTTTCACCATGTTGGCCAGGCTGGTCGCAAACTCCTGACCTCGTGATCCTCCCGCCTTGGCCTCCCAAAGTGCTGGGATTACAAGCATAAGCCACAGGGCCTGGCCTAATTTTTTGTATTTTGTTAATAGTAGAAATGGGATTTTGCCACGTTGTCCAGGCTGGTTTCCAACTCCTGAGATCAAGAGATCCGCCCACCTCCGCCTCCCAAAGTGCTGGGATTACAGTCCTGAGCCATTGTGCCTGGCCATTTTTGTTATTTTCAATTTGTAGAAAATTTGCTTTCTGAGGCAATAGCAATAGGAACTGACAAGAAAATAATATTTAAAGTAATGTTTAAAATGTAAATGGACCATAAATCTTGCATAGTATGTTCAAACATTGTAATAGGGTCAAATGTAAGAAATTACCTTTATCACAGAGTATGTTACAAAATATATAAATTTAGTCATATAAATTACTATCACTTATATCTCAATTCTTTACCATTTCTAGCAGCAATATATAGATACATACAGTATTACTTAAGTTCTTCTTTCAAAATTTCAATGCTGGAACATTATAAAGAAAAAAAACGGCCATATCTAGTTATCTCTGTTTAATTGAGAGTATACTATTATCTCTACTGGTCTTAAAAATAGCCTATATAGAAATTAATACCAAAATTTTTGTGTATGAATTCTTTCCTTCAGAGTTATAAAAATGTTCTCTTCATTTCTTTCTCGTTTATTTTATTTTATTTTAATGTCACTTTTGTTGTGTTTTCATATGCAGTTTCTTTTAACTTAGAAACATTTTCTCTCAGCTTCAAGTCAATGACAAGTTTTATATATATATACTTACATATGAATACATTGTAAATATATATGTAAAAACACTTTCTCTAAAAGCTTGAGCAATATCTCTTTACCCCTTTTTTTTGTTTTTTTTTTTTTTTTTTTTTTTTTTTGAGACAGAGTCTCACTCTGTCACCCAGGCTGGAGCGCAGCAGCACAACCGTGGCTCACTGCAATCTCCACCTTCCAGGTTCAAGCAAATTCTCCTGCCTCAGTCTCCCAGGTAGCTGGGACTACAGGCACACACCACCATGCCTGACTAATTTTTGTATTTTTAGTAGAGATGGGGTTTCACCATATTGGTCAGGCTGGTCTTGAACTCCTGACCTTGTGATCCACCTGCCTCTGCCTCCCAAAGTGCTGGAATTACAGGCATGAGCCACCGCACCCAGCCCCTTTACCCTTTAAAAAATATATTCATTTGATGTTGGTAGTGGTGTTCATAAGCTTTTGCTAGCATTATTAATAGCAAGCAACATTTCTTAATAAATGACTGTGGATAACACAAATTAAACTTAATTTTGTTTTCTGCTAAAGACCATAACTTACGACATTTTTAAGGATCTTCTCTTACCTTGTTTAATATAAATTTAATTGTTTCTAACACCATTTGGTTGGCATTCCCATCAGGTGTCTAACAGTTGTTGTAAGGTCAAATTTGATATGTCTTACATCAAAATATTCTATTATTCTATCCTTGGTAGATTCAGAAAATATTGTATGTAATGTTTAAGTTGTTTCAAAGAATATCGCATCTATTGGCATAGTTGTGACTACGTCCTCTAGTGACAAATTTAAACTATGCAATGTATATGGCACCAAAAAGTCTGCTGAATTTTTGGCTAAAATTTTGGGATAGATATATTGATTTGAATTGAATTCTGTTTTGCTCAAACTATTCATACAATGTCAAAAGGATATCATGACCATTTTCTAATATCTTCACCTAATAAAGCCCAAGATAATAAAGCTAATAGCTTCTTCTTTAGTCATGGAATTTGCCAATTTTATAAATGTAACTTTCTTTATCTTTCAATGAGCAGGTCAAAATTGTGTTTGACGTTTCCAAATTGCAAATTTGCTGTTAATAATTCTTTTTTTCAAGCCCCCATAGCCAAGACAATCCTAAGCAAAAAGAACAAAGCTGGAGGCATCACGCTACCTGTCTTCAAACTATACTACAAGGCTACAGTAACCAAAACAGCATGGTACTGGTACCAAAACAGATATATAGACCAATGGAACAGAACAGAGGCCTCAGAAATAACACCACACATCTACAATCATCTGATCTTTGACAAACTTGACAAAAGCAAGCAATGAGGAAAGGATTCCCTATTTAATAAATGGTGCTGGGAAAACTGGCTAGCCATATGTGCAAAGCTGAAACTGGATCCCTTCCTTACACTTTATACAAAAATTAACTCAAGATGGATTAATGACTTAAATGTTAGACCTAAAACCATAAAAACCCTAGAAGAAAACCTAGGCAATACCATTCAGGACATAGGCGTGGGCAAAGACTTCATGACTAAAACACCAAAAGCAATGGCAACAAAAGCCAAAATTGATGAATGGGATCTAATTAAACTAAAGAGCTTCTGCACAGCAAAAGAAACTACCATCAGAGTGAACAAGCAACCTACAGAATGGGAGAAAATGTTTGCAATCTATCCATCTGACAAAGGGCTAATATCTAGAATCTACAAAGAACTTAAACAAATTTACAAGAAAAAAAATCCCATCAAAAAGTGGGCAAAGGATATGAACAGATACTTCTCAAAAAAAGACATTTATGCAGCCAACAGACATGAAAAAATGGTCATCATAACTTGTCATCAGAGAAATGCAAATCAAAACCACAATGAGATACCATCTCATGCCAGTTAGAATGGCGATCATTAAAAAGTCAGGAAACGACAGATGCTGGAGAGGATATGGAGAAATAGGAACACTTTTACACTGTTGGTGGGACTGTAAACTAGTTCAACCATTGTGGTAGTCAGTGTGGCGATTCCTCAAGGATCTAGAACTAGAAATACCATTTGACTCAGCAATCCCCTTACGGGGTATATACCCAAAGGATTATAAATCATGCTACTATAAAGACACATGCACATGTATGTTTATTGTGGCACTATTCACAATAGCAAAGACTTGGAACCAACCCAAATGTCCATCAATAATAGACTGGATAAAGAAAATGTGGCACATGTACACCATGGAATAATATGCAGCCATAAAAAAGGATGAGTTCATGTCCTTTGCAGAGACATGGATGAAGCTGGAAACCATCATTCTCAGCAAAATATCACAGGGACAGAAAGCCAAACACCGTATGTTCTCACTCATAAGTGGGAGTTGAACAATGAGAACACATGGACACAGGGAGGGGAACATCACACACCAGGGCCTTTTGGGGGCTGAGGGGCTTGGGGCAAGGGATAGCATTAGGAGAAATACCTAATGTAAATGACAAGTTGATGGGTGCAGCAAACCAACATGGCACATGTATACCTGTGTAACAAATCTGCATGTTGTGCACATGTACCCTAGAACTTAAAGTATAATAATAATAATAAAGGTCACATACACACAAAAGAAAATTCTCTTTTTCATTCTCATTGTTTTTATTGGTAATTAAGTTTTTATTTAGTAAGGGATATGAAGTTGCAGGCATTTCCTTTCACCTGTTCAAGTTGAAGATTTAGTAGGAATAATTTTCTTGCCCATGTGCATTGTTTTCATAAATAATTATTTATGTAATAAAACATTTGTAATGTAATAATCACACATTTTATCTGGGTATTGCATTTCAGAAGTATGGTTACTTTCATTGTTTATAATTCTAAATTGCTCATCTTTTTTTTTCTTTTTTCTTTACAGCTTCTTTTCTTTCATGAGCTCAAATTTCTTAATGTGTATATCACAATCTTGTACTCATTCTCATTTAAGGGATTTTAAAAATAGCTGTAAAAGTGTACAAGATTTGAGTATATTCTCATTAAAATTCAAATTAAAATAAATATGAAAGATTTTATAAACAAAATAACATGTATGTTTTTAAGAAAGTTTTTTTAAGTACTTAAATGTGTTCAAATAAAAAGGCAAATATGAATTGTATTTAATAAATATCATGAATTCAAGATTATTTTAAGCTAAAGTTTTATTTTTTAAGCTTTACTTAAATCTCAATATTTACTTAAAACTCAAATATTTTTACAAAATTAATTTGTTCACAATTCTAGAGTTCAATTTCTTTGTACCTGCCAATGTAAAGAATCAGGGCCATACCTTTCTAATATTACGCATATTATGTTGGCCACAAATGTCTAAAGTTAAGAGTTATATAAACTGTTTAACATTGCAAAACATTTCTCATCTGCCATGTGTAACCTGTGCTAGTTGATGATTCTCTGTGAAACTGCAAATTGGAATGCAAAGAGAAGCAAGAAAATGGACAATTGGCACTACTGGGGAATGATAATCTTTTATACAAGAATGTGATATATTCATGTTATCCTAGAGGACAAATTTGACAAGTTAATTAATTTGTTTTTTTCTGTCCTAATAGCTTCTGCCATTCAAACCCCTCCTAGTGCCAGGGTGTATCCATCTCCTAGCGCCACAATCCACCAACTTAATGGTATTTGGATACAATTGCTTCTTAAATTAACTTTATTATTAATTGACACATAATAATTATACATATTTATGGGGTACTGAATGATACTTTGATACAGTTATACCATGTGTAATGATCAAATCATGGTAATTAGCATATATATCACCTCAAAACACTTATCCTTTTTTTGTGTTGGGAACATTTAAAATCCTCTCTTCTCATAATTGTCTTTCATTTTGAGGACAAAGGACAAGAGATGTGGAGAAGCATTTCTCTGGGGGAATGAAAGGTGTTAGGGCAGATGTAAGGGTTATATGTCCTTAAGCCAGCACTGGACAATGGATCCTCGGGGCAGAAACCCCTTTGGGTTTTTATTTTAATTTTTTTATATTTTTATTTATTTATTTATTTATTCTTTTTGAAGCAGAGTCTCACTCTGTTGCTCAGGCTGGAGTGCAGTGGCATGATCTTGGCTCACTGCAACCTCCACCTCCCGGGTTCAAGCGATTCTCCTGCCTCAGCATCCCAAGTAGTTGGAATTACAGGCATGTGCCACCATGACTGGCTAATTTTTGTATTTTTAGTAGAGACCGAGTTTCACCATATTGAACAGGCTGGTCTCAAACTCCTGACCTCGGGTGACCCACCCGCCTCAGCCTCCCAAAGTGTTGGGATTACAGGCGTGTGCCACAGTGCCCGGCCCCACTTTGGGTTTTTTAATAAATTTAGTTTTGGCTGTGTTTATAATACAGTGGTCCCTCTCCAATGTGAGGCCTAAGGCAGGATTTCCTTGCCCAAATCAAAGAGTGTTACTGATACTAGCAATTGTTTTAAATACTTTCATGGTAATAAAATGCCATAAGTTTAGCTTATTAATATGCACATTGGTGATGAGAAGTCTTATTCCCTTTTTACCTGTGTCTCAAATGTTATCAATAACATTTATCAGTAGTCTAATTATATATCTTGAATTTCAATATCCTTTCCAGTTGTGGACATTGATGGCTTTTTTTTTTCTTCATCCTTTTCTCCTTCTCTGGTAAAATAAACAAACAAAAAACCAAAAAGTCTGCTATTCTAGTAACTGTACTTCCTCTGGGTGGTGTGCCAGGGGTTGGAATTTTCTGATTGGCCAACCTGGATCATCTGCTCATGACAGTCTTGGGAGAGATGAGGTCCCACCCACTGCGCTGGGTGGGCATGTAGTACAGGATGGTCCATCAAAGTTGCTTTCCCCACCCTAGACATGATGATTAGGTCAGAGATGGGCCTATGGCGCCAGCAAGGACTGGGTTTTGGGGGGGATTGATATGATCTCTAAGACTTTTCTACTTCAAAATTGTAAACACAAGACCATGTCGGCTGGGCGCGGTGGCTCACGCCTGTAATCCCAGCACTTAGGGAGGATGAGGCGGGCGGATCACGAGATCAGGAGATCGAGACCATCCTGGTTAACACGGTGAAACCCCGTCTCTACTAAAAATACAAAAAATTAGCTGGGCGTTGTGGCGGGCGCCCGTAGTCCCAGCTACTCCGGAGACTGAGGCAGGAGAATGACTTGAACCCGGGAGGCGGAGCTTGCAGTGAGCCGAGATCGCGCCACTGCACTCCAGCCTGGGCGACAGAGGGAGACTCCGTCTCAAAAAAACAAAAACAAAAACAAAAGACCATGTAAGCCTAGAGAGGCCACAATCTATTTTTGCTGTGAACTAGAGACTGCATACCTGAGGAAAAAAAAAAAAACAACACAGAAGAGCAAGAGCCAGAAGACTGAGAGAATGGCATCTGATGATTTCACTTGAGCCCCTGGATCCAACCTCACTTATTGTGGATTTTTGAGTTACATGAGCAATCACATCCTTTTATTCTCGTCTTTTCTTTTTTATCTACTTCTTGTTAAATTTTGTCATTTATAATGAATGTCTTCCAAATAATACACAACCTTCCTCCTACCTGCCTTCTGGTATTGTTCTTTTATGTACTTCAGCATTTGACATGACTTTCCCATTCAAGTCTCTGTGACACTGAATAAATGAATGAATGAAGCTAACAATGACTTACTGCTTTTTCCTACATTCAGAAGTACTTATCACATCTGTCATTTACTTCTTTGATATGTGTATTATTTTCATGTTTACAAATGAGGAAAAATTTGCTCATAAAGTTTATGTTTCTTGCCCACAATCAATAGCTAGCTAGCAACTGGGGCAGAATTCAGAGCCTGGACTGACTGACTTAAAAACCTAAACCTTTTCTCCCTCCTCAATGAATCACCAGTAACGAAAATAGTGTTGTTGGATTATTTGTTTGCTTAAGATACTCTAAATCAAGTTATCTCCCAGTTGCCTGTCTCTTAGCGGTTCCATGATTCTCTTTGCTTAGCATATCTCTTCACGTACTTCCCCCAAAGAGATCATTGATGTCTCCCCAGTGTCTGCAAATCAATTAGTTTAATAAGTAGTGATTCTCATGTTTGACTTTTGGACTTCTTCTTAGCATTTTTATGATTCTTCTTAGTATCTTCAGCACCAAGCACACACCCTGCCACATAGTAGGTGCTGCAGGCTACAGAAGAATTCTTTGAACCTTTGATTACTTGCTCCTTGACTATATGAAAAAATAACTACTGTGTTCCTGAGTCTTCTTTTTTCTAAAAGAGACTTCCTTAATCCTTTCAGTTCTTCCTTATAAACATGTTTCAGTTGAGGAGGGTTTAGGTTATTGCAGTCTTATGAATATGAAGGACAATTTTCTTAGGAAGATTACTTTGATATTTATGTACAGGTTGGTAAGAGGAAAAAGAGAAAGGAAAATGACCAGTGGTGTTCTATCACAGGAATAAGCCATGAGCTTTTCATGGCCCTTACCATAACACGACAATTATTTATTTTTCACTACTATTAGACTGTAAATTCCATAAGTGCAGGCACACTATTTGTCTTGTTTGTTAATTTTTTTGAATGTCAAGTATAAAACACATGACCCTGCACCTGGTGTGAAGCCTATAGGCTTAAAGTTAGACTACGTTAGTTCAAATCCTGGATCACTCTATAATATGCAAACTCTCATAGATCAAGCCACATAATTCCCATAGCCTTGATAGTTTTGTTTTTAAGTGGATACCAGTCATTCCTATCTCAAATATTCATTGTGAAAATTAAGTTAGGTAGTTCATAGAAAGTGTTTAGCATAATGATGGGCACATAGCACTCAAAAATGCCTTCAAAATTATTATCAGGCCTTCAATAAATATTTTTAAACGATCTAGTTGTAGTTTCCTGACCTTCACTATTCTTGTTCCTAACCTCTCCATACATGCTGGTTTGATAATGTTCCTTGCTTTTAAACAACATTTCAGGGGGAATATGACCAATGAAATATCACAAAGACTGGCCACCTTCCTTTTGCATAGTTAGCTTTCTCATCTAATCAGGAGTTGACTCCTTTGTGCTTGCAAGACCCCTAAAGCTTTCTCAAACATGTGTCATTTATCAGCTTCTTCATGGAAATCTTGGGGTAGTAACTAAGCACTCATCAGATTGGAATCCAGTAGTCAGGGTGATAGCTTTGGCTTTAAAACGAGGTGTGGACCTGAGGGCAAATAGAAAGGACATTATCTCCTCAGTAATCTGAGGAAGCAAAGAAAATAACTCTGGAATTGGAGTTGGATGGCAGGAGAACAAAAGTTAAAACTGGGAAGCAGGATGGAGATGACAATAAATACTTGCTTTCTGTGTCAGCAAATGCCAAGCTGAAGTAATAAAACTGTACTTATAGTTGTTAATCCAGATATAGTTTGCATCCTGAGAGCTTTGCATATTGCAATAAAGTGTCTTTGTCCTCTGAAACAGCTGTGGGGGAGGGCTGGAGCTGAGAAGTGAAGGTGAAAGCAAGTGGGTCCTGGGGCACGGCCTTCGGAGGGGCAGCTGCTCCTCACCTCTTGTGGTGGAGTGGTAATGGAATCAGCAGTGAAGGCGGCCACAGAGCCTGCTGTTTGGGAGCTGCTCTGGGTGCCTGCTTCATCACATGTTAAGAGAAGATCATGTGCTTTCACCAGCCCAGATGGACACCACCTGTTTCTGTGCCAACATCCTGAATTTGTGGGCACTGAGCGGCAGCCAAAGGGCAATGTCCTGACTAAATTGTAGCTGTGGGCCTTAGCCCTGTCATCGAACTAAACACATTTCTCTACGCCTTTGATTCTCTCTGTGTGTGGAGATGGGCCCACAGCCCAGGCACTCATAGGCAAAAACCAATACCTCCCTGCTCTCAGGCATATCCAGGACTGAGCCAGGATAGCGTCTCATCCAGAGAAGGGACTGGCCTTCTTTTGAACATATCCTTCTCGATGACTGGTATCTTGAAAATGTATAATGAAGATCTGGTTACAGAGTCAAATCATTGACTAGTTAATGAATTAAAAGGTTGCTTCTAAACTTAATGTTTGGCTCCTGTAAGAAAGATTTAGGCCTATGTTTAGCCTAGCTCACCTAAAAATAAGGTTTCCTTTTCTCCCAAATTCAAAATGCCTTGAGAAAATATAATACCACGTATACATCCTGAAGCCCTATGTGACCGAGTCCTGTCTCCAGCTTGCATTTATAGATACTCTGAAAACAGAAAATAATTCAAATAAGTTTGATCTTTGATGCCCTCAAAGAACATTTAGGGGAATCCCATTCAGAAAGCACAACATTCCTGGCACAGAGCAAGCATTTCATAGATAGCAGTTTTGCTTGCGATATTATTATTATTATTATTATTTTCAATTTATTGTTGTTTTATTTTACAAGCCCCTCCCCAAGTTCCTATCTCTACAGGGGCTCTGTCCCAAAACCCTAAAATCTATTTCTGAAAGCTCCTGTCAAAGCACACATCTTATCTGAATCGCACAGAAAGCCATTAACAGCTAGGAACACAGCTTAAATTAGTTTATCAGATTGGCTTCACTCATTTAACAGAGACCAAAGTAACAGAACCCTGGAGCCCAGTAAATAAATAGAGGTTTCCTGGCCTCCAAAATGCAGAGTATTCAAAACAGTGCTTGTAAGAGGCTCAAATTTCCTGGTCTAAAAAAGACAAATACTTTGAATAAATGTAACAGAAAAACTAGAGTCCACTCATAGTGGATAAATTTTCTTCTTACACATTTGGAGGAAGTAGCTACCTTTAAATGTGAATGTAAAAAAAAAAAACAAGACACATTCCTAGACTTTGTATGGCATAATGCAACTGATAGAATACAAACAGAGCAATAAGTTTCTACTTTATGATATCTTCTACAGGAAGCATTACAAATTAAGAGTGTATGTCTCTAGCATTAACTTAGAGAAGCAATTCAATTGTGGAGAAATATACTTTGACAGGATAAGGTCAACTTATCAATCAACAGAAATTTTATGGCATAACTTTTTTTCCTATCATCAGTATTTGCTGAGCATTTACAGTGTACTAGGCACAACAGAACATACAGAAAACATTGTCCCTGCTCTTGAGGAGCTCACATTCTAAAAGAAAAAATACACCTCTTTTAAAACGGCATTTTTTTCGGTGTTTTCTGCAAAGTACCGAGGAAATATTTTGTAAAGTGAGCTTTGGGTATAACTTAGCCCCATCCTTATTTAGAGAATAGAGGAAGAGAAAGAGGAGGGATTTTCAAGGCAGACAATGACAAACCATTCAGGATAGGTAGGGTTTTAAAGAGCGAGAAACACAGTCTCATCAACTAAGGAGAGATTTGCTGTAGTAAATAGGATAAGGGAAATAGTCTGTGGGATGCAAGCAAAGGAAGCAGGGTGTCTTAGACATTGAGTGGGGCAAGAAAGATCATGCGGCTTTTTTTCCAAGTATATGGCCACCAAGTAGGAATGATTGGTGACAAGACAGAAGGCTAAAAAAGGAAGGTAATTTTGTGCACCTAACATCCCACTCCTTTAATTCTAAATTCTACAATTACTAAATAGTTTTTGATTCTCCACTTTGCCAATTGTGTGACCTTAGTCACGTCACTTAAACTTCTGAGGCATGTCTTTAACAGCACAATGAAAAGGCTAGGCTACATAATCACTATGTTTCTTTCAGGTGCTAAACTTTTCTGTAAATTATATCATTTGTAATTTAATCTCCTGGGCAGACAACATATCCAGAAGCTACTATAAGAGAACTGGTTCCAATTTTTAAGCTTTATATAATATAATGTGCATCTTTTCCTATTAAATTTTGCTACTGTTTCTATTTACCTTTAGTCTGGACCAACTGGGGTACTTCATTAGAGGAATATTATTGTTCCTATTAGATATCATATTACAGTTTACAAAGTGTCATGCTAGAAGACAGGCAATAGGGCATAATGATCAGAGAGTGTGGGCTCAAGAGCCTGACTGACTGGGTTTGATACCTTCTTCACTGCTTCTTACCTGCATGCCCTTGGGATAGTTACTGGTGCTCCAACATTACCTATACGAAAAAGGGATACAAGAGTACCTGCTTAATAGGATTATTGTGAGGATTAAATGAATTAATACATTAAAGTGTTTCAGACAGTTGCACAGCCCATAGCAAGCACTCAGTGACCATTAGCTACAATGTTAATTACAACTATCATATCCATTGATCTTCACAAAGCTAAACAGTCATTTCTAGTGACCCTTCAGATGAAGCAACTGGAGGATAAGACAAGTTGCACTGATTGTCAAAGGTCGCGCAATTCAGAAAGTTGGGTCATGAGAATGGAACCTAGGCATTCTAATTTCAAGTCTAGTGATCTCTCCATACACTCTGCTTTCCCTGTGAAGCCAATGGCTGGAATTTCACCATTGACTGGTCTGATGAGATTCATCCCAGCCGAACTCTGCCTCCTAGTGAGAGTGCACCCCAGTGCTCAGCCATTCATCTTTAAGTCTTCATCTTAATGACCAGCAGACAGTGCTAATAGCTACATCACTTTCAGTGTGGGGCACAAGCCATTATAATATCTCCCAGAGACATCTTCCTTCACTTCCTTTTCACTGGAAGTAATTACTGTCTTCTTTTAGCAGCCACATCACTTTATAGTGTCCATAAGAGTCCATATAAGAGTCCATACCATCATTCACTTCCCAGCACACACTATGGCTTCCTACATAAACATCTTATTTACTCTGCTACACTCTTCACTCCTTGAGTGAACTGTTGATGTCTTATTCAGTTTGCACCTGGTTATGCACTCTATAAGTATCTGCTGATTGAAGAGAAGAATGAATGAGTGTATACTTGAAGTATTTAGGATCAAGCCCCTGCAGAGAGACATAATTGAATTCAACTCAAGTAAATTTTGAATGATGAAATGTACCTGGCACTATACCATATATACCATTATAGGAGACCCAAAACATATGTCATAGTCTCTTAAGCTTTTTTGGACAGGCAAGACTTATACTCATGAAGAAATTATACCTGCGGGGGGAAAATGGAAATGAGGTAAGAGAGTACTGGCAGTCCTCAAATTAGAATGTTCTTCCAAAAATTCATTTAAGTTGGTTGTTTGAAGTTTGGAGTAACTCTATCTATGAAAACATTGTCATCAGCTTTATAATATGTTTCCAATATTGGTCCACAATATTTTGCCAGAAAAGTCAAAGATGGGAAGGACTTTAGAATTTATCTACTCAAAGCTTCTCATTTTATAGAAGAGACAGTATGACTTTCCTAAGATCACACAGTGAGTAAGCTGAAACTAGAATTCTCATTTTAGCAACACTCAGTAGTAGTAATAGAAAAGCAATCATCACGACAGGGAACTGTACTTGTGTAAATATTTATCAAATGTCCATTATGTGGCAGACTGTGCAAATGCCTTTTTACCCAAAGCACCATCCTTGACGATCCTCTCCTTCCTCTGCCCTCTTTGATTTACATTCTGCTGATTTTACTACTTCTATATTCCTCTGATCCATCCTCTTCTCCCCAACTCTACCATCACTTTTTTAGTTAAGGTCACTTCCTCTCTTATCTGGCCAATTACAGCAGCTTCCCAGTTTGCTCTCCCAAGTCCTTTGTCTCTAGAACCTCCAAAGTGATCTATGTATGACATTTAAGAAACAAACTATATCATTACATTTCTCTGCTTAGAACTTTCATATGAGTCCACTTTGCCTACCAGATGAAATGCAGGCTCCCTAACTTGTTCTACAAAGTTCTCCATTGTCTACTGCCTGTGCGCCTCCCCTGTCACTCCCCGCCTCCCACTTCAAGCAATGACAATACAGACCTGCTTGCCATTCTCTGCTCGACCATGATATTTTTCCTCCCTCTTCTAGCTCACATTCTCACCTCTCTCTGAAGTGCCCACCTCCGTTCTCAGCTCACCTGCCTAGGTCCTATTTGTCCTTTGGTAACAGAGGTATCCACTTCCCTCTGTCTCTATGTTGCTTCAGTCTGGCTCCTGAGAAGAGGTTTTTTTAGCTCTTTATTCACTAGATGGTGATAGAAAAGAACTCAAAACAATTTTTCCACTACCCTATTAGGTGACCAGGGATTTTCTAAAATCTTAGTATGTCCAGGAGCATTACTTGAGTGAGTCAAATCAGAGAATCCATGATATAACTGGACCCATTGCATTGACTGAAGAATTGATACGTATCTGAGGCAGAGATCGGACTGCATGTGATAACTGTGTCCCTAGAGAACAGGAATGGTCAGAGCTTGAGATGTTGACTGGCCAGCTGCCCTTCTAGGAAGATTGTCCCTAGAAGCCACTGCTGGAATGATCCTCTAGTGTAGGCACTGCTTCCAAGCAGCCTGCTCTCTTGTCCACCAACCTTTACCTCTTATGGTCCAGTGTCCTGCCTAGCTCTTTAAATGGCTTCTTCAGGGACTCATGACCCTAACAGCTTTTTTTTCTCCTGTGTTCCCCTGAGATCCTCTCAGACTTCTCCCAACAAGAACTGAGTCCAGCCTCCTTACATAATAGGGGTGTTGGTCTACTGGGAACCAGATATTTGCCCCAAAGCCTATTTACATGTGATTGCATAGGCCAACCACAGCTACCTAGCAATTTCCCGTCCAGCCTTTAAACCCAAAGGCTGATCATGTTCCCAGTAAGCGGAAATAAGGGTTCATTTTGCACCAAAATGATATTTCTCCAATAAAAATGAAATTGGATGACATTCATTTACAACAGGGTGTTCTTATGAAGCTTTAAGACTTAGTTCAGCATCACTGCTGACATGAAGCCACTCTGACAAGCAGGTCTTCCCCCACTCCTCTCTGTCTGGGCTGAGTGCCTTCACTCTGTGCCTTGTAATAAGCAGACCAATATCTCCATCACTGTGCTGACCACATTGTGTTGCAATGATCTGTTTATACACCTGTTTCCACCATATCTGTGAGCTTTTTGATAGCAGGGGAGATCTTATTCATCTTTACATTTTTTATCCTAACAACAGTGTCTGACACAAAGTAGATGCTCAATAAGTAATTGTCTTACTGTATTTCACTGACTTCCTTTGATAGCTGGAGTAAATCAGAGAGCTGACCTCTTCCCTCAGGAAAGTTATATACAATTTAACCTTGTTATTAGTATGGCAAAGAGCCATCCTTTTCTGAGGGTTCTTTTCTGATGCCTCCTAGGAAGGTGCCTCCTAGATGAGGCACCAAGAATTACTATGCAGATGAACGATACATAGAAATGTGTCTAGCAGGCCGGGTGCAGTGGCTCACGCCTGTAATCCCAGCACTTTGGGAGGCCAAGGCGGATGGATCACCTGAGGTCAAGAGTTTGAGACCAGCCTGGCCAACACGGTGAAACCCCATCTCTACTAAAAATACAAAAGATTAGCCTGGCATGGTGGTGCATGCCTGTAGTCCCAGCTACTCGGGAGGCTGAGGCAGGAGAATCTCTTGAACCTGGGAGGTGGAGGTTGCAGTGAGCCAAAATCACACCATTGCACTCCAGCCTGGGCGACAGAGTGAGACTCCATCTCAAAAATAAATAAACAAACAAACAAATAAATAAATAAATAAGAAGGAAAGAAAAGAAAAAGAAATATGTCTAGCACACCAACAACAAACAGCTCAGACTGGCTGAATGGCCAGCCAGAGGTGTGATGATTTAAGTCAGTTAGATGTCTCTGGTAAGAAGTTTACAAGAAGTAAGGGTATTTTACATTTTCCCTCAGGTTTCTGGAGGAGGGGCACACTTTGCGGAAGGGTGGCGGGTACTCTGACCGATAGCACACAGAATCAAATCCCAAAAGGTCTTTAACGGTTATTTCTTTCAAGAGAACTTCATATTAAGCAATAATCCTACAGTCTAGATAATAATTTATTTTAAAAATAATAATAATCCAGCAGAGCCCTAGGCACATATGAAAGGCATTTACAATAGGGAGTCTTCCAGGAACTTTTATTCTTACAGAGGAGATAAGGCACGTGCATGTGCAATTGGTACACAGATATCTTTCTAGTTGCTTTTCTCTGAATTGCAAAAATTGGCAGAGGCAAGATCTAGTGGTGACGAGGGACTTCAACTAGCAGGACATCTGCTGGAAGTCTCATGCAGAACATCTGATGAATATTTACCTGGCCTTGCTGACAACTTCATCTCTCAGTAGGCAGAAAAAGTAATGAGAGGAAACTGCTAGTCAAGGCTTAATTATGACCAGTAAGGAAGACCTGGATAATGATGTGTGTGTTATAAGAAACTGGGAGGAAAGTGACTGTGACATTTCCAAAAACTGATAATAAATGATAGGGTGGCCCCTTATTATAATAAAATATGGCAACTATCTCAATTCCTTTTGGGAAACAAGCAGTGCATGAATAAATTAACAAAAATATTTAGATCAGTACTTCCCAGACACCAGGAGAACAAATGTCTAATAGTTCAGAGCAAAAGATTACGATCTTGTGACCTATGATGCAAAATTAATAATGGAGCCCCAACCTCTAACAGGATGGGCCCTTCTAAGAAATGAAATTCAAATAAAATAATCATGAGTCATCCTGATAAAAAAAAAAAGGAGAAAGCAGCTAACAAAACCCATGGGGCTTCATAAAGAGCTCTTTGATGAGCTCAGATTGAATAAAGGCTTGCACAAAAGATATAAGGAGGAGAACATAGCAGAACAAATCCAAAACTTCACATGGTCCTGTAAGGACAATAATAAGACTAATGCTCACGATACACTGAGGATTCACTATGTGCCAGGAACTGTGCTCAGCACTTTTGCATATATTAACAAACTGATTCCTCAGAAGAGCATGACAAAGTCGATGTCATATTTATCTTCTTGTTATAGATGAAAGATCTAAGAAACAAAGTGGTTAAGTTACTGACCCAAGGCCAAAAACCCAATAAGTAGCAGAGTTGGGATTTTAATCTAAATAAGCTGGTCCAAGAGTTGACACTCTTAACCTCTATGCTCTCCTTCTATCGATTTCGCAATACTCCTCAGGACATTGTATGGCAAGTCAGAGCAGAATGCATAGGGCTTTGGCAAAATATAGTTTCAAATAGCTTTCAAAGGGGATATTCCATGTAAAAGGAAGAAGAAATGATAGAATAAAATGGAGGTGATAAAATGGAAACATGGCAAAGAAAAAGCAACCCTAATAAACTCTTAAATTCTTGCCATGTTCTCCAGAGAGGTTTTTAAGTTGGAAAAGGTAGATTAAATATTGTAGTCTTTAAGCCAAATTAAGAAGGCAAAGCTTCCAGTTTGCTCTAAAATATTAGTGGTTTTAGGATTTTGAAGATATTAACTGGCCCAAAGGGAAATAAGACACATTTGTGCTGTGATTGTAGCATAAAAGTAGAGAGCTCAGGTCAGAAGGTATAAAAGGGAAATATCATGGAAGCCAAGACCCTAAAGACCACGCAGGCCAGCGCTTTGTCCCATTTTACTCCATGTTACCAACTAGATCTGAAGTTTATGCTCAGTTCTGGGTATCACGTTTTGTGGAGAGTATTGACTAATCATTACTCCACCCATGTCCAGAGAAGTAAAAACCAATGGTAAACAATAGGTACTGTGCTGTGTGGAGATCTCTTGGTGGAAATGGGGCTGTCTTATCACTATAGGTGTAGGTCAGGTGCGGTGGCTCATGCCTGTAATCCCAGCACTTTGGGAGGCTGAAGTGGGTGGATCACCTGAGGTCAGGAGTTCGAGACCAGCCTGGCCAACATGGTGAAACCCCGTCTCTACTAAAAATACCAAAGAAAAAAAAAATGAGCCGGGAGTGGCAGCAGACGCCTGTAATCCCAGCTACTCTGGAGGCTGAGGCAGGAGAATCGCTCCAACCCAGGAGGGGAGGCTTCAGTGAGCCAAAGTCGTGCCATTGCACTCTAGCCCGGGCAACAAGAGCAAAACTCCAACTCGAGCAACAACAACAAGAACAATAAAACCATAGGTATAACATTTGAATGGTAATTCACTATTTACAAAGTGCTTTCACAGGCATTATTTTCCTTGATCCCAACAACATTCTTCACCAGTAAATACTCCTAGCCCATTTAACAAAAGTTCAGAGGAGGAAATCAAGATGGTAGCAGAACTGGAACTGAGTTTAAGCCAAAGGCTCTGCTCACTATAACCAAGCTCCCTTATTGTTGCTGTCTTCAAAGATCTGAAAGACAATCATGTAGAAGAGGGGTTAGATTGTCCTCTTAGCTCTATCTGAGCTCTAAAGTATAAATAACTTTTCAGCACCCTGACCCTGTTCAAATGGAGCCAACAGGATGACACATAAAGTTATTCCACTGATGGGAAATTTAGTCTATTAGAGCAGTGGTTCTCAGACTTCTACATTTCATGAACAAAACAACAACAATAATAAATGGAGAACTTACATGGGATTAACAATTTTACCACCTACCTTTTGTCAGCTCACTGAAAAAAAAAGAAACTGAACAGCAAGGAAAGAACAGCTTACTGCCACACTGCCTTTCTGTATTCCATTTTGCTACAGACTGGTTAAAAAAAAAAAAAAAAAGTCACAAATTGGCAACAATCCACAGACCATTATTTGGGAAACATTGGATTAGAGAGTTTTTAAGGTTCTTTCTAATTTTAAAAATAGTACGACTTTAAATCATGTATTTTGGTACTTAATTATGCCTTTCTTAAATTTTAGCTAACATCTTGAAAGCTTACTCAGTGCCAAGCAATGTGTTAAGTTCTGTACATGTCAGTCAATTTAATGCTCCAAATAACCCAATGTAAAAGATACTGCTGGTCTACTTTCATTGGAAACTAAGACTCAGAGAAGTTCTGTGACTTGTCTCAGGTTGCACAGCTGAATTGAACTTTGATATCTAACTTCAGTGCCTCTACTTTTAACGACTGCTGTAAGAGCGAATGTTTGTGTCCCATCAAAATTCATATGTTGAAATCCTAACCCCCAATATAATGGTTAGGAGGTGGGGCCTTTGGAGCAAGATTAGGTCATGAAGGCTTAAGTGCCATTATAAAAGAGACCCCAGAGACTCCCCTTGTCCCTTCTGCCACATGAGGACATGAAAGAAGGCAACTGTCTAAGAACCAGGAAACTGGACCTCACCGGATGCCGAATCTGCCAGCACTTTGATCTAGGACTTTCCAGCATGGAGAACTGTGAGAAATGGATGTTTGTTGTTCATAAGCCACCCGGCCTATGGCATTTTGTTATAGCAGTCTGAAGAGACTAAGACAACTGTGTTATATGCCTTCTATTATATTATTAATATTAATAAAATATTTCAAGTATTAAAATTTTTATAGACTCTGAGTTCGTAGAAACCAAGGTCTGTATGTTTTTCATTTCTGAATTCCACAATAACAGTACAATATCTACACTGCATTGTACCCTAAAACTTAAAATATAATAAATAAAAAAAAATTAAGATGTTTACTGAATGCCTACTAGAGTTCAGCTACTCAGCTTGGCTGAGGCACACAGAAGGTATTTGTTGATTAGTTGGTCAGCAAATTCATATAGGAGAATTTTGAATCTATGATTAGTAAAACAGTTCTCTCATTTAACTCATATGCTATCTCAGTATTCAAACTCACAGGAATCATCAGCCAGGGGAGTCTTTTCTCTGACTTAATAAGTCAAAGAAGGAACACCCTGACGTCCTGTTGCTTCTGAGACTCTCCTCTCAGCGCCAGGCAGAACAGCAATGATCAGGCTTGTTCTTTATTTCCTCTGTTCTCCATGCACATAGCTGTGCCTGCCCACTGTCTGGCAGCCTGCAAGAACAAACAGGCTCCCCTCTGGGCCTTTTGAGCCCCTGAACCATTAAAAGGCTGTTGGGAAGCACCTACTGTGAGCCAAACAGTAGGGAAAGCAGGTTCTATAAGAAAAGGCGGATTGGGGGGTAATACACTCTAGAGGAAAAGAGTCTCAAGGGACTGGGAGCTTGATGTTTGACTTCACAGCTTATATTCATATAATGTTCATCATCTGCCCACTGTCCTATGTGCCAAAGAGATTTTTGTCTTGCACTGCCACCTCACCAGTGAAAAAGCATGTAACTTGCTGAGAATGTCCATTCCAATCAGCATAGTTGTTAGCAGGAACACAGCAGATGTCACCTAGCAGCCGGCATGGCGTGCTTTGAGGATTCAGCCTAAGGAGAGGCTGCTGTGCTGCCCTTGTGCCTGGCCCCAGGTGCCACCTCTCCTTGGTGCTGGTGCTCCTGCGCCTTCACGTATCCCCTTCCCCGACACGCACACACTGGCTCGTCCTGTATCAGGGCCCAGAGACCGTGGGTGGGTGAGAATGAAAGTGAGAAGAGCAAAATCTATCCTTGACAACCTGAAGGTGGCAATAATCACATTTACTTGAAAATTGCCTGAGAATGAGCTGCATGTTCTGTGTGAATATGCAAACACATGCAAATGTATGCAAATGTGCGACCCTCCTAACTATTTTCTCCATCTGGATGTGGCCCCTTGTGGTGAGGCCAGAAGGAAGCAGTCTCCAAGTGATGGATTCCGTCCAGTTCTCCCTCTAACCTGAGAGGGTAGCTGGAGAAACATCCGCCTTTGTTCTCCTGGTCACCTTTCTCCTATTGCTGGGGTTTGGGAGGGGGCTCGGGCACCCAGATAAGCTCACGGTCAATAAATATACATTGCTTTGATTTATTCTGGGCTGATGTAGAAAAACCAGCCTGTCTCATCCTTGTCCCCTGCCTCATGCCCAGTGCCTGCCATCCCATTTTGGCCCCACCATGATGTAATAACATGATAACATTATCATATTGCTGTGAGTATTACAGTAATGTGGGAACGTTCCACATCCCTGAGCCTCAGCCACCATCTGTAAAACAAGCAGGCAGGCCGGGAGCGGTGGCTCACGCCTGTAATCCCAGCACTTTGGGAGGCCAAGGCCAGAAGATCACCTGAAGTCAGTAGTTTGAGACCAACCTGGCTAACAAGGTGAAACCCCATCTCTACTAAAAATACAAAAATTAGCCAGGCATAGTGGCGTATGCCTGTAGTCCCAGCTACTCGGAAGCCTGAGGCAGGAGAATCGCTTAAACCCCGGAGGTGGAAGTTGCAGTGAGCTGAGATCGTGACACTGTACTCCAGCCTGGGCGACAGAGTGAGACTGCATACTCAAAAAAAAAACAAAAAAAAAAAACACTAAATAAATAAATAAATAATAAAATAGAAACACAAAAGCAAAATCTGGTTCGCTTTAAGGTCCCTCCTGGAAGGTTAGATCTGAATGTCTTGAGTTTATGATGGGAAATGCAGCAACAGGGCAGTGCTGTTATGACTTATCACCAGCTGAGCACATAAGAGAAAAGGGAACAAGGACCTTAAATTCATCTGGAACATAGACCTGGGTTCAAATCTCAGAATTTTCTGGTTTCTAACAGTTGATACTTGGACAAGCTGCATAGCTTCTGATTGGAGAGCCCCATTTTTCTCCTTAGTAAAAAGAGTCCATTAGCTCCCAAAGGGTTTTGTACTTAACTTCTATCCTCAATACATACATTAACATACACAACAGACATTTGGAATGCATACTATCTGTCCAGCACTGGGCTATGTTCTGGAAAGTAAAAGGAAGCCACAACCTTTGTCCTTAAGAAACCCGGTTAGCGGGACCAACAAACACATAAGGACAGAGGTTAAATAATACACGATAGTCATTATTACGCCCAGTGTGCTTCAGGAGCACAGAGCAGTCACACCTACCTCACCAACCCAGCTTGCGGGGACAGAGAGGATGGGCTCAGGTCAGGAAACACCAGAGCTAAGTCTCGAACATGTAGGCATTAGCTAGATGAAGGGGAGGTGTTGAGAGCTTTCCAGGCCAATGGAGCAGCCCCACACTAAGGCACAGAGGCCTGAGGGAAGGTGGCTTGCTTTGGGGGAACCACTAGTCATTCATCATGTCTAAAAGTTAGCATGATTGATGAGGCTGGAGAGACAGGTTTGGGGAAGTTTCGGGAGGACCTTGGGAGCTGTGCTAAGCTTGGCTTTACACTAGGATGATGGGGAAGCCACGGATACTTGCAGGAGTGATAGGGATAGATTGGCAGGTGGAATTGTTTTGAGGTGTAATTGACTGTGACTGCAGGTGGAATTGCTTTGAGGTGAGTCTGGCTGGAGCCCAGGAGGACCATCAGAAGCCTGGAAATGCTAGTTCCCCCATACATCCCTGAGAAGTCAGATCTGTGTAATCCAGGCCCCCATCCTGCACTACAGGCCAGCACTGATCCTTGGCGTAATTGTGATGCAGGTAAAATCTGTCTTCCGGCTGCCGTGCCCCTGTTCCTTCTTTCATTCAGCTCCTTGTCCCTCCTCAGCTGCCTGTTTTTCTCCTGTTGCCCTCGACCCTCCCTGCGGCAACATTTCTGATTCATTAACTTACAAGTAGTGTCTGTTATTTAATCCATTGCCCCTCTTGGAGAAATGTCTGTGTTAAAAGAGGAGCACAGAGAGCGGACAATGTTTGCCAAGGAGAGAGATCTCTCGTCGCAGTCATTTCAGGCATCAGCAGAGTGTGTACAGAGTGTGGGGATTGGGCTATAAGGTGTCTGTGCCACTGAGCACAGACAAGGTCTGGCCACTGGGAATGGGGTGGCATGGCCTCCACCTGCCTTCTGCGATGTGTACCTGGACACAGAGTCCAGAAGCAGTAGACCATGCGTGGCTGTGTACACATGTGCATGTGAGTGTGCCCACTTGTCCTGTTGTCTGGGGGTGCACAGCCTGAGACCCCACATGCCTCGTGACTCTGTGTGGTCTCTCTGCTACCTTCCAGGGGCACATTCCTCCATCCTATGCCCAGCTCTTTGGCACCCCTCAGCACTCACTTCTGACCTTACTTTTGCATCACACCTGACATAGTGATGGCTCCCCACAGTCACCTTTCTTTCCAGAGGCCCCTCCCACCCAGAGGAGGAGAAAGAAAGACAGGTAGAAAGGTTGTGTCCCCCATTACCACACAGCGCTCAGACCTGTGCCATTTAGGGGAAGATTTATTTATTTATTTATTTTAAGAAGAGTCTCTCTCTGTTACCCAGGCTGGAGTGCAGTGGCGCAATCCCAGCTCACTGTAACCTCTGCCTCCCAGGTTCAAGCGATTCTCCTCCCTCAGCCTCCCGAGTAGCTGGGGCTACAGGCACCACCCCACGCTCAGCTAATTTTTGTACTTTTGTAGAGATGGGGTTTCACCATGTCGGCCAGGCTGGTCTTGAACTCCTGACCTCAGGTGATCCTCCTGCTTCAGCCTCCCAAAGTGCTGGGATTACAGGTGTGAGCCACTGCACCCGGCCTTGGGGGAAGATTTGAGGAAGTTCTATTTTTCTGGGGCAGAGGGAGCCTGGGAAAGGAAGGCGGTGTGGGTTTTTGTCACTTTTCCTAAAGCATGGGAACTAGATGTTTGTGCAGGGCTGTCCTCAGTGCATGGTGATTCCTGAATTTTAAGGTGGAATCTGGAAGACAAGGAGACTGCTGGAGGTAGTGGTAGGGTGGGAGAGAGGAGACCCTAAAGTCAGGTTCTCATTTTTTTGAATATCCAACAAAATGTGGGGTGCTTCTTAAACTGCAGTGTGCAAACGAATCACTTAGGATGTTGTGAAAGTGCGGCTTCTGATTCAGCAGCAGATCTGGGATGGAACTTGAAAGTCTGCATTTCCTACAAGCTCCCCAGTGATGCCAATATTGATCCATAGCCCACAACTTGAATGGCATTAGTAGATGACGTGATGTTAATGTATTTCCAATGAGTTGGGGGAGCTCCGTGGCTGATAAGCAGATGAGTTCTCCCAACCGCTCCACCTTCCCACAACAAGGAGCTTCCAAAGGACACCAAGGAACATAACCCACAGGAGAGGGTTGTGAGAAAAGTTGCAATGTGGTCATTTGAGGGTCCCTGTATAAGGTTAAGTATGATCAAAGATTTTGTGGCAATTCAAGAGCATTTTAAGCCCTTCTCTAAACAATACTATAATGCAGAAAAGCCAGCCCAAATGCCATTAAAATACCCACCAACAGCTCCCATTACCATCACTACTATCACCTGCTCCCTTCCCTTGCCCCCTGTTGACCCCTGTTGTAAGGGAATTCTTCCTTAGAGGTCCCTGTGAAACACTGTTTTAGGCAGATTCCGTGAGTCCTTTGGTCACAGGGCTGAGAACACACCCAAAGACAGAGCTGGAAGGCTAACTCCTAGCAGTCCAGCTCCCATGTGCTCCTGCCTTTGTAAGAACTTGTGTTTAGGGTGAAGTGACCCCAAAAGGCAATGGACATTTTTCGAATTGCCTGCAGGGCAAACTCTTCTTTAATACTAATTGCAGTGTATTTCCTCCCAGCTGTAACTGATTTCAGAGCTTCCACATCTGTCAGTCATCCCATTTAATCTTTACATCAGACCTGTGAGCCAGGCAAGGAAGGTGTCATTACCTGCTTTTTCTCTTAGAAACTTAGAAAGCTGCGAAGTGCTACGGCTCAGAATGCACAACTCATGTCTCCCTACTCAACCCAGTGCTCTATCTGACCACCCAACTCTGATATGTTTTGCATTTTGCCAGGGAATGAAAATGAAACTTGGAATACCTAACTGATGGCCTGGTATCCTGGGGAGCTGTCTACTCTGGTTTCTAAAAGTTGTATCTCTCTCAACTCCCTTCTTTCTCTAAATTTAAATTAGCCAAGACAAGGTAAAAAGGGTCAGGAAAAATTTGGAAAGAAATTCGTGAGTTATGTCACCTCTATTTTTAGTGTTAATTATAAAGAAGAACCTTCTGAAATATACATGTATTTAGGTTTCTTTGCCTGCTTTTTGCGGGACTCCTGCATCCCTCTAATTCTCTGGCCAAACCTGGGCCAGAGAAGCGAATTGAAGTGACAGCTTCTGACCACTAGAGGGACCCCAGGCACCAGCTACAATTTCTCTGCAGCAGCTAGTGCCTGGAATGGTACCCACCTCTTGGAAAAATTCAGGTCAGGTGCATATCTGGCTAGGAATCCCTTCGTTGTTTGGTCTCCTGAAGAGAAAAGGTATCCTAGCTCTGAATCAGAGGAATTTAGTTCCATAACGCAAGCAAAGAGATTAAAGTCATCACAAGTGAAACCCAGACACCAGAATCAAAGATTATGCATTTTAGTCTAGTTCTTTCACTTAACATATTATCACAGAGTTTCAGAGTCTTCTAGTTCCAAAAATTATGATTAATGGTATCTTGGATTAGATCAAGGACTATTGAAAATCTTCCTCTAGGTGATTCCAATGTATTGCCAATTTGAAAGAAAGCAGCTGGACTGGTCCCAGCTTTAACCCAATTCAGGGAATGCTTTCTGTGACATTTTGATAATTTATTACCGTCAAGCCACAGCTTGGATCCTTTCTGTAGCTATGAACTCATAACTCAAATTGCTTTTACCTTCTTATTTTCTTTCTCTTATTTGCACCAGAGATGAAAATTTTTTTATTTGCATTTCTCTTAAATGCTGTTATCTCATAACAGCATTTGTAATTTATTTGTGTGTTTATGTGTCTAATTACTGCCTTTCACTTTAGTCTCCAAACACCACAAAGGCAAGGCCCACATCTGATATGCTCACCACTGTAAAACAAGAACACAGAGCAGTGCATAACACACGGTCTGCTCATACACATTTCCTTCCTCCCTCCACTTCTTCCCTCCCTCCCTCCAGAATGTGACAGCCATCTCTGTGGCTCAGATTGAATTGTCAAAAGCTCTTCCTAACATTCAGCCAAAACCAGCCTCCCTGTTACTTCTTCTCATTCAGTGTTTCTAATTCTGAAGCTACATACATGCCTAATGCTTTTTGAACAGCACAACTGTTGAGTTAAAGACAACTATATATTTTCTACACATTTCCAGTGTAAATCTCCCCCACCCCTGACCCCCTTGCACCTTTAGTCTCTCCATGTAGAAGTAACATGGTCTCTAGATTGTCAACATTTTGGCCACTAGCTCCCTCTGCCTTGTCTTCACTTTTTTTTTTTTTTTTCCCAGACAAGGTCTCACTCTGTCGCCCAGGCTGGAGTGCAGTGACACGATCACGGCTCACTGCAGCCTCGACCTCCCAGAATCCAGGGATCCTCCCACCTCAGCCCCCTGTGTAGTTGGGACTGCGGGCACACACCGCCATGCCCAGCTAATTTTTGTATTATTTGTGTGTGTGTGTGTGTGTGTGTGTGTGTGTGTGTGTGTGTGTGTGTTTTCAGATGGGGTTTAATCCTGTTGACCAGACTGCTCTGGAACTCCTGGGCTTAAGCAATCTGCCCACCTCAGCCTTCCAGAATGTTACGATTATAAGCGTGGCAGCTGCACCCAGCCTGGCCACCCCCTTTTTAAGAACTCTCATTTGTTAGTGGCCTTTAAACATGCAGTACCCAGAGCCAAGCCCTCTATTCTAACTATGGCCTGTCCAGGGCAGGGGTGGTGCTGTGCACTCCCTCGTCCTGTACACTTTGTCTCTTAATGCAGTTGAGTCTGCATTAGTGTTTTGGCTACCACATGCACTATTGAATCATCTTTAGCTTGTAGCCAAGTGAAACCTCTAAGTCTTTAAAAATTTTTTTTTACAAGAACTTCTGTTGAGCCAGGTATCTTCCATCCTGTTTTTGTGCAATTGATTTTTAAACGCAGGTTTTGCATAATCCCTATAATACTTTATTTAATTTCTGCATATGTTTGCTATCCCAGTGACCTTCCCTTCACTTGCTCTTGTCACATTCCCCAAAGCATTCCATGGAAGTCCCCCGTCAATCAACCCAGTATGTGAAGGGAACAACCCTGTTCTGGGGCTTGAGGGAGATGATGGGAGGAGGAGAAGCATGGTCGTGTTTTTGGAAGCATCCAGGCAGATCGCACAGACAGTCCACTTCTTCCTCCCCTCTTCATCAGGTCACAGACAGGAAAGGGCCAACTAATTTGTAAAGAACTTTCTTCTCCAAGGCTCCACACCCATTCCCTCTACTCTGGGCAATTGTCTTTCAGTGCGTTGGCTTCCAGAATCCACCGCAACCACCCTGGAGGAGTGTGAAAGGGCAAGAGCTTCTTGCTCTTGTATCTTCTGTGTGTCTGCATGTAAGGAACACTTCTGAACATGACACTGAGACAGGAACACTCACTGACTAGAGGCTGTGCGATTTGCTACGGACCTTTGACTGTGAAATAGAAGTTTGCTCTGAGAAGTCTAGGTGACTGAGGGATTTGTGGATCTTCTATGTGTTCTGGGATCCAAATTTGTTCAAGGTTGTTTGGGAGAGGACTGGGAAATTTTGAGAAACGAGGAAGGAAGGAAGGAAGGAAGGGGATGGGGGACCAGGTGGGCCCAGAGAGATTCTGATGCCAATAATTGTGTATGATTCATTTCCAAGTATTCCAGTACTTTCACTAGCATCTTGAATGTAGTGGATACTCAACAAATTCTTTAAATGAAATTAATTATACACCCCTAAGTGCCTTAAAGGGCGATCCTGTTCCCAAAACTGCAGAGACATCAATTGCCACAGGGGGGCGACAGAGGCCAGAAGGTGAGAGTAGGAACCAGCGTTCACAGGTGGGGAAGGGGTAGGGTTGGAAGGGGAGCTAAGTTGAAACTAAAAGGAAGGAGAGAAGACCGAAGAAAAAAAAAATCAGCATGGTGACTTTTCGGTCCAAGGGGGGTAGTGGGCTCTCCCTGAGAATGATGCAATCTGAGGAGGTGGCTGGACTATGAATTTGATTCCGAGCCAGTGAAGGACTTTGTCTCCCAGAACTCTGGGGGAGTCTCAGTGACTCACTTTTCCTCAAGCAAAGATGAAAAATGACAACCTTTCCCAGTTTTCCCCTGCTGGCCAAAAACCCGGCAGTATCCCAAAGGAAAGGAAGCATTGTTTCTTTAATGCGTGGTTCAGGAACTGTGGTGAAGTCCTCAGCTCCAGTCAGCCATGAATTGACACAAAAAAACAGGTTCACAGGCCGGAAATCTACAGAAGATTCTCCAGCCTCTTCAGCCCCCAGACACTGGAATGACATGGGAGAGGCTCTGGAGGACTTAGGGAGAAGAGGTCAGTTTTCTGCATCAATTATTTGCTTACTTGTTCCTCTTCCCTCTCTGGACTGTGAATGTTCCAGTGTGGCCAATGAATCTTTATTCATGAAATTAACTTGGGTATTTAGTAGATGTTTCCTGAGCTCTGATCATGTGCCAGTCAGCGAAAGGACTCTTGCATGGTTGAAGTTTCTTTTCTAGTGTTGGAGGGAGGAGGTAGACGAGCAGTAAACTGATAAGCAAATAAACGAATAAATAAAATTTTAACATGTGATAAATGCTACAGTGGAAACATCCGAGGTGAACTGGTAGAGAATAATTGGGTGTGGCATGGCCAGGCTACATTCCACTGGATGTCAGGGAAGGTCACTCTTGAGGGAGGTGATATTTGCACAGAGACCCCAAGGACGAGAAGTTGTTGGTCATATAAAGAGCACAGGAAGGAGCTTTTGGGGCAGAAGAGATATCAAGTGCAAAGACTCTTAGAGTGGAAAACAGATTTGCTCCTTCAAAGAACAAAATTCACCCGTGAGCATAAAGCTTCTTGAGCTGTGGGGAGACAAGGCCACCAGCTAATCGTGGAAGTGCTGTCAGAGGGTACAGAAACACTCAGGATTAACTTAAATGCAGTAGCGAAGAACTAGATGCCAAATTTAGGGTATAATATTGGATTTTTGTAAAGAGTAAGTTTATTACTATCACTGGATTTTCTAAGAGGCCTATAACCCTCCTCCTATCCCGTAAACATTAGCAATACCCTATTTAGAGGAAAAAGACTAGGTCCATGCTCTTAGAAAGACTAGAAAGATGAAAGGTACAGTTTGGAGCTACATACAATGTATTTTTGCATGATACGGAGAACTACCCAGGAAAAAAAAATACAGTTATCTTTGAAGAGGGCAAGGGTGAAACTTGACACGTTATCTGGGAAACCAAAGGCAGTAGGCAACTTTTTTTTTTTTTTTTTTTGAGATGGAGTCTCACTCTGTCGCTCAGGCTGGAGTGCAGTGGCGCGATCTCGGCTTACTGCAAGCTCCACCTCCCGGGTTCACAAGCAGTAGGCAACTTTAAATGACCACAGATGTGGTAGGAACATATAGAGAAAGCTGAGGACAAATGGCATTGATGGGGAAGTTGAGACTTTCATGCTAGAAACCAAGTTTGCAAACAATCAGGCAATGATTTTGAGATACTAGAGAGCTATAAGAACTTAATCTTCTCATTTATAAAAATGTATCCAAAAGATTTCCTAAATCTAAGTGCAACATAAAGATGTCTGATACATCCCCTTAAAATGATGTTCCCGCCGGGCGCGGTGGCTCACGCCTGTGATCCCAGCACTTTGGGAGGCTGAGGCAGGTGGATCACCTGAAGTCAGAGTTCGAGACCAGGCTGGCCAAACTGGTGAGACCCCCCCGTCTCTACTAAAAATACAAAAAATTAGCCTGGCGTGGTGGTGCACACCTGTAATCCCAGCTACTCAGGAGGCTGAGGCAGGAGAATCACTTGAACCTGGGAGGCGGAGGTTGCAGTGAGCCAAGATTGCACCACTACACTCCAGCCTGGGCAACAGAGTGAGACTCTGTCTCAAAAAAAAAAAAAAAAAAAGAAGATGTTCTCAAAATCCCCCAACCAATTTTCCAGAGCCAGTCTCTTAGAGAGTTTCTCTTCCCTTCACCAAATAGTTACAGGAAAGAAGAAAGCTAACGTGCATTTTTGCAGAAATGATGCTTAAACACTCCCCATCCCTCCCTGTGTTCCCCACACCCTTCCTGCCCAAATCACCTAGATGTCTAGAGATGATTTGGAAGGACTTGGACTTGTTAATTAACCTAAACAGTCGCATTCGTCAGCAAGGTGCATTATTGTTAATTAAAACTCCGATTCTCCTTGTGCCCAGACGGCGGGCTGCTGTTGTCAGAATAATTAGATAGCATACGATGGTTTTCATGCAAATCTCTGGCAATTAGAGTTGGCGATGAATTGGGTTTGAAATCCCAGTGAAGTTCTCAATCAGAATTCCTCTGAGGGAGGAAGGTGGTGATGGGGTTGGGGGATAGGGAAATAGGAATGGAAAAAGGGTGTGAGGACCAAGTATTTGTTTTCTAAATCCTAAGGGAGGGGCCTCAGCTTGGAATAAATGAACTATGAGCGTCAATGTGATGTTCAAACTTCCCTTGAATAATAGATCTCTCTCCTTTAGAAAGCAAAGCAAACTGACCTTCCTCAGGGTCCTGTGTTTTCCCAAGAGCTTGCTTCCCTGGCTCTCATCTTTCTGAGAGGATTTTTTTCTTTAGCTAGGATGCCCAATATCTCATACACAGCTAAAGTCCCTGCCAACCCTAAGATTAAATTCTTAAGGGCTTTAAGGAGACAGGATTTGTATTCCTGAAGGGTTGCAGAAAAGATGCCAGACTCAGACCAATTTTAGAGTGGTTGATGGCATGCAGTGGGTTAAATGCATGGGGTGGCAGGTCCCCAAGAAAGCTTTAAAGAAATGACTGAGGTCCGGGTTAGACTTAAGGAGGAGCTCTCCAAGTGCTGCCTAGGTAATGGCAGGGAAAGGGCAGCCCAAAAGGCCTGGAGCAATCCCGGTGGGGGTGGGGATGAGGAGGATGTAGCAGGGGGCGGGGGTAGGGCACTGTCTCCAGCCCACCCTAACCTCTTAGCAGCTTCGGGCTTCTGCAGCTGCCTTTCCCTTGTGAAAGCCATGAGAGCTGCCAAGCTATTACCCAGGAGTCTGGGGTTCTCTCTAACTGGACTGACTGACCAGGGATTTCTATCCAGAGGCACAGGGTTGGGGGCAGATAAGACAAGCCTACTGGTCTTAAATTAAGCCTCCCTTGCATCAGGTTGACACTGGAAGATTCAGGGAGTCAAAAACGCCCTCTCCTCCCCCTCAACTAGGTCAGCTTCCAAATCAGTACCTTGTAAGGGAGGACAGCAACATCTGGTAGAATTGCAAGAGTGGTCAAGGACGGGAGGGGGATATTGAGAGAAGCCTGGAAAAAAAAAAGCGGGGGAAAAAATACTAGAACACATTCATGAACTGTGGTTGGAAACCAGAGCATAATTTAGGTTTGTAAATTATTTCCTTTCTCTTCATTTTCTCTCCCTTCCTTTCTGTTTCAGAATGTCTCCCGCGTCTCAATCGGTCCCTAAATCCCGCCTTTCAATTGAGGACGAACCAATCAGGAGCTAACCTGGTGGTTGCTAAGAGACAGGAGGTGGGAGATTTAGAGGCCTTGTCGTGGCACCCACCCAGGAAAATTCCCTAAGCCTTTTGCACCCTCCTGCCTAAGCTATTCTAACTCATCTCTGCACCTCTCCCGCACTCGCCTACTATTCCCAAGCCCAGAGAGTCAAGCAGAAACATTTTAGTAAAGAAACCAGGTATAGCATATCTTTGGAAAATGGTAAGATGGTAATTGGGTTCAAACTGATAGAACGTATCTGCTCAAGTTTCCCCAGCCTTTAGTTGGGTTAGAGGTAGGAACTAACTGTTTTGTAGCCTCTTGGGTAGAGGGTGAATTTGCTCTTGGTGGTAAAAGCTGTGCCCCTGATGAGGAGGGGTTTCTGTCCTTCCAGCCATCTAAACTTGGGTAGGTAGAGACTGAGAAAAATCTCAAAGGTCATGATTAAGCAGCCAGAGAATCAGGGGTTGGGAAAAAGGTGCCCAGGGGATTGGGGTATTGTGTGGAAGGTGGAAGGAAAGATGTATGTGGGAAATAAAGGTTTATTTCAAAAGCTGAGATTCTGAAAGGGAAATTCGGGGAATTCCAAGCAGAAGATGAATCAAATCAGGGCCTCCCCCTTCAAGTTTCTCCACCCTTCACAACTTCTTGATCTTTTCTTCCCTCCACACATCCTACACAGAAAAGACTAGGCTTAAAAACCAGGGTAAAGAAAACTCATTTGGGTAAGGAGTGAGTCATAAATCCCGATTCTATATCCTGTGAACAGGGATGAGTGCAGAATTGAGTGGGGGTTTGGGTCCTGAGAAAAGTCAGTGCACACGCACAGGTGTGCGCAGTTCAGGTGCTGACAGAGATGCAAGCTCATGGGTGGACATATGTTTTTACATGCATACATCTAACATAAAGGTAGATTCTAACAGATCGAGAAACAGATGTGTACACACACACACACACACACACGCACGCACATTCAGGTCATGCTGAGGAACCTGGGAGAGATGACTCCCAGGAAGTGGCTTTTTAAATTACCTTGATATGTTCCCTGAACTGAGTAACATCCCCTGGGATGCTTCTTTCACCTTCCCCACCACTGTCCTAATCACTAAACAAAGCCAGAGAGGAGACAGAAGACAGAGGCTGGGCAGGTTGGACAGGGGGAGGTGGTATTGCTCTGGGCTTTGTCATCACTCTTCACTGTTTATCTCTCAGTTTGAGTTCCTATTCCATTTGCTTCCCAGAACAGCTTTTTTTCCAGCTAAGCCATCCCTTCTGTTTTTTTTGGTTTAATGACTCCCCTCATGCTCTGGTTCCTCTTCTCTTCTCCCTTGAGATGGCCGTGACCCCACACCTCAAGAGAACATCTGTGTACCCTGAGGGTATTTATTCATCATTCACCTTCTTCCCAAGCCAGCTATAGAAGCAGACACTGGCAAGAAAGTCTGACATAAAAATGTCTCTCTCTCCATTCTCCTTCTTCTCCCCAGACAAAATAAGAAACCACCCGCTTCACAAAGGCAGTGTAGACTTTAATTCAGGTTGACAGGTGGGAAGAGAACTAGGATTTGCTTCCAAGGGTGTCCAGATGAGAAGACCATCCTTCAGGGAGGGGCAGAGAGGGCAAGAGGGTGCGGGTGGCCTGGTGGCAGAATAGGGCGAGGAGCAGGGGCGTAGCCACACAGTGCAAAATTGCCAGGGCTTCTGCCAGGTTCAGCAGCAGGTCCAGAGCCTGCTGGGCCAGACATGTTGACAACAGCAACAGCTTGGACCTCACCAGGAAATCCAGTCCTAGAACCACCCCATGAGGCCACCAGAAAATAAACCAGGCCCACAGGATATTCATCCAGGGGCCTGGCCCCATACCCAATGCCTTCTTCAGCCCCTTGGCTCCAAACAAACCCAATGGCAACAAGACAAAGATGGCAAGACAGGCTACAGTGTGTGTGGCCTGCAAAGCCTTCAGCTCCGTGCTGTATATCAGGGTGCAGAGTCCACCAGAAGCACCACTGGCCAGGGTGACAGGCAGTGTCAGTAGGGCAGCCACTCCCCAAATTCCCACAGTGAGCCCCAGGGTGAGGCCTGGGACCTGGCCTGCACCCAGTCTGTGGCCCAGGGAGGCATGGCACCCTAGCAGCAAAGCCTGGGCAAAGGCTGAGCCATACCAGACACAGTAGCCCAGGCTACACAGGGCAGAGCTGCGAGTGCTACCTAGCCCTGGGGCCAAGACGGGCACCACAATGCTGAAGAGGGCACTGCCCACAGCCAGCTGTGCCAGGACAGGCCAGCCAGGGCAGAGCTGCCAGCGGAAGAGAGGTCTGAAAAGCATGAAGAGGACAGTGCTGCTAGCTAGGATACCCAGGACACTGGTGAGGATGAAGAAGGGCAGTGCAGAGTCATCCAGCAGGTTACAGGAGTGGCAGGGGGCAGCTGCTTCCAGGTTGGCACCATAGTCTCCATCTGGGAAGGAATCATTCACACCATAGGAAGAATTCCATACATCTTCGAAGTCCAGCTGACTTGAGTTCTCAGTTGAGGGGGAGAGCTCCGCCTGGAGGACATACCCAGAGGAGGCCATCAGAGTTACACCGGAAGAGTCTCCTGGGAATTGAGGGGCAGGTGGGAGGGGAGGACAGAGAGGAAGGTCGGGTGGGAGAACAAGGTCTCTGCAGGAGTCAGATGCAGTGCGGACAGTGGAAAAGGACAAAGCAGGGAGCCTGAAGAGCCGGAGCAGGAACAGTCCTGGGGAAGCCAGGGCAGCTGGGGCTGGAGGAGCAGTGCAAGGTCAGAAGGAAAAGGCACCAAGAGACCAGGATGGAACTGACTCAAAGGCAAAGGGAGGGACACAAGAGGGAGCTAGGAGGCTAGCATAGGAAGGAGAGAAGGAAAAAGACTTTGAAGGAAGAGGAAAAAAGCAGGAAGGGAGAAAAGATGAGGAGGAAAAGGAAGAGATATAAAGACTGAGGGGCAAACAGCAGGGGAAATGAGGGGCATAGGGATAAGGGACTCTGGGGCCTGGCCCCATACTCACCCTGTGCAGACAGTTCCCCATGGCACCGTTTGGTTCAGGCCCGCAGACAGAAGGGCTGGGACGGCTGTCAGCGCCTGTGCTTCCAAGATAAGAGCCAAGGACTAATGAGGGCCATCAGGTTCTGGGCAGGGACAGGGGGCATCAGGAAGCCTTACCCCACGCCCACTGCCTGCACAAGCCTCAGGCCTATGGGGGTCACTGGCCTTGGGTCTTCCTGTTTTGAGGTTGGATTTGGCTGGTTGGGACTACACTCAGGAAAAAGGTGGGGACCAGAAAGTGGGCATTTTACCGAAGTGGAAAGGGAGATTGAGAAAACAGGGGGCTTTCCAGCAAGTAGAGATTTTACCGAAGTGGAAAGGGAGATTGAGAAAACAGGGGGCTTTCCAGCAAGGAGAGATTCTTCAAGCACAAGGAAGGAAGAGAGGGGGGCTGGGTGACTTGTGAGGCAGAGATAAGGGAGGTGCTGGGAAATTGGAGTGGAAGGGCGGCTGACTCTCACTGCTCCTCCATCCCCTTGAACTGGATCCAAGGAAAGGCAGTTCAAAAGCCATGTGTTTGGGAGAAAGGTGGTGGTGGTCAACTCTGTCCCAACTGAGGGGTGTGTGCACGTGGGCGTGAGCTCTTTGTGTGTACTGAACTCTGTGTACGTTTGCTGTGTATCATTGTGCACATATCTGTATGTGAGGGGCTTGGCGGGTGTCTGGGTGTGTCTAGCTATCTCTAGGTCTGGGTGTTTCAGTGTGAGAGTGGGAGGGTTGGGGTGGCTGTCGAGGCTGCATAATGAAGCCATTTCAGGGAGCTATTGGGTGTTTGCCTAGCCACCTATGGGCTCAGTGCATGCCTCTTGCATATGAAGTGGAATACATGGTCTGACAAGTTAAAGTAGGCTCTAGGGGACAATGGGACAGCATATTTTAAAATGGGACCATTGCCCACAGGGTGATTTCTATTCATATTTCTACTGGGGGACATAAAGTCTCTGGAACTGTTTCATTGGCCAGGCATCTTAGCAATATGTAAAGTTTCTCACTGAGGGGCAGAGCTGGCCAGCAGAGAGAAAGGGCATCTACCCTGCAGGCAGGCCGATTCTCCCAAGCACATTTCACTTTTTTAGTGGCTTCTTCCCCCTCCCTCCCCTCCTCAGCTGTTTCCCCAGGATCGTCACTGTTTCATCACCCCTCTCTGCTTTTATTTCCTCAGCTAGGGAGACATAGTGGGGACTTTGGGAGCGGTGAGCCATGGCGTGTCCAAGTCAGAACAATGAGATAGAAAGGGCTGGTTAGGGGACGCTGTTTCATTTGTCCAAAACAGCATCGGCTGCTTCATCTCCAGTGTTGTTAAGGACCTTCTGTCCCATTCATGTAGGGCTTCCTAGGGGGCCAAGCACCTCAGACCTAAGGTGCAGAAGGATGGGTACCTCGTAGAGATTTCCCCCTTTTCTCCCAAGACACTAGCTCAAGTTTCAGGTTCAACATGAAGGGGCTGGAAAGTGAATTTGGTCTGGTGGTGTCTGGTGATGCTCTGCAGGGTGGGGTTGATGGCATCTCCATCGCCGTCTTAACATTCTCCAGCAATGCCTGGCAGAGGGTGGGGGGAAGCAGTCAGATGCCCCCCAAGACACTCTCTGGAAAGGAAGGGCTTAGCAAAAGGAAGTGAACACACTTCTCTCCCTTGTAGAGTTATATTGTTGCTGTACATAGATATTCTTGAGAGTGGCCTGGCAAGGGACACACCACCTTTTGAGGCACCAGGCACCAGGTGCAAGGGGTATGGGAAGAAGACCCTCACATACACACATCCCAGCAGCAGCAAGAGGACCAGAAAGGAGGCAGCTGAATGACACGGATAATCCAGATATATTGAGGGTGACCCCTCTGAGATTAGCACAGGAGAGTTAGAAAGATTATAAAGATACACGGTCCCCTCCCTGCTCCCTTCCCCCACCCCCCCACCCCTGGACAGACACACACAGCACAACAGCCCCTCTCCCTCCCACCCCCCCGTACAAATATGGCTTCTGTGTAATATGGACAGAGTGGTTCAGCTTGAAGAGGAAAAGTCATTTTCCCAAAAGCGGGTGCTGGGAGACAAGAAGCTCAACAGGCCTGGGGCCCCAGGGCTCTCTTGCTGTTGTAAGAGGAGTAGGCCCCGGCTTAGGTGAGGGGCTGCCTGTGGTGCCCAAGGCCCTAACCAGCGGCTGGAAGATTCACAACTGTATTACCTGAACTGAAGGGGGTGGGCAGGCCTGCTAGATTGCAGCTGCCCCTTTTTGCATGCCCATTGTCAGACCAGGGAGGAAAAGCTGGGGGAGGGTGGGAGCGATGCCAAGGGCATCCTGGATCTGAGGCGGGGCAGTCCAGCCAGGACAGGGAGGACCAGGAACCTCATCTCCACAGCAACCAGCTGGGGCCACGAGAAGGAAGACAGGAAATCAAAAGGAAGGGTGGGGACCCAGCCTTCAACTCACTGGGTACAGACTATGGGAAAAAATAGGTGGTGGTAGGTCTTTCCAGGGTCAACGCCAAGGAGAGGCCTGAGAGGTGCATAGCAAAGGCTGTGGCACTGACTCCATGGCTCAGAGGAGGGAAATCCAGGGAAGGGCTGAATGCTCTGTGTTTAAGGGAGAGATAGAATGGACAGCTGGGCAAACACACACCCGGGGACTCCTTTCTCCAAGACCGATGGGCATTGGGGGTGGCAGAGGAAATACCAGCATGGAACAACATCCCAGGTGAGGTGTGAACCCTGACTAGGAATACCCCATTCCCAAAGCCTCCCCAACATGTCCCACAGCCCTGTCCACTTGCCCAGGACCCCTGGCTCTTAGCCCTCCTCCTCAGTTCCTCGCTCTGCCTCTCACTCACTCACACACATGCACACACACACACACACATGCACACATGCATACACACCACACACATGCACACAGTTCACATTATTCCCTTAGTTTGGGCAGGAAACAGCTCACTGCAGTGAAGCTCCTTTTAGTAGTTTTGTTGTTATGTCTGCCTGGCTGCTGAGGGAGGAAGGATGAAGGGCTGGCGTTGGGACCAGGAAGGGGGCACAGGGTGGCCGGGAAGGGAGAAGTAGTTGCTGAGCAATGCCATGGGAGGAGTGGTTGCCGTGCAACAATCCAGAGTCTTGGGTAAGAGTGAGGGGCCCCTCAGGGGGGGAAGCAGAGGCAGTTCAGGCCCCAGAGCAGTGCCTCTCCCACTGCTGCTGGAGCAAGGAGGGGCAGCCACACTCTGCTATCTCCAAGGGCAGTTCCTATGGAAAGGGCCCGGCTTTGTTCATTTCCGGGGGGAATGGGGTGAGAGTCCACCTCCATCCTTCCTCTCCAAATCTACTCTTCCTTGCAGGGACCCGCGTCCTCCCCAGGTTACAGTCCTGGGTCCCTGCATGGCTGCATGTTGTCTGCAGGCCACATCTCCTCAGGACTCCCGCACTCATCACTTTCCCATTGCTATGGAAGAGAGGTGTCAAGGTGGCACCTGCCTCCCTGTCCGTAGTGCTCAGGTGTGTGGCTACCAGAGGAAAAGCCACTCCCAACCTTTGCCGACAACCATCCCGTTTCTGGGTTCCTGGAGAAGTCTGGGAAGCTGCTCTGTTGTAGAGGCTGAAAGGAGGGCTGGTGAGAGCCCCCAGCTGAAACCAGCCCTGCCCCTTACCCTTCCTCACCCCTCTACCTTCACTCTCCTCCTAACACTCCAGGGTTTTGTTTTTTGTTTGTTTTTTGCTTTTCTCACCCCAGGGCTCCTGCCTCTCCAGCCTGGAGACAGATTTGATTTGGGATTGTTACAAAAATAATAATAACCCAAATGCAGAGAAGCCACGGAAAGGGCTGAGGGCAACCCTCCCCTCCCCCCGCCCTCCTCCCTCCCCATTCCAAACCGAGTACAAAACCGCACCCAAAGCAGACATTCTGTACAGGGGGGTGGGTGGGCTGGGGAGCAAGCGGGAGGGGCGGCCCTGCGGTTGCTCTGTACAAGTCCGGGTTGGTGACGGCCCCAGCAGTCCCCACAGGGCCCCTGGGGGGCGCAGGAAGTGGGCAGGCGCCTCTAGATGAAATATTCCTTCTTGTCGTCCCCTCCTGACTGCCCGCCTTCTGCATTGATGATGGCCGTGTCCGCGTCTGGAGCATCGTCGGAGCCTTTTGCCTCATGTGTCAGGTAGGTTCCTGTGTAGAGACAGAGGCTTCTCCTCTCAGGAGCAGCTTCCCAACCTCTGAGTCCACCCTGCCCACTTTCTCACCCACCCACTCACACACTGCTCAAGTAATTTTTCTCTTGCCAATAGCTCTCTTCTACTCCACCTTACCTAATTCGCATTTTGCTTCCAACATGCCTCACCTGACCACACCCTTCATGAATAATGAATCCTACCCCTAAGTAGAATCTCATCTATAATACAAAGCAAGAAAGAGAAGTGTGTGTGTGTGTGTGTGTGTGTGTGTGTGTGTGTGCTTGCACGCATGCGTGTGTGTGTGTATGCATGCGTGTGCACGCAACTTGGTGACGGGGGATCTGCTATGTCAGCTTCATGAGCAAAGCAATTGAGATCTGGCTTATGTATGACCAGCCTATGGAGTCAGGCCGCTGGCTAGAATTAATAGCAGAGCAGGAAGTCTGAGAGGAAGGAATGTGAGAAGAGGGTAGAGAGAAGGCATGGATATAAGAGAGAAGGTAGAAAAGGGGGAGAGGAAAGAAAGGCAATGAGATCAAAGGAGAAAGAAAATGAGGTTAAACAGACAGAAAGGAAGAAAGCGCAGGAAGCAATGAGATGGAGATGCAGTTTCAGGAGCTCTCTGTCTTGCAGCAGGAGACCTGGAGGTAGAGCAGCATGGGAGCAACCGCTGACTGAGTGGGAAGGTTTGATTTCACTTGGACGATCCCCAAGTGATCAGGCTTTACTGCGGGGTTGGTGGTGCTCAGTTATCACAGGGTTGGCAATGATAGGGTTGGCTCCATTTTTAATTCCCTAAACACTCCAAAGGGCTGACAAGTCTCTGAAGGCCCTTTCCACTGTCTGCTTCTCCTCGTGCCTGCCTCTGATTGGTCTCCCTGCCCCTCCCAAGTTCTGCTGATGCTCTCTTTGTGCCTCTGACCTTTGTGCCGGATCAAGTAGTGGCCAAGGAAGATGAGCATGATGAGCAGCAGGAAGACAATGAAAGCCACGATCCCACCGATGATGGCGTGGTAGGTGCTGGAGGAGGAGGGCACCGGACTGGGGTCTGGAAGAAAGGGCAACACACACAGTCAGATCTGGGGAGAGCCCTTATCTTATAGCATTCCAACTTGGCCATGAATAGTCTTACACAGCAGGGAACAGGTACTAACATCAGGAAAATGGAGCAGTGTCATTCATCATGCCTTATCTTGTGCTTATACGCCACACCTGTATTATAGTATTTGTTAAAACAAATTGATGGATTAATGAATAAATAAATCTGCCCATACCTAGTCATCTAAGTTGAGTTCTTGGCACTGAAGCTTGGCCTTGGTCAAAGATCATTGCTTTAATGCCTCTCCTTCCTTCCCTCCCTCCCTCCATTTCTTCCTTCCTTCCTTCCTTCCTTCCTCCCTCCCTCCGCCTCTTCTTTTCCTTCCTTCTTCCTGCCTCTCTTCCTTCTTTCCTCTCTCCTCCTGCCCTGTTTCCTTCTTTCTTTTCTCCCTCTTTTTCTTTTTAATTTCTGGGTTATCAGAGTGTTCCTTCTCTGTCCCCATTCCCTCTTACCCTCCTGTCTGCTTGATATTCTGAGCCAGCTCCCCTAGCTCTAAGGGCCTTCTCAGCCTATTCACCCACTGCCCTAAGATCAGATAGGGAAGGAACAGTAAAACCTGATAGAGCCAAGAATTAGGCACTTTGACAGCACCTTACGAAAGATGATAGATGTAAGGGGCCACAATCTATCATCTATGTAAAGAACACTGTTCCTTTGTGGCAGGTGAGTTTAGTGTTCCAGTGAAACCCCAAGCCTCTAGTCTTTCCCAAGGAGGAGGCCTGGGACTCCGTCTTCACTTTGCCACCCTCAAAGTGTTTGTGCAAAGGAAAAGATGCTTTCTCTCATGCTAGTGGATGTCTCTGCCACTGAATATATAGCATCTGTCCTCCATGGCAACCTAGGTAGAGGATTGGCAACCTATGTAGAGGATTGACAACCTGTATAGAGGATCAACAGCACAGACTGGGCCGGGTGTGGCAAAGACATCAGCAGCCACAGCCAGAGTCCCAAATATCTGAGGACTCGCACGGGCCCAGCACACGGTTCTGATGTAGCCATAGACATAACTCTCCCACCCATGGGAGAGCTGCTGTTTTCCATGGACTCAGCTTGAGTCTTAATGCCTCATTGACTCCTTACATATTTTGTCTTTCCTACCTTATGTCTCCTCAGGCTTGGCTGGGCCCGCGTTTCAGTTCCTTGCCTGTCTACACCTTATTTGAAAAGAAAACATTTGTGTTCTGGTTTTTTATGCCCTGCTTGGGAGGAAGGGAGAGGATGAGTCCAGGAAATCTATGATATGATTGGGGTGGAGGTGATGGTGTAACTTGGAGGAAGCAGAGTGAGTTACCTGCTGTCTCTCTCTCAGGGAGTATGCGAGACAGTCCACATGGAAAATCAATCCTGGATACTTATTCCACAGGCTATGGAAATGGCAGTTCCTTAGAAAAGCACAGGTTTCCATGGCCAAACGACCTCTGGGGTCATCAATTACAGGCCCCTGTCTCTAGGTAGAACTGCATTTAATTTCGTTCCAGTCCCGCCCACTTAAGGATATTCCTGGAAGAAGATGCAGTAGCTCCTTCTACCACCAGGCGTCAGCACTGGAAACAGACGCAGTCCAACAGGACTCCCTCTGCCTGGCTGTTGAGCACAAAGCAGAGGGGAGATCAGCAAGATACCAACCACAAGGGCACAAGAACTTTCTCTCACTGCCAATCATCATCAGATTGGTCTGGAGAGATCTGGGGGCAGAGACCGGAGCTCAGTGCATTGTCCTTGCTCTTGGCATCCTACAATAGCCTTGTTGTGCTGAGGCAGCTCCCACATGCTGAGGTCTGCCCCTGGAGTGGGAATCACCCATCCAGACATTCTGATCCCAAGAACTCAGACCTCTTATCGCTGGGAGGCCTGGCTCTTATCCCCTCAACTGTTTTAATGAGTGTCTCAAGTAAGGGAGCCTCTGATGTTTCCCCGACAATGCATTTCCCCTATTCTGAGAAAAGATAAGACTTTCTGGCGGGACCCACAGCCATTGGGATCTTCAAAAAAATCGCCCGTCAACTCTCCATAAAGGGGCCTCTGTGTCACCCTGTCACTACTCCTGAAGCTGGGTTTTGTGGTCACAGCTTTGAGAAGAACTTCAGAGAAGGAGCATCACCTGGTCCTTCTAGAAGATATGGCATCTGAGAAAAGATTCTGTCTCTTGGCATAGTACAAGCTTCTCTCTATTTTCTGTCCAGACCCAGTACACTGTGCTTAAGGTGGGCAGAAAAAAAAATGACAGCAGTTGCATGCACCCAATACCTAGTCTTAGGAGAAGCAACTCTGAGAAGAGCCAGTTAGAGAAGGAAATGCACCTGCGCCTGCACTTGAGAGGCTTTGGGGCCTCTGCACACAGAATTATTGTTCTTGTTGTCAGACAAGTGCAGGGGATGGAAGATGGTGTCACCCAGGCCACCACTACCAAAGAAAGGCAGATGAGAGCCCACCCTTCTAATGTTTTTTCACTAAGCGGCCATTACACATTCTAGAGTGGACCTGGGACCTAAGCCCTCAGGGACCCCAGTGGTGGGCTGGTTTTCCTTTACTCCACTCCCCGTCACAGTTTGGGGATGTTATCAGGAAGCATTTTAAAAAAGGGAATAAGATGGACAGAGAAAGGAGATTCTGGAGGAAGAGAACTGAGGAGGGCTTACCATTAACATTGAGGGTGTAGTAGGCCTTGTAGCTGCCCATGTTGCTGGTGGCTGTGCAGCCGTAGGTGCCACTGTCACTCTTGTTGAGGAAAGGGAAGATCAGGGCACTCTCCTGGGTCATCTTCAGGGGTGGCACACTGCCCTCCTTCTCCCATAGGTACTGCTGGGGGCTGTCGAGGCAGACAAATCAGAAGAGCTCAGGAGAGCATAGGCCAGGGAGCTAAAAGAAAAAAAAAAATAACTGGGAGCAGGGATGTCAAGGACTGTTTGATGAGGCTGGAGAAATTATCGGGGCCAGAGACACTGGAGCTGCTATACGCCAGGTGGCCTCTTGGGGTTCGTTCTGGGGAAGCTGTAGATCTCCAGACTTGTATCTTACTTTAACTTGGCCTTTGTGGGAAACTCAGGGACTGAGTTAGGGAGTGGCCCCTTCCCATTTGTGCTGCTTTGCAGAAGAACTAATTGCAGGCGGACATTATTGGACAGTCAGGGAAATGAGAGGCTCAGGTCAGACAATACAGAGGAGATAGGAAGGAGCTGTTATGTGAAGAAGGCAATCTGAGAATGTGGAGAGTAAGGAGGAGACCAGGAAATGGATCTTCTTACACTGGATTGCCGCGACCCTCACAGTGTAGCAACAGCTTCTGGCCCTCACGAGGATGGGGAGGGTCTGGCCTAATCATCGCAGTTGGTGTGTCTGTGGAGAAGGAAATGGTATCAATGAATACCTCCCCACACGGCTTAGGAGATTCCCTCACTTAGTTGCACACTACAGCTTCTACCTCTAAATGTTTCCGCAGCTCAAGAAGTGCAACAAAGACCTTCCTTCTCCTACTTCTCATGAACAAGGACCATTATTGCTATTGAATATGTGAGCAACTTCTCTTGCAACCTTGTGTGATAGGATTCTGGAAGGTCTGTCCTTGGTGGGCCCTAAGAGATGTCTTAACAGAAAGCTGAGAAGGGAAATGAGTGGTTTACCTGTGCCTAGCAAACCTCCTAGCACATAGGAAAGACCTAATACATATTTTTTACAGAACAAATAAAGTTGAACTTGTCACATATTGAGCTCACAACTTCTCAGTTCTCTCTGCTCTGCAAGGGAGCTTAGAACTGGAAGCAATGCTTGAACACAAAACATCATTTTGAATGGTCAGTGCAAACACGAAGTGAGAGCTTTGAAACAGCAAGAGACCAGGGTCATATTTTGGCTGCAAAAAGGCACTGACACAATATAGAAGGGCTCTGTGAAGGAAGAATGGCATCTGCCATTGACGCCGAAGGGCTGCTTAGGAGGCTAGGTCCAGATGGCCGCTCAGAACAATACAACCAGATGCTGGTCGAGAACAACAGATAAAGAGGCTGAGCTTCCCCTAAGGATAGAGCCAACTTTAACAACCAGTTAATGAACGTGTTTCAGCCAAATCAAATGGGACATAGAGAATCAGGCCAGGTGAAAGAATAGGCGTTCTGGGACCCCATGGCCATAGAAACCTCTAGCACAGTGCCTGGAGCATAGCATTTGTTGACTGACTGCTGATCACAGTTGGGCTAAAAGGGTCCCTGGCGAGTAACTGCCAGATGGTCTGGTATCTAACAGAGGAGTCTTTGGGGCTCAGGCAGGGGACCAAGGCTTTAGCTCTGGCCAGGGACCAAGGGGCGGGGGGAAAAGCTCCAGGTCAGGGCCTCACACTAGGAACTAATAATCAGAGAAGCACCTTATAGGAATATAGAACTTTGACATTTACAAAGTTCTTTCACATGCATTGTTTTATTTATCCTCACAATAACTCAGCAAAGTAAGCAGGAGCCACAGAAAGATGAAATGCTTTGGCCAAAGGAGCACAGCTAGTAAGCGGCAGCACTGCGGCTAGAGTCCGGATTGTCGGCCTGTGGATTGAGTCTGCCAAATGAATAGTGATGCACCCTAAACCTACCTCAGGTTAAAGTTTGAGTAATGGGTCTAAGATATGATTAAATAACACTGAAGTTAGGAAAATAATTGGGCCTAGGTCGACTCCACAAGAAGAGGATGAAGGGCTTTGGTTATTTTGAAAACTGCCCAACTTTTAGGTAAGTTAGGACAAGAAATACACCATTTCCTAACTCTAACTTCTCCCATTGGACTTTAGCTGATTCTTTTCCCTTTGGTTCCTCCACCCAGAGAGGCTGTTCTTTACAAATTTCTGAATTTCCTCAGATGAGAAATTCCCGTTTCCAAACTTCCTCAGAAGTGTCCTAACCATACTAAAGGCAAATTCCACAGAGGGTGTGAGTGTCCTGGGAAGGGCCAGGAGTAATGACAGTGACAGTGGCCATTTCAGGTCAGAATCCCAGGAAAATACATGGAGCTGGGGCAAATAGAAGAGCAGTCAGTAAGGAAAAGATCTGGGAATAATGATGCCAGGGAAACTGTGCTTTCCTACCACCCATATTTTCTTGAAATCATAAATTGTTAAACCAAGATAAAACTGTAGTGATCCCCACGCTCATCTCTTTCACTTAGCAAATATAGAATCAAGCTCAGTGGGGTAAAGTAATCTTCTGAATATCACACAGCTAGTAAGTGGTGGAGTGCAGACTAGAAACTACTTCCTGGGAATCCTGAGTTACCACAGTTACGACAACAGTTTGCAGCCTGGCTACATTATACTGGCCTAGACCACGGGTTGGTATCCCCTTGGACCAAATCCTGCCACCTGCATTCTTTTGTAAATAAAGTTTTACTGGAACACAGCCCAGCTCGTTTGTTTACATATTGTCTATGACTGCGTCCCTACAACAACGGAGAATTAAGTAGTTGACACAGAGGCTGTATGGGTCTCAAAGCCTAAAATATTCATTACTGGGCCCTCTGTAAAGAGTTTGCCAACCCTGGCCTAGTCCTGGCAGTCTTTGTTTCATTTTTTACCTATTCACTTAACTGTGCGTGTTGTTTCATGCACAGTCACCTGCATTCTCTTTCTCCCTGGTCCTCATCTCATACCTCATCCTTCTTCATCCCCAAGCCCATGACATACATAAAACTTCAATGCGTTGAGAGGTGGATCTGTCAGCTCCCTTTAGAGATTCATGGTTCACAGAGCACACGATGCTCGCCCCATCATCCTCCCGGGTAACCTGGAATGTCACCGAGCTGCTGACAGTGAAGGTTTTACCATTGGGATCTTCCTGTATGCGGGTTGGTTCTCCTAGAGTGCAGAAACAGTGGCACACACACAAACACACAGAGAGAGACACAGAGTAAACCTAACATACAGATATCATGTGGGCCTCATTGTAGACGTACAGATGGTGAGTCTCAACCTAGATAAACTTAGAAAGTTGTGGCAGGGAGAATGTAGGCCCCAACACACACATAGGCACTTGAGTGCACACAAAATATATGTCATTCCCCTTTTCTCTTCCATACCATGCCTCCTGTGTACGTTCACAGACAGGCACTTCTCTCTCTTTCCAGCACCACTTTCTCCTGTAACCCCAAGGCAGGAGGTACTCACCGTGGAGTTCTTGGTCACCCTTTCTCCAGGTGAGCCGGGCTGCAGGCTTGCTCCCAGAAGACTGACAGTTTAGGGTGGCTGTGTCTTTTTCCCGTAATGAAGATTTATAACCAGTGATGATGGGCTTCTGTGGAATTCCTGCCATGGATAGGGGATGGCCAGGATAGGAAGGAGAGGCCCCATGGGGTCACACTTCTGCTCTCCCTGTGGAGATGGCTTCTCTGCGTACCTGGGTTCTACTATAATTTCTGATGGGTAGAAGACTAGATAAATCATCTTTCTTTTTGATCTCCTCCCTGAGGACCAGAAAGGAAGGCCTGCGGGAGACAGCATGGCAGTGAGGAGCAATGCCATAGCACAGGCATGATATATGACCCTCCACTTACAGCACAATTGGGTGGCCACAGAAATAGTGTGAGTCTCAGAGACGCAAAGAAGGAAGTTGAAATATAGGATGAAATATAGGATGAAGATGAGAGCATGTAAGCAACTGGGGTACTTATTTTGGAAATTATAACACATGCATGTCTTGTGTTTTCCTCACACCATCTTGGGAGGTAAGTAGAAGGGGTATGATCATCTCTCTGTTATAAGAGAAAATTCAGACTCAAAGAGAGTAAGAACCTTGTCCTAGATCAAACAGCAAGTAGAGCACAAAGGATTAAAACCCATTTCTTTTTACATTTTATCCCATTGCCAGGGGAACACAGGCTGAACTTTCCTAAAGTGCTTGGAGACTTGCCTGGCTCCCAGCTGCTTCAGGGACCCATCTAGGGAGGTTTGTTTGCAAGGAAGCATGCTGTAGAGACACTGGGGTTTGGGAGTCTCACCTAGCACAGTGACGAGGGACTTGGCAGTTCGCACAGGCATAGTGAAGATTGAGCAGGTGTACTCGCCCTCGTCTGCCAGGGCCACATTGCTGATGCTGATGCTGAGCTCGTGGGGCGTAGAGGTAACCAGCTGAATTCGATTATCTCGAAGGGCTGGGGAAATCAAGAGAATGGAAAGCTAGGATTTTACTGGCACCTTTCATGTTTACCTTCCAATCCCAGGCCAGCTTCTTTGGGGGAAGGGGTCTAGTATGGTGGGTGGGGAAAAAATAACTGCTCCTGAGTTTAAGCAGTCTTTAAGTTATTCAATCACTTTTCTGGGTCATTAGACATAGTAGCCTAAGAGCTACTCAGAAAATAGTTTGGATTTCGTGAGCTTCATTGTCAGATACCTAGGGCAACACTGACTTCAGCTTCCTGTTAGAGTTCCTCCTGTGGGGTGAAGTCACTCCAGAACCCTGTAAGATTATGCATGCTGTAAATCAGAGCTGCAATACTGGAACCAGTTGGGGAACTCATGGCTTGTTACATCCTCAAACAGCAGACCACCATGTTTCTCAGCCTCTGGATGACAGGAACAGTTCCCCTCGGTGTCTGCAGTCCCCTTCTCTAGCCCATGGTTTTCACGGAGAAAGATAACTCATGAGATACTACCTCTCTTCTCCCCAAAGTAGAGAGTCTGCTGAGCAGGGTTAGACCATTGCAGGGATGAGTCCTCGTGATCTTTCACTTGGCACTTGAGCACCACGGTGCCACCAGCCACCACTGTTTCATCAGATGTCCAGGGCTGGCTGTCTGCAGGAGTAGAAGAGTGTTAGTTTCCTGAGGACCCCTAGCCCCTCCTCCCATTTCTGAGCCAAAGTACACCTCATCTAGTTCAGACCATCCAAGGCCCTTGTGTACACAAGGTCTCTGTGTACCCGTAAGGTTTCATGGGGGAAGGAAAAGAGGTGGTGGTGGCGGTGGAGGGAAAGACAGATCTTAGTTTTACTTACTTTGAATACACAGAAAAACAAATAGTCACTTGTTAAATGTTTCCTGAATGAACTGACAGGGCCACGAACATTTAGAGGAGTAAAGGCACCCCAAATCTGCACATACCACTCCACATGTGTCTTTTCTGATATGGTTCTACCATTTACCTCTGAAAACACACAGACATATCTGTTGTTCTACGTTTGGCCTTCCTGCCACCACCTACATATAAGAACAAGAACAGGAGAAGCAGTTGTGACTAATAATCCTAAAACTAAAATGGGGAAAAGGCTAAACCAGCTCTTGGATTGCACATTCATTTACACAAGAGGTAGCTGGTAGAAAACTGCAAAACAAACAAAATATTTTAAAAAGTGAAACATTTTTACATACATTTCAATTCGTCTAACAATAACTTCCCTTCAGTCAAGGCCCTTAGCATATTCCCCGTGGTATTAGTGTTACCCGCCTCCCAACACACAACCCAAATCACCATCCTGATGTTGTCATTTTAAAGAGGGAAGGATTAAGGTTTTCTCTTCAATGTGATGAAAACATGCTTTCTAATCCTTCTCTCCTTAGTCAAGTTAAACAAAACAAAACAAAACAAAAAGGACTAGGAAGATATCTTATGGATGAGGCATTTAAATCTCAACTGTGCCTTCTGGTCACGCCTACCGGGGAGCCCCTCAGGCTCCATGACACTATTCCTGTTGTTCCTTGTTCCCCACAGCATGGATTCTGATTTCCTGTACTGATTCCCTCATCTTCAGAACTGACTCTCTGTGACTCAGTAGCACTGATCCCCACCGAACAAATCTAAAATAGACAACACCTTCCAGGTCTGATTCTAATGCATCCACAAAAATCTGTTCTTTGACACTAAATTGTTTCACCAACATTGCTTATGTCTGAATAGGAAACTAAGAAACTTATTTCCTACATTCCCCTGTAGAGAACTTTAAAACAATTCCATGCTCCCTTTGGCACCTACCTTACCCCTGCCTGTCTGCTTATTCCTTTCTTGGTTACTGGAATTCCATTTCCAAGAAATAGCCAATGGGTGCTCCCAGCAGAGCAGAGGCCCTGAGGAATGAAGATGTGCGTGCTGGAGTTGATGCTATTGACTGATAGCATCGACTGTTCAGGGTGACTGTTCCCAAATTGGAGCACAAGCCTGGTGGTTAGTTTCAGCATTAAGAATTGTAAAAATTAGTAGAACTGAGTGAGATCTTTGGGATCATGGAATCCCTCATTTTACAAATGTAGGCAATGAGGCAATGGAGATGCAATGATTGCCTAAGCTCACTGTACTAATCTGAGTTAGAACTAGAACTCTGTTCCTGTGTCTTTCAATAAGGTGCCCTTTACATTGAAATGCTTCTCAAGTCATCATCTAAATTGAGCATTAAAACTATGATTTTGAGATTAGTGTACCATGGACTGAGCTGGCTGAGTAAAGCTGAAAGTGATATATTCCTAAAACCTCTCAAATGGTTTGAGAAACCTTTCATTTACCATAGCCACGTGCCAATTTTTGACCAGTCATCCCTTTGTCCCTGGTTCCCTTTGAAGAATTCTACCTGATTGTGTCTTCCCAGAACCTCTTTATTCTGAGTAATATATTCCCCTGGAATCATTTTATTTTTGGAAAGAAGTGTAGGGTGTACAGAGGTCTCTGTACTGGAGTAAGGGAAGAAGGAGTAGGTGCAACAGAATTTGGTGGTGCAGACTAAGAACTAAAATGTCAGATGGAAAGGAGAAAGTGCTGTGTGGTAATGAGAGGAGTGAGAACATGTGGTGAAGGCAACATGAGTGGGAGAGGATGTGAGGATGAGTGAGGGAACTGAGGGACATTGAGATGAGGGGGCCTGGATTCTCACCTTGACTGGCCAGCATGTCAGGGCTGCTCCAGACTGTGGAGCTGATGGCCTCGTCGAGTGGAGCCAGAGTTCCCAGCTCCAAATCCTGCTCCTGCCAGTAGCCTGGGGAGAGAATCTCCATCAAGCATGAGCCCTACATGTATCCTGCTACAGTGTGGGGCTCTACTTTCATTGCTGGGCATGTGGGAAAGGCTAGGTCCCTGTGAAAAATAGGTTCACCAGGATACCTAAGAGAAGGTAGGGTTCTTACCAAGGGGCGAAATTAACTAGAGTTCTGAAAAAGGAAGTGACTTTTTCTCTGAAGGGGTGAATTAAAGGAGGATGCTAACTTTTATCAGTCAGTCATAGAATGTTAGTGCCAAAGAGATCTTAAGAGTTCATCCAGTCTAGTTCTCCCACTTCGCAGATGAGGACAATGAAACCCTTAAAGGTTAAAAGTGACTTGGTGAAGTTCACTAGAGAAAAATGAAAGACCACCAAAGATTTCTCATTCCTTATCCAGAATTCTTTCTGCTCCACCATATGATTCACTAAAATTACTACACATTTAATAATTAGAAAATACTTTCACATGTAACCCTCTTAATAAACCTGTAAAATAAGTACAAGGACATTATCATTCCTATTTTGCAGAGTGGAAATAGAATGAAATGACTCGCCCAGGGTCATACAAATAGGAGATGAAGACTAGAAATTCAATGCCTGATTTTAAATACAAAGCTCTATTTGTTTCAATGTGAGACTCCCACCATTGAAGAAACAGATCATGGTTAGGGCTGAAAGTTGTACCATGTCTTCCCAGATTGCTACCTTCTATGGGCTACTCAAATTATCTTTTTTCCCTACTCTACCCTTAGCCCCTCTAAATGACTGAGTCTGCTCCTTCCTCTGGGACAACAAACCCCTTTTCCAGGGCCTGCGTCACCTCCTCACCTCTCTTCCTATAAGGTGGCTCCTAACGCCTTTCTTGAGGTATTGCAAGGAAAACTAAGGAAACCAAGAAACTTACTTCCTACATCCCCCTGCAGACAATTTTAAATCAATTCCATGCTCCCTTTGGCACCTACCTTACCCCTACCTGTCTGCCTATTCCTTTCTTGGTTACTGGAATTCCATTTCCAAGAAATACCCAATGGCCTAAGTCCCTAGCCCAACCTGAAGAGGCGGAGGGACAAAGAAACCGGCCTTGCGAATCTTTTCAGGGTCTCCCGCCGCAGCGCCCCGAAGTAGCCAATCAAGTGCGCAAAATTCAGTGAGCTCATCCGCTGCTGAGCAGAGCCCAGAGCTGCTACGTGTCCGGGCTTTGGAGTCCCGGGTGAACTTCGCCAGTCGTCCCAGCGCGACTCAGAGCCAGCTGGGGAGAGGCAGGTGGGGGAGGAGAGGGGAGAAAGGGGCGCTAGGACCGAGAGAGGGCGCGCGGGGGCCGGGAGGTCGAGATTACAAAGAAAAGTGGGACGTGGGCTTAGGGTCCCTGAGGAAGAAAAGGACAGGACTAGGGAGAGAATTGCCTAATCAGAAGCAAAGGGAAAGAGAGGCGAGGGGCGAGAGGAGAGGGGAGAGGGGAGGGAGAAGAGGAGGGGTACAGGATAAAGAGGGGGTGGAGAGGGAAGGGAGAGAATGGGAGGCCGGAGAGGGGAGGGAGTCAGGCAGGAAGCAGGCAGCGTTAGAGAGTCCTAGCATGGGAATGGGACTCTGAGACAGCTGCGGAGGTTCCCTGGCCTCCATGGAGGCACCTCCCCTCTTCTCTGCTCCTCACAGACAGCTTCCAGGAGATTTTAGGAATTACTCTGTTCTTAAATGGGAGAAGCGCTAATGCCCAAATGCTGAGAAGGAGTAAAGCGGAGAAAACAGAGAAAAACAGTCACAAATAGAGAGAAGTAGGCAGGAAAGGCGGGAAAGGGAACTGTCGATAAAAGAGAGGCAAGCAGGATGAGAATGAGAGAAGGAAAGGGGGCTGGGGAGAGGGCCAGGACTGTCACATCCAGCAGGGGCTCTCCCTGAGTGCCCCACACTCACCCTACTACCTTCTGTGCACATGGAGGATGGAGGCAACCTGAAGGTGGTGAGTGCTCATATTGTTTTTCCGGTTGTGTGTTCGTGGGTGCACTGTGTCAACGTCAACACACAGTAGGGAACCAAATTGGTTGTGCCAAGGTGTGGGACGGCAGAGGGACAGGGAGAAGACAGAGAGGACTCACACTCAGTCCCTCGGTATTGGTATCCAGTGCACAGTGAGTACTAAATAGGCCTTTGCTCAAATGAGTGGAGGAAATAGCCGTCTCATACCATAGTATAGGACTTTCAGTTTGCAGAGTGGATTTTCAACCACGAATTCATTTAATCTCAAAACAAACTCAAGAGATAGGCAGCCAGATAGAACTGCTTTTTACAATGAGGTTCAATTACTTACCTAAAGGCACACAAATAGCATACCTCTCCAGAATCCCTTCTGCCTCTGATGGTGCTTTGGGGGCTTTTTTGACATTCTGTGTTTCTTATGGCATTCCAGTGTGATTTACTTGTTTAGTTATCAGTCTCCTCATCTAAACTTTGAGCTGGTTAAGAGCAGGAGCCTTAAGTTATTCACCGTTGTGTCGTTAGCACTTAGCCCCTAGTGGGCTCTCGGTACATTTAATTGGCTCTGGTAATTCATTCAGCCACACTTGGCACTGTGCTATGTATATTGTTAATCAGGCAGAGCATGTATTCTGTCCAACAGCATGGGCTTAGTCTTCACTCTGCTGCTTCTTCTTTCATCTGTGCTTTTTTCTGCATCCTCCTCAGTTGCTTTTCTCCTTGCTCATATTTCTTTCATCCCTCCCCTCCTCCTGCATTTCACAGGCATCTTTTTTCTGCATAGGATGAATAAGTGAAATAGTGATGTAGATCATTCAAACCAAACTGAATTGTTCAGATCAGAGGACTGATAACCAAATGATCTCCAATAAATGTCATATTTGGGATGTACATGATGTATTGCCTCTATGGGTTTACAGAGCACTCACTCTGGTTTGTGGTGTCTTAAGAAACTGTGTAAGAGGTGGCTTTTTTTTTCTTCCCCCAGGGGTGACATTTCTCCCTCTAAGTTTGAAATGCACTTATAATCTCATGTCTTCTCTTGAGAACTGTCTCTTAATACGCTTGAAAGTTATCCTGTCATTTTATAAAATTGTAAGCCTGTATAATAAATTCCGAATGGCCACTCCCCAGGGAGTGGATGAGTGATTATAATGCTATCAACAGAAACATGGATAAGTAGCAGAAATTATAACCTGGGTTGTGAAAGACTTGTACCTTCTTTGGATTCAGATTGTGTCAGTCATTTATGACATCAGCATGAATTCTCTCAATGAATGCAGACTGGAAGGGAAAACTTAGGAGTACTCTGAATGGGTGGTATGGAATTTGAGGTGGAAATAGGAGCTCGGAAGGAGCTTCTGTCATTGAGACCATACAACCATTAGTGAGAGAAGGCCCAGGTTGCTCAGGTAGAAGAACAGATGAAGAGAGTTTCAGTCATATCGGTCATATTCTTTCCCTGCTTAGAAACCGTCACTGACTCTCCACTCTCTGCAGATAATACCCAGAGTTGTCAGCCTAGCCTTCAAGGTCCTGTACAGTCTGATGCCGAGCTTCATTTCAGTTTTGTGTTTTCTCTACTCCACTCACCCTGCATTCCAGGCATGTGAAGCCTTTTGGAATTCTCTCTATGAACGCTTTGTTTTTCTGCATCCGTTCCTTTGCCTGCAATAACTTTGCTGATAATGCCCTTCACCCATCTTCACATGTCTAAACTTTATCTATGAATAAAGCCTACATTTTGTGGCATATCTTTCCAGAAGTCTTCCCTGATTGTCCCAGATTGAAATAATTCCCCACTTCTCTGAGTTACACACTTTATCTGCTTTTTCTTAAATTATGCATTTCTTTCTACTTTGTACTGCAAGTTTGACTTTCCTCCCAAATTATAACGATTCCATAGGTAGGGTCTGATGCATTTTGCATCCAGTATTGGCCCTAATATAGCATATTGCTTATAGAAGGTGCTTAATAAATATTTCTTTATTAAATGAATCAGATACTAAGCATCTTCTACTGTAAGAGTTAGGTTCAAAATCTGCCGGTAGAGAGGAAATAGCAAACCAAACAGGAGATGAAGAAACAGGCCAAGGGAGATGGTAGACTACCCAGAAAACTATAAGACAGAAGAAATTGGTATTTATCAACAGTTTCTATATGTCAGGATCCAAATTAGTTGCTGTATATTCATTATTCCAGAACAACCTTTTAATAGCTAGATATTATTACACACACGTTAAAGCCGAGTTAAGAAACTTGTCCTTATGATGTATCTAATAAGTACTGGGATAGGATGGACTTTAAACTTAGACCTCTCTGACCACAAAGCCCAGGCTTTCTGCACATCTTTACTACACTGTCCCCCTCTGCAGAAGCATGTATTTTGTGTGTGTGGTGGTAGGGTAGAGCGTAAACTGGGAAAGATTCCTTGTTGCATTGTGGCCAGGGGTGACTCACCTAAACAATATTTACAACATTCACCTGCAGTATGATGAAAACGACAGTATAGCAAATTGGAAATGCGCACCTGTGGTGTTGACGGTCCTGTGGTTTGTACCCATTGAATGTACATTTTTACTTGGATGCCTTAATGTGCCTGCACCTATACCTTTGGGACTATTTCATGGACCCCTAAGTGCCTTACCGTGTGGGACTCTTCAGATAACCAAGCAAATGGCATGTCTAGTTAAAAAAAAATCTCCTTGTGTTTTCATAGCACTCTAGCAGCTAGGCTGAAAACTAAAGAATTATCTTCTTGTCTGTTCTGAATTGCTTTGGAGGTTTCTTAACTCTTGCTTTATTTGCTCATGGGTTCTAGTATCTTTAGGATTTCCAGCATTTTAAAGGACAAAGTAGCCCTTTCACCCACTGATTTTCTTCTTATTGATTGTTCATATTAAGAGTGGCAGAGGTGGGAATTGGAGAATTACTAATGTGCTTCTTTAAAGCACCTGTTATTCAGTTTTTCACTCATAGCACAGAGTCTCACACATAATAAGTGCTCAATAAATATTTATTGAATAAATAAATGAGTAACTCAAATAAATAAAAATGTATTGTCTTGAATTTAAGCAACTTTAGTGGAAAGTCTATGAAAGTCTGCCAGTATAACCCCGGATTGCTTGGTTTATATATTGTCCCTGCCGTGTCTGTTTTGGGGACCTATAACATATTGGCCTTACAGCCATAAACAGGGTCACAGGTGCACAGGTCAGATGGTGGAACAGGAGGACAGAGCTCTCCTGAATAACTGCTGCTGGCCTTGCCAGTGCTTGAGTCCAGAGTCCCACTTCCCTGACTGTAGAAAAAAAAAGCTCCCTGAGTAGGAGTTGATGATGATGGTGATGATGATGATGATGACTCAGCATTTCTCTAACTCCAGAGTTAAAAATACTGTTCATCCCAGCCTACTTGTTATTCCTCACGACTACCATGACAGGTGGGTGGAGGAGTGTTATCTCCAAGGGAAAAACATATTGGGGGCTGCGGCCCAGAATACTGAAGGGACCCACTTTTAGAATGGTTTATCTACATCCATTGCTGGGCTCCTTGTCCAGATTATGTCATTCTCATTTTTCCCTAACCCCAGCTTCTTAGTGAATTCTATGTACAGTTGGATCACATGCACAAGAGACTGGCCATAGCAAAATCAGGATTAGAACTCAGCCCCTGGAGCTTTTCTTTATGCTCAGAGTGACAGTTTTCTTTGACAGTGAATATTTGGTTGTGCATTTGGAAGAAATCAGACCACTTCTATCTGAATTCTGATTTAGCTGAAAACTTCAAAATTTGGGGGAGTTGCTTTGACTTTAGAGCACAAAACGCTGGTCAGAAGGAACTCTGTACAGTTAACTTCCTTCGGTTGTTCTTGGGCAGCCAGCAGCGATGTCACATCTACTGAAGTCACTTTGTAATTTCCTAATCTAAGGCTTTGCCTGAATGTCAAAATATTCTCTTACTTCCTACCCTCCATTCCTTTCTAACTCTGTCTGTCCCCCATTAAATTCCTAATTCCCTAATGGCCACGATATAATAGTGTAGTCAAATAGAAGCTGAGCCATACGGGGTGGGAGTTATTCTGTCATCTGGTACCCTCTTTCTTTCCAGATACTATTTTTTCCTTTTTCATTGCTCCTCAGGGAAAGGCCTCTTGTCCCCTCACAAGCAGCAGTCTCCTAAAGGATCTCCTTTCCTTAGTTCCAATGCGTTCCAGCTCACATCCACTTTGGAACTTCAGAGCTCAGTCACGCTTCAGCTGCCTACCTCCCTGATCTAGGCCTTCTCTCCACCTCACTGCCCCATCCACCCTCTTTCTGGCTGGGCTACTGAGACCTTGCTCCTCCTTGTTTCCTCTCTCTATTATTTCTGTTGCTGTCTGGTTTTTCCTCCTATAGTCTTGTTTATCAAGCAGCCTCTTGATAAACTACTCTGTCCCAGCTTTGCTTTACTCTCCTAGGAGGCATACAGGATATGAGTGAAGATAGATGGTCAGTAGGAATGGAGAACAGAATCTTCACTATAAGAAGTCCTAACATGTGTATTAGCTGCTTAGCTTGGTAAAGCCTGGGCCAGAGATCCAGGATTTATGGACCCAGGGGTCCTACACTATTAGATTATCTAAGAGATTTAGATTTGGAAGGAACCTGTACCCAATCTGGGCTCAAACAGGTTTATTATTACACCTTGGCAGACATCTTTTGGTTCCATCCTAAGCAGGTTAAAAATGAAAGGCTTTTGTTTTCTGCTTTGGGAATGGTGTGTGGCTAGGCTTTTCCAGGCTGAATGAGGAGGGAATCTTTGAGATAGTTAGCTAGCTTGCCTGTGGTGGGTGTTAAGGTGGGGTTAAAATGAAAAGCTTATCTTAGAGTTAACCCTTGGTTCTCACTGAAAAACAATTATTCTTAACATTTTTTAATATCCAAAGTTTAAGAGAAAATTCAAATGTTTTCCCCTATCCAAACTTTAAGGTATTATGAATACATATATTTTACATAGTTCCTAAAACCTTGCAGCCAACTTGCGTATCTGGTCATAGCCTACTGAATCCTAAGGGTCAGAGGTGGTTATTTCTAAGATCCTTTTGATTTTACAGAAGGATGGAACTAATGCCCTTTCTGACTCTCTATTGTCCAAGTTCAGTAATTCCTTTTTTCTTTCTGTTGCACCTAATTCTGCCCAAAATATTCTCCCCTCTATGATTCTTAGAAGTGTAGATTTTTATAGTTGACAAGATATTAAGTATCATCTGGTCCAATCCTCTTATTTTAAAGATGAGGAACCAAGGCTCAGAGAGGTTTAGGAACTTGAGCATGGTCACACAGGCAGTGAGTGAGACCTGTACTCATTGATAGTTTATAGCAGTCCTTGTGGACTGGCTAATTCAGTGGTTAATTTGACACTAAGTGTCAAATATTTCCGCTGACACCCACTCTTCCTATGCCTCATCTCCTGTGCATGATACTGAGGAACTCCAGGACCGTGGACCTTAAGAGAAGTAAGTCTACTAAATGCCCAGTAGGTTGGAGAAGTTTGGTTATGATGAAGAGGGAGTCCCTGAAGATGGGGCGGATGGCATCTTCTTACACTTCAGGGCTTTACCGGCAGGTTCCAGTTCACACAGAAGAAGAGGCCATTGGGCAGAAGTCACTGCCATGCCCTTTGGAGCTAAAAAGGGTGACTGTGAGGACAGGTGGCATGTGTGTGTGCGTGTGTGTGTGTGTGTGTGTGTGTGTGTGTCTGTCTGTGTGCTTGCTGGCATCTGCAAGGTGAAGAGCTGAGGGAATGCTAACCTGATTGTGAAGCAGGAGACAGGGGCCAGAAGAGAAGAGAAGAAAAAAAGCAGAGGAACATGTCCTATTCTTGAGCTGGAGAGAGAAAAAATCTGGAGGCAGAAGTGGGCTTGTGGTAGGCTGAGGGGGGCCTTCAGAGACTTAGTTAAGATTCCGAGGAGCAGAGACTGGGAAGTGGGTGGCAGGGAAGGAGGTGGGGACAGCTGTTGCTTTGATTTGCTATTGAGTCAGTGTTCTTGGTGCATTAGCACCAGGAGGGAGCCCTGGGCTGGCCCCCAACCAAAACAAGCCCCTCTGTAGCCAATACTGAGTTGTAGCAAGGAGAACTGCAGTTGAGAGACAAAAAGGGAGGGGATTTGATCCCGAAAGAGTCTCTTCCTTGCCTTAGCTGCTTCCTTCTGGGACTGGGCTGTGTGCTCTAGACAAGCATCTAGTGTTCTGCCTGAAGAGGATGAGAGGGTGAGGTGAAACTGAGCACGGGGGAGGGCTCAGTGAGGACCTCTAGAGCACAGATTCTGTGCAGGTACTGACTGTCTTCAGTTGTTTTGGAGTAGGCCCCTGAAGACAGGATGATAACAGCCCTGAGCCATTTTAGGAGTGTCTGTTTATCCCATCTCCTCATTCCCTTCTCACTATGATCAAACACTTTAGACATACGGACAGGTATGACTTGAAATCTGCATTCTAATGCAATACAGTCAGGAGGCCAGACTTTGAACTCTTAGTTGTCCTCTTAAACTAAGTAGAGGGATTTTATACCCTTTCCCCCAATTTATCTTGCTGTTTTCACACATATGTAATAAAACTGGGGGGAAAAAGTTCCTCATCTTAGGAAAGTACTTGAGAAAGGAAACATAACAGAGTCAAACGCAGAATTCAATTTAGCTCATTGGAAGGGTATGGGAAAATAGAGACTGGGAATGGGCCAGAAATCCCAGAAAATCAGAAGTAAAGAATATATTCTCTGGAGATGAAAAATCTCAGCCCAGGTTCCAACAACTTGCTCATACTCTGCACTACCCATCCCAGTGCCCCAATACCTGTCTGAGGGCATGGATGAATTCCCTTTCTCAGTGGGCTCTGTCTTATTCTCCTATGCTCCTTATGTTGCACTTTAGATATTACAGGCTGATGGCTTGGTGTGGTGGGATAACAATGCTGTGGAAAAGTTTAATTTGTTAGAAGTCAAGCAAGAAAGCACTCATCTCTGCTGGTTCTGATTTTCCTGACTTGTTTTTACTGTTTCCCTTCACTGGATGATCAGAGTCTGGGTGTGGATGACAGGTTCAGGGCAATGGTTAGGAGCATTACATGAAGAAAAATGTGTTCTGCTCTACACACCCACACTACTCTAGTTTCACTGATTCCCCCAATCCTAACTGCTATTTAGTCTCCCTGCACTCTTCTCACTTAAAAAAAAAAAAATCTGTATTTTTAAAATTGCGGTACATTGTTCGCATTAGCCTCACTTTGTGAGAATTTCACTCTTCTGTGAAATAGATACATTCTCCCAAGTCCACAGATCTCACAGTCCCCGAAATGGAAAATAATATTGTTCTGACATAAAGAACTCTTATCTCTCTTCTTAAATCTCCATTGAGTGTCTCTTATTTGATGGGGGCAAACACACATTTTTGTTCCCTAAGATAGATGCATATTTTGACATGTGCCCCTCAATACACACACACAAGACACTCTGATTCTCACTAATCATATTTCTGGGGTTTTTTTCTGACATGAACACACAGATTTTATTATGACCCAGATACAGAGCCCTTTTCACATGCCCATATTAATCAGAACCCCTTACTTCCAGAATACCATATGGCTTAAACTCAGAGATTCTCCCCAAAGCAGAATTCAGGCTCTCTCTTCTGCTCAAACTCCCCAGGAGAGGGCCAGAATCCTCTCCTCTCCAGGGTTGAGGCTCAGTCCATCTGTCACTGACATTGGACTCCAGGGCTTGGAAACCAGAAAAGAGTTGGCATTAAGTGGCAATTGAGGATAAATCAAAATATGGGAGGCTCAGGGGCTTAGTGGTGGTAATTTTTATATTTGTGTGAGATTAGCAGATAGAAGTTATGGGAAGAAACATATAATATGTATTTGGAAAGATCTCATCCTTAAGAACTACAGCAAGAACTAGTGAGTGCAATTGTTTCACTGTAATTTTTGCATTTGCTGGGCAAAAAAAAAATGATTAGGAGCAGATGGTAAAACTGGCTTCTCATTTTATAATAACTCAAGAACTCAGCTCCAGGCTCTTCAGACTGACTGACTGCTATGCTAAGTTCCAAGTTACCTCTCATTGATATACTTACTGAAATCAGAATTGGAAGCAAAGCGCCAGGTCATAGAAGGGTAAAAGTAAAATATGAAACAAGAATCTGCATATTTCCAATAAAATCTGTTGTCAGAAGTACTAGTTCTTCATCCTACCTTGCCAGTATTTGGGAGTATATGAAGAAAGGGGAGAAATGAATAATGGCTAGCCTACAGATGAGTGCCTGAGACATCAGCCTTCATTACTTTTTCTTTTTTCTCTCTAGAGCAAGGTGATGCACCTGACCTTCTTGACCCTGAACTAGAAGTAAATGAGCCAAAGGTGCTTATAATTAGCAATCAATACACAGTTAGTGTAAGTCTAGCTGGGGAAAGGGAAAATAAATCCTTAGAGAAGACAACATTTTAGTTTGTTCTTTAAGTTATTTAGCTTTCTTATTGTTCTCTTGGAGACTTCCAAGAGAAAGAGAGAGAGAGAAGAGAATCTTGAAGAATCCCAGGGGTAAGAGTTCACATTAAAGAATGATATATGTGCTGAAAAATATGTTGAGATTTCTGTATTTGAGTCCTTTCTGAAACCTGCCTGCTCTTCATGAGAACAGGGGGCTTAGGAAGATGAGTAGATGGGAGACACTCCAGCTGTTACTATAACCCTAATTCTGTCTTGCTGAAGCCTCGCTCATAGAGATAAATCACTCTCATTACCTGTCCTTGAGGAATGAAGTTTCTCCTTGTTTCAAATGAAGAAATGAAAGAGGAGTCCTGGAAATTCATCCTGGAAGCCTGCCTCTCCAACTAGACTCTGCTGTAGGTCACTCATAAGTATTAACTATTATATTAACTCTTATCCATAAATTGACATGGGAAAATCAGCATTTAGGGGATGAGAAGCTTGTGTAGTTCTGATGCGATGTGAAGAACAGGCTGGCTAATCTAAGACTGACGGGCTGAGCACTCTCAGCTCCCTACGCCGTTTGATATCATCAGCTTATTGGAAGGTACCCTTAAAGCATAGCAGAGTAGAGTTTAAAGATGCATCTACTGAGATATGGCCAAGGACCTGTGCTCTGGGAGAAGATGGTTATATTTAAAGCCATTTAGTTTTGTACAAGGTGGTTATAAAGGTGGGGAAGTTAAGTCAAGATTTTGATATTTGTTTTCTCCTATACATGTACTAACCAGGCCTAACCCTGCTTAGCTTCCGAGATCAGACAAGAGCCGGTGCGTTCAGGACGGTATGGATGTACACTTGATACTTGCTTTCTATGCCTCTCATTTACTGGATTCCTCCATTATCTATTCTGATAACCCATTGTTATGTATTGTCTTTGCTAAGGTTGAGGGAAAAGGGTAAAAAAGCACCATGACAGGAAAGTTAGAGTTGGTTGTCATGCTCAGAGTGCTATTAAGAGGTACATGTTTATAAACTGGGTAGGATTCATTTTACATTCCACACTTATAGTGTATACAGTCAATCCTGCATATACATGGGTTCCACCTCCATAGATTCAATCAATTGCAGATTGAAAATATTTTTAAAAGCTGTGCCAGTACTAAACTTGTATAGACATTTTCCCCTGTCGTTATTGCCTAAACAATACAGTAAAACAACTATTTACATAGCATTTAGATTGTATATGGTATTATAAGTAATCTAGAGATAACGAAGTATACAGGAGAATGTGCATAGGTTATATGCAAATGCCACTCCATTTGATATCAAGGACTTGTGCATCTGCAGATTTTAGTATCTGTGGGAGGTCCTGGAACCAATCCTTCATGGATACCAAAGTACAACTGTATATTGTTATCATATAAGAGCAATACTATCTCAATCTAAAACAGAACTATATATAGTTGTATTTTTAATCTATGAATCCAGATATGACAAAACATTCAGTTCTTTTGAGGCCATTTGAGGTCACTGTAGGCCACAATTTCCTGAGCATCTTACAAAAACCTTCTAGCACTTCTTTTTTAACCTAAGAATTGCTTGCCCTTCTGTTCCCTTTCTGCAGTTGATCAGATGGCTGTGAGGACTTTCTAGATCTATATCTCAGAGTTTTGTCATGTGTTTGTGGTGGAACAGGTCGGGGAGCATAACCAAGAACCTGTGTGTTTGTGGTGGCAGGGAGGGAGATTTCAGCCCTGTTCTGGGGACTGCACTGTGGAGAATAAGGAGATTATGAAACTTGGAGGTAAAACAGGACCATGGAGAGCAACAAGAAAAGCCTGGAGTGTCACTGTCAGGGGCTAGCACCATGGAGAGCTCAAAGCACAGGTATAATAGTTTGCTCCATAAAGAACAGGGGAACTGGGATCACGGGGTAAGGCAGCCAGCTCTCAAGCACAGGAACTAAAAGAACAGACATCATGGCTTCTATTAGGATCACTCTACGCTCATCACTTGCTCTATAAGGCCTCCTGAAGTGCTTTATTTGAACCTGTCTGGTTGATACACAGTCAAGAGACTGTGCTGAAAAATGAGGACCACCACCAGACTCAGTTTGTCAACATGATCTTCTGTGATTATGTTAAATACCTAGATATTAGTGGTGATGGAGGGGCTTTTAATGTGCTACAACTTACCGTGAGTAAAATTAGGCCTATCTTCTAAAGAGGGAACAGAGAGCCTGTGCCCCCTCAGAGACAGTAGGATGCAAGAAAGTCAAAATATGTATTTTCGTCAGGTAGGGTATGAGACGTATCAGACTCAGAATGTCCCAATGTATCCAAAATTGCTGTAAGTAGTTCAGACAATCACACTAGAAGAGAGGTATGGAATCATGCCTCTTAAGAAGAGTATTGTTCTCAGGATTTAGAAGTTTCTCTGTTAGTTGAGGAATTTGATGACGGCCTTAAGGCTTAGGAAAATTTTGGTAAAGAAAGAAATGATTCTTTAGTAGTTGCTGCTTCAGTGAAGAATATGTACCTTTACTTCTTAGCATCTTAGCTTCTATTGTGTAAAAATCTCAACAGATTCATGCGTTCAAGCCTCTTGAGAGCTCGACTTCTCTGTACTAGAAGGGATGGATCTTCTTGTCATATATAACAGAATTGGACTGGGTTTTTACTTGGGTAGTTATTGGAGCCCTGGGCACCAGCTGGTTCTGACCTTGTAAAAAATCATCACTACTGCTGATCCCAGAGGCAGAAACAGGTCTCTAGCCCTGGAAACTTGTTCTTCTTCATTTTATGATGACCTGAAGTATTTATACTTAATCGGAGCAAGTTCTTAGAAACAGAATCTTTTTCTGATGGCTTGCTTCTCCAGGGTCCTTTTCTGATGGTTTGTTTCTCTCTGTCTTTTGTAAGCATTTCCATGGGGATTGCTATTCTCAGAGATTAAGGGTGGACCTCTAAAACAAGACCCCATACAGGAAACAAAATGTTCTAGTACATGGGCCTATAGTCAGTGTTAAACATGAAACATTACATTCTAACATGAAAAATAAAAGAAAATATAATTACCAAAACTTTATAATAACTTTGAATTTTTCACTCAGTAGTCAGTAAGTAGCTGGTCCAATCCACAGCTTGCTTTCAACAAGAATCTGGAACCTAGATCACCATCCTTAGGTAAAATTCCATTACTGAGAATTAGATGACAAAAAAGGGATTGTTGAGCCAGTATGCAGTTCCACTGGAGTAGGAAACAACAAAGAATAAGACTAGTCACAGCCCCAGGGGTTTTCTTTCTCTGGTGATATTTTTTCCTACCAAGTGATTTAAGGAAAATAAACTTTTGATCCTGTTTTACATATTATTTGGACTGCAAGAAAGTAGTAACATCAAGAAGTACCAAAATCAAATCTAAGAATTTACAGAGCAATGGCACAACCTCTCAGTTTGTTATTTCAAAGTAACCAGAACGCCAAAGCGATGCTGTCTCTGGAATTTTATGGCTGCAGAACTATGAGTCACTCTCTCCAAGTGAATAGTGAATATCTCCAACAAGGCACTCTTGCAATTAGATTTGGACCTTCTTTCTTCTTCAGTTGGAAGAGGAAAGAGAAAGAGCCTAAGGGTAGTAAGCTGGCTCATTCTATCAGTCTAGGACAGAGGATTTTGAACTGTGTGGTAGAACCCCAGGTAGTTCCTTAAGGATTATAAGAATGTGTAAAAGCCAGTAAGACAGGGAAAAGGGATATAGGTCTTACTTCACCATTTCAACAACAGCATTCTCCTTTGATATGTTTTCCTCATTTGTTAAAAATGTCTCACATCTTTGTTTTAAAAACAAATGAGAAAACTGCTGCCCTAGAGGAAACTATTAAAACTAACAGTGCTATCCAGATCTATGGAGAAGCTTAGAATAGAATGGCATAACTGCTGGGTAGGCAGTTGACGTTACATACATTAGGACCTACATGAAACACACTGATTCTTCATGGAATTAACTAAACTCTGCTATGCAAGTGTCTCTGTGATGGTCTTAACTTTTCTGTGCCAGAAAATGCACATGTCTAAAAGGAGAGCATATCCTTCCCAAGAGTTACAGCTGCAACTAGGAGGAGAACAGGAACAGCAACAGAACAGTTACAGCTGCAACTAGGAACAGAAACTGGATGGAGTTGATCTGCCAAACAGATCTGTGGACAGCACTAGAGTGAATGCCTGCTGGACTTCTGTGGCACATTGGGCATGATGTCCTCACTGGGCATCTGGCCAGGGGGCTGTAGAATGAATGGTAGTGGACAGAGGTCATTGAGAAGAAATAGATGTTCATGTGTGGGGCAGTGCAGTACAAGGTTAAATTGCTATAACCTTATCTGAAACAAAGAGAGGCTATCCGTCTATCTATCTTTACCCTAGGCCAAGTCACAGAGTGCTGGAAATAACTTCAGAAGGAAGAGCCCAAGAAAGCTGGTCACAGTGTTGAATATTGAGCTGCTCACCAGAGAGAGGACACATTAAGTTCACAGGACTTATGTCCTCCAAACCCAGAATTGTCAACCACTGTGAAAACTAGTGGGGAAATGTGAGAAGGAAGGGCAGATGGGACATTCTAAATGTCTTACCTGTTCCTGAACTTCTAGCCACAACACTCATGGCCAGTCTTAGTTATCAGCTGCTTGCCCTCTCAATCCCTGTTCAGCCTTATGAAGCTTAAAAAATTTATGCTGTGCTCCAGGGAATGATATGCCCCAGCAGCACATTAAGTTTGTTTTCCTTATTTTAAATGGGAATAGGTATGCTACCACAACACCCTTGACAATTCAAACATCACCATAAGAGTATCTTGTCCTTAAACCTTCCCACCACATCTCTCATAGTTTTGGTCAAACATTACCAGTTAAGATACATATACATATTGCCTAGTTCTCTTCCTAGGGGCCCCAGGCCAACTCAGGGGTACGAAACACATGTCCATGATTGTGTGCAAAATAGTCTTCAGGATTACTGTCCGTGAGCATTAAATCTATGCATTTACCTCCCACCATCAGCACTGGCCTTCTTAGATCCAGAAACTAAAAGATAGAATTAATTTAAGACAGAAGATATGGTGGTTATGTCTCATGCATCAGTGTGTCCTGAGATACTGCACACCAGACAGATGTCCATTATCTGTAAAGATAATGCTCTTCAAGGAAAATGATGCTTGGTTTGACTCTTCTTTGGAAACAGACCCCTCCTGTTCATCTCCCACTTCCCCACCTCTTCTCTAGAAATTCCCCATTCAGAAGTTACTGCTTTCCACTGTTTCTCTCAGGCCACTGCTCTGAAGCATATTTCTAAATATGAGGATGTAACATTTCTCTTCCTCTCAACTTTAAGCCTGAATAGGGGCTGAACCCCCAGTTTGAGGACCAAGAAAGAAGAGTGTAGTTGGTGAAGAAAGACTTGGCTAGTATACTGATTTACTCTAGTCTATAGTTTTTTTTTACATCTTAGAGTAGAAGAGCTCACAGCTTTCTGGATGACGTCTTTCTCTCTTTTTGGGGCCCAGCCTAGCACCATCAGTTCCCATTGCTGAACAGTTGCAGTTTGGATCATATTTGCCTCTCGTCATAAAACTCAGCAGGTTAGGAAGGCCAGGGGCTGCAGTTGAAAGTCAAGGCCTAGTAGCAGGGTCATTAATGAAGCACAAACACCCAGCAGCCTCTCTGTCGTGCACTTAGCCTGCTCTCCCCAAGGACTCCCTTCAGCTCCTCAGTGAGTGGGGTCATCAGTGCAGTCCTCTGGGGAAGGGGATTCCACGTAGGGGAAAGGAGAGGCTGCTGTCTCTGTGGTGACTAGGGCGGGAACTCCCTTTGGGGAGTTTGATGGGTAGAGGGCAGAAGGAGTAAGCCAGCCAGCCAACTATAGGGAGGGGATCCCCAGGGTCCCCATACCAGGGGAAGCTCCTTTATCACGATGGAGACAGGGATGGGGGAGGTCAGGCGAGGTGGAGCGATTATTCCTCCAGCACCCTGGCTCTTCGCCTGTTTTCCTCAGATGAAATTCTCTACATCATCCTTCCCAGTTTCAACCCCTCCCCTCTCCACCCCCGCCCCGCCCTGTGCCCATCCCTGCTGGCCACTGGGTCCATCGCCCAGGAGCCACCTCCCCTTTCTCCTCCCCTGCGGTTCTTTCTGTTTTTCGTTGGCATCTGGCCGGGCATAGCCACCACCCTCCCCCTTCACTCTCCCCACTTCCCTTTGCTCCACAGAGGTCCTGTTCCCTCTCCCCCTTCCTCCATCCCAGCCCTCCTCCTCTTCCGACAGGGCGGTGGGGGGAGGAGGATGCATTCCTTCAGTCTCTTCACAGCCTGCCCTCCCTCCTCAGGGACCTGAGGCTCGGAGCTGTGGACCCCTTCCGGGTTTCCCTACAGGCTGCCCCTCTGGCATCCCACTAACCGTTAGTAGCCTTTAAGAAAGCTGAGGTGCCCCCACAGCGCTGACCTACATAGCCCGGCCCAGGGCGGGAGGGGCTCTTCCCCAAGTCCCCTCACCCCTGGCCCCGCCTCCTTTCTCCCCCGACTCCCTTCCTTCATCTCTCTACCATTAGGAACCAGCGAAGGTTTGAGTTCCAGACTGGGGCAAAGGGGCTAGGTATGCTACCCCATCCCAAATTTGGGAAAATCAGTGCTTAGCCCAGGAAAGCTTTGGGTTTCTCATGCATCCTCCTCCCCAAATATCTTGATTCTTTCTTTTGCGCTCCCCCCTACCCCCACCCCGCCTCTGCTCCTGTCGGATTTCTTTTCCCAGCTTCTACCACTGCCAGGGATATTGCCATCCTGGGCCCCCTCCGCCCTGTGTTGTTGTTTTGCTCCAAGGATAAGGGCCCTCTTCTTTGCCCACGCCCCCTTCAGCAGCCTCACCCAGGCCCCCTTCTCTGCCCACTCGGAGCTGCGCCGCGGGTGGTGGGGGACGGGCGGGGGAGCAGAAATGTTTGCATACAGCAGTTTGGGGGATTGCACTGGCTACCCAACCCCTACAGACATACATACACAAACACCCGACACACGCCCTGACTGAAACAGCGACAAATCTCACTCCGCCCCCAACACACACTGACACAGACATACACACAGATACTGACACAGAAACGCAGAGCCAGACACCAACACAGACGCGCGCGCACACGGACAGCAACACATCCAGACCCCGGGCTGCTCCTAACGGACATCAGCCCCGAGAGCCAAACCCCGGTGCACACGCAGACACACGCTCAGTGGTGTACACAGAAGGGTGCACACACCGGCACACCCACAGTCCACAGAGACACGGATGCTCAGAGACAGACACAAGGGTATTAGCAGCGGCTGGTGACTTTAACCCCGGTTCCAAACAAAGCCAACAGGCTCCTTCCGCGAGACTCCCGATCCCAGCCCCCGCCTCGGGTCACTCCCCACCTCCCCAGGCGCCGCCCCCTCCCTCACTCACCGTCCTGGGAGAGGTTGGCCCCGCCGGGCGCCCAGCAGCAGGCGAACAGCAGGAGCAGGAGCAGGAGCGAGGCGGCTGGGGCCCCCATCGCGCTTCCCGGCCGGCTCCCTGGCTGGGCGCTGGCGAGCCTGAATCCCCGGGGGCTGGGGATGGGGAGGGGGTGGACTACGATGTTGACCGAAAGGGCGCCCCCGAGCCGCTTCGGAGCCCGGGGCCGAGGTGGGGACCGGGAGGGAGCCGGCGCTGCTGCAGTCGCGGGGATTAAATAGGGCGCTCGGAGCAAACCATTTGGTTGGAGGTGGAGGGGGTTTGGCGGGGGGCTGGGCTGGTCGCGGGGGGGCCAGGCTGCCGCATTCCCCACACCCCCCGCCTCCCACACCCCCTCCTTGCCTTCGTGGTGCCTTCCACCCTCTCCCCCGGGAGCTCGGCCAGCCGGGCTCGGGTGTGGATCAGAGGGAGGGAGCTGGCTCAGCAGTGGGACCCTGCGCTCACCCCTCTTAGGCTTGGGGTGGAGGGAGGGGAGTCGGACAGGGCCATGGGCCAGCTGGCGAGTGCAGCCACTGCAGGCCTGGGCAAGGGCGTGCTCACTAGCCTGAGGTCCTCCAGCTCCGCCCTCCATCCTTTGGCAACTGGGGATCCCCTTAAGCCCTGGGGTCCCCCACCAACCATGTACCCAGGGACATCTCTCCAGTGGATAACTACTAACTCTCAGCCTTCTCCTAAACGCTAACATCCCTAATTCCTCTTACCCAAGAGCCCATAGTTATCTGTCCAGCAACAATTTGTGGCCCCTGGCCTTAAGCCCTGGGGTCCCCCTATCAACAGTGTACCCAGGGACACCTGTCCAGTGGATAATTGCTAACTCTCATCATTTTCCTAAACCCTAACATCCCTGATTCCTCTTACCCAAGAGCCCATAGTTATCTGTCCAGCAACAATTCGTGGCCCCAGGCAATCTCCCTTGAAAGGCATTTTCCAACAAACTCCCAGGCCTTGGGAACCAATGTCTCCCTCAATCTCATGTCAAGGAAATAACTCACCCTCTGAAAACATGATTTCACCCCAGACTCTTGCCCAATCTGGCAGCCTAACAAAGCAACTCAGTCGTTTTCTTTCTTAACCCTCCCTATTACATCTCTTTAACCCCCGGTCCCTTTCTCCAATACGTTTTCTTCTTTCTTGTTCTTTTGCAGATCTCGCCCATCTCAAGTTTGAGTTAGTAAGGTTCATGGATGAAGAGTCTGATCTAGAAACCCTCCAAGGACCCCTGCGTCTGTGACCAAAGCTGCTGTCAATCCTGAGGCCAGATATAACAAGATGAGAGATGCAGGGTGTTTGTACTTGGTCTTGGCTTAAGTGTCCCAAGTCCCTGGTGTTTGCCATTCTTTGTGACTGAGTATCTCCGAGTCTTGATATATCTCAGAAAGGGATCTTTCTAAATCAGTTTTACTGAAACTTAGCTTTTGGAAATACATTTCTAAATGTTAGAATTCTAGAATAAAATGATATTAGATATCTAAGAATTCTTAGAAAATGTCTATTCCAACCCCTTAATTATATAGGTACAACTGAGGCTCAAAGGAGGCTAACTGAACCAAGGTTACACTGACAGTTAATAGTAGAAGACACAAGTGTTGGCTGGGATGTGCAACAATATGATTTTAAAGTGTCTTCCAATCCTGTGAGGCTAATATTTTATCCCTAGATGAGGGATTTGGGTGCATGTCTTCTAACTCTTAGACCAGCTCTCTTTGTCTGCTAATGACTGTCTCACTGGGCTAATCCTTAATGTTTGGGTAATCTTTCCTTCTTGAAAACAGAGTTTTTCAGCCCTCTGTGATGTAGTTAATGTCTCTGTCACCCAGAAACTCACGGGCAGGGGTGTGGAAAGTACTTGGTTACCAGTAAAGTCCTATATAAATTACAAGCAATGATGGAGAGGTCAGGGGAAATATTCCCCAGGGAAATCCTTCTGGATTGTCAGGATGCTGCCCCACAGTTTTTCTCTTAGGGTTGTTAGAGTTGATGGTTTCTGGGAGAAGAGTTCTGCCTGCCTCTTGGACATTTCTTGAGTGCCTGGATAGTTAAGATTTTCTTGCAGGGAAGTGTTGACCATCTTTGGCTGTCTGACTTGCCTGACTTGATATATCTCAGTGACTCCAGACCATTCTGTCTCCTAGGGTTTGTTGATATCTTGGAATCTCCAAAAAGTGAAAATAAAGGGGGTACTATATTTGAGGGGTGTGGAAACCTGGATGTAAGAGAGAGAAGAGGCTGGGCTAGGGAGTGGGGGAGAGATATAGGAAAGATTGAACTTTCCCACAGAGGTGGGGCCATGTTGGCATGAAGTTAGTTATGCAGAGAGCAGGCAGTAATGTGGGTGTTTTCAAAACAAATCAGCTTCAGAAGAGAAAGATCAGACTACCCTAGTTAAAGCGTCTTAGTGGATAAAGAGTATTATCTTTGCAGCTAGAAGACATCTTAGAGATCATCTAAGTGGGCTTAAGAGAGAACAGGTTAATGCAGGGGTAGGGGAGTGAGAGTGGGGATGGGTGGGATAGGGAGGGCAGGATGTAGGATTAGGTCTCATAGTCTTCTAATTAATCTGTCTTTTCCATCTGCTGCTCTGCAGTGATCCCCTTCTGCCTGACCCCCTTAATTCTGAAATACTTGCTGGTCTGGCCCTACTCTCTACTGTAACTGCATGGGACAAGAACCAAGGGTGAGAGGTAAGGAGGAAAGCTGTTTTGGAGAGAGTATTAAGAGTTAGCAAATGAGACTCTGGAATGCTCTTTTCCTACTGGCTCCTCTTCTCCTTTCTGCATCATCAGCATCAGTTTGGCAACAGTTTAAGTCCTGGGAATAGGAAACAGTCACTGGCTTTTAGAATTATAGAATAAAAGAATGTTAGAGTTGTATGGGACCTTCAAGATTATCTAATTAATACCGCTTGTTGAACAGATGAGGAAAATGAAACTCAGAGAAGCTAAATGACTTTCTGTGTTCATACGGCTAGCTGGTAGAAGGGTTGCCACCACTGGGTGGGGAATGGGAGATAGTACCCTTGGAGGCAGGAAGGATAAGAGGAATCATTCCCAAAACTCTGGAGCGGTGTCCAATTTGAGGAATTCCTCACCCTTGCATATTTCAGAGTGAAAGGGTAGTTTCTCCTACTGATGTGGATGTTAGCATTTGGAATAACTTCTTGCCTGTAGTCATTCTAATGCCCTTTTTACATGTGCACCCAGCATCCTACAGGTGCCCACCGTACTCACTAGGAATATAGTTTTACAAAGAAAGATTGACCTACAAGGATGAACCCCATCATGAAAATAGGTAAAATAAAAGTATCCATGTTGGATTGTGATCTCTATGGTTACTTTCCACTCTGAACGCTGTGACATACAATATGCATTTCCCAGAGACGTGCACAAAGTCTGGAGTAGGTTGTCTGTGGGATTACAAAGCTGGTAGCTACAGTGAAAATCTGAGGAAGCAGGGAAGGGGAGGGAAGAGAAGGCGGGTTTTGCCTCCTAGGTGCCCCTGTCCACTCAGCAACAGCCTGGGTAGCTGGGGGTGTGGAATGTGATGCTGGCACTGGTGCTGGACTAAACGCAGCTGTGTGGGCACTGGGCATTCCTTTCCCCATGCTGCTCCTGCCCGGGAGGGAAAAGGGAAAGAACTCAGCCTGAGTGGGTGAATTTTACATATTCATCAGGGAGAAGATGACAGCACCTGTAGGGAAAAAAATTAAGAAGGCTTAATATCCATTCAGATTCTGCTTTGTACTCTAACCCTTTTTTCTCCTCTATGAGTTTTCTGTATCAGTAAATTCTACATAGGTTTCCACATTGCTTTCCTCTTCAATTTTCTACCCAGCTAAACCAGTACTCCTCATACTGCTTCTTACTTCTATTATCCAGTTTTAATTAACACCAACCTTAATAATAACCCCTGTATGCATTACAATTGTAACCTTAATTGAATTGTAATTTCAGTCCTAATCCTAATCTATTATAGGCTCTGACTATTAATCCTAATACCAACCTGAATTTAATCACCAATTTTAACCAGCATCTTGGTTCTAACCAGTTTTAAACCAGCAACCAGAGCAGCAACTTGCACATAATAAAAATGATCATAGGTACCATTATTGAGAACCCATCAAATGCCAGATTTTGTGCTGGGTACTTTATGTACACAGTAGCTCACTTAAGTACCAGAAAGTACCTGAGTGTGTCTGGAATGATTAGCTCCCTTACCAAATCAAGGAAACAAAGGTTTAACAAGATTATGTAGTTTGTAAATAGTGAATCCAAATCCAGGTCTACTTGACCTGAAGGCTTGTGCTCATTCTTCTTTCTGTCAATAAATACTTTTTAATTGAACTTCTACTAAAAACTAATACTGATTGGAATGACTTCTAAAAGACTGAGTTTCTTCAAAGCATGTTATTATTGGTTTAGTCTTTTTTTTCTTTTTAAATAGTGATACAAAATACAAACCAACCCAACAAAAGCCCCCAAATCTTCTGGCCCAGAGACCCCACTGACACTTTTAAGACATTAATTTATTTATAAAGTTAAAATATTCAAACTATAAATGGAAACAAACTGAAAACCCTCCTCTTTCCCAGAGTTGCCATATTGCACAACTCCAGGGGGCATTGTTCAAATTGGAGTTGTGCAAAGCAGCAGCACTGCCTCCCACGGCTTACCAGAAAGCAGATAAAGTCAAGGTAAATATCTACCAAATTAAATCACCCTATATATACATATGACTTAGGCATGAGAATTTCTAGACAAGTTAAATTTATTATTAGCAATAACTATTAAGGGTCAAATTATATACTAAGTTCTTTACATTTATTATCCGTCTTAATATTCACAAGCATGCTGGTCAGTATTCATTACCCTATTTTACAGATGATGACAGTGAGGCTTGAAGAGGCAAAATGACTGGTACAAGAGCACAAAGATGGTAAATGACAGACTCAGGTTTCAAATACAGGTTGTCTTACTGCAAACTCTAAATTTTCAGTCATTACACTTAGCCAAGAAGGCTTCTCAGAGAAGAGGTCATATAAGTTTGGTTCTGAAGGAAAGATGGGAGTTGCATGATACTAGAAAAGAGAATGGCCTATGAGACTGTAGATGAACTCAGATCAATATGGAAGGAGATACTCCAAGGGGAAAGGGAGCTAGAAACTAGATTGCAGAGGGAAATGAGTAAAAGTTGAGAGAGTAATGGGGGAGTAAAACAAATATGAGCAGAGACCAGGGACATTTTTTTGTGATAAATTCAGGCAAAAATAAAATCATGTAATAAATAAATGTGTCACTGTTCCTCCAGCTACAGGCTGATTGATGTACTATGGAAAGACAGTAGACACACATAATCATCTGCAAACCAAAATACACATTTTCAGTTACATGGCTATCAGTCGCTTCTCCAACGAAATATCTCTGTATTCTTTCCCTTAGATTCTGTGCTCCAGCAATATCAAATGGCTTGTAATTTCCCAAACACACTATGTTGTTTCATGCCTCAGTGTCTTTGCACATACTATTTTCTATACCTGGATTGCCCATCTCATTAAGCCTGATGAAACTTGTGCTCATGTTTATCCATCCAAACTTTGATGAGGTGTTGCCTCTCTTTGAAGCTTCCTATCTACATATAATCACTCCTTGCTAGGTGCTACCACTGTATTGAATATATATCTCCACTGTTACACTTCTTTGTGTTGCAGTGATTTGTCTATGTTTTTCTCCTCCATGTGCTCTTTGAGGGCAGGAATGATATTTTGTGAATCTCATTTATCCGAGTGCTTTGTGTAGAAACTGAAAAAGTATAGATTCTTAGTTAATTCTGAGGTAATCCCAAATGATATGTCTGTAAATACATAGGCTTGACAAATCATTTTATTCCCAGAAGCACATACATGCATATAACTACACTTCATTGGCATACCCCCTGCAGCTATATATGCATGTGATCACATTGATATAATATGCCCCAAAATAAAGTAACTGATCCTAATATACAAATATTTTCATCCACTTACCTGAAGTACGTTTTATAATTTTTGGAATTGATTTTAGAACCTGCCACAGCCTTTTGCATGACTTCAGTTGTGGAGAATGTTTATCCTTTGAGTCTGGCTTTTAATTTAATAAATAGCCAGACATCTTTGAGATTCAAGCCTTATGGATAAGTTGGTGGTTCGTGTTGTGTAATATTAACAAATAAGACTTGGCTGTAAAGTAATAGTAAATGACTTATAAGCTAACTTATTTGTTGGTTCTTAAGGCAGTTACCAAATAGGAGTTCTAGAAAGTTTCCGAGCAGCGTCATTCTGGTATATTTGTTAGTATAAACAAAATCAAGCAAAAGTCTTATAATTTTATATCATGCCTGGGAAACAAATGTGTTTGTGTATAAGAACACAAAAAGTTATTATGTCCAGAAGAGAACTTCTTGATCATTTATTCATTCATTTATAGTTTTATTTTATTTATTATTTACTATTTACTTACTAAAAATATTAATTTATTATTATTATCATTTTTGAGATGAGTCTCACTCTGTTGCCCAGGCTGAAGTGCAGTGGTGCAATCTCGACTCACTACAACTCCTGCCCCCCTGGATTCAAGCGATTCTCCTGCCTCAACCTCCCGAGTAGCTGGGATTACACATGGATGCCACCACGCAGGGCTAATTTTTGTATTTTTAGTAGAGAGGGGGTTTCACCATGTTGGTCAGGCTGGTCTCAAACTCCTGACATCAAGCGATCCACTTGCCTCAGCCTCCCAAAGTGCTGGGATTACAGGAGTGAGTCAACACGCCTGGCGATTTATTTCATTTTATTTTTTGCGTGTCTATGTGCCTGCACAATGCTAGTTGAAATTGTTTTGACCTGGATGTTTTGTTGCAGCCTATTAAAAAATTTATAAGCTCCTAGCTTTTAAAAATATATAGAATAAAACATTCAGCGGGTGGTCTTACCCTTATTCCCAATTACCACCCCATTTTTGAGACTCATTTTAGCTGTGAAGGATAATGCGAGGGTTGGGGATAGGATAATATTTGGGGATGCAAAATACTTGGTAATTAAGACCAATCTGACAGTCATGGTTTTCTTTTCAGAATCATAAAATAGAAGTGGATGTTAAAAAATGCTACAACAAAATGTCAACGTCTGGTGCTAGTCACTTGAGAACACAAAGATGAGTAAGTCATGAAATCTACCTTCAAGGAACTCATAGTTCAGTAGAGAAGATAGGCTTGCGAACACACAATCACTACATCATGTGATAAGTGCTACAGTAAAATTATGTATAAGGCACAGTGAGAGAAGAGAGGAGGCAAAGAGTAAATTTGTGAAAAACCTTAAGACTAGGTGTGGGGCAGGTTAAGGGATGAAAGACATTACAAAAGAGGGTATGGCATATGCAAAAACACTAAAACAGGAAGCAGCATGGTTAGTTGTGGCTAAATTTTGAAAGGAATTTATGCTAGAGATTGCTCTTTATTCTGCAGACAAGGAGTCAAGGAAGGATTTTAAGCAGGGAAATGTCAGTGCCAGATTTACATTTTAGAGCGATAACTCTGGCAGTAGTGGATGGATGGATTGGAGGGATACGCATCATTTGATACAGAAGCCTGACCCTTCTGGAGACCCAAATCCAGTACCATGAGATTAAATAGGACCCAGTGAGTGTGGTCCTGTCTTAGCTCCTATGGGTAAGGTAGAGATAGCACGCAGAACACTGTTACAGGACCCAGACACCAATACGCAGGGTGGACAGTGCTGTAGGGCACACAGATGCTGACAACTGTGTGCAGCGACATAAGGTTTTGTAGAGTAAAGCGTGAAGGATTATGAGCACTGTCCCAGTTTGCCAGGGACTGAGTCGTTTTTCAGGACTTTCAGTGCTAACATCGGGAAAGTCCTGAGCAAACTGGGATGGTTGGTCACCCTAAGCAGTTCCTGACAGAAAAAGCCTTCCCTCAGTAGCACCTGTTACCCAGACCATCTCCCTGGCAACGAGCTGGGGGTCATCTCTAGGGCAGATTGGAGGGGGAGGAAAGCCAAGTGAGGTTTTTTTTTTTTCCGTTTCAGGGGAGGGTAGAGGTGGGAAAGGGGTAGGGGGTGGTGAGTCAGAATAGCTAGGCCAATTGAATGGGAGGAGAGAGAAGAAGAAAGGCTAAGTAGGAGGCAGAATGTGGAGGTTTTTTTTCTTATCCAGGATCCTACCTTCATTATCTGAGATCTTGGGCTCTTTCTGGTGGTAAGGAACATTGCAGGCTCAAAACAGCAAGCATTACAAAGAGTGAATGTGAATATATTTAGCTTTTTATTTACCCATAGGTTTCATATGTTCATGCATGTATTTATGTATTCAGCATTAATGGAGTGCCTACTATGCACTTGGCACCTTGCTTATGCTCTATCATTTAGTCTTATGCACAACCACATGACTTGTAGGTAGTATTATTCTCATTTTACAGATGAGGAAAATGAGGCACAGGAATTTTGTAACTTCCTACAAGTCACACCTTAACTGGTGGGGCTGAGATCTTAATTTAGGTGTGTCTCTAAAACTTGGTCATGCCAGTAAACCAGCATACCCATCTGTGCCTGATCCAAACAGTTACCTGGAGCCACCTGTTACAAATGATACAGATGCTTAGGATATTTCGGTTCTAGGTTAACAATAAAGATTGCTGACCATAGTGCTAACAGGTGCTCCCAGGTGATTCCTATGCCCTGACAAGCCTGAGAAATGACTCACCATAGCCTGGGTCTACTGACAAGAGCTCATTAGCTCCTGAGGGAACCATACGTGTAAGTAGCTCATTAGAACACAGTTGTGTTAAGGTGTAAAACCAAAAAATATCACTGAGTCTTTCAACAAATTTTCTTGACTCTTCCTCTCCAGCAATTGCTGACCTTGTTTGTAAGATCCTGTGTAATCTGGCGTTTCCCTATCTCTCTAACCTCATGTAACCCCATGGCCACAGTATCTGTTTTTTGTTTGTTTGTTTGTTTTTTGTATCTCCACCACATCAAGCCCATTCCCATTCTATGCCATTGCACTGGCTCTTCCTTCTGAACCAGAACGCTCCTGCCCTGCTTCATGCTAAGCCACTTCTGCTTTTACATCTCAGCCTAAATTAACTTCCTCAAAAAGGCCATCTCATTCCCTTGCAATCACTTGTCATTTTCTTCTATTTTCCTAATAATTTATCTTTTGTTTATTATTGTCTTTATTCCTTCTCCCAGTAAATGTAAATTCCATGAGGAAACAAACCCTGTCAACTTTGATCAAAGTCGAGTTGCCAGGAACTTAGGGGATATTGCACATAACAGTAGCTGGCACATAATAGGTGCTTATTAAATGCTGGTTTATTTAGAGAAGAGCGTTCACATTCTTTGATTTTACACTTTGATTTTTACAAGCAAGAACTTTTGTCTTAGGTCCAAAGTAAACCTCCTACTGCCATTTAAGACTTTTTTCCTCTGGTTCATGAAATAAGATATCTCTTTCTTTTTATGAGCCTCTATATAATGTCCCTCTAGAGGATTTAAGACTGTTATTAAATTGCCCCTTAACCTCCTCTACATTAGGTGAAATGTCCTAATTCTTAACCTTCTGCCATTTCTTTTATCATTTTAGTACTTTTTCTCTGATCCTTTTCACTTAAATAGTTTTGTTCAGGACAGGTCCAGTAGGTGAGTGAGGCTATGGCTGATGGTCATGAGTTGAACATGATAAGCTATGATATGCTATTCCATGCCCTCTTGTATGTTTTTTACTGTTCTTTATTTTTAACCTGTTTCTTTTCAGATTATTTTTAATCTGTTTCTTGTGGTGCATTTTGGTCTTAAAATCTTTTTAAACCCTAAAATCCCAGAGCTTGCTATTACTGAAAGTAGTATGCCCTAGCAAGGTGACATCTGTTGAGGTTTGCCACCAGTTTCCAGTCCCAGGGCTTCCTTGTGGACCGCTGTGCCTGTGTGCCCATACCTGTCAGGCTGATGACTGCTGCTGCTATTCCTTGTGGCTAAGCCAAGAATGGATGCAGATACATTTGGTGTTCTCACCATGTTCACAAAAGGCCATAGCTTTTTTTCATGTGGACTGTGAAGGCCTAGGAACGACTGTGTGTGCTGCTTTGAGAAAGTTAACCAGGTTCTGGGCCCAGCTCCAAGGAGACACTTCTGACTCATTGGAAAGGCAGAAGAGTGCAGGAGAGTGAGAAAGCCTGGATTTAGAAAGTGGACTCATCTGGGCTTAAATACCAGCTGTGCCACTTATGTCATTTGAGATCAGTCTTTTCATGTGTTAAACATCAGACATTGTTATTGTCTATCTTGTAGGCTTATAAAGATTATTAAATGAGGACATTTATGTAAAACTCCTAGCATAGAACCCAATACATGTTTGTTAGTTACCTTTCTCTGTGACCTCTTCACCCTAGAGCAGGGAGATGTTCCTCTGTTTCTCTGAGTGTACCATAGAATCTTGCCCTGTGTTCACTGTCCGAGTATAAAGCACTGCTTGGATCTAGATTTTCAGTTCCAATAACTTTTTTCACTTTCGCCAAGGTCTCTCTGTTAACCTGCTCTCTGCTACCCTCGTGTGGCCACCCTGACCCTTTGTCATTCCTGATCCTCTGCTCCCTCAGTGTGGTGACTTTGCTGTAATGCAGCCTCTCCCAGACTTCTTGGCAGACCCAACTCCCACCTCCTCCAAGTTTTAACACACACTTGAAACATTTTTCAGTTTAATTTTAGTCTTCTCTTCTCAGGTAGTGTTATCTCAGTTCTTCTAACCTTTTCTCACTTCTTTTTAATATTTACCGATCTGTCAAAGACTGCATGAATTCTTTCCTGCATGTTGAGAGTTTGGACCCAGTGAGGTCTCCTCAAGCTTCAGATCACATTATCTGTTTCCTTGCTCAACACCAAGTTCTCTTTCCCATGAATGACGAAAAAACAAGTTGACCCTTGAACAACATGGATTTGAACTGTGTGGATCCACTTATACATGGATTTTTTTTTCAATAAATACAGTTTGCCCTCTGTATCTCCAGGCTCCATATCTGCAACCAAACAATATTCTCCGGATGGGCAAACTGCAGATAGGGAGGGCAGACTTTTTCTATATGCCAGTTTCCTGGTTCTGCTGGTTCCGCTGTTTTCACAGGGTCAATTGTAGATCTTGAGTATGTGCAGATTTTGGTATCCTGTGGCAAGGGTGTGGGCGTCCTGCAGCCAATCCCCAGCAGATACTGAGGGATGACTGTATTGTCGTAGATTATTTAATCATAAAAAGCTCTATTTTTCCCCCTGCAAACTCAAATCTGTTTAAGTTAATAAGGAAAAGTATACCTATTCTTGCCTTGTTAAAGGGTAATGATGGATCTTGGATAGACCCAGAATGTTAGCACTTCAAAGTGAGGATGTGTAGACAAAGAATATAACTGCTTTATCCCTTTCCTAATTGCATGGCATCTCTAGCACAGGGAATGAAGGATTATTTAGGATAGAATCAGTATACTGGTTTGAAAAGCTTTGTGGATGAAAAATAAGGGAAATCAATTTGATGAGATGGCTAGTTTAAACCAAATTTGGGAGGTGGGATTTGAAAACTAGACACTGAAGAGCTTTATCTTTATCCCAATGTCAGTTGGAAAAAAAATTGTAGCAGGACGTTATGTTGTTGAATTGGTATTTAAATATTAATTCTAAGATTCATTGTGGTAAAGATGGTAATTTTTAATTTATAAATTTGATGCAATACTATGCTAAATTCCAATAAGATATTTTATGGAACTTGACTAGCCTATTCTAACATTCCCTTGGAAGATAAAGTCAAGAGTAAATAGCCATAATTTTTTAAACACATGGGGCTAAGGGGGAGGATGATTTTCTAGCTATCCTAAGCAACTTTAAAATTATAGCAATTAAAACATGAAATCTTGGCACAGGAATACATAAATAGAACCATGGAGCAGAAGAGAGAGTGTAGTTACAAACCAACTTGGAAATTTAGTGTATGAAGAGTGCTACCTTCATTATATACTACACTTCTAATCAGTGACTAGAGGGTTGTACTGTTTAAAGACATTAGAATAATTGGTTATCTGTTTGTCAGTTGGTATGGGATAGGTTTAGCCTTTCCTTATGCCATATACGACAATATATTTCAGGTGGACTTGTGCTAAATTTTATAAACCAAACAACACTAAAAATGTTTGCAAAAACTGTCGAAAAATATACTTAATCTTAGAGTGGGAAAGACCTTCCTAAGCAAGACACAACACCTAGAGTCGATAAAGGAAAGGACCGATAAGATTTACTGCATAATTTTTAAAACTGATATAATTGCAGACCCATAGACAAAATGTAAAAGTAAGTCACAGACTGGGAAGATTTTATTTGCAATATATATGCCAAAGTATCAAAATTGCTAACATGCAAAATAGTCAGCAAATAAACATAAAAAAGACAAACAGTCCAAGAGAAAATTGGGCAAAGGATATGAGTATGAATTCTCAGAAAAAAAATACAGTTGTCTAATAAACATTTGAAAAGATGATCAACGGCATTTGGATTTTGAGAAATACAAGTTATAGCACCAAAGAGATCCTAGACTGTTAAAAAGCATCAAAGAACCCATCAGATTGTTAAAAAATTAAAATGATGGATAATACTCAGTGTTGGCAAGTGCTTAGGGAAATAGGCACCTTTATATATTGTTAGGGAGGATGTAAATTGGCACAGCCTTTTTGGAGATATTTTGGCAGAATGCATCAGAATTAAAAATAGAAATACCAGCAGTGCTATTTCTACAAATTATGCTATAGATCTGTTCACACATGAGTGCTCTGATTTATGTGCAGAGATATGCATCACATCATTTTTTTCCAGTAGTGAAAAATTGAAGACAACATAAATATTCATCAATAGTGAATTGGATAAATAGATTATGCTATATCATACTTTGTAATAACACATTGCAGTTAAAAAGAATGAGGTAAATTTATATCTACCAACATAGAAAGATACAGAAGGTATGTTGTTCAGTGAAAATACAAAGAAAATACACATACTGCTATCCCTTTTGTGTAAAATGGGAAAAAAGCATAAAACATATACATATGTGTATGTAAAATCTTATATGCATATAAATATGTGTTTAAGTAAATGAATAGTTACTTACTGGCTGTGTGACTTCAGGCAAGATACTTAACCGCCTCAGCATTTTTTTTCATTGTGTGGAAAATAGAGATAATTTTACATGACCCCTAGGGTGGTATGATGTGAAAATTAAATAAATTAATCTATTTAAATTGCTTTAAATAGCGCCTGGCACATAGTAGGCACTTGAGTGTTTCTATTGTTCAGATGCATATTAAACTTGGAAAATTATTTTCTGGGCCAGGAGTGAGACTTAAGTCATAAGGGGGACTATAATTGTCCATATTATATACTTCATATTTTTATAATGTGTGCCTATGTATTGAATGATTAATTTTTTTTAAATTAAATGCTTATTCTAAGAATATGAGTTAAAAGATGATTATAGAAATCCAGGAACAAAGTAAAAGAGTCCTGAGCAAGGGCAGTGGAATTGGGAATGGAAAAGAGGTGCTACGTTTGGTGTTGGTTATGGGAAGCAAGACAGAGGGAGAAGGCTGAGGCAGCTCTCAGTTTTGGCTTTTGAGTGACTTGGAAAATGCTGAACCATGAAAAGAAATAGTGGAATTAGGAGAAGCTTTTTGTGGGGTTTAGTATTTTGGAATGAAGGAGGATTAGTGTCTTACTTGAGGCTGCTAAAACAGAATACCATAAACTATGTGGCTTAAACAACAGACTTTGGTTTCTCACAGTTCTGGAGGCTGGGAAGTCCAAGATCAAGGTACTGGTGGATTTGATTCCTGTTGAGTGTCCTCTTCGTGGTTTGCAGACAGCCACCTTCTCAATGTGTCTTCACATGGTGGAAAAAGAGATTGTCTCCCTGTGTCTCTTCTTATAATGACACTAATTCCATTTATTAGAGTTCCACCTTCATGACCAAATCACCTCTCATAGGACTCACATCTAAATACATGAGGGATTAGAGTGTTAACATCTAAATTTGCAGGAGACATAATCAATTTGTAACAATTTTGTTAGATTACATTGAGTTTAAGCTGAGGGCAACCCATCAAGTAGGAAATATTGAATAGACTGGATATGAAAACTGGAGCTCTGGAGAAAGTTGAACGTTCTACCACTTTGAAGTAGACCAGCAGAAGAAGCCTAAAGTTCTCAGTGTCATTTTAAGAGTTCCCATCTAATACTTGCATTACAAAAATCAAGAACTGTGGTATTATAGGATGATATGTGTCTAGGAGGACAAAGACCTGTTCTAGTGGTTTTGATTGTTGATTCTTTTTCTTTGGTAAACATACATTGAACAACTACCATGTGCCAGGCACTGCCCAGACTATCAAGGGTAAAAAAACTCAAGTTTCTCTCTCTCTGGTAGGAACAGAGATTCACAAAATTGAGTACGTTACAGAGTGCTCAGTCCTCCGATAGCCATATGCACAGGGTGCAGTAATGGTGTGAAGATGGGTGTGATCCAGTCTGCTTGGGGTTGTGGTGGATGTCAGGGAAGATATTATAAAAAATGAGGTGATTGAAACTGAGTCTTCAAAGAGGAGGAACAGTCTTCCAGACAGATGTGAGGGTGGAGACAGGAGAAAGGCATTCCAAAAAGAGAAACCATTGCAGCATACCAAGTCATATTAGTATGGAAAACGAACCTTTTTTTTTTCATTTTGAGAACTCTAAGTACTTATTGTAAAATGTAAGCTGAGAGGGGAGGCTGGGGGATAATAGTAACTGATGTTGCAAAAATGGACGGGAATCAGATCACAGATGGCTTTTAGTCTCTTCTTTAGACAAGAGAGAACTTTAAGGGGTTTTGCCTTCAAGAAAAATTATAATTGCTCTGTTGGTGGTGTAGCTGATTGGCAGAAAGGCAGCAGGGATGGTTACACGTAGACAAGTGAGGGATTATTAACATATCAAATAGTCCTGGCTGCATCATCCTGATACCAAAGCCTGGCAGAAACACAACAAAAAAAGAGAATTTTAGACCAATATCCCTGATGAACATTGATGTGAAAATCCTCAATAAAATACTGGCAATCCAAATCCAGCAGCACATCAAAAAGCTTACCCACCATGATCAAGTCAGCTTCATCCCTGGGATGCAAGGCTGGTTCAACATACACAAATCAATAAACGTAATCCATCACATGAACAGATCCAACGACAAAAACCACATGATTATCTCAATAGATGCAGAGAAGGCCTTTGACAAAATTCAACACCCCTTCAAGCTAAAAACTCTCAATAAACTAGGTATTGATGGAAGGTATCTCAAAATAATAAGAGCTATTTATGACAAACCCACAGCCAATATCATACTGAATGGGCAAAAACTGGAAGCATTCCCTTATAAAACTGGCACCAGACAAGGATGCCCTCTCTCATCACTCCTATTCAACATTGTATTGGAAGTTCTGGCCAGGGCAATCAGGCAGGAGAAGGAAATAAAGGGTATTCAATTAGGAAAAGAGGAAGTCAAATTGTCCCTGTTTGCAGATGACAAGATTGTATACTTAGAAAACCCCATCTTCTCAGCCCCAAAACTCTTAAGCTGATAAGCAACTTCAGCAAAGTCTCAGGATACAAAATCAATGTGCAAAAATCATAAGCATTCCTATTCTCCACCAATAACAGACAGAGAGCCAAAACATGAGTGAACTCCCATTCACAATTGCTTCAAAGAGAATAAAATACCTAGGAATCCAACTTACAAGGGATGTGAAGGACCTCTTCAAGGAGAACTGCAAAGCACTGCTCAAGGAAATAAAAGAGGACACAAACAAATGTAAAAACATTCCTTGCTCATGGATAGGAAGAATCAATATCGTGAAAATGGCCATACTGCCTGAAGTAATTTATAGATTCAATGCCATCCCCATCAAGCTACCAATGACTTTCTTCACAGAATTGGAGAAAACTAAAGTTCATATGGAACCAAAAAAGAGCCCGCATTGCCAAGACAATCCTAAGCCAAAAGAACAAAGCTGGAGGCATAACGCTACCTGACTTCAAACTATACTACAAAGATACAGTAACCAAAACAGCATGGTACTGGTACCAAATCAGATATATAGACCAATGAAACAGAACAGAGGCCTCAGAAATAACACCACGCATCTACAACCATCTGATCTTTGACAAACCTGACAAAAACAAGAAATGGGGAAAAGATTCCCTATTTAATAAGTGGTATTGGGAAAACTGGCTAGCCATGTGTAGAAAGCTGAAACTGGATCCCTTCCTTACACCTTTTACAAAAATTAATTCAAGATGGATTAAAAGACTTAAACATAAGACCTAAAACCATAAAAACCCTAGAAGAAAACCTAGGCAATACCATTCAGGACATAGGTATGGGCAGGGACTTCATGACTAAAACACCAAAAGCAATGGCAACAAAAGCCCAAATAGACAAATGGGATCTAATTAAACTCAAGAGCTTCTGCACAGCAAAAGAAACTATCATCAGAGTGAACAGGCAACCTACAGAATGGGAGAAAAATTTTTGCAGTCTACCCATCTGACAAAGGGCTAATATCCAGAATCTACAAAGAACTCAAACAAATTTACAAGAAAAAAATAACCCCCTCAAAAAGTGGGCAAAGGATATGAACAGACACTTCTCAAAAGAAGACATTTACGCAGCCAACAGACACATGAAAAAATGTTCATCATCGCTGGTCATCAGAGAAATGCAAATCAAAACCACAATGAGATACCATCTCACATCAGTCAGAATGGCGATCATTAAAAAGTCAGGAAACAAAAGATGCTGGAGAGGATGTGGAGAATTAGGAAAGCTTTTACCCTGTTGGTGAGAGTGTAGATTAGTTTAACCATTGTGGAAGACAGTGTGGCGATTCCTCGAGGATCTAGAACTAGAAATACCATTTGACCCAGCAATCCCATTACTGGTATATACCCAAAGGATTATAAATCATGCTACTATAAAGACACATGCACATGTATGTTTATTGTGGCGTTATTCACAATAGCAAAGACTTGGAACCAACCCAAATAAGCATTGATGATAGACTGGATTAAGAAAATGTGGCACATATATACCATGGAATACTATGCAGCCATAAAAAGGATGAGTTCATGTCCTTTGCAGGGACATGAATGAAGCTGGAAATCATCATTCTCAGCAAACTATCACAAGGACAGAAAACCAAACACCGCATGTTCTCACTCATAGGTGGGAATTGAACAATAAGAACACTTGGACACAGAGCAGGGAACATCACACACTGGTGCCTGTCAGAGGGTGGGGAGCTGGGGGAGGGATAGCATTAGGAGAAATACCTAACGTAAATGATGAGTTGATGGGTGCAGCAAACCAACATGGCACATGTATACCTATGTAACAAACCTGCACATTGTGCACATGTACCCTAGAACTTAAACTCTAATAAAAAAAACAAAATAACTAAATAAATAAATAAACAAACAAATAGTCCTGGCTACAGAGGATAAACTATCTGAACTAAGCCAAGAGCAGTGGGAATGGAAAGTGAGGCATACATTTGAGAGCTATTAAAGAGACAGAGTGGATAGACCTTAGTAGCTGATTAAATTTGGAAGATAAAGTTTTAGGGAGAGGAGCCTTGACTCACTCCACATTTCTGGCTTAAGAGACTGGATGGCCAGTTTTGTCTCCCCAAAACTGTTTTTATCAAATCAATCTTCCTTCAATTTACTGTTATGTAGCCAATTCTATTACTGTGGTTCAGATCTCCATTATATCTTACCTTGACTACTGAAAAAGCCTCTTCACTGTGCACTCTTGAAATTATCTGCTACAGCCAGAGTGATCTTTCTAAAATGCAAATCAAATCATCGTTCTCCCTTACTTAAAACCCTTCACTGCCTCTGCATCTCCTACAGGATTACAGTTGACCTTTAACATGACATATGTCGATCTGCATGGTCTGATTTTTGTTTCCACATGCCTTGTCACTTCCTGCCTGGGATTTTGAACTTCAGCAATATCTCTCATTTCTTGTAGTTTCTTACACAGACAAGATGGTTTTTGCTGTATTTTTACTCATGCTTTCCTGTCTTATCTCCTTGGCTCCCCCAACACACACACACACACACACACACACACACACACACACACACACAAAATCTCTGTCCCCATCCCTCCCTAACCTCTTCTTTTGCTCTGTTTACAGCTATTCTTACTTTGAACCTCAGCTTAGGTCTGCAGCTCTAGAAAACGTTCTTAGACTCCTCAGACTGGATTCATTTGCCCATTTTTGTTTTTGTAGCATGCTGGACATATGATTTCTAGAGTTGGGCAACTTTGTTTCATGACTTTGTTTATTTTTCTGTTTTTGACTGTGATTTTTATTCAGAATAGACATATCATCATTATCTTTATATCTCCAATACTCAGCACATTTCTTATTATACAGTAGGTATTTATGGATTTATGGAGCAAATAAATTAATAAATGAGTAGGTGGATGATGGTAACCATTAATTAAACTAGTGGATTAGGCCGGGTGTTGTGGCTCACCCCTGTAATCCCAGCACTTTTGGAGGCCGAGGCGGGCGGATCACCTGAGGTCAGGAGTTCGAGACCTGCCCAGCCAACATGGTGAAACCCTGTCTCTGCTAAAATACAAAAATTAGCTGGGCATGGTGGCAGGTGCCTGTAATCCCAGCTACTAGGGAGGCTGAGGCAGAAGAATTGCTTAGCCCAGGAGGCAGAGGTTGTAGTGGGCTGAGACTGCACCACTGCACTCCAGCCTGGGTGACAGAGCGAGATTCCGTCTCAAAAAAAAAAAAAATGAATAAACTAGTGGATTATGAAGAACAGGTTTATGGGGAAATATAAGTTCTTATTTGTACATTTTGCAGTTGAGATCACTGTGAGTCACATAGGGATGGCAATCTAAAGGCAGCTGAGTATCCCAATCTGGATTTCACGTGATATGTCTGATTTTAAGATAGAGATTTAAGGGTTTTCAGCTCATAGCTGGTAGTACATATGGTACATATGCCGTTTACAATCACCCAGGAAGAAGATATAAAGAAGAGCACCAAGGTACAATGTATGGCAGTGTTTTTGACCACAACTCATATACCTATATATATACATTCATATGTAGCTGATACAAAGATTTCATGAAACAATACATGGTTTTTTTAGAGGGTGATACCCTCGGCTATTTTCTTTTCTATTCTGTCATATCCTATTCTATCATCTCTTTTCTCTGCTATTTAATAATATAAAAGTACTGCTAACCTTCTGGCTTGCAATCTGATAAGTGTCACTCTTTGGAACACTGATATTTAAGAAGGAAGAGGAGGAGCTGGTGAAAGAGATTGAGAAGGAGGGACTGAGGGATAGGAGGTGAATGAGAAGAGAGTGGCATGCCCCAGAAGCAAGAGGAGTCAGCATTTCTAAGGGTGAAGATGGGGTCACTAGTGTGGAATGCTGCAGAAACGTGAAGTGAAACTATTGAATTTGACAATTAGCAACAAGCCATTAGTGACTTTAGTGAGGACATTTAACAGTTGCTAGAGTGGAGTCAGTTGAGGAATGGATGGGGTAAAGGGGAAAGAACCAAAGCATTAACTATTCTTCCTAAAAATAAAGACCGTTCGGTGCTAGTCTACTAAAGATTTTCTCTTTCTTTATCACACTTATTTCTTATAATGACTTTACAAGATAGATATTATTACTTCTGTAAATTTTTTTTTTTTTGAGATGGAATCTCACACTGTCACCTGGGCTGGAGTGCAGTGGCACGATCTCGGCTCACTGCAACCTCTGCCTCCCAGGTTCAAGCGATTCTCCTGCCTCAGCCTCCCAAGTAGCTGGGATTACAGGCGTCCACCACCACACCTGGCTAATTTTTTGTATTTTTAGTAGAGATGGGGTTTCACTGTATTGGCCAGGCTGGTCTCGAACTCCTAACCTAGTGATCTGCCCGCCTTGGCCTCCCAAAGTGCTGGGATTACAAGTGTGAGCTACTGCGCCCGGCCACTTCTATGGATTTTTAAAATCAGATAAGTAATTTGAATCTCAGAGATCATTTAGGTGCCTTTAGGTGTCCATCATCATACACAGCTGAGATTCAAACCCTGGGTATCCCAACTTGAAAGTCTATAGTTTTCTAATTGGATCATAACTGTTTGTCTATTTTTGTGATATTGGATACATGATTTAATTTCTGTGGTTCTGAGTTTATTAATCTATGTAATTACAGATGGAGAGGCTTGACAAAAATTACAGACTACAGAAATATAGAGTATAAAGAGCAAACATTCACCCACTTAGCATTATCGGTTTGATCTTCAAATTAGTTTTTCTCTAAATTTATAAAAGTAATAAGAATATGTGACAAAAATTCAGCTGATCCATGAATAAAAGAGACTTGATTATTTTAAAACCCTTTTCCATTTTGAGCATTCTGTGATTCCAATAAGAGGTTATTTGATGCTTTTGATTTTCTAGTTTACCAGTTAAGAATAAATGCAAAGCATTCTGCTCTTCCCTTCCCTGCACTCTTTGTGTAAAGATTATGTTGGGGATTCCCCTCAATAAAATAATGGCAAAGCAAATCCAGCAGCACCTCAAAAAGGTTATTCACCACGATCAAGTCGGCTTCATCCTTGAGATGGATTCAACATATGCAAATCAATAAACATAATCCATCACATAAACAGACCCAATGACAAAAACCATATGATTATCTGAATAGATGCAGACAAGGCCTTCGATAAAATTCAACATCCCTTCAAGCTACAAACACTCAATAAACTAGGTACTGATGGAACATATCTCAAAATAATAAGAGCTATTTATGACAAACCCACAGCCAATATCACACTGAGTGGGCAAAAGCTGCAAGCATTCCCTTTGAAAACTGGCACAAGACAAGGGTGCTCTCTCTCACCACTCCTATTCAACATAGTATTGGAAATTCTGGCCAGGGAAATCAGGCAAGAGAAAGAAATAAAGCATATTCAAATAGGAAGAGAGGAAGTCAAATTATCTCTGTTTGCAGATGACATGATTGTATATTTAGAAAACCCCATCGTCTCAGCCCCAAAACTTAAGCTGATAAGCAACTTCAGCAAAGTCTCAGGATACAAAATCAATGTGCAAAAATCACAAGCATTCCTATACACCAATAACAGACAAACAGAGAACCAAATCATGAGTGAACTCCCATTCACAATTGCTACAAAGAGAATAAAATACCTAGGAATCCAGCTTACAAGGGACATGAAGGACCTCTTCAAGGAGAACTACAAACCACTGCTCAACGAAATAAAAGAGGACACAAACAAATGTGAAAACATTCCTTGCTCATGGATAGGAAGAATCAATATCGTGAAAATGGCCATACTGCCTGAAGTAATTTATAGATTCAATGCTATTCCCCTCAAGCTACCATTGACTTTCTTCACAGATTTAGAAAGAACTACTTTAATTTCACATGGAACCGAAAAAGAGCCCGCATTGCCAAGACAATCCTAAGCAAAAAGAACAAAGCTGGAGGCATCACGCTACCTGACTTCAAACTATATTACAAGGCTACAGTAACCAAAACAGCATGGTACTGATACCAAAACAGATACATAGACCAAAGGAACAGAACAGAGGCCTCAGAAATAATGCCACACATCTACAACCATCTGATCTTTGGCAAACCTGACAAAAACAAGCAATGGGGAAAGGATTCCCTATTCAACAAATGATGTTGGGAAAACTGGCTAGCCATATGCAGAAAACTGAAACTGGACCCCTTCCTTACACCTTATACAAAAATTAACCCAAGATGGATTAAAGACTTAAACATAAGACCCAAAACCATAAAAACCCTAGAAGAAAATCTAGGCAATACCATTCAGGACATAGGCATGGGCAAAGACTTCATGACTGAAACACCAAAAGCAATGGCAACAAAAGCCAGAATTGACAAATGGGATCTAATTAAACTCAAGAGCTTCTGCACAGCAAAAGAAACTACCATCAGAGTGAACAGGCAACCTACAGAATGGGAGAAAATTTTTGCAATCTACTCATCTGACAAAGGGCTAATATCCAGAATCTACAGGGAACTTAAACAAATTTACAAGAAAAAAACAAGCTCATCAAAAAGTGGATGAAGTATATGCACAGACACTTTTCAAAAGAAGCCATTTATGCAGCCAACAAACATATGAAAGAAAGCTCATCATCACTGGTCGTTAGAGAAGTGCAAATCAAAACAACAATGAGATACCGTCTCATGCCAGTTAGAATTTAAAAGTCAGGAAACAACAGATGTTGGAGAGGATGTGGAAAAATAGGAACACTTTTACACTGTTGGTGGGAGTGTAAATTAGTTCAACCATTGTGGAAGACAAGGTGGCGATTCCTCAAGTATCTAGAATTAGAAATACCATTTGACCGAGCAATCCCATTACTGGATATATACCCAAAAGATTATAAATCATTCTACTATAAAGACACATGCACACATATGTTTATTGCAGCACTATTCACAATAGCGAAGACTTGGAACCAACTCAAATGTCCATCAGTGTTAGACTGTATGAAGAAAATGTGGCACATATACACCACGGAATACTGTGCAGCTATAAAAAAGAATGAATTCAAGTCCTTTGCAGGGACATGGAAGAAGCTGGAAACCATCATTCTCAGCAAATTAACACAGGAACAGAAAACCAAACACCACATCTTCTCACTAATAAGTGGGAGTTGAACAATGAGGACATATGGGCACAGGGAGAGGAACATCACACACTGGAGCCTGTTGGGGGGTGGGGGGCAAGGGGAGGAATAGCATTAGGAGAAATACCTAAGGTAGATGACGGGTTGATGGGTGCAGCAAACCACCATGGCACATGTATACCTATGTAACAAACCTGCATGTTCTGGACATGTATCCCAGAACTTAAAGTATAATAATTTAAAAAAAAGATTATGTTGGGGATTCCAAGCAATTATCTCAACATACTGATTTTATTTCCTTGGATATATACCCAGTAGTGGGATTGCCGGATCCCATGGTAGCTCTATTTTTAAATGTCTTAAGAACCTTCATACTGTTTTCCATAACGGCTAGCTAGAGTTAACCATTCCACAATGTATATGTACTTCAAAGTACCATGTTGTGCATAGTAAAAACATACAATATTATAGGTCAATTAAAAAAATAAAAATAAAAATTTAAGAAGAGTGACTCAGTAACACTGTAGTGAAATTTTAAAAAGCACCAAATTAGGAGTTGGAAAACCTGGAATGGAGGACCAGATTTGTGAATGCCAAGCTGACTGATCTTGAGCAAGTTGTTTTATTTAATCTGGAAATCAGTTTCTTATGTCTTAAGGTAGCTGGGAGGAGAATGAGCACTAAAGAAGAACCCATAGAGAGCTCTCTTACTCACCTGCCTGTGCTGTTTGTTCTCTTTTAAGCAGGACAACCTTTGACCTCACTCTGTGGCCCTTCTCAGGGCTGGCTGGCCATCCTGTCCTATGCTTAGGGCACTCTTCGATGGTTGCAAAGACTGGGAAGAAAGTTGGGGGAAAGGTCTCAGAATTTTGTTTCCTGGAACAAATTGTAATGAAGGCAGCTGGTGCCTCTTAGCAGACACCTTCTGTTGAGGCCTCCCTGTAGAGGTCACAGAAGTCAGGACACTGTATGGTAGCTCACCCTAGTCCCACCTCTTACAAGCTGAGGTACTTAGGGCAAGCCACCTAATGTCTTTGATTAAGGTTCTTCTTTTGTAAAAGAAAAATAATGATGATCACTCTTCCAACAATCTAGGAAAGTTCTGATGATAAAATGAGACAATTCAAAATATCTTTATTATCATTATTACTATCATTGATACTGTTTCTTAGAATCATAGGTAGCATGAGAAGCCCTTGGAAATTCAGCTACTACCTTCTAAAGGAGGAGAACATGAAGGAGATGAGCTGGCCAACTCAAGGTAAAATGCTTCCCCTGGACCCTGTCTTCCGTGTGGGGACTTGATGTTCTTCAGGGACAGACTTGAAAAGAGCCACTTCTGCTGTATAAGGACCATGTACAGACCCTTCTGTAATTTGTCAGACGTAAGGTTCTTGTGTAAGGACAAGTTTAGTCTCTAGGATTGAAACTTTCATGGTCACGCTCTTTGGTTTAATTAAAGTGATGGACTGTGAAAGATGAACACCTTTCTTCTCTTGCCATTGCCGAGGAGTCTGCCTCACTATGTAACCCTCAAGGCTTTTTCCAGGCTGAATGGGAAGTGGGGCTGAAGTAGGGGACAAATAGCAAAAGCCTAATTTACTTATAATATTAGGCAAAAAGCAATGTTCTTGAATCCCTTGGCCTATAATCATAGAATCCTTGACCCTTTAAGGATCTCTTTTCTAATTCTTTGGCATCTGGCCTAGGGTATCTGGCCCTTTAAGGATCAGGGGCCCCATAGTGGCTAAAGATTAAGAAGCCCGGTTGCCAGTCCATTCCCATGGCAACTCAGTGCCATGGGGATTAGCAGGGCCCTATTCAGGGCCTCCCAGTTTTAAAGCCAGTGGCACACGCAGTCCCAGGCAAAGAAGTAAAACAAATATAGGTGTGTTGTAGAGTCAGGCAGAACCCAGAACGTCTGGAGATGAATGTAGGGAAGAAGGAAGGACCAGCAAGTTCTTCCAGGTAAGCCTCAGGAATCTGGTGCTGTATGGATGGGATGGAAGGAGATTTAGAAGGATGGGTACTACAAGTTGAAGATTTAAGGAGATGAGATAAAGACTAAAAGGATGGTGGGCAAGTAAAGTGGTCTGAAGAATGAAATCTGGTGAAAAGAAAAAGAAGGCCTGAGGATGAAGGGCTGACAATAACAAAGACTCTAAGTCCAAGCAGTAGATTTTAACGACAGCGGAATTTAGAGGCCTGGGAAGCTCAGAGTGCCTTGAGGTTGATGGCTAAGGGGGGCAGAGACAGAGAAGAGCAGTGGGCTGAATCTAGGGAAGACTGGGAACAATGAGTTTGGCCAATGTGTTTGGTGTAGATGGATCCTAGGGCAGATGAGAACAGATAATGACTTGGCCAATAAATTGGGCATTATAGAGATTACACAGTAAAGTATTAGGGAATGCCAGTTGCAGAAAGTGGGGAAAGTGAAATGGACAGAAATGAGCAAAGGCGTGGACAGAGGTGAGAAGAACATTTTAAAGCAGGAAATGACTAAGGGTTATATACCCCAAGGAAGAAGGAGACATTGATGGGGATGGCAAGAAGAAAATGTAAGAAGACAGGACTGGGAATCTACACAAGCAGGTGATGGCTTGGGGTTAGAAACAGCAGGATAGAGGGTCCTGATTCTAAGGAGGATAAGGGAGAGTGAGCTAGAAAGTTAGCACCAGGAATCATCTTATTTCTTGGGTTTGGGTGAAGCAGAAAGTTTTCCCCCAAACTTCCCAGAAAGATCTGATGGGACATGACAACCTACTGCCCTCCCATTTGTTGAACACTACTAGTTTCCTCATCCTTCTTGACCAAAGAGATACTTCATGTCCTTAGAGACACACTCTCTAGAATTCTTTTTTTTTTTTTTTGAGGGGACAGTGTCTCACTCTGTCACCAGGCTGGAGTGCAGTGGCGTGATCTTGCTTCACTGCAACCTCTACTTCCCAGGTTCAAGTGATTCTCCTGCCTCAGCCTCCCGAGTAGCTGGGACTACAGGCACGCACCACCATGCCCAGCTACTTTTTATATTTTTAGTAGAGATGGGGTTTCACCATATTGGCCAGGATGGCCTTGATCTCTTGACCTCGTGATCTGCCTGTCTTGGCCTCCCAAAGTGCTGGGATTACAGGCATAAGCCACCATGCCTGGCCTCTAGAACTCTTTAAATGGCTTCCTGGAGAATCTGTCAGAGGTGGGTGGGAGGTAATAAGGAAAGGGAGATTCTACCTCCAGATTTCTCAGCATTTCTCAGACTCCCTTAGGGAGTTGACCTCTGTATGGACTTTCTTGTGACCTTGACTAGCCCTGGAGGTCCAGCCCATTGTTAAGATAGATTGGTTCTGGGTCTACTTTTGGAAAGGCTTGAGAGGCCTCAATAGCTCAGTTTGACTGGGCTAGACTTGGAATGGTTTCTGAAAGTTGGATGGGATGATGAAAGGATAATTTGCTCCGTATTTGTCTTTCCTTGGCTTGATTCTCATGCTGAATTGTTACCTGGATTATCTCATTTCTTCCCTCTTCAAGTATGAGAAAGGGGACTGAGGAGAAAGGAACAATCTGCAGTCAGGCTGACAGGCTAGGAGGGAGGAAAGATAGACTTGGGAACATAAATGCTTTATTATGATGGGTCAGAAAATGCATAATAGGCATGGAGAAATGAATATGGGGCAAGACCTCCTGAAGATGAAGTGTCTGGAAAAGGACTGAAGGGCTTTTGCATTGTGGGTATGTATGTCCATTTTACCCTTCCTTAAGGGGTAGGAGTTATGACCTGAACATCTGCACAGTAGGTCTCACTCTATAGGCCTGACATTGCAAAGCACCTTTTCCAGCCTTCCTGGGAGGTACTCACAGGAGGAAAGACCTGGGCTAGCTCCTTAGGGGTGAGATAGTAAGAGGGAGCTGATAGCAGGTAGGAACATGAGAAGATGGTATATGGTAACACTTCTAGAAGTTGTGCTCACAATAGATGTGGATTAATAAGGTTTACGGCATCATAGGGCCTGGGAGATGAAAGTATAGTATGTAAGGGCTGTGCTATCTGAATGACAAATTCACTGTCTTACTCCATGCGATAGCCCTTAGAATTTAAAATACGGACTAGTTGGTATAGGAACCTTTAGAGAAGCTGTAAGTAAGACCACAGTAGGATGTAGGATTTAATTGGACCAAAGGGAAAATTTGAAGGGCATTTATCATATGTATCCCAGCAACACCTTGTGAATGAAATAGTGTATGAGCATCACTAGTTTGTCTGTAGGGTCACAAAGTGGTATTCAATTAGAGGTATGAGTAATGTTTGAGTCACAGATCTTTGGAGAATTAAATCAATACAGATTTTTTTTTTGGAAGGTGAATGTACTTTTCTTCCAGAGAGTTTACGTAAACATGAATGACATACAGCCAGTTTAAAAGAAGAAAAAGATGTACTGGCTTCAATCATTTTGAGTGACTTGACTTCACCCTTCCTGCCCTTTAAAACTGTAGATTTATTTGATTGTTTCTCTTCTTATTTTAAATTAAAACCTAGTTTAAAGACATTATCGACACTATCAAGAGGCTTTGTCTGTTTTATGGATGATAAAGCAAAATGAGATGTCAGAGAGACATCTCTTATTTGAAAAAAGTCCTCAGACAAAGTCCAGAGTACTTTTGTTGATATACATTATAAGTATAAGGAGACACTTGTTGGTGGGGGGCATTTTTGCTGGAATGAAGAGATGTCTGTGGAGTGGTGAGAGGAAGATGAAGGAAGGGTATTCAAAGGGAAAGAAGCAATCCAGTCAATAGAGTTGAGAATTAACTCATGGAATAGAGGAAGAAAGGGGACAAACACTCTGCCTCATGAAATCTCAGCTGATCTTTATCAGTAGCATATGTTAGTGCCCCTAGTTTATAATAAAGAAATGGAAGATCAGAGTTAAGCAATTTTCTCAGAGTCTCAAACCAAGTAAGTTATACAACTTCCTATGAAGATGGATCTTTCTGCTCCCAGGGTTATAGCCTTTGTGTGGACTTGCAAATTGTTATTTTATTTGGTGAGTAAAAAGATTGATTCCTTCTTTTCTCCCATACATGTTTCAGGGTCATTCCTACGTTGGAATTTGCCTATGGGATTCTCGAGAGTAGAACCATGCCATGATATATCTCTCCATCATTGTATTCCCAGCAGCAAGTGGGAACATTACAGATAATGAATGAAGCTCCTGGAGGGAGTTGGAGAGCTGGGACTCTTTATTCAGGTTGTAGACAACACATGATCTTATAAGAAGCAGTGATACTTTGGACGTCACTCAGGGGGCTGATAGATTTCTTGGATATAGGACAATATATTTATGAAGAGCAGTGTGTGTGTGTGTGTGTGTGTGTGTGTGTGTGTGTGTGTGTGTGTGTGTACACACTGAGCCTGGCAGTAAGTATCTTGAGAGTCTAGCTTTTCCTTTCCCTTACACTGGAATGGTTCCTTGCTAGCCTGTGCTGTTAACCTGCCCTTTACAACCATATAGTCCCCTTGACTAACTCGTTCATCAGCACCTTGTTACTAGCCACTCAGAGTAATACAGTCTCTGGATAGAAAGGTCTATTCTGTGCCTTCTTGTTTCAAGTCTATAATAGACACAATCAGTCTCATTTTTCTGAGCTCCCATCTCTAGGTCGTAGATGGAAGGCAAGCCTGGTTGGAGTAGCTGCTTTCCCCCTTGTGTTAGAAAGAGCCTTTTGCTTATATTCCTGATCTGACTGAATTGCCTTGGTTATGTTCTCTGCCATGTCTCATTCCTAGGGCTATATGAATGGGTAGGGAAGTGGGAGATGTTGTAATTGTATTCTTAGAGTCGGAAAGCCCTTAAGGGTTTTCTAATCTAATTGTTTCATTTAGTCATATTGTTTCTTTACTTGGCCATCACCTGGCCTCACAGGTTAGAAATAACTATCTTGTATGATTGGAGTTGGCTGGCAGTGTCCAGAGCTGGGGGCTGTGGAGACACACAGTGAGGGAGAAGGAGGGATATCTGAGTTGGCTCCCTGCTTTTATTGTAACCTTTTGATGAGGAGTGGGGTGGTGAACACAATCAGTCTTTAAATCAATGCATTGTCATCGGGAGCATAGAATCCAATTATTCCCATGTGTCTGGGAACCAAATAGGAGAAAATGAGCTGAAAGTGAGGTAAGAAGGATTTGGATTAGACATTCAGAAAAATGGGCTCAGTGGAAATTATAAACAACGGTGATTATGGAATTGTCTTCTATGAGAGGCTTCTAAAAATAGAAATCATTTTCTTGGATCTGAGCTGGGTATAGAGGTCTTTATATATGGTTATGGAGGGTTGGTCACTTTGATTGTACTAGGATAGTTGTAAAAAGCACAGACAGCTGAGAAATCCTTGTTCTTCAAAGTAGGTAGCCCTGGGGAAAAAGGCTGTCAGGGATTCCGGGCTGAGCAAGGTGGGGGAAAGAGATACAGGAGGGCTGTGTGAGGACATCTACTTCATCAGAGATCTGCCACTCTCACCCTCCAACCCTATGTGTACACACCCACTCTTCCTCCCTCTATCTCTCATACACACACTCTCTCACACATATACGTTCACACATACTTACACACTGAACACACACACTGAACACTGTTTTTTCTTCACTCCCATGCTTAATTCTAGTGAAGATGCTGAAGGAACATCACATCAGACTCCCTGTACCTCTTGCCTGGGCTTGACAGATACAGTTCTTATTGCTGAGAACCAGACCAGTCTCTTAGAACTCAGCTGCCATTCTCTGCTGCCGTTGTTCACAGTGTTCCTTTACGGAAGCAGCTCCTTTGTCTCTGGGATCGAGGGTTTTCCTGAATCCCCAAGCGTTGCCCAGCCCCTGTCTGAGAATAGCTGGACTGGGATGAAACCACAGTGAGGGAGTGGGGGTGGAGGTAGAGATGGCTTCTGCGTTTTCTGCAGGGTTGGGTGCACTCTGCTTAATTAGCATGAGAATCGAGAGATTTTCGTATCATCCCTAAGGGATGGAGAGGAAAGGAGAGCAAAGGCTCTAGTTCTGTCCTGTTCCATCAGGGATTCTGAGTCTGGGAAATTGACTGCTGTCACATTCCCCCAATCCTCTGGGGACCATCGGACCCAGAGTATTGAGAAAAGCTTTGATGAAGCCGGCTGGTGGATCTCCACTCCAGATTTTCCAGCTGTCCCTGTCCCCCCCCACCGCTCAGAGAGCAGGATGCTGAGATGGCTCGGTGATGCAGAAGGTATGTGCTTTTTCAGTTCTGGTGCTGATGCTGTGTGTGTGGTGAGGTCTCTGTGGCGCAATGGACGAGCGCGCTGGACTTCTAATCCAGAGGTTCCGGGTTCGAGTCCCGGCAGAGATGGTCACCTGGCAGGTGCCTCTTTTATTTTGACTACTGTCATGCTAGGTTGATAATTATATTTACTCCTCCCTGGAGGCTATAGGGGAGAGAAAGGAAACCCTTTTCCTTGAGAATCCTGGACCTTCTCTCTTTTTGTGTCCCCTCCCTCTTCATTCTTTCTGTATTCCTCTCTTACAGATTTTCATTGTCTAGTAGAGGCTCAGATGTCTGCTGCTTCTCTCTGTTCAGCCCGACTGACATAGCATTTGAATCCTTTACTTCACAGTTAGATAATTGGCACATAGTGACCAAGACGGAAAGTCACAGGTTTTGGAACCACTCTGATTCCCTCCTTTGACCTCTGAGACCACAAAAAGGCAGATTGTCCCATATGCCAATGAGAAAATGTCCAACTGTCCTCTGAGGTAACACCTTCCTTGACCAGGGTTATCATTTGGTGGATGTCAGGATGTCTCTGCCTGACACGGTCATGCAGAGGGTAGTTTCTTGCACTGTCTGTCAGCTACACTTTTTCATTCCTGAGGCTTTTTGCGCTCAAGCTCATCACTCACTTTCTGATCTGTCAGGTGAAATGTAATCATTGCTCTTTGTCTCAGTGGAATAAACCACAGAGCAACACACTAATTACCAGCAGCAAGCTGGATGAGCTTGTCCCCAGAAACTCGAAGGTTTTATACTTAAATGCTATTTACTGTGAAAAGTTTGTACCCCTTTCTGTTTGTAGGACAGACTTCAAGTGTTGTATCTGAATGTTATTTCCATAATTCCTGATTTTCAAAAAGCCATGTTCTCACCACCTCTCTCCTCCCGCGTTCATTTTTGCTGTCTCCTTGTCTTGTCTAATGGGCCACATTTAGCCAGATTGGGAGCTTGGTCAGATTGTGTGATGTAGCTTGGATTTCTATTTTGGGCTGGTCTGGCTCTCTCCCTTGCATATTGCTACCTCTAGCTTATTAGCTAGAGGGAGCTGCCCCTGCCAGGAACCGACCTCCACCTCAGGTGAACCCAGGAAACCTGAGAAGATACGTGTCCCAGGACTGCTGGGGAGACTCAGCATCTCTCCCATGCGGGACTCTGGACGGGCGACCAGAGGACACAGCTGTGCACTTGCACTCTAAGGAAGCTGAGGTGGGGGAGGCGGGAAAGTCCACAGAGGAGTTTAAAGCAGCCATGCCAAAAGGTAAGGGGAATTGACAGTGTAGATAGGAGGACCCTGGAGGGAGATTGATGTTTGCTGCTTCCATGTGTGCATGTTTATAGCAAATGGAAACTTTTGAAATTCTCTTGAAGTAGTATGGTACTTTAAAGACTTAAAATTCTTCTAGTAAGAGCTAACATAGCTTTACATTTCTGGGTTACCTTGGTGGAAGGCCAATTCAGATGTTATCTCTCTCCCACTGGTCCCATAGATATGCCCTTTGGAGGACATGGTGTGGACCAGAAGTTCCTGGGCATTCTTTCCTGGAGCCTTTTGTTTATTGTTAACTCAGCCTATCCTAGATATTTTTGCTTTAAGCCCTCGCCTGAAAGGAAACATTAGTGTGTGGTAGTGGTGGGGGAAGGGGAAGGGGAAGGGAGTTCAGGAAAGGGGTATGTCACATTTTTCCACCATAGTCTAGAATACTGCATACATCTTCCTGATTCTCCCTCCATCATAGCATGGTAATGGAGGTGCTTAACCATGAGAATTCCGAGAAGGTAAGGATATTATTTCTATATCACTGTTAAAATTCGGGGCAAGGGCCCACTCGATGGTTTGCTCATTTCTAGAGTCTTTCTGGAAATAATGATCAGACTTCATGGAATTGTGAGGGCTGGGGATGAGGTGGAAACAGGGCGGGTATGTGTGCCCAAATAGACAGTGTGTTGGGATTTGTTTAAATGTTTGATCAGAATTTGATAGAGCCAGCTCTTTATGTGAAGCTCTATACCTGTGAGAATTAAAATCCACAGATAATTCCCCAAGCCTGATTTTGTCTTGTCATTTCTATTCCCTATCTTGGAATCAGAAGACCTCGGTATAAGAAGCAGCTTTGCCAAGTTGCCGAACATCTGCACTTTAATTTGCTTATGTATTAAAAAAAAGAGTATATTGTCTTTCCTACAAGTGTAAAAAATGGATGAAAAGTTTGTTGTACAGCACTGTGCAAATATAGAGGCTATGTTAGTTTTCAAGTTGCTTTTGTCTTTCTCCTAAGCATACGGGGAGGGTACCTGGACACAAAATAGGGAAAGGAAAGGGTCTGAATGCTCAGCCCCTGCCTGGAACATCCAGGGTGGCTGTGTGTCATCAGCAGGGGCAGATGCCACCCTGTGCTACCCTAAGAGGTCTGATTGGAGTTTTCTAGCTGGCAGGATCCTTCAGAGAGCATGTGGTCCCTCTGTGCCTTAGATAGGAGACTTTATCTCAGCCAAGTAGGTAGAGGGTCCTCCTGGCTACCCCACTCAAGGGAACTAGAAGCTTCTGCTTATTTAACTATTGCCTAGCCTTCAACTCTCTTCATCCTGAGGGGTGGTGTTTTGGAGACTTGAAGGATATCACCAGGACTGGGGAAAAGATTTTCCACATGAGTAAAAATTCTTCTGTGTGTGATAACAATTTTCTTCTGAATACATAAGGGATATCTCCTAATTTATGAATATCATAATTACTGTATTTTAAAGATACTCAGAATGTAAAATAGAAATGGGTGTGTTTTTTATGAAGTCACTTCACTGTAGGACTCAAATACTTCAGAGATGCTGGAGCTGATCATTAATTGAAAAGTATGCGGGCAGGATATGTGTTATTTATTATTGTATTCTCAGTGCCTGAAATATGGTAGGCATTTGATGGATATATTTGAAAGAATTAATGCTGACTTCAATTGACTATAAATTATATAGATAGGAAAGAGAAAGAGATTACTCCTAGCTTCCAGGGAGCAGGAGCACAGACAGTATCTTCAGGCATTAATTCACTTATTTAACAAATATTCATCAAGCACCCACTTCATGCCACTTCCCATTATTCCAGGCACCAAAATAGTAGATTCCACCTTCTTCATGGAATACATATTCCCATGATGAAGACAAATGACAGACAGGTAAATAAATATTATAATAGCTAATAGCATTTTAGGTAGTGATATGTACTATGGAGGAATTTAAAGGATGCTTGGGGATGGAGAGTGATGTGATGAATGATGGTTGTGGAAGACCTCTCAGAGGAGGTGGCTTTTGAGTGAAGACCTGAGTGAAGTGAGGGCAATGAGATTTAGGGGATGGGCATTTCAAACAGAGAAACAGCAAGAGCAGAGACTCTGATGTGGGCACCAGCCTGATTGGAAAGCTGACAGGTCAGTGTGGTGGAGTGGGAGGGAGTGATGGGAAGAGTTGGGATTAGAGTTTGATACAGGGCACACCATCTAGGACAATGTTCTCAACCCTATGACATCCAACTCTGCCTTGTTAGGTCCATTATTTCTTCAATTCTTCTCTACTAACCTGCAATGAAATTCATAGATAACATAACTTTCCCATGCCCATAATGAAAACTAATCAATATAATACCCTAATTGTAATGTAAGAGAGGAATAAAAAGAAATAAACTTATAATAAATAGTATACATTTTAGTACATAAATGCCATACCAGCACCCTTGCACCTATATGAAGACCCACCCTGAACGCAACAGCTACATATGCAGACCAGTGCAGGCATGCTGCACTGCTGACTTAAATCTCATGAGGGATGTCGTTCACCAGCAGCGTCCTGGTTTTCCAGACTGGTGAACACTTTTGGATACATTTTTGATCAAAGCAAAGTAAGTCTTCTTGCAAAATGCGCAGTACTTTGCATTCCTGGAAAATTTAGGAAGTTTTAAATCATGCAGAAAACTCTCTAACATATAAAAACAAGTTAGACTCTAAGCTCAGATACCAACACATAGGTTTTATTTTTGTTCGTTTGTTTGAGATGGAGTCTCGCTCTGTCACCCAGGCTGGAGTGCAGTGGCATGATCTCAGCTCACTGCAACCTCCACCTCCTGGGTTCAAGCCATTCTCCTGCCTCAGCCTCCTGAGTAGCTGGGAGTACAGACGCGCACCAACATGCCCGGCTAATTTTTGTATTTTTAGTAGAGATGGGGTTTCACCATGTTGGCCAGGCTGGTCTTGAACTCCTTAGATCAAGTGATCCACCCGCCTCAGCCTCCCAAAGTGCTGGGATTACAGGTGTGAGCCACCACGCCCAGCCCCAGCACGTAGGTTTTAATAGGTCATTCAGGAGTATACATCATGGGTCAATTCCTCTTTGTGAGAGATGCCCTTACACATTCTGGGACTCTTAAGTCCAGCATGCTCTTCCTCTCTACAGCTAACCGTGGCCCCCAATCATTATAACAACAAAAACTATTCCATCAAATTTTCAAACCACTTCTGAGGGGCAATTCTAGTGCCACTGGCAATCACTGACATAAGGCTTGGAGGTGAGGCTTTTCTAAATGTTAGTGAGCACCACTGATGAGTTTGAGTGGAGGTTCTGGTTTCTATGTTAAAAGGCAAATTTTATCTGTTGGTAGAGAACAGACAGAGATAGAATAGACAGGTAGAGAATAGAGTCAGATATGTAGGCAGGTTTAGAGGTCTCCTGGGCCCAAAGCCTTTAGAAGCAGCAAGCTGTGGCACGGTGATTCCCAAGCCGTAGTGCTGTACCACCAGAGGTGGAGGGTTTTGTAACAGTCCACCTACAAAAGTGATTTATCATCTCTGGAGAGCTTACCTGGCCGAGATCACTTATTTTTAAACTAGTTATTTTTATTTATTGTCATTACAATAGTTATTACCTAATGGTAAAAATGTTCATTTTGCTTATATGTAAAGCTGTAGCAAATAGACCTTATCCCAGAAAACATGATTGCAGTGTTTATGTCCTTAGTACTTGCTATAAATTATAATGGAATAGAATATCTTTGAACTATGTGCTCCTTGGAAGTTAGTTGGATCTCTTTGCTTCCATGGTGGTAATATTGTTCAGTGATGATTCTTTTGAGAGAATGAATGGTGAGAAATGGCGTATTATGATAAGGGAAGTTGATAACCATGAGCATAGTAGAAGCAGCAACTTCATGGTAATGACACAGATCTGAGTCTGAATCTGAGGTCTCGCTATTTACTTGTATGAATGTAGACATGCACTAAGTCTAAGTCCCTTGATTTTCTCATCTAGTAAATGATCTAACTAATACCTAGAATTAAATAGGGTAAGCTGTAAAATTGTCGAGGTAGATACATAGGAGGTGCAAACACAAATGCTAACCTCCTTGTTTGTAGTTATTCTTTCTAAACCTTCAGATTGTATGGATCAAGCTAGTTTCTTGGAGGCTGTGCGTGAGGACTTGAGAGATTTTATCTGTGGCCCATGTTTCTAACCATCTTCTTCTTCAAGCGGAGTCCTAGTGGAAGTCAAGACATGCATAATGTATTTTAAATAGTAGTTACCCTCCAAGAGTACGTTCTGCCCATAGTGATCACTGTAAAAGGCCTAGATTTTTCTCTAGGGCTACGAGCAGAGAAGTCCTACAACAATCCTCAGATTCTAGTCCCCGTGGAAAGGGTCGTGTTAGGACTTCTCTGCGTGGGGCAATGCCGGGCTTTAAAGCCTGGGATGAGGGCGAGTGTGTCTATTTTGAGAAGGCAGGTTGGTGTCTACAGAGATGGAATTAGACTAAAAACAAATGCCTGGGGAGCTGGGAAGAGACAGGAGACGAGGGCTTGGCTGTTGTATTCCAGGACAAATCTTTTTCTGGGTGAATTCCTTGCTGTGGACCCAGCTCAGTCCTGAATCTGAAGGGAGCATCTTCTGGCAATCACTAACAATTGCTGATAACTTGTCTTCCTTTGCTACATCTATAGACCACTTTTAAATAAGGAAATGGTACCATCCAAAATATCCGACTGCTTAGAACAAGTTATATTATTTTGAGGGAGCATGAAACTTAAAAAAATTTTCTATTATGTATAAACTTCTAACGGTGCTTTTTAAGGTTTGTGCTTAAGCATGTCTCTAATGGCTGAGGAGAGTGATGGCTTACTTCCAGGTTCAGGAAGCCGGGCCTCAAGTGGCCTGTACTAAGCACAGCATTTCTCTGAAGTCGTAGACTTTATGCTACATTCTAGATTTAGGGTTCTATTTCATTATGTCTGCATTTTTAAAATACAAAAATAATAATCTGGCTCCAAATATTAGAGTAAAAGTGATGCCTGGCATGCCCCACATATGGGATCCTGGCATGCATAAATTATAAAAGCACAGAACTATATTAATATTAAAAATGAGGGGTAGTCCCTGATTATCCACTCAGAGATGAAGGTGAAAGTAATCTAGAGACAGGTTAAATAGAGGGAAAACTGACAGAGTTGAATGAATAATAATCATTAATTCATTTACTCACTCAACAAATGCTTATAGTACCTGCTGTGTGCTAAGAACTGAGCGAGGTACAATGATGAACAAATGAGACAGAGGTGATCACAGAAAAACATGTAAAGCTGCAATGGTAAATGAAGGAGAGATCCATGGAGCAAAGAAGTTCTGTGGCTGGGAGAGTTGACCTCTTCAGGAAGATCAAGGACAGCTTCCCCCAGGAAGTGTCTCTTGACTTGAATCTGAAAGATAAGGAAATAACTAGGCAAAGAATGAAGGAAAGGGCTTTCTATAAAGAGACAGCATAAATGAAGCTTTTGTAGAGGGAGGGAGAATGCCGTGCATGAAGGGCTTTTTTTCTTTCTTTCTTTTTTTCAACAGAGTCTTGCCCCGTTTCCCAGGCTGGAGTGCAATGTCGCGATCTCAGCTCACTGCAACCTCCGCCTCTCGGGCTCAAGTGATTCTCCTGCCTCAGCCTCCCGAGTAACTGGGATTACAGGCATCTGCCACCATGCCCAGCTAATTTTTGTATTTTTAGTAGAGACCGGGTTTCACCCTGTTGTCCAGGCTGGTCTTGAACTCCTGACCTCAGGTAATCCACCCGCCTCCGCCTCCCAAAGTGATGGGATTACAGGTGTGAGCCACCGCACTCGGCCGGATGAAGGACTGTAAAGCGAGTTTGGTTTCACAATAGAGAGTGAGGGAGAAGGCCGCATGAAGTGAAATTGGAGAGACAAGGCCCCAAAGGGCCTTGTATTCCCTGTAAGCTTTTTCTCTCCTTATCCTAAAAACAATGGAAAACCACTGAAAGATTTTAAGCCAAAGAATAACATGATTGGATTTGCATTTTGGAAAGATTACTCCAGCTGCTGCTCAGAGGACAGAGTGGAAGGCTGCCAGGATAGATGCTTGAGCTAAATTAGAAGTTACCACCAGAGGTTGTTGTGAAAAGCAATATTAGCCAGGATTAAGGGGGTGATAATGGTGCTGGTGGTGGTAATGGTAGATATAGAAGAAAAAGGGTTTTAGAAGTATTTATGAGCTAAAACATGCAGGATTTGTTGATGGATTAGAAATGGTACAAAGGGGAAAGAGTTGACAAGAAAGGCTCTAAGATTTCTGGTTTGCACACCATTCGCTAAGATCAGAAACACTTGAAGAAGGCCAAGTTTGGGGGAGAAAATGGTGAGTTCAGTTTGGAGCTTCTAATTTTGAGGTGCTTTTGAGATATAGTAGAGGAGATGTCACACACGTATGAAGGTGAGAGTCAGGTCAGGTCTGAACTGCTGATTTAATTTTGGAAGTCATATGCATGTTGGTGGAATTTAATGCCAAGAGTATGAATAAGATCACATAGGAAAAAGTACAGGGTGAGAAGAGAAAGGGCCTAAGAATGAGCTAAGAGGAACTTCAGCATTTAATAACAGAGTAAGAGGAGTCGGAGAAGTAGTGGGGAGAGGTAGAAGAAAAAGCAGAATATTATAATTTCTGAAGCCCAGGGAAAGAAGTATATAAGAAGAAACTTGTTTGAGTATCCTATGCTGCTGAGAAGTCAGTAGTGATGATAACTAAAATGTATCCACTAGATTATGTGACATGGAAGTCAAGGGTGATAGCTGTTTTAATTTCTCTGGAGTGTTAGGTAAAAAAAGCAGATGGAGGGAGTTGCAGAGGGAGTGGGAGGTAAGGAAACAAAGAATGCATATAGGCAACTTTTAGAAGTGTGGGCATGAAGACATGAAGAGAGGGTGGTGAGGAAGCTATGAGGAGTCAAACAAAAATATCTTTTTTTCCCTTACTTTAAAACTTTTCGTTATGGTAACTCTCCAACATAAATAAAATGAGAGAGAATAGCATTATGAATCCTCATTTACCCACCACTCAGTTTCAACAGTGATCAACTCGTGACCAAACTTGTATCTGTAGTTCCACACATCTTAATTGTTTTTTTAGTGGGAGATACTTGAGTTTCTGTGAAAGCTATTGGGAAGGAAATCATTAAGAGAGAGAGAAAGAGAGAGAGAGAGAGAGAACAAGAGCAAGTACATAAATAGAAGCCAAGGTTTTTGGGAATGTGATAGGGGATCAGAGTGCCAGAGAAGGCATTAGCAGTGGGTAGCTGGAGGGCCAGCTCCTCCGTGACCCTTGGAAGGAAAGAAGGTAGATGTTTAGATGAAGATTTGCATGTTGATATCTGGAAGATGAGGAAATTCCATCTGATGACAGTGGCTATCCTTCTTCTTTTAAAGTAAGTAGCCATGTCTTGAACAGAGAATAACTGAGAAAAAGAGAAGGTGTTGGATGTTTGAAAACAACAGAGAAATTTGGATTAGTTACTGTGGAGAGTGAGAGGATGATAATAATATAGCAGAGAAATGCAGAATATTTACTAGGCGGTGTTAAGGACCCATTTGGAGGTACTGGACTGCCTCTTATAAACAGATGCAATTCACATACATATATTAATAGGTGTCTATTTAATTTGTATGTCCAGCTCGCCAATGTTTGCCGTCATAATACAGGGTGTTACTCTATTCTCTGGTGGAGGAATGTGTCCACACGCATGTGTATATGTGTGTTGTACAGAGGGCAAGGGTATATGGATTCCACAATCTACTGAATGTATGGTCAGAATATATATATCGCAAAAGAGATGATTTTAATTCTTGAAATGTGGGTGTGTCTGAGTCCGTTCTTTTTCACATTCATTGGTTCAGGGCGCCACCTGCTGGGAGGCTTGCACAATGTCACCAGCCAGCTTTTCCAATGCAAACTCTAAATAAAATATCTTTTTTCTTGGTAAAGTCATTTTTTTTTCTTTGAGACAGAGTTTTGTTCTTGTTGTCCAGGCTGGAGTACGATGGCGCAATCTCCGCTCACTGCAATCTCCACTGACTACAACCTCCGCCTCCCGGGTTCAAGTGATTATCCTGCCTCAGCCTCCTGAGTAGCTGGGATTACAGGTACCCGCCACCACTCCCAGCTATTTTCTTTTTTTTTTTTTTTTTTTTGGTATTTCTAGTAGAGATGGAGTTTCACCATGTTGGCCAGGATGGTCTTGAACTCCTGACTTCAGTTGATCCACCTGACTCAGCCTCCCAAAGTGCTGGGATTACAGGCGTGAGCCACCACGCCTGGCAAGTCAGTGATTTTGCACACACAGCATTTGCCCCCATGAAGTTTGAGTTTCATGTTTTTCAGATACTATTTTATTTTCTGTATTTTGGGGTCAAAGCAGGAACATTAAAATACGTTCTTTCCCGACTTGATTTTGGTCTTTTGGTGAAATACCACGTCTTGCCTGTTTAAATGCATGTGTTGTCTGTAAATCTCATCCATGATCTATATATTCAAGAAGAGAAATAAAATTTCAGACTTTTATCTGAAATACCATTAATAAGAAATAGATTATCTGTTAAAGGTGTTTAAAGTACAGATGATCCAACTGTGTAGATTGAGCAGTATTATTGAACAGTCTCCTAAAATTTGGATTTTGTTGTCCGCCCACTTTCTATCCCAAGTTATTCTCCTCTAGGTTCTCCAACTGAAATGAATATGTCTTCATAGTTTCCAAGCTGATCTCTAAGGAATCTAATCTGCTACAAATTATTTTTTTAAATAGTCTTGTCTTAACCTGAGTATAGTGTCCTTTAAAACTTTTCCTCTAAGATCCTTGCATCACGCTACTAAACTGCTCCCAATTTCTAGATTTTCATTAAATAATTTCTTTCCTTCAAATGTACTGTATGACAAAGTTCAGAGATAAATTATTCTAATTACTTCTCCTGTAATTCAAAAACTCTTAATTATGATCATTATATATGTATACACACACATATGTATACATATACATATATATATGCACAAATTCAGTCATGATACACACAGAATTTAGAGAAACACAGTATAAAGTGTACCGAATCATTCCCCAAGGAAAATAGCATTAGTTCATCTACTCATCCAGTCTTTATGAAGTGCCTGCTGTGGGTCCGGAACTTTGAGAGGCACTGGAGATGCATTGGGAATAAGACAGGCATGGTTCTGGGTCTTAAACTGCTTGCTCTGGAGTGTGGAAGACAGACATTGATTAGGTCATCCCAACACATTATGGAGGGTTCACTCTTAGGGGAAGTACAGAGAACACCATGGAACATCTGGAAGCTGGAGGATCATCAGGGCTTCCTGGAAGAAGTGGCATTAAGCTGTGAAGGAAGGAGAGAAAAAAAGCACTCCAGGCAGTCTGTGAGACTGACATCTAATGCCGAGAGCCAGATTGTGGAGGAACTGATAAACCTTCTTAAGGAGTTAGGATTTTATCCTAAGAGAAAATACCAGCCAATGACAGATTTGAAGAGTGCGTGCGTGTGTGTGTGTGTGTGTGTGTGTGTGTGTGTGTGTGTGTGTGGTGACCAGGCTTAGATTTATAGTTTGGAATACAGTTTGAAAAGATTATTCCAGAAGAATTTGGAGAAAGACTGAAGGGAAGCTAGGTTGGAGACAGTTTGAGGGTATATGTGATATGGTGTTGGCTTGTATTAGAGAAGTGGAGAGAAAGAGAGAGAAGAGGATAAAACTGAGGGTCATTTAATATATCAAATGAATAAGACTCAGTGGAAATCAGCTGTAAGAGGCAAAGGGAAAAGGAGAGCCCAGGATGATTCCCGGCTTTCTGGCTTGAGCAAATGAGTGAATGGAAGTGCCTTTTAATGAGAAAGGGGATAGGTAGTGGAAGTAGATTCTCAAAAAGGCCAGGGAAGATGAGTATTTCCACTTTAGACATGTTGAATTTGAGGTGTCAAATATGTACCAGTAGATATGTCTAATGGGCAGCTAGATATATGAGCCTGGAACTGTGAAGAGAAATCTAGGTCAGAAATACAAGTTAGGAATGATCAGTCTGTTGTGAGTAAATTGATGTCTTGGGAGTGGTCAATATCTCATAGAAGGTAAAATAAGAAAAGAAGAATGGCTAAGAAGAAGCCCTGAGGAACCCATCATTTAAGGAATCATCAGAGGAGGTAGAAGCGAGCAAATGAGACTGGCCAGATAGGCAGGAAGAAAACTAGGAGGGCTGGGGCCAGAATCAATGAACAGATGCTTTTAAAAAAGGGTGCACGAGCCATAGTGTCAAATGTTGCTGATAAGGGCCGACGTTTCCTTTAGGATTTGGTAATACATGGGTTGTCAAGGGAAGCTTCAGTGGAGTGACAGAAGTGGACATTAGTGAGTTCCCAAGTGAGTGAGAAGTGAGGAAGGAGAAGCAAGGAGTGTATACAATTAAAACATTTGTTGTGAAATGGAGTTAGTGGATGGGATGGGAGCTGGAGGGAGAAGTGTGTGGTTTAGGGAGTGGTTTGTTTGACAGGGAATGGTAGTGAATGTTTAAATGCTCATGGAAGTTATCTCATAAAGACAAACATTGAAGGAACAAGAGAGAGGAGTAATCAATAGATAGTTTAGTATTTGAGGAGGCAGTCAGAGATAATGATAATAGTAGTAATGAAAGTTGTTCCCCTCTTATTCAGTAACTGTTCTGAGGGCATGATTCCATTTAATTCCTACACAGCCTCTCCTACAGAGGTACTTTTTATTGTTATCCTGTTTTTTTGAGATAAGGAAACTGAGGCATAGAATGGTACTCTGAGTAACCAACATCACATAGTAAGTGGTGGAGACAGCATTGATACCCAGTCAATCTAGCTTGAGACTTGCACCATTAACCACAGTGTCCTATTGTTGGGTTCACAACCTGGCTGTAGACTCAACCCTTAGTACTGTAACTGAAGAGAAGGTGGATAGAGCAGGTACAAATGCAGTTGTCAGCTTAGTTAGCATCATGAATTTTCTAGAGATGCCATAACAAATTTCCCCAAACTGGGTGCCTCAGAAATTACAGAGATTTATTCTGTCAAAGTTTTGGAACCCAGAAGTCCAAAATCAAGGTCAAGATGTAAGCAGATTTTCACTCCTCTGAACAAGCTTCTTAGCTTGGGTCTGCATACTTCCAAACTCTGCCTCTGTCTTTACCTGGCCATCTTTTCTGTGTCTCAGATCTCTCTCTGCATTTCTCTGTAAGGATGCCTGCCATTGGATTCCAGGCCCGCCCTAAATCTACAATGATCTCATCTCAAGATCCTTACATTAATTACATCTGCAAGATGCTTTTTACAAATGAGGTCACATTCATAGGTTTTAAATGTTAAAACCTGGGCATGTCTTTTTGGGGTCCACTGTTCAATCCACTGCAGTTAGGAGATTGGATGAGTTTCTGACAAGTGGACTTGATAATTTCTGTGAGGTAACAATGTGGGTTATTTGCTGAGAATGTGTCCCAATGTAGAGGGATCAAACATATAAGGGGAGTGAAGAAATCTTGAAGTATCATTATTAAAATATGAAGAGTGAGCTGACTAGGAAATGTAGTTTGTGGAGCAGTGTGGAGAACCAGATGAAGTTTATTGTCATGAATTTATAGTTGTGTGATTTTCCCTAGCAATGATTAGCAGCCCGGGTGCAAACACTGAGGAAGCTGAGAGTTAAAGTATCTAGATCCTGGAAAGAGGGGGTGTGGGAGGGAAGGAAGGACAAAGGCAGAGGGGGTTAGGATACTGGCAAGTGGCTTTCCATGGAAGGCCATAGAGGTGAAGAAGTCGGATAGAGGACTACTGGCTTGGTCAAAAGCAGTCAAAAGAGTGGGAGTAACTGAGTGAACTCGCTATAACGATACTAGGCCATTCTCCAAGTACAGAATATTTATTACTTTAAACACACAAAAAAATCTGGATTAGTGGTTGCAGTAAAGGCAAATAGAAGTTTAATGGAGATAGAAAACTCAAAGGAAAGAGAGGACGGGATTCTGGACAGGCCACTCGTGTAACCCCAGAGTCATGCAGAAAAATGGCAGGGCTTGGGGTGGTGTGTGTGTGTGTGTGTGTGTGTGTGTGTAAGCCTTGGCACATAAGATGACAATTTATAACAAAGCAATTATTTTATTGTGGGTTTATGATACATTTTTTATTATCACACTCCTATCACCATATCTGGCAACTATTTTATACTAAGCACTGTGCTGAGAGATGGGGAGGTTGCAATAAACAAGACATACAAAGTCCTGACTCTCCAGAGGCATGTGTTCTACTAGGAGAGACTGACAAAAAGAAAAGAAACAGAAACAAGTAAACAAAGTTGTTGCAGTTTGTAATGAGTTTGTTATGAAGGGAACAGATTAAGAGATTGCAGCAGAGACTGATGGGCAGACTAACTTTGGTTAAGATGAAAAAGAAGGCACTTTCAGTTGGTGACATGAGAAGTAGGGAGATGAATACTCCAGGGAAAGGGCTGCTACAACAAAGTGCCACAGACCTGGTGGTTTATAAACAACAGAAATTTATTTCTCACAGTTCTGGAGGCTATGAGAAATCCAGCCTTGGGAAGTCCAAGGTCAAGGCAGATACAGTGTGTGGTGAGGGCCCACTTGCTGACCCATAGATGGCTATGTCCTCATGTGGTGGAAACAAGGAACAAACTTCCTTGTCCCTCTTTCATAAGAGCACTTATGAAATCCCATTAGGGATCCCATTAAGGATCCCAACAGGGAATAGTTTTGCTGCGTCATAGATTACATTTCTGATCAGCTTCACCAAGGTATTCTTTCTTGCTTCCCAAAGTGATACTATCCATTTTAGATTGTGTTTTCATTACTGATAATACCAGAGACTTTGCCTCCCAATGGCCCCATGCCATCACATTGGGATTGGGATTTCAACATAGGAATTTTGTGGGGACACAGACATTCAGACCATAACACTAGTCAGGGCCGACACTGATCTGTTACTTGACTCAAGATAGTGTGGCGTGAGAGCAGAGGCGACCCTAAGGGCCCCGTGCACATTTGGGTTACATTAATTTTTTATTGTGAAATAAATTATACATACCCTAGGGTATATGGAATGTATATGAACCATTTAGAAAGTATAATCACAATAATAAAATAAACACTCAGGATCCTACCAGTCAGCTTAAAATGAGAACATCACTAGTTCTTTGAAGACTCTCGGGTGAACCTCATCAATTGCATTCTTTCTCAGTCCCTAGGGGTAGGTAACCAATCATCCCCTGGCTTGTTTATAGTTTTATTTCACATATAGCTATCCCCAAATAATATATTACTTTGTTTTGCTTTTTAAACTTTATGTAAGTGGAAACATATTCTTATATGAGTTGTTTTTGGCCCCTTTACCATTGTGTTTTGAGGTTTGTCCATGTTCTTGAATATACAACAGTTTATGTTCATTAATGGATAATGCTCCATGGTGTGAGTATAACACAATGTATTAATGCATTCTGCCTTTGATGGACATGCAGTTTTTTTCCAGGTTTTTTGTCTATTATAAACAATGCTGTTGGAATAATCTTATATCTCCTAGAGCAAGCAATTTCAGATTATACACTTGGGAATTGGATTGCTGAGTCATAGTTTATATTCCTGTTCGGTTTCACCAGGGTATGCTTTCTTGCTTTCCAAAGTAATTCTATCAATTTTTTTTTTTTTTTTTTTGAGACGTAGTCTCGCTCTGTCACCCAGGCTGGAGTGCAGTGGTGCCATTTCGGCTCACTGCAAGCTTCGCCTCCCAGGTTCACGCCATTCTCCTGCCTCAGCCTCTCGAGTAGCTGGGACTACAGGCACCCGCCACCATACCCAGCTAATTTTTTTTGTATTTTTAGTAGAGACAGGGTTTCACCGTGTTAGCCAGGATGGTCTCGATCTCCTGACCTCGTGATCCGCCCCCCTCAGCCTCCCAAAGTGCTGGGATTACAGGCGTGAACCACCGTGCCCGGCCTATTCTATCAATTTTAGATTACATTTTCATAACTGATAATACCAGAGACTTTGCAAACTGGAGGAAGAGATATTACCTGGTAACTACCTATAGCAGTGGCCACAGTGCAGGAAATGGGTGGAGACTCCCAGGCCAGTGGCAGTTTAGTCTTGCATTTTCCTTCGTCCTTCCCTGACTTCCATTCTCAGACAGGAAATAGCTCTCATCACATGAATGTGTTCAGAAGGCTTTTGAGAAGCTGAGAATGTCAGAAAACAAGAGATTCAAGTTAGAGGCAGAAATGAAGGAACATTCCTTTGCACACAGCTTTCGAGGGTCTAGAATGGCCATCAAGCAATAGATTGGAGTGGACTGACTTGCAAATGTTTTGCTCAGAATTCCTGGCCCTAGAATGGAAGTGTTTTTTGTAGCCATGAATTCTTATAGTCACAGTAGGAGTGACTGTGAGAACTGCATGTTTTCTAATCTCTTGTCCACAAAGGTCATGGAAATCTGGATGTAACTCTACCTGAAATTCTGATGCCTTGACACACAGGCCGACCTTACCCCTGCATTTCCTGGAGTAAGCACTTTTTACTTAAACACCTTCCTCTCTCCTCTTTTTCTCTAAAGGGTCAGCCATGAACCATTCACATTAGAAAAACAGCCTCTAATCTTCACAAAATCCATGAAAAGTAGATATTATTCCCACATTAGAAATGGGAAAACTAAGGCTCAGAGAAGTGAGTAACTTGGACAAAATTTCATAGCTTCTAAGTAGCAGATTTGACAGTCAAAGCCACATCTGTCTAAATTCATCTGTTCTCTCTCTCTCTGGCTTTCCGTGGCCCTCTAATTCTTTGTATTGTCATTTATAACCATGTGGCGCTTAACAAGTGACTTACCCTGTCTCAGCTTTAGATTAAAATATAACAGTTCACGTAGGCTCAATAAATGTTTATTTAAAAATGAAAATCACTATATGGACTTACATTCTAGTAGGAGAAATGTTGTTATGTTTGTCTCCTAAATCTAAGCTCACAGCCTCTGGCTAAGCATGTGAATTTAGCTTGTTCTACAGCTAATATGTGCCTACGGTTAGGTAGGTCTTTTCTATAAAGCATGTTCCAGTGTATTGTTGCTTATCTATTATTTTGCTTTTATACCGTTTTGCTGACTGGGAGCATATTTCCTCTCATAATGGTCACGATTTTTAGTGGAGGCTTTCCCGGGATATGCTGTTACCAACTCACAACATACTCTGGCTCTGATACTTGTCTCAGAGAAGCAGTCAGGCTTGGCAGCACAACCAGCATGCCAATAGCCTGTTCCCTGGGGACACTGCTATCGCTGTCTCCCAGACACTTTACCTCTCCAGTTGCACCTCAGCCTGCTAACAGGGGAGTCAAAAGCAGAGAGGAGGCATCACTCGAAGGTGGGAAAAATAATAAAATCAGTTTCTAGCTTGATGTGGTTTGGAAAGATCCCTTGCCACCACCTAAGATGCACCTGGAAGGTAAATTATTCAGACTTTTCTCCTGCACAACCTTCTTGCTGCCTCCAACGTCATCACCATCTCACCTGTTTTCCTCCTGCTCTACTGAGCTGGGGAGAGAGGTGCGCTGGTGGTTCTTCAATGGACCTCTGAAACACTGGGAAGGTCAAGGCTGTGATCTGAGGGGTTGTTCTCTGTAAACAAAAATACGTTACTCTCAAAACAGAAAACTGAAATAAAAGGAGATTTTTAACTCTTCTAATAATCGTCATGCCACATGAAGAAAGATATTAGGAGCCTTACGTTTCAGTTCCTGTTTGCATCTGGTTGCCCTATAACACTGTAGCCTCTACTTTAGTAAATAAACCGGGGAGAGGATTCCAAAGAATAGTAAAGATTACAGAGTACAGCAATAGACGAGAGAACAGAGGTTTTACATAGTCTAGAACGGGGGCTAGGACGCTTTTTCCAGAAAGGGCCAGAGAACAATATTTTAGGTTTTCTGGGTCCTTCTGTCTCTGTCGAATATTACTATTTGTTTTTATTTACCATTCTTTGAGAATGTAAAAAACATTTTCATCTTGGAGTCCATATCGAACTGCATTGCAGGCTGAATTTTGCTTGTAGTTTGCCAAGGCAAACTCTAGAAGCTCATTCTCAGTTTTACTACCATAAAATATCATTTTTTTTAAAAAAAGAGATGTAATATGGTACATTTTGAGAGTAAGCAATGAGCAGAAATATTAGGAACAAGCATTAATAATTAGGTAAGAATTTCTAGAAGACAAAAATGAAAGGGAGGACAGAGATTATGAGGGAGTAATTGAAAGGAGTTAGGGGTGTGAGAAAGAGACAGATACGGAATGAGAATGGAACAGTGTCTTGAGCAAAATAAAGAATCTGGGAAAGTGGAGTAAATGAGGCAGATTTTCTCCTTAGCATAGTTAGTGGCAAATATACCCCAGCCCTGCTGTGTAATAGAGTGAATTTGTATGGGTATTTGAGAAAAAAATCTACTGTTATCTTGTTTATAACTACAGTCTTCTTTTGACTATATGTGGCAGGTCGTAGGTCTTTACTGGCTTTCCTGCTACCTTCCGACACTGTGGTTTAGCACTTGTTCAGTTAGCTGTTGTGATTTAAAAAGAATGGAAAGTGTGAAACACCCGCTTGTTGTAGGTTGGCGAGGATTGGTGGATGGGTGGGAAGGATGCACAGCAATAAATCTGGGCAGCTTTCTATGGATTGTGAAGCAAATTCACTAATACCAGCCATCTAACTTTTGCCAAACTACGAATCTTTTTTCCCAGATACTTAACTATCAGGAAACATTTACAGATGAAGAAAGAAGAACATCTGAACACAGACTGAGGTAATAGAGAAAACAAGGAAATGAATCTCAAATATACGACGAAGTTGGAAAACAGAACAACAGGATACTTTTAGCTTGAAGTAATTTGAAAGACAGAGACTGCTAAATACCTTAGAAATATTGGATATCACAAGAAAGGGCCAACTTCCCTCAGAATTATGATGAAGCACTGAATTATGAGTTAAGGTCTCTTGGCTTCAGCCTTTAGCCTACTCCTTGCAAGTCTTGTGACTTTAGGAAAGCAATTTAGATTATCCAAGTCTCAGTTTTCTCATCAGGGAAATGCAGAGAGTATTTTTTTTATAATGGTGTTTTTATTTGTATGTAAATATTAAAGGGCTTGTAAGCTATAAATAACTATGATAATGACAGAGATTTTATTAGTCTTACTATTTCATTTGTGGGTTGACTTTACTCCTGCATAATAGGAAGCCACTTGTGTACAGTGACTTGAGGGGTTTCCAAAGGATTCTCTGCCTGTCAGATTTCTCCTAAATTAGACTATGATGAAATGACTAAATCGTTTTCATGGAGACCAAAGTTTTTATAGCCTCAGGTTAATTGATTTAGGAACATTAAGATGCAAATGTTATCAAAAACAGGGCTCAACACAACTGTAGACATCTAAGCTCTTGACTAACTAGTCACCTAGCAATGTATGAAGCGAATGGGTCAGAATTGCCACTAAATAGGGTGGCCCAAAGAACTTGGGGTCACCGTGAAAATAGTAAATGCCTATCAAGAGAACACATTAGAGGAGCAAGGCATAAAGAAGAGAGGAAAGGCCTTCTGCAGGTGACTTCACAATTTTGACTCAGGCTGGTTTGTTCTGCCGAGAACCAAGGTCTTTGAGAGATGGCAGCCTTTGATCTTTGTTCCTTTGCGTTCCTTCTCAGTGCCATTGTTTTTCTGAACAAGTGGATCCCAGGACTGTGTCCCAAGTAATCCTCCTAGAGCAATCGTGGTCTGGACAGCTAACTTTACACCAGCAAGTCATGCTTCCCATCCAGGGGCCACTGCTTTCAGACTCCCTTGCTTCCAGTTGGGAATGGAAGCCAATGGCATGGGCATGGCTGTGACACATCTTTTATAGGCCAGGGTGGTTAAAAAGCAGATGCTCTTTCTCTGCTTTTTCTTGTCAGCTTACTGGATATTGATGCCAGTGGCAATATTGGCAAACAAATCTTGAAGATAGATGGCCAGAGAAATGATGGAAACTGTGTCTGAGTCACTGCTTGGAAGAGAGCCACCAAACCAGGAGCACTTACATCCGACTGGAATGTGAGCAAAACATTCTTCTTTTTAGTGTTAAACCATTGGGATTTTTGGTTGATATAGCAACTAGTGTCACTGAGATTAATGCAACTACTGATATTACTAAACTTTCTCCTGAGATGACTCTGTGTTCTGCAAATTGAGATCTGCTGGCCTTTTTGCTTGATCTGTACCCTTTACTCTTTAACTTCTCTCCCCAGATTCTTTCTGCTTTCTTTGCAATCATATCTTCAAATGAATAATGAAATCAACAAAGAGCAAGAGAACAGAGGAGTAATGATTATTTTATTAATTTATTTTATTTTTCTGTTTGATTTGACTGCATGGGAATAACCAAGAAGCTGAGTAGAAATCAAGGACAGATGTTTGTGGGCTTAAACTCCTGTGCTGGAAGTGGAAAAGGTATAAACAGTAAAGGCTTTTAAGTTTCAGTGACATGATTTTAAATTGAGAGCCAAGAGAAAGGATACTTTCTCACACTTTGCATACATAGGATCAGTTTCTTGTTTAGTTCTGACTTTCCAATTGGCAGAGTGCCCTTGAAATGTCAGCTTTGTCAGTGGAGCACCCTGCAGTCATTACCTGGTCTATAACATTGGCACAGGACACTCAGAGAGTGGTTTCTACCTAAAACCAAGCTATGTGCTGGGAGCCTAGGTATAGATACTTGGATAGGAGAGAAAACTGAGAGCGCAGGTGTTGAAGTAGATCAAATTACACACACAAAATAAGTAAACAAAGAACCAAAAATTTAGGAAAAAAAAACATGCTTACAAAAGCACGTCAAACTGGTCTCTGAGATCTTATAATTTTCCCATTTATACATTTATATAAATTGTGTTCACAGGTACACTCACAATATGATCAAGTAGTGTTTGTACCTAAAACAATTGTCACAGTGTGTTATTTGAGCAGTAGTATTGAGTAAGATGATGGCTTCTAAATAAGAATTACTCTACAGTTACTTAGGGATTAAGTGGCTTAACTGGAATTGAAAACATGGTTTTTGAGGGCTCCCTCAATGCTTCCCATCACTAGTTTATACAGGCAATAGAGAACTCATTTGTCTTGAATAATTCTTTAGCTTTCCACAGCTGAATATCTTGCTCTTGGGGAAAGAGCTTGCTATGATGTGCTGGATTCTGGCTGAGAATCTCTGGGTTTGAATCTTGGCTCTGCCACTTACAGTCTTTAGGAGGTTGGTTAAGTTACAATATTTCTCTCTACCTCAGTTTCTTCATTGGTAAAATAGAAACAATCATAGGACTTACCACATACATTCATCAAAGGAATTAAATGACCTAATAGAAGCAAATTATTGGACTAGTAACTGCTAAATAAGAATCAGTTGTTGCCCGTGTTGTTTTTCTGTTGTGGGGTAAATGCATTTCCTTCTGTTTGAGCTTCTGTTTGACTGGAACACAGTTGATCATGCCTTCTGACTCCTTCAGCCTTCTCTAGAATGTATTTACAACACTGGATGTCCATAACCAGCCTTTCCTTCCAACAGTCACGCTGGGCTCTAGCCTTTTCTGTGGAGCTGTAATTCCTTCTCCTTCTCCATTTCTCCATTGATTCTTATTTTCCTTGCAATTGAGTGCTTTCCCCTCAATGGCAGTTTTACACATGCTAATCCAATCTTCTAGATCTGGTTCAAGGGTTATAATGATGAAGGATTTTCATCAACTGGAATAAGAATACTTAATCCTTAACGTTTTTGACAGCCAGCTCTGTGGCACGAGACGACAGTTTAGGAGCAAAAGACAACAATAGCTGTGATAATGACACAGGCAGTCACAGAAGGGCAAGAGAACAAGCTGTCCTAGGATGCTTGTGTAAGAAAAATTGCACGTCTTGTCTTCCTAATTAAAGGCTAAAAAATTGACTGAATTGCATATCTAATAGATAACATGACTGTACAATTAAAGGAATTATATTAAGTGTCTTTTGCACACAGGACCTTTTACTATACGTCTTTTGGTGGCACAATTTTTCAGGATGAAAAGTACTCAAGGAAATCGTAAACTTAACCCAGTAGTTTTATTCTTGATATTATAATTTTGAAATTATTTTACGTATATTCTAGAATAAAGCAAATAAATAAATAGGTTAATAACATCAGGATCCAGTGTTTTCAATGTATGAGAAAAGAGAAATAAATATAGAAACAAAGAAATTAGGAGGGGAGATAACTCTATAAAATCAAATCTAAGTTGTAAATGTTAGTATGAACATAAGATTATATATAACATAATGCTACACATGATCTATATAATGTATATCATGTATTATATGCAATATAATTCATCTATATAATGTATCTCTAATTTATCTACATATAATCTATAAGTCTCTCTGTATGTGTGAGTGTGCATATGTGGAGAAAAAGAGAGAGGGATAGGGAAACAGAGACAGAGAGTGGCACACACACCCACACACACACACACAAACACATGCACACACACACATAGGGTGGGGGTGAGAACGAAAATACATGCTTTATCCACTCTGTCCAATGAAAGAACTTAGAAACCATTATGAACCAGTAGTATTGAGCACACCTGACATTCGGTTATTGTTTTCTAAAATACCACTCTCTCTAAAAAGAACTAGGGCTCCTTATGGAACTGGCTGATTCTAGGTTTCAGACAGGGAATATTTACAGTGATTTTAAGATCTCCTATTGTATCAGGAGTTTCTAGAGAACAATTGGGGTCTTGACAAAAGGGTACAGCTTGAAGGGGCTGTCACTGACTGAGTTTGGGACAATATGAGCATCAAAAAAATAATGTTTGTGATTGATCATATTAACAAAAATGTCCAAGTCCAAAATGACATTCAAAAAAAGGAAAAAGGGAAAGATAAAATATAAGATTATTTGCCACAGTAGAGGTTATTAGTACACCAACTCCTTACTCTGAAAATTAGTAATTAAAAGGAAATAATTAAGCTGCACCCTGTTTGTATTTGTCAGGATAGAGAGGTTATGCTGCAGTAACAAACAACCTCAAAATCTCGGTGGCTCAAAGCTAAAAAGTGTATTTTTCACTTTCACTGCGTGTCTCTCCTGGGGTTACAAGCGTTCCGATTCATGTCATACTCACTTAGGGAGGTGTCTCATGCTTTCACTCTTTGGCACTCATACCATCCAGTAAAAGAGGAGCGGATCCCAAGGAGCCATTGCTTCTTTATTCGGAGTTCTGGTGTGAGAGATATGTAATGCCAAACTAGGGACTGGAACAAAGCACACCAGAGCCACAGCTGGGCCTCAGCCAAATCACAGACCTGTGAGCAAGAAATCTGTGTCATTATATGCAACTAAGATTCCGGATTGTTTGTTACCGATGCAAAAACTGATTAATACACCCGTTATGTATGCAGAAGGAAAAAAAAACACAAACACCAGACTATTGGTGAATAGCCCAAATGACAACTGTATTGTGTTTTAAAGGACGAGCTCTGTGAGTATTGCAGAAGATTCCCAGCAAATAAGTGTAGAAGGAATAATACCAGTAGAAGTCACCATTTTGATATCCTGAAATAATTGGTTCAGGAAAGAATTATCAATGAATTTTGGAACCATTAGGTAAAAACATTTTAGGAAATAGAATATTTGCTAATATTCTATTAGAATGAGTCCTAAGTACCACCCTACAGATATTTGCTCTTTATAATGGGTGAAGTACCCTTTAAAATAAAACTGTCATCATGAAACTACACCTCACTGACAGTGGACAGCTTGACATTGTGTGCCTCCTGAGGTAATGCATTATGAAGTAACATCACTGCCTTTGAATTACCCTTACCTCAAATGTTTTATCTGTGTGTAATCAAGACTTTTGTTCAGATTCCCAATACATAAGGAGTACAGGAGACACAGGTATGTGTTAAACAATGCTGTACAGCAAATCAGGAAAGTGACAATTTTATAAAGCTGTTGTTTGAGACTCTTTAACATGCCCATGTCAAGGGGATACAAAACCACAGTCTGTGCTTCGTTTTATTCTGGTTTAAAATTAGCAAAAGATATAGAACAACTACATGCAGTGTGTAAGCCTTGATTGGATTCTAGTTTGAAAAAGCTAACTACTAATGTATTTGTTGTTCAGTTTGGGAAATTTGAGTATGGCCTGGATGTTGGGGGATATCAAGATATTTTTGATGTTTCTGGGTATAATAAAGGCATTGAGGCTGTATAAGAGATTTTTCTTAGTTTAGGAGATGTATGCTGATGTAGTTAGTGGTTAAATATCATGATATCTAACCCGGTTTCAAATGCTTCATCAATAAATTTATACAGGGACACAAACATACATACAATTTTGCAGTTAAGGCAAAATGTTAACATTTATTGCACCTAAGTGATGGGTACATATCTTATTCTGTCAAATTTAAATTTGAATTTGTTTGTAATAAAGCAGGAAACAAAATGAAGCAAGACACTGCACGGGGAAAGGTGTGTGTGTGTGTCTTTGTGTGTGTGTGTGTGTCAGTGAAATTCAAAGCTGTGTCTAAAATGTCATCCTGATCTAGAAGTCTCGTAAGGTCAACATGGCCTCAGCTGTTTTCCTTTTCTTTTATATTTTTAACCATTTTATTTTAAAAGCTCTGAGCCTGAATGATTGCTCTTGAACTTCTATGTCTTCCATATTTTTTCCTTGTCCAAAGAATAATCCACTAATTTAGGAGAAAGAGTCAATAATTACACTTTACTTGACTCAGAGCCTCCTGGAGAAACCATATATTACTGGATAGCCTGGTGCTTCTCTGTTTTATAAAAAAATCTTGGATACAAAATTTATTTGTTATACTTGATATATTATTATTTTTCCTATCTTCCCACCTCTTCTGCCCTGTCTCAGGAGGTGTTTTTCTTCCTTAAGGTTAACTATACCTTTTCTCCAGAGCACATGTTTTTCTGATGCCTCTAGAATCCTAATCTGATCTTTTTTAAGCTACATTCTTTGTGAACTTTTTGTCGATTCTTGGCCTTCAGCCTCTCTCTGTGTCTTTCTCTCTCGTGCGCACACAAATGCACCTGTCTCCTCCGTTTTTAAAATAACTTTTTTCTGCTACTACACAGCCTTCCAAGATGTTTTGCCCTATCTCTGTTCTTCCCTTGACAGCTATATTTCTGCTAACTACAGTCCATACAAGCTATTGCCATTTTCTGGCCACTTACTCATTTTTCTCATTCATTTCTGAAACAACTCTCACTAAAATAACACAAAAAATAACTTGATAGTCAAATCCAATTTTTTTTTCTGTACTCACATATCTTTCTCTTTATGCAGCTTAAAAAAATTCAGTACCTTTTCCTTCTTGAATTTTCTCCCTGTAGCATTCAGGGGACCTTAATACAGTTTCAGAAGAATTTCTAATGCCGAGTGACTTTACTTTTTTTTTTTTTAATTATACTTTAAGTTTTAGGGTACATGTGCACAATGTGCAGGTTAGTTACATATGTATACATGTGCCATGTTGGTGTGCTGCACCCAGTAACTCGTCATTTAACATTAGGTATATCTCCAAATGCTATTCCTCCTCCCTCCCCCTACCCCACAACAGGCCCTGTTGTGTGATGTTCCCCTTCCTGTGTCCACGTGTTCTCATTGTTCAGTTCCCACCTATGAGTGAGAACATGCGGTGTTTGGTTTTTTGTCCTTGTGATAGTTTGCTAAGAATGATGGTTTCCAGCTTTATCCATGTCCCTACAAAGGACATGAACTCATCATTTTTTATGGCTGCATAGTATTCCATGATGTATATGTGCCACATTTTCTTAATCCAGTCTATCATTGTTGGACATTTGGGTTGGTTCCAAGTCTTTGCTATTGTGAATAGTGCCACAATAAACATATGTGTGCATGTGTCTTTATAGCAGCATGATTTATAATCCTTTGGGCATATACCCAGTAATGGGATTGCTGGGTCAAATGGTATTTCTAGTTCTAGATCCCTGAGGAATCGCCACACTGACTTCCACAATGGTTGAACTAGTTTACAGTCCCACCAACAGTGTAAAAGTGTTCCTATTTCTCCACATCCTGTCCAGCACTTGTTGTTTCCTGAATTTTTAGTGATTGCCATTCTAACAGGTGTGAGATGGTATCTCATTGTGGTTTTGATTTGCATTTCTCTGATGGCCAGTGATGATGAGCATTTTTTCATGTGTCTTTTGGCTGCATAAATGTCTTCTTTTGAGAAGTGTCTGTTCATATCCTTTGTCCACTTATTGATGGGGTTGTTTGTTTTTTTCTTGTAAATTTGTTGGAGTTCATTGTAGATTCTGGATATTAGCCCTTTGTCAGATGAGTAGATTGCAAAAATTTTCTCCCATTCTGTAGGTTGCCTGTTCACTCTGATGGTAGTTTCTTTTGCTGTGCAGAAGCTCTTTAGTTTAATTAGATCCCATTTGTCAATTTTGGCTTTTGTTGCCATTGCTTTTGGTGTTTTAGACATGAAATCCTTGCCCATGCCTGTGTCCTGAATGGTATTGCCTAGGTTTTCTTCTAGGGTTTTTATGGTTTTAGGTCTAACATTTAAGTCTTTAATCCATCTTGAATTAAATTGTGTAAGGTATAAGGAAGGGATCCAGTTTCAGCTTTCTACATATGGCTAGCCAGTTTTCCCAGCACCATTTATTAAATAGGGAATCGTTTCCCCGTTTTTTGTTTTTGTCAGGTTTGTCAAAGATCAGATGGTTGTGGATATGCGGCATTATTCCTGAGGGCTGTGTTCTGTTCCATTGGTCTATATCTCTGTTTTTGTACCAGTACCATGCTGTTTTGGTTACCATAGCCTTGTAGTATAGTTTGAAGTCAGGTAGCGTGATGCCTCCAGCTTTGTTCTTTTGGCTTAGGATTGACTTGGTGATGCGGGCTCCTTTTTGGTTCCATATGAACTTTAAAGTAGTTTTTTCCAATTCTGTGAAGAAAGTCACTGATAGCTTGATGGGGATGGCATTGAATCTATAAATTACCTTGGGCAGTATGGCCATTTTCACGATATTGATTCTTCCTACCCATGAGCATGGAATGTTCTTCCATTTGTTTGTATCCTCTTTTATTTCGTTGAGCAGTGGTTTGTAGTTCTCCTTGAAGAGGTCCTTCACATCCCTTGTAAGTTGGATTCCTAGGTATTTTATTCTCTTTGAAGCAATTGTGAATGGGAGTTCACTCATGGTTTGGCTCTCTGTTTGTCTGTTATTGGTGTATAAGAATGCTTGTGATTTTTGTACATTGATTTTGTATCCTGAGACTTTGCTGAAGTTGCCTATCAGCTTAAGGAGATTTTGGGCTGAGACGATGGGGTTTTCTAGATATACAATCATGTCATCTGCAAACAGGGACAATTTGACGTCCTCTTTTCCTAACTGAATACCCTTTATTTCCTTCTCCTGCCTGATTGCCCTGGCCAGAACTTCCAACACTATGTTGAATAGGAGTGGTGAGAGAGGGCATCCCTGTCTTGTGCCAGTTTTCAAAGGGAATGCTTCCAGTTTTTGCCCATTCAGTATGATATTGGCTGTGGGTTTGACAGGGTCTCCCTGTGTCACCCAGGCTGTAGTGCAGTAGCACGATCTTGGCTCAGTGAAATATCCACCTCCCGGGTTCAAGTGATTCTTGTGCCTCAGCCTTCTGAGTAGCTGACATTACAAGCATGCGCCATCATGCCTGTCTAATTTTTTTGTAGAGGCAGGGTTTTGCCATGGTGGCCAGGCTGGTCTCAAACTCCTGGCCTCAAGTGATTCTCCTTGGCCTCCCAAAGTGTTGGGATTACAAGCATGAGCCACCATGCCCGTCCCCAAGTGACTTTAGAAGACTGGAAGTACACTAGTGTTTTCCAAGCAGGACTGGTCACTTTATTGGACCCTTTCCCACTAAACTCAAGGCCACAGTTGTTCTAATTAGCTCAAACTGCTGCCTTCTCCCAGGCTCAGTTTTCCTCTTCCATTTGAAACCCTTTGTACTCATGTGTTTTCCCCTTATTTGCATTCTGTTGGCTTGTCCCTCATGACTCCTCAGCATAGTCCCTTATACTGTTTGGGGTGTTTCCTTTGCTTTGACTTGAGTTCTTTCTGTTACCCAGTCTCTTGTCCACTACTCTAAGTTGTGAACTCCCTTGAAATCTGGGAAACAAAGGAAGAGCTCTTTGCTTTCATTTCTCTACACCTAAAATAATCTTTGGCTGAACTCTCAAGCTAATACGAGAAAAACTGTTCAGGCTTGTCAGAAAAAGGAAACAGAAAGCTAAGGATTTTAATGGGAGGAGCCTTAAAATCCTGTAACACTTGTGCCTTCTCTTTCCCAGGGATTAGCACACAGTTAAACAGTAAGAGCTAGTCAAGTTTCTAAGTGAAAATAGCCAGTAGCACTTCTTCCTGGCTAACTTTCAAAACTTCTTATCATGCCTCACCACTATTCAATAAAGAACTCTATCTGATATATGTTCTTACCCTATCAAAATACATGGTCATCCCTGAAGCTCTGACTTAAGGACTAGGCTGCTGTGGAAGGAGATTCCAGTGAGGTAAGGCCTGTGGGAAGTTTTCTAGAAAAAGCCCAAAGAACAAGTTTCTAATCAGAAAATTAGGAGGAAATAGTAATTATGGGTTTCTGTGATGGAAAGAAGGGCTGGTATTGACTATATTCCAGAAAAGAAAAAGCTGTAGGTAGTCCGATTTTAAACCCTCAGTTAACTGAAAGTATAGAAGTCGTCTTTTATTTCACTACAACTGAGACCTAAACAAAAGAAAGTACATTTGGCTGCATCAGGAATTAGAATATATTGTTGAACGGGTTGACCAAGATGAAGTCTAAAAGGAATTATAACTTTCTAGGTGTGTTGGTCTCCAGGTATCTTAATTGACAAATTTATATTCAGAAGAGGTCTTTTGATTTCTGGCTGAAGGAGAGAGAAATGTAGGGCCTGGGGAAGAGTTCCTAAATAAAAGATAACAATGATATGACAAAATGCCTATCATGTAATATTAGATTTGGGCCGGGTGCAGTGGCTCACATCTGTAATCCCAGCACTTTGGGAGACCGAGGCAGGTGGATCATGAGGTAAAGAGATCGAGACCATCCTGGCTAACATGGTGAAACCCCGTCTTTACTAAAAATACAAAAAATTAGCTGGGCGTGGTGGCGGATGCCTGTAGTCCCAGCTACTCCGGAGGCTGAGGCAGGAGAATGGCGTGAACCCCGGAAGCGGAGCTTGCAGTGAGCCGAGATCGCGCCACTGCACTCCAGCCTGGGCGACAGAGTGAGACTCCGTCCCAAAAAAAAAATTATATATATATATATATGTATGTATATATTAGGTTTGAAACATCAGAGTATAAAACTGTATTCTGAAAACAGTATTCTTGCAGTTAAAAAAAAGTCTAGTAGAAAAACTCTCATTCCATAAACTCCATATTCAAGAAATGTGGCTTTAAACATTTTTCTGTCACATATTTTAACTTCTATTTCCTTTAGTCCATTAGGTGTCAGAAAATTTATTTCATTTCATTTAAGATTGGACCCCACTTTTCCCATAGCCATGGTTAAATTCCTACGGTTTAGGGAACAAATTAGATTCATAAAACTATTCTTTTGAAATTTGTTGTGACATCTTTTATAGACCTGTTGAGTATATAATAAATATTTCTAAGTATTCCGTCAGATCAAAGTTGTTAATTGTATTCTTCGACTTCCATATTTTTGCCTTTTTGGCTACTTGAATTATAACTTATTGAAATAAGAGTGTTGTAGTCTCCCACTCTCATGGTGGATTTGTCAATTTATTCCTTGAGGTCTCTCAATTTTTGTTTATATCTGTTAAGTCTATTTAATGAGGTGCATGCAAGTTTAGAATTGTTATATTGCTTTGGTGCCTAATGTTTAATCATTGCATAGAAATGCTGTCTTTAATGAAGCTATTTGTCTTGAAGTCTTCTTTGATTATTATTAATATAGCTATACTAGCTGTCTTTTGGTTAGTATTTGGCGGCTGTGTCTTTTCTCATTCTTTTCTTTTCAACCCTTCAGCATTTTCATGCTTTAGGAAAGTCTTTTTTAAATAGCATAGGAACTGGAGTATGTCTTATTCCAGTCTGACATTGTGTTTTAACCGGCAAGTTTAATTTATACGTATCAGGGTAATTGAAATATTTAGATTTGGTGTTACCATCTTGTTTTTTATTTTTCTTTATTTTTTGAGTCAGAGTCTCACTCTGTCGCCCAGGCTGGAGTGCAGTGGGGCAATCTTGGCTCACTGCAACCTCCACCTCCTAGGTTCAAGTGCTTCTTGAGCCTCAAATTCCCAAGTGGCTGGATTTACAGGTGCCCACCACCATGCTCGGCTAATATATGTATAGATAGATAGATAGATAGATAGATAGATAGATAGATAGATAGATAGATAGATGATAGATAGATAGATAGTTTTTTTTTTTTTTTTTTTTGTAGAGACGGGTTTCAACATGTTGGCCAGGCCTCGAACTCCTGGCCTGAAGCAATCCACCCGCTTCGGCCTCCCAAAGTGAGGCACTGCATTTGGCCCCATCTTATTTATTTTATATTATACTGCTTTTTTCTATGTTTGCTTTCATCTTTTAAAAATCTTTTCTAGGACCAATCTTTATATATATTTTCTTTGATTTTTGTTTCATAAATCCTGTCATAAACTCTGTGGGGACAAGTCATTTTCTTAAAATACAAGTAAATTGCTTCCGGATGTAGTTTTTTTGTGTAACTGTTTAGGAGCAAGTTCTCTTTCTCTCTTTTTAATTGAGGTGAAACCCACGTAATGTAAAAGTAACCATTTTAAAGTGAGCAATTCTGTGGCATTTGGTACATTCACAATGTTGTGCAACCACCACCTAACTAGTTTTAAATAACAACGTCTATTTTGCTTTGCTTTGTAATGCATTTTAATAGACCCTACGCCAGGTTATTTTAGCCTTCTTGAACAAGGCTACACATACCCAGCACTTTCCAAAGGAGATGTGGACTGTCCTTGGCCTAATTCCTATTCACTTTGCTGTTAGAATAACCATTAGTCTAATTTGAGGTCAAAGAGAAGATTTCTTTACCCAGTCCTACCTGTTCTTGCTGTGGTTGTTTTTGTGAGCTGGTATTTAACTAGGGTGGTTTTGTCTAATGAAGAAGATTCTTGTCCTACTTACTGTTCATTGTAGATGCTAAATACTAGATTAGAAGAAAGCCATCCCCAATAAGCGTTGTTATTAGAGCTCTACCTGCCTTTACCCTCACCTAGAGCACATTAGCGTAAGTATAATTCCCTAGATGGTAAATGGAATGTGATGTTGCAAGAGTCCCACACTCTCACCCTACCCCAAACCCTTCTCTGATGTGCTCTAGATGTTCTAACTTCTGAACCTATGTACAAAAGAGAGGAATGTGAACAGATGACACTTTAGCCACTAAAAAAATTAATATGTGTGCAGTGAAGGGTTTGATCTCAGTTGTCTGCTTGGTGCAGATACCATTTATGTAATCTAGAGGGGCAGGAAATAGAGAAGGAACACATATTTTTCTAACTATGATTTTAGGCAAACAGATTTTGGGTAGCACAGTTTATTAAAGGTACTGATTGCTCTTATCAAGTCATTTCCATCAGTTTCTCACACTTTGGCAATAGGTGGGCTGACCGTGTCAGTTTTTTTTTCTTTGAAATCTGCTTAATATTTTTAATGGCACTTTGAGGTCCATAGACCCTGGTATACCAACGGCACAGCTAGAGGGTCTAAAGGAACATAGAATTTGGGCCTCTTGTACCTAGCGGTGCTTCTAATATAAAAGAATTTTTTAAAACATCAGTCTGACTATGGTCAGATAACCTGCACACCCAAAAGTTTGGTGATAGCTCAGATTTTTTTCTCAAAATGAGATGCCATAGGATGGCTCCTGAGAGAGGTTTTATGTGGACCATGGTCTTGGTCTTCACTTAGAATAATAGTCTCCAATCTCGTCCAGGTTGCTGTGAATGCCATTAATTCATTCCTTTTTATGGCCGAGTAGTATTCCATTGTGTATATATACTACAGTCTCTTTATCCTCATTGGTTGATGGCCATTTGGGTTGGTTCCACGTTTTTGCAATTGCAAATTGTGCTGCTATAAACATGTGTGTGCAAGTATCTTTTTAATGTAATGACTTCTTTTCTTCTGGGTAGATACCCAGTAGTGGGATTGCTGGATCAAATGATAGTTCTACTTTTAGTTCTGTTAAGGGATCTCCATGCTGTTTTCCATAGTGGTTGTACTAGTTTACATTCCCACCAGCAGCGTAGAAGTGTTCCCTGTTCACCACTTCCATGCCAACATCTACTATTTTTTTATTTTTTGATTATGGCCATTCTTTCAGGAGTAAGGTGATGTCACATTGTGGTTTTGATTTGCATTTCCCTGATCATTAGTGGTGCTGAGCATTTTTTCATATGTTTGTTGGCCATTTGTATATTTTCTTTTGAGAATTGTCTATTCATATCCTTATCCCACTTTTTGATGGAATTTTTTTTTCTTGTTGATTTGTTTGAGTTCATTGTAGATTCTGGATATTAGCACTTTGTCAGTTGTATAGATTGTAAAGATTGTTTTCCCACTCTGTGGGTTGTCTATTTACTCTGCTGACTGTTCCTTTTGCTGTGCAAAAGCCCTTTAGTTTAATTAAATCCCACCTATTGATCTTTGTTTTTATTGCATTTGCTTTTGGGTTCTTAATCATGAAATTCTTGCCTAAGGCAATGTCTAGAAGGGTTTTTTCCAATGTTATCTTCTAGAATTTTTATAGTTTCAGGTCTTAGATTTCAGTCCTTAATCCATCTTGAGTTGATTTTTGTATAAGGTGAGAGATGAGGATCCAGTTTCATTCTCTTACATGTGGCTAGCCAATTAGCCCAGTACCATTTGTTGAATAGGGTGTCCTTTCCCCACTTTGTGTTTTTGTTTGCTTTGTTGAAGATCAGTTGGCTGTAAGTATTTGGGTTTATTTCTGGGTTCTCTATTCTGTTCCATTGCTCTATGTGCCTATTTTTATACCAGTAGAGTATGCTGTACTGGTATGCTGTTTTGGTGACTATGGCCTTATAGTATAGTTTGAAATCAGGTAATATTGATGCCTTCATATTTGTTCTTTTTGCTTAGTCTTGCTTTGGCTATGTGAGCTGTTTTTTGGTTCCTTATGAATTTTAGAATTGTTTTTTCTAATTCTGTGAAGAATGGTGGTGGTATTTGAATGGGAATTGATTGAATTTGTAGGTTGCTTTTGGCAGCATGGTCATTTTCACAATTTTAATTCTACCCATCCCTGAGCATGGGATGTGTTTCCATTTGTGTGTGTCGTCTATGATTTCTTTCAGCAGTGTTTTGTAGTTTTCCTTGTAGAAGTCTTTCACCTCCTTGGTTAGGCATATTCCTAAGCATTTTATTTTATTTTGCAGCTGTTGTAAAGGGGGTTGCATTCTTGATTTGATTCTCAGCTCGGACGCTGTTGATGTATAGAAAAGCTACTGATTTGTGTACATTAATTTTGTATCCCGAAACTTTGCTGAATTATTTCATCAGTTCTAGGAGCTTTCTGGAGGAGTCTTTAGGGTTTTCTAGTTAAATTATGATATCGCCACAAACAGCAACAGTTTGACTTCTTCTTTTCTGATTTAGATGACCTTTATTTCTTTCTCTTGTCTGATTGCTCTGCCTAGGACTTCCAGTACTATGTTGAAGAGGAGTGGTGAGAGTGGGCATCCTTTTCTTGTTCCAGTTCTCAGAGGGAATGCTTTCAACTTTTCCCCATTCAGTATTGTGTTGGCTGTGGGTTTGTCATAGATGGCTTTTGTTATATTGAGGTATGTCCATTGTAAGCCAGTTTTGCTAAGTTTTAATTATAAAGGGATGCTGGATTTTGTTGAATGCTTTTTCGGCATCTATTGAGATTATCATGTGATTTTTTGTTTTTTATCACATTTCTTGACTGGCATATGTTAAACCGTCCCTCCATCCCTTCATCCCTTGTATGAAACCCACTTGAACGTGGTGTACTACTTTTTTGATATGTTAATGGATTTGGTTAGCTAGTATTTTGTTAAGGATTTTAGGATCTATTTCATTGGGGATATTGGGTCTGTAGTTTTCTTTTCTTGTTATGTCCTTTCCTGGTTTTGGCATTAGGGTGATACTGGCTTCATAGAATTAATTAGGGAGGGTTCCCTCTTTCTCTATGATGTGGAATAGTGTCAATAGAATTGGTACCAAATTTTCTTTGAATGTCTGGTAGAATTCTGCTGTGCATCTGTCTGGTCCTGGACTTTTTTTGTTGGTAATTTTTAAATTACCATTTCAATCTCGCTGCTTCTTATTGGTCTGTTCAGGGTATCTAATTGTTCCTGATTTAATCTAGGAGAGTTACATCTTTCCAGGAATTTATCCATCTTTTCTTGGTTTTCTAGTTTATGCACGTAAAGGTGTCCATAGTAGCCTTGAATGTTCTTTTGTATTTCTGTGGTGTCTGTTGTAATATCTCCCATTTCGTTTCTTATTAGCTTATTTGGATTTTCTTCTTTCCTTGGTTAATCTTGCTAATGGTCTATCAATTTTATTTATCTTTTCAAAGAACCAGCTTTTTGTTTCGTTTATATTTCATATTTTTTTGTTTCAATTTCATTTAGTCATGGGTGTGCTCCTGTCCTAGAGTTTTCACAAGAGTTTTTTCCTCTTTCTGTAACATTCTTCCCAAGGTGGCTGCATAATCAACTCCTTCAAGTCTTTGCTTAACTGGTACCTTCTCAGTGAGGCATAGTCTGACTACCCAATTGAAATCACATTATCCACTCCCCCCTGCAGTCCTGATCCATTTTTCGTATCCTGCTTTAGTAATTCTTATTTCAGTAACATGCTATAGTGCGCGCACACACACACACACACACACACACATACACACATGTACATCTGTTGATTTAAGGAGTAAAAGAATAAATGAAAACCTACCTAAACTGTGGCTCATTTCCTCAAAGACTTATCAGGTCACTGCAAGCTCTAAAGAGACAAGATGTTAATAGATGATGGCGATTTACTAGTTTATCCCTAAATTGGATGTCTTTTGCATTTTTGTTTCCCAAAGGACTATTGGAACTTTCTACAGCATAGGATTTGACCACTTTACCATAGACCAGTTTAGAGAAAGTTTGGAAGACTGGTAGGTCTTCATGATCTCTGGAAATAATCCTATAGAAGCATCTATATGTTTTGTCCAGGAGGAAAGCTAGTCCTGCAGTAATGGTTCTAAAAGTAAAAGGTATTGACATTGGTACAGTACTATGTAGTTTACAGACCTCTCTCTACCCTGCCATTTTATTTAATCCTCATAATAGCACTTCCTATTATCTCTATTTAGTTGATGAGGAAACAGAGCCCAGAGAAACTAAGGACTTTCTGAAAGGTATAAGGCTAGTTGTGGCAGAGAGCCTTCACACTTGTGGTTCAGTGCCACATTTTTACTAATATCACTTTCTAAATTATATCAGGGCAACCTTGCATTAGTTGTTCCTTTTGGGATTTTGTAGGAAAGTATTCAGGAGACAGAGAATGTTCTAATCCACAACCCATGAGGGGATGTCAGTGGTGTCCTAGTGTGCAGCTGTATGCCCTGGGAGCAAGGTCTCAGTCATTTTCCACCCAGATCTGAATGGATATTTTCTACAAGGCTTTCAGAAGAAAGAGAAAAATTTTTTCTTTCTCACATTTCACAGTCTTTTTCCAGTTTCTTGCTGTTCCCACAACCTTGACAGCTATAAGCATAATAATAGGTAACATATATTGAACACACCATCTGACATGAACTATTCATGAATTACACACTTACATGTGATAGCAGCGGAAGCCTGTCTAGAGCAGCCACTGTGAAGATGCTGGCTGTAGCAGGGGAGGCGTGGCTGGACCTATGTGCTCCACAGAGCCTGTGGGAGCCAGGAACAGGTGGGAGCCCTGCCTGCTTCTGAGTTGGTGGAGTGGGAGACCGGCACTCCCTGGGCATGGCTGCAGCCACCCAGCTGCAGCTCCGGACCCAGCGTTGCTGTGCTCTTGGGGGTTTGGAAGCCCCCTCTCCCCCTGCAGTCTCAGAAGTGCCTGCTCTCACTCCCTGGCCTCTCCCTGCACCTGGCATCTGCTCCAGTGTGGAGCAAAGTTGTAGCTGAGCCCAGGCACTGTCATGACCTTGCCATGAACAGCCTGGGTGCCTGTGGACAACATGATTAATGGAGACAGGAGGAAGACAGGATCCCGGGCAGAAAGGGGTGGGTCCTCAGTGAAGCCCCATCTTCAAACCAAGGATGGCCCGAAGCATGGGGGCCAGGCTGTCAGTGTTGGGTGGAGTCTGCAGCCTGGAGTGAGAACTTACGGTGCTTTTTTCAGGCCCACCTATGACTACCCATGGACCAATAACTACACACTTTCTCTCTTCTGAGCCCATAAAAACCACAGATTCAGCTAGACTCACATAGACATCGGGACTACTAGCTGCGGAAGGAGCTACCCAATTCGGGTCTCCTCAGCTCATCAGGATGACGTGCCTCCAGATAGGAACTACTCACTCTGGGTCTCCTCTCTGCTAAGAGCTGGACACTCATCGGGACGACCTGCCTGTGTATAGGAGCTACCCACTTTGGGTCTCCCAAAAGATGTTCCGTTACTCAATAAAGCTCCTCTCTACCTTGCTCACCCTCCAGTTGTCCACTTAGTTCATTCTTCCTGGACATGGGGCAAGAATTCAGGACCGCTGAATGGTGAGACTGAAAGAGCTGTAACACAAACAGGGCAGAAACATGCCCCCCCACTCACTATGTTGCAGGCTATGAGAAAGAGGAGCTGCGGCCCAGACCAAGGGGGTCCACGGGCGAGGGCTGTAACACCCTCTTTGGAGGTCTGTGGTTTCTGGCATCTGCAAGCTTTTGGATGCTACTGCATTCCCCCTGTCCAGACGCCAGTTGCAGTACGTCTGGTCCAGTCGTAGCCTCACATGGAGCCAGTGCCTATGCTGGCGCCTGGAGCTGCCTGCCCTGCCGCAGCAGCTGGAGTGCCTGGCTGTGTGCAGTGGCTGGACCCCACACTTGCTCGCTCACACACCCCTTGCTGCTCTGTGCCTGGCTCACCCTTGGCAGGCATGGGATCTGGGCTGGTAGTGTAGGCCAAGCACAGCCTGCCAGGCTGAGTGGGTGGAATGAGCCCAGCAGGCCCAAGCAAGACTCAGGCAAAGGTGCCACTGGACACAGGGGTTTCCGGCTGGTGAAACAACCCCTGAAACATCCTGTGACACATATAATTCACTTATATTTCACACCAACTCTATGTCGTAGGTATTATTATTGGCCCATTTTTCGTAAAAGGCCCAGAAAACACATTTGAGCACATCTCCTAGCTAGAAAGTGGTAGAAATGGAATTTGAACTCATGTAGTCCATGCTCCAGAAAAGCATTGTCCAATAAAAATATAATGCAAGCACATGTGTAATTTAAAATTTTCCAGTAGCTACCTCAAAAAAGTAAAAAGAGACGAACGAAGTCAATTTAATATATCTGATTAAACCCAGTATATCCAAAATATTATCACTTCAACATGTAATCACTATAAAAATCACTCATAAGACACTTCACATTTTTTGTATTAAGTCTTTGAAGTCTGATGTGTATTTTAATCTTACAGCACATCTCAATTTGAATGATAAATTTTAATCAGAAATATTTCATTAGTATATAGATTTCATAGAATTTAGTTGAAAATGAAGGTTTATATATTTAACTTATTTCAATCATACTTATTTTCAATAACTGAATTGAATATGAGTTTTAAATTAAAACTAAATACAATATAAAATTCAGTTCCTCAGTTGCACATTTAGGATGTTTGAGAGCTATGTGTGGCTTATGGCTGCTGCTGTGGGCAGTGTGGGTTTGGAGTCCATGCCTGCAGCCATGATACCATATTGTTTCAATATCAGGGGAGAAGCCCTCTTGTCACCGTGGCTCTGCCCCCATTTCCCCTATCTTGGAATAGTCTCTTTCCATCTTCTTCTCATGGGCTTTTCAGATCTTCTGACATTTAGCCCCTAATATTGGCATCCTCATATTCAGCATTAGTATTCAAATACCCCAGTTTATACAGACCATACTCCCTACTTGGGGAAAGTGAAACTTCATAAAATAAAATAAAAAAAGTGTAGGTTTTTCCTGTTATTTCTGCTTACTAGATCAGAAAATTTGGGATGACCCATCCTGGGGGAAAATAATAGCCAGACAGATTTATGCCAAACCCCATTACTTAATGAGGTTCCAAAATAGCTCCTGCAATTACTTTTTAAATCTCCTTACATCCTCCTTTGGCTGGCGTGGGTGAATTTGGGAGAGAAAAGTGATTTGTCAGAAAGAGAAAGGAGAAAACTCCCCCTAGAATTTCATTTGCTACTGCAGATTTGTTATTCGGGAAGGCTATGGAAGTGAAAGTGAGAAGAAAGGAGAGGTGTGCAAGGCAGTGGAAAAAGGGAAGACTCAGGAGTTAGTGTATCTCTCTTGTATTCTAGTCAATGGTAAGCACCACCTTAAAAATAAGGAAAATGATTATTTCAGTCACCTTGCTCATGTATGCCAGGCCTAGATCCAAAAGCAATGGGTTGAGGACTATGAAAATCTTCCTCCACCTCCCCTTGTTTTAATTCCTCTCTAGGTGAGGTGGAAAGAGGAGATGGCTGTCTCTCCAGATTGACCTGGAGCAGGTTTTGCTGCTGTGACTGACTGTCTTTCTGAGATGAACACTAAGCTGAGGAATATTGTGAACCCATACCAACATAGTAGATGCAGGAAAAAAAAAAGTGGGAATTGTGAAAACTGTGATGTATTAGCCTGTTCTCACACTGCTATGAAGAAATACCCAAGATTGGGTAATTTATAAAGGAAAGAGGTTTAATTGACTCACAGTTCTGAATGGCTAGGGAAGCCGCAGAAAACTTACAATCATGGTGGAGGCGTTTCTTCACAGGGTGTCAGGAGACAGAATGAGTGCCAGCAGGGAAAATGCCAGAAGAATATAAAACCACCAGATCTCATGAGAACTCACTCACTATCATGACAACAGCATGGGGGAAACAACTCCCATGATCCAATTACCTCCCACTGGGTGCCTCCCACGACATGTGGGAATTATTACAATTTAAGATGAGATTTGGGTGGGGACCCAGAGGCAAACTATAACTTCCCACCCCTGACCCCTCCCAAATCTCATGTCCTCATGTTTGAAAATACAATCATGCCCTTCCAACAGTCCCCCAAAGTCTTAACTCATTTCAGCATTAACCCAAAAGTCCAAGTCCAAAGTCTCGTCTGAGATAAGGCAAGTCCCTTCTCCCTGTGAGCCTGTAAAACCAAAAAACCAAGTTGGTTACTTCTTAGATTCAATAAGGGTACAGGCATTAAGTAAATACACTCATTCCAAATGGGAGAAATTGGCCAAAAAGAAGGGGCTACAGGCCCCATGCAAGGCCAGAATCCAGCAGGGCAGTCAAATCTTAAAGCTCCAAAATGATCTCCTTTGACTCCATGTCTCATATCCAGGGCACACTGATGCAAGAGGTGTGCTCCCATGGCTTTGGGCAGCTCTGCCCTTGTGGCTTTGCAGGGTACAGCTCCCCCGCCGGGTGCTTTCACGGGTTGGTGTTGAGTGTCTGCTGCTTTTCCAGGCACATGGGGCAAGCTGTTTGTGGATCTACTTTCTGGGGACTGGAGGACGGTGGCCCTCTTCTCACAGCTCCACTAGCCAGTGCCCCAGTAGGGACTCTGTGTGGGGGCTCCTATCTCATATTTCCCTTCCACACTGCCCTAGCAGAGGTTCTCCATGAGGGCTTTGCCTCTGCAGCACACCTCTGCCTAGACACGCAGACATTTCCATACATCCTCTGAAATCTAGGCAGAGGTTCCCAAACCTCAATTCTTGTCTTCTGCGTACCTGCAGGCCCAAAATCACGTGGAAGCTACCAAGGCTTGGAGCTTGCACCCTCTGAAGCACTGGATTGAGCTGTACAATGGCCCCTTTTAGCCATAGCAGGAGCTGAAGCAGCTGGGATGCAGTGCACCATTTCCGAAGGCTGCATAGAGCAGGGGGCACCTGGTCCCAGCCCAGGAAGTGATTTTTCCCTCCTAGGCCACTGAGGCTGTGATGGGAGGGGCTGCTGTGTAGGTCTCTGACATGCCCTGGAGACATTTTCCCCATTTACTTGGTGATTAACATTTGCCTTCTCATTACTTACGCAAATTTCTGCAGCTGGCTTGAATTTCTCCCCAGAAAATGGGTTTTTCTTTTCTACTACATGGTCAGGCTGCAAATTTTCCAAACTTTTATGCTCTGCTTCCTCTTGAACACTTTGCCACTTAGAAATTTCTCCCACCAGATACCCTAAATCATCTCTCTTAAGTTCAAAGTTCCACAGATCTCTAGGGCAGGGACAAAATGCTGCCAGTTTCTTTGCTGAAGTGTAGCAAGAGTGACGTTTGCTCCAGCTCCCAAGAAGTTCCTCATCTCCATCTGAGACCACCTCAGCCTGGACTTCATTGTCCATATCACTATCAGCATTTTGGTCAAAACCATTCAACAAGTCTCTAGCAAGTTCCAAACTTTTCCACATCTTCTTGTCTTCTTCTGAGCCTTCCAAACTGTTCTAACCTCTGCCTGTTACCTAGTTCCAAAGTCGCTTCTACATTTTCGGGTATCTTTACAGCAGTGCCCCACTGTCTCAGTACCAATTTACCGTATTAGTTCATACTCATGCTGCTATGAAGAAATACTCGAGACTGGGTAATTTATAAAGAAAAGAGGTTTAATTGACTCACAGTTCTGCATGGCTGGGGAGGCCTCAGGAATTTTACAATCTAGGCAGAAGGCACCCCTTCACAGTGCAGCAGGAGAGAGAATGAGTGCCAGAAGGGGAAATGCCAGACACATAAAACCATCAGATCTCATGAGAACCCACTCGATATCATGGGAACAGCATGGAGAAACCACCCCCGCCCCCTGCCCCCAACAGCCCCATGATCCAATTACCTCCCACCAGGTCCCTCCTACAACACGTGGGGCTTATTACAATTCAAGGTGAGTCTTGGGTGGGGACACAGAGCCAAACCATATCATATGAGTATATGTGATGTTGTCTAACTTATCTGTGATGAAAGTGAGGTGAAAGTGAGGTGTACTTCTTGTTATGTATGTAGATGAGACAGCCTGAGTCAACTGAATCTACACTTCAGCCTGGGGGACAGTAGATCTGGAAGCCATGTAGCTATAAATCCAGTGACAGAAATTTCATCCATCCTCAGTGCCCTTTAGATTTTACAAAGATTTTTCACTTCCATTATCTCACTTGAACTTCCCCAGAAGGACATAGAGCAGATATGACTAGCCTGCTGACACTGAGATTCAGGGGGTTTAAGTGGTTCATTCGGGGTCACAGGACCAACTAGCCACACAACCAAGAACCAGGTCTTTGACTTTAGCTTCCTCTTCACTAAGCTTTGCTTTCCTCTACAGGTAAAATGTAAGACAACACAGGAATGCAGATTCAATTGTTGTAAAGGAACATTATAGACTTTCTAGACTCTAGAGACTAATGCCAACTTAGGTTCAGAATAGGTTTCATAGCCACTTCTCTACTTATTCCTGCCTCCACCTTTTTTAATAGGAACATCTAGAATTTCATCATTTCTCTCCAACTGACCCATTGTTCCTCTCCTTCCTGATTTCATGCACTCTTTCTTTCCTTCCTCCCTCTTTCCCTTGGTCCTACTTTTTCTTCTTTTCTACCAAAAATATTCATTACATACATTTGATGTATTAGATATTACAAGAGTACCAGAAAAATAAAGATGAACTTAAAAAAATCATTTCCCAACACAAATGGTTTTATAAGGTGACCAGATAGATTTTTTTAAAGTTGCAGTAGAGAAACAGTAGTGTCATATAGGAGAAAGTGTTTTATAGGTGAAGGTGGCTAAGGGTTGCAAAAGTCTTCATTAACATGGAGAGTCAAAAGAGCAAGGTCTGGAAGGGTAAGTAGGAATACCCTAGGCATTATAAGGTAGAGAAAGGGCAGACCATGTTTCTGGAAAGTTTACTTTGCATGATGATTTTGCCAGGTTTTATCTGCCAGTTCACTTATTGTGGGCATGGTGTCAGGGTTCCTAATTTGGTTGCAGACTATGGAGCCTTGGCTGAAGCACAAACGATTCTCACGGTAGAAGCTAAAATGAGGGGAAAGGCTGGGAGTAAGAATGACATTTTGCTCTCATTTTTTTTAAGGCCAGAGAAGGCAGTTATTAAAGCCAATGTGCAAATGTAAACCCAGTTGGGGGAATTATTTGAGGCTAGGGGATTTTCTTGCTGCTCTTTAAGTGAGTCTCCGTTGTCTTAGACTGATCTTGTTTTTACAGGCAAGGTTAGGCCTGAAAGCCAAGAATAAGTGATCCTCTGGCTTTTGCTGGGATCATGGGAGGATCCTAGAGCTGTAGGGCATTCTCTATCAAGGAGAATCAATTCCAGCTGGGGAATTTGGGTACTTGGTTGCTGATCTGAGCAGACACCAGCCCATTAACAGATGTAGTTATGTTCCTACTTTCAATCCAAGTAGGTGACTTGAAAAAAGAAAAGTTGTTCCCTGAAATGGGCACAGAGTGATGTGATAGGTCTAGTAGTCTTTGGGAGGGAAAAAAAACAAAGTAGGTCTATGGTGACCTTGTGGAATGAATCCTGAGTCGTGCCTTAAGGGGCAAGTCAGAATCTCACATCTATGCATTTTCACCTGCATTGCTTTCACCTCTAGTTTCTTTTGTCCACCCAGTTCTATGGCCGCTCCCTGGAACTTTTCTTCTCTGAACAATAAAATTTGAACATTTCGCTCTCTAACCATTGCCTACCTGGCTCTCTGACTGTCCTTTCAATCCTGTGGCCAGTTGTCCCTGCCCTTTGTCTCCTCTTGCCCCATTCAGATCTGCAATTTTCGACCTATTTTCTCAGTGTGTATTAGTCCACCTGTCTTCACTGCCTTTTCTGTTAAAGTTGGATTTCATGGTCCTGAGCATTAATAACCCTTGCCATACTCTTAATTCTATGGACCCACCATTCTACTGTTACAAGACCCCAACAGTCTGACTTTCTTGAACTTTCTCCAGAGTGACTGAGCACTGATGGAAAAAAAAAAAAAATCACACAACCATGAAGCTTGTGCCACTATGTTTTTAAGACTCTCAGACTCAACCGAGTCCTACCTTTTCAGTGGATTGAAGTAGTCTCTTTTTGTTATCCTGTTTTTTTCTCCATAGCACTCATCATAACCAGAAACTATCTCAGGAGTGTGTTTGTCTATTATCTTCCTCCGCTAAAGCTCCATGAGAAAGAGCCTTTGTTTATTCTTTCCTGTATCTCCAGCACATGGTACATATGGAGTATGGCACATGCTCAGAAGATGTTTGTTAAACAAACAATCTCAGCTTAGATGTCACTAACTCTAGGAATTTTTCTCTAATCCCTATCTCTTACCAAGTCTGACTTTATGGATTTTTCCTTCAGCATCCCGTGTTTTTCTGTCATAGCATTTTCACACTGTATTCTCATTGCCTGTGTACTTATTTTTATCTTTCTCTAGGTCAGCAATACACAATAGAACTTTTTATAACGCTGGAAATATTCTATATCTCTGTTGTCCACTACAGTAGCCGCTAAGCACATATGACTATGAAACACTTGGAATGTGGCTAGCATGACTGAAGAAATACATTTTTACTTTTATTAATATTTAATTTTAATTAATTTTGAGCTGAAATAGTCATATACGGTTAGTGGCAACTGTTGGAGAGCACACACGACTCTCAATTTTCAGCTCTATGAGGTAAGGGACTGTCTGTATAGCTCTCTGTTGTATTTCTCAGGGCCAGCACAGTGCCTGGCTTGTGCCGACAATATGAAGAAAGTTGGGCACATAATCTGTAGATTGTGTGTCTCTTAGTGGTTATTCTTTTCCATGGTGAGATGAAAGTTCAATGTGAAAAAATTCTGTCTCAAAAGGATTTGGATATCTACACTGATGGATTTAAGATATTTAAATGATCATTATTGGGTATGTGAAAGGTCTTCACATAGCTAGCATTAGCTGGTAGGCTTAAGATATCTGAATTCACTGTAGAAATTGCTTATTCTGACTCAACTCTGAACTATACCATAGAGATTTTTAAAAATGTGTTTTCATAAATTCTCTGGAGGTGTACAAAATGAGAAAAACGAAGAAGACCCTTACTGGGAATGTAACACTGTCTCAGAATGGCGTTTTCACTTTATTTCTCCTTTGTGGTTGAGTGGTTTCAGTGCCTGCAATTCTTGAGTTAGAAAATTGATTTGCCGATTTGGTAATGTGAATTAATACTTATAGTTTGTGTCATATAATAAGCATTCGTCTAAGTGTTTCATGTACATTAACTTATGTGATCCTCACAACAACTTCATTAAATAGGTACTACTATTATCTCCATTTGACAGATAAGGAAATTTAAACATAGAAGGGGAAGGGACTTGACCAAGATTACTCAGATAACTCAGTTAAGTGGAGAAATGAGGATGTGAGCCCAGGCATTCTGGTTCCAAAATCCATTCTCACTTGGATTGCCTACTGTATAATTACTTGTACTATCTTGTACTATCTCTCTGTTCTTAGCATAATTCTGCTCTTCATTATGGCTGTGAAATTGTGTGTGTCCACATTTGGTGAAAGTTTCCTAAAGATAATATTTTGGGTTGCAGGCTGGGAGGTGAGGGGACTGGAAGGAATAAAGAGTGGGAGGATGTAGCTATGGCCCAGGGGACAATAATTCACCTTGGAGTTAGAAGCCTCTGCTTCTAATTCCTTCTAATTTATTCTGTTATGAAATTTGGGGAGATATTTCCTAATTTTATTGTTAAAATGACATAAAATATGTATGTGAAAGGGCTTCATCCTGAGCAGGGGCTGAGAATCTGATGTATTGGCACAGTGGCTAGTAAGGAATGTCAGGTCTCAGAGACTACACAGTTACAAGACTTAGCGGTTTGCCTGAGACTGGGGCAGAATTCAGACTTTTCTGTCTCCTGCAGCTCAAGAATTCATGCCCTTGTAGGGGTGAAAGAGAGGTAGGGATCTGCCTACTTCCCGACTTTATTTTCTTTTTTACAATCCCAGATTTTCTGTGCCTTGGAGCTGCCTAAATCTCAGAGCAACCTAATGAGTAGGAAATCACCTAGATCACAAGCAGGTGACAATATCGAAGGATGAAGGGAATACTTTTTGTTTGTTTTTGTCGCTAAAGGCCAGTTTAGTCTCTGTATACCCCCCATTCCCCCCATCATCCTTCACCCTCAGGGAATGAAAGTTACCTCTAAGTCTTGAAGCAGCCCATGTCATACCTGTGCTCTCCAGCCTGCTGGTACCTACAAATAGTTACAGGCATTCTTCTTCTGGTTGGTCCCAGCTCTGAGTCTACTGAGCCATGGTGTGTCTGCCTTGAGAGTGCCTTTTGCAATTCTGTCTATGATCATACCTCAGGAAAGAAATGGCAAGCCACAGAAATTATGAAAAGTTTAGAGAGGCAGTCTTACAAAGAAATAAATTTAAATTGTCTCTTAAAGCTGGAAAAGGAGCCCGTGGATATATAGAGCACCAAAATCCATAAAATTTTTAAAATGAAAATAAATAGCAATTTACTTATTAAATACTATATTATTATTCCCCTGGTATACATGACACATCCAACATTTATTAAGCTCAGACTATGAGCTATTCATTGTGCTAGGTGATTCACACATTATCCTGTTTCTTTTCACAACATTACTGCAAGATAGGCATTATATTTTTATTTTACAGACAAGAATCAGAGAGAGAGAGGCTAAGTAACCCTCCCAAGGCCAACTAGCTAGTGAATGAAGTAGGATTTGAAGATGCATTAAAAATGTTTTAAGTGTCTGCTTTTTCTACTACACAAAGTTGCCTGTCTTGAAGCACAAAGGAGAAGGCTGGGACAACTAATTAAAGAAGGATCTTTTCAGCCTACAGTAGCATTGTGTTTATGTTGAATCAGGAACCAGCACCCTTGTCTCTGGTAGTGGAGTCATCCCAAAGCCCAGATGTACTCTACCAAGACAGCTTATAATCTGGCTTGTGGTAACATGAGATTTTATGAAAATGGACCTTTATTATGTGATGTCTCAAATTTTATTGAGATTTAATATATGAGACCCTAGTCTAATTCCATACTCTTTGCAATTTCTTCTCAATTTGATCCCTCCTTTCACTATAATATCCCTGAAATGAAAAATGAACATCCATAGTCACCAGTATAAAGCATTGAATTGAAATTTTGAGGCTCTCCTTTTCAGTGGTCTTACCTTCTTAGGGAACTCTTGATAATATACAATGTATGATATTGCCAATTAAGAGACTAAAATGTTAAATACTTCTAACCACTACAGATTTCCAAGCATCCTTTATAATATTTTAAGAGTATTTTTTTTTCACTTCAAGACAAACGTGGTACCTTAAAATTCTTAATTTACATACATTTTCTATATCAGACAGAGTAAACTAGGTATCTTTCAGCAAAGGAGGAAGGTCCAGAAAAAAGTGCAGAACATAGCAGAGAGCATTCTTGAGCACGTAGCTGGGGAAACAGAGGTAACAGCTGTCACATAAGCAGAGGCCCTGTAGGCCCGGGTGGCAGATACAAGGTCTCAATGCTCTTACTTCACCTTTCTCTTCCTGAGCCCTCAGTACTGAGAATTCATGGCTCAAGTACATGCAACCACTACCAAATTGATTCGAGTTGACATTTGTAACAAAAACTATTCTCTATCATGCTTTATTTTTTTTTCTGCCTCGGGGAAATGGCTGAATCATTTCACAAATCCCTTAGGATACAGAGACAGAGAGAAGGGATAGATTTAAATGTTTTCTTCCTTTTGATTTAGACTGACTATAATGCTTGATGATAAAGCATGTACAACAAAAATAAACACTTTCCATAATTATATTAATTTACGGATAGCAATGAAAATGATCTGAAGGGATTTCTGCAGAAGAGTTAATACCTGTAGTGCTTCTCTCTCTGGATGATGGGATTATGAGTGTTGTTCTTTGTCTGCTTTTGTTTGGCTACATTTTCTGGATTTTTTTTCAGTAATGATTTAAATTGCCCGCTTTTGTAACAGAGACAAAAAGAAATGGGCTTAATAAAAGAAATAATAATTTTTTTGATATTCAGGGTTTTTTTTTACCTTTTTCGCATAAGCAGCCTAGACTAAGAATAATTGGCCCCAAATAAATTAGACATACAAAGCAAAAAGGTAAAATGACATTCTCAATTTTGGAAAGTTGATTTTTAAAATGTAAATTTCATAAATCATTGCAAAAAATTTGTATGGTATGTCAAGTTACCAATACTTAAAAAAATTCAGTGAGAACATTTGATTTGTTTTCTTTTCATTTTTTCTTCGGAGACAGAGTCTCGCTCTGTCGCCCAGGCTGGAGTGCAGTAATGCAATCTTGGCTCACTGCAACCTTTGCCTCCTAGTTTCAAGCGATTCTCCAGCTTCAGCCTCCCGAGTAGCAGGGATTACTGGTGCACGCCACCAAGCTCAGCTAAGTTTTTATATTTTTAGTAGAGACAAAGTTTCACCATGTTGGCCAGGCTGGTCTCGAACTCCTGACCTCAAGTGATCCACCCACCTCGGCCTCTCAAAGTGCTGGAATTACAGGCATGAGCCACTGCACCTGGCCTTGATTTCTTAAAATTGTTGAATACTGCATACAGAATACTTTTAAGCACATGTTTAAGATGTAAAAGTACACCAGCTCAATGAATAGCTATGTACCTACCACCCAATTTATGAAATATTAGTATTAGGTTGGTGCACAAGTAGCTGTGGCATTTGCCATTACTTTTAAATGGGAAAAACTGCAATTACATTTGCACCAACCTAATAGAGTGTTATCATTATTTCTGAAGTTCCCGTCTGTCCTCTGGTTCTAGCCACTTTCCAGTTCCCTGAAGTTACGACTAAATTTTGTGTCTTATTATCTCTCTGCTTTTCATTTAAGTTTTATAACAATGAACAATATATTAAGTTTTTACAAATTTTTATAATTTAAATATGCCATGTGCAGTGACTCACGCCTGTAATCCCAGCACTTTAGGAGGCCGAGGCAGGTGGATCATGAGGTCAGGAGATCGAGACCATCCTGGCCAATATGGTGAAACCCCATCTCTACTAAAATACAAAAAAAAAAAAATATCCAGGCATGGTGGTAGGCGCCTGTGATCCCAGCTACTCGGGAGGCTGAGGCAGGGGAATCACTTGAACCTGGGAGGTGGAGGTTGCAGTGAGCCGAGATTGTGCCACTGCACTCCAGCCTGGTGACAGAACAAGACTCCGTCTCTCTCTCTCTCTCTCTCTCTCTGTATATATATATACACATACATATATATGTATATATATATTTTCTAAATAAATAAAATGTTATATACATTCCTCTGTAACTTGCTGATCTTCATTATGTCATAACTGCAGTTCATTTTCACAGCTGTAATGTATTCCAGCACATGAGTATCCATGAATATGCCACAATTTATTTGTCCCTTTGACAGGTTTCCCCGTTTTTTGGCTTTAACAGTGCTGCTAAAAGTCTTGCTGGGACTGGGAGTGCTGTGTCATAAGATGTATGTGTCTTCAAAATTAATAGATAATACAGCATTATGTTCCAAACAAGTTGTATCTCCCTATGCTACCAGCAGTGAATAAGATTTGTTAATCTGTAAGAAATATTAAATCCAATTTTTCTCCCAGAATTCAGTGTGTTCTGGCTACGTCACTGCACTGACCCTCAGGAAATTTAGATGCCTTTTAATATTGTATAGCTGAGAAGGGGAATTGAAGTATCATGCTAGATCTTGTAGAATTATATATATGCTGTCATTAGTACTTCTTTTCCATTAGTGTCATGAAGTTGCGTGTGTTTGTGTATTTGTATGGGTTAATGTGCTTTCAGTATTTTATTTATGCGAAATCAGAATGGTATGGGGTTAAGATTTCAGCCTCTGGAAGTAAAAGTTCTGGGATCAAATTATTTATTTATTTATTTATTTATTTATTTTTATTTATTTATTTTGAGACGGAGCGTCACTCTGTCACCGAGGCTGGAGTGTAGTGGCGCGATCTTGGCTCACTGCAACCTCCGCCTCCTGGGTTCAAGCAATTTTCCTGCCTCAGCCTCCCAAGTAGCTGGGATTACAGGTGCCCACCACCATACTCAGCTAATTTTTTTGTATTTTTAATGGAGATGGGGTTTCACCATGTTGACAAGGGTGGTTTCGAACTCCTGACCTCAATTGATCCGCCCACCTAGGCCTCCCAAAGTTCTAGGATTACAGGCGTGAGCCAGTGTGTCCAGCCCCTGGGATCAAATTTTGACTCCTCTACTTACACCTTTGTAACCTCAGGCAAGTAACCTATCCTCTTTCCTCTGCATCTTGGTTTCTCTGTCTGAACGTAGGTACAATTGTTCCTATTCCCAGAGTTGTGGCTGGGCCTAGAGAATACTTAGGACATGAGGATTCACCTCCTTCTCCACTTCCTGACATGATGTTGCCTATGCTTCCCCACCTCTCCCACCTTACCCTTCACCGTGTTCTTCCTTGTCCTCAGAAAATAAGCTTTAACCTCCTTCAGTCTGATAATGTGGGCCTGGGTCCAGAAGAGGGGCCAGTCTCTAATCTGTGTAATTGCGGAGTATGTTTTTGGAGTTTAACTTATTCATAGTTAGGGCTAAAATTGTTATCTGCTATTACAAACTCCTGCTGCATATATATATTTATAACATTTAGGCCATCTTCTACATATTATGTAGTAACTTAATTGTTTTCAGCTTATGCAACATGGTGAATCATTTCCTGAGTCACTTTGGTGGTTAGTCTCTTAGTTTTGCATGTTCAGATAATATTTTCATGTTTTACTGCTAAAATTGTGAATAGTCATTTATTTAAATGAGTTTATATATTTGTTTCCTACAGCAAATATCAGGAATTAGAATTGTTAGGTTATAATTGCCCTCTTTTTTCAATAATTTTTAATTCATGATAAGATGACTCACCTAAGGATTTCACTTAATTGTTTTTTTCCTTAATTTGAACATTAGAAATAGGACTATGTTTAGGGTGTGTGTGCCCTTGGGCAATCACCCTCTGTTTCCTGTGGCCCTGCTACATTGCTAACTTCAGTGGATACCATTTACTTTCTGTTTTGTGTATCCTTGAGGCCCCTTTCATGCTAGAATATTTTTATAGGTGACAGCAGTTTAAGCATCCACATTCTAAGCAGGCCCTTTTCAATAGAGAGGGACGAAGCCACCATTTTTGCTTTGGCAATTGCTGGTGTGTCAGTGAACACACACACACTCATAACATTTGTTACCACATCCTTTATACATCACCCCCTAAGTTACTCTCCAAATACCTTCCCCCAAGGGCATCCAGAGGGCAGGACTTCAGCTGGCTGCCTTGATTCATCCCATCCTACAGATTGCTGTCAACACAAGAGATGATCAGGATAATGTAACGATTGCACTTTGTAAGTATATAATTTTGTTCATTGTCACCAGTTACATGCTGGCCATCCTCAAGCATATAAGATAGTCTTGTAACTTGTGAATCTTCAGAAATCAGAGGAGTTTCTCCTCCTCTTCACTGCTGACAGTAGTCAAAAGGGACCCAGCCTAGAATAAGTAAAGGGAAAGGCAGAACCTGCCAAAGCACGTCGTGACAAGCATGTCATTGTGGACTGACTCTACCCAGCATTTTTTCAGTGGTTGTAATGCCACACATGGCTTTAAGGTATTAATAGGATTGGACACAAGCTTTTCTGTCTTCTACACTTATAAGACCAAGAATGGCTAAATATAAAAAATGTAACCTTTATCCTATCATTCTCTTTTCTAGCTGTATTATTTGTTACTTTATTAAGTAATGTTTAAAGTTATTTGTATTAATTATTTTTACCATTCTCAGGACCATACAAGCCAATTTCTACAAGACTAGCATTAGGATTGAGGTTTCTCATTTAATGGTGATTCATCTTTCCCACATACAGCCTGCCCCTTCATTCTGATGTTTCCATTTCAGCAAGAGACTGAAAGGGAAAGGAGGTCAATAGGAAGTTACTCAGGAAGAAGAATACCAGGAGGGAGTGATGGTGCTGAACACAAGGGAGCCATTTGAGGTGGAATCTTTGAAACTCAGACACTTTATGCTAATGTGGTAGAGGTTGCTTAGGGAAAGTCTTTAGCATCAATGTAAAAGACAATTTTAACTCAAAGAACGATCAAAAATTATTTCCCTGATGGTTTGCTAGAGTCAAAACATGCCTTACACATGTTTGATGCTGACTCTGACAGAGGGATCTGTGTCTCCAGTTACCATGTCAGGAGACTAGACAAACAGCTCATGGTAAAAAATAAAAGACAAATGAATAACCTCCCAAACACAACCTTGTAGGAAAAATAGTAAGAGTTTTCACCTTAAGGTAAAGTTTTGGACTTGGTCTGAAGTGTCCATAGAAGGCATTTAAATAAACATTTTTATTTAGAGATAGAAACAAAAACAAAAATTGAAAGGCATGGAATTTTAGTGGCGTGATGACAATTACAATGACAAAATTATGAAATGTGAAGCAGTCACACGCTTTCTAGCAGTATGCGAGAGAGACTGATTCATGGACTTTAAATTCATGTATTATTTTTACATTCTGGTATATTTTTGCACTTTATAGTCACATCTTTTTCTGGTGTATGTATCTTTACACTGCATTCCTGCACTTTATTTAAAGTGACAGTATTTGTGAATATGACTGAAGTTAAGAGTTGAATGTTGTCTTATGTTGGGTCCCCAAGAAACAGACTGTTAGATTTGCCTGCAAGAAGTTTATTAGAGGGTGCTCTTGGGAACACCTATAAAGGAGAGAGGGAAACTGGGTTGGGCGGAGGGAGAAGTTAAATTGCAGTGAGGGCTGCAGCCAATCCCCCTGGGAACCCTAGAGCTGGGATGGCCTCTAGTTATGCCTAAGTGAGGCAAGAAGGCTGTGACCTTGAACCTCCTCATAGACCCTAAATCCTTGGCTTCAGGCTTTCTCCATGGAAGGATGCAACCTTGGGGAAGGCAGTTCCCTTCAGCATAGGGCAGTCCTGGAACACAGACTCAGGTGTCAGCTGTAACACTTCTAGCAGCTGGGAAAATAGGCACTTTGGTTGTCTGGTTGAAGGGTCTAGGGTCCAGTTACTGAAAACAAATAGTTACTGAACTAAAAACCGATAGAATAGGTAGGGCAGAGATGAAAGAGCAGTGATTTATGGAAAGCTTAGAAGAATAACTTCGTCGTAGGAAACCATGTGTATATTCTTATGATTGTGTGATTCTGGGACTCAGGGTACATGTTTTGAGTGGCCATTTTTGTTTTGACTGGTACATAATTTAAAGAACTAAGCAGAGTGATCCTGTGTTTGTTTGTTTGGTTTTGCATTCAGCTATCCTGAGAGTAAAGGAGTGAAACTAGGAAAGAAACTTCTTAAGGGAGAACCAGATAGTGAAACTAAGCAGGGGAGCCTGTAGGTAAGGGGGTTGAACAAACAATCCAACACAGGGGCTTCTTTAAGCAAGTGACATGCTTTATGTCTACCTTCTGTGCTTCTATCCTGATCTACCTTGGTTTTTATCCTTTTGGTTATGGAGTTGAACTTCTTCATCTTGCCACCAGGAGGCAGTGTTTTTTAGTGCTTAGGAGGATGTGCTTTGGCTACACCAGATGAAGTTCAAATCTTATTTCTACCATTCACTAATTGTATGACCTTAGTCCATTCACAAACACCGCTAAGCCTCTATTTTCTCATCTATAAAATAAGAATAATGACGGTACTCACTTTGCAGGATTGTTAGGAATATTAAATTGAAATAATGCTTATAAGCACCTAGGTCAGAAGCTCACAGCTCGTCTCACTTGCCAGAAATGGTCTCTTTTTCCATCTCATACAAATGACAGTCCTTAACCAAGTTTTCTTAAGAAATTCGTCAGTGTTTTCTTTGAATAAAGTATGAAGGAGGGAAGTAAGATGTAATGGGTTTGGTGATGAACTAAGTTAAAATGTGAAAATGGAGATACCTGTGAACACAGCTGCTCTTAGTCATTGTTTCAGTCCATTTTGTGTTGCTTATAACAGAATACCTGAAACTGGGTAATTTATAAAGAAACAAAATGTATTTTTTACAGTTCTCGAGGCCGAGAAGTTCAAGGTTGAGGAGCCCATCTGGTGAGGGCCTTCTTGCTTGTGGGGACTCTGCAGAGTCCCCAGGCAGCAGAGAGCATCACATGGAGAGGCAGCTTAGTGAGCTAGCTCAGGTCTCTCTTCCTCTTCTTTTAAAGCCACAAGCCCCACCCCATCATAAGCTATTAGTCCATTAAGCCATTAATCCATTCATGAGAGCAGAACCCTCACGACTCATCACCTCTTAAAGACCCCACCTGTCAATATTACCACATCAGGGATTAAATTTCAACACGAGTTTTGAAGGAGACAAATATTTAAATCATGTCAGACATCAATACATAGAAAGAAAAAGCTGCAGTTACTTAGACACTGCAGTTTCATTGAAGCTGGTTCTTGGTGGAGGAACATCATTTGCCTCCATGGAGGCATATGTTTTGATATTGAATTGGGGAAAACCAGACTGAAGCTGTAAGTCATGCCCTTGGCATTATGAAGCAGCAAACATCGGGCCCAGCTGACTCATGCAGCTCCTGAATCCTGGCATTCCTTCCTCTCATGGTTCTAAGGCATGTTCTTTTATTGAAAAAACTTCTTGGCCACATGTTCAGGAAGATGTAGGATCCAAGTGTCAGAGACATAACTTCTGTGTCTCACATCTCACAGTCACATACCTCAAAGCCATTTTCCAGAGGCAGTTCAGTCACCCCCAGACCTCAAGCAGGCCTGATAACATCAAAAGCATCCTGTGCCTCATCTATGCCTCTTCCTCTTTTTCTGTCCACCCGATGTTCCACCTAGAGACTCAACTTATCACCAGTTATATTAAATCTTTCCACTATTTTGTAATTTCCCTTCATCTACTTTGTTAAATGAGAAACAGGAAAGAAGCAAGAATAAACTGAAAAATTTTTAATTATGCAAAAAAACTTAGGGATCAAAGGATCACTCTGGCAATGCAGAAATCTACCAAACTCTGCCACTTATCACTATTACATTTAAAAAAAGTAGACTTGGCTGGGCACGGTGGCTCACAACTAATTCCAGCACTTTGGGGGGCCAAGATAGGCGGATCACTTGAGGTCAGGAGCTCAAGACTAGCCTGGCCAACGTGGTGAAACCCCGTCTCTACTAAAAATACAAAAATTAGCTGGGCGTGGTGGTGGGCACTTGTAATCCAAGGTACTCCAGAGGCTGAAGCATGAGAATCGCTTGAACCCAGGAGGCAGAGGTTGCAGTGAGCCGAGATCACGCCACTGCACTCCAGCCCGGGTGACAGAGCAAGACTCCATCTCAAAAAAAAAAAAAAAAAGACTTTATCCAGAATAAAGAAAAAGCCTGGCATTGCTTTTTATAACACACAGATGGCATCATAGGTTATTAAGAATTTATTAATAATTGATTAATATAAATGGTGGGCTATAAATACCAGAATCGTCCTCCTGATCCCCCCATCCTTGTCTTCAGGTATACTTCCACAGTTCAGCACAAGTATGGTTCCTTCCACTGACACTTAAAGGTTAACTTAGTCTCAGCCATGGTGATCATTTTTTTTTTTTATCACAACCTCACCTGACTGCCATCATCCTTACCATCACCCTGACTCAGCCCTATCACTAGTATTGTCAATATAAAGGACATTGAGTAGTGTAGGAGTCAAGGAAAAGCGAAGAAGTAGAGACTGTTGGGTTGGGAGCCTAGGTCAGTGGGAGAGTTGTGGTTCCATTAACAGTAAAAGGGAAGTAAGAATGAGAAAGTACTTAGAGTCCTAAGACAATCAATGATTTAGGATATGTAGAGGTTGAATTTTTCATTATGTATTTAAATAAAAATGTGTAGCACAAAGTTTCAAATGTACACTTGGAGTTTTAAGGTGGTGAGTCTTGGTGATTTGAGTTTGCAATTATTTTATACAGATTCAGTTTCTGCCCCTAAGGAGTTTACACTTCACTGAAAAAGGCAGACAAGACATTAGCCCTCATAAAACAATATATTGATAGTCATAATAATAATGGATAGAGTTTACTGAGTTCTTTCTTTCAGTTACTTTGCTTAGTGTTTTAAACATGTAAACTCTTAATTTTCACAACACCTTCTAGGATTAGGGACTGACAGCCTTCAATAGACTAAGAGACTTACTCAAGGCCACACAGGTTGGTGGAGCAGGGATTTTAACTTGCACGGGTGTAGTGCCCAAGCCTGTGAGTTTACTTCTTTCCACTTTATTGCTGTGATGGAAAGTCCTGGAGATGATGGGAAAATAAACAACAGGAGCACTTAGCTCAGACTTGGGCTTGCAGGATTTGAAAACAATTTTGGAGAAAGTGAGATATAAAGAAGGACCTGGGGGTGAGTAAGAATTAGCCAGATGGGGGAGGAGAAGTAGAGGGCGAGGTATGTGCAGATTCACCTGGAGCCTAGTGTATGTGGGCAGAGGGAGGCCAGGAAGGGCCTGGCCCCAGAGCGCTCTGATGAGCTGGCCAACAGGAAAACAGAGGCAGCCTCATGTCACAAACAAAGCATCCATGTTTATGAGGTGGAAAGAGGAGAGACACTGACAACGAGGACAAAGATAGGTGGTTCAGAAGCTGGAAGAGCTTTAGGATCTGTTCTCTGGCTTTTATTAATATTTTTGCCTCACCCTTGTTGCCTTTTTACCTGCTCCCTGTTTCAGTACATTGATATCAAATATAAGTAGAGCAAACCAAATTAAACATCATAGAATGATGGGTAAAATCTGGTGGAAGCAAATAATTATCTGTTGGATGTTTCCTAGATCTGAAACAGGATTTGCTAGATCTGAGCCCTATCCTTCTTTCCCCTCACACTCCACCACCAGCTTTATTGAGGTATAATCAACAAATAAAAATTGTATATTTACAGTATACAACGTGATGTTTTGATATTTGTGTACATTATGAAATGATAAAGTTAATAAACATGTCTGCCACCTCACATAGTGTGTGTGTGTTAGAACATTTAAGATCTACTCTCTTAGCGATACTCAAGTACACACTACGTCACTGAGTGCCATCTTCCTTGAAATACTCTTTGCCTTGCCTTCCAGCACTCCACCAGGTCTGGCTTCTTTTCTCTACTGCTCTGACCTTTCTTTGTAAGTCTTCCTTGTTGACTCTTCCTCTTTAGCCCAACCACTTGCTGTCTGAGCTCTACGTGGCTTGGAGGCCTGCCCCCTTCTCCTTCATGATGGCCTCTCCTGACAGTCTCATCCTGTTCTGCAGCATCAGCTGCCATCTGTATTTGGATGCTGCCCACGTTACTGTCTGGAGTTCTGACCTTTCGTCTAAGCTCCAGGCTTATATATTCAATTAAACATCTCCATTTACATATCTCTTGGGCACCTCAAACGCAACACCTCCACCGCTAAACCCACATTTTCCTCACTTACTTTGACCTACTCCTCCTTGGGTACTCCCTGTCTCTGTAATGACACTATCATTCACCTACTTTCCTGAGCCAGAAATCTGGGAATAATTCTGGAATCCTTATCTCTCTTGAATGAGTTTTTAGTGGCCATGTGTCACATTTGTACCTTCCCAGAACCTTTTAAATAATTCACATGTAATAATTCTCACGTCCCCAACTCAGAAGACAGGAGTCAGATTCTCATTTTTTTTTTCTTGCAGCCCAGATGGACACAGGTGACCTAGGCTTGCCCTGTCAGATGCTTCCAAGGGAGGCTTGATTTAGAAGTCATCAACATGAGAACCTGGCTCTCCATGGAGTTTCCATCTTGCTGATGCGGCTGGCTTCAGACATCTGGGTTTTAGGCAATAGCAGCAATTGCGAAGTACATACGGAAGTGGCATTTGTTCTGTAGATTTAGCAATTGCAGTGTAGTCAGGTCTTGGCATTATATGTTTAGGGAGCAGAAACAGTGAACTTATCCAGAATAGTTTTGTTGCCTGGTTTGGTGTGTGTGTATGTGGGTGGAGGGAGAAGGTGTGGGAAACACATTTTTGTTTTTTCTGTGAGTTTAGTCTTGACCTTGTTCCTTCAGTCCTTCAGACTCTCCAGTGATCTCTGAGGGATGTGTGTGTGTGTCTGTATGTGTGTGTGTGTGTGTGTGTGTGTGTGTGTGTGTGTATTTCAGACAGGGTTTTGCTCTGTCACTCAGGCTGGAGTGCAGTGGTTTGATCACCACTCACTGCAGCCTCAAACTCCTAGACAATCAAGTGATCCTCCTGCCTCAACCTCCCAAGTAATTGGGACTACAGGCATGTGTCACCAAGCCCTGCTAATTTTTAAAATTCTTTGGAGAGATAAGGTCGCCGTTTTTTGCTCAGGCTGGACTTGAACTCCTGGCTTCAAGCGATTCCCCCGCCTTGGCCTCCCAAAGTGCTAGAATTACAGGCATGAGCCACCGTGCCTGGCCTGGGTTTAATATTTTTAATAAAGTTTCTGTCTCCTTAAACTATCAAGGGAAGCTTATGTTGTTTGCAGTAGGAATCTTGAACAGTTCAAGATTGTTGCTTTCTCTCCAGTAGGAAGTCTAGCTGTGTTTTGAGCTGTGTGAAAGGAGAAGGGAAGGATGTGGTGAGCGAGAACCAGAAATAAGTGGGCTTGGAGGAGGGAAGGCCCTGCCTCTCCAGGGTTTTTTCATTTGATCACATTATATAGAATATATAAATTATGTACAAATATGCCAAAAAGCAGGGCAGAGTGATGGAAAGAGAATTGGAATTTTAGAAAATAACCAGATTTAAATTCTGACTCTACCACATACTAGCAGGGTACCCTTGAGCAAATGACTTAACTTCTTTAAACTCTGTTCCCTCACTTATGGGTTTCAATTAATATATTTACCACATAGAGTGGTAGGGTTACATGAGATAGCCTGTGAAAAAGATCTCTCACTTATTGGCTTACTGGCTGAGTGGTAAAGGTTAGCTCTGTGTGCCAGAGGCAATTAGGGACTCTAGAGAATGCATCAATAATTGGTTATATATAGGTGGTCCATAAATATTGACTATTCAATTCCATTGGCCTAGAATTCCACTTTTTGTATTTCCACATGTTAAAACTCTTATTCCTTCCAATAGGACTAGTCCAAGTGCTATTGTTTTTCTCTAATTGGACCTTTCCAAATTCACTTAGCTGGAAGTAAAGAATTCTATTTCTGAAATATTATTATATTTTATCATAGGTCATATTTGGATTAATGGTGTAGAATGTAGATCCTTAGGATAGTATAGAATATAGATCCTTAGAATAGGAAGATACTTGGGTGAGTATTTAGTAGAGCTAAAATTTAGTAGAGCTAAATGGTATAGAATATAAATCCTTAGAATAGGAAGATACTTCAATGAGCATTTAGTAGAGCTATTTATGTTTTAAATTTATTTTCATTCAGTTAATATATTACTATTGATTGAAATTCAATAATATTACAAGGATGATAATAAAGAGTAGTCCCCTGCCTCATACCTTACCACTCCCAATTCCCACTCACTCAAGGCAACATTTTTTAACCTTTCATAATATTGCTACATTCCTAGTTTTCAATTTTAGCCACTCCATTATCTATTGATTTGCTGCAATAGAAGATACAAATTTACTTTTCTTACACCTCTTTTCTTACATTGTTGGAACCCTACATCTTACAAATACATGTACATCATCTCTCTTTCCACTTTCCCAATATGGTCATTTCACAATTGTTGATTAAATCACTGTTTGGTGTTTTACATTACCATAACTATCTAAATAAAACTAATAGTTAAGCCATGTAGTATGTTTAGATTCCTTCTTTATGCATCTTTATTTTTTTCTGAAGTCAGTGACATATCTTTAATAATTTGTTCCATCTTGACGTGCTTATTGCTAATTCTTTTAAAAGATCCAAAACAGTAAAATTTCTCTCAAAATAAATTCAGGTAATTTCTCTGCAACCACCCACTACCTGCAAAACTTACACATATATCTCACACACTTTTTCCTTAGGAAATATTCTTTTTTGAGCTTTCCGTCCCCCTGTTTTGAACAAGTTTCAGTCTAGCTGTGTACAAGTCAAGGTTCAAGGGCTTCTGGTCACCATTATCCTGGGGTGACATCATCCTTGTGGACTGAATGTTTGTGTTACCCCCAAAATTCATATGTTAAAATCCTAACCCCTAATGTGATGATATTAGGAGGTGGGGCTTTGGGGAGGCGATTAGATCTTGAGGGTATGGGCTTCGTGAATAGGATTAGTGCTCTTATACTACGTGGGATAGTGCCCAGGGAGCACTTTCATCTCTTCTGCCATGTGAGGACACAGCAAAAAGCCATCATCTTGCTAGGTGTGGTGGTGCACACCTGCTGTCCAGGACTTAGGGTCCAGCTTTGGCAACATGGCAAGACCTTGCCTTTAAAAAAAAGAAAGAGAGAAAGAAAAGAAAAAAGATGGCTGTCTTTGAACCAGGAAGCAAGTCTTCACCAGGTACTGAATATGCTGGTACCTTGATCTTGGACTTCCCAGCCTCCAGAATTGTGAGAAATAAATGTGTATATAAATTGTTGTTTATAAGTCACTTAGTCTATAGTATTTTTGTTATAGAGGCCCAAACAAACTGAGACATGGAGATTCCTGAATAATTTTGTTCCTTCCTTACATGTACATGTGATTATTATAATTATCAGCTAGGTATAGAAGACGAGGCTGAAAATTGTTTTCCTCAAATGTTAAAGGAATTGCTCCACTCTCTTCTAGCTTCTAGTGTTGTTGTCAAGAATGCCAATTCTATTCTTATTCCTAATCCTCAGATATGATCTATTCTTTCTCAGGAAGCTTTTAGGATCTTCTCTCTCCTTGGTGTTTTGTAATTTTAAAAGCATGTGGCTAGAAAAAAAGAAAGACCTAAAAATCAATCATCTAAGCTCCCACATTAGGAAACTAGAAGAATAAGAGTAAATTAACTGCAAAGTAAGCATAAGAAAATACAGTTTTAAAAAATTAGAGCTGAAATCAATGAAATTGAAAACAAAAATTAAGAGTGCTTCACTGCCTCCTGTTTTCAGGGAGCTGGAGCTTACTTCCCCAGGGACTTGGCTGGGAAGGGCTTTCTAGCATCTGGGCCACACTGCAAAGGCTGGAGTATTTTAAGAGTTTACGTGTCAGGAAGAGTCTGTTACTTTTAAAGTTAACTTAATTGTCCTTTTAGACTTTTTTTAAAGTTAACTTAATTGTCCTTTTATTTTTGGATCAAGTCCTATGCCAGGGATTTTAACTGCACTTTGAATGTGTTACCAAGGTTATGGTGACCCTTGGATGCTATTTTTGGAAGAAAGACGAATGGTGACAGACTGCAAAATCAATACTCAAGAGCCTGAGGAGCCTCTGGATTTTGACTTCTGCAGCACCAATGTTATTAATAAAATTATTCTGCAGTCAGAGGGGCTCTGAAGCATTTCCCAGATTGGATGTGACGACTGAGGTCCTACAGATTATCATGTCTCCTGACAAGCATTATTTCAGGTTATCTACTTTTGAAAATTTAGAAAGTTTGCAATTTGACTTCCAAAGATTTTTATGTGGTGCAAGCATTTCATTGTAATCAGACCCAGGTCAACAGATTTTATTTCTTTGCTAATCCCCTTTACAAAAACGTTAGTCCTATCTTGTAAGGTATTTTATTCACACAAATAACAGGATTTCTTTCATTATGGTATATTTTTAGAATGAAGGGGGGCAAATATCTTTTGTGGAATATTACTGTTGCCCTGATGATGAAGTTCCTGAATCTGAGTCTTGAGTATGATGATTCACTGTGATATTTATGTGTACATTCATGATAAGTTGAGTTATCATTATGAGTATAAAAATCTTCATAATTTCTTATTGAATTTTCTGTAGAGAAGATGCATGGAGAAGATAAAAGCAAGGTCCCTGTACCCTAATAGTTATGTATTTTGTGAACAAATGCTTTCATGAAGTCATAGATTATCTAGTATTAGACTGGCCTGTGGCTCTGTCTTTTGAACTCATGGGAATCACTGTGAGCCAAGATGAATAAGTTATAGGTTCTATTCCACTTAAGTAAAACATTTCAAGAGTCTGAAGATTTAAAGTTTGTTGAAGGCATATCAGAACTGTTCTTTTGTTTATTTACTATTAGAAAATGCAAAGGCATATGGACATTGCTTATTAGTTTAAATGCCAGAGATTAGATATTAAAGCAGTGGTTCTCTAAGTGTTGTGTCAAGACCAACAGCATCAGAATCACCCAGGAACCTGTCAGAAATGCTGGGGGTGAGGCCTAAAATCCGTATTTTTCACAAGCTTCCCCCAGGAAATTCTAATGCATGCTAAAGTTTGGAAACCACTGTTTAAAGGATACATTTTTTAAAATTAGCATTTAATTGCATTGAGGTGTTTGCTTTTACTTGTGATTTCTTTACAAAAGTTCTGAAATTGAGGCATCACTAAACAAGTCTGAACAATTCTTTATATGATGTATTTCTAAAGTATACCTTTTTAAGAAATCTATGGACAAGATATGAAAGTCTTCAGAGTCATAGATTTTCTCCTTATTCTTAAAACTGTTCAATGCAGTACTTATTAGATACCTTTCGTTTGCTCATAAACATTTATTGACCAAATCATTGTATTAAAAACCAATTAGTGGTTTCTTACAAGACTAAACATACTCTTATTATATCTTATTATACAACACAGCAATTGCATTCCTTGATATTTACCCAAAGTTGAAAAATTAAGTCCACATAAAAACATGCACACAGATATTTATAGAAGGTTTATTCGTAATTGCCAAAACTTGGAAGCAACCAACGTGTTCTTCAGTAGGTGAATGGATAAACAGATAAATGGAGACAATGGAATATTTTTTAGTGCTAAAAAGAAATGAGCCATCAAGCCATGAAAAACCATGGAGGAATCTTAAATGCAGATTACCAAGTGAAAGAAGACAATCTGAAAAGGCTATATACTGTATGACTTCAACTATATGAAATTCCAGAAACAGCAAAACTATAGAGACAGTAAAAAGATCAGTGGTTGCCAGGATTTGTCGGGAGAGAGATGACTAGACAGAGCACAGAGGATTTTAGGGCAGGGAAACCACCCTGTATGATACTGTGAGGGTGGATACTCATTATACATTTGTCCAAACCCACAGAATGTACAACACCAAGTGTACCCTAGTGGCAACTCTGGAGTCTGGGTGATAATGATGTGTCATGCTCAGTCCACCCTGGTGGGAATGTTGATAATGGGGAGGCTGTGCATGTGTGAGGGAAAAGGGTATATGGAAACCTGTACCTTCAGCTCAATTTTACTGTGAGCCTAAAACTGCTTTAAAAAATAAAGTCTACTAAAAAGAAAAAAACTGGAAAAAAAATGCAAAGTGACATGCTTTTGTGTGTGTTCTTTCTCATTCATCAAATTCGGTATTTATTTGATAACTTGCTTTTTTCTCCATTCGCTCTTGTTTAAATGCTTATTAGCTGGTTATTATTCATCGGGGCATAAACCTGTATATTTCTTATTTTTTTTCTCTCCTGTTTTTCCATTTTATTCTTTTCTAGGCATACTTTTAGAAAGAGATCTTCAGCTTTATCACTCTATTAGCTTTAAAACTTTTCTGCTATCACATTTAGAAAATATATTTATAAAATCTCTTCTGTAATTTGTTCATTTTTTACAAGTATTAGCACTGTCTTTTTGTTTCATGGATGCAATGTCTTTTCTTATCTCTCTGATGACCATATATATTTCTTCTTCTACCCTCTGCTTTGTCCTTAAGTTCCTTCTTCTGATTTGTTTTCTGTTTTTTTTTTAAGTTGGAGGCTTTTCTGAATGTTATTTATGTCTGTTTACTCATATTTAAGAAAGAAATGTCCATACATGTATACACACAAAACTGACTTGAATTCTTTTTGCGTTGGCCTGGTTTATTTATGAGTTAGTTTAATTATAGGATTGGCACGAAAGGGCCTGAGTCTTTGTATTGGAAAACTCAAAATGTCAGTAACGGTGAGAGTTTTTCCCTTCTTGGGCCAGTTGCTACAGTAGGAGCCTCCAGTCTTCTGCTTATGGCATAAACCTTGCTGTCAGTACTCTAGAAGTCAGGGAGGAAAGGGCTTGGGGATCCCACTTTTCTCCGTGAGACTGTTAACAAACCTCCTTTTTCAGCACAGTTGCCTCCTTTCCCTTCTGTGTCTTGTGTCACCAAGTTGGGTATCTCTCTGATTAAATTTCTTGGTAAAACAAAGCTGGACGATGAGTACTTGTCTCTCTGCCCCAGGTGCAGCAGTGTACCTGCTCCTCATTGAGACCACTTCCCAGCTTAATCACTTAACTCACCTTTTACAGGACCTGAAGCCTCAAATCAGTACGCCTCTCTGGGGTTGGTGCTTGTTGGGTTCTTCCTCAACAGGGAGCTTTCTCTCGTTTACTCAGTAGGTTACCAAATTCATACACTTCACATCTTTTTAATTCTTACATATTGTTCTCTTTGGTGTTCTTTCGCCTTGTGTGATCCACTCATTCATGCATTCACTCATTCAACGAATATTTTCTGAACACCTTCTCTGTGCCTGGCACTGTGTCAGGTGAAGTGGATGCAGTGAGCCAGTGGGCAGAAATCTCTTCCCTCATGTGCCTTACATTTTAGGAGCATGAGGCAGAGAATAAACAAACAAATGACATATACCGTATGTCAGATGATGGTCAGTAACACGTGTGGGAAAAGATAATGTGGGGAAGAGGTAGAGAACATGCTGGTCAGAGAAGCCCCACAGATAAGGTGCTATTTGAGCTGAAAGCTGGCAAAAGTGTAGAAACAAGCCTTGCAGTAGAAAGTGAAGGAGGTCCTGCAGCTCTGGGCTGATTACCTGGGCATGGTTAGGTGCTCTTCCTCTGCTCCTTGAGCATCTTGAGCATGCTTTAATTATAACACTTATCATCATGTCCTATTGTGATTATTAAATCACATGTCTGTTTTCATGACTTGGCAGAGCCGCTCAACATCTGGAACTTTGTCTTACTAACTTTTATATTCTCAGAATCTAATACATCATATTAGATGTTCAGTGCATAATTGTTAATTCAATGAATAAGAAAGGAAAACCTCAAGTAAATTGCTGACTAGAATCAAGCCCTCAAGCTCTGAATTTAGGGTTAGGAGCCTGGGTTAGGAAGAAAGACTGTATATATGCTTTTGAGGCAAGCAGTCAGTGAGGGAATGAGGCATGATTACTTGCAGGTGGCTACAAGCAATAAAAATGCGGTCAAAAAGGTTAGCAGAGGGATTGCCCCACTAGTAGATAGGAACTGTTACAACAGCCTGTGACAATGAAGACAGATTGCAAACTTCCTACTTAGGCACAGATGAGAATGTAACACAGAAGAAACTGGCCGCAACTGGTTAAAGCCAAGATGGTCGAAAACTTGGCTGACTGCTGACCCTTAGCTTCATTATGCCCTTAATATCATAAAACTTCCATGGGGAAATTCCCACTCCCATCATGCACCTGACGCCATGACAGTTCCGGATTAACCATCTTTAGTCAAGAAAAGGGTGGCACCCCGATTCCGGGAATTGCCCGCCCATTTCCCAGAAAACCCCTCCCCTTGATTACAGAGTACTCCATACCTTCATTGTGCTTATTCATATAGTACGTGAACCACATTGCCTGTGACTCAAATCTTTGAGTGCCTGCACTCCTCCCTTGAGGGTGTCGTTGGTTTTGCTCCACAATAAAATGTCTATACTTTCGCTTGGGTCTCATTTTCAGATTCTCTTATGCTTTGAAGACAAGAACCTGCACTGCCCTACTGGCAACACTTTTAGATACCCTCTGAGATCAGTGTGCTTGTTTATACCAGAAAAATGTCATCACCAGGCCCCTTAGTCACAAAGTGTATCAAGAAGTCATCTGCGGTCATTTTTTACAGTTTCTAGGCCACTTTCTGTTTCCAATCAGTGTAGTTCCTATGTGGCATGACTCAGATACAAGTTTCTATAGACATTTTCTTCTGTGGCTGCTAGTGAGAACCCAAACCAGCTCAGCCAATTAGAGCTCCAGTTGTCACTCCTACCCACACTGGGCCTGGGGGTGAAGGGAAGTGTTTATTAGGGGTACATGTGAAGCCGTCCAGAAGTGTCAGAGTCTTTGTAGCTTTGAAAGTCACCTAGGTTATTTGGGCATGCTCTCCTGAGTCCTCTGCTAGTTAAGCTCTCTGAAAAGAAGGTGGCAGACCCGGTTTGCTGATCGCCCCAGGGATCAGGAGGTAAGCACCATAGAGGAGCTGGGTTAGAGACGAGAGACTTAACCGTTTCTCTGCTGAAAAAGACAACTGAGGAAAGGCCAGCCATGCTGTGCACACCTCTGAGAACCTGAACCTGCAAACATGGACATCAGCTCTGAAAGGATGGGTTCATTTCTCTTTTATTCACTTTAGCCATGTCCTCTGGTGTCTCTGAGCTGGTGTTCCTTAAGCTTCGGCTTCCTTTGGGGTTTGTCTATCAGCCTATTTGTAAGGCTGACTTTTATGCCAATAGCAAATACAAGCATTTTTTAAGTTAACAGATATTATGAAGTAAAATGCAAGTTTTTCATTTATAAGGCAACATAACTTCAGAGAAAAAACTGAGTCAATCACATAAAATGTGATTAAAATGTGATTGTTATTATATAAGAGGGTTATAGGAAGATTAGCTTCTTATGGACAAGTAGAAAAGTAGGAATCATCCAAGCTGATTGTCACAGTAGATATTCAACAAAGGTAGTGTCCTTCCTTGCTTTCATCAGTAGGATGGGGGCATTTGGATGGCTTTATCATTGCAAATATTTTTAATGTATTCCTTATTTTGAAAATGGTCCTGATAATAGTTTTAATTTTCACTCATGAACTCTACATGTATAAGTAGAGTTTCTCCAGCGCTTACCAACATATAGGAAAAAACATTATAAGGCCATTAACAGTGATAGTTTAGAATTTATTAACATTGACTCTACTGATGGGGGTATTCAAGCTTCCCTAAAATTCACAATCAGTTATTTTCAGCTCATAAACATCTTTTCCTGTTCTTTGGCTTATTTCTTCCACTTTATATGTTGCTGCTCTGGAAGTCATTAATTGCTAATAATGTCAAACATCTTTTTTATGTTTATTGGATATTTGAGCAAATTGCTCATTCACATCTTTTGCACACTTTTCAAATAGACTGTTGTTTTCTTATTGATACATGGTTCTCCATGTATTCCAAAAGCAAAACCTCTATTAGCTCTCTCTCTCTCTCTCTCTCTCTATATATATATATATAGCAGGTATAGCCATATATATATGTGTGTGTGTGTGTGTGTGTGTGTGTGTGTGTGTGTGTGTATTGCAGGTATCTGCCCAGTTTTTGCCTTGTATAATCACTTTGTTTAGTGTGTGTGTGTGCACGGATGTGTGTGTTTCCTACAAAGAAATTGAGAATATGCATGCAATCACATTTGACAAATTTTTTTTTTCTGGCTTGTCCTTTTTGTGCCTTATTTAAGGAACCTCCTTCTACTTCAATGTATTGAGAAATTCTGTGTTTTATTCAACATCATTACTATTCTATTTAGATAATTAATCCAACCAGATATATATTTTGTGTATGATATAAGAGAAAGGCTGAATATATCATTCCCTGTGTATTGTCATTTGTCTGAACACTTTTTATAGTTGGCCATTCTTTCCTTGTGATTTTTAATGCCACTTTGATTATATACCAAGCTTTAATTTACATGTGGTCCTGTTTCCACACTCTATTTATTAGTTCATTTTTTTCTACGCCACTGCCATACTGATTTAATAATTATACATTTGTAGTAAGTATTGATACCTAGTAGTAGGGATAGTACATCCTGATAAACATATTCAACTTGTTTTGCAGGTTTTTGTCTTTATTTTTTTCATTTAGGTTTTAGGATCATTCTGATAAATTCTATGAAAAACCCTTTGAGATTTTGGATAGGAGTTTATAGATTAATTTGACAACACTGCTGTCTTCATTTTATCAAATCTTCCCATTTAAAATATCAGACATACACCCACTTAAGTAGGTCCTTTAAATCTCCCAATAAAGTTTTATAAGTTTCCCTTTAAAACTCTTAAATATATTGTATTCGATGTTCTTATGTACTTTGTAGTTTTGTTGCTATTGGAAATTACTTTTTTTATGTAATTTTTTTCTCTCTTGGAGTGGTACTAAAATAAAGGAATGCATTTCTGTATATTAATCTTATAGTTATAAACTGTTGAATTATTATTTATAATGTTTTGTGTATTATTTTGGATACTATACATAAACAACTATATTACTACAACGTGATTTTGGCAACAAGTTACAAAAATAGGTTGATGGACAGAATAAAGAATCCAGAAATAGACTCACTCATATTTGGACAACTGATTTTTGCAAAGGTAAAAAAAAAAATCATTAAAAATGACAGTCTTTTTAACATATGATTCTGGGAAAATTCATATTCATATGAAAAATAAATGAACTTTGAATCATCACTTATATCATATACAAATTAACTCAAAGCAGTACATACAGCCAAATGTGAAATGATCAAACCGTAAAATTCTTACAGGAAGACATAAAATCTTCTAATCTTGAGATTGGAAAAGATTTCTTAAATAAGACACTGAAAGCATGATCCATGAAAGAACAGATTGATTAATTGCACTTCATCAGGTATATGTATATGCCAAAATTTATCAGATTGTATACTTCCAGTGTATGCACCGTGTTGTATGCCAGTTATGCCTCGATAAATCTATTTTAAAAATAACAGGAAAATGTATCCTGTTTCCTTTTTGTTGTTGTTGTTGTTGTTGTTTTGAGATGAAGTTTCGCTCCTGTTGCCCAGGCTGGAGTGCAATGGCGCGATCTTGGCTCACTGCAACCTCCACCTCCCAGGTTCAAATAATTCTCCTGCCTCAGCCTCCTGAGTAGTTGGGATTACAGGCGCCCACCACCATGCTCGGCTAATTTTTGTACTTTTAGTAGAGATGGGGTTTTGCCATATTGGCCAGTCTGGTCTCAAACTCCTGACCGCAGGTGATCCGCCCACCTTGGCCTTCCAAAGTGCTGGGATTATTACAGGCGTGAGCTACCGCGCCCAGCTAATGTATCTTGTTTTCTGAGAATTCCAGAGGTGTTGTATACTTTCTGAAGATGTCTTTCCCAGGAGTAGTGATCACCTTGCTTAAGAAGTTCTTACCTATGTCCTACTCAAATCTCTTTTACTACTGCAAATATTTTATTTTTCTTTAAAAAATATTAATAGCTCACCTTGCTTTATTTTGAATGTAGAATCACTTTTGGTGGTGTAATCTTACATGTTTTGGATTCCTTATAGGCTGATCCCAAAGTTGTCAGATGGAGAGTAAATACAAGGAGATACTCTTGCTAACAGGCCTGGATAACATCACTGATGAGGAACTGGATAGGTTTAAGTTCTTTCTTTCAGACGAGTTTAATATTGCCACAGGCAAACTACATACTGCAAACAGAATACAAGTAGCTACCTTGATGATTCAAAATGCTGGGGCGGTGTCTGCAGTGATGAAGACCATTCGTATTTTTCAGAAGTTGAATTATATGCTTTTGGCAAAACGTCTTCAGGAGGAGAAGGAGAAAGGTAATGTGGGAGTTCCACACCTGCCCCGTCCCTTTTTCTGCCAAGCCTGGGCCTTTCCTTTCATGGCATCCCTGGGATATGACCCCCAGTGCACATTGTTGGAATTTGTTTGCTAACTTAGTGCACCTGTCTCTTTGCCCCCTTTTACTGAGAATCGCTTCTAGGAAGTGTTTGTTACAAATTCCACAAATCCATTCCAGCCTTTGTTTGCATCTCTTCTTCCAGCCTTAGGGTTACCACTTCCATTTAACATCTTTTCTCCTTGCCCATCTTTGTCTCCAGTTCAGTTGCAGTGAATATGGACGTAGAATTTCAAAGTTAACTTCTCCCAACTCCATTTACACAGTATGTAATGCTGTCACATTCTACTGAAGTCTTGAAAGTATAAATTATTGCATTGGAAAACTGTAAACCAGGATATTGAGCACCTTTTTTCCTTCACACAGTCTGTCTATTCCTCTCCTTGTCCCCAGCTTTCTGTGGTCCCAGACTATCCTTCTTTAGGCGATGATCTCCTCCTTCTTCAGAAGGGAGGGAGAATCCACCTTCAGGGATTTTCTTTCCTCTCTATCTCCAGTACAGGTGACAGTATAAATTACCCACAACACAAAGATTTTTTTTACATTATTCAATAAATCACTCATCTCCATCTGAATTATCTACATTTAGTTTAAATTCCTGATTTTGTTTACTAAGAACAATTGATATGTCCCAGCTTTATGTCTGAAGAACAAAAAGGAGCTAACAGAGGAGCATATCACTCAAGGACTCTCCAAAATGAAAGTCTCCAAATGCAACAGTTTTAGGATTCAAAGTACAACAGTAGCAGCAAAAATTATAATAGCTTTTAGTAGCATTTGTGGGTGTACAACAAGGGTGACATGGCTTCTCACACATGAGTTATAGGAAGGCTAAATGAAGCCACATAAGTGATACTATGTACATTCATAATTCTATACAGATATAAACTGTTAGGTAGTTTCTAAGGCACTAAAGAGAAAGGAGTGGTGGTTTTCCCAGGCTTTAAGTTAGAAGGTGTAGTTCTTAGAGATGGCCCTTAGATGGCAGTAACTACACATGTTACTTCCAAGTAACCAACCAAAACATTGCCCTGTGTTTTTCTTATCTGGGATGAGCCAGGAATCTAGGCATATTGGCAAACATAGGCTGAGATATTTAGAAATATCTTTTATTTTGGTAATAAATCAAGAATTAATTCTTCTCTTTGACCAGGATAGAACAAAATTTCCCCTTCTACAATCTTCTCCCCATTTTGCTATTCTAATGATTCTGGGATTTTGTTATTCTGCTTAGCTAAAAAAGATCCAGTTTGGGACTAGCTTGGAAACTCAGGAGTAGATTATCCAAGGACTCTCCCAAATGAGAGTCTCCAAATGTAACAGTTGTAGGATTCAAAGTATGCTTTTGGGCCAGGCGCAGTGGCTCACGCCTTTAATCCCAGCACTTTGGGAGGCCAAGGCGGGTGGATCACTTGAGTTCAGGAGTTCGAGATCAGCCTGGCCAACATAGTGAAACTTTGTCTCTACTAAAAATACAAAAATTAGCCAGGCATGGTGGCGGGCATCTGTAATGCCAGCTACTTGGGAGGCTGAGGCACGAGAATCACTTGAACCTGGGAGGGAGAGGTTGCAGTGAGCTGAGATCACACCTCTGCACTCCTGCCTGGGCAACAACAGTGAGACCCTGTCTCAAACAACAACAACAACAAAACACAAAGTATGCTTCTTGCATGCTATACAAGAAGGCAGTTAAGTTCCTTCATAGCTCTAAAATTCTATCCACGGACATACTTAGGCCGCTTTTGAATGTAGGAAATTTTTGTGTGTCCATGCTATTTCTATTATTTTAGGAAAACAGTTTTTGTTTTATTTTTTGAACAGTTAATCTGTCATTCTTGGTTAAGTGATCCTTCTCCATTGCCATTGCATGTCTGCATGTAGAGTGCTATATGCTATTCTACTCATGACCTCACCTCATGGAAGGTAGAAGATACCTGGAGAATCTTTAATGAAGACAGAGGCAATAATTAGTAGACAGGAGAAGCTTTTGTATGAAGCAAGATGAGAAAATATAAGGACACATAAGCGTAGAAAAAGGAAGCTAAGAGAAAATGTGATCAAAGTCCACAAAAGTCCTGCAAGATTAAAATAAAATGCTGAAAATGATAAATGAAATAATCAGTAACAATGTGCACCTGATTATTAAGGCAAATGAGAGATTTATAATTGGCAGACAAGCTTGTCCACAAATATTGCATTGGTACCACAGTGTGTGAAATGAAATATGGCTGATGTGATGTGGTAGAATGGTAGGTTGATTCCTTCCGCCTCCCTTGATGCTGTTTTCTCTCCGATGCTGTGAACATAGAAGAGAGACTTTATCTGCATACCTTTCTGAAACCAATTTCATGGAACTAACTTACCATTGGAAGGTTAGTTTAACTTCTTCCTAGTGCAGAGATCCTGCTACAATATCCCTGTCAGACAGTCAACCACTTTCTGATCTTTGAAAGGTAATGACAGAGTACCTACTACCTCATAAGACAGTTCATTCTACTCTTAGCTCTAATAATTAAATCGTTTCTCTTTTTAGTAAAATCAGTGATTGCCTTGCTATTTCAGTCCAGAATTGTTCAAATTCTATCAGAAATAACATCTAATAATTTCCCAGGCCCTCTTCTGCCTGAGAGTGCCTTAAGTCATCAAACATGGCCATCTTGTTACATGGTCTTTTTAAAAATCAGGAGTAGGAGTTGGCTTTTCACGATAACATATAACCTGACCATAGACGTGGAGGAGCCCAGCCAGAGTATACGACTGCATTTTGTAGGCATTAGTGAGGAGCCAACATGCCACCCATCCATCCATTTCTTCATCCATTCAGTAAATATCCATTGAATTGCTAATAGGTACAAGGAAAGCTTTTAGGTTCTTATGATAAAACAAGGTTTTAAAAACAAATCCAAATTTTGTACAGTTTATACTCTAAAGGGAAAGTAGATATTTTTCTTACAGGCAAATTAACTGAGACAGGTAACTAACTGAGACAAATGTTCTGATGGAAAGGAAGATGGTTCTTCAGCAGCATGTGTCAAAGGAGCATTAACATAAGCCAGGAGTTAGAGTTGGTGTTGGTCAAAGCGGGTTCCATGGGGAAGTGACTTGCACTAAGCTGTGAAAAATGCATAGGAGTTAAAGGTACCTTCAGTCAGAGGGAACACTGTGTGAAAATCCCTCTGACAGCAGGTGTTGACTTGCTTGAGGACTGAAAGAAGGCCAGTATGGCTGCAGTACAGAGAATCTTCAGAGGGCAGGATGGGGTCCCCTCGACAGAAGGAAAATGCAAGGCCTTGTAGAACATAATTAGAAATCTGTGGCCAGGCGCGGTGGCTCACGCCTGTAATCCCAACACTTTGGGAGGCTGAGGTGGGCGCATCACGAGGTGAGGAGCTCAAGACCAGCCTTAACAACATGGTGAAACCCCATCTTTACTAAAAAAATACAAAAATTAGTCAGGCGTGGTGGCATGAGCCTGTAATCCCAGCTACTCAGGAGGCTGAGGCAGGAGAATCACTTGAACCCAGGAGGCAGAGGTTGCAGTGAGCCAAGATTGCGCCACTGCACTCCAGCTTGGGTGACGGAGTGAGACTCCGTCTCAAAAAAAAAAAAAAGAAAGAAATCAGCCCTTGTTTCATAGCAGCAGTTTATTCATTTTCACTACTACATAAGATTCCATTTAATTGATAATTACATATACACATAAACTGATATACATATATATAGAGAGAGAGAATTGGTGTATTTTTATTGTTATTTTAGTCATTGGAGGCCATTATGAATAATGCTGCTATGAATATTTATGTACATTATAAGCCTTATATACTTATCTTTGTATGTTTGTATTTGTATGTGTGTTTCTCTTGACTGTACACCTGTGAATGGTATTACTGGATGTTAAGGTAAGTAGATATTGAATTTTAATAAATAGCGTCCCAAACCATTTTCCAAAGTGTTATACCAATTTAAGACGACTACTACTTCATAGTTTTTGTTTCTTGTCTTTTTTTTTTTTTTGAGACAGACAGGGTCTCACTGTGTCATCCAAGCTGGAGTGCAGTGGTGCAATCATGACTCACTGCAGCTTTGAACTCCTGGGCTTAAGTTATCCTTGCCTCAGCCTCCCAAGTAGCTGGGACTAAAAACATGTGCCATTATACCTGGCTAATTTTGAAAATATTTTTTGTAAAGATAGGGTCTCCCTATGTTGACTAAGCTGGTCTCAAACCCCTGGCCTCAAGTGATCCTCCAGCCTTGGCCTCCCAAAGTGCTGGGATTACTGGTGTCTGTGCCAGGTCCAGTTTCTTTCATTTTAAAATATGATTTTTTTTTAAGAAAAATTAGCTGTTCTTGAAGATATCTTAATATGGTTTTAGTATTTATTCCTGGTGACATTTGAAAATGTGCACTGCTCATATGTTTATATGCTTATTGGCCATGTCTTTCATTTTTTAATCAGTTGATAAGCAATACAAATCGGTAACAAAACCAAAGCCACTAAGTCAAGCTGAAATGAGTCCTGCTGCATCTGCAGCCATCAGAAATGATGTCGCAAAGCAACGTGCTGCACCAAAAGTCTCTCCTCATGTTAAGGTAGGATAAGGAGAGTGGAGTGGTCTTTGTCCTTGTAAGAGCATCACTGTCACTGTCACTTCCCATATTGTTCTCTGTTCTTTATCTCACAGCATGCAAATAAGGGAAGCAAGGCCACAGCATGAAAAGCATTCTGAGTCACAAAAACAGGAACTACCTTTGATTCATCAGATTAAACACCTGTTGAGCTTCTAATCTCTGCCAGGTTCTGGACACATTAACACTTTGTTATGTTTTGGATTCTATAAGAAGAAAACTCTGAGATAGACCGTTGTTTACAGGAAGTCTATTTTAGAGCACTTTCAGAATTAATATCTGTGAGGAAGTGAAAGGAGAAGAAGAGGAAGAATGTCAAGTCCAATGTAGTTGCAATAGAGGCCTTGGCCTACCCTACAGGGAGCTCGGGAGCTGAGAATGTCTTTCAGGGCTCCCAAGATTTGTGAGGGAGTCTGTGGTTTGTACAGGCCCAGGCTCTGGGTCACATCAGAGATCCAATTCAGAGACTCTGACACTCGGTCTGGCATGCCTCTGTTTGTTTTCTGCTTGGTTCTTGACAGCAAATTGCTTTTTTAAAAGTAATGTAAAAAAGCCCTTTATACACCTGCATGGACAAGGTGAGGTGGCCCCATTTAGCTGAGAGAGTAGTGGCTGGAGAGTGTCATTGGTGAGAATGATTACTTTAGTCCTGAGGGAGTGGCAGACAACGTTAGAAAGGCCCAGCACAGAATCCACCACACATGCAGTTTCATTTCCTATGAAGCAGGTATTACATTATTTTATACCTGTGTGAGCTCTAAAAACTGATGATATATACTTCATTCTCTTTGTCTAGAGGAACCATTTCCTCTGGGTTTGGCCCAGAAACTTCTGGATTTTTCAGGAAAACAAGGTTCAAGTATAAATGGTGTGATTCCCTCATCAGTAATGAAAATATGCATTTTTCAGTCTGGAAGACCCAAATAAAGATACATGGACCAAAGAGAAGGACTTCTGTAGTGGACCTCAGTGGAGCTGACCTTTCCCTGCATTGATCCAAATGCAGTCAGTTATGCTGCCCATCAGGGCCCCTTACTGGCCCAAGCTCCACTGCCCCAAGCTCCAGGTCACATCAGAGACACCCTTCAGAGACTCCTACGCTTGGCTTTTTATGCCTCTGTTTGTTTTGCCCTGTATTTCCCTTTGGTTCTAAATGGCAAGTGGCTTTTAAAAAGTAGTATTTTCTCCCAAAACAAACCAAAAAGAGGTGTCTTATCTCTGTTAATTCAGAAAAATAAAAAACACAGAGAAGAGAATAAAATTATCTATAATTGTATCGTCTAGGAAAAAAATACATTGATGTTGGTAAATATCTCTCTAGTGTGTTTGTGTGTGTGCTTTAACTGCTTATTTATCCAATAAGAAACAGATTGTTTATCTGTTTAGGACCTTTCCCTTTATTGAATCAGTTATAACAGTTTATCATATTTCTCTAAAGCATTTTTAATATTTGCACAGTAATCTTTTTGTGACTATACCTATTTTATTTAACCAAATCTATTTTTTAGGTATTTAAATTATTTCTTTTTTTATAATTTCAAATAATAAGATGTACTTTTTAAATATAAACCTTAGTGCATAATTCATTATTTAAGGGTAAATCCATAAATGTAGTATTAATTCTCCTTTTAAATTTCTCCTTTAACTCACTCATAAGATCTCTGAACTAGGTCTCCCCCTTAACTCACATTAAATGTAATCTGCATTTTGTTATGTACAATGCTCCCTAGGAATTTGGGGAGCCCTGTGCTGGTCACTGAGCTCCCTCACTTTTATACCAGAGTAAAATGAACATTTAGGACAGTATTGGATAGAGAAACAAGGACACATGCCCGAATGGAATTGATAGAAGATGGAATCAGATTTGTCAGATTTACCCCGAGGCTTAGCAGTATTTCAGAAATCTGATGAAGTCTTTATATATAGTACATGGCAAAGCAAGGATTTGGTTTCAGGGATCCTACCTCCAAAACGTGTTACACCGTCTTATCTGAATACAGGAGTCGAAATCTTCCTTCTGCACTCTCTGTTCTATCTGGATCGTTCTAGGCCTCAACTCTCTTCGTATCCCCTCTGTATCTCTTCCCTTGATTCCACCTATCTTCTGCTGGCTTTCTGAGGTTTAGCACTGTAGGTGAAGTAAGGTCCTTTCAATAGTACCTTTTTGACTCACAGCTGATATCTTTCTTCTCTTGTCTTCAGCCTGAACAGAAACAGATGGTGGCCCAGCAGGAATCTATCAGAGAAGGGTTTCAGAAGCGCTGTTTGCCAGTTATGGTACTGAAAGCAAAGAAGCCCTTCACGTTTGAGACCCAAGAAGGCAAGCAGGAGATGTTTCATGCTACAGTGGCTACAGAAAAGGAATTCTTCTTTGTAAAAGTTTTTAATACACTGCTGAAAGATAAATTCATTCCAAAGAGAATAATTATAATAGCAAGATATTATCGGCACAGTGGTTTCTTAGAGGTAAATAGCGCCTCACGTGTGTTAGATGCTGAATCTGACCAAAAGGTTAATGTCCCGCTGAACATTATCAGAAAAGCTGGTGAAACCCCGAAGATCAACACGCTTCAAACTCAGCCCCTTGGAACAATTGTGAATGGTTTGTTTGTAGTCCAGAAGGTAAGTTTTCATATCTAATTTCATATTGATTAGTAAGAATAACGTATTTCCCATCTGATCTTAAAGAAACTTTGGAAATGGTTTTAATGTCTTTCTATATAGACAAAATAAAAAAATACAAAGTTCTAAAGAGCTGCAGAGTAAACATGCCAAAATTCATACAAAAACTCAAAAATTGTTTTTATTGTCAAAAATGTCACGATCCTATTTCAACTTACCCCAGTAGCCTCTGAAAAAGGAATTAGTTCATTCACATAATTTTTATTTCTGCATTATTTTTGTACTTTGTACATATTATCTTTATTTTAAGTGACTATAGTTGTGATTATCTTTATTTTAAGTGACTATTGTTGTGAATGCAAAGTAAGTGTAGTTGAGTAATAAACCAGATTAATGACCTGAAAAACCAATACGCAAGGCAGGATTAAAGAACTGTGATTAAATGAAGAAAACAGAAGAAAGAGTTAGCCTGAGGAGACTTTTTTTTTAATTAAAAAGTAAACTTTAATGTCAAAAATGCAAACTGGGGGAAGACAGAAAAGATCACACACAAGGCTGTCACTTCACACTTGGAAGGTTGCACGGCGGCCGGGCAGAGGCGCTCCTCACTTCCCAGACAGGGCCGCGGGGCAGAGGCGCTCCTCCAGGATACTTATTAGAAGTGAGAAATAATAAAGTATTTATTATGATTCTGAGCCTCAGGGAACTAGCCTTGTGGGATGACTTTTTCTGGTCTAGGGCAGGACCTAAAGAACCATAGAGAGAGAACCTGCTGCCCCTGCATTCAGAGCCTCAGAATAACCTCTGCTGCCCTGGGTTAGTTTCAGAAGGAATTGATAGGAAGACTCTCCAGTCCTCCTGGAAAACTCAAGTGTAAAATGACCTTGGATAGGAAAGTCATGTTCTTTATCCCAGTTTTCAGCTTTCAATCTGGCCAGCTATCCACTCATATATACTGATTTAGTCCATAAAATTAAACCTAAAATACGATCAATCTCCTAAATAACTGACCAACCTCCTGTTCCCTTTGGATCTAGACTTGATTGTGAATTGTTTCTTGTCTTTGATTACTTACTAGACTCTTGGCTGGGTCTTGCATCATTACCTCATGTCTCTCCTGGACTTGTTTTAAATAGCTCTCTTCAGGCTGGGCGCGGCAGCTCATGCCTGTAATCCTAGCACTTTGGGAGGCCAAGGCGCATGGATCACCTGAGTTGAGGAGTTCCAGATCATCCTGGCCAACATGGCAAAACCTGTCTCTAGTAAAAATACAAAAATTAGCCGGGTGTATTGGCGGACACCTATAATCCCAGCTACTCGGGAGGCTGAGGCAAGAGAATCGCTTGAACCCAGGGCGTTGGAGGTTGCAGTGAGCCAAGATTGCGCCATCGCACTCCAGCCTGGGTGAAAGAGCGAAACTCCATTTCAAAAAATAAACAAATAGAATAAATAGCTCTCTTCCAACCCAGGGTCTTCTTTTTTCCCTTGACTAATCTGGCTGCTGGCCCTGGAGAAGCTCCATCTTCTCTATCCAGCAGTTGTTGCTTCTATGGGCCACCCTGGCCTCCTCCTAAAGGAAGGGAATTTAGGACTGGAAAGATAGGCATAGGAGACAACATGTTCTAAGTAAGACACGTCTGCCTCCTCTGTGTGAACTTGCTAACATCTATTAGATATATACCTGCTAGTTTCAAAGCAGAAACATTTTTTCAAGTTGTCCCTTGAACAATGTAGGGATTAGGGCTTCTGACCCTGAGCAGTTGATAATCTGCATATAATTTTTGACTCCCCAAAAACTTAACTGCTTAATAGCCTACTCTTGATCAGAAGACTTACGGACAACATAAGCAGTCACTTAACACATATTTTTGTGTTATACATATTATATACTATATTCTTAAAAAGTAAGCTAGAGAAAAATGTTATTAATAAAATTATAAAAAAGAAAATATACTAACTATTCATTAAGTGGAAGTAGATCATCATAAAGTTCTTCATCCTCATTGTCTTGATGTTAAGTAGACTGAGGAGGAAGAGGAGGGTTGGTCTTGCCATCTTGGGGTGGCAGAGACAGAGGAAAATTCCCATATAAATGGACCTGCACAGGTAAAATCTGTGTTGTTCAAGAATCAACTGATTTCTTTTTAGAGCCTTCTTCTGGCATGTCTGATGTGTGACTGATGCGGCATTCATTAATCCGATTATCAGAGGCTGGGTGTTGATTTTCTTTTATAGGTAACAGAAAAGAAGAAAAACATATTATTTGACCTAAGTGACAACACTGGGAAAATGGAAGTACTGGGGGTTAGAAACGAGGACACAATGAAATGTAAGGAAGGAGATAAGGTTCGACTTACATTCTTCACACTGTCAAAAAATGGAGAAAAACTACAGCTGACATCTGGAGTTCATAGCACCATAAAGGTGGGAACTGCATGGAACAAAGTCAACTCTCCAAGGGGGTGATATTTTTTGTTTTCTATCAGAAAGCCGGACTGGAGCCATTGAACAGGATATAGAGTGGAAGACATTGATATTTAGTACACGTTCATCTCACAGAACTGAGGAACCTCCCTCTTAGGAAACATGTATTCTAGATACACAGTTAAGAGAACATGGGCTTTTCAAGGCAGAGGCGCATATTGTTGTGCCCACAGAGCCCAAAAAAGAGCTCCTTATTTATACTACAAGTCTAAAGCAGAAAGCTTGCCCAGAGTCGGAAAAGTCATTCTGACTAATGTCTTTGAAAGTAGACAGACAATAAATACTTTGAGGACACATTTCCCTAGCCAGTCCCACCACGTCTGCACCTACCATAGTCCAGTGCAGTTAAGTCCATGTAAACCCCTACTCTTGACCTTCCACCACACCCTCCTACCCGTGTCCTGCCACTACTTGGTGCTCTTCCCCAGGTCTCAGTGTTGGTTGCACTGCCTGCTATCTCTGTAAGAGTGGAGGCCAAGATTTGAGAAATATGCGTATGTGACCTTGCTAAGTGGGAGTGTATTTCTCAGGTCAGATATTCACTTCAGGAGTATGATCCAAGGCAGACCAATGTATTAGAAGGGTGGGAACAAAATAATTTTATGAGAAGATGATACATACACTTCAGAAGGCCATAGTGACTGCAAACAGTGGAGGGGCCACTCATCGACTGCATCTCAGACTGCATGTTTTTTTTCTCCATCCAGGTTATTAAGGCCAAAAAAAAAACATAGAGAAGTAAAAAGGACCAATTCAAGCCAACTGGTCTAAGCAGCATTTAATTGAAGAATATGTGATACAGCCTCTTCAATCAGATTGTAAGTTACCTGAAAGCTGCAGTTCACAGGCTCCTCTCTCCACCAAATTAGGATAGAATAATTGCTGGATAAACAAATTCAGAATATCAACAGATGATCACAATAAACATCTGTTTCTCATTCATTACAGTCCCACTATCTCCTTTAGTTTGTCAATCCCTTGTCTCAAGCGAAAATACTTTATCAATGTATTATATGATGTTTATACAAATTTAAAAGTAAACTATATGACAACAATTGCACAAAATACAAGAGGGAAGAATTAGGAGTACACTGTTAGAAGATCCTGTACAACATGTGAAGCAGCGCAGTATTATTTGAAAGTAGATACTGAATAATTAAAGATGTATATTTTGTCCCATAGGGCAATGATTTAGAAATATTTTAAAAGGTATAGAAATAATAACACAATTTTGTGTTATTGGAGAAAGAATAAGCATAAAGCCCAATGGAAAACTAGAGAGCCAAAACTAGGCTTGCACATTTACAGTCTATTGATTTCTACAAAAGTACAACACAGTTCAGTGGAGAAAAGACTAAAAAAAAAGCTACAACAACAATTAGATATCCATACTTAAAAAAATGAATCTGAGCCATTCCTCACTCTTTATACAAAAATAAACTCCAAACAGATCATTGGCTTTTCATAAACAGCTAAAACCATAAAACTTCTACAAGAAAACATGGGAGAAAATCTGTGTGATCTTGGTGTAGGCAAAGATTAAAGATTTAGATATCACACCAAAAGCACAATCTACATAACATAAATGCTTAATAATTTGAACTTCATCAAAATGAAGAACTTCTGTTCTTCAAAAGGTACCATTAAGAGCATTGAAAGGCAAACCATAGATTGGGGCTTAATATTTGTTAGTCACACAGCTGCTGAAGACCCTGTATCCAGGCCAGGCACGGTGGCTCACACCTGTAATCCCAGCACTTTGGGAGGCCCTGGCGGGTGGATCACCTGAGGTCAGGAGTTTGAGACCAGCCTGGCCAACATGGTGAAACCCCATCTCTACTAAAAAAAAAAAAAAAAAAAAAAAAAATAGCCGGGCACGGTGGTGGGCACCTGTAATCCCAGCTACTCGGGAGGCTGAGGCAGGAGAATCACTTGAACCCAGGAGGCGGAGTTTGCAGTGAGCTGAGATTGCGCCATTGCACTCCAGCCTGGGTGATAGAGTAAGACTCTGTCTCAAAAAACAAAAAGATCCTGTATCCAGAATTTATAAAGAACACTCAAAATTCAATAATTGCAGAACAACCAATTAAATGTTTAAAATGGGCAAAAAGATGATACATGGATGTCAAATAAGCACATAAAAATACACTCAACATAATTCATCTTTAAGGAAATGGAAACTAAAACTACAGTGAGATGCCATTATATATTTATTAGAACAGCTAAAATTTAAATTAAAATAGATTACCCATACCAAGTGCTGACAAAGATTTGGAAAAACTGAAACTCTTGTGCACTGCTGGTGGGAATGTCAAATGGTATAACCTTTATGCAAAAGAGTTTGTCCATTTTTAAAAACTTAATATGCATCTACAATGCTAAGGTCTGAGAAGGATACAGAGCAATTGAAACTCTTACTTATTGCTGGTGGGAATGAAAAGTCACATTAGAAAAGAGTTTGGAAATTTCTTATAAATTTAAACATATGCTTACCACATGACACAGCAAGCTTGCTGTAAGTTTTTTATCCACTTGAAATAATTATGTATGTTCACACAAAAATCTGCATGTAAATATTCATGAAAGTTTATTTGTAATTATGCAAAAGTGCAAAAAACTCGATTATCCCTCACCTGAAAAATGAATAAACAAACTTTGGTAGATCCACATAATTGAATTGTACTCTGCAATAAAAAGAATAACTACTGACACCCACATCTACATGGATAGATCTTTACTCTAAGTGAAAGAAGCCAGACTCAAAATTCTACATACATTTTAATTTCATTTTATGACATTCCATAAAGGGCAAAAGTATAGTAAAGACTAGATCAGTGGTTTCTAGGAGCTTGGAGTTGAGAGGAAGGCCGGCAACAAAGCAGCAGGAAGGAAATTTTTGTTATGATGAAACTATTCTCTATCTTAACTTTTGTGGTAGTTTCATGACTACATGCATTTGTAAAAATTCACAGAAATAAGTATGATTGTTTGTAGATTATGCCATGATAAACATGGAAAACATGCATCAGGTTGGAAGATAGAATTATGGATGTTTTTGATATTCTGATTTTTTTTTATTTCTCTGGAATAAATACTCATTGCTTTTATAATAAATAAGAAAGATGAAACTTTAAAGAGACTCACAGAAATCAGGGACTTTAAAACAATGAATATTCCTTATCCGTTAGGTTAATAATGTCCAGGATTTGTGAATGTGATGATGATATGATTAAGGAAAATGTCCTCAGAAGTGTTAGTTGAAACATCAGTTTGGCAACATTACTAGTAATTATGTTCATATTATTTGACCCAGTAATTCCACATATAGGTATTTAACCTAAAATGTCGGCTTTGGTGCTATTGCATACCTCAAAACCACTTGATACAAACTGGTCTGTAAAATGTTTATGAGGACAGATTAGCATCTCTGTGAGTTGTTCTATCCTCTCTGGTCTACACACTACAGATCTAGGGGAAGCTCCAGCTTCTCATCTGCTTGATTTGAGTCCCATGGAGAAGCTCTGATATGTGGTAAGGTGGAAAAATATGACACGGTGCGATCAAGGCATTAGAGGATGAAGCTATTGAAGTGAAAACAAAATTGAAGAGGCAAATTCTTTTGAGCAGAGGGTAATTTTTTTCTTATTTCATTTAAAGATAGATTGTCCTTAGGAAGTACAGTTCAAAGGGGAATCAGCATGATGTTAAGGAAAGCAAGCAAAGGTGGGGATGTAGCAGCCCACCTAAATGACACTAACTCCAAATCACCATCATCCAGGGTACTCAAGAATAGGCAATTACAGAAAGCTTACCTCAAGTGATATGAAATATTAGACTAGCTGAGAATACAAACATCATCTGTGTATAAAACAGTCCTTTTTCTTAGAGTTCATTAAGTCAAATTTGAATTTAGAGGCAGTTTTAGCAGTCTATGACATCTTAGTATGGCATCTGTTCCTAACTAGCTGAGTGATACTGTGATTTTGACCACTTCACTCAATCTCTCTGAACTTCAGTATTCTCAAAGATGAGAAAACTGGCTTCTGTAGCATCTGAAGTTTCTTCAGAATCTGGTTTCCCAAAATGAGCAAAATAATCTTAAACACATATACACACACATATACATACACAGATATATATATGTGTGTGTGTGTGTTTGGTGTGTGTGTGTGTGTATAAGAATAGCATTGGGCAAAAAAATATAAAAATGTCTAATTGGCATCTAAGCCTACTATAATGAAAGACACATAAGCAGAAAGGTAGTGTAAAACAGTACGTTTTTATTATTTCACTCTTTGACGGCAGACCACAATGGTAAACTTTAACGTCTCTTTTCCTTATTGGGCATAGATAGCTTTGGACCTTCGCAGTAGTGAGACAGCCAGATGGGAAGGGGTCCCCAGAGAAACTCCAGCCCGCACACTGGGCAGAGTGTGCACTGGGGTGGAGCCACAGAAGTTTGCGCCATTTGCAGTGGACAGGAGCCTGGCCCCTCCTCTTCCTGGATGGAACCTGGAATTCAAACTGTGAGGCGGGAAGTGCACTAGCAAGGACTCTGGCTTTGTGGACCATCCCTCTTTCCCTCTTTTCCTTTTCACCCAAAAAACCCTGCCCTCCTCATGCTTCATGTTGTCTGTGACCCTAATTTTTCATGGCCATGTGATAAGGACCCCTGTCTTTAGCTGAAATAAGGAAAAGTCCCACAACATTTTTGGTGCCCAAAATGGGGCTCGAGAATCGGTGGGTGAGTTGCAAACCAAGGAATCTTTTTCCCTCTCCTTTCTGAGCCTTTCATCCTCAGACTTCTGAGGGTAGGGGAAATCATGCCCCCACCCCCGTTGTCGCTTCCAGGGGTTGGGATGGTCGACCTGTCTCCATGGCCTTTTACTTCCTTTTTCCAGATGAACCGGTGAGCAGTGGCTCCTCATCACCCTCCCCTCCCTGCTGGGGCTGGGATACACATCCCAAGGTGCCCCAGGTACATGGCTGTGTTTACTGCCATGGGCCCATGAAGTCTCTCCCTCCCCAGGTCAAGGAGGCCAGCTTCATCCCCCACTCCTTTTTTTTTTTTTTTTTTGAGACAGAATCTTGCTCTGTCACCTAGGCTGGAGTGCAGTGGCATGATCTTAGCTCACTGCAACCTCCGCCTCCCGGGTTCAAGCAATTGTCCTGCCTTAGCCTCCCAAGTAGCTGGGACTACAGGCATGCACCACCACGCCTGGCTAATGTTTGTATGTAGAGATGGAGTTTCACCATGTTGGCCAGGCTGGTCTCGAACTCCTGACCTCAAGTGATCTGCTGGCCTTGGCCTCCCAAAATGCTGGGTCTAGAGGCATGAGCCACCGTGCCCAGCCTAAGAATGTCACTTTCTAACAGGTCCAAGAACTCCAAGTTTATCTTGGGACCTTAAGAGAAGAGAATCACTCAACTCACAGGCATTTGAGGATACAAACCCATGACTGGGCTTGGCTTTAAAAGGTCTTATCTGAGACTCCTTGTGAAACAGTTCCATCAAAGCCAATCCAAAAGGCCTATGTAGAAATAATTATTCCTCTTGCACTTTATGCAAATAATCAGACCAAGTGTAAGACTACAATCTATTTTGCAAACAACTCAGTCCTATCATGATTTATGTTTTTTTGTTTGTTTTTTCCAAAAATGAGGACTAGAGAGAAAGAAATTGTGTTTCAAAACTTATCATACATTTGCCATTAAATTCTAAACTCACTAGTTGTTTTTAAGTTTTTGCCTACAGTTTAGATGAACCTTGCTTGTTCCTGTGAACCAACAAGCAAGCTCCAGCTACAGCTCAGAAAGAACAAAAGGTATGGGTAATGTAAAAATCTCCGTCAGCATCCTAGTTCTGAGCAATAATCCTGCAAAATCCTGCCAGGTGATGGGAATAAATAGGATGCCCATCACTCGAAGGTTTCCTCTTTGGGAAAGTAACACCAAGGGAGCTAACCAAAGCCAAGCACCATGCACCCAAATCCTAGCAAGCATTAACTGTAGCCACCAGTTATCTAGGTGTGTCACAAGACATCTTTTTCTCTTCCTTGTTGGAGGAGGACTCAATTCCACAGCTTCAGTTTAGCATTCGGCTTATGATAAAGAGTCCATGCAACATCCTTCAAGACACATTTTGTCCCAAACTCAATTCATAAATTAGGTCTAGGGAATCAAGGCTATTGACAGCAGGGGAGAATAGGGCATACATGGGTATCCCCTAGGCTCCCCTGCTTCATGGGTACAAGCCGCTTTACCACCCATGGTGCTGACTGCCAAGGTTGCTGGGACTTGGGGATGTGAGGATGGAAGAGGGAAAGAGGATGCTCTTCCTTCTCTCCCTCATGTACCATGGGTATCTGCTAGGAAGAGACGGGAACCAGGGATGCCTGCTCCCCTCTTTTTAGATGAGTAACCATTCATTTTCAATCTGTACCCCTTTTGAAAGCATCCTGAACCTTTGGGACTCCTTTGAAAAAACACCTTTCATTTTTCCTTTCTCCCCCCTCAGTTCTCTCTTCACTGATAGGCAATTGTGTCTCCGTACTACGGGACACTCCCGTCAGATGCATCCTCCAAACTGGGAAGAGTTTAAAACCTTAAACTGGTCAGCTTAGGATTGGGCTCAGGGGAAGGGAACCCAGAAGCCCAACATGGCAGCTAAAGGGTAGTTTTTTTTTTTTTTTTTTTTTTTTTTTTTTTGCCGGTTGGGCTTTTGGCCTCCCTCTCCTTGTGCAAACTGATAAAAGGCCTCAGGATTTTTGAGCTGTCCTTACCCCTCCCCTTGTTTAGATACATGTTTTCTAATAACACAATTTGTCTCTTCTTGCCTTCAGGCCATCAAACTCCAGTCATGCAACTGGAGAGGCGGACAATGGCCCATTCTGCTGGGAACCCTTAAATAGGCCTCTGAGGGACTTTGACTGCTGTTTTGCCGAAACAGCACCCCCTGTCAGCAGGAAGCAGTTAAGATCGGTCTTTGTCCTTATCCTTATCCTTATTCTAATGGCAGTTAGATGCATTTCTTTAGAGGGGGCAATGAGACAGCCAGGTGGGAAGGGGTCCCCAGAGAAACTCCAGCCTGCACACTGGGAGGAGTGTGCACTGGGGTGAAGCCACAGAAGTTTGCGCCATTTCCAGTGGGGAAGAGCCCAGCCCCTCCTCTTCCTGGGTGGAACCTGAAATTCAAACTGCCAGGTGGGAAGCCCACAAGCAGGGAGTCTGGCTTTGCAGAAGGACCGTTTCCCTCTTTTCCTTTTCACCCAATAAACGCTGCCCTCCTCACACTTCAAATTGTCTGCGAGCCTAACTTTTCATGGCCCCATGATAAGGATTCCCATGTTTAGCTGAACAAAGGAAAATTCCTGCAACAGTAGTAGACTTCCCCATTCCATTCCTCACAGCTTCCACCACATCCCCACAACCCTCTCCTAACGTACACACCCCAAACGAGAAGAGCAGCCTGGGTTCTAAATCAAGCTCTCTAATTTACCATCTAAGGGTCATTAAGAAAGTGACTTTGCCTTTCTATTCCGTGTTTGTCACATATTATAGGGTGAGTAAAGAGGAGAAAACAATCAACCTTCTAGAACTAATATGAAGATTAAGTGTCACAAAATAATTGCCAAGTACCAGGTACCAAATATATAATCAATAAATTTAGCTAAATTTTAGTTTTAGATACTTACTTTCTGCTATTCTATTCTGAATAAAATTAATTATCTTCAGTGTTTGCCTAATGCAGCTCTTCCTAGGGCAGCTTTCTAATGTATCAGATCACTATAGTGGATTGCGAGAACAGGGAATATGGTTTGAAAGTGCGTGAAGAGCAGTCGGTGTTTTGAGGAAATGCATAAAACCAGATATTTCACATCAGGCAGGCCCAGATATTCCTCTAACACAGACAAGTGCCTTCATGCACATCACCAGAAGGTGCCTCATTTGGCAGAAAAATTACCCAATTATGCCCCCTCCAGGAGACCAATTCTGAAAAGATATCTACTGCTCTGGGCTAAAACAGTAACACAGCACTTGGCAACTGAACCACAAACTGGATTTCACGCTTACTTATCCCTTTAGCCTGGTTTCTTTCAGCAGAACACAGCCTGTTCATTCTTGATCAGGGCTTTACCCGGTAAAGATCACACCCAAAGTATAAATCCAAATATTGCTTGAGGCCTGTGTGCCCCACCCTGATTTGCAGACCACAGACTATTTGCTTTTAAGCAACTCATGGATGGATTAAAGAGACTGCTGGGGAAGCATTCCTTTCACAAAAAAGATAATGTTTATTTATTTTTTCAAATTATAGAAGTTGTAGATGCAAAATATGCCATTTTATTAAAAAAAAACTATGAAAAATTAAAAAAGCACTCCCAATACCCCATTCCATAGGATTAACAGCTAGTATATATGGTGGTGTGTATGTATAGTGTTGTATTTCAACCAGGTATATGTACATTTTTTTAGGCACTTAGACCTTATCTCCATAAACATTATCGTCAATGACATCCAGATTTTAGAAGAAAAAGTCTGGTGAAGTTTCCATACTTGAATCAGGATTGAGTATGTCTTTCTTGTTTTTCCTGGTCTTGATGACCTTGAAGGAGAAAGAGATAAAGACAGACCAGTTGAGATGCTGATGATCCTACATTTCTCCCTTCAATCACACTGTATCTCCTCCCCCTGCACCATATCTCTTCCCCTATTCCTTTCTAAATGATTCTTTTCTCGCTCTCATCTATCTCCCTTAATAAATTCTTGACCTTTGAGTCATGCCTCTCTGTTTAATTTGGACCGTGAAATGAGATATTCACTCCTACTCAGCATGAGTGCAAGTGAAAGAGCAGGAGATGTCAGGGAACAACAGGAGAGAGAAAGGAGCTGGTGCACCCAATGACAAGAGTTGAGGAGAGGGTTTTCATTGGGCAGAAGGAAGGGGGAGAGTACAAAAGGTATTCCTGGTGCAATTGCTATCAAAGAAGGTTTGAAATGTTTGACTGCTGGTCCTGAGAACTGGAGCAATCTGAGAGCATGTGTGTGCCTGAATATGTCAGCCTTTGTTTTGAACTATTTGCCTTCTAATATTAGCCTTTGTTAGTGTTCCAAGAATCCCACATGAATGTATGGGTCAGTGTGGCAAAAAGCATGGACTTTGTTATGTAGACCCAGCTACCTCTGTCTGATGTAAACCAGTGTATGTATCTCACTAAAGGCAGGTACCTTTGTGATCTGATTTGCTCAGATGCATTCTTGGTAATTCAGGGCTGCTGTGAGCTAAGTTGATGACCCTCTATGGTAGACAGTATTTCTCCCATTTCACAAATGATGAACCTGAGATTCCTAGTGTAAGTCTTTAGTCAACTAGAAAGTCACAGAACCAGCTAGTTGAAACAAATGTGCCTTAACCAAACCCAAATTCTTATTAAATTATCTCCACATTGTGGTAAAAGCAACCAATTCTTTCTTATTTAACTTAGGTATCATGGCCTTTGAAAGTCTCTGTAATTTTTTTTATTATGATTACAAGTATCCTTCTTTAAAAACAATGGTGGGAAGTTTACACCCAGTAAAGTGCAAGGCTTTGTTCCTTTTCCACTTGCTAGACTCTCTGTAATAGTAGCAGTCTAGTCTTCTTAAAGTATAAACAAAATGATTCGCCACTTGGAAAAATGATGTTCCTATAAAGTTCCAACCTTGATGTGACTATGAATTACAGATCTCAACTCCCCGGTATTCCCACTTTTCGGTGCCAATTCAAAGCAGGTGAGTTTCAGTTTATCTCCTTCCTCACAGTTGATTGTGGTCAGTCGTCCATGCACCACCACTTCCATCTTCCCTGTATTATCTTGTATTTCATAATAAGTGAATTCACCCCTTACATTTTTCTGCAAAAGAAAATTAACACTTATCTTCTGAAACTGGATCAATAATTTTCAAATCTATGAGAAATACAGGGTGTTTCTGGAAACTTTTGTCTTTGATAGAGTAAACAGAGCTGTAGGTCCTGAATAACAGGTACCAAATAGCTTAAGATACTTGGTCTTTGAATCCTGCCTTTCAACTCCTCCCTTGAGCCTCTTTTGTTGAAGTTCTTTGTCTGCTGGATTTTTTCTAGGAAAAAAAATTGATTACTTTCCTAATTCTTCCTGTTTCCACATCAGCACAGCTGGGATTTTTTAAGGAGCCTGGATACAGAAAAATCTGATTAATTTGGTAGGTTTCTTTCACACCTGCCCAAGAGCAGAGAATAGAGGCTTTTTATGGCACTTTGTAAGTTTGAGAAAGAATGTTGCACGTCCTCATTAAGTAGACTGTTATTTCAATATGTAACTACTTCTTTCTTCTCCATATAGTCACTCTTTCCCAATCTGCCCAGATCTCAAATCTAGATCATCCTATCTATCTAGTCACATTGTTCTGGTTTGTAGCTCATTATTCATTAACTCTACAACCACATATATATGTACAGTCATTTAAACTGAGTGTAGAGAAAACAGCACAATTAAAAGTAAGCCACCCTAGAAGACATGTATAATGGAGTATGAAACAGTACTTCAAACAAGAAGTTAAATCAGCTAAGCATAATATTTACATGATGTGTAGAGACTGAAAGGCACACTGTAAGCCTAAGAATTCACCAAGCTTTTTTTCTTTTTTTTGCATTTTATTGCCCCATTTATAAATTGAGCAGTTAAGCTACGTGACTTTTTTAGTCTTTTTGCTTCGTATTTCTCTTATTATTTAATGCAGAAGTTAGTTGCTCTACAGTCTCCTGATGAATTAATGAATGAGAAGAGGCAAGAAACTTTGGAGTCCAAATGATCAGAATTCTAGCTAACTGTTAGACATAGCTGCATTCTAAAGCAGAGTAGTCTATTTTATTTCTTACTCTGGTTGTCACAATCAGGATTCAGGCTTGGGAGAGCAACTCTTTTATTCACAATTAAATTAAGTTGTCATTGATACAGATGGAGAAGAACTCAAAGAAACAAAATCCTAAGGATATGTGTGTTGATATAAACTCTGCACTGTCCTGGACAAGGGTGGCTCTGAATAGATCATCAAAACTAATAAAATGCCAAGTTTCCTAGTGACTGTCTAAATAACTTGCATGATGATACCTTAAGAAGAGGAATGTTACAATATAACGTACCCCATATCCTGAAATGAACTCTATTCAATTATCTCTAGTGCTGGGGGAAGGGTGAAGGGGTTGATTTTCTGTGTTGAGTAAGTTGACCAAACTCCAGTTGACAAGTTAAGACTTTAAAAATTGGAGGTTGCAGGAGAAATTTTATAAAACAATGGTGTGGGCTTACCTTATGTACCTCAAACACCCCATTCACAAAACTTCCTTTAGTTTGTGAGCAAAGCTGATTGATTTTAGGAGTTACGCTGGCACTTCTAATCAATCCTTTTGGGATCTCCATGTTTCGGTCAGCATTCACATCAGCCACAAGTGTGAAAGGATATACCTCCAGGAACCCATTGCGGCAAACATAATTTGCTATGGCAATGATCTTCTTTGGGGTGAACTTCTCCTTTAGGTCAATATTAAAAACCTTCACTCGGAAGACTTCATTCTCAGTTGCCACTGTGGCATGAAACATTTTCTTCTGCTCTTTGGGCTCATATACAAATGATTCTGTTGCGTTCAGCACCATCACTTCTTTGAGGTCACTCTGGGCACTGTCTTCTATGGAAACTTCTTCAGGTTCAGTCTTCAGTCTTGGTTTCAACTTAGAAGGTAGAGACCAAAACATAGGCACAATTAAAACAGGAAAAACAGGGTCATTCTCTAGTGAGAGTCATCTCAGCCTCAGTGTTGGTCCTCAAGTATCACCTTAACTGGGTAAAGTAGGGAAAACTAGACAAAGATCACTGAGATAGTATGATTTAGGTAACGGAAGAAATGAAAAAGATGTAAGGAGTAATTTTATTATCTTCATTGTTTTATGAGAGTGGAAGGAAGAATATTTCTTTTTTAATGAGAATTAACCCATAAAGAAAAGGCATATCCCCTATCAAGAGGTATGGGGAAGCAGAGGGTAAAGGCAAAGCTGCCATGAAGTGACTCCCAAAAGAGATGAGATTTTAGAAGAATCTCAGTTTTACTCCTTTCTACCCAGGTCAGGTCATATTGAGCACTGCTGGTCCGTGGAGGCAGCTGTCCTGCCTCCATGTTCTGGTCTCTAGGACTCCCTTGATCCCTTCTTGCCTCCATACTTCCTCTTCCAGATCAGCAGCCCCTCCAATTCAAAGTGCTCTCCTACAACTCAGAAATAGTGCAGGCCACTGTGGAGAGAGGAGGTTAAAGAAAAGTTCCCTCCTGCCTAATATGACAGTGACCAAATAAAATAAAAATAGAGAAAAAAATCATATTACTAGCATTCAGAGTAAGGAATAGTCTCAACCACAAACCTTAGATTTCATGAGATTTCAGTTGGAACTCATTCTAGTAGATAGGGGCATTTTAAAGAACCAAATTGCAAAGCCCTTTCTAATGAAGCAGCACTATGTTGCAAAAACATCATTAAGGCAGCCACTGGAAGACTCCACAAACTTTCCTAATCTGAAGGGGCCCAGGTTAGAGGCTCTCCAATCTGAATAATGGCAGGAACTAAAAAGAGTCATGGACGTGAAAAATTAGGCGGGAGGGGACTTTTCTTTAACCTCCTGTCTCCACAGTGGCCTGCACTGTTTCTGAGTTGTAGGAGAGCACTTTGACTTGGAGGGGCTGCTGATCTGGAAGAGGAGGTATGGAGGCAAGAAGGGATCAAGGGAGTCTTAGAGACCAGAACATGGAGGCAGGACGGCTGCCTCCACAGACCAGCAATGTGATCTGACCTGGAAGATGATATTGGCCACCTGTGAGTGATGGCTTTAACTCTGATGGACTTAACTCTAATGAACTCATCAATGTGGCCAATTTTCCATAACATTAGGAAACCCATTCCCAATGAAGTTAATCAGTATCAAATCACCTCACAATAGCCATGACATCAGTACCCTGACACAAGGTGCACAGAACCTAAGGAAATAATTATAAAGCTACTCTGAGGGCAATGAAAGAAGATCTGAGAGACATGTGATCTTATTATGTTCGTTGTAAATACACAGAATACTGGAAACAACATAAAGCCAAATAAAAAATGATCATTTTTATAATGTATGGAATAACTGTGCAATTTTTCTAGTACAATAAAATAATTTAAATCTATATTGTATGATTGCATGGCAGTTCACGATATATTAATAAAAAACATGGGTTATGGAAAAATATGTGAATGTGATTTACTCTGAGAGAAAATAAGACTCTTTGTATATACATACTGAAAGGTATAAAATCAGAAAGACCATGTACTGAAATGTGGCATTAGATAGAGATTTCTGACAGTTAAAAGTTATTTTTGCTTATGTACCTTCCTTTCCTAAATTTTTAAACATATTGTTTGAGTTATAATAAATGAAAGGGGAAAAATCAGTGATAGTGTTATGGGTGGCTCTGTTTTTTCCCACCTTGTTCTACTTTAAGGTATGATTTTCATGATGTATTGAGGGAAAAACAAAAACGTAAGCCAAAAGAAAAATAAAATTAAACAAACATCTAATTATACCTGTTATGGAATAGAGATGATAAAAACAGAATTTTAATTTTGGATAGGACCTCAAAATACACACTTGATAAATAAATGACTGATTTGGTTAAATTAAAGCATTGTATGTAGTAGGGGATTGGTGAGGTGCTTTCACGGTTGTGTTAATCCTTGTCATTATATAGTAGCGAGGGGAATGTATTGGGAAGAGGGAACTTGTACCGTGGTTAAGAAACTGCTGCTTGGTGTTGATGGAGGCATCTGAGGAGTGTGGGGATGGCTCTCAGCTGGGCCTATGCTGGTCATGAACGGTCCTGGAAAATGACTCCCTTCCTTCAGTATCTGCATCCTCATGAAGTCATTCATTTTGGAGATTGTGTCTTCACTTTTCTAAAGGAAAATAGATGTTTGTTCTTTTTTTCTAGTTAATGTTTTTCAAGATCAGATGAAACACATCTTTTCCTTTTTTCTTTTTTAAATAGGATGTTCACTTTGCCAGTTTCTCTGTTTTTCCCTGAGTTGCAGGAGGAATAATACCACATATTCAGATACTTCTATCACTCAGCCTTCTCTCATCCCAGTCAGGATTAAAAACTCAGATAACTGAAATTGCATTGTCTGGGGATGGAATACTCAGTCTTCACATCCTGTAAAACTGGACTGAGTTATTTGGTCAGGTACAACTCTTAGGGCTATTTTGGGGGCAGCATGGCTTGCAATAAAGTTGGCTACATTTATGGACATTTATTAACTAGGCCTTTCTCATCAATTAGATACACAAACCAGTCTCTCTCAAGTGCTCTTCAGCATACAAGAAACCCAGATCTCCATCCTTTAGGGATCTCTGATCGTAGCCATAACAGGAAGATTCTCTCAAATTCACAATTCCTCAGGGAAGGTTCTATGATCACTACAGTGTGGATCAGGCTATCAGAATCTTTCAGGGTTTTTAGCTGTATTCAGAACAATTTAATATTCCACCTAAAGCATTCCCATTAGCTATATTTTTATACATTTTTCAAGTAAGACTGGAGAATATCTCTAAAATCACATACCTTGACTACCTTTAATTAAACTAATGGAAGTCCAAAAAATATTCACCCTATTTGGCCAATGTGGCACATTATTTTAGCAGTTTTGCCATTCAGTAACCTAATTTTTTAAGTGGCAATTGTTGATAGAGAGGTACACAAAAGAACTGCTTGTAGTGAGCTCACATGGAGAACAGCTTCTTGATTAGAACAGTCTCTGACCACCACTGAGCACCTGGACTATGGAAATAAACCCCAAACAAAACACTGTATTTTCAAAATTGTTTAACATTTGCACACCTACTGTGGATTCAGTCTATGCTCATTAAAGGTTCACATTTTAAATGTTAACATTTTAAGTTCAATAAGGCTGCATTTGAATCCTGACTCTAATACTATTTGTGTGACCCTGAGGAAGATTTCTTTGCATCTCAGTTTTCTCACATGTGAAGTGGGACTAGCCATAGCATTTTTGTATGGTGTTATAAAGAATAAATTAGGTAATGTGCACAAAGAATGGGTTTTAGAGTCCAGAGCTCAGTAAATGCTCAATAAATAAATCTTTGTTGCTATTATTTTTCCACGATCTATTAGGGGTTTGCGTGTCTGCTCTGATGAACAGCTATTTCATGCTTTATGATGCCCTTGCTGATGGAAATCTTGTATGGAGGTAATATAGGAAGCATAATAGGAGAGAAGCCCCTCTCTTCAGATCTGCCATGTGTAGCAATGTAATTTTATTGACAAGATTGTCTTGAGATATAATGTTTTAAAAATAAGTGAAATCTTAAACTGTCATCACAGTAGCCCAGTTTGGATGATGAAATTATAATCTTTGTTTGAATAATATTTTAAAAGTGCAAGCATTTGTTTTCCCTCAGAATAAATCCTCCTCCACCCTACCCTGTTCATGAATTATGCCCTTGTGTACTGTTCACTTCAGGATACGTAACAGCATAAATCAAAGGTAATAGTCTGTTTCCGGCTTTGAATTAAAGTCAGAAAGAACTCTATTATAGAAAAACTACTTGGGAGAAGCTGTGATGTATAAGAGCAAGGATTCCCGGCTTACGTTGCGAATCACAGACTGATTGGTCAGACACCATTTTTGCAGGCCTCCTGTGAAGATGGCTGGATCCCAGAGAAGAAATGACTACGTGGTGTATGTTTAGGTGGATGAGTCTGCCTTGGATCCTGAGCTTTCAGAGCAGCAGAATGATTCCTATGCAAGTAGAAATGATTGTGCTGCATATTTAGGCAGGCAAGGTCTTAGAAAGTGTCACTTCCAAGCCAGTATGCATGGACAGAGTAGTTGTCTTATGATGTCTATGTATGTCATTACAGTAACAGAGAGACAGTGGGCCTGAGATTTTCATGACTACACATGGGCTCTACCTGTGGCCTTGATGGTAAGTCCCAAGATGGCAACAGTTACAAGCAGCTAGTTCTGCCCAAGAAGAACCAGGAAAGACTATATAGGGGGAAATATGAAATCTTGAAATTAATAACTAAAAAAAAAGACTGTCTAAAAAATTGAGAAAACCTGTATGTAGAAAGCCTGTTCTCAACTGACGTGTGTGGATGGTGCTCGGGTCCGCAACCTGGGCCGGGGGTAGCTTGGGGCTTGGGTGAGAAACAACATTGGAGAATAGTAATGTAAATCTTAGTGTTCCCTATCCCTCAAGTTGCCGTGGGTCAGTATTTCCCTGCCCATACCTTCCCTGCCCATTCGTCTTGGGTGTAGGCCCCATAGCGCTGGATTGTAGGTCATACAGAGGTATCAGGGCAGAACAAAAGGCAAGCTGGGATAAGGGTTGATAACACACAAGTGTAAATTCACTTTCCCACCTCTGTGTTATCTTCTCCTAGGAAAGGGTATCTATAACCTACATTTATTGCTGAGTAGGGAAGAAAGTCATAGGTTTATTATAGCTATGATAAATGCTCTAAAGAAATAGAAAGGTACCTATGAAGGCAAACAATGAGAAAATATGATCTATTCTGGGAGGAGGGTATTAGTGAGAACTTGCTCAAGGAATAGATGAGACTGGTACCTCGTGGTTGAACTTATTTGGGGACAGAATTGAGATGGAAAAATTTGATATCAAAGGAAGTATCAAAACCCTTGATGTGGTTAAGAGCATGGATAGTGAAACTAACCTCTGATGTATGGTGAGAGAGCAAAAGAGAAAGGATTGCAAAGAAACTGGAATGTAGAGGATGAACATATTGGTAATAATAATACTGGTGGAATTGTTATTCAGGAAAAAATAGCAATTATTCCTGTTCATATCTCAAATCATTGTATGTTGTTTATTTAAAGGGAGACATGGTAGAAGATATCAAATATAAAAATGTTATCCTTCTGGTTTTCAAATCAAAACCAGGAATAACGCATATCACACACAAAACTCATCAATGTGGCCAATTTTCCATAACATTAGGAAACCCGTTCCCAATGAAGTTAATCAGTATCAAATCACCTTACAATAGCCATGACATTAGTACCCTGACACAAGGTGCACAGGACCTAAGGAAATAATTATAAAGCTACTCTGAGGGTAATGAAAGAAGATCTGAGAGACATTTGTTCTTACTATGTTCATTGTAAATTCACAGAATACTAGAAACAACATAAGCCAAATAACGTAGGATCATTTTATAATGTATGGAATAACCATGCAATTTTTCTGGTACAATAAAGTAATTTAAATCTATATTGTATGGTTGAATGGCAGTTCAAGATATATTAATAAAAAGCATGAGTTATAGAAAAATATGCGTAATGTGATTTACTCTGAGAGAATATAATAAGACTCTTTGTATATACATAATGAAAGGTGTAAAGTCAGAAAGACCATGTACTGAAATGTGGCATTAGATAAAGATTTCTGATAGTTAAAAATTAATTATTTTTGCTTATGTACCTTCTTTTCCTAAATTTTTAAAGATGGTATTATTTGAGTTATAATAAATGAAAGAGAAAGAATCAGTGATAGTGTTATGGTTGGCTCTGTTTTTTCCCACCTTGTTCTACCTTAAAGTATTATTTTCGTGGTGTATTGAGGGAAAAACAAAAAGGTAAGCCAAAAGGAAAATAAAATTAAAAAGATATCTAATTATACCTGCTATGGAATAGAGATGATAAAAATAGAATTTTAATTTTGGATAGGACCTCAAAATACACACTTGATAAATAAATGACTGATTTGGTTAAATTAAAGCATTGTATGTAGTAGGGGATTGGTGAGGTGCTTTCAAGGTTGTGTTAATCCTTGTCATTACATTGTAGTGAGGGGAATGTATTGGGAAGAGGGAACTTGTACCGTGGTTAAGAAACTGCTGCTTGGTGTTGATGGAGGCATCTGAGGAGTGTGGGGATGGCTCTCAGCTGGGCCTATGCTGGTCATGAACGGTCCTGGAAAATGACTCCCTTCCTTCAGTATCTGCATCCTCATGAAGTCATTCATTTTGGAGATTGTGTCTTCACTTTTCTAAAGGAAAATAGATGTTTGTTCTTTTTTTCTAGTTAATGTTTTTCAAGATCAGATGAAACACATCTTTTCCTTTTTTCTTTTTTAAATAGGATGTTCACTTTGCCAGTTTCTCTGTTTTTCCCTGAGTTGCAGGAGGAATAATACCACATATTCAGATACTTCTATCACTCAGCCTTCTCTCATCCCAGTCAGGATTAAAAACTCAGATAACTGAAATTGCATTGTCTGGGGATGGAATACTCAGTCTTCACGTCCTGTAAAACTGGACTGAGTTATTTGGTCAGGTACAACTCTTAGGGCTATTTTGGGGGCAGCATGGCTTGCAATAAAGTTGGCTACATTTATGGACATTTATTAACTAGGCCTTTCTCATCAATTAGATACACAAACCAGTCTCTCTCAAGTGCTCTTCAGCATACAAGAAACCCAGATCTCCATCCTTTAGGGATCTCTGATCATAGCCATAATAAGAAGATTCTCTCAAATTCACAATTCCTCAGGGAAGGTTCTATGATCACTACAGTATGGATCAGGCAATCAGAATCTTTCAGAGTTTTTAGCTGTATTCAGAAGAATTTAATATTCCACCTAAAGCATTCCCATTAGCTATATTTTTATACATTTTTCAAGTAAAATTGGGGAATATCTCTAAAATCACATACCTTGACTACTTTTAATTAAACCAATGGAAGTCCAAAAAATATTCATCCTATTTGGCCAATGTGGCACATTATTTTAGCAGTTTTCCCATTCAGTAACCTAATTTTTTAAGTGGCAATTGTTGATAGAGAGGTACACAAAAGAACTGCTTGTAGTGAGCTCACATGGAGAACAGCTTCTTGATTAGAACAGTCTCTGACCACCACTGAGCACCTGGACTATGGAAATAAACCCCAAACAAAACACTGTATTTTCAAAATTGTTTAAAAATAAACTGCAGACATTTTAACATTTGCACACCTACTGTGGATTCAATCTATGCTCATTAAAGGTTCACATTTTAAATGTTAACATTTTAAGTTCAATAAGGCTGCATTTGAATCCTGACTCTAATACTATCTGTGTGACCCTGAGGAAGATTTCTTTGCACCTCAGTTTTCCCACATGTGAGATGGGACTAGCCATAGCATTTTTTTATGGTGTTATAAAGAATAATTTAGGTAATGTGCACAAAGAATGGGTTTTAGAGTCCAGAGCTCAGTAAATGCTCAATAAATAAATCTTTGTTGCTATTATTTTTCCACGATCTATTAGGGGTTTGCATGTCTGCTCCGGTGAACAGATATTTCATGCTTTATGATGCCCTTGTTGATGGAAACCTTGTATGGAGGTAATATAGGAAGCATAATAGGAGAGAAGCCCCTCTCTTCAGATCTGCCATGTGTAGCAATGTAATTTTATTGACAAGATTGTCTTGAGATATAATCTTTTAAAAATAAGTGAAATCTTAAACTGTCATCACAATAGCCCAGTTTGGATGATGAAATTATAATCTTTGTTTGAATAATATTTTAAAAGTGCAAGCATTTGTTTTCCCTCAGAATAAATCCTCCTCTACCCTACCCTGTTCATGAATTATGCCCTTGTGTACTGTTCACTTCAGGATACGTAACAGCATAAATCAAAGGTAATAGTCTGTTTCCGGCTTTGAATTAAAAAGTCAGAAAGAACTCTATTATAGAAAAACTACTTGGGAGAAGCTGTGATGTATAAGAGCAAGGATTCCCGGCTTACGTTGCGAATCACAGACTGATTGGTCAGACACCATTTTTGCAGGCCTCCTGTGAAGATGGCTGGATCCCAGAGAAGAAATGACTACGTGGTGTATGTTTAGGTGGATGAGTCTGCCTTGGATCTTGTGCTTTCAGAGCAGCAGAATGATTCCTATGCAAGTAGAAATGATTGTGCTGCATATTTAGGCAGGCAAGGTCTTAGAAAGTGTCACTTCCAAGCCAGTATGCATGGACAGAGTAGTTGTCTTATGATGTCTATGTATGTCATTGCAGTAACAGAGAGACAGTGGGCCTGAGATTTTCATGACTACACATGGGCTCTACCTGTGGCCTTGATGGTAAGTCCCAAGATGGCAACAGTTACAAGCAGCTAGTTCTGCCCAAGAAGAACCAGGAAAGACTATATAGGGGGAAATATGAAATCTTGAAATTAATAACCAAAAAAATGACTGTCTAAAAAATTGAGAAAACCCACATGTAGAAAGCCTGTCCTCAACTGACATGTGTGATGGTGCTCAGGTCTGCAACCTGGGCCGGGGGCAGCTTGGGGCTTGGGTGAGAAATGATATTGGAGAATAATAATGTAAATCTTAGTGTTCCCTATCCCTCAAGTTGCCATGGGTCAGTATTTCCCTGCCCATACCTTCCCTGCCCATTTGCCTTGGGTATAGGCCCCATAACGCTGGATTGTAGGTAACACAGGGGGTGATATCAGGGCAGAACAAAAGGCAAGCTGGGTAAGTGTTGACAACACACAAGTGTAAACTCACTTTCCCACCCCTGTGTTGTCTTCCCCTAGGAAAGGGTATCTATAATCTACATTTATTGCTGAGTAGGGAAGAAAGTCATAGGTTTATTATAGCTATGATAAATGCTCTAAAGAAATAGAAAGGTACCTATGAAGGCAAACAATGAGAAAATATGATCTATTCTGGGAGGAGGGTATTAGTGAGAACTTGCTCAAGGAATAGATTAGACTGGTACCTTGTGGTTGAAGATATCTGGGGACAGAACTGAGATGGAAAAAATTGACATCAAAAGAAGTATCCAAACCCCCGATGTGGTTAAGAGCATGGATACGGAAACTGAACTCTGATGTATGGTGAGAGAGCAAAGGAGAAAGGATCGCAAAGAAACTGGAATATAGAGGATGAACACATTGGTATAGTAATACTGGGGGATTTATTATTCAGGAAAAAATAGCAATTATTCCTATTCATAATTCAAATCATTTTGTTGTTTATTTTAAGGGAGACATGGCAGAAGATATCAAATATAAAATTGTTATGCTTTGGGTTTCCAATCAAAACCAGGAATAATCCATATCACACACAAAATTTGTGAGAGAACCTATCATCAATAAGAATAAAGCTTTCCTGCAGAGCTACTGGATCATATAGAGGGTAGTCAGACAGGTTTTGCCTCCTATGGGGCTGGCTGGACACCAGAGGGAAAATGGCTGTACCGGAGGTAGAAGACATATGATCCTGGCTGAGATTACTAAGCTAAGGGAGGTTTAGGTGCAGCAGAATAACTCCTATGGCTACAGAAATGGACACATTGCTTATTTAGAAGGGTTGGAGCTAAGAAAACATCACATGTCCCTTTTAAGCCAGTATGTAGGAGAAATCAGAATTTTCCAGGAATATTCACTTACGTCTTTGAAGTAGAAGACAAAAAAATGGGTCTGAACTATTAACGAGTAGGTATGGGCTCCATATATGATTTTTTCAAAATCCCCCTTTTTATAGGCTCTTCCCTCTGCTAATGTGTCTAGATACTGACATAACTTTAGTTTCCTCAGCCCACATTTCAGCCTACACAGGACCAGGATTATAGTCTTCAGTCTGAAATGGTCAAGATTCAGATGACTGAAGTTTCTTTCACTGGCCTTAGATTCTTGGATCTATCTGTGTTGTATGCTGATCTGAGACCACTTAATGTCATTTTCTGGTAGATAACTCTTCCTGGTGATGAGGGGGGCATGACTCAGAGTAAAATCAGCCAAACTGAGGAGTATTTATAAGTAAACCTGTCTCATCAAATGAGTACACATACAGGTAATAGTTATCTGCTCTTCAGGCTCTAGTACACCAACCTCTCCATCTTTTTGTTCAGCAAACTGATCTTTGCTGCGAGGATCCTCTCAAAGCTACAGTTCCAGAGTCAGGATTATGTTGCCCTTGCTGTCTATATGAGGCAAACTGAAATCGTCAAGATTCTCAATCGTAATCACAGGGGTTCCACGTTCCACCTGGGGAATTCCCAGTAGCTGGCTTCTTACACTTTGTTCAAGTGAGGACAGAGAGTGTCTGCAAAATCATATACTTTGAATACCATTAATTATAATAGTGAAAACCCATTTCTAACCATTTACATGTGATGTCCATTTGTCACTGTTTTTCTCACTTCTGGCTTTCACTAATATAATTCTATCGCACCGTTAGCTGAAAAAGTGGTAGGTGAGAGGGCTGCAGGAGCCTGCTGCAGTGCTGTGGCTCTCTGATGAGAACAGCCTCTGGCCACTCTCGTGGACCTCCTCCATCACTGAAAGGCTGCAGAGTTCAGGCTATTAAACAAACCCAAGCCTGACACTGTCTATTCTGAAATGTTAGTGTACACACACATGTAAATATACTGGAGACAATTTAAATCTTCTCTCTCACACTGGTAGAAACATTATTCCAAAACTATGAACGCTAGTGTTCTCATATGTGAATTGAGACTGACAATATCATATTTATGGGGTTGTAATGAAGAATAAGTTACATAATATACATAGCTAATAAGTTTAGAGCCTAGACCCTAGTAAATGCCCAACAAGCAAAAATATAATTATTGCCATTGTTAATAATGGCCTGTGCAGGATTTGAATTTCTGCCTGATGCACACATTTTCCATGCTTTATGTTGACTCTGTTGATGGATACCCCAGATCAAGGTGAGATGAAAATCGTTTCATTAAAAATGTTTCTCTATTTAAGTATGCCACATGTATTAATGGAATCTTATTGAAAGGAGTATATTTCTAAATTTAGAACATAAAACTTTTTGTTCAGTGTTTAAAACTACATACTTCGTAGCATGAGTAGCTATGAAAACACTCAAACAATTTAAGAAAGAAAAGATTAACAACATGCTTCTCTCTGAACTCATCCTCTATCAGCTTTAGCTCCCAGAGGTAAGGACAGTCTTGAATCATGATGAATAGCTCTAAAAATAGCTTTTACCACACAAGGCATTTATTCTTAAGCAATATGATATTTAGTTTTATTAGTTTCAGAGCTTACAAAAATGTTATTATACTATTTAAAATTTACTGTGATTTGCTTTTTCCAATTATTATATGCCTCATATGCATCTGTGATGCATGCATCTGCAGCTTATTTAATTTCAATTCAACATCATGTTCCCTAATTTACCCATTCTCTTGACATACGTCATGGGTTCTTCCAAGATTTTTCCAGTTCACATGATGCTGCTGTGACTATTTGTATACATTTTATTTATTCATATGCCCAGTTGGATTTGCAGCATTGGTAAAGTATGCATGTTTTCAGGTTTAAGATAGCACCAAATTGGTTTTCAAAATGTCTGTACTAATTTGTACCTCTTCAGCAATGGTTCCTATTGCATTATACAATGCAAATACACCTTTGAAGAGGCACAAAGGATGATAATAGTAAGCTAGTGATTTGGCTAAGAAATGGCTGGATGGGGTTTATGTAATTTTCTGTGAAGTCTGAGGATGGCTCACTCCTGGAGGTTTTCTGAAGCCAGAAGTTTGCAGATGCAGTTTCAAGTCTTGAGAAGACTTTATTCTATTGAAGTCATCAACTGGGGTGATTCTGGCCTCCAGGTTCTCAGGAAAAGATTGAGTCTTTTCTGTCTTGTGGTTTTCGGAATGAGATAGAACCCGGCCAGGCACAGTGGCTCACACCTGTAATCCCAACACTTTGGGAGGCCGAGGCGGGAGGATTGCCTGAGGTGAGGAGTTCAAGACCAGTCTGGCCAACATGGTTAAACCCCGTCTCTACTAAAAATACAAAAATTGGCCTGGCATGGTGGTGCACACCTGTAGTCCCAGCTACTTGGGAGGCTGAGGCAGGATAATCACCTGAACCCGGGAGGCACAGGTTGCAGTGAGCTGAGATTATGCCACTGCACTCCATCCTGGGTGACAGCGAGACTCTATCTCAAACAAACAAACAAAAACCTAATGTATCCATGTCTGTATCTATATAGGTTTGGTTTTCTTATTTTTCCTTTTATTCTGTTCTCACTGTCATCTCTCTGGTATTTTCTATGGAAGAAGAGTGTCAATTTAGATATCCTAACTCCTTCAACTGTACACTCACAAACCAGTATTATAGCCTTCATCCTGTTGGTTGAAATTTTATTGGTGTGTGATTGAGTCCTGGCTCTATTTCTGCTGAAAATCCATCTAGGCCAACTTGGTTAAGCCCCTCCATTGAGGTTATTTTTGTTAAATAACCCTCTCAGTTTATAAGGGCAGCAAATTTTAGAACAACATTAACCAAAGTGATAGAAGCCATTCTCATCAAGCAAATACACAAACTGACTCCTGTAATTTGCACTTCAGGTTCCAGGAAACTCACGTGTTGGCTGTTTGGGCATACTGATCCTCCCTTTGCTGGAAGCATTCCCTGAAAGCACAGTTCCAGGGGCGGGATTCTGTTGGTCCTGTGGTGTGTGTGCATCAGATATTCAGAATCCTTCAGGATTCCCAACAGTAATTAGGATCATTCCAAATTGCACTAGGGCATTCCCAGCACCTGTCTTTTTATACCTTGTTAAAGAAAGGATAGAGGGTGTCTGGAAAATCATGTGTGACTTCCCCTAATGTCACTAATGAAAGACTTTAAGAACATTTAAGCTGCATGCAGTGGCTTGTGCATGTAACCCCAGCAACTCAGGAGGCTGAGGCAGGAGAATCACTTGAGGCCAAGAGTTCAAGATCAGCCTGGGCAATATAGCGAGACCTCATCTCTACAAAACATTTTAAAAAATTAGCCAGGCCTGGTAGCGTGCACCTTTAGTCCCATCTACTTGAGAGGCTGAGGCAGGAGGATCCCTTGAGCTCAGGTGTCTGAGGTTGCAGTGAGCTTTGATTGCGCCACTGCACTCCAGCCTAGGTGACAGAGTGAGACCCATCTCCAATATATAGAGACCCGTCTATAAAATATATTTCTCTGGTCTTTAAATAGATTGAAAAAAGGGCTATAAAACCTGCTTGTTATGGTTTCGAACACCCAACCCTATAGGCCCGTTATGCACCTTATTATGGCTTGTGGCATCTGGATTATGAAAACAAATGCAAAATTCAACACTACATATATGAATATTTATGGATATATGACAGAATTTTAATATATACTGTCCCATACTGGAAGAAACATATTTGCATGATTACCAAAGTTTTTTACTTGACTAAAACTAGATATGAATCCTTACTCTAACACTAATTATTTTTATTAGCCTGAATGGTATTTTTAACCTCTTTGTATCTCATGAATCTCATATGTGAAATGAGATGAAAATTTTATCTTTATGGAGATACAATGACGAATATATGGCATAATTTTGTAACAAACACAGTTTTTACAGACCAGCATCCAATAAATCCTCAATAAGCAGAACAATATTTTTATTGTTATTTTATGTTCTGTGCATTTTTTTTAATGTCTGCCCTATTTAAAGATATTTAATGCTTTATGTTGACCCAGTTGTAGGGAGCTCCTGATTGAGGGGGTATAGGAAGATTATCAAAAAAGCCTCTTTATTCCCTTCTACAATGTGGCAGCCTAATAGCATTGATAAAACTGTCTTGAGTAATTTTCTTTTCAAAATAAGTTGAAACAAATATTCTCATTATTTCAGCAGAATTTAGATGATCAGAATTTGGATTTCAGCAGATTGTAGATTTCGTTGAGTAATATTTTAATATAGTAGCTGATTGTTTTTCTCATAGTAAATAATCCCTGCTACCATACCCGATCATGATTCAGGCATTATATGATCTATGCTTTAGAGGAGTCGTGACTTAAAGTCATGCTTCTGTCTTCTTCAGGTTTTGAATCCAAAAGCACAATGAACGCATATCATATACAAAATCTTCGGGAGAAACCATGATGAGTAAGGACAAGGCTTTCCTGCTCAGCTGGTGAATCTTAGAGTGAGTGGTGAGACAACCTTTGGGCTGGTCACCAAAGCAGAAGTAATGCACTGTGTTATTAAGCATCGGCGGCCATGGAGACACGTGCCTCTTTCTAGAATCCCTGTCCTAGGGTCTTTAGGCACAGCATAATGATTCCTATGGCTGCAGAAATTGCTGTATCACATATTTAGGCAATTGGGAACTTTGAAACTGTCATTAACTTTCTTTCAAGTCATTATGCGTCAGAAAACTGACTGTCCTGGGATGTCCAATTTTGTCCTTGAAATAGCAGAGAAGATCAGAGCAGATAATGACTTCACTAGGCATAGCCTCTGTCTATCCACCTGAAGCAAGATGGCAAACAGTCATGATAGGTAGCTCTATACGACATATAAAACTCTTAGAAAGTATAGAATTTTGGAATTTACCAGTCAAACAGGACAATAACAACAACAAAACAACATGAAAAATTGAGAACTCTGTACATGGGAGGCCTGTCTTCAACTGGTACACATGGATGAGTGATTAGAAAACTGTGTGGTCACAGTGCAGTTGGCACCTAGATGAGACACTAACTTGGAAAATTGTCATCTAGTTTTTCTTTTGACTTACACTGAAGATACAGCATCTGATTATTGGGTGCAGATGAACACAGGGGTCTTAACGTGGCAATGTAAAACATAGGATGATACAGAGACTTACAGCACCTGATTTTTCATTAGGAGCCTTGCAGAGACTAGATTATGAAAACAAACCCAAACAAAAACAATGTCTAATTTTAAATATGTGTAAATATATGAGACAGTTCAACATCTATATTCTGACTTTGGAAGCAGTATATGATCATTAAATGCTCAAGCTTTAGAGTTCATTAAGGCTGGATTTGAATCTTGGCTCTAACACTAAAAATCATTATCAGCTTGAGTAAAGTTTTAACCTCTAAGATCCTTGGTGTTTAGAAATGTGAAATGTGACTGACAATAACATCATCTGGGTGATGTAAGGAAGAATGAATAAGAAAAACTACATAAAGTGCACATAATTTACATTTAGCACACTCACTGTCTTTGTGAATTTTGAGAAATATTTTAAAACTGTATTTATCTTGGTTGTCTCTTATGTAAAATGAGGCTGAGAATAGCATCAATCATGACTGTTATGAGGAAAGAATGCAACAATATACATAAAGAATACAGGTTTTAAAACCAGCACCTAGTAAGTGCTTACGAAGTAGAAATCCGATTTATGTCACTGTTGTTACACTGTCTCTGCAGGGATTTGTATGTGTGTTCTGATTAACTGCCGTCTCATATTCTGTTTACCTTGTTGACAGAAACCCTAGATCGAGTTGGTATGGGAAGCTTTTTATTAAAGAGACTTCTCTATTCATTTCTGCCACTTATTCACGAGAGTACCTTGGAGTATTATCTTCTCAAATTCATTTAAGTAAAACAGTCCCATAACCAGAGTAGAATTTAGATGAGAGAAATGTAATCTTTGGTTGAATAATATTTTAAATCACTATGTAATTTTTTTTCTTAGAGCAATTATCTCCCCTCCCATCCCTGCTCCTGATTCATGTCAATTTATGTTTCTTGCTTTAGGTGTACAGAACAGAAAAAAAAAAATCAATGATAAGAATAGCCTGTTTGTTTTAAATCTCAATGAATATAGAGCGTATACCATAGAGAAAATCTTTGGGAAACCCTATGATCAGTGGAACAAGACTATACTCACCTGCGAGTCACTAGGAAAGTAGTTAGACAGACAACTGTATTTACAGACGATAGTGGACACCCAAGAATAAATGGCTGCGTAGTGTGTTTAGGTGCATGAGGCCATGAAGGCATATAATCCTCCTGGGATTCCTGTGCTCCAGGGAAGTTCACATACAGCACAATCATTTGTACAGCTGTAGCAAGGGTTGTGATTCATATTTTAGCAGGTGGGACTTAGAAATTCTCACATAATCCTTTCAAAGAAATATGAGTGATAAAAGCATAGTTGTTTGGAGATGCCACTTTAGTCACTGAAAAGGCACAAAGAAAATGGATCTTAGGTTGCAATGACTGAGCAAGGGCTCCTTCCACAGCCACCTGTGCCAAGATGGCAAAAAGACACAGGTTCTGTTCTTCAAATAACACCTGCATAAACTATGGAGGGAAATACAGCTTTCTGAAGCTAGCTAAAAATTACAACAATGAAAACAAACCAAAAAAAAATCAAAATAGAGAATCCTTAAATATAGGAAGCTTCTCTTCCAGGATGTGTACATGGTGGCTGGAGGTATCTGCTGCTGGGTCAGAATACAGCTTGGGGCTTGGGTAAGAAGCAACTGTAAAAAATAATGATTTAATCCTTCTGCTTTTCCTCCAAGTTTCCTGCCCCTTCACCACAGGTACAGGCTTCCGAACCCTCAGTGCAGGTGACTACAAGGGTCATATCACTGCTGAGCAAAAGGTAATCTGGAATAAGAATTGATGCACATAGCATGAACTGACTTTTTCCCCTCTTGTATTCTGTTCCTCTGGGGTAGACGCTACCTACCATCTGAGCTTATGGTATATAAAAGGAGAAAATTACTCCCACACCCCAATTGTTTAAATGCTATTAGGAAAAATAAAGGGAGCTAGGAAAGCTCACAAAGGGAGGACCAGAGAGAACCAACTATGGGAGGATCTCACCTAATCTGAAACGTGGTTGCCAGTGAGGACTTGCTCTAGGAAGGGATTTAGGCTGGGGCCTGTGGAGAGTTGGGTTCAAGAAGAGACTGGAGAAAGTGATCCCAGCAAAGGAAGCAATCTATATGTCAAAGCTTCTCATTTGGAAAAGACCATCGATATTTTAAAATAAAACCTGGAATGTGGTCATGAACGAAGTGAAAGGATGAAAGGTAATTGGAATAAAGATAATGAACATATTCTTGTATTCATCTTCCTCCATCTGGCTACTTCCCCACAATCTCTCTCTACACCTGGATCAACAAAAGACAGTAATCCTCTTGAGTCAGGAAGCACTTCATGAACGCATACCTTGTAAATATCAAAAGACACAGAGACTAGTAGGGTCTCAATGAATATACTTAATTAATAGTGAGAAATTTAATCACATACATTTTACTTGATTAAATTACTCTTTCTCTTTCCTGCAGCTCTTCAGGCTCCAGGAAACCCAGCCTTATGTTGCTTTAGATGTTTTGATCATCACTTTGCTAGAAAGATTCTTTAAAATCCACAATTCCAGATGCAGAATTCTGCTGTTTTGTAGTCTGCATCAGCCAGCTAGAATCCTTCAAGGTTCTCAAATGTATTTAGAAATATTGAAGAACTTACCTTGGCATTACCAAGTAAGTGATTTTTTAAAAATACTCTTTACCAAGGGCAAGGAAGTATAACTTCCTTTATTTTGACTATTTTTAACCTTTTTTGTTATTTATTAATATTAGTTTAATTTCCATAGTTCTACCACTTCTGTCATTCAGATATTTAATATAGAAAATGCACTCTGTTAGAGAGGCGAATGAAAGGATTCTACTTCTGGAGGGTGGTTTACTTATTAGAACACACTCTGATCACCACTGGCCACATTTGTTATCAGAAGGTTTGCAAAGCGTGGGCTATGTAACTGTTACGTGACTAATAAATAAATTACTGACATGGCATATATAAACTCCTAATCTAAAGCCATATATAATCATTAATTTTTCACGTTTTAGGTTTAAATAAGACTGGATATGAATCATGACTCTAATTTTCTTTGAAAGCTTGAGGAAGATTTTTAACCTTTCTGTACCTCTATTTTCTTCTCTGTGAATTGGGGCAGAATTAGCATCCTCCTGATGGTTATGAAGAAAGAATGAGATAACGTACATCAGGAACAACACGTAAGAACCAACGTCTAGTTAAGTGCTCAAAAAGTGGAAATATAATTATTGTCATTGTTGTTCCATGTTCTAAGCTGAATTTGTAGGTTTGCTCTGGTCTACAGATATAACCTGAGCTATGCTGACCCTGTTAAGGAAAACCTCAGATCAAGGAAGTATGGGGAACACATTATAAAGTAAGTCTCTCTGTTCACTTCTATGAAATTAGTAATTTAATCTCATTGACAGGAGACCCTGTGAAAGCAAAGAATGGGAGGACTCATCAGTTCCAGTATCTTGTATCAGCGAGAACTTGCCAGAGGAAAACATTTAAGTTGGCATGTAAAATTTAAGGAGATTCTCACCAGTGATGACATAGGAGAAACAGATACCCATCAAGAAAACACCATGTGTCAAAATATGTAATGGGGGTAGGAACTTGGAACTATGAAAATAAAATCAGAAATATTACTAATAAGCAAAGGGGAAATGGGTAAAAGAAACGGGAATGTAGGATCTGAACGCATTCTTGTTTTCGTCTCTGCTTGTCTGGCCACTCTCTCTTACCCTCTCTACAACTGGAGCAATACAAGATAGTAATCCTCTTAAAGTTAGAAATCATTATATAAATGAATGCCTTTTAGATAGTAAAGATTATGATGTGGTGCTATCTCACTGTATGAATTCAATAAATGATTGAGTGACATAATTTCATACCAAGATTGTACCAATCCATTCACAGAGATTACAGCAGTAGCTCTTTCAACAGTCTAATGATCCCTGTAAATTATGGTGGGGAGACATGAGGCATGGGACCCAGGAAATTGTACCTTGGTGAAGAAACTGCTGGATGGAGTTGTTGGTGGCATCTGAGGAGTCCGAAGATGGCTCTCAGGGAAGGTTGTGCTGGCCTCTGAAGGATATGGAAGCTGACGCTGTTCCTGGGGTAGCTTCATGCTCTTGGGGTCATTGTTTCTCGGGTTTGTTTTTTTCTTTATCTGAAAGTATTCATTTTCTGTTTAATGGTTTTCAATATTAGAGGAAGCACAACATCTTTTCATTTGTGAGAATATCATCCTTTATTAGATTTTAATAGGTCTCATTACTTCCAAACATGGTCTCTCTCTAATGTATCCCTCCAGGCAATTGTCAGAATATTTTTTTTGCTAAAATGTGGAATGATCAAGTACTCTTCTTCCTAAAATCTTTCAATATCTACTTACTGATGTTTTTACATTGGAGACTCCATTTCTGTCTTTATGACAAAAGCCAGCTTGTTGGAGGGCTGCTTTTTACCTGTCTTGCATCATTTTCCTATACCTTTCTACATATACCAATTTATACAGAACTCACTATGCTGTTTCACATTTTAACATTTGCATGTGACATTTTCTCTCCCTAGAAATCTTTCCAGTGTTTGTCTTTATCTTGCTAAGAGCAATAGGACCTATTGCACATTGATTTCCCATAATGTACAAGGCAATGGAATAAGAAATATTTTTCCATTATCTCATTTAATTTTTAAACCAATCTTATGAGAAATATTTAAAAGCTATTTTTCCCAATATCAGGAAACTAATGTGCCAGATGTAGAACAAGTCTTTCCTATTCCAAAGTCCTTGCTTTTGGCCACTGCATTATATTGGTTCCCCACCCTCCTAATTTCTTCAAATATTTTATTATTTACCACGAGTTTTATATCCTTTTGAAGCCTATGAGGAACATCATTCTCCTAATATATCTTAATAGGCTTTTCCATTTAAATGTGAGTGGAATATTCAAAATGGCACGTTTGAAAAAAAGCGGACTGCTGCTGCAGGCTCCAGGAGACAGCAGAAAAACTGTGAGTGCCCAAAGTGTGAAAGTGTGAAAGGGGATCATCCACCCATGAACATACATCCTCACTGGGGAACCTGAAGGTCTGGATCACAAGTGAAGGATTTGACCTTACCTGGAGCTAAGGTGAATTTAGAGAGCTGAGCGAAATACAGGGGTAGAGGAAGCAGCGGGAAGAGCCCTATGGGCTCTCTCAGTCCCCAGGGAAGCCATTACTGACTTTGTCTCACAAAGGTCCTTCAGGAGGGCTGCCAGTAGAATTGGGGAAATACCACAGGGAGAAGAAAACTTCCAGCTGAAGTTTCGACCGAACACAAAATTTCCTGGACAGAACCCAGGGGTGGGGGTGATCTGGGAGTGCAGACACCAGCACAGAAGCCACAGCAGGCAGGGAGGCTTGAACTCTGAAAACCCTGCTTGCTTTCTCAGCAGGGAGGCTGGTAGCAAGTTCTCAGCTCTGCTCACTTGCTGCCTGGAAATAAACTCAGCGTTGTTGGTGGGTGATGGTGGGAGTGAGACTGGCCTTTCAGGCTGTGTGGGAACTGGATGAGGCCTGTAACTACCAGCTTTCCCCAACTTGCCTGGCAACTTGCATGACACAGCAGAGGCAGCCATAATTCCCTTGGGAATATACCTCCATTGGCCTGAGAATCACACCCCATCCCCCACAGCAGCATCAGCTTTCCCTGTCCAAGGGGAATCTGAGCTCAGACACACCTAACCCTGCCCCCACCTGATGGTCTTTCTCTACCTGCCCTGGTAGCCAGAAGACAAAGGACATAATCTCTTGGGAGCTCTGTGGCCCCCCCACCCACCACCTGAGAAACTCAAATCCTATTTCAAGTGACCCTAGGGCAAGCTTGTATCCTCCCTATACTATTGCAGCTGATGCTCTCTTAAAAGCTCCACCTCCTGGCTGGAGGACAACCAACACAAAATTATCCCAATAAACAAAATTAAAACCAAGGACCCTCATGGAGTTCACTTCACTGCCCTGCCACCTCCACAGGAGCAGGTACTGATATCCATGGATGAGACCTGAAGACGAACCACATCACAGGACTCTTTGCAGACACTACCCAGTACCAGCCTGGAGCCTGGAGCACAGTAGCTCTGCTGGGTGTTGACAATCACTGTAGTTCAGCTCTCAGGAAGCCCCATCCTTTGGAGAAGGGGGAGAGCACCACATCAAGGGAGCACCCTGTGGGACAAAAAAAATCCTAACAGCAGCCCTTGAGTCCCAGATGTTTCCTCTGATATAGTGTACCCAAATGAGAAGGAAGAAGAAAAACAATCCTGGTAATATGTCAAAACAAGGTTCTTTAACAGCCCCAAAAGATCACACTACCTTACCAGCAGTGGATCCAACCCAAGAAGAAATCTCTGAATTGCCAGAAAAGAATTCAGAAGGTGGATTATTAAACTACCCAAGGAGGCACCAGAGAAGGATGAATACCAACTTAAAGAAATTTAAAAAATGTTACAGGATATGGATGGAAAAATCTCCAAAAAAATAGAGAGCATAAAAAAAAATCACAACTTCTGGAAATGAAGAACACACTTGGAGAAATGCAAAACACACTGGAAAGTCTTAGCAATAGAATCAAACAAGTAGAAGAAAGAACTTCAGAGCTTGAAGACAAGGCTTGTGAATTAACTCAATCTGACAAAGATGAAGAAAAATGAATTAAAAATGAACAAAGCTGCCGGGCATGGTGGCTCATGCCTGTAATCCCAGCACTTTGGGAGGCTGAGGCAGGTGGATCGCCTGAGGTCAGGAGTATGAGACCAGCCTGGCCAACATAGTGAAACCCTGGCTCTACTAAAAATACAAAAAATTAGCTGGGCGTGGTGGCAGGCACCTGTAATCCCAGCTACTTGGGAGGCTAAGCCAGGAGAATTGCTTGAACCTGGGAGGTGGAGGTTGCAGTGTTCCGAGATCGCCCCATTGCACTCCAGCCTGGGCAACAAGAGCTAAAGTGTGTCTCAAAAAAAAAAAAAAAAAACTGAACAAAGCCTCCAAGAAGTTTGGGATTATGTTAAACAACCAAACCTAAGAATAACTGGTGTTCCCGAGGAAGAAGACAAATCTAAAGGTTTGAAAAACATATTTGAGGGATTAATTGAGGAAAACTTCCCTGGCTTTCCTAGAGATCTAGACATCCAAATACGAGAAGCTCAAAGAACACCCGGGGAACACCCTGGAGAAAGATCATCGCCTAGGCACATAGTCACCAGGCTCTCTAAAGTCAAGACGGAGAAAAGAATTTTAAGAGCTGTGAAGCAAAGTATCAGGTAATTTATAAAGGAACCTATCAGATTAAAAGCAGATTTCTCAACAGAAATCCTACAAGCTAGAAAGGTTTGGAGTACTATCTTTAGCCTCCTTAAACAAAACAATTATCAGCCGAGAATGTGTATCCAGTGAACTAAGCTTCATAAATGAAAGATCAAGTCTCTTTCAGACAAACAAATGCTGAGAGAGTTAGCCACTACCAAGCCAGCATTACAAGAACTGCTAAAAAGAGCTCTAAATCTTGAAATGAATCCTCGAAATACACCAAAATAGAACATAAAACATTTAAAGCATAAATCTCATAGGACTTATAAAACAATAACACAGTAATAAAAAAGTAAGGTATTTAGGCAGCAAATGGCATGATGAATAAAATAGGACCTCACATCTCAATACTAACATTGAATATAAATGGCCAAAATGCTCCACTTAAAGCATACAGAACAGCAAAATGAATAAGAATTCACCAACCAAGTGTTTACTGTCTTTAAGAGACTCACCTAACACATAAGGCCTCACATAAACATAAGGTTTCATATAAACATAAGGTAAAGGGGTAGAAAAAGATATACTATGCAAATGGACACCAAAAAACAAACTTTAAAGCAACAGCAGTTAAAAAAGACAAAAAGGGACATTACATAATGCTAAAAGAACTAGTCCAATAGGAAAATGTCACAATCCTAACACTGGAGCTCCCAAATTTATAAAACAATTACTACTGAACCTAAGAAATAAGACAGATGGCAACACAATAATACTGGTTGACTTCAATACTCCACTGAAAGCACTAGACAGTCCAACAAGACAGAAAGTCAACAAACAAAAATTTTTGGACTTAAACTATACCCTACAACAAATGGACTTAACAGATATTTACAGAACATTCTACCCAACAACTGCAGAATATACATTCTTTTCATCAGCACATGGAACATTCTCCAAGATAGGCCATATAATAGGCCACAAAACAAGTCTCAAAAATTTAAAAAAAAAATTGAAATTATATCAAGTACTCTCTCAGACTACAGTGGAATAAAATTGGAACTCAACTGTAAGCAACCTTAAAACCATGCAAATACATGGAAATTAAATAACCTGCTCCCGTATGATCATAGAGTCAATAATGAAATCAAAATGGAAACTAAAAAATTCTTTGAAATGAATGATAATAGAGAAACAACCTATAAAACCTCTGAGATACAACAAAGGTGATGCTAAGAAGAAAGTTCATAGCATTAAATGCCTACATCAAAAAGTCTGAAAGAGTACAAATAGATAATCTAGGGTCACATCTCAAGGAACCAGAGAAACAAGAACAAACCAAACACGAATGCAGCAGAAGAAAAGAAATAACAAAGATCAAAGCAGAACTAAATGAAATTGTGACAGACAAAGAACAACACAAAAGATAAATGAAACATAAAGCTGGTTCTTTGAAAAAATAAACAAAACTCATAGACCGTTAGTGAAATTATCAAAGAAAAGAAGAGAGAAGATCAAAATAAGTTCAATTAAAAACAAAATGATAAATATTACAACTGATATCACACAAATACAAAAGATCATTCAATGCAACTATGAACATCTTTATGTGCATAAAGTAGAAAACCTGAAAATATACAACCCTCCTGGGTTAAACCAGGAAGATATAGAAACTCTGAACAGAGTGATAATAAGCAGTGATATTGAAATGGTAATAAAAAATAATTTCCAATAAAGAAAAGCCCAGGACCAGATGGAATCACAGCTAAATTCTATCAGACATTCAAAGAATAATTGGTACCAGTCTTATTGACATTATTTCACAAGATAGAGAAAGAGAGAATCCTCCCTAAATCATTCTATGAAGCCAGTATCACCCTAATACCAAAAGCAGGAAAGGACATAACAACAACAACAAAAAAACTACAGACCAATATCCCTGATGAACATAGATGCAAAAATCTTCAACAAAATACTAGCTAACAGAATCCAACAGCATGTCAAGATAATGCACCATGATCAAGTCGGTTTCATACCAGGGACGCAGGGATGGTTTAACATACACAAGTCAATAAATGTGATATACCACACAAATATAATTAAAAACAAAAATCACCGGATCATCTAAGTAGACGCAAAAAAAAAGCATTTGACAAAATCCAGCATCACTTTATGATTAAAACCCTCAGCAATATTGGCATAGAAGTGATATACCTTAAGGTAATAAAAGCCGTCTATGACAAACCCACAGACAACATTATACTGGTCAGGGAAAAATTGAAAGCATTCCCCCTAAGCACTGGAACAAGACAAGGATGCCTACTCTCACCACTTCTATTCAACATAGTAATGGAAGTCCTAGCCAGGTAATCAGACAAAAGAAATAAAGGAAATCCAAATCGGCAAAGAGGAAGTCAAACTGTTGCTGTTTGCTGATGATATGATTGTATACCTAGAAAACCCTAAAGACTCATTCAAAAAGCTCCTAGAATTGGTAAATGAATTCAGCAAAGTTTCAAGCAAAGTTTCAGGATACAAAATTAAAGCATGAAAATCAGTAGCTCTGCTATACACGGCCAGCAACCAAGCTAAGAATGAAATCAAGAACTCAACCATTTTCACAATAGCTGCAAATAATAAAATAAATAAAATAAAACACTTAGGAATATATCTAACCAAGGAGGTGAAAGACCTCTAAAGGAAAACTAAAAACACTGCTGAAAGAAATCATAGACGACGCAAACAAATGGAAACACATCCTATGCTCGGGGATGGGTAGAATCAATATCGTGAAAATGACCATATTGGCCGGGCGCAGTGGCTCACACCTGTAATCTTAGCACTTTGGGAGGCCAAGCCAGGTGGATCACCTGAGGTCAGGAGTTTGAGACCAGCCTGGCCAGCACGGTGAAACCCCATCTCTACTAAAGATACAAAAATTAGCCAGGCGTGGTGGCAAGCACCTGTAATCCCAGCTACTCGAGAGGCTGAGGCAGGAGAATCGCTTGAACCCGGGAGACAGAGGTTGCAGTGAGCCAAGATCGCGCCATTGCACTCCAGGCCTGGGGGACAAGAGCGAGACTTCGTCTCAAAAAAAAAAAAAAAAGAAAGAAATAAAGAAAATGACCATACTGCCAAAAGCAATCTACAAATTCAATGCAATTCCCATCCAAATACCAACATCATTCTTCACAGAACTAGAAAAAAAAATCCTAAAATTCATATGGAACCAAAAAACAGACCACATAGCCAAAGCAAAACTAAGGAAAAAGAACAAAAGGAAGAAATCAGGAAGCATCATATTACCTGACTTCAAAGTATACTATAAGGCCATAGTCACCAAAATAGCATGGTTCTGGGTATAAAAATAGGCATATAGACCAATGGAACAGAATAGAGAACCCAAAAATAAACCCAAATACTTACAGCCAACTGATCTTTGACAAAGCAAACAAAAACACAAAGTGGGGAAAGGACATCCTATTCAACAAATGGTGCTGGGATAATTGGCAAGCTACAAGTAGAAGAATGAAACTGGATCCTCATCTCTCACCTTATACAAAAATCAACTCAAGATGGATCAAGAACTTAAATCTAAGACCAGAAACCATAAAGATTCTAGAAGATAATATCGGAAAAACCTTCTAGAGAGTGGCTTAGGCAGAGACTTCAGGACTAAGAACCCAAAAGCAAATGCAACAAAAACAAAGATGAATAGATGGAACTTAATTAAGCTAAAAAGCTTCTGCGTAGCAAGGGAAATAATCAGTAAACAGACAACCCACAGAGTGGGAGAAAATATTCACAAACTATGCATCTGACAAAGGACTAATATCCAGAATCTATGAGGAACTCAAGCAAATCATCAAGAAAAAAACAAATATAAAAAATTAAAATGAGTCTATAAAAGTTTTACTTTATGGTCAGACATTAAAATTGGATAAATAATGTCTACAATATTTTACTAAAATTAAATTTAACATTAATAGCACATTAATATAAAGGTAAAATTTAACTTATTTAGTATAAAATTATACAAAAAATAGTCAAATATAAAATGGTGTTTATTTTTTTTTAAGTCCCGAGGGTGGCCAGGTAAGTCACAATGCCCCTCATCCCCAAGGCCATAGCACGCGGGGGTGGTGAAGGCCACAAGAAGGCCAAGACTTCAAGAGGGGCCAGGGCCACAGCATCCCTTGGGCGGCGCTGAGCAGGAATGGAGCGGGAGGCGTCACCATGGGGCTTCAAGCCCCAGGATATGCAACAAAAATTATATGCTTATTTTCCACTTTCTTTTCCCTCAGAACTAAAAGTCTTTTAGCACAGGTACCACCCCTAGAATTTCCAGTACACCAGCACCAGCCTGAAAACCATGTTCTTATTAAAAGATGAAAAAAGATTAAAAAAAAAAACTCGAGCCTGGGAAGGACCCTATTTTATGTATTAACCACTGAGACCGCCGTCCGCACAGCTGAGAAAGAATGGACCCATCATATTTGAGTCAAGAAAACATCTTCTTCGTTAGAATTATGGGTTACTGTACTAAGATTAAGCCCTTCTAAGTTAAAGAAAGCTTCATTTTAATACATCTTTTATATATTTTTTTCTTTTGTTATTAGCTCCTTTGTTATAAATATAACTAAGTCTAACTCACCTTAGACCATTGTCTTTAATGCTTGTTTTCTCATACTTTGTGGAAATAAAAAAAGATTAACGACAGCTAGCCTTTTCACACAAATATTTATGTCCCGGCCCTCTAATTGACACAATTACCCGTAGCACTCATCATTGTGAGCACCTGCAGCCAAGGCATCGATTTTCTGCTCCTACAGCCTGGCAACCTTGTAGTAAATGGGACTACATCCTTTAAACTACTCAAGAGCAAAGTTAGACTTCCACAAAAAAGGTTTGTGCAGATCTAAAACCCTTCATCTATTTCACCAAAAGGGCTACCCCTTCTAACTGTCAGCCCTTATCAATGTAACTCTGTCCTTCTCTTTATCACCACCTCCACCTTAACTAACTCTAGACCTGCCCTTGGTCGCTTAGATGGCATGGGGATTGACATAAATGAAAAAGACCCCCTAGGTGTTTTTAAAACACGCATTATTCCCCCATCTTCCCCTTCTTCAGTAGCCTCGGTTCTAGATCCCACACCAGTTGCCCCTACATCTAATAATAAAACTAGGTTGTCTATTGTAAAAATAAGACATCTAAGACAGACCTTAGCCATTAAGACAAAATATCAAGATGCAAATGCCTGGCTGGAATGAATTAAATATTCCCTTCGCACTTTAAATAAAAATTATTATCACGCTTGTACGCATGGTAGCCCAGAGGGCCAGATTATCCCCTTTCCACTCGGACGGTCTCCTCATTGACCAGAAATGGACATATGGTGGCTCTCTTGCAAAATCCCACAGTTTAGGATAATCCATCATGCTGAGCTCTCTATCTGTTATTTCCTGAAACTCAATACCCCGGGGGTCCGCCCCCGAGGGCAAGCCTGCTTCCACCTCTGAATGCCAAGTTTACTTTGTGCCTCTCACGGCAAGAGTAAAATTTGGTGTTCCTTAGAAGCATAAAAGGATGCAAGGAGCTCAAGCCTTTCCAAGAGCTTGCCCATCAGTCCACGCTTAGCCATCCCCAAGCAAATGTATGGTGATATTGTAGAGGACTTTTACTAGACACTCTGCCAAATAATTGGAGCAGTACTTATGCTCTAATCCAACTGGCTATCCCCTGCACCCTGGCATTTCACCAACCTAAAAAAAAAAAGGTAAAAACAAGACACTGCAGGCCAAAGGAAACTCCTCATGAGTCCTTTAAACGTTAGGTTTACATAAATGCTATTAAGGTCCTATGAGAAGTGCCAAATAAGTTTAAAGCACAAAATCAAATAGCTGCAGAGTTTAAATCCATGTTGCTCTGTTAAGTAACTATAAATTTTTTTTAAGTAGACTAAATAAACTATATCTACTATAATCAGCAACGATTCATAAATTACACTGAGGACGCCATCAAAGAGAAAGCTAAGCAATTAGGACCTACCAGCCAGATGGTCTAGAAAAATAAAATAGCTTTAAATATAATATTAGCAAAAAAAGAAGTTTGTGTCATAATTAAAACTCAATGTTATACCTTTATTCCTAATACTGCCCCTGATAGAACTATAACAAAAGTGCTACAAGGATTAACAGCCCTATCCGATAAACTTGCCAACAATTCTAAAATAAATAACTCTTTTTCTAAAATAATAAAACATTGGTTCAGCGGATAAAAAAAAAATTTAACTTCAATTCTCACCTCGTTTGCTCTTGTTATTGGTGTACTTATTCTTGTAGGCTGTTATATTATTCCCTGCCTTTGAAATTTTATACAAAAACTTATCTCTGCCACTCTTGCAGAGTTAACTCCTAATTCTCCTCCACCCTATTCTGAAAAATTACTTCTCTTAAAAGGACAAAAAAAAATTAAGTCAAAACATATTAAACAAGTTTAAAGAAGAATTATGAAATGAGGGGAAATTGTAAAAAGTAGAGGTTCCTCTTCAAAAACTTTCCTCCCCATCTAATTAGAAATAAATAGTAACTTCTCTTAAAAGCAAAATTTATTCAAAGACCTGTACAAACATTCTTAAATATCTGCTAGCCATAATAAAAAATCAATATACTTTATGTTCTTAGCTCCCACAATTTAGCCTAAATATTTGCCCTAACATGCTTATACTGATCCAAGCAAGCATTAGGTCATAGCCTGTTCCTCTTCCTTATTTAAAGGTGTTTTTACCTTTCTCAATATTCCACAAGTTACTTCCTCCTTCCTTTGTTCTCCTATGCCTTTGCCTCTTTTAAAAAGTTCTAAGTGCTAGCCAGTCGGGACAAATACAGAAGGTGAGGTCCCGTCCCAGCCAATGGAAACCGAACGCAGCAGGAGGGTGGCCGCGTCAGATTATAAATGAGCCTGTCTCCTTTGTTCCGTATACTCTTGTGGCAAAACTGCTGGCGAGTGTACCCTTTCTACAAAAAGTATAAAAATGGCCTTGCTGAAAAAATTAAATTGATATTCAAATGCTATTTATTTATGGCACCAGGGAACAAGCATTGCACATACAAATAATCCCATCAAAAAGTGGGCTAAGGGCCGGGCACGGTGGCTCACGCCTGTAATCCCAGCACTTTGGGAGGCCGAGGCGGGCGGATCACGAGGTCAGGAAATCGAGACCAACCTGGCTAACACGGTGAAACCCCGTCTCTACTAAAAATACAAAAAATTTAGCCGGGGGCGGTGGCGGGCGCCTGTAGTCCCAGCTACTCTGGAGGCTGAGGCAGGAGAATGGCGTGAACCCGGGAGGCGGAGCTTGCAGTAAGCCGAGATAGCGCCACTGCACTCCCGCCTGGGCAAAAGAGCAAGACTCTGTCTCAAAAAAAAAAAAAAAAAAAAAAAAAAAAAAAAAAAAAAAAAAGGGCTAAGGGCTAAGGACATGAATAGACAATTCTCAAAAGAAGATATGTAAATGGCCAACAAGCATAAGGAAAAACGCTCAACATCACTAATGATCAGGGAAATGCAAATCAAAACCACAAAATGATGCCACATTACTCGTGCAAGAATGGCCATAATCAAAAAATTTTAAAAAACAGACGCTGGCATCGATGTGGTGAAAAGGAACACTTCTACACCGCTGGTGGGAATGTAAACTAGTAGAACTACTATAGTAAACAGTGTATAGATTCCTTAAAGAACTAAAAAGCAGATCTACCATTTGATCCAGCAATCCCACTACTGGGTATCTACCCAGAGGAAAAGAAGTCAGTATACAAAAAAAGATCATTGCACATGCATGTTTACAGCAGCACAATTCACAACTGCAAAAATATGGAACCAGCCCAGATGCCCATCAGTAAACAAATGGATAAAGAAATGGGGTATGTATACACCGTGGAATACTATTACTCATCCATAAAAAGGAACAAAATAACGGCATTCACAGCAACCCGGATGGAATTGGAGACCATTATTCTAAGTGAAGTAACTCAGGAGAGGAAAACCAAACATTGTATGTTCTCACTCATAAGTGGGAGGTAAGCTATGAGGACACAAAGGCATAAGAATGATACAATGGACTTTGGGGACTCAGGGGAAAGAGTGGGAGGGGGGTGAGGGATAAAATGCTACATACACACTGGGTACAGTGTACGCTGCTTGGACGATGGGTGCATCAAAAAGTCAGAAATCACCACTAAAGAACTTATTCCTATAACGAAGCACCACCTGTTTCCCAAAAACCTACTGAAATAAAAAATAATTTACAACATTCAAAATGGCAACAGCGTAAAATCATGTACTGTAAGGAAACTTAACACGTGAATATTTGAATTCAAATTAACAAATTGGAGAGCTTCCTCTGTATAAAACTTTGTCAGTGGGACATAATTTTGATCACTGCAAATAATTTTAAGTTTCAAATTAGGTATTTTTATGGACTAAATACACACATATGTGTATTGTAATGTTACAAACTAGAAAGTATCACACACACACACACACACACACACGACGTTTTCTAATTCACAAATGGAGAACATGTAATTTTAAATCCCAACCCTACAATCACTTAAAAGTTTACATAAAATTCAGAGTTCAATTTTTTTGATAAAGTTCAGATTTCTTTCTTTTTAAAATTGTATCCTATCACATCATTCCATCCAGAAAAAAAAAATTAAAAAAAGTAAATGTGAATACAAGGAGAATATCTGTTTTCTCATGCCTCCCGCTGAACTCTGTAAAAAAAACCTACAAACTTGTTTTTGCCAAAACTTAAAGCAAATCATTTCCACTTTGGAAAACTAATATTTGCCTATTTAATTCTTACCTGGATAAAACTATGCATTTCTGAAATCAGTTTTGACATCTGGTTCTTTTTTCTAAGTCGAAAGCAGAAAAGTTGGAGCTTATCTCCTTCTTCACAGGGGATATTGTGACATTGTCCTGTCCCCACTACATCCATTTTTCCTCTATCATCCTGAATTTCGTAGATTGTGGTCTTCTGATTTACTGTTTTCTGTAACAGAAAATTAATATTCTGTTCCTGAGAATGTAATTAATAACAACCACATATAGGCTGAAGTCCCTTCTAAGAGAGTTAAACAAGATGCACAACAGCAACTCCTAGTACAGATATGCACATATCTTAGGCCACATCTTTGCAGAAAGCCGTCCCTCAATATCCTTTTTGTTTAAGTCTTTCATATCTGAGATATTTCTATGACAGTTCTAGAACAATGAGTTTTCTTCCAAATTTCTACTGCTTTCACCTACAGGGCAGCTTTGCTTCCCAAAGCACCTTGATACAGAGGAAGCTGAAATCTCTGATAGCCTTTCTGGGTCTCTGGCCCCATGCAAAAAGAATGGATATCTGCTACAACTATTTATTCAGTGACTTATGAGGAATCTGTAAGAAAAAGCAAGCTTCTGGTAACTCTCTAATTACTTTTTCTACTTTCTGCATTTACTGAGTCTCTTCCAATATTTGTACCCCCTCCTGAAACCAAGTCCTTGAGCTCAAACATTCCAGCTTTTTGCTCATTACTCATCATCCTAGAACTGGATTTGTAAGAATCATCTCTTTAAGAGTGTGTATATAGGCCATGCGCAATGGCTCATGCCTGTAATCCCAGCACTTTGGGAGGCCGAGGTGGGCAGATCACGAGGTCAGGAGACCAAGACCATCCTGGCTAACATAGTGAAACCCCGTCTCTACTAAAAATACAAAAAATTTAGCCAGGCGTGATGGCACACGCCTGTAGTCCCAGCTACTTGGGAAGCTGAGGCAGGAGAATCGCCTGAACCCAGGAGGCGAAGGTTGCAGTGAGCCGAGATCGCGCCACTGCGCTCCAACCTGGGCGACAGAGACTCCGTCTCAAAAAAAAAAAAAAGACTGTGTACAGAAAGTAACGCAGGTTAATGAGTTGTTCTAGGAAACAAATATAATGGGTAATGAAGTATTGATCAGATAAATTGCTTGAATCAATAGCAGAGGATAGATGCTTTTTTGCGGGGTGGAATGTCTCATGCTAACTGGTTATGAATTTGGACAGGAACATATCAGGAAAAGCACTCTGTACTCTATTTTTTTTTTTTGTTATTTATATATAAATGACAAATTTAGATTACCTGATTTTCCAAGTATCATCCAAATTCGTATTTCCCAATTGTTCCATTTCTTTATGATGAATTAGTTTCATTTGGTCAGAACATTGTCCTACCTACTTTCTGCATTTGTTTTCCAGCCATGAGTAGTCAATTTATTTCTTATTCTGACTGTCACAACCAGAACTCAAGCCTCAGAGGACAATACTTCATTCAAAATAAAAATAATGTGATTTTTATGACAGTAGAGATAATAATCAAAGGGATAAACTTAGTATCATGTGTGTATGGATGTAGACCTCACAATGTCCTTGATCACTTAGCATAGATAATAACAACTGATAAAGTCTTAAGGTTTCTCAGTGAACATTATTGTAAAGACTACAGTTTAATGCTCTGGGAAGGAGAACATGGGAAAGAAATATTAACAGGTCCCCTAATCCCAGTCTTATCTTCAGAGAAGTCTTTATCCACCTGTCATTAGTCTTCAGAGTCCTGGATTCTAATATCCAGTTTATAGGCAAAGCTTCATCTCACACATCAAGACTTTTAATTTCAGGTGTTGGTGGAAAAATGAAACGAAACAATTTTGAGGACTTACCTTATGTAGCATAAATACCCCATATACAATATTTCCTGAAGCTTGTTTGTGAAGAATATCAATCTTCAGAGTTTCCTTTGCTCTGTTGATGATTTTATTTGGAACCTCAAACGTTTGGTTAGGACCAGCTTCAGATACAGTAGATTCTTCATTGACCTCTAGGAGACTATCATATTCCAAATAATCTGATATGATGATGATTTTCTTTCCATTGAATTTCTCCTTCAAGCTGGTGTTTAAAACCTTCACATGGAAGAACTGTGTCTGTGTAGCCACTGTAGCATGAAACATTATTTTTTTCTCCATTTCTGGGGTCTCATATTCAAATGGCTTTGTTGTACTCAGTACCTTCACTATCACTGGGCGTTTTTGGAGAACATTTCTTCTGGGAGTTACCTGACATTTGGCCACTGTTTTCGGGTTCTGTGTATGATAGCACAGGAGAACAAAGAAAAATGTCTAATTGAGAAATACAGAACTGCTATTCAGTGACCTCAGTATAACACAGGGCCCCAAAACTTGCACAGATGTTTAGAGCTGGAGTCAGGATAGAGAGGGATTGCGAGCCAGGGCAGAAGATATCTTAAACTGGTACAATAGCAAGATGAAGTAACAGAGGAGACCATATAGTGAAAAGATGACCTTTCTGTAAACAGAATCAACCTTAAGAAATAAAGCATAAGAGCAACATAAGACCAGTGGATACTGAAAGCCAGTGTCATGAAGTAACTTAATAAATTTTAGGGCCAGGCGCGGTGGCTCACACCTGTAATCTCAGCACTTTGAAACGCCGAGGCGGGTGGATCACCTGAGATCAGGAGTTTGAGACCAGCCTGGCCAACATGGTGAAACCCTGGCACTACTAAAAGTACAAAAATCAGCTGAGTGTAGTGGCAGGCGCTTGTAATCCCAGCTACCTGGGAGGCTGAGGCAGGAGAATCACTTGAACCCGGGAGGTGGAGGCTGCAGTGAGCCGAGATTATGCCACGGCACTTCAGCCTGGGTGACAGAGCGAGACTCTGTCTCAACAACAACAACAACAACAATAAATAAATAAATAAATTTTAGAATGAAATAATTTCTTATACTATTTCTCTTACCAGCTTAAAGTGCCAGAGCCTAAAAATAGACAAAGTTAAATGACATTTAAAATGATCAATAAATACTAAAAAAAAATAAAAATAAAAAAAAAATGAAAAATGGTGCCCACCACAAACTATAGACACAAAGAGTGTTCAGTTATCACCAGTGTAGACAGGGCAATTTAAAGAGCACATTTCATAGTGTTCCTACCCAAGATTCAGTTTGCTTACAGCAGGTGAGAACACAAGTAGGATAAACCCCTCAGAATGCCATCATCTCAGTAGGTTCAGGCTGCAGAAACTCTACAGAGTGTCATTCCCACCACCATAGCCTTTCTCAGTGTCAGGGCTCTAGCAGGTAGCATGCTAACAGAAACCTGGGGCTCAGAAAGGGTTTTCTTTAACATCTTTACTCTTTAACATCCCAGTCTCCTTAAACTGCGATAGAACAGTTTTAATGCAGGGGAGGTTGTTTAATCTACAAGAAAAAGAGCTGAGGGTATGGATAACCTCATTCACAAACTAGCAGGTGCTGGAGAGGTCTGACATGGAATACTATAGTGAACCAAGGGAAGAGGTATGAAGGACATGGGAGCAGTAGACAGTGAGCCCACAGCTGACAGTTCTGTACTGCATAGCTCTCTCTCCCTTCCCCAAACAACACAGAACAGAAAACTTCCTGCAGTCAGAGATAATGTCAAGTTCATCAAGTATCCCTGTGAAAGCAAAAGATCAAAATGTAGTGGTTTCTCAATATGTACATTGGATTAACTAGCAAATTATCGATGCAATTTTTAAGTAACCGGTGAAATCAGTCCTTTACTTTGGGTTGAAAAAAACAAAGCAAAATGGGACCAGGAAGAGTGTACCTCAGTTGAAGAACTGTTGGGTGGAGCTGACAATGAGGTCTTGGGAGATGGGGAACGGCCCATGGCTGTGGACATGCCGGCTCCTGCAGGAGAGGGAGGCTGAGTCTGTTCCTCGGACACCTTACTCCCTTTGGGTCCAGCCTTTTCTTTGGTTGATTTTTTTCTTTTCTGAAAGTGGTTTGATTTTCCTGTTATTCGTTTTCAGTGCCAAATGAAGTAGAGCACATTTTCATTATTGGATAGTAGTTTTATTATTCCTAAGAAGATGTTTCTTGGAAACTTGAGAGGTTGCTGCCCATCTCTCGCCAGTTTAAGAGATGGGCATAGATGGTTTCATTAAACGAAGAAAGAGGAGAATGTTATACACATTATTTCTCTAATTATTTCTGTTATGGGATGTGCTGACTTGGGATTAGAGAAACTAGGTTTTTATACACATGGACAAAGTACTTACCTGATTCTCACGTTGACACTCCACTCTACTAGAATGAAGGTATCACATTTATGTTATATATATTTACATTATGTTTACTCATGTGTTTGGTGCATTGCTTTGAGCATCAATAAGATGATCAATTATCATACAATTTGGTAAATCTGAAACTTGATGGGAAACATGAAGAAATAACTGCCTGCTGGAGAGATTGAGTGGAAGAGCCGTAGCAGAGCTTCCTCTGTGGGACTTGAAGCCTGCTCCTCTTCCTGAAGCTTACCTGAGCTCCAGGAGTTGCCTCTGCTCCTTCAGTTTTGACAGTGCTGCTTGTGGAGGGTGCAGGTGAAGTAGCATCCACTTCCTTCTTCCTCTTTCTTGATAGGGCTGGTCCTTTTACTGGAATAGATTCAATTTTATTCCCAACCAATGCAGAAAAAAGGAAGACATATAAACGATCTCCGACAGCTGAAGCAGTTTCAATACAATTTGCTCTCAGTTCCTGCTTGAGGGTTCAGCTGTGCTTTAGTCTAGCTCTACTGCATTAGCCCAGCCTGGCCTTAAGGAGACCAGCAGTCACAAGACAGGAACAAGCACTGACTCATGCTCCTCAGCACTTTCCTCACTCCTCCCCTGTGCACTGAGCACATGCTTCCTGTTCTCTGAACTCCATGTGCTTCAGTTAACCCTTTCCCAATGCGGTTCTCCGATCATTTTGTTTTAAAAACTAATGTTTTCATGATGGAGACTGCTAGGTCACATTCCCCAGGTAAAGATATTCAAATTATAGAAACCAGCCAAAGGTTTCCATGAGGAAGGATATACTGATTTTGGACTTAGACTTTTTCAAATCCTTTTTTTTAACTTGATATAACAAGAGAGGAGATCACACTTCTGAGAGGCAGGCTCACATGTAAGTATTGCATTTTTTTAAATTATAAAGGGTAGTGATGGGTTAAATGGTCTCAATAGAACAGATACATTCATTGGCTAAATGTACATATCTTGAATTTAAACAGTTTTTATGATTTTATTATTATATAATCTTTCTAATGTACTGGAAGTCTCAGTCCCCCTTCAACTCCCTCTCACTTTTGTTCTTTCACTGATCCCAAATATACATTCTGAAATACTTCAATCTACACCAGTAATGGAATGCACTAAGTTGTCAACTTGTTGGCCTCTGAAGTACCAACATTGTCTCAGCTGTTGAGTCACAAACTGGGGAAAACACATCTCAAGTATGTCCGAGGTGGGGCTCTAATCAATGTTGGGGAGGGTTTGGGGATGGTTGCAGGGAGTGGGTGTTCCCTCTTCCCAATTACCTTTTAACTTTTCTTTTTTAAGAGTTTCAGCCAGGTCTTCAAGCGTTGGTATATCTTCGAAAATTTTTATTAGTTTGCCCAAACCAGCATCACCTCGGAACTTTTCTTCCATCAAGTCAGCAATCTGAATTTTGTCATACTCTTCTCTCATTTTTAAATTAAGTTTTAAATCGTTGCTCAGTAAGGACTTAACCATTCTAAAATGATAATCATTGATGACCTCTAATCCTTTTAGTAGAACAATGTTCTTGTATTTTTTTCCCATCTTTACAGACATAAGTGAGCCTACAAGAGAAAATGGTATATACAGTGTTACACATGTATACAGACAATTTAAAAGATGTATGCCTATGTGAGTGAGTGGCCCATATGAAAGAGTTGTTCATGAATATGTGTGATAAAGAAGGACTCAACGACCAAATGTGTTACTGTAGAAATTGAGTGAAGAACTGCTGGGTTAGGAATGTCTAAGAAATTATTCCCATTGAATGAGAATAGTTGAGTTGGGTCCAGTTGTTAGAGGGAGGTCTGAGAACAAGCAATTGCCTCAGTGTTAAGAGTATGAGCTCTGCAGTGTCAAAGCCCTTGGTTCCTCTTCTTATCCTTTACTGGGGCTGAAGCCTATTCCCCAAATCCTGCCTGTTGTTTCTTAAATCTTCCCACACCCAGTATGACTGGAGCGGCCTAGGTGTAAATGGGCTGCAGCCTCCCACCTTATATGAATAACTTTCTGCTACAGCGCTACAGTTTCATGCTGTGGCACTGACCCTATTCTCCTTGACTCTTCCCTAGTTGGCTTTCATTAGCATCCTCCCTTCTTTGGTGCTAGACCATGGCTTCTGTTCTCTGTACCCATAAAACCATAACTTTGCTGAAAATCTGCATGCTTTCTAGTGCAGCATCACAGTATTTATTCACTGAAATGATTTTATTGGTTGTTTTATTTTTCTTCTTTCAGACTTGATTTGTCTAATTATTTCTTTTCGCACAATCAGTTTTCTCTCGATAAGCCACATTTATATTCCACTGAAATCCTTCAATATTTCTCCTTTTTCTTCCCCAAAATTCCTTGCTTCCTATACTGTCTCAGAAAGTGTTGAATAAGCTGCATCTTTTTTACTTCTAGTACCTTTGTACTCCTTGTATCTATGCTTCACAAAGATGCCGGACACCTTGTGTCTTCATGCCTCATGACTTTGCTAGTTCCTTCTTACTGCCTGGAAAGCCATTCCCACATTTCTTTCTTTGACTACTTCCCATACAACCTTAAGACTCAACTGAGGCTTTGTCTCATGGTAGATTTCAGAGTCTCCCTATGGACAGAGTGTCACTGCTCTTGACCTCTTAACACCTGTACACTTCCATGATGACAGTGCAAGGTATGGATTCCAAAACTTTTAAATTAATGAATTTTTTAATTTTAGGAATGATGTCTTTGTGTATAACCAAGATATCTAAATTTCAGGGGCTATTAATTGGGCCAGGCGCAGTGGCTCACGCCTGTAATTCCAGCATGTTGGGAGGCCGAGGTGGTCGAATCACAAGTTCCGGAGATCAAAAGCATCCTGGCTAACACAGTGAGACCTCGTTTCCACTAAAAATACCAAAAATTAGCCAGGTGTGGTGGCAAGCGCTTGCAGTCCCAGCTACTCGGGAGGCTGAGGCAGGAGAATTGCTTGAACCCAGGAGACGGAGGTTGCAGTGAGCGGAGATCGTGCCACTACACTCCAGCCTGGGTGACAGAGTGAGACTCCGTCAAAAAAAAAAAAAAAAAAAAAAAAAAGCTTCCTTCTTACGAGAACATGAGGATCCTTGGACTGAAAAGGTCCAGAGAATGAAGGGAAAATCTATACAAAAACACATTATAGTGAAACTGAAGAATATAATGAACAAAAATACTCTGTAAGCCTTCGGTAATGAGGAATAGATCACCTACAAAGATTCAAGAATCAAATTGAAAGTGAATCTCTATATCAAAACTGCCTGAAGCAGGACAATGGAGTTATTTTTATATAATGTTGGTCCAAAGTTCCATATCAATTGCAAAACCAAAAAAAATTTTCAATGGAAAGTTTTGACTTATTTTGTGAGTGTGCTAGAAACAATAAGTTCGTCTTCAAACTTTCCTGTTCTTTCCTGTTCTGTAAACAACCCTTCCTTCCTTTGCCGCCCCAGACATGCCTTCCCGCCTAATTGGTACAGGACAGTGTCTTCCTTCCCGCCTAATTACCCCTATAGAATTTAAAGCAGTAGCCAATCCGGTCAGCTTAGAATGTGCATTGTGACTGACGCAGGCAGCACCCTTCTGTAGAAGCAAATATGCTTTGCTGAGAAATTTCCTGTTTAAGTGCTGGTTTTTCTTTGTGGCACTGAGCACTTGTTTCCAACAAGTGTGACAGCACAATTTATTTGCAAAATAAAACCAGATTTGGGATGACAGTAGGCTATGTATAATCTTTATTTCACTGAAATGTGAACACTCACATGTTTTGTTTTGCAATATTAGTGCTTTTGATTTTGGAGTAATTATTTATATCCCAATGGAGTTTCTAGTAAGACACTATTTAGAATATATACACTAAATAGCCTTTCTGAAGCCTCCAGATTCTTAACTTCAAAATGTATCTAGCTCCACAGCACAGAAGAGGTGCTTTCATCTTGTCTTAAGGGAAAATATAATTTTACATTTTAGAGTTTTAATTTAGGCAAAATGATATTTAAATAGAAGAGTCTCAAAAACTATTTTGTGATACTCAGGGCCTCAGTCTTTTTGCAAGACAAAGACTCATACCACAAGAAAACATCTATTGAAAATAATATTTAATAGGAAAACATGAATAAAATTAAAAATTCTGCCAGCCAAAAGATAAGAAGAGTGAAAAATAAACTTTTTTAGGTGTTCCTAATGTCTTACAAAGAAAACCCTGATCAAATATAAGAGAAACAGAAATTACAACAGCATGGTAAAGGGAGGGAAGAAAAAGAACATGACAATTCACTAAAGCAATTGTCTTAGATAGTGAGATGATATAGAAGTGTCATAAATTGAAGTAAAGACAGCAGATTGTTAATTACCAGCATATACCTAAAAGGTCTGACCTGTTAAGTGACAACTTTCATCAAATTTGATTTAAGAAATCTACATATATATTGTTAACAAAAGGTGAAAAAAATTGTTAAAAATTATCTTGCAAGGAATAACTAAAGAAAGCCAGTTTATCTATGTTTGTGTAATTTTAAATATACCTTAAGCCCAAAAGTAACTTCAGATACCACATGATAAAAGTTTCAACTCCTAGAAAATTATGTTTTAGTTATGAATTTATCTAATTTATCTAATGATATTATTTATTATTTTATAGTGCTTCATGGTACTATAATTAGTATATATTTCTCTTCATATACACACATGTACAGACATCACTACACACATATATGTGTGTACCTGTTTGTATACATGATTATATATACATATATTTGTGTGTGAATGTATATTATATATACACATAACATGTATGTGATTGTGAGAGCACTACAAAGAAAAAAAATTTTTTTTTTTTTTTGAGACAGAGCCTTGCTCTGTCACCCAGGCTGGAGTGTAGTGGCACAGTCTCGGCTCACTGCAACCTCTGCCTCCTGGTTCAAGCGATTCTCCTGCCTCAGTCTCCTGAGTAGCTGGGATTACAGGCACACATGACCATACCCGGCTAATTATTGTATTTTTAATAGAGACAGGGTTTCGCCATGCTGGCCAGGCTGGTCTGGAACTCCTGACGTCAAGTGATCCGCTCGCCTTGGTCTCCCCCAAAGTACTGGGATTACAGGCATGAACCTCTGTGCCCGGCCAAAAAAGCAAACTTTATAATAGGAGATTTCAGTTTATGCTTCAATTACTAAATGAACAAGGTGAAAAAATCTGTAATGATATAATAAATTTGAACAACGTAATTAACAACATTTATCTAATAAAATTCTGAAAACAACATTTAAGAATCTCACATTCCATTTAAGCACACATGAAATATTGTACCAGGCTATAGAAAACATCTTTTAAAAATTTGAAAAGTAAACAATAGTAACCTTTTCCTAACTGCCTTCCCCTCCACTCCCCTATACCTTGCCACAAGGAAAAAAAAAATCATTAACTTTCAGGAGGGCAGAGAGTAATTCCAAAATGATTGAAATTCTGCCGCTAGCACCCGGTGCAGAATGGAGCTAAAGTAAAGGATCAATATACTTATGAAAATATTAAGACACCATGTGCTTGAGTAACTGTGTTTGTGAAACTGAAAAAAATTTTCTACTCTGTGTACATTTGTTCTTATGTTTTGTAAAATTGGGATGATGTCATATAATACATCTCTATGCTCAGATATGTTTTTTACTTAATATTCTTTCATGATACTTTTTTCATGTCACTATCTTGAGAACCCACCACAGCTACCGAGTTTCCAACACTTCTTCCAGCCAAAATAACAGAAGCCCTCTTCTAAGTACCAACTTATGCCAGTATACACTCGGATAATTAATTTTAAAATCTGCAACGGTCAAAATGCATTTTCTCTTGTTCAGTCCTCAGTTGTGGTGGAATAGAAGATGCCTGTTATCTTCCTAAGTAAATGAAGGATTCATATCAAGCAACTCAGTTTTCACTTTTCTGAATACTCAGCCCTACTCCCATCATCCCATGACCCTGAATAACCAATACTGATTGTCCCCTTGTGATTCTGGGGACTTCAAGGAAGGAACAAGATCATATTTACAAAATCAGGAACAGTACTCACCTCACTGGAAATTTTTTCAACAGTAGTCCAGATCTTGAGATCTTCAGAAATGCAGGAATCAATGCTTATTTGTGTGAGGGGGGAGATAAATCAGTAAAGTTCCCAGAAACGGAACCGCAGGATGTTGTAATCTCCAGAAACGCTAAGAAAATGAAGTATCTGCAAAGATAACAAGGAAAAAAGGCCTTGGTTGAGTCACTTAGTTAGCTGACTAGTGCTGGCTTGCTCCTATTCTGCTATTGCCCCAGAGAAAATGGAGTAGGAAACAATGTGGAGACTCCTCCCACCAGTGTTTTTAGCTTTCGTTTCTGTTAGTCAGAGAAAATGAACAGTTTCCTGGCAAGGGCTGGAGCATGTGGTGAGGGGAAATGGGGGATGAGAAATTACTTTAATGGGTACAGTTAACATTTTTCGGGTGATGTGCACACTGAAATCTCTGACTTCACCAATATGGCATATATCCATGTAACGAAATTACACTTGTATCTCATAAATGTATATAAACACAAATAAGTTTTTTTTCTTACAAAATTCGATAGCTGAAAGGAGTTCCAACATTAGAACTTTCTTACCCAGCAGACTTACATGTGAGTCATTAGAGACTTATATTCCCTTAAATGATGCTCAAATATAAGAGAAGCAACATGGCTTCTTCTCCCCTCCTTTCCTGTGCACAGAGTGGCAGTGGCAGGAGGAGATCTTGGTAGGAGCATCTATTGCTACCAATACTTTACTGCATCTCCTGGTTGGGGAAATGTCTGCTATGAAATCGCTATTTGTTTAAATACTACCTGAAGTATTCATCCAATTATTAATAACTGACAAGCCTGGGCTTTCCAGATCAGAAAGTCATTATGAATATGTAAATCCTTCCTTAAATTTATATGAAGGAGTTTAACACTAGCTGTCCTCTTGACCATGACTAGGTTACTTTACCTCAATGATTAGATTCACGAATGCTCAGATTTTCTGCATTATTCCTGGATAAACAAACGTGGATAGTGGACTCTCAACATGACAGCATCGAAGACTTGAAAATCCTGGAAAATGCACTGAACTTCCGGTAGTGTGAGGAGTCTGTTTAATCCTCTGCTCAGCAGTGTATTTTTCTCTGTTAAGGACAGTGGGTGCCCTTTAGCGTGCTGTAACCCCAGGATGTCAAATAAATGGCATCAACTAGCAGATGATGTGGTGTTAACCCAGCAGCAGATCTGCAAGCAGGATGTGGTCATGAGTGGAAAAGGGGCCCCATAGACTGTTAATATGTACTGTCCAAGGCCATCTACAGAGCAAAAGAAAGCTGATTGTTTTAATCCAAACTAGGGCCATGAAGTGAATAGCTGAATTCTGGATTTGAAACCATATGAATAACTTTATCAAAAAAGGAGTAAGTCAAGAAAAAGCAAAGAGGATCTGGAATGATGGCCATAAACATCTCTGGGTGTTCGTGATAATCTTTTACTGGCTTTAGGGTACTCTTTACGTGGATACATTGAGTTGGCCTTAAGGCAGTAGGTAGAGAAGGATATTAAGGCAGTCACTGGGAACCCCAATCCAGAGGTCAAAGGGTAGAGAACCCTTGGAAGTTATGACCCTTCAGAACATTTTCTGCCTTTTACTTATAATCATTTTATATGCAGTAATGTCCTCAATTGGGACTCCAGCATACAACACACAAACTGCGGTCACCTATAAGGGCAACTCAGGACAATGCTCCATAATTCATACCACAAAGATGAAATTTTCATAGATGAAGCAAAGAAATGCTTAAAAATGTGCATTTTCCCCCACTTTGTGGCAGTGGCCAACAATTGCAATTTGTGCTATCATACAGAAAAGTCATTAGTAGAATATACAAAAATTCCTGATAAAGCAAAAAATGTGCGAATATATATACATATATATAAATTATGTAGCTACATTATTACAGTGACTAAATTTATATTAATCAGGCATTATTCTGAATAAAATCTCTCAATTATGTACCTATTTTTGAACAATGAGTGTTCCATTTCTCTCTTTATGACAAAAAGCAGCTTACTATTTTACCTTTCTGGCCTCATTTTCCATACTGTTCCACATATACCAAAGTTTTAGCTGTGCAGAAACATTTATGTCACTTCACACTTTAGAGTATTTGTAGGTGACATTTCTCCTGTCAGTATTGCAAATGTCTTTACCTTGCTAAGAACAAAAAGACCTATTGCACACTGGTTTTTCATGATGCAATAGACTGTGGCATATGCATTGTTCACTTGTTTTGCAAATCAACTCTATGCAGCAAAGTTTCCCCTTTTTAGAGAAGACTACTATCTTAGTTGATTTGGGTCTTCTGGATGCTGAGGGTTCCAAGATCAAGGATGGCCAACTTAGTTTCTGGTATGAGCCCTCTTCCTGGCTTGCACATAGCCATATTTATGCAGGGTCCTCACCTAGTGTTGAGAGAGAGAGAGAGCACTCTCTGATACCTCTTCTTATAAGGGTGCTAATCACATTATGAGGACCCCACCCTCATAAACTACCCACCAAAGGCCTCGTTTTCAAATATCATCACACTGGGAGGTTATGGCTTCATCATATGAATTTAGATAACATAATCCAGTGTGTAGCAGTAATTGAAGCTATTTTCTAAAAACTAGGCGCCTAGTTAGTGTTGGAGCCAAATTCAAACCAGATCTACCTTATTCCAAAGCCCATGCACTTGAATGCTAAGCAAAATTACTTCCTTGATTTACTAATTTCTACACATATTTTTTTCTTTAGCAAAACATCCATGTCCTTTTAAGCTTGTGTGAATGTCATTTTCTTCATTATTTCTTTACAGATTCTCCACTTAACAATATTAGCACAAGGGCATTGTTTGGGTTCTCATGCTTCCTGCTGGGGCTGGACCTTTGCTGTTAAGACACAGAATCTGATTTTCCCAAAGCCTAAACCGAATTATTTTCTTTTTTGGAATACTAACATTTGTCTCTCCAACTCTCACATGAATGGAACCATGCATTTCAGATAATGGCTTTGATGTTTTGTCCATTGATTCTCAGTTGAAATTAGAAGTCAAAGTTTATCTTTTTCGTCACACTTGGTTTTGTGCTGTTTCCTTTTCCCCAATACTTCCATTTTTCTCTGTATTATCTTGTATTTCCTAGATTGTGTTCTACTTAACATATGTATTTGTGATTAAAATTAAAGTATATTATTATATGATAAGGTAAAGGCCAATTCAATTCTATAAACAGTCAGAAATGCGAAATAACACAAAATTACGGACATAAAAGATGGGAGAAGTTTATGGTGCAAATACCTATCGCCTTGGTCTTTTTGTTTGTTTGTTTGTTTTTTGGCACTTGCACCAAGGGTGAATGTAGTTAAACAGGTGGTTATCGGGAAAACGCCCTGCTGGACTAAGAACCACCCTATATTGAAATGCCTAACCTTGTTTTTACTCTAACTCGTTACTTTGAATTTTGTCCTGCTTGTCTCTTTAATCACCCAGCCTTGCTTCTCATGTAAATAAGACTCTCTCTAGCTGGGAAGGTCGGACAAACTCCAATTGACCCCTTAATTTACAAGACACTAAGGGCTCCTTACCCAACCCCCTTTAGTAAGGAGTTGGCCTGGGTAAACAGATCCTCAGCGTTTCAAAAGAGCCCAATTAACTGATAAGGTAGTAACACCAACAATGTATGAAGTTCCCAGGCTTTTTCTCAAAAAGATAACAACATAAAACCTTGAGTTCGTGTCCGGCATAGACCCTATATCTAATTACAATGAAAGATTTACAACCTTGCACCTGGTACCGTTGCTCTTCTTGTAACCATTTGTCTTTTAAGGCATGTTTTTGCTTCTGTAGAATTATTGCATTTGAGTCCCCCTCCCCTTCCTAAACCTAGGTATAAAAGTTAATCAAGCCCCTTCCTCGGGGCCGAGAGAATTTTGAGCATTAGCCGTCTCTTTGGCCACTGGCTTACTAAAGGACTCTTAATTCGTCTCAAAGTGTGGGGTATTTTCTTAACTCGCTTGGGTACAACAATATAAGCACAAGGCAAGCTCAGACCAAAGAAGAGGCAGACCACTCCTGGCTGGTTGGTAGTCAAAGATCTAGATAGCAGAAACTTACACAGGAGGCAGTCTTAAGCGGGAACAAGAGAAGTCAGATCTCCACCTCGCAGTGCACGCCTGAGTAGTCTTTCAGACAGTGAGAAGAAACAAGGAAGGAAAAGCTGATGGGGGCGCTGAGGGGTGGGGATAGCTATACCGATAGTGCCTTAGGCCATCTGGTTGCTCTCTTAATCTATTTACTTCCTGCTTAAATGGATTGTTTGAGCTTCCTTCAATCTGTTCCACATTGCTAAGGAGTGGGAGGATGTTCCTGGAAGCAGCAGTCATCTTGGTGCCAGTATGCATTTTCCAGTGGGACTGCAGCCTCCTACAATTCAATTTAAGCTCAGTTCCCAGAACACGTTTTCACAACAATGCCATTCCTTCCCCTCCAACCTCAAGGCTTCTCTCAGCCAGTCCTTCCTTGAAATTTTGTAGTTTCTGTATTGCAGTTTTGTATTCTACTTTTCCTGTTGCTCAAAGCTAATGCCATAAACTCCAGACAACTCTGTTGGCAGAAAGAGCTTCTGTAGTTCTAGGGATGACCTCTTTACTTTGGAGTGGAATAAAAGAGACTCAGTGTTGAGGCAGGAGAGGAGAGTGAATGCATATGGAAACCTGGGGAGTGATGTGAACCAGTCATGATATACTGTACAAGGCCAGAGTTGGCATCATTCATCTGTTTATTGCATGTCTCATGGAGAAAATATGAGTGAAAGAAGTTTCTGGTTCATGAAAACTCCTGTTCTCTGACCCTCCCTGTAATGGACATGCATACTTTCCCACTGTCTTAGTCCATTTAGTGCTGCTGTAATGGAATACTATAGACTGGGTAATTTATACAGAACAGAAATGTATTTCTCACAGTACTTGAGGTGGAAGTCCAAGGTCAAGCATCAGTATCTGGTGAGGCCTTCTTGCTGTGTCCTCACATGACAAACGGGGCGAATTCACCCCCTACATGCCCGTTAGAGTGGCATTAATCAGTCTATTTACGTGAGTGAAATTCTCATGATCTAAATACCTCCCATTTGGCCCAAGCTCCCAACACTGTTGCATTGGGTACTAAGTTTCAACATTATTTTTGAAGGGGGTAAAAACATTGATAGTTTCTACTTCTCCGGCTTTATCTCTGCTATCTTCATTCTTTATTTGCTTATTTTATCTAAAACTGTTCTCCAGAAAGCATTCTTTGAGGATCTTTACTAGATTGATAATTTCTTTACTCTGTTTAATTTCAGGACTTCACTTTGGCTGTCAAAATTTCCCTTGATATAATTTATCTCTAAAATTGAAGATGAGATTCTCTACTGTTGTCAGTAATGAACTCTCCACCCTAAACATCTGGTTTTGGGAATTTTTTTTCTTTTGAGACGGAGTCTTGCTCTGTTGTGATGGCACGATCTCGGCTCATTGCAACCTCTGCCTCCCAGGTTCAAGTGATTCTCCTGCTTCAGCCTCCTAAGTAGCCAGAATTACACGCATGCACCATCAAGCCTGGCTAATTTCTGTATTTTCAGTAAAGACAAGGTTTCACCATGCTGGCCAGGCTGGTCTCAAACTCCTGATCTCAAGTGACCCACCCACCTCGGCCTCCCAAAGTGCTGGGATTAGAGGCGTGAGTCACGATGCCCGGCTGGTTTTGGGAATTCTTACCCCAAATTACTAACATCTATAATTTACTCAGATTTACTTAGCAATAAGGGCAAAATTAACTGAAATTTAGATTTCTTAACCTTTTTTTTTTCTTTTGGAGATAAGGTCTTGCCATGTTGCCCAGGCTGATCTCAAACTCCAGAGCTCAAACAATCTACCTACCTCAGCCTCCCAAAGTGCTGGGATTACAGGCATAAGCCACCACATCCATCCTTAATATTTTGGCTGGAATTTGGGTATTAATATATTAAGAAGAGAGAAATAAAATTTACAAGTAATGGAGAAGTGGTGTTTGAATTTTATTTCCTTTTATGTTTTAGATTAAGGGTTGACAATCTTTGGTTCAAGGAAAGAAACTGCTGTTCACACAAATAAGTGCTTCTATGTGTTTGAATGTTTAAGGTATCAAGTCATGAGTGTCAGAAATGCAAAATAATACAGAATTGGCTGGGCGCGGTGGCTCACGCCTGTAATCCCAGCACTTTGGGAGGCTGAGGCGGGCGGATCACAAGGTCAGGAGATCGAGACCATCCTGGCTAACACAGTGAAACCCCGTCTCTACTAAAAATACAAAAAATTAGCTGGGCATGGTGGCGGGCGCCTATAGTCCCAGCTACTCGGGAGGCTGAGGCAGGAGAATGGTGTGAACCCAGGAGGCGGAGCTTGCAGCGAGCCGAGCTCATGCCACTGCACTCCAGCCTGGGCGACAAAGCGAGACCCCGTCTCAAAACATAATAATAATAATAATAATAATACAGAATTATGGACATACAAGATAGGAGAAGTTTATGGTGCAAATACCTATCGCCTTGGTCTTTTTGTTCCCTAACTCAGTGACAGGTGGCTAACTGCTCCTTAGGCTGATAGAGCCAAAACGTGATTCCAGCCTAAGAATCACAAAAGAGCAAAACAGAGGAGGGATTGCTTAGGTAACAGAGATCGAGCTCCTTTAGGAATTTGGAATATGGCAAGTTATTTCTTCTTAGCTTTACGGCAGTAATTTAAGTGTTATGTGATTTTGTAATTGCAGAATATTATGACATAGCCAGAATAAAAATACATCTATTGTCTAAATAGATAACTGGATTCACCAGTTAAATTATCGTGAAAAAATAACTAATAGCAGAAACATTAAAATAAACCATGCGATTTTCTATCAGCTTAGTCTGAAAGTTCACACAAATTCAATTACTTGAAGTTTCCCTGCAATACACCATGTTTTACTTCCTTCTTAGAATCTAGGGTATCTTGCACAGTGGAACCATAGGAAGTTGGATTACTCCCACCAGAGATGGAAGTTTCCAAATTTTCCACTTTTATTAAATATATGTTATATATTTGGCATAATGCCTTGGATTTTGAAAAGCCTTCTTAACCTTGCTGTCTTTTGAAATCATTCTACAAGTAGATAGATATGGTTTGATTATAATTTTGTTTTTTATCTATGCTATTTCTGGCTTGAACATCCCTCTTCAAGAATGTGCAGTGAGGACATTTGCTCTGTGCATTCTCAGGTAACTCTGGCTCTTGAGTAATCAAGCCATATGGATGAATAGAGCCTAGGAAGTAGAGATTCCCAGGGCTGAAGTCTTAGATGGGATGCCTAGACAGTTGATTCAACATATGTTTATTTAACAAATGTTTATTGAGGACCTACTACTCTAGGTGGTAGGAGTACAGCAATAAACAGCACACAAATGCTTGACCACAAGGCACTTCTATTTCAGCAGGCTGGCCATTAAAGAATAAACAAATAGCAACAGCATTTATACTATAATGTCATATATAATATAATGCTTATATATTACAAGCAGATAAATTCTATGAAGAAATACAAATGGTATGAGGTAATAGTAACGGTATCGTGCTATTTTGCAGCATGTGTTCATTGAAGGATGAGCTTAGAAAAAAACAAGCAGAAATCTGAACAGAGTGAAGGAGCAAGCTTTGCCAATATTCTGGTTGAAAAGAAATAAATGATTTGACAAAGAAAATAATTGCTAATGCTTCAATTATAACACTACTATATATCTGAGGGTTGGTGTTTTCGAAGCAAATAACACTAGTTTTTTTTTTCTTTCTTTTTTAATTTTTTTAAACAGAGAATCATTCCATACTCTCTGTATGATAAGCAGGCTGTTGGCATAAGAAAAAGCAGAGCTCCTGGATTCAGAAGACTTGAATTCAGTAATATGTACTGTCTTTTACTAGCTGTTTGGTTCCAGGTAACTCATGCCACCTAATTTAAAATGTAACAATTGAGAGACTATAATAAATGCCAGCTGTTTTGTATCAGGCATACCATACTGTGTATTTACAACCTGGAGATAGGAATTATCATCCCCATTCAGAGATGATTATATGCTCCCTCAACATTTTCTTTTCTTTGTGTCTTCCAGGCTTCATGTGAAAGCACTTTGTACACAGTAAGTTGCTACCCAGTGTCAGCTATTATGCATGGTACAGGACCATACTTCTCAACTACAGTGTGTACACCCCTGGGACATGAAGCCACCAAATCAATTGTCTGCATTTTCTTTGGGTATACATTTTACCCTATAGCAAATACTTTAAAATATGTTTTAAGTAAACAGATATCATGGAGTAAAATGTAAATTTTATATTTATGTGATAAAAGGTGTCTTAATTTTCTTATATATAAATTGTTATTGATATGTGAATGTTAGCACGTAATAGGGTTGTAGGAGGGTTGCATTCTTATAGATAAGTAGGGAAACATGCTGAGTTGACTGTGTTTAGCATATAATAGATGCTCAGGAAATGCAAATTTCCTTCTTTTCTTTCACTGGTAAGACAGGGGCGTTCATGTAGTTTAATCATTTTAAGTATTTGAAATGTGTTCCTTATTTTGAAAATGTCCCTTAAAATACTTTATAAATACTTTCAATTTTTGCTTATAAATTCTACATGTATAAATAGGGTTTCTCTAGCTATCACCTGTCTATAGGAAAAAATAATAAGTTCATATTAAAAGTAATAACTCAGAATTCATTAACATTGTCTCTATCAATGGGAGCCTCCCCTAAAAGTCACAGTTGGTTATCTTCAGCTCATAAACATCCTTTCTTGTTCTTGGCTCAAGTCCTCTACCATATAGGTTGCTACTTTTAAAGTAAAATTACTAAATACTGGTAATTTTGAGCACCTGTTCATATGTGTGTTGGACATTTGAGTAACGTGGTTATTCATACCTATTGTCCATTTTTCACATGGGCTGTACAAATGGGACAATATGTAGTTCTACACACATTCTGAATTATATACATTGCCTATGTTTTCTTTCAGGATTTGGAAGTATTATGTTTAATTTTTCTTTTTTATAAAGAAATTTAGAGTTTACATGCAATCAAATTTAATAAACTTTCCCTTCCTGACTTGCACCTTTTGTGCTTAAGACACCTTCCCCTACCTCAACATATTGAGATTATCCTGTTTTCTTCTAATGGGTTACTGGTCACATTAGGTCTTCAATGTGCTACACACTTTAAATAATCAGATCTCTGTGACTCAGAGGAGAACTCACTCATCAACCAGGGGATGGCACTGAGCCATTCATGAGGGATCCACCCCCATGAGCCAAGCACTTCCCGTCAAGCCCCACCTCCAACACTGGGAATCACATTTCAGCATGAGATTTGGGGAAAATAAATATCCAAACCATATGATTCCAAAAACATGATCCATGAAAGAAGAAATTGAAAAATTGAGCTTTATCTACTGTATACATGTCAAAAAATTTAAATTGCACATGTGAAATATGTGCATTGTGTTGTATGTCAGTTATGCCTGAATAACTCTGTTTTAAAAATAACAGGAAAATGGATCCCATTTTCTAAGAATTCTGGAGGTGGTTGTATACCCTCTGAAGATGTCTTTCCCAGGAAGAAGGACTATCTTGCTTAAAAAGTTATTTCTTATATTTCACCAAAATCTCTTTTACTGTACTGTAAACATTTTATTTTCCCTTTAAAAAATAGTAACAGCTCACCTTGCTTCATTTTGAATGTTGAATCACTTTTGGTGGTATAATCTTACATAGTTTGGATCCCTTATAAGCTGAAAAGTCGTGAGATGGAGAGTAAATATAAGGAGATACTCTTGCTAACCAGCCTGGATAACATCACCGATGAGGAACTGGATAGGTTTAAGTGCTTTCTTCCAGATGAGTTTAATATTGCCACAGGCAAACTGCATACTCTAAACAGCACGAGTAGCCAACTTGATTTAAAACGCTGGCATGGTGTCTGCAGTGAGGAAGACCGTATTTTTCAGAAGCTGAATTATATGCTTGTGGCAAAATGTCTTCGGGAAGAGCAGGAAACAGGTATATGTGGGAGTCCCTCATCTGCCCGGTCCGTTTCTCAGTCAAGACTTGGTCTTTCCTTTCATGGCATTTCTGGGAATGCATGTTGATGAGGGAAACGGGATGACACTAAGCTATTCATGAGGGATCCACCCCCCGTGATCCAGACACCTCCCATCAGGCCCCACCTCCAACACTAGGGATTGCATTTCAGCATGAAAGTCCCCCAGGGAAGGCTGCTGGAATTTGTTTGCTAACTTACTACACCAGCCTCGTTGCCCCCTTTTACTGAGAAATCACTCCTAGGAAGTGTTTGTTACAAATTCCACAAATCCATCCCAGCCTTTGTTTGCATCTCTTGTTCCAGCCCTTAGGGCTGCCACTTCCATTTGTCATATTTTCACTTCTCCAGTTCAATTGCAGCGAACATGAACATGGAATTTCAATCTTAACTTCTCAAAACCTCATTTACATGTTTACCAAAGATTTTAAGATAAAGGAAAGAAATCATAGCACTGGAAAAAAAATAAACTGGGATACTAGGTCGTTTTGTTCTTCCACACAGCCTGCTCATTCTTCTCCCTGTCCCCGGCCTGCTGTGGTCCCAGACGATCCTTTCTTCTTCAAGGGAGTCTTGTATTCATACATCCGCTCTTTCAAATTCAAATATTATTTATCCTTCTCTCTATTTCCTTCCACTAATGACAACAAACTACCCGCACACAAAAACTGTTTTTATATTATTGGACAAATCATTGAATGTCTCCATCTTATCTGCATTTTGTTTACATTTCTGATCTTTTTCTCTATAATTAATATATCCTTTATTTATGTCTGTATAATTAAAATTGACCAACAAAGGAGCATCTCACACTAGGATCCCCCAAAATGAGAGCCTCCAAATGTAACAATTTAGAGATTTTTAAGTTCAACTCTAACAGCAAAACTTATACGACATCTTTTACTCCGTGTGTGTGTGCGCGCGCACGCACGCAGGCACGCAACATGGATAACATGGTTTCTATGTTTACATGATTTCTATGAAGTCGAGATGAAACCATGTAAGTGATAATATAAGCCACAGATCTATACAGATATAAACTGTTAGGCAATATTTAAGGCGCTTTAGCGAAAGGGCTTGTTGTCTTATGCATTATATTTTTCTAGGTTATTCAAAGTCAGAAAGTGTAGTGCTTAGGTATTGCCACAAGGTGGCAGTAACTTCACATAATGTGCGGAAGCAACTAACCGACCTGCAGAAATCAATTAAGTTCCTTTACAGCTCTAAATTTCTATTCTAGATCACGCCTAGGCCTACTTTGAAAGTAGCAAATTTATTTATTTGTGCCCCATGCTACCCTTAACTGTCCCTGGAGGAAACCAGTTTTTTGTTGTGTTTTCTGTAGGTTTCAATTTTCATTCCTTCTTGAAAGTTCTTTCTGCATAACCAGTGCTATGCCTGCATGTGGAGCACTATACAGTATTCTACCCACGATCTCACCTCATGGAAGATAGAGGAGATCTGGAGAAATCTTTAATGAAGACGGTTAATAATCATTTTATGGGAAAGATCAGTAGATGGAAAGAGAGATGACAAAGTATGAGGACACTTAAGCCTGGAAAAAGGAAGCTGAGAGAGCTTGTGATCAAATTCTGTAAAAGTCCTGCAAGATTAAAATAGAAAGTTGAAAATGATAAATGAAATAATAAGTGAGAATTCTGCATCTGATTATTAATGAAAAAGAGATTTACAGTGGGCAGACATACTCGTCCACAAATATCGGTACCACTGTGTGGGAGATGAAATATGACTGATGTGATGTGGTAGAATGATAGGCTGATTCCCTTGGCCTCCCTTCACTCTGTTTTTTCTCGTATACTCTCAACACAGAAGGGAAACTTTATCTTCATACCTCTCTGAAACCAGTTTCATGAAACTAAGCTACCTTTGAAAGTTAGTTTTACTACTTCTTAGAGTAGACATTCCTTTACACTAACCCTGACAGAGTCCATGACTTTCTATTGTTTGAAATGTAGTGACATATTGTTAGATATATAGTTTACAAATATTTTATCCCATTCTGTAAGCTGTCCCTTCATTCTGTTGATTGTATACTGTGCAGAAGTTTTTAAGTTTGATGTAATCTCATTTATCCATTTGTGCTTTTGCTGCCTGTGCTTTCGAGGTCTTATTCAAACAATTCTTACACATACCAATGTCCTAAGGCATTTTCTCTGTGTTTTCTTCTAGTAGTTTCATAGTTCTGGATCTTACCTTTAAGTCTTTAATTCATTTTGAGTGACTTTCACATGTTGTGAAACATAAGAGTCTAATTTTATTCTTCTTCATGTGATTATTCAAAACATATAAGGAATTCAAAGAACTCAATACTTGGTATAAAATAAACAAAAACAAAATAAAATAACCTGATTACAAAGTAGATAAAAGCCTGAATAGACATTTCTGAAACGAAGTCATACAAATGGCCACCAGGTATATGAAAAATTCTCCACATCACCAAACATTGAGTAATGCAAAGCAAGGCCATAATGAGATTTCACCTCATCCCAGTTTGAACGGCTATTATCAAAAAGACAAGAGATAACAAATGTCAGCAAGGATGTGGAGAAAAAGGAGCTCCTTACACTGTTGGTGAGAATGTAAACTCATAAAGCCATTATGGGAAATAGTATGGAGGCGCCTCAAAAAATTAAAAAGAGAAATACCATATGATGTAGCAGTCCCACTTCTTATAGTAAGAAGAATGAAATGAGTATGTTGAAGAGCTCTCTACACTCTCGTATTTATTGCAGCACGATTCACGGTTATGAATGGCACTATTCACAATTCACATTGATTGATGTGGATTCAGCCTAAGTGTCCACTAGTGGATGAATGGATAAAGAAAATGTGAAGGCACATGCTGACAAACATACAGATGCACTTAAATTTATACTAAAAATCACTGGACTGCGTTGCTAACTTCCATTAGGGAAGAATGTAGAACAGACCATGGGATTCTTTCATTGCCAGGTTCATGTGACCCTTTCCATATGGTCAACACCAGACCAGAAATTTAATCAGTTCCAGCCCAAGTGCCATCACCAAAATGTGAGAAGGCTGCCCACTGCTCAAAGGTTTTCAATTAAGATAGGTACTCCTGGCTGGGTGCGGTGGCTGAGGCCTGTAATCCCAGAACTTTGGGAGGCCAAGGCGGGTGATCACGAGGTCAGGAGATCGAGACCATCCTGGCTAACACAGTGAAACCCCGTCTCTACTAAAAATACAAAAAAAAAAAAAAAAAAAAAAAAATTAGCCGGCCATGGTGGCCGGTGCCTGTAGTCCCAGCTACTCGGGAGGCTGAGGCAGCAGAATGGCGTGAACCCAGGAGGTGGAGCTTGCAGTGAGCTGAGATCGCACCACTGCACTCCAGCCTGGGCGACAGAGCGAGACTCTGTCTCAAACAAACAAACAAACAAAAAGATAGGTACTCTTTTTTTGAACATGTGACATGGGTGTAGACAACTGTGTTTCAGTTTGACTGGGAAGATAAAAGTGTTTTCTTTATAGAGGAAGAAAGCCCAGGTCTGTGCCCTCAGGGCAGGCTGGGGAAATTGAAAGTGTGGTTTGGGTAAGACGGTACCTGGTAGAAAGGACATCCATGCAGAATCAGTGCACATTGAGTGCAAAAGGTGGCTTTGGTGGCTAGACAAATGGCCCTTTGTAAGGAAGGCTATGCACACTGGTGTCAGCAGCTCTGGCCAGTTCTAGTTGAATCTACAGAACCTGACAGGGCATGATTGATGAACCCCTAAGTTAGAAACACCTGGGTCCAGGTAACTGAGGACTGTTCCACACATACAAAAAGCATGGAGAAAGACGTGTGGCTTATCAATGAAAAGTAAAATGTTAAGCCCTTCACTGACTGAACAGATCCCTTCTTGGCCAAGGGGACCCCAGGAAAACCTTAAAACTGAGTTTCTGGCCATGATGGGTGGGAGGTCAGACACACTTCACTATACCCTACCTCCCTTTTATGGTTTAGACACAACAACTGATCAGGATTGTTAAAACAGAGATCATAAAACTGACAGAACAGACTCTTCATGGCCAAAAAATACCAAATTATACACAGGACCTAGGGCCATGCCAGGCAAAGATTAAGTCGTGCACTCCAACACTTAAAGAATAAATAATGTTCTAGTACTTCCAGTCCAGGCCAGAGGAATTAGGCAAGAGAAAAAACAATAAAGGGCAAGAGTAAGTCAAACTATCCTTTTTTGCAGATAACATGATTCTATATCTAAAAAACCATAGTCTCAGCCCCAAAGCTCTATCAGCTGATAAACAACTTCAGCAAAGTTTTAGGATACAAAATCAATGTACAAAAATAAGTAGTATTCCTATACACTAACAACTGCCAACCGGAGCGCCAAAACAGGAATTCAATCCCATTCACAACTGCCAATAAAAGAATAAAATACCCAGGAATACAGCTAACCAGGAAGGTGAAAGATTTCTACATTGAGGGTTATAGAACACTTCTCAAAGAAATCTGAGATGACACAAACAAATTGAAAAACATTTCACGCTCATGGATAAGAAGAATTAATTTCACTAAAATGTCCATACTGCCCAAAGCAATTTACAGATTCAATGCTATTCCTATCAAATTACCATTGACATTCTTCACAGAACTAGAAAAATCTACTCTAAAATTAATATGGAATCAAAAAAGAGCCCGAATAGCCAAGACAATCCTAAGCAAAAGGAATAAAGCTGGAGGCATCATGTTACCTGACTGCAAACATACTACAGGGCTACAGTAACCAAAGCAGCATGGCATTGGTACAAAAACAGATACACAGACCAGTGGAACAGAATAGATAGCTCAGAAATAAGGCCGTACACCTACAACCATCTGATCTTTGGCAAAGCTGACAGAAGCAAGCAATGGGGAAAGGACTCCCTTTTCAATAAATGGTGCTAGGAGAACTGGCTACCCATACGAACAAGATTGAAACTAGACCTCTTCCTTATACCATATACAAAAATCAACTCAAGCTGGATTAAAGACTTAAATGTAAAACCCAAAACTATAAAAATCCTGACGACAACTTAGGCAATACCATCTGGACATAGGAACGGTCAAAGATTTCATAACAAAGATGCCAAAAGCAATCATAACAAAAGCAAAAATTGAAAAATGGAATCTAATTAAACGTAAGAGCTTCTGTACAGCAAAAGAAACTATCAACAGAGTAAACAGACAATCTATAGAATAAAAGAAAATTTTGCAAACTATGCATCTGACAAATGTCTAATATCCAGCATCTATAAGGAACTTAAACAAATTTACAAGAAAAAAACAAACAACCTTGTTGAAAAGCGGGCAAAGAATGTGAACAGATGTTTTTCAAAGAAGACATATGTGTGGCCAAAAAGCACATGAGTAAAAGCTCAATAGGACTGATCATGAGAAAAATGCAAATCAAAACCACAATGAGATATATCTCACACCAGTCAGAATGGCTATTATTTTATTTTTAATTTTTAATTTTTTTTTTTTTTTGAGATGGAGTCTCATTCTGTCACCCAAGGTGGAATGCAGTGGTGAAATCTCGGCTCACTGCAACCTCTGCCTCCTGAGCTCAAGCAATTCTCCTGCCTCAGCCTCCCTAGTACCTGAGATTACAGGTGCCCGCCACTGCGCCCAGCTACTTTTTATATTTTTAGTAGGGACAGGGCTTTGTCATGTTGGCCAGGTTGGTCTTGAACTCCTGACCTCAGGTGATCTACCCACCTTGGCCACTGAAAGTGCTGAGATTACAGATGTGAGCCACCGCCCCTGGCCCAAATGGTTATTATTAAAAAATCAAAAAATAACATGCTGACAAGGTTGTGGGGCAAAAGGAATGCTTATACACTGTTGGTGGGGTGTAAATTAGTTCAACTATTGTGGAAAGCAGTGTGGTGTTTTCTCAAACAGCCAAAAACAGAACTACTATTCAACCCAGCAATCTCACTACTGGGTACATACATGAAGGAAGATAAATCATTCTACCATAAAGACACATGCATGTGAATGTTCATTGCAGCACTATTCACAATAGCAAAGACATGGAATCAACATAAATGCCCATCAGTGGTAGACTGGATAAAGAATATGTGGTATATATACACCATGGAATACTATGCAGCCATAAAAAAGAGTAAGATTATGTCTTTTGTGGGAACATAAATGCAGCTGGAGGCCATTATCCTTAGCAAACTAACACAGTAACAGAGAACCAAATACAACATGTTCTCACTTATAAGCAGGATCTAAATGATGAGAACTTATGGATACAAAGAAGGGAACAACATACACTGGGGTTTACCTGAGGGTAGAGAGTTGGAGGAGGGAGAGGATTAGAAAAAATAACCATTGGGTACTAGGGTTAGTACCTGGGTGACAAAATGATCTGTACAACCAACTCCTGTGACATGAGTTTAACTATATAACAAACCTGCAAATGTAACCCTGAACCTAAAATAAATGTTTAAAAAAGGATAAACTATGGTCTAAGTGTGACAAAGTTATTTTTTTAAATATCTAGCAGCCAAACAAGCACTGACCTTGAAATAAGCAATATTAAAACAATTACAACTCATCCAGCTCACAGGTGCTGATTAACTGAGCTCCTGTTCCATCAGCCATAGCTACAGCTTTGATTGGACAAAATACTGATTTCAATATTGTTATCCTGATAAGAAGATGACCAAACATGGGCTGACTGGCCAGTTTGCAGAGACTGTGCAATTGTGTACCTTTGTGTCCTGAAAAGACCTTTTGATGTATATGTTCTAATTGTAATACATTTCAATATTAACTCTACACCACAAAGTGAACATGGGTCATATACTACATGAATGTTTGTTCTGTATGCATGTGCATGTGTCAAGACTACTGACTAATTCATTCTCACACTGCTAATAAAGACATATGCAAGACTGGGTAATTTATAAAGGAAAGAGGCTTAATTGACTCACAGTTCAGCATGGCTGGGAGGCCTCACGACAATTACGATCATAGCGGAAAGCACCTCTTCACAGGGCAGCAGGAGAGAGAATGAGTGCCAAGCACAGGGGGAAGCCCCTTATGGAACCATCAGATCTCGTAAGAAGTCCCTCACTATCACAAGAACAGCATGGGGGAAACTGTCCTCATGATCCAATTACCCTCCCACTGGGTCCCTTCCATGACACATGGCAATTATTACAATTCAAGGTGAGATTTGGGTGGGGACACAGAGCCAAACCTTATCACTTAGCCCATGGTTCCTCCCAAATCTCATGTCCTCACAGTTCAAGACACAATCATGCCCTTCCAACAGTCCCCCAAATTCTTAACTCATTCAAGCATTAACACAAAATTCCAAGTTCAAAGTCTCACCTGAGACAAGTCAAGTCCCTTCCACCTATGAGCCTATGAAATCCAAAGCAAGTTAGTTACTTCCTAGATACAATGGGGCTACAGGTATTGGGTAAATACATTCGTTCCAAATAAGAGATATTGACAAAAACAAAAGGGCCGCATGCCCCATGCAAGTCCAAAATCCAATAGAGTAGTCGTTAAACCTTAAAGTTCCAAAATGTTATACTCCATGTCTCACATCCAGGTCATGCTGAAGCAAGAGATGGGACCCCACAGCTTTGGGCAACCACCTTCGTGCATATTTATAGCTCTTTCTGTAACCTGTTGAATATGTATGTTTAGCCTGTCTATTCAGCATAAAGCTCTTACCCCAACCCCTCCTCCTTTGAAGTGCCTGTCTCTGGCCTTGGCCAGAGACAAATTGTGTATGTGTGTGTGTGTGTGTGTGGTTTAAGTTAACAAACTTGACATACACTACTGAACTCCAAAGTGAAAGGCCAGTAGAGAAAACCAGGTCAGAGGTCATTTGCGTTACTCAACTAGCACAGGTGGATGGAATATTCCTATTGCCCTAATGGAGTGAGGCAGGTCCACACATGTGTAGGCTGATAATGGAAACAGAGAATGGAGCCCTGAGGTGCTGGTCTGGGCATCACATTTGCAGCACTGCTAGCTTTTTGGTCAGCCTTTGCATTTAAAGACAAAGCTGAGAAATGTACGACTATGTAATAGACTTGTGTTTGTGTTTGTTATCCTGGTTTTTTGTTTGTTTGTTTGTTTGTTTGAGACAGTGTCTCACTCTTGTGGCCCAGGCTGGAGTGCAATGGCACCATCTTGGCTCACTGCAACCTCTGCCTTCCAGATTCAGGTGATTTTCCCTCCTCAGCCTCCTAAGTAGGTGGGATTATAGGCATCTGCCCCATGCCCGGTCAATTTTTGTATTTTTAGTAGAGATGGGGTTTCACCATGTTGGCCAGGCTGGTCTCAAACTCCTGGCCTCAAGTGATCCACCCGCCTTGGCCCCCCAAAGTGCTGGGATTACAGGCATGAACCACCATGTGTGGCCAAAGATTTCCTTTTCTTTTTTTTTTGTGAGACAGAGTCTCACTCTGTCACCCAAGCTGGAGTGCAGTGGCACCATCTCGGCTTACTGCAACCTCTGCTGTTATTCTTAAAAACTCAGAAAGGTGGAGACCACATAAGACTTGAACACAAGATCGCATAATCCTCAATGATCTTACTTGCTTTCATGGGCTTTTGGGGCACCCATTTGCCCATAAACATCCAGGCAACTCTCTCTGCCCTCTCCTGGGGAAGGAAGATGATGTCTCCCAAATGCCAAAAAAAAAAAAAAAAAAATCCCTGAACCCCCACAACAAGAAAGAAAAAATATGTATACAAAATATAATACTTTTAACCATAAAAAGGAAGGAAATCCTTTCATTTGTGATGACATGGATGAACCTGAAGGAAATTTTGTTAAGTGAAATAAGCCAGGCACAGAAAGAAAAATATCACATTATCTCATTGTATTAGTTTGTTCTCACGCTGCTATGAAGAACTTTCCAAGACTAGGTAATTCATACGAAAAAGATATAAAGAAAAGAGGTTTAATTGACTCACAGTTCCACATGGCTGGGGAGGCCTCAGGAAACCTATAATCATGGCAGAAGGGGAAGTAGTCACATCTTACATGATGGCAGGTGAGAGAGCGTGTGAAGGAGGAACTGTCAAACACTTATAAAACCATCAGATGTTATGAGAACTCAGTCATTATCATGAAAACAGCATGGGAGAAACTGGCCCCTGGTCCCACCATGTGCCTCCCTCAAAACTTGGGGGTTACAGGGATTACAATTTGAGATGAGATTTGGGTGGGGACACAGAGCCAAACTGTATCACTCATTCATATGTAGAATCTCAAAAAGTTGATCTCATAGTGGTAGAGAGTAGAGTGGTGGTAAACAAAGGGTAGGGATGTTGTAGGGGAGGGAGAAATGGGAAAATGTTGGTCAAAAGATATAATTATAGTTAGATTGGAGTAATAAATATCAAGAAATCTATTTTATAGCAAGGTGACTATAGCTAAAGATGAAATATTGTATTCCTGAAAAATATAAAGAGAGTGGATGTTATGTCTTCTCATGACAAAAATGTTGGCTGTGAGGTAATATATTTGTTAATCAGAGAGATTTAACCACCTCACAATGTATATATACTTCAAAACATCATATTGTACCTGATAAAAACATATAATGTTGTCTGTCAACTTAGAAAATTAAAAAAAAAGAAATAATAGATTATTATGGCCTCCCAAAAAGAAAGGTCACAACAGAGAACTCACCATCTCATAACACAGCTCATTCTACCCCTAGACAGTCATATTAAATTAATCTAATAACTAAATCATTCTTCTTTCTATTAAATGCAAGGTGATCACCTTGTTTCTTCAGCCTAGAACTGCTCAAGTTCTATCAGAAACAATATCTAACAATTTCTCTTATCCTCTTCTGTCTCAGCGTGCCTTAAAAAATTAAATTTGGCCATCTTGATACATGGTCATATTCACATCATGAGTGGAAGTTGACTATTCATCATGAAGCATTGATGAGAAGCCAGCATGCCATACACTCATTCACACATTTATGCATTTATCCATTCTATTGTGTTCTTAATAGCTACCAGAGAATCTTTAAGGTTCTGTAGATAAAAGAGGAAACTAAAAACAAATACAAGTTTTATGGAAATTATACTTGAACTTGGAAGGTAGTTTTTTTTTTAACAGGAAATTAATAAATGTTATAAACTGAGATAAATGCTCTGATGAAAAGGAAGATGGTCCTTTAAGAATGTATTAGTTTTAAAGGGTTGCTGTAATAATGTACCTTTGACTGGGTGGCTTGAGCAACAGAAATTTATTGTTTCATGTCTCTGGAGGAATTAAGCCTGAGATCAAGAGGTCAGCAGGGTTGACTTATTCTGAGAAAGCAACTGTTTCATGTATCTTCCCTAGCTTTTGGTGGTTTGCCAGAAATCTTTGGTGTTCTTTAGCTTATGAATGCATTATTCTGATCTTTACTTTCATCGTTACATGATGTTCCACTTGTAAATATGCCTCTGGAATTTCCCTTTTTAAAAAACAAGGACACCAGTGTTATTGAATTAGACAATAATTAGCCTAATGCTCTCAGCTTACTTCATTGCATCAGTAATGAACCTATTTCCAAATAAAGTCACATTTTTAGGTATGAGAAGTGAGGAACTGAGCACACAAACTTTGGGAGGTTACAGTTCAACCAGCAGAAGTCCGCTCTTGACCTTCACTAATTCATATCCTGATGAAATGCAAAATATAATCACCTCACCTCAACATTCCCCAATGTCTTAACTCATTCATTAAAATTAACTAAGTCCAAAATCTCAACTAAATATCAAAATAAATATGGGTGAGACTCAGGATATGATTAATTCCATGGCAAAAGTCCTCTCCATCTGTGAACCTGAAAATCTAGAAAATATGTTATCTCTTTTAAAATACTATGATCTGCCAGGCATAGCATAGAAATTTCCATTTTAAAAGGGAAGAACCAGACAGAAGAAAAGGGATACAGGTCCCAAACAAGTCCAAAAACCAGTGGAGAAAATTATATGAGATTTTAAGGCTCTTTGGATCCAGGTTCAACATCCTTTGGTACAGGCTGACAGCATGTCAGCTGAAATGGTTGATGGTGTCCACTTGTCATATACCTGAGCTCTTTAGCAAGAGGTTATCCAGCCCCAGTGGGGGTGTGTCTTGGTATTCTCTTCAGAGTCTCTCTCTCTGCAATGTGAATAGAATAAGCATTTTTCAAATGCTTGTATTCAAATTCTCATTTATTTTTCTCAAAAAATTTTCTCTTCAGTTTATCTCTCTCCTCATTTTATTTTAAACAGTAAGAAGAAATTAGGGTATTCCTTCAACATTGTGCTTAGAAGTTTCCTCAGCTAAGTATCCAAGTTCATCACTTACAGAGTCTACTTTTTATTCAACAGAACTCAATACAGCCAAGAGAGCCAAGTCCTCTCTCACTATATAATGAGGATTGCCTTTCTTCCCATTTACCTCATCTCCACCTGAGACCTAATCAGACCGTCTTTAACATTTATATTTCTAGCAACATTCTGTTGATGATGTTGATGATGACATGTTTATTCTAAAAGATCATAGAGGCTTTCTCTTTGACTCTCCTCTCTTTCTTTCTAAGTCCATACCAGAACCTCCTTTAATGTTCATGTTTACAAATAATCTCTTCAAGGCAACCTATAGTTTTTATATTACACACCTCATTCTTCCAGTTTAAACTCATTATATTATATACCTCATTCTTCCAGCTGATACCAATTTTCCAATTCCAAAGCCATCTCCACATTTTTAAGTATTTGTTACAATAATACCCCATGTCACTTTTCCAAACTATTACTTTTCTAGGGCCTCTAAAAGAAAATACCACAAACTGGGTGGCCTAAACAACAGAAGTTTATGGTTTCACAGTTCTGGAGGCTATAAGTCCAAGATCAAGCATGAGCAGATTTGATTCCTTCTGATGGCTGTGAAAGAATCTGTCCTGTGCCTACTCCGTAGGTTCTAGCGGTTTGATGAAAATCTTCAGTGTTCTTTGGCTTATAGATGCATAACCTTACTATCTGTTTTTATGTTCACACTGTATTCTCCATAGTATGTCCTTCTCTGTGTTCAAATTTTCCCTTTTTATAAGGCATAGTCATATGAAATGGAGGCCACTGTAAAGACTTTATCTGAATTAGCTTTGCCAGGAAGACACTATTTTAAAATCCACAGGTATTGCAGCTTTCTCTCTAGAAAGAAAAGACTAGTCATTTTCAAGAAATTATACTGGGACAACTAGATAGTCACATACAAATGAATAAACTGGATTCATTATTTCATATCATATGAAAAAATTAGTTCAAAATGGATCAAAACTCTTAAATGTGAGAACTGCAATTATATACATCTTAGAATAATACATAGGTGTAAATCCACATGACCTTGGATTTGGCAATAGATTCTAAGATATGATATCGAATGCACAAGCAAAAAAATATAAATTGGACTTTATTAAAATTAAAAACTTTTACGTATCAAATAACATTATCAAGAATATGAGAAGACAACCAGTGGAATAAAAGTAAATATTTGCAAATCATATATTCAATAAGGGACTTATAAGGAACTATACAACTTAATAATAAAGACCACCTAAATAAAAAATAGGCAAAGACTCTGAATAGGAAATTTCTCCAAGAAGATATACAAACAGCCAATAAGTATTTTTGAAAATGCTTGACATTATTAGTCATCAGGGAAATGCAAATCACTTTATACCCACTGGGTTGGTTATACCCACTAGGCTGACTAGAATAAAAAATTATGTAATAACAAGTGTTGATGAGGTTGTGGAGAAATTAGGACTTTTCTACACTGCTTGTGGCAATGTAAATTGTTGTAGCCACTTTGGAAGACTTTCTGACAATATCCCATCACCTCACAACTGTTAGGATGTCTAGTATCAACAAACAAACAAAAAAGATAACAGGTGTTGGTAAGGATGTTGAGAAATTGTAACCCTTATATGCTATTTATGGGAATGCACAATGGTATAATCACTAAGGAAAACATTATAGAGGTTTCTTAAAAAATTAAAAATGTGGGAAAGTGTTGCATGAAATAGGTGTAGAGTGGCCCACTCTCACCATGGACTTCCAGAATCCTAGCTGTAGGAGATCCCATAACTCCCACAGACATCTGAGCTGGCTAAAAGTGCCAAGAGAGTTGGCAGAGACAGAACTCCAGATTGCGCAGACAGAGGGTTTGGCACAGGAATGGCTGCAGTGGAGCATGGACATGGACGCCCATCCCTTAAGTCTTGCCATACTCCTCTAGGTGGCTTTAGCCTTTGTTGGCTGCAAGGGCTGGATAGAAATGAACTATCTGCTCAAAGGGTGGGGCTGGTTTGATCAGAGTGTCCCCATCTGCTGGCCTCTCTCAGAGTTTCTGCCTCGCTGCACCAACTTTCAGCATGGCCTTGGCAGCACTGACCCACAATTGCTGTCCCACCAAAGCATTTTTGCCAGCATGTCCCCACATAGATGGTTTAGACAGTAGACTGAGAACACCTCAGCCCCTTCAGTGCAGCAGGTCCTTTACCTCAAGTGGTCAGAAAAAAAGGTGTTGGCCTAGTTTCAGACCCCTAGGGGTAGAGCACACAGCCTAACAGTGCTGAGCTGATCCTTGGACCCATGAAATTATCCAGAAACAAAGCCGATCAACTAAACCCAACTTATAGCACAGCTAGACACTCAAGGACATCAAAGAATATAAAATAAAAGAGCCCCATCCAAAGAACAGCAACTGCAAAGACTAGCAAAATATTAGCCCACACAGATGGGAAAGAACCAGTGCAAGAACTCTGGCACTGTAGAAACCAGAGTGTCTTACCTCCAAACTACCATGCTACCTACCCAGCAAAGTCTAGATGGCAATGAAGATTCTTGAAATATAGGAGAAAGCAGAAACCCAATCAAAGGAATCTAAGAAATCCAATAAAATAATACAAAAGCTTAAAGATAAAATAGCCATTTTAAGAAAGAACCAAACTAACCTACTAGAGCTGAAAACTCACTACAAAAATTTCATAATATAATTGGAAGTACTAACAGCAGAAGCTGAGGAAAGCTGAGGAAAGAAATCTCAGAGCTTGAAGATCAGTTCTTCAAATCAACTCAGTCAGATAAAAATAAAGGAAAAAATAATAAAATATGAACGAAACTTCAAGAAATATGAGTTTATGTAAAGAGACCAAACCTACAACTGATTTGCATCACAGAAAGAGAGGGAGAGAGACCAAGCAACTTGGAGAACATATTTGAAGATATTGTCCCTGAAAATTTACCTGACCTTGCTAGAGAGGTTGACATGTAAATTCAGGAAATTCAGAGTACCCCAGCAAGATATTACACAAGATGACAATCCCTAAGACACATAGTTATCCAATTCTCCAAGATCAAGGTAAATAAAACATATGAAAGGCAGCAAAAGAGAAGAGGCAGATCATGTACAAAGGGAACCCTTATCACACTAACAGTGGACCTTTCAGCAGAAATTTTTCAAGCCAGAAAAGATTAAAGGCCTACATTCAGCATTCTTAAACAAAAGAAATTCTAACCATGATTTCATATCCAGCCGAACCAAGCTTTGTAAGTGAAAAAGAAACATAATCCTTTTCAGACAAACAAACACTAAGCGAATTTGTTACCATTAGGCCTGCCTTATAAGAGGTCCTTCAGGGAGTGCTGAACATGGAAACAAAAGGCTGCTACCTGCCACAAAACAACACACTTAAGTAAATATTCCACTGACACAATATGCAACTATACAATCAAGTCTACATAACAACCAGCTAATAACACTATGACAGGATCAAATCCTTACATATCAATATTAACCTTGAACATAAGCAGGCTAACCACTCCACTTAAAAGGCACAGAATGGTAAGTTGGATAAAGAAGCAAGACTCAATTACATGCTGTCTTCAAGAGACCCACCTTACATGTAAAGACACAGGCTTAAATTAAATGGATGGAGGAATATCTATAAAGCAAATGGAAAACAAACAAAATAGAGCAGGGGTTGCTCTTTTATTTCAGGAAAAAAAAAACAGACCTTAAACCAAAAGCTATCAAAGAGGATGAAGAAGGGCATCACATAATGATAAAAAGTTCAATTCTACAAACAAGACTTAACTATCCTAAAGATGTGTGCATTCAGCACTGGCACAACCAGATTCATAAAACAAGTTCTTAGAGACCTATGAAGAGAACTAGCTAACCTCACAATAATAGTGGGAGAATACAACACCCTACTAACATTGTTAGATAAATCATTGAGGGAGAAAACTAACAAAGATATTCAGGAACAAAATTTCACACTTGACTAAATTGACCTAACAGACATATAAGGAACATTCCACTCAACAACAGAATATACATTCTTCTCATCTGCACATGGCACATACTCTGTGCCACATGCTTGGCCACATGCTTGGCCATAAAGCAATGCTCAGGAAATTCAAAAAACAGAAATTATATCAACCACACTCTCAGATCACAGTGCAACAAAAATACAAATCAATACCAAGAAGATCTCTGAAAATCATAGAAGTATTTGGAAATTAAACAACTTACTCCTGAATGACTTTTGGGTAATAAATTAAATTAATGCAGAAATCAAGAAATCTTTGAAACTAATGAAAACAAAAATACAATATATCAGAGTCTCTGGGACACAGCTAAAGCAGTGTTAAGAGAAAAGTTTATAGCACTAAAGGCCTACATCAAAAAGTCAGAAATATCTTAAATTTATACCTAACATCACATTTACAGGAACTAGAAAAAACAAAAGGAAACCAACCCCCAAACTAGCAGAAGAAAAATAATAATCAAAATCTAAGTTGAACCAAATAAAATTGAGATGTGAAAATTCACAAAAATAATTAAGAAAACTAAAAATTGGTTTTTTGAAAGAATAAGATATATAGACCACTAGCCAGATTAATATACAAAAAAAAAAAAAAAAACAGGAGAAGATCCAAATAAATACAATTAGAAATGACAAAGGGGACATTACCATGGAACCCACAGAAATACAAAAACTCTCAAAGACCATTATGAACAATTTCTATGCTGAAAAACTAGAAAATCTAGAAGAAACAGATAAATTCCTGAAAACATACAACCTGCCAAGATTGAACCAGGAAGACATTGAATACCTAAACAGATCAATAACAAGTTCTGAAATTGAATCCATAATAAAATACCTACAAACCAACAAAAGCCATGGATCAGACAGATTCACATCTGAATTCTACCTGATAGATAAGGAGGAGCTGATACCAATCCTACCAAAATTATTCCAAAATATTGAGGAGCGGAGACTCTGCCCTGAATCATTCTATGAGGTCAGCATTATTCTGATACCAAAACCTGACAGAAACACAAAGGAAAAACAAATTCAGGACAATATGCCTGATAAATATTGATGCAAAAGTCCTCAAAAAAAAATACTAGCAAACTAAATCCAGCAGCACAGCAAAAGCTAAGCCACCATGATCAAGTAAGCTTTACCCCTGGAATGCAAAGTTGGTTCAACATACGCAAATTGGTAAATGTGATTTATCACATAAACAGAACTAAAAACAAAAATCACGTGATTATCTAAATAGATGCAGAAAAGGTTTCAATAAATTCAACATTCTTTCATGTTAAAAACCCTCAACAAACTAGGTATCAAAGGAACATACCTCAAAATGAGACATCTATGACAAAACCACAGCCAACATCATATCACAAATAGGCAAAAGCTGAAATCATACCTCTTGAGAACCAGAACAAGACAAAGTTGCCTACTCTCACTACTCCTGGTTCAACATAGCACTGGAAGTTCTAGCCAGAGCAGTCAGGCAAGAGAAAAAAAAATAAAAGACGTCCAAATAGAAAGAAAGGAAGTCAAACTACCTCCTTTTGCAGGTAATATGATTCTATACCCAGAAAACCCCATAGCCTTTGCCCCAAATTTCCCAGAAATTATAAACAACTTCAGCAAAGTCTCAGGATACAAAATCAATGTACAAAAATTAGTAGCATTTCTATACAACTAATAATACCCAAGCTGAAAGCCAAACCAAGAACATAGTTCCTTTCACAATAGCCACACAAAGAATAAACACATAGGAATACAGCTAACCTGGGAGGTAAAAGATTTCTACAACAAGAGTTACAAAATGCTGCTAAAAGAAATTAGAGATGATACAAACAAATGGAAAGACATTTCATTCTCATGGATAGGAAGAATCAATATTGTTAAAATGGCTATATTCTCCAGAGCAATTTACAGATTCAATGTTATTCTGATCAAACTACCAATGTCATTTTTCACAGAATTAGAAAAACTATTCTAAAATTTATATGGAACCCAAAAAAGATCCCAAATAACCAAAATAATCCTATGCAGAAACCACAAAGCTGGAGGCATCACACTATCCAAATTCAAACTATACTACAAAGTTACAGTCACCAAAGTAGCATGGTGCTAGAACAAAACAGATACATAGACCAATGGAACAGGTTAGAGAACCCAGAAATAAAGCTGCACACCTACAACCATTGGATCTTCAACAAAGTTGACAATAACAAGTAATGGAAACAGTACTTCCTATTCAACAAGCAGTGTCAGGATAACTGGCTGGTTATATACAGAAAATTAAAACTGGAACCCTTCCTTTCACCATATAAAAAATCTACTCAATATAAAGTTAAAAAAAACTTATATATGTAAAACCTAAAACTGTAAATGCCCTAGAAGAAATCTAGGAAATACTATTCTGGACATTAGCCTTGGCAAAGACTTCATGACAAAGACTCCAAAAGCAAATGTAGCAACAACAACAAAAATTGACAAGTGAGATCTAATTAAAGATCTTCTGTACAGCAAATTAGACTATCAACAGAATAAAAAGATAGTCTACAGAATGGGAGAAAGTATTTGCAAACTATGATTTCTGAGAAAGGTCTAATATCTAGACTCTATAAGGAACTTAAATCAACAAGCAAAAACCAAACAGTTTCATTAAAAATGGTTAAAAGCCATGAATAGATCTTTCTCAAAAGAGGATCCATGCAACTAACAAGCATGTGAAAAATGCTCAATATCACTAATCATTAGAGAAATGCAAATCAAAACTACAGGGAGATACCAGCTCACACCAGTCAGAATAGCTGCTATTAAAAAGTCAAAAAATAACTGATGCTGGTGAGGTTGTAGAGAAAAGGGAACATTTATACATTGAGGGTGGAAATGCCAATTATATGCCATATTTTTTTATATGGTGAAAGGAAGAGGTCCAGTTTTAATTTTCTTCATACAGCTAGCCAGTGATCCTGATGCTATTTGCTGAATACTTCAGCGACTGTTGAAAACAGTTTGGAGATTTCTCAAATAACTTAAAACAGAACTAACATTTGACCCAGCAATCCCATTACTGGTATATACCCAAAGGAATATAAATTGTTCTACTAAAAGATACGTGCTTGTATATGGTTTCTTTGTTTGTTTGTTTATTTATTTCTTTATCTTTTGATTCAGAGTCTCGCTCTTGTCCCCCAGGCTGGAGTGCAATGGCACAATCTTGGCTTACTGCAACCACTGCCTCCCAGGTTCAAGCGATTCTCCTGCCCCAGGCTCCCAAGTAGCTGAGACTACAGGTGCCTGCCACCACAAAAGGCTAAGTTTTTGTATTTTTAGTAGAGACAGGGTTTCACCATGTTGGCCAGGCTGGTCTCGAACTCCTGACCTCAGATGATCCACCCACCTCAGCCTCCCAAAGTACATGTGTATGCTTATTGCACTTTTCATAATAGTAATGACATGGAATCAATCTAGATGGCCATTAACAGTGGTTTAGATAAAGCAAATGTGGTACGTATACAACATGGTACACTACGGAGCCATAAAAATACAAAATCATTACTGGGGGAACCTGACTCCAATATTTCAATGTAGGTTCTTTCTATTTTCCACAAGTGTCAGCCAGCTGAGAAATAAAGACAGTACAAAGAGGAATTTTACAGCTGGGCCACGAGGGGTGACTTCATGTATCGGTAGGACCATGATGCCCGCCTGAGTCTCAGACCAGCAAGTTTTTGTTAAGGGTTTCAAAAGGGAGGGGGTGTAAGAACAGGGAGTAGGTACAAAGATAACATGCTTTAAAGGGCAAAAAGCAGAACCACTAGTAAAGGTCTAACAAAGATCACATACTTCTGAGGGAACGGGACAAAGGGTAAAAGCAGAACCACTGATAAGCGTCTATGTTCAGCGGTGCATGTATTGTCTTGATAAACATCTTAAACAACAGAACACAGGGTTCGAGAGCAGAGAACCGGTCTGACCACAAATTTACCAGGGCAGAGTTTCCCCAACCCTAGTAAGCCTGAGGGTTCTGCAGGAGACCAGGGTGTATCTCAGTCCTTATCTCAACTGCACAAGTCAGACATTCCCAGAGCAGCCATTTATAGATCTCTCCCCAGGAACGCATTCCATTCCCAGGGTATTAATATTAACATTCCTTGCTAGGAAAAGAATTTAGCAATATCTTTCCTACTTGCACATCCATTTATAGGCTGTCTGCAAGAAGAAAAATACGGCTCGTTTTGCCCAAACCCGCAGGCAGTCAGAGCTTACGGTTGTCTTCCCTAAAAATCGCTACTATTCTGTTCTTTTTCAAGATGCACTGATTTCATATTTTTCAAACTCACATGTTTTACAATCAATCTGTACAGTTAACAATTATCACAGTGGTCCTGAGATAAGATACATCCTCAGCTTATGAAGATAACAGGATTAAAAGATTTAAGTAAGGACAAGCATAAGAAATTATAAAAGTATTATTTGGGAACTGATAAATGTCCACAAAATCTTCACAATTTATGTTCCTCTGCTGTGGCTCCAGCCAGTCCCTCCATTTGGGGTCCCTGACTTCCTGCAACAAATCATGTCCTTTGCAGGAACATAGATGCAGCTGCAAGGCATTATCTGAAGCAAAATAACACAGGAACAGAAAACCAAATACCACTTGTTCTTACTAATAAGTAGGAGCTAAACATTGAGTACACAAGGACACAAAAAGAAGCACAATAGACACTGGTGGTTTACTTAAAGGTCGAGGGTGGGAGGAGGGTGAAGACTGAAAAACTACCTATCAGGTACTGTGCTTACTACCTAGGTGACAAAATCATTTGTATGCCAATCCCAGCAACATGTAATGTATTGATGTAACAAACCTGCACATGTAGCCCCTAAATCTAAAATAAAAGTTGGAAGAAAAAAATATGAATACCATATGACCCAAGATTTATTCTTCTTGGTATTTATGCAAAATAATTAAAATAGGAGTTGAAGAGATATTACTAGCGCTCCCATGTACATTACAGTATTATTCAAAATAGACAAGATGTGAAAACTACCTAAATGTCCCAGTTTTGAATGAATAGATAAGAAAATGTGGTGTGTATATATAATGGAATGTTATTCTTTCTTAATGAAGGAAATTCTGCAATAGTTACAGCATGAATGAAATTCTGCAATAGTTACAGCATGAATAAAACTTGAGGGCATTATGCTAAGTGTAATAAGCCACTCATAAGAGAATAAATACTGCATGAGTCCACTTATGTAGAGTATCTATAATAGCCAAACTTACAGGAGCAGAAAATAAAATGGTGGTTAGCTGGGGCTGGAGGAAGGGGGAAATGGAAGCTGCTATTCGATGGGTATACAACTTCAGATATGCCAGATGAATAAGCTCTGTAGATCTGCTGCACAACACTGTGCTTATAGTTCCTAATACTGTATTGTAAACTTGAAATTTGTTAAGTGGTTGATCTCACGTGCTCTTATCATCATAAAATTCTAATACATGCCTCACTATGTGGTTTTAGAGAAATAATGTTGCTAACAGTGTTGGATTTGCCTCTTCCAATCATAATCATTTGCTAATACACTAGAGATCCTCTCAGAGCTATTTCACTGCCTCTTGCAGAGAACCACTTGGTACAAACTGATCTCTAAGATGTCTATGAGGGTAGGTTAGATCTCTGTGAGCTGTTCTGTCTTTCTCTTTGGTTCACACATTTCAAAGTTAGGGGAAGCCCCAGATTCTCACCTACTTGTGGTCCCAAGTAGGAGCTCTGATGTGTAGTAAGATATAAAAATATAAGATAGAGTGGGGTCAAGGCATTAGAGGTTGACGCTGTTTAAATTAAAACACAGTGAACAGGCTAATTCTTTCGGGTGGAAGATAATTTCTTTCCTATCTCATTTACAGACATGACTGTCCTTAGAAGTTAAAATTTCAGGGAGAAATCAGCAAACACATTAGACAAAGCACCTAAATGACCCATTCTCTAACTGTTAATTACCATCATCTACATACTCAAGAGTGGTCCATTATACCTAGTTTATGTAAAGTAATATGAATATTATGTATTTGAGTAGCTCAGAATACCAATATCATTTGCATATAAAGCAGTTATTTTCTCAGTGTCCATAAGTCAAATTTGAATTTGGAGGATGTTTTAGCAGTTTGTGACATCTTCTCAAGATGAAATCTGTTTCCTAACTAGCTGAATGATGTGATTTTGACCACTTCACTCAATCTCTGAATTTCAGTTTTTTCACTGCACATGAGGAAAAAATTCGGTGGCTTCAAAACATCCTTCAAAATTTGATTTTCCCAAGTGAACCAAATTATCATATATATATATATATATATATATATGTATAGACACACACACACATATGAATATTAGCAATGATATTTGGCAATAAAGAATGTCTGAAAAAACTTATTCATGGTATCTGAATCTATCATACTTTCTTACCTTTATGTCTGATAAAAGACATAATCGGAAAGGTGCAGGGCAAGAGGAAAAAAAAACTACATTTATTCCTTGGATTGTTGGTCCAAACCATAAAGGCAGAACTTTAATGCCTCTTTTCCTTAGATTAATTGGGCATATATAGCTTCAGATCACCACAGTTCTCTGATGAGTACAGAAGATTGCTATTTTGCATTTATCTACTTTTTCATAATTTTAAGGGTGAGAGTGAGGCTCTTTTCAGCTTTCTCCATCTTAGGTGGAATCCGTCTTATTCATTGTTTAATTTGCATCTTATCCCTGTTCTCCTAACATTAGCACACCTAACCCAAGCCAGAACAACAGACCTGGATGTTAAATCAAGGACTATATAAGACCACCTAAGTGTCACTTCGAAAGTAAATTTGCTTTCTGTGCCCTTTTTTCTTTATATATGGAGAGTAAAAAGGAGAAAACTGTCAACCTTCTAGAGCTACGGTGAAGATTAAATGACACAAAATAATTACACCAGGTGCCAAATATATGATCCATAAATACATTGTAAGTTTTAGATACTGACTTTCTGCCATTCTACTCTAAAATAAATTAATTATTCTTCAGTTTGCCTAAGTTAACTGTCTGCCTGGGCAACTTTCTGATGGATTCATATAGTGGAATGTGAGAAGAGGGAATATGGTGGGAGAGCTCCTGAGGAGCTGTTGGTGCTGAAGGAAATGTATAGAACCAGATAATTTACATCAAACAGGGCCAGGAATTCCTCTAACATAGGCAAGTGCCTTCATGCACATCACCAGAAAGTGCCTGGTTTGGCAAGAAAATTACCCAATTATTCCCCCTCCAGGAGTCCAATTCTGAAAAGATATCTCTAGTTTTGGCTAGAGCAACTCCTTCCCAGGACACAGTGCTTGCAACAGAATCACAGGCTGGATTTCACCCCTACCTGCCCCTTGGTCTGGATTCTTTGGGCAGGGCACAGTCAGTTCAGTCTTAACCAGGGCCTATTCCTTAAAGATCCCATCCAAACTATAAATCTGTGTGCCCCACCCTGACTTGCAGGCCACAGTTTATTTGCTTTTACATAACTCACAGATAGATTAAAGAAACTCCTATGGAAGCACTCTTTAAGAAAAAAAAGTTTATTTTTTTTCAAATTATGAAAATTCTGAATGCAAAATATGATATGAAGAAAATGCATAAAAGTAAAACTAATGAAATAAAATGCACCCTTAATACTCCATTTCCTAGAATTAATAGCTGGTATATATATATATATATATATATATATATATATATATATATATATATAGTATTTCAACCAGATATATATACATATATTATTTTCTGTGCTTTGATCTTATCTTCATAAACATCATTACCAATGGCATCAGGTTTTTAGGTGGAGGACTTCAGGCAAAATTTCCACACTTGAGTAAAGATTGAACAGTAGTTATTTGATATCCTTGTCCTTGGTGACCTTGAAGCATAAAGAGATAAAAATAAACCCGTTGAGATGCAGGGAGTCATACATTTCTTTCTTCAATCACACTGCCTCTCCTCCCTGTGAGCCACATCTCTTCTTCTATTTCCATCTGAAGCACTCTTTTCTCATTCTCATCTATCTCCTTTAATGAATCCTGTCCTTGGAGTCACATCTTCCCCCTCTGTTGGGACCATGAAATGCGATATTCACTCCTACCCAGCATGAGCCCACGTGAAAGGGCAGGAGATGTCAGGGAACAATAAGATAGAGAAAGGAGCTGGTGTGTCCAACGACAAGGGCTAAAGGGAAACTTCTCATTGGGCAGAAAGGTAGGAGGAGCGTACAAAATGTATTCCTGGTGCAACTGCTGTCAAGGAAGGCTTGGGACTTTTGACTAATGGCCCTGAGAACTGGAGCAATCAGAAAGCCTTTGCATTTTTGTGTGTCTGAATGTGTTAGCCTTTATTCTGATCTTTTTGCATTCCAATATTAGCCTTTATTTGTTCCAAGAATCCCACATGAATATATGTGACAAACAGCATAAACTTTGTCATGTAGATCCAACCATCTCTGTCTACACAGAGATGTTTCTCACAAAAGACAGCTACCTTTGTGTTCTGATTTGCTTAGGGACATCCTTGGTAATTTAGGACTGTTATGAGGTATGTTGGCCACCCTCAAATTTAACTCCCTCTTCTGTTCATTGTGTACCACAAATAATTGAATGAGCTAATATGTGAAACAATTGGATTATAAAGGATTAATGAAGATAATTATTGAAAAACCCTTAGAATAGTCTGAGTCATTCTGCATACTCAGTAAATGAGAGACATCATTATTTCCATTCTATTAGGTACTTTTAGTCACATCCACTGTTTTAACAACTATGTCTCTATTGATGTAATTCAGTAAAAGGCCCAGCCAAAATTACCCAAGTTTAAGCTCTATATATCAGATGGATAATTCTTAGATGTCCTGTGGGAATCTCAAACTTAACTTGTCTAGAGCAGAACACGTTTTTTCCCTGGAACATGGTCTTTCTACTGTGCTCATAAGAGGTGTATTGAAGAGTAAATGCAATCATATACATAAAAACATAACTTTCACTTCCAGCTTTACCCAGTAGAAGCTCAGTTAGAAAAATATTGTTTTCATTGTTATTTAAAGACTATGCAAGTTTTTTATGTCAGCCTGATCCAGAAATGAATTATGATTTATGTTGATCCTCTTGTGGAAAACCCAGATAAAGTTGTAGTGATTGGGAATAAAACTAATAGCTTCGTTTTTTCCCATATAGTAATTCTGAGCCAGTAATATCTCCATTTGTTTTCCCAACCATTCTGGGCTCTTTGATTTAGGAGAGTCATGACAAAAGATGAAAAATAAGAATGGTCTGCTTTTGACTTTAAATCCAAAAGCATAGAAAAATTTATACAAATTAATAATTAATACAAACACAGTATTATTGGGATGATCTATGATATACAAAAGCAAGGACTTCTTTCAGAGCTAGTGAATCACAGAGGAAGTAACAGGATGTATTTTCCAGGCATCCTGTGGAAGTGCTAGATATCAAAGAAGAAATGGCTATATGGGAGGTTAGGTGTAGGAGACATAGGACCCTAGCTGAGATTCCTGGGCTAAGGGAGGTTTAGATGCAGTCAAATAAATCTAACGGCTATAGAAACAGACCATAATGCGTATTTAAAATGGTAGAACCTAGGCAAACTTTGCGTAGTCCCTTCAAAGCCAAAATGCAGGAAAAATAAGTTCTTTTCCAGAATGTTGTCCTGGGATGTTCAATTATGTCTATTAAGTAACAGAAAAGTGGGTCTGAGCTGGTAATGACTACATATGCGTTCCATCCATGGTCACCTAAGCCAAGATGGCTAAAGAGGACGTGCTAGCTTTGACTCTCAAATAAATTACATATAATTTATTGAGGAAAATGTGATTCTCGGGCTTATCAAAAACAACAAAAACATAAACAAACCAAAAAACGACCACAAATTGAGAACTCCTGTATATAGGTAATCTGTCTTCAACTAGTCTGTATGGTGACATGTCTTCAACTAAAAGAGTGGTGACATGATTCTCCTCTTGCCTTTCTCTTTCATCACCTTCCCTCTCACTGTAGATCATAGTCTTCTGTTCCCTAGGTGGAGGTGACTCCACTGGTCATATCATGACCAAAAGCAGGCTGGGATTCAATTGGAACACTTAGATATAAATTCATTAGTTCACCTTTGTCTGATGTTCTCTGGACAAGAAATCTATAAACTGTACTTATTATCAAGTGTGGTTGAAAAACACTTTATTATTAGAATTTTAATAAATGTTCTAAATAAAATAAAGAGAAATGTTCAGGACACCTTGGCATGATGTGTTCTATGGCAGGAGGAGAATATCAGTGCAGTATTTTTCTGAGGAAGGGGGATTTTGGTTGGCCCAGAAATATATTGGGGCAAATGAAGAGATGAGAGTAAGGGATTCTAAAAAAAGGAAGTAGCATATGCCAAGACACTAGCTATGGAAAGAAACAGGGATTTTGAATATCAATCCTAAGTTATGGTCATTAGTCGTAGTGGAAAATTGTGAAAGGAAACTGGAATAGAAGGTACGAACATACTGTTGTATTCATCTCTCCTTGTCTGGATACCTCCTCACATACACCATATTTGCACCAATGAAAAACAGTAATCTTCCTGAAGACAGAAATGATTTCATGAATGCATATTTTGTGAGTATTGAAGGACTTAGAATCCAGTGGCATGTCCAATTATATATTGATAAATGAATGAGAAATGTAGTAAAATAATGAAATAATATATAGTCAGAATTTAAATGAGAATCCCTTTGAAGACTCTGATTACCCCTACAATTATATTTTAGAGGTACAGCAATGCAAATAGAAAGGTGGTACCTTATTTAAGGAACTGCTGGATGGCGGTTGGTGGAAGTGTCAGAAGAAAGAGGAGGGGCCACAGTTGGTGAGGTGATTCTAAAGTTTGCAGGCGATGACTGTGCTCCTGGGTGGGTTTCATCCTTCTGGAGTCATAAATTTGGGTAATTTAGTCTTTCACTTTATGACAGAAAGAACTGGTTTTTTCTGCTTAATATTTTCCTATATAAGTTGGATGTAATACATGTGTGTATATGTGTGTGTGTGTGTGTGTGTGTGTGTGTGTGAAAATCCCTTTTTATAGAATCTTCCCTCTGCTAATCTCTCTGGATGCTGGCATACATTTAGTTTTCTTAACCCACATTTCAGCATACACAGAAACTAGCATATAGTATAAGAGAAAATGGATCTGAGCTGGAAATGATTAGGCATGGGGTCTATTTGAGGCCACTTCTGCCAAGATGACTGCCTGCTTACTGATCCACCAGATAAAATCTGTAGACACTCTTCAGGAAAATATGAACTTTGGGTAACAATAACAAAATAATAAAGAAAAATCCAGTCACATATAGCAAACTCCTGTAAAGAATAAGTCTGTCTTCAACTCATAGGTGTGGGGGAGTCACTGAGGCTGTAGGCTGGGTCAGTGTGGATCTTGGGGCCTGGGTGAAAAACTAGATGAGAGAATAAAGACTTAATACTCCCCTTTTCTTTCTCTAAGTTGACTTCTTGTTCACTGCTGATAGAGGGTGCTGTGGCACAGAGGCAGGTGACTACACAGTCCAACTTACTGGTAAGTAAAAGGCAGCATGGAATAGGATTTCATACACACAGATATAAACTCATTCATGGACCTTTGTTTTTACTTACCTGAGCAGGTAGCATATATAATCTCAATTACTTACAGGGTTGAAAATATACTATAATTACTGTGGTGACAAGTATTATAAAGGAAATAAATGGACATGTGAAGGACACAAAGAGATGATCTGTCTTATTTTTGGATGGGGTTATCAGGAGGTCTTGCTTGAAGACAGTTTTAGGCTGGCCCAAAAATATATAAAGGCCAGTGAAGGAATAGGAGAAAAAGATTCCAGACAAAGGGAGTACCATGTATGAAACAAAAACATGTAGGAAAGAGTAAGAATGTTGAAAATAAACTGTGAGTTATGGTTCTGAAGCAAAAGGGAAATCTGTGAATGAACAATGAAATGTAAGAGAGGAACACACTCTTGTATTTCTTCATCTTTGTGTACTCTCCTCCACTCTTTCTCTATATCTGGATCATAAATCACAATAATGTCTTTAGGTCAGGAATGATTTTATCAATGTATCCCTTGTAAATCATAAAAATCCTAGAATCTAGTAGCATCTCTGATTATATACTTAATAAATGAATGAGAAATATAGTAAAATAAAAAACTATTTAGTCAGAGATTGATTGAAAAGCTCTGTCAAGATACTGATTATCCCTTTAAGTATAATAAAGGGAGGCACAAAGAATGGCAACAAGAAGTTGGTACTTTGGTTAAAGAACTACCAGATGGGGTTTGTGACATTTTCTGTGACATCTGAGGATGGTTCAGAGTTGGAGGTTCTCCGATGACTGAATTTTACCTATGCAGACTATACACTTTGAAAGGATACTATCTTATTGGAGTCATATGTTTGGGTGATTCTGGCATCTGTGTTCTGAAGAAAAGATCGACTTTTCTGATTAATGGTTTCACTATGAGATGAAGCCTGATTATGTATCTGCCTCTATATCTATACGTATCTATATCATCATCTATCTGGTTTGATTTTTTAATTTATTTTTTTCTTTTATTCTTTTTACATTGTCTTCCTTCTTGCATTTTCTCTGGCTAGCAGCATAACTTTAGATATCCTAACCTCTTCACCTGCACATTCACAAATGGCATTTTGGCCTTCGTTTTATTGACTGAAATTCTGTAGGTGTGTGATTGGGTCCTGGCTCTGTTTCTGGTGAAAACTCATCTAGGCTAACTTGGTCAAGCACCTCTGCTGGAGTTATTTTTGTTAAGTAATGCTCCTAAGTTATAAGGGTAGTAAGTTTCAGAACAATGTTAGCCAAATGGATGAAAGCCATTTTCATCAAGCAAATACACAAAGGATTCCTGTAGTTTGCACTTCAGGACCCAGAAAAATCAGTTGTCAGTTGTTTGGGGATACTGATCTTCATTTTGCTATCAGCACTCTCTGAAAGCACAGTTCCAGTCAGGATTCTGTTTATCCAGTGATTTGCATCAGGTATCCAAAATCCTTCAGGATTCCCAACAGCAATCACAACCGTTTCAGATTTCACTAGGGCATTCCCAGAACATGTCTTTATATATATATATATATCTTGTTAATGTAAGGATAATGGGTGTCTGGAAAATCACATGTGATTCTCTCTAAGCACTAAGGAAAGCACTTAAGGACGTTCTACTTCCAATATCAAATCACTCTCTTTACTAAGGAAAATAATTAAGGACATTCTACTTCCAATATCAAATCACTCTCATTCATTTCTATTTGTAGATTTCCATAATATTTTTCTTTTGTCCTTAAGGAGATGGAAGGAAAGTGCTGAAAGATCAGTTTGCTTATGAGGGTTTCCAAGTGAGGACAACAAACCCTAGCCATCTTGTGCACCTCATCCTGTTTTAGAAGCTTGAAGAGTCTGGATTATAAAAACAAATGTAAAATTCAACACTATTTGAAATGCTTATTGATATATTACAGATATTTTAATATCTACTCTCTCTCACTGGAAGAAACATACTCCCTCAACTACAAAAACTTTTTAGTTGACTAAGTTGAATATGAATCTTTCAACTAATACTAATTATCTTTATTAGCTTGGGAGAGATTTCTAACTTCTCTGAACCTCATGATTCTCATATGTGAAATGAGATATAGGTTGTATCTTCATGGATATGCAATAAAGAATATATGCTATACATTTTATAATAAACACAGCTTTACTTCAGAATCCAGTAAATGCTCAATAAGAAGAAATATCATTATTATTTTCATTGTTATAGTATATGCAGTGTTTGTGTGTTTGCTCTATTCACAGATATTTTATGCTTTATGTTGACCCAGTTGTAGAAAATCTCATTGAGGAGGTATGGGTAAAATATTAAATAAGCTAGTCTCTATTCCCTTCTACCAAAGCTAGTAGTCTAATCTCATTGATAAAAGTGAATTGAACAAGTATCTCTTCAAAATAAGTCAAAACTGATAAGATCAGATATTACAGTTATCTTAGTGGAAAGGCCAAGAAGTGATATTGGACGTAGAGGGGATGTGATAATAGACATTGGAGACTCAGAAAGGTGGAAGTGTGGGAGTAGGGTGAGGGATGAGAGATTATCTAATGGGTACAACATACACTATTCAGGTGATGGATACACTAAAAGTCCCAACTTCACCACTGCGCAATTTAACCATGTAACAAATCTGCACTTGTACCCCCTAAATCATTAACAAATATACATAATAAAATATAAACAAAAACATTTTCATTACAGAAGCAGAATTTGGATGCCTAAGATCTTAGCTTTGGTTGAATATTAATTTAAATCATTGCTGATTATTTTCCTCATAGTAATTTCTCCCTAATAGCATCCCTGATCATGACTCATGCCATTCTGTGATCTATGCTTTAGATGAGTCATGACAGATGGTCATGCTTCTGTCTTCTTCGGGGTTTAGATCCCAAAGCATAATGAACCTATATCATACACAAATTTTTGAGTGAACCCTTGATGAGTAAATGGGCAAGGCTTTCCTGCTCACCTGGTGAATCATAGATTGAGTGGTGAGACAACCTTGGAGTGGGTCACCAAAGCAGAAAAGGTCCATGATACATTTAGGTGTAGGTGGCCATGGAGATACATGCCTCTTTCTAAAATTATTGTATTAAGGGAGTTTATGTACAGCAGAATAATTCCTATGAATGTAGAAATGGCTGTATTACATATTTAGACAAAAGAACTTAGAAACTGTCACTCCATTTTGTCTAAGCCATTATGCGTCAGAAAATGGATTGTCTTTAAATGTTTGTCTTTGAAGTAGCAGAGAGTAAATGGATCAGAGCTGATAATGACCAGGAATGGGCTCCATCTAACCACCTGAAGTAAGATGGCAAATAGGTTAGATTGATAGCACTATCCACAAATAGTAATTTTAGAAAGTGTACAGAGAAATATGAATTATTGGAATTCACCAGTCAAAAAGAACAAAAGCAGCAACAAAACAAAATGTAAAAATGAGAACTCCTTACATAGGAGTCCTGTCTTCAACTGGTACACATGTATTAGTGATGCAGAAAGAAGGTTGGTCAGAGTGCAATATGGTAATGGGTAAGATACTAGATTGGAAGATAGTGACTCAGTTTTCCTTTTACCTTAGCTTCAAGTTGCCTGCCCATTTACTGAAGATATAGGCATCTGATTCATAGGCCTTAACATGGCAGTGAAAGAGAAAGAACGAAATAGTGAGTCACAGTTACCTAATTTCTCATGCGAAGCCTTGCAGAACCTGAATTATGGAAACAAACTCAAACCATAACGATGTCTGACTTTAAATATATAGAAAAATATTTCAGAAATTTTAACATCTACATTCTGACTCTGGAAGCAATATATGACCATGAAATACTTAAGTTTTAGAGTTCATTAAGGCTGGATTTGAATGTTGACTGTAAGACCAAAAATTATTTTTTTAACTTTTATTTTAGGTTCAGAGGTACATGTGCAGGTTTGTTACATAGGTAAACTGCATGTCACAGGGGTTTGGTGGACAGATTATTTCATCACCCAGGTATTAAGCTTGATACCCACTAAGAATTGTTTTTTCATCCTCTCCCTCTTCCCATCCTCCATCTTCAAGTAGGCGCCAGTGTCTGTTGTTCTCCTCTTTGGGTCCGTGTGTTCTCTCATTGTTTAGCTCTGTTTATAAGAATGGCATCCAGCTCCATTCATGTTGGTGCAAAGGACATGATCTTATTGTTTTTTGTGGCTGTGTAGTATTCCATGGTGTGCATGTGCCACACTTTCTTTATCCAGTCTAACGTCAATGGACATTTAGGGTGATTCCATGTCTTTGCTATTGTGAATAGTGGTGCAATGAACATATGCATGCATGTGTCTTTGTGGTAGAATAATTTATATTCCTTTGGGCATATGCCCAGTACTAGGATTGCTGGGTCAAATGGGAGTTCTGTTCTAAGTTCTTTGAGGAATTGTCACACTGCTTTCCACAATGGCTGAACTAATTAACACTCCCACTGGCAGTATATAAGTGTTCCCTTTTCTCTGCAAGCTCACCAGTATCTGTTATTTTTTGACTTTTTAATAACAGTCATTCTGATTGGTGTGAGATGTTACCTCATTGTGGTTTTGATTTGCATTTCTCTAATAATTAGTGATGTTGAGCATTTTTTCATGTTTGTTGGCCATGTGTATGTTTTCTATTGAGAAGGGTCTGTTCACATCCTTTGCCCACTTTTTAATGGGGTGGCTCATTTTTTTCTTGTAAATTGGTTTACATTCTTTATAGATTCTGGATAACAGATCTTTGTTGGATGCAAAGTTTGCAATTTTTTTTTTCTCATTCTGTAGATAGTTTGATTACTTTGTTGGTAATTTCTTTTGCTGTGCAGAAGTTCATTAGTTTAATGAAGTCCTATTTGTCATTTTTTCTTTATGTTGTAATTGTTTATGGCATCTTCAAAACGAAGTCTTTTCCAGGCCCTATATCCAGAATGGTATTTTCTAGGTCATCTTCCAGGGTTTTTATAGTTTTAGATTTTACACTGAAGCCTTCAATTCATCTTGAATTGACTTTTGTATATGGTGTAAGGAAGGGGTCCAGTTTTAATCTTCTGCATATGGCTAGCCAGTTATCTCAGCACCATTTATTGAAAAAGGAGTCCTTATCCCATTGCTTGTCATTGTCAACTTTGTCAAAGATCCAGTGATTGTAGGTGGGCGGCCTTATTTCTGGGCTGTCTATTCTGTTTCATTGGTCTATGTGTCTGTTTTTGTACCAGTACTATGCTCTTTTGGTTACTGTAACCTTGCAGTATAGTTTGAAGTTGGGTCAAGTGATACCTCCAGCTTTGTTCTTTTTGCTTAGGATTGCTTTGACTATTCAAGTTCATTTTTGGTTTTATATAAATTTTAAAATCGTGTTTTCTAATTCTGTGAAGAATGTCATTGGTAGTTTGATAGGAATAGCATTGAATCTGTACATTGCTTTGGGAAATCTGGCCATTTTTAATAATATTGATTTTTCCTATCCATGAGCATGGAACTTTTCCTATTTGTTTGTGTTCCTTCATTTCTTTGAGCAGTGTTTTGTAATTCTTATTGTTAATAACTACCTCCTTGGTTAGCCTCTCTGTGATTGCCTAACCTCTCCAAGCTTCAGTTTCCTTATGTAAAAAATGAAATGATTGCCTCATTATTTTGATTTGAAGATTATGAGAAAAATGGATCCAAAGTGATGTACACAGTGCCTGTCACATAAGACACAATATACAAAACAGACTACATTCTAAGAAAACCCTCTCATCCCACAAATAGCCTGCTCTAGAAAAAAATGTAGTATGGTGATTTCCAACCTTGATGAATACAATAAATCCTTTTGTCAATTTTTGTGGCAATTGTGAACGGAATTGCATTCCTGTTTTGACTCTCAGCTTGGATGTTGTTGGTTTATAGGAATGTGTACTGATTTTTGTATATTGATTTTGTATCCTGAAACTTTGCTGAAGTTGTTTATGAGATCAAAGAGCTTTTCTGCAGAGACTATGGGTTTTTCTAAATACAGGATTTTGTCATCTGCAAAAAGTGATAGTTTGACTTTCTCTTTTCCTACTTGGATGCCTTTTATTTCTTTATCTTGCCTGATTCCTCTGGCCGGGATTTCTAGTACTCTATTGAATAGGAATGGTGAGGGAGGCCATCCTTGTCTTGTTCCAGTTTTCAAGGGGAGTGCTTCTAGCTTTTGTCCATAAAGTATGATGTTGGCTGTGGGTTTGTTGGAAATGGTTCTTATTATTTTGAAGTATGTTCATTCAATGTCTAGAGTATTTAGGGTTTTTAACATGAAGGGATGTTGCATTTTATTGAAAGCTGTTTCTGCATCGATTGAGATGATTATGTAGCTTTTTGGTTCTGTTTATGTGATGAACCACATTTATTGTTTTGTATATGTAACTTTGTATTCCAGAGATAAAGCCTACTTGATTGTGTTGGACTAGCTTTTTGAAGTACTGCTAGATTTTGTTTACTTGTATTTTTTTGAGGATTTTTGCATGTATGTTCATCAAGAATAACCACCTGAAGTTTTCTTTTTTTGTTGTGTCTCTGCCTTTTGTTATCAGGATGATGCTGGCCTCATAGAATGAATTGGAGAGGAGTCCCTCCTCCCCAGTTTTTTGAATAGTTTTAGTAGGAATGGTACCAGCTCATCTTTATGCATCTGATAGCATTTGGCTGTGAATCCATCTGGTCATGGGCTACTTTTAGTTGGTAGACTTTTTCTTACTGATTCAATTTCAGAACTTGTTATTGGTCTATTCAGTTATTCAGTTTCCTCCTGGGTTAGTCTTCAGAGGTTGTATGTGTCTAGGAATTTATCCATTTCTTCTAGGTTTTATAGCTTGTGTGCATAGAGGTGATTATAGTAGTCTCTGAAGGATTGTTGTATTTCTGTGGGGTCAGTGGTAATTTCCCTTGGTCATTTCTAATTGTGTTTATTTAGATCTTGTCTCTTTTTTTAGTCTATCTAGCAATCTTTCTTATTAATTTTTTCAACAGATGAACTCCTGGATTCGTTGATCTTTGTCTGTTTTTTTCACATCTCAATTTCTTTTAGTTTAGCTCTGATATTGGTTATTTCTTTTCTCCTGCTGGCTTGGGGATTGATTGTTCTTGCTTTTCTAGTTCTTCTAGTTGTGATGTTGGGTTGTTAATTTGAGATCTTTTAAATTTTTTGATGTGAGCGCTTAGTGCTACAAACCTCTCTCTTAAGACTGACTTAGCAATGTCCCAGAGATTCTGATGTATTTTATCTTTGTTCTCATTAGTTTCAAAGAATTTCTTTATTTCTGCCTTTATTATTCACCCAAAAGTCATTCAGGAGAAGGCTGTTTAATTTCCATGTAATTGTATGGTTGGAGCCATTTTCTTACTATAGATTTATACTTTTATGCACTGTGTTCTGAGAAGGTGGTTGGTATGATTCTGTTTTCTTGAATTTGCTGAGGATTGTTTTATATCTGATCGTGTGGTCGACTTCAGAGTGTGTGCTATGTGGCAGTAAGAAGAATGTGTGTTCCATTGTTTTAGGTTGAGAGTTCCATAAATGTCCATTAGGTCCATCTTGTCAAGTATTGAGTGCAGTTCCTGAATATCTTTGCTATTTTTTTTTGTTTGCCTGAATGATCGATCTAATACTGCCAGTGTGGTATTGAAGTCTCCCACTATTATTGTATGTGACTCTAAGTCTCTTTGTGGGTCTCTGAGAACTTGTTTTATGAGTCTAGGTGCTCCTGTGTTGTGTGTGTATATATTCAAGGTAGTTAGGTCTTCTTGTTGAATGAAAGCCTTTACCATTATGAAATGCCCTTCTTTGTCTTTTTAACTCTTTGTTGGTTTAAAGTCTGTTTTTTCTGAAATTATGATGGCACCCTCTGTTTTTTTTTTCTGCTTTCTATTTGTTTGGTAGATTTTTCTTTGTCCTTTTATTTTGAGCCAATGGGTGTCATTGCATGTGAGACAGGTCTCTTGAGGACAGTATACCATTGGGTCTTGCTTCTTTATCCAGCCTGCCACTCTGTGACTTTTAAGTGGAGTGTGTAGCCTGTTTACATTAAAGGTTAATATTGACATCTGCAGATTTGATCCTGTCATTGTGTTGTTAGCTGATTATTATGCAGACTTGTTTCTGTGGTTGCTTCATAGTGTCACTATTCTGTGTACTTAATTGTGTTTCTGTAGTGTCTGGTAATGTTCTTTCCTTTTCATACTTAGTGTTCCTTTCAGTATCTCTTATAAGGCAGGTCTGGTGGTAACAAATTCCCTCAGCATTTGCTTGTCTGAAAAGGATCTCATTTCTTTTTCATTTTTGATGCTTTGTTTGGCTGTATGTGAAATTCTTGCTTGGAAATTATTTTCTTTAAGAATGCTGAATATAGGTCCCAAGCTCTTCTGGCTTGTCAGGCTCCTGTTGAAAGTTCTGCTGTAGTCTGATAGGGTTCCTTTTGTAGGTGACCTTCCCAGTGACCTGCCCCTTCTCTCTAGCTGTCTTTAACATTTTTAAATTCATTTCGACCTTGGAAAAGCTTATGATTATGTGTCTTGGGGATGGTCTTTTTGTGTAGTATCTCACAGGATTTCTCTATGTACCCTGAATTTGAAAGTTTGCCTCTCTAACAAGGTTGGGGAATTTTTCATGGATGATATCCTGAAATATGTTTTAAAGGTGTTTGCTTTCTCCTTGTCTCTCTCAGGGACACCAATGAGTTCTAGACTTTGTCTCTTTACATAATCCCATTTTTCTCAGAAGATTTTTCATTCTTTTTAATTCCTTTTTCTCTATTTCATTTCTGATTGAGCTATTTCTTTGAGCCCTGAGGTTTTTTCCTCAGGTTATTTCATTCTGCTCTTAATACATGCAATTGCATTATGAAATTCTTGTAATGTATTTTTCAGCTTTATCAGATCAGTTTGGTTCTTTTTTATGATGGCCATTTTTTCTATCAGCTCCTGTATCATTTTATTGAAACCCTTAGATTTCTTGAGCTGAGTTTTAACTTTCTCTTGAATGTCAATTATCTTAATTCCTACCCATATTCTGAATTCTATTTCTGTCATTTCAGCCATTTCAGCCTGGTTAAGAACCCTTGCTGGGGAACTAGTGCAATCTTTTGGAGGAAACAAGACACTCTGGCTTTCTGAATTGCCAGAGTTCTTGCACTGTTTCTTTTGAGTAGTTAGAAACCTTCTTTCCTGGATGTTGTTAGAGAGCTGAGGCTTTGTGCAGGGTTTTAATTTCTAGCTAAATTCTTGTCCATGGTTACACAGGGGTCTATATTAGCAAAATATTTTTGGTGTTGAAGTTTTGGGCTGTGATCCAGTAGGTGGTGCTTAAGTGTATTGGCCAGTAGGTAGGCTCTTGCTCTGCCATATGCAGGGCATGCTCCCTCTCAGTGCTCTGAAAGTGTGGGCTCCTTTCCCACTTGAGTACTGGCTCCAGATCTTGGCTTGGCACACTGCAGCTCTGGGATGAGCTCAGATTTTATGTTCCCTCGCCAGCTTGAAGGCTGCAGCAGAAGAAACCTTAGCAGTGGTTATGGCAGAGGGCCTTTCACTTGACTCTTGGTGGTCCACCCCAGAGAAACGAGGAGCTGCTATCAGCCAGTGCAATTGGCCAAAGATGGGGCAGCTGTGCTGTGGGCCCAAGCCAGAGGGTCCCGGTTTGGTGAAGAGCAGGGCTACGGGTGGGTCACAAGAGAGATAGACTGAGTTCTTCTCCTTAGGGCAACTGCAGTTCCTTCCCCAGTCTGAAGGCAGCAGGGCAGTACCACTGCAGCAGCAGTGGCAGAGGGGCTTTTGGTTGCCTCTGGGAGCTGCACCTCAGAGAGATGCAGAGCCGCTGCTACTGGGAATGTTCAGCTAGAGAATGGGAAGTTACATTGCTGGCCACAACTAGGGGCTCAGCTCGTTGAGGAGTGGGGCACTGAGGATTCATAGGGAGGAGGGACTGTGCTTTGCTGCCTGTATGGTGACTGTGGTGTGCTGGAAGCGCAGGTGAAACTCTCGGGGTCTTTGTTTCTTCCTTGAACTAAGGGGATCAGGGGCAGAACCACTGCTGTGGCCGTTGCAGTGGGGCTGTCAGTTGCCTCTGGGACCCCCTCCCCAGGGAAACACAGAGTTACTAGCAGACCGTATGCTTAGCCATGGGTGGGGCAGCTGTTTTGCAGTTCAAAGCCAGGAGCCCTGTCTGATGAAGAGTAGGGCTGGGAGCTCATAGGGAAGAGAGACTGGACTCCTCTCCAATGCTCGCTGCTGTGTGCTGGAGGTGCCAGTGTAGTGACCAGGCCCTTTGTTTCTTTCCCAGCTCGAGAGCAGTTAGGGCAGTGCCACTGCAGCTGCAATGGTGGAGGAGTTGTGGGTTGTCTCTGAGATTTTCTCCTGAGACAAATGCAAAGCTGCTTTCCACTGAAGTGTTCAGGAGGGGGCAGGGTAATTGTGTTCGAGTCCTAGGCCTGAAGGCCCCACCCAGTGAGGAGAAATGTGAACAGGGACCCACGGATACAACGGTCCGATCACTTCTCCGTGGGGTGGCTCCAGTGTGTTGGGGATCCGCCCATCACTAATCACTGCCCATCCTTCAGAACCTGAAGGCAACTGGTGCAAGGGCTGCAAGACAGAAAAAATGGCAGCCTACCTTTCCCTCTAGGAGCTCCATCCCAGGGAAGTATAGAGATGCTATAGTCACCAAAGCCCAGGTAGGGAGTAACTGGAGTCTGAAGTCAGGAGGTCCTGCCCAGTGAGGAGAACTGGCATCGGGAATCCACGTATAAAACAGTCTGGCCACTTTTTCATGAGGCATCTGTGCTGTGCTGGGGATCCAGCCAGTCCCTAATCACCACACACTCTCCAGGGCCTGAAGGCAGCCGTGACAATGGCTGTGAAACAGCAAAAATGGTGGGCTTCCTCTCCCTCTGGGGGCTCCAACCCAGGGAAGTGCAGAGCTGCTACCGGCCCATGAGCTCAGGCAGGGGGGTGGCTGGAGTACTAGGCTAGTGGACTTTATCCTGTGAGGTGCAGTGGAGGCGAGGCTTAGAGTCCAGTGCTGCTTAGTCCCCTGGATTCAGCTCCTTTTCTGAAGGCCTGTGAGGCAGCCTGACCTCCCCTATTGCCAGAGCTGCAGCCGCTAATTCCAGGATACTTGGATCCAAGGCTCCAAGGGTTCCTTGTATGCCTGAGTGGTGGCTCTGCCCAGGCTCCACTTAGCTTTCCCTCTCAATCTGAAGGCTCCAGTGGGGTGGTCTCATAGGGGTATCTCCTGAGCCCAGGGTGGCAAAGGTCCGTGGCAGAAGTATGGGTCCCCAGAGACTCTCACTCACTCACCATTTCCCTGCAGTGGAGAAGCCTCCTCTGGCTCCGTGCCATTCCCAGGTGAGCAATTGTCTTGTCTCACTCTTCTCTATTCTCCATGGGTAAAGTTGTTTTCTCGGTGGATCTCAATGGTCCACCTGGATGTTCCAGTTGAAGATCTAGCATTTACTTGCTACTCTCTTCTCTCTACAAGAGTGGTACACACTACCTGTTTCTAGCTAGTCATCTTGGCCCTCAAAAGCAGTATCTTAAATGAAGATTTAACCTCTCATTTCCTCAGTATTTAGAAATATGAAATGTGACTAATAATGACATCATCAAGTTAGTGTAAGGAAGAACAAATAAGAAAAGATACATAAAGTACATATAATTTACATTTAGCACACTCACTATCTTTGTGAACTTGGGGAATATTTTTAAATCCTATGTATTTCAGTTTTCTCTTATGTATAAGGCTGTGAGTAGCATTCTCATGACTGTGTTATGAAAAAGAGATGTGATAATATACATATACATATAGAATGCAGGTTTTAAAAACCAGTACCCTGTAAATACTCAGAAAGTAGAATATCATTTATGATTGGTATCATACTCATTCTGCAGGGATTTGGATGTCTACTCTGATCACTTATGTCTCATACTCCCTGTTTACCTTTCTCATGGAAACCCTAGATCAAATTGGTATAGAAAGTATTTTATTAAAGAAACTTCTTTATTCATATCTACCACTTATTGACAAAAACATCTTGAGTTACTATCTTCTCAAAAACAGCCAAATAAAACAGTCCATCACAATGGTGGAATTTAGATGAGAAAATATATACTCTGGTTGACTAGTATTTTAAATTATTAAAAAAATTTTCTCAGAGTAATTCTTTTCCTTACCATCCCTGGTCCTGATTCATGTCAATTTGAGTTTTTGGCTTTAGGTTAACATAACATAAGACATCAATGATAAGAATAGGCTGCTTCTTGTTTTAAGTCCCAATCCATATAGAACCTATATCAGACAAAATCTTTTGGCAAACCCATGATGAGTGGCACAAGACTTTCCTGCTCACCTAGTGAGCCATAAGTAAGTAGTTGGATACTCTTTTTTTCGGGTGGTAGTTGGACACCCAAGAATAAATGGCTGCATGATGTGTTTAGGTATTTGAGGCCATAAAGGCATAATATCCTCCTGGGATTGCTGTGCTCTACAGATGTTCATGTACAGCAGAATAATCTGTACAGCTTTAGCAAGGGTTGTGATTAAGATTTTGGCAGGTAAGATTTAGAAATTCCTACATAATCCCATTCAATCAGTGTAAGTGAGAAAGGCATTGTTGTCTGGAGATGTTCATTTAAGTGGATATTGAAGTGGCCAAGAGAATATGGATCTGCGGTTGCAATGATTGAGCAAGGGCTCCATTCATAGCCACTTGTGCCAAGTTGGCAAAAAGACACAGGCTGCTAGCTCAAATAATACTTGAATAAACTATTGAGGCAATATAGTTAATTAAAACTAAGAACTACAATGATAACAATGAAAACAAAATAGAGAGCTTGTATATAGGAAGCTTATCTTCCAGGGTGTATATAAGGTGGTGGAGGTGTCTGTTGCTGGGTCAGAATGCAGCTTAGGGCTTGGGTGAGAAATGAATGTAAAAATAGTGATTTAATTCTTTTGCTTTTCCTCCAAGTTTCCTGCCCTTTCACCATAAATACAGGCTTCTGAACCCTGAGTGCAGGTAAGTACCCCATCATGTCAGAGGAAAAGGTAATCTGGAATAAGAATTGATGCACATAGCATGAACTGACCTTTCCCCTCTTGTATTCTGTTGCTCTGGGGTAGACTCTACCTACCATCTGAGCTTATGGTATAGAAAGGGGGAAAATCACTCCTTCACTCCAGTTGTTCAAACGCTATCATGAAAAGTAAAGGGTGCTAGGAAACTCATAAATGAAGGACCTGAGAGAACCAACAATGGGAGGACCTCATCTAATCTGAAACGTGGGTACCTGTGGTAATTCAGTCAGGCTGGTAGGAAAAATTTTAAGATGAAGTTATAACAAATCTTCTTGGAAGGCCGGAAGGTTTTGTAAAAGTCTCAAGATAGGGTTATGGCTGAAAGCAGCCTACTTCTTACCTTGAGTAAATAGCTTAAAGTGGGTACAAAGGAAGGTAGAGTAGTTTATCTAAATAGCTTGTTTACTAATGTGGTCTTAAGGCCAACTTTTGATCAACCGCGGGTGCATAATTGCTCTCTAAAGGGTCCGGTCGGCAACCAAATTACCCACAGGTTTGTTGATTCAAAAGGATTTGTCAATTAAGTCTCTGCTAAATAAATACCCACAGGGCCAGCTAGTCGAGGCTGTGGCTGCTACTCTTTACAGCACCTTCCTTGGTGTCTTTGAGGGGCCTGGACCCTTAGCTCAGCTGACAGGCAGAATATCTGTGTCAGTGTCTGTTATTCATCCGTCGTTGGGTCAGGGTCTGCAGGATGGACCCCTGCAGCTGGTGCCCTGTGTGAGGAACGCTGCAAAGGGAGTGCAACGGACCTCCCAAAAACGAAGGTGAAAAAAACTGCACGGTCAGTGAGTCAGTAAGTCATTAGTGCCCGCTTGGGATTTCCAAGTTTGGTGGGGGTGGGGATTGTTCAGACCAGGGTTTCATCACTGGACAACACTTATCAGCTCAACAGAAACAGTATATAAAAGTATTGAAACAGCCGCTTAAGGCTAGCGGAGCCTCAGTTTCACAGGCTCAATTAAGGGAACTAATGCAAACTGTTGTTACCCATAATCCATGGTTCTTAAAAGAAGGCATGCTAGATGTAGAGCTCTGGGAGCAAGTAGGGAGAAATCTTTTTTTTTTTTTTAATTTATTTTTTTTCTTTTCTTTTTTTTTATTATACTTTATGTTTTAGGGTACATGGCCACATTGTGCAGGTTAGTTACATATGTATGCATGTGCCATGCTGGTGCATTGCACCCACTAACTCGTCATCTACCATTAGGTATATCTCCCAATGCTATCCCTTTCCCCTCCCCCCACCCCACCACAGTCCCCAGAGTGTGATATTCCCCTTCCTGTGTCCATGTGATCTCATTGTTCAATTCCTACCTATGAGTGAGAATATGCAGTGTTTGGTTTTTTGTTCTTGCGATAGTTTACTGAGAATGATGATTTCCAATTTCATCCATGTCCCTACAAAGGACATGAACTCATCATTTTTTATGGCTGCATAGTATTCCATGGTGTATATGTGCCACATTTTCTTAATCCAGTCTATCATTGTTGGACATTTGGGTTGGTTCCAAGTCTTTGCTATTGTGAATAATGCCGCAATAAACATACGTGTGCATGTGTCTTTATAGCAGCATGATTTATAGTCCTTTGGGTATATACCCAGTAATGGGATGCCTGGGTCAAATGGTATTTCTAATTCTAGATCCCTGAGGAATCGCCACACTGACTTCCACAATGGTTGAACTAGTTTACAGTCCCACCAACAGTGTAAAAGTGTTCCTATTTCTCCACATCCTCTCCAGCACCTGTTGTTTCCTGACTTTTTGATGATTGCCATTCTAACTGGTGTGAGATGGTATCTCATTGTGGTTTAGATTGGCATTTCTCTGATGGCCAGTGATGATGAGCATTTTTTCATGTGTTTTTTGGCTGCATAAATGTCTTCTTTTGAGAAGTGTCTGTTCATGTCCTTCACCCACTTTCTGATGGGGTTGTTTGTTTTTTTCTTGTAAATTTGTTTGAGTTCATTGTAGATTCTGGATATTAGCCCTTTGTCAGATGAGTAGGTTGTGAAAATTTTCTCCCATTTTGTAGGTTGCCTGTTCACTCTGATGGTAGTTTCTTTTGCTGTGCAGAAGCTCTTTAGTTTAATTAGATCCCATTTGTCAATTTTGTCTTTTGTTGCCATTGCTTTTGGTGTTTTAGACATGAAGTCCTTGCCCATGCCTATGTCCTGAATGGTAATGCCTAGGTTTTCTTCTAGGGTTTTTATGGTTTTAGGTCTAACGTTTAAGTCTTTAATCCATCTTGAATTGATTTTTGTAGAAGGTGTAAGGAAGGGATCCAGTTTCAGCTTTCTACATATGGCTAGCCAGTTTTCCCAGCACCATTTATTAAATAGGGATTCCTTTCCCCATTGCTTGTTTTTCTCAGGTTTGTCAAAGATCAGATAGTTGTAGATATGCGGCATTATTTCTGCGGGCTCTGTTCTGTTCCATTGATCTATATCTCTGTTTTGGTAACAGTACCATGTTGTTTTGGTTACTGTAGCCTTGTAGTATAGTTTGAAGTCAGGTAGTGTGATGCCTCCAGCTTTGTTCTTTTGGCTTAGGATTGCCTTGGCAATGCGGGCTCTTTTTTGGTTCCATATGAACTTTAAAGTAGTTTTTTCCAATTCTGTGAAGAAAGTCATTGGTAGCTTGATGGGGATGGCATTGAATCTGTAAATTACCTTGGGCAGTATGGCCATTTTCACGATATTGATTCTTCCTACCCATGAGCATGGAATGTTCTTCCATTTGTTTGTATCCTCTTTTATTTCCTTGAGCAGTGGTTTGTAGGTCTCCTTGAAGAGGTCCTTCACATCCCTTGTAAGTTGGATTCCTAGGTATTTTATTCTCTTTGAAGCAATTGTGAATGAGAGTTCACTCATGATTTGGCTCTCTGTTTGTCTGTTGTTGGTGTATAAGAATGCTTGTGATTTTTGTACATTGATTTTGTATTCTGAGACTTTGCTGAAGTTGCTTATCAGCTTAAGGAGATTCTGGGCTGAGACAATGGGGTTTTCTAGATATACAATCATGTCGTCTGCAAACAGGGACAATTTGACTTCCTCTTTTCCTAATTGAATACCCTTTATTTCCTTCTCCTGCCTAATTGCCCTGGCCAGAACTTCCAACACTAAGTTGAATAGGAGTGGTGAGAGAGGGCATCCCTGTCTTGTGCCAGTTTTCAAAGGGAATGCTTCCAGTTTTTGCCCATTCAGTATGATATTGGCTGTGCGTTTGTCATAGATAGCTCTTATTATTTTGAAATACGTCCCATCAGTACCTAATTTATTGAGAGTTTTTAGCATGAAGGGTTGTTGAATTTTGTCAAAGGCTTTTTCTGCATCTATTGAGATAATCATGTGGTTTTTGTCTTTGGCTCTGTTTATATGCTGGATTACATTTATTGATTTGCATATATTGAACCAGCCTTGCATCCCAGGGATGAAACCCACTTGATCATGGTGGATAAGCTTTTTGATGTGCTGCTGGATTCGTTTTGCCAGTATTTTATTGAGGATTTGTGCATCAATGTTCATCAAGGATATTGGTCTAAAATTCTCTTTTTTGGTTGTGTCTCTGCCAGGCTTTGGTATCAGAATGATGCTGACCTCATAAAATGAGTTAGGGAGGATTCCCTCTTTTTCTATTGATTGGAATAGTTTCAGAAGGAATGGTACCAGTTCCTCCTTGTACCTCTGGTAGAATTCAGCTGTGAATCCATCTGGTCCTGGACTCTTTTTGGTTGGTGAACTATTGATTATTGCCACAATTTCAGCTCCTGTTATTGGTCTATTCAGACATTCAACTTCTTCCTGGTTTACTCTTGGGAGAGTGTATGTGTTGAGGAATTTATCCATTTCTTCTAGATTTTCTAGTTTATTTGCATAGAGGTGTTTGTAGTATTCTCTGATGGTAGTTTGTATTTCTGTGGGATCGGTGGTGATATCCCCTTTATCATTTTTTATTGTGTCTATTTGATTCTTCTCTCTTTTTTTCTTTATTAGTCTTGCTAGCGGTCTATCAATTTTGTTGATCCTTTCAAAAAACCAGCTCCTGGATTCCTTAATTTTTTGAAGGGTTTTTTGTGTCTCTATTTCCTTCAGTTCTGCTCTGATTTTAGTTATTTCTTGCCTTCTGCTAGCTTTTGAATGTGTTTGCTCTTGCTTTTCTAGTTCTTTTAATTGTGATGTTAGGGTGTCAATTTTGGATCTTTCCTGCTTTCTCTTGTGGGCATTTAGTGCTATAAATTTCCCTCTACACACTGCTTTGAATGCGTCCCAGAGATTCTGGTATGTTGTGTCTTTGTTCTCGTTGGTTTCAAAGAACATCTTTATTTCTGCCTTCATTTCACTACGTATCCAGTAGTCATTCAGGAGCAGGTTGTTCAGTTTCCATGTAGTTGAGCGGTTTTGAGTGAGATTCTTAATCCTGAGTTCTAGTTTGATTGCACTGTGGTCTGAGAGATAGTTTGTTATAATTTCTGTTCTTTTACATTTGCTGAGGAGAGCTTTACTTCCAAGTATGTGGTCAATTTTGGAATAGGTGTGGTGTGGTGCTGAAAAAAATGTATATTCTGTTGATTTGGGGTGGAGAGTTCTGTAGATGTCTGTTAGGTCCGGTTGGTGCAGAGCTGAGTTCAATTCCTGGGTATCCTTGTTGACTTTCTGTCTCATTGATCTGTCTAATGTTGACAGTGGGGTGTTAAAGTCTCCCATTTTTAATGTGTGGGAGTCTAAGTCTCTTTGTAGGTCACTCAGGACTTCCTTTACGAATCTGGGTGCTCCTGTATTGGGTGCATATATATTTAGGATAGTTAGCTCTTCTTGTTGAATTGATCCCTTTATCATTATGTAATGGCCTTCTTTGTCTCTTTTGATCTTTGTTTGTTTAAAGTCTGTTTTATCAGAGACTAGGATTGCAACCCCTGCCTTTTTTTGTTTTCCATTTGCTTGGTAGATCTTCCTCCATCCTTTTATTTTGAGCCTATGTGTGTCTCTGCATGTGAGATGGGTTTCCTGAATACAGCACACTGATGGGTCTTGACTCTTTATCCAATTTGCCAGTCTGTGTCTTTTAATTGGAGCATTTAGTCCATTTACATTTAAAGTTAATATTGTTATGTATGAATTTGATCCTGTCATTATGATGTTAGCTGGTGATTTTGCTCGTTAGTTGATGCAGTTTCTTCCTAGTCTCGATGGTCTTTACATTTTGGCATGATTTTGCAGCGGCTGGTACCCGTTGTTACTTTCCATGTTTAGCACTTCCTTCAGGAGCTCTTTTAAGGCAGGCCTGGTGGTGACAAAATCTCTCAGCATTTGCTTGTCTGTAATGTATTTTATTTCTCCTTCACTTATGAAGCTTAATTTGGCTGGATATGAAATTCTGGGTTGAAAATTCTTTTCTTTAAGAATGTTGAATATTGGCCCCCACTCTCTTCTGGCTTGTAGGGTTTCTGCTGAGAGATCCGCTGTTAGTCTGATGGGCTTCCCTTTGAGGGTAACCCGACCTTTCTCTCTGGCTGCCCTTAACATTTTTTCCTTCATTTCAACTTTGGTGAATCTGCCAATTATGTGTCTTGGAGTTGCTCTTCTCGAGGAGTATCTTTGTGGCGTTCTCTGTATTTCCTGAATCTGAACGTTGGCCTGCCTTGCTAGATTGGGGAAGTTCTCCTGGATAATATCCTGCAGAGTGTTTTCCAACTTGGTTCCATTCTCCCCATCACTTTCAGGTACACCAATCAGACGTAGATTTGGTCTTTTCACATAGTCCCATATTTCTTGGAGGCTTTGCTCATTTCTTTTTATTCTTTTTTCTCTAAACTTCCCTTCTCGCTTCATTTCATTCATTTCATCTTCCATTGCTGATACCCTTTCTTCCAGTTGATCGCATCGGCTCCTGAGGCTTCTGCATTCTTCACGTAGTTCTCGAGCCTTGGTTTTCAGCTCCATCAGCTCCTTTAAGCACTTCTCTGTATTGGTTATTCTAGTTATACATTCTTCTAATTTTTTTTCAAAGTTTTCAACTTCTTTGCCTTTGGTTTGAATGTCCTCCCATAGCTCAGAGTAATTTGATCATCTGAAGCCTTCTTTTCTCAGCTCGTCAAAGTCATTCTCCATCCAGCTTTGTTCCGTTGCTGGTGAGGAACTGCGTTTCTTTGGAGGAGGAGAGGCACTGTGTGTTTTAGAGTTTCCAGTTTTTCTGTTCTGTTTTTTCCCCATCTTTGTGGTTTTATCTACTTTTGGTCTTTGATGATGGTGATGTACAGAAGGGTTTTTGGTGTGGATGTCCTTTCTGTTTGTTAGTTTTCCTTCTAACAGACAGGACCCTCAGCTGCAGGTCTGTTGGAGTACCCTGCCGTGTGAGGTGTCAGTGTGCCCCTGCTGGGGGGTGCCTCCCAGTTAGGCTGCTCGGGGGTCAGGGGTCAGGGACCCCCTTGAGGAGGCAGTCTGCCCGTTCTCAGATCTCCAGCTGCGTGCTGGGAGAACCACTGCTCTCTTCAAAGCTGTCAGACAGGGACATTTAAGTCTGCAGAGTTTACTGCTGTCTTTTTGTTTGTCTGTGCCCTGCCCCCAGAGGTGGAGTCTACAGAGGCAGGCAGGCCTCCTTGATCTGTGGTGGGCTCCACCCAGTTCGAGCTTCCTGGCTGCTTTGTTTACCTAATAAGCCTGGGCAATGGCGGGCGCCCCTCCCCCAGCCTCACTGCTGCCTTGCAGTTTGATCTCAGACTGCTGTGCTAGCAATCAGCGAGACCCGTGGGCGTAGGACCCTCGGAGCCAGGTGCAGGATATAATCTCCTGGTGCGCCATTTTTTAAGCCGGTCCGAAAAGCGCAATATTCGGGTGGGAGTGACCCGATTTTCCAGGTGCGTCGATCACCCCTTTCTTTGACTCGGAAAGGGAACTCCCTGACCCTTGTGCTTCCCAAGTGAGGCAATGCCTCACCCTACTTCGGCTCGCGCATGGTGCGTGCACCCACTGACCTGCGCCCACTGTCTGGCACTCCCTAGTGAGATGAACTCGGTACCTCAGATGGAAATGCAGAAATCACCCATCTTCTGCGTCGCTTACGCTGGGAGCTGTATACGGGAGCTATTCCTGTTCGGCCATCTTGGCTCCTCCCTCTGGGAGAAATCTTAAACAACATTATGCTCAAGGGCAATGGGTCCCAGTAACAGCCCTAACGCTATGGGCTTTAGTTAGAGCGGCTCTGGTTCATTGCAACCAGAAGAGCCTAAAAAGGGGAAGGAGGAGGAACCATCACCTGCCTTACCACTTCCTCTTCCCTCAGCCCCAATATCACCAAGCCAAAATAACAAAGATGAATGGAGGTTTTGCCTGAGCTCCCTCCTCCAATAGATGGGAAAAAAAATGGGATATGCTCTAGGTATGGAACCCTGTCTTAAGCGGCATTAAAAGGGGAGCCGTTCACCTGCCCAGTAATGCAAGATCAACGAGGCAATCATAAACCCATTTTTTTTTTTTAACGCTTATAAAAAGATTTTGAAAAGCATCAGAGGCCAGAGTTGTGCGGCCAAGCAAGCAGTAGGTAGAAAGAAAGGCTCGGCAGCGGGGAAGCTCACAAATCCGCAGCCAGCTAATGCTCCTAGGAACTCAGCCTGCACAGCTGCTGCGACAGGAAGCCAGGCCCAGCTGCAGGAGCTAGACTGCTGGGGAGGGGCAGGAGGCACTTGCAGAAAGGTCCACCCAACAGGCAGCGGGAGGGAGCGGCACAGGAAAAAAAAAAAAAAAAAAAACCGACACAGGCAAAAGCGGCGCCTAGGCAAGCGCAACGCAGCCACCACCCTGGGGCCCACCTGCTTAGCTCTCCAGCTCCGCAGGCGGACCACAGCAAAATTTCATGTGCTCCTTGTATACAAGCGACATCCCAGATTATAATTCTATGCTAAGATTTAAGAAAAAATTTAAAATTTAAAAAACTTCTTTCTAATAATGGCCACTGTTATCTCTCTCTTACCCCTAACGTGACTCTCTCCAAATCCAATTTAAGTAAAACGGTAACCTCTAAAGGGAGAAAAATCACAAAAGGCCCATGAGTTAGTTAAGGAGCAATTAAGAGCAAACTTTGCTCCCCAGTAGAAAAAAAAATTCCTGATTGCAAGGTTATTCATTTTATGGATGATACTCTCTTAATAGTCCTTGAGATTCACCCATTTTCATCATTCCCAAAAAGTCTAGTAAATGTTTTAACTACAAAAGTAGTTCACTCCCCACACACCTAATGCTTTAACACTGTTTACTGATGGTTTGGGTAAACATGGAAAAGCGCTAGTCTGGTGGAGACCACGTAATTCAATCACTCGATCTGGGTTTACTAGCACTTAGAGAGCTGAGATTGGGGCTCTGATATTGTCCTTGGAAACTTTTTCCACTCAGCCCATCAATATAGTTAGCGATTCTGCTTACTCTATTTATTGCAGAACCTTGAGACAGCTCTAATTAAGTCCACTCTGGAGCCCGCCCTGTATGCTGTTTTTCTCTGACTTCAGCAATTGCTAGATCAACGTACACATCCTATTTTTATTACACACATTCCAGCCCACAGCTCACTGCCTGGCCCATTGGCTTATGGCAATGAACAAGCAGACATTCAGGTTATGACATCACTGCTTGACAAAGCCACCTAATGGCATCAATTTTTCCACCAAAATTGGAGAAACTTATCTAAGCAAATTCAACTTACCCAGAGACTGGCTAAACAAATTATCCTACAATGCCCAGATTTCGAGCTCACAGGCACATCTCCTCCTTCAACAGGTGTTAACCCTAGAGGACTAGAACCTAATCAGTTATGGCAAACAGATGTTACACACATCCCTGAATTTGGAAAACTAAGATATGTACATGTATCCGTTGATACTAACACTCATCTAATTAGTGCACACGTTCTTCCTGGAAAATCCACTGGAGATGTCATTAACTTTTGCACTTATGGGACAGCCCACAAAAATTAAAACTGATAATGGTCCAGCTTATGCCAGCTCACAATTTCAACAATTTTGTCACATGTGGAATAGCCAACATTCCACAGGCATCCCATATAACCCCCAAAGACAAGCCATGGTAGAACGTGCCGACTCCACCCTTAAAAATATGCTCAAGAAACAGAAAAGGGGGAGTATGGGTAAATACCCTGCCACGCTATTGGCACAAGCCTTATTTATGCTTAATTTTAAAAATTGAGATGACACATTTCAATCAGCTGTAGAAAAGCACTTTGCTGAAACCTCTCTAGGCATAAAACCTTCAGTTTTATGGAAAGATGTCAACGGTAATGTACGGTGTGGTCCAAGTGAATTATTAACGTGGGGAAGAGGGTATGCTTGTGTCCACACACCCTCAGGTCCTCTTTGGATTCCAGCATGACACATCAAACCATATCACAGCGTGGCTAGGACCCAACCTGGTACCAGAAATGAAGGAACTAACCCTGCAGGACCCGCAGCCCTGGACAATGTGGCTTCCTCGGATGACACAAGCCCCGGACATTACCTGGGGGATGCTGAAGAGGACAACTCAGGAGGCTGAATGAATCCTGCTCCTGACACAGACACCATTCACTCCAGATAATTTGCTTCTTGCTATGCTTTCTGTTGTACATTGCAAATCACTTAGGGTATTGTTCCTTTTTTATGCTCTCGCTTTGTCTGCAACCTGTACCTGCTAAACTCTACTGGGCTCATATCTTAGATCTGCCTCTCTTTCGCCCTGTCACTTGGGCAGACACTCCCTTTCCAGCCTTTAATAACGTGATTGCTTGGCTAGGAGGGTTAGATTTACACCCAATGGGGTCTCTCAATAATGGCACACATTGGACTAAGGTGCCAGATAACACTACATATCACTCCACTATCCTTCCACTGTGTGTAAGTTATAAAGGTTCTAACCCTTAATGTGTACCTGCCCAAACCCAATTGTGGCTACATCATGGCAAAAGAAATGCCTTAACAGTCTTAGCTGCAGGCAGCCTCAAACTGGGTAATGCAATTAATGCCGCTTTCCCAAACATTCCTTCCTGTGCTCACAATAGCAAAGACTTGGAACCAACCCAAATGTCCAACAGTGATAGACTGGATTAAGAAAATGTGGCACATATACACCATGGAATACTATGCAGCCATAAAAAATGATGAGTTCATGTCCTTTGTAGGGACATGAATGAAATTGGAAATCATCATTCTCAGTAAACTATCGCAAGAACAAAAAACCAAACAGTGCATATTCTCACTCATAGGTGGGAATTGAACAATGAGAACACATGGACACAGGAAGGGGAACATCACACTCTGGGGACTGTTGTGGGGTGGGGGGAGGGGGAAGGGAGAGCATTGGGAGATATACCTAATGCTAGATGACGAGTTAGTGGGTACAGCGCACCAGCATGGCGCATGTATACATATGTAACTAACCTGCACATTGTGCCCATGTACCCTAAAACTTAAAGTATAATAATAAAAACAAAACAAAACAAAAAAAGCCAGGAAAGTAATGAATTCCACTTTAGCTGGGAGGTCTGTCATGGGGAACAAGCCTATAGCCTCCAACTAGGCAATTATAACATCTTAGACTGGAGCCCACACAGCTGTTTGCAGGGCAGCCTTACTGATGTCCTCATCCATCATGGCATCAATCACAGTTTTGTAACCTCATCACGTTCCCCTGTGATTTGGGCTGATGGGGGGATGGGTTATCCCAGACCCCAAGTAAAGTCCTTGCCACCCCATGACACTTTATGGTGCCTAGGACATCTTAGCACCTCCTCTGACACCTGGCATGGGACATATCATAATTCCAGTCACAATTACACTATAGCCTTCACTTGTAATCACACTGATCAGTGCCTAATTTGCACTCCCCATCCATATGTTTTCCTTATGGGAACTGATATTTCCATGACACCCCAAAACTCCGCCTTTGTGACCCAGGTGCAGGGACAGGCTTGGTTTGCCTCATGTATCACTAATGACAATATATCTAATTTAAATATTGCTAGTGTTATGATATTAAGGAGACAATCTGAGGCATTCCTACCAGTCAATTTGACACATGATTGGCAAGGTTCCTCTGCCCTTGCCACCTTAGAACGTCCCCTGTCCCAGGTCAGACTCAAAAGATTCGTAGGCACACTTATAGCCTTTATGGTCTCAGCCATAGTCATCCTGGCAACTGCTAGTATGGCTGTTGCATCTATTACTGAATCAGTACAAACAGCTGCTTTTATAGATAATATGGCCAGAAATGTGTCTAATAAACTTCTCTTACAGCAAGGTATAGATCAAAAGATTCTTGCACTACTGCAATCCCTCGAGGCTGCCTTAGAATATGTGGGGGAGCAACAAGACGCACTGGCATTCCAACAGCAATGAAACTGCAACTGGGGGCATAAACATATCTGTATCATTTCTCTACCATGGAATCAATCAATACATGGTTGGAATGAGGTGAAACAACACCTCTGGGAAACCTTTCATGACAATTTGGCAGCAGACATAAAGCAACTTAAAACTAAAATTTTAGAATCCTTTCACACTATAGATCCACACACCCAACAAACAGCCATATGGAAGGGTGTGCAAGATTATCTCTACTGGTTTGACACCTGTTCCTGGGGGTCACTCTGACTGGAAAAGAATGCTGCTAATTATATTCATGATTATCTTATGTTATTTGCTAATTCTAGGATGCAAAGCCAGAATAATAGCAATGACCGCCCCACCCAACAGACTTGTTGCTGCACACATCTGTATGCTTCAGTCAAGAGAACCTGATGCAGAAAACAGAAAAGGGGGACATGTTGTAGTTCAGTCAGGCTGGTGGAAAAATTTTAAGATGAAGTTCTAGGACATAGACACAAATCTTCTTGGAAGGCTGGAAGGTTTTGTAAAAGTCTCAAGATAGGGCTATGGCTGAAAGCAGCCTAATCCTTACCTTGAGTAAATAGCTTAAAGTGGGTACAAAGGAGGTAGTTTATCTAAATAGCTTGTTTACTTCTGTGGTCTTAAGACCAACCTTTGATCAACTGTGGGTGCATAATCGCTCTTTACTTGGGGGTTGGTGATCAGATTAATTACCTACAGGTGTGTTGACTCAAAGCCTTTGTCAATTAAATCTGTGCTAAATAAATGCCCGCAGGGCTGGCTAGTGGAGGCTGTGGCTGCTACTCTTTACAGCACCTTCTTTGGTGTCTGTGATGGGTCTGGACCCTTAGCCGAACTGACAGGCAGAATATCTGTGTCAGTGTATGTTATTCATCTGTTGTTGGGTCAGGGTCTGCAGGACAAACCCCCACAGGTACCAGTGAGAACTTGTCCTAGGAAGGGATTTAGGCTGGAGAGGTGGGTTAGAGAAGAGACTGGAGAAAATGATCCCAGCAAAGGAAGCAATCTTTGTCAAAGCTTCTGATTTGGAAAAGACCATGGATAGTTTAAAATAAAACCTGAGGTATGGCCATAAACAAAGTGAAAGGATGAAAGGTAACTGGAATATAGGTAATGAACACATTCTTGTATTCATCTTCCTTTATCTGGCTATATCCCCACAATCTCTCTCTACACCTGGACCAACAAAAGACAGTAATCCTCTTGAGTCAGGAATGATTTCATGAACATATACTTTGTAAACACCAAAAGACAAAATCTAATAAGGTCTCAAAGAATATACTTAACTAATGATAATAAATTTTATTAAAAAGATTGTATTCAGTTGGGATCAATGAGTTACCTGTCATGATCCAATCACCCTAGTAATTATGATGTTGTGAAGCACAGGAATGGGAAATACAAGATAGTATCTTGTGTAAGAAACTGCATGATGTGGTTTTTGGGCATAACTGAGAAACCTGATGCTGGAACCCATATGGAAATGAGTTCTTCACTGCAGTTTGCTGAGGCTCACTCTGCTCTGGGGCTGAATTAGGAGATTGAGGTCAGGAGTTTCAGTGTTTGTGTCCTTAATTGTTGGGAGGAAAATAGATTATTTTTTTCTGGTCAATAATTTTCAATATGAGTCACAACATAATAAATATTTTATCCATTTTAACAGGACCCTCTCTTTGTGAATGTTCTCTGGAATATCTGTATAAATGTAAATTCCCTAAATCTCCTCTTCTGCATACACAGAAACCGGAATTACAAACTTCACTCTGAAAATGTCTGATGGGTGTTTATTAACTAAGTCTTTCTAGTCAAGGAAATACACAAATGGGTACCTGTTGTCTGTTCTTTAGATTGTAGGAAATCCAGCTTTATGTTTCATCTATCTATCTATCTATCTATCTATCTATCTATCTATCTATCTAATCACTGTGCTAGAAGGATTCTTTCAAATCCACAATTCCAGATGCAGAATTCTGCTGTTTTGTAGTCTGCATAAGTTAGCCAGAATCCTCAGGGCTGTTAATCATATTTAGAAATACTTAACAATCTACTTGAGCATTTGCAGTAAATGTTTTTTAACATTTTTTTCCAAAAGCAAGGACATAGGTCTCCTCAATCATATAATTTTCTCTATTTTCACTGATTTTTTTTACCATTCATTAATAGGTTACTTTCCATAGTTCTACCACTTCTAGAATTCAGTTATGTAATATATAAAAAGCACTCTGTTATAGAGAAGAATGAGAGGACTCTAATTCTGGAGAGTGGCTTCTGTATGACAGTACACTTTGTTCATTCTGGGTACCTCATTATTTTTGAGAAGCCCTGCAGAGCCTGGGCTATGCAAACATATTCATTAAATGACACTGTCAATTCTGAAATTTGTAAAATAAATTGCTGACATTAGTATATCTCAACTTTTAATCTAAAGCCCCATATAATCATAAATTGTTCAAGTTTTACATTTCAATAGGGCTGGATATGAATCCTGACTCTAACACTGTCTTTGAGAACTTGAGGAAGACTTTTTTTTTATGTTTGAGTGTGTCTATTTTCTTCTATGTCAATTGGGACAGAAAGTAGCATCCTCTTGATGGTTATGAAGAAGGAATGAGATAATGTACATCAGGAACAACATGTAAGACCAAACACCTAGTTAAATGCTCAAACACAGAACATTGTCGTTACATGTTCTATGCTGGGACTTGTAGTTTTTTTCTTTTCTACAAATATATCATGTGCTACACTGACCCTATTAAGGGAAACCCCAGATCAAGGAAGTATGGAAAACATCTTATATGATAAGCCTCTCTGTTCACTTCTGTGAAATTAGTACTTTACTCTCATTGACAGGAGGCCCTGTAAAAGCAAACAATAGGAGGACTCAACAGTTCTGCTATCTTGTATCATTGAGGACTTGCCAGAGGAAAATACTTAAGTTGGTGTCTGAAATTTAAGGAAATTCTTGCCAGTGATGAGATGGGAGAAATAGATTCCCAACAATGAAATAGCATGTTTCCAAATATATACTTCGAATATTTATTTCAACTTGGAATGCTGAAAATAAATTCAGAAATAATACCAATAAGCAAAGGGGAAAGTTGTGAAAGAAATTGGAATGTGGGTCATAACACACTCTTTGTCTTCATCTCTACTTCTCTGGCCATTACCCCTCCCATAGGTGGAGCAAGACAAGATACTAGCCCTCTTGTGGTCAGCAATCGTTGCACAAATAAATATCTTTTAGATAGCAAAGACTATCATGTGGTAGTATCTCACTGTATGCATTCAATAAATACATGGGTGATTTAATTTTATCTAGAGATTGTACACAGTTAGGGATTAGAAGAGAAACTCTTTCAACAATCTAATGATCCTTGTAATTTATATTTGGGAGATAAGAGTCATGGGACCCAGGATATTGTACCTTGGTGAAGGAACTGCTGGATGGGGTTGTTGGTGGCATCTGAGGAGTCTTGAGATGGCTTTCAGGTAGGGTTGTGCTGGCCTCTGAAGGTTTTGGATGCTGACTCTGTTCCTGGGGTAGTGCCATGCTCCTGGAGTCATGGCTTCTCTGGTTTGTATTTTTCTGTATCTGAAAGTATTCATTTTTTTGTTTAATGTTTTTTAATATTAGGGAAAGCAAAACATCTTTAAATATGTGAGAATATCATCCTTTATTAAATTCTAATAGATGTCATTACCTTCAAAGATTGCCTCTATCTAATGTATTCCTCCAGGCAACTGCCAATATATTTTTTTGCTAAAATGTAAAATGATCTAACATTCTTAGTAAAATAAAATCTTTATTCACTTATTTTTTAAAATGAAATCCATTTTTGTCTTTATGGCATAAGACAGATGAGAAAAGGGCTGCTTGTTACCTGTCTTGCATGAATTTCTCATACCTTTCCACATATGCCAAAGTTGTACAGAACTCACTATGCTTTTTCTCACTTTTAATGTTTGTATGCAACATTTTCTCTGCCTGAAGTCTTTCCAATGTCTGTCTTTACCTTGTTAAGAGCAGTAGTATCTAGTGCATACTGGTTTGTCACAAGGTACAAGGAAGGCAATGGGCTACAAAATGTATATCCATGATCTCATTTAATTTTCAAACCAATTGTGTGAGGAACATGTAAGCTATTTCTCCAATATCATGCAACCAATGAGCAAGATATATACCAAGCCTATCTTACTGCAAAGAACTTGGTTTTGATAACTAACTGCAATTAGGCCCGTGGCCTCCTAGTTTCTTCAAATATTTTAATATTTAGCACAAGTTTCATGTCTTTTTGAAGAAGATAATTGTCCATCTCTTAATATATTTTAATAATTTTCTCTATTTAAATGTAAGCGCAAGGGCATTATTTGGTTTCTCATGAACTCTGCAGAATTTTAAGTGTAAAACAACAGAAGTATGGCTTCCTAAAACTTAAAGCAAATGATTTTCATCTTTGGAAAACTAATATTTGTTTCTTTATTTCTCACCTGGATGAAACTATGCATTTCTGACATCAGTTTTGACATATTTTCCCTCTTTCTCAGTCGAAAGCAGAAGAGTCGAAGCTTATCTCCTTTTTCACAGGGGATATTGTGGCATTCTCCTTTTCCTACTACAGCCATACTTCCTGTTTTATCCTGAATTTCATAGATTGTCGTCTTCCTATTTACAATTTTCTGCAACAAAAAATTAATATCATGTTTGTGAGAACATAGTAACTACCGTGCATATAGGAAAGTCTCTTGTGACAGATTAAAAACAAGATGCAAGACAGCAACTCCTAGTACTGTATCGACATACAATACATATGCCTTAGTCTAGACCATCTCACAGAGCTCTCCCTCAATATCCTTTTTGTTTAAGTCCTTAATGTTCTAAGTATTTCTATTACAGTTCTAGAGCAATGAGTTATCTTCCCATTTTCAACTTCTTTCACCTCCAAGACTGCTATGCTTCCCAAAGCACCTTGATACAAAGGAAACTGAAGTCCTTGGTAGGCTTATTTGGCCTCTGCCCCTATGCAAAAAGAATGGGCATCTGTCACAACTCATCATTCACTATGTTATGAGGAATCTGTAATAAAAAACAAGCTTCTAGTAACTATCTAATTACTTTTTTGACTTTCTCCATTTACTGAATCTCTTTCAACATCTGCTCCCATCCTGAACTCAGGTCCTTAAGCTCAAACATTCCAATTTCTTGCTCATCAAGGCTATTACTCATCGTTCTGGATGTGTATTTCTAAGAATTTCTTTAAGAGTGTGTACAGAAAGCAATGCTGGTAAAATAAGAGGTCATTCTAGAAAATAAATATAACAGATCATGAGCTGTCAGTCATCTAAGAAATTACTGGACTCAATAGCCAGGTATAGATGGTTTTCTGAGTTGGAATGTCTCAAGCTAACTAGTTTCGTGAATTTTGACAGTAACATATCAGAAAATTTTTTCTGCTCTTTTTTTGCGACATATCTAATATACGAGTACAGATTACCTGATTCTCCAAGTATCACCCAAATTTATATTTCTCAGCCCTTCAATACTTTTTGATGAATGCATTTCATTTGGTCAGAACATTGTCCTACCTGTTTACTGCAATTGATTTCCAGGTATAAACAGTCAATTCATTTCTTGCCCTGATTGTCAAAACTGGAACTCAAGCCTCAAAGAACAATACTGTATTCAAAATGAAAACAATGTGATTTTTGCTACAATTGAGATTATAATCAAAGAAATAAGTTTAGTATTATGTTTGTATGGATCTAGATCCCTCACTATCTTTGATCGTTATGACTCATAATAGATAGTCACAGCTGATGAAGTCTCAAGGTTTCTCAGTGAATGTTTTACTAAAGAACTTCAGGGTGATATTTTGGAAAGAATGAGAACATTAATAGTTCTCCTAATCCTGGTCTTAACCTCGAAGAAGACTTTATCTACTTGTCAGTAGTTTTGAGAGAGTCCTGAGTTTTAATGTTAAGTAATATGCAAACTTCCATTTAGCACATCAGGGCTTTTAATTTCAAGTGTTATTGTAGAAAATGCCACAAAATAGCTTTGATGCCTTACCGTATGTAGCATAAATAATCCATATACAATATATCCTGAAGTTTGTTTGTGAAGAATATTGATCTTCGGAATTTTCTTTGCTCTTCTGATGATGTCCTTTGGAACCTCAAACGTTTGGTCAGGACCAGCTTCAGATACAGAAGAGGCTTCATTCACCTCTAGGAGACTATTACGTTTGGAATAATTTGATATAATGATGATTCTCTTTTTAATGAATTTCCTCTTCAAGTTGATGTTTAAAACCTTCACATGAAAGAACTGTGTCTGCGTAGCCACTGTAGCATGAAACATTCTTCTTTGCTCATTTTCTGAGGATTCATATTTAAATACTTTTGTTGCATTTAGTACCATCGCGATTATTGGGTCTTCTCGGAAAATATTTTTACTGGCAGTTGCGTGACGGTTGGCCAATGGTTTTAGGCTCTGCGCATGATACAAAAGGAATACAAAAAAGAAATTTTTGAGTGAGGAATACAGAATTGCTCTTCAGTGACCTCAAGGCACAACATTGGGCCCCCAAAAGTTGTAGATGTGTAGAGCTGGGGCCAGGATACAGGGAAGGAGAGGATATTCTGAAGTAGTCTCATAGCCAGAGGAAGTAATATAGGAGACCACATAGTAAAAGAAGACTTTCTTTAAACAGAATAATCCTTAAAATGTAAGATATAATAGCAACAAAAGACAAGTGGATGCTGAGCCAATCATCATGAATTAACTTAAAATAAATTTAGGATAAAATAATGAGTTGTAGTTTTACTCTTACCAGCTTAAAATGCCAGAGCATAAAAATAGACAAAATACAATTGAATAGCGCTGAAAATGGTAAAGGGTGTCCACCACAAACCACATACATCAACAGTGTTTAGTTATTACCAATGTAGACAGGGCAATTTTTAGCATACAACTCATACTTTTCCTGCCTAAGATAAATGCTGTTAAAGCAGGTGAGAACACCTGTGGGCTAAACCCCTCAGAATGCCCTCATCTCAGTAGGTTCAGGCTACAGACACTCTACAGAGTGTCATTACCACCATTGCAGTCTTTCTCAATGTCAGGGCTCTAGGAGGTAGCATGCTGACAGAAAAGCAAGGATCAGAGTGGATTGTCTTTAATATCCTTTCTCTATAACATCCAGGTTTCCTTAATTTGCAGCAGAACACATTAATGAAGGGAAAGTTGTTCAATTTCAAGAAAAAGCACTGGAGGAATAGGTAGGTTTGTTTCATTCACAAACCAGCAGCTCCTGGAGTGGTCTGATCTGGAATACCATATACAGTGATCATCTGTGAGTGACTGGACTTTATTTGATCTGACTTTTCATCCATGTGACCCATTCAGCCTAAAACAGAAAAGTCCTTTCCCAACACAAGTTAATCAGTAACCGTAGATCCATCCATGAGAATATTAATAGTAACTGATATGCAACATCACAAGGAGCCACATGAATACAAGACCTGCATGAAGGGGATCATATAACTGCTCAGAGAGACATAATAGGACATTACATTGTATGATGATATTTTCAGAAAAAATATGTGTATACATAGGAGTAAATATGAGAGGGTATATAGAGAAATGTGGCATGTTATGGATGCTGGAATTTCACGTAAAGTTAATTAAGTTTGATCTGGTTTGTCTGCATTTATTCCTTTTTTTCTGAAATAGTCTTACATTAATACAAAATCAAATGTAAGAAAAAAGGGAATAGAGCAAATTAAGGTTGGTGGTGTGGTTTCATCACTTGTTGCCCTTCATAATTGATCCCCTTTATTGTGTATCAGAAATATAGAACATTTTTTTAATAATAAAGCTCATTAGAGTTTCAATTAGTTTTTAGACTATTGCTGATACATGCATATAGTAAGGCTGACCTGTCCAAATTTGAGATGAGTACAGCATTATAAGGATTATCAGAATCATGCAATTATTAATTGTAATTTACTTTCTTTCATTTGTAAGTCTTGGTGTATCGTCTTCTGCCTGCCTACATTTTCCCAAACTCCTGAGCTCTCTTCCCTATTCCATCACTTCCCTTTGTTTTTACAACCTTTTGGCCTCACAATAGGTATCTTTGACTGAGTCAGATGACCTTTATTTGTCATTTGCTTAGCTGTAGTGGTTCATATCTTAGAATATGGTTTCCTTTTTTTTTTTTTTTTTTACTTTTTTATTTTGAGATGGAGTCTCGCTCTGTCACCCAGGCTGGAGTGCAGTGGTGCGATCTCAGCTCACTGCAACCTCCACCTCCCTGGTTCAAGCAATTCCCCTGCCTCAGCCTCCTGAGTAGCTGGGATTATAGGCGTAAGCCACCATACCCAGCTAATTTTTTTGTATTTTTAGTAGAGATAGTGTTTCACCATGTTGGCCAGACTAGTCTCAAACTCCTGACCTCAGGCAATCCACCTGCCTCGGCCTCCCAAAGTGCTGGGATTACAGGCGTGAGCCACTGGGTTTTCATTTTTTCGTTGAGCAAAGGTATTTATTGGAAGCTTCCCATGAGGCAGACACTGAACTAGGCCCTCGTTTACAGTGGTCCACAGAATTACAAACTAGCCCTAATCTTGGAACTACTTTGAGTAGGTGGGAAAGATAAACACTTATTAACTTCAGTTGTCATAAACAGTAGAAAAGAAAGAAGTTCCTAGGAAACAGAACACCATGAAGATTTAACCTGTTACAGGGGTCTAAGTGAGGATTCCCTGAGGATAAGATCTCAATATTGGGATCCAGAGGGTGGATAGGGTTGGCCAGGTAAGAGTTTAAAGGTGAAAGAAATATGGTGTGTGAAAATCCTAAAGGAAAAAGGAGCATGGTGTATGTCAGAGAAACTTGAACAAATTAGTGAGCAAAGGGAATGGGTGTATAATAGATGGGGGCAGTAGACAGTGAGTCTGTTGCTGAAAGTTCCAGATTCCGCAGTTCTCTGTCTCTTCCCCAAACAGCACAGGACAGAAAACTTCCTGCAGTCAGAGATAATGTCAAGTTCATCAAATATGCCTGTGGAAGCAAAAGATTAAAATGCAGTGAATTCTCAGTCTATACATTTGATTTACTGGCTGATGATTGATGTCATTTTTCAGTAGAAGATGAAATCAGATTCCTACATTTTGGGTTGAAGAAAATGAATCAAAAGGGGACCAGGAAGAGTGTACCTCAGTTGAGGAAGTGTTGGGTGGAGCTGATGATGAGGTCTGGGGAGGTGGGGAACGGCCCATGGCTGTGGACGTGCTGGCTCCTGCAGAGCAGGAAGGCCGAGTCTGCTCTTTGGACATCTTACTCCTTTTGGTTCCAGTCTCTTCTTCAGATGGTTTTTTTCTTTTCTACAAGTAGTTTATTTTTCTTGTTAATTACTTTCAGTGTCAAATGAAGCAGAGCACATTTTCATTACAAGGTAATATATTTATTGTATATAAATTGTTTTTCTTGGAAACTTAAGTACATCCCCAGGCCAATTGAAAGAACATGGCATAGATGGTTTCATTTTTAAAAAGGGAGCAGAGAAAGTAACACACATCATTCCTTAATTACTTGTGTTTTGGGATATGCTGACTTGCAGTTAAGAAACTAGGCTTTTGTAAACATAGGCAAACGTTTTTTTATCTGACTCTCAAGTTAACATCCTTCTCTATTGGAGATGAAAATATTATATTTATTTTATGTATATTTACATTATGTTTACTAAAGCGTTTAACTTGTTGCCTTGCAGAAAGATGATCAATTATTATGTAATTTGATAAATCTGAAACTTGATGGGAAACATATGAAGAAATAACTGCCTGCTGGACAGATTGAGTGGAACAGCCACAGCAGAGCTTCCACTGTGAGACTTGAAGCCTGCTCCTCTTCCTGAAGCTTACCTGAGGTCCAAGAGTCTCCTCTGCTCCTTTAGCTGTGAGACGGTTGCTTGGGGTGCATGCAGGTGTAGCAGGATACACTTCTTTCTGTTTCGTCTTTTTAGATGGGATTATTCCTTTGACTGGAATGGATTCAATTTTATTTGCAACTAATGCAGAAAAAAGGAAGATGTATAAACCCAGAGCAGATGATCGGGGACACCCGAAGCAGTTTCAATACTATTTGCTCTTAGCTCCTGCTTGAGGGTTCAGGTGTATTTTAGTCTATCTCTATTGCATTAGCCTAGTCTGGCTTCCAGGAGGCCAGCAGGAGAAACAAAGGCACAAACACTGACTCACACTCCTCAGTGCTTTCATCACTCCTCCCCTGTGCAGTGAGAACATCCTTCCTGTCCTCTGAACTCCATGTGCTCAGTCAAACCCTTTCCCAATCCTATTCTATCATTTCCTTTTAAAATGTAAGGTTCTCATGATGCTGACTGCTTAGTCATATTCTCCAGATAATCTATTTAAATTACAGAAACTAGTGAAAGGAGATGTTAAATAGGTTTGTGAGGTGAGATATGGTGAGTTTTGACTTTTTTTCTTTTTTTTTTTTTTTGAGACGGAGTCTCGCTCTGTCGCCCAGGCGGGAGTGCAGTGGCGCGATCTCGGCTCACTGCCAGCTCCGCCTCTCGGGTTCACGCCATTCTCCTGCCTCAGCCTCCGAGTAGCTGGGACTACAGGTGCCTGCCACCACGCCTGGCTAATTTTTTGTATTTTTTAGTAGAGACGGGTTTCACCTTGTTAGCCAGGATGGTCTCGATCTCCTGACCTCGTGATCCACCCACCTCAGCCTCCCAAAGTGCTGGGATTACAGACGTGAGCAACAGCGCCAGGCTGAGTTTGTTTTAATTATTTTAACTCAATAACATGACAAGAGGGGAGGTCTTCACACTTCCGGGAGCAATGCTTACATTTAAGTATTGTTATCTTTTGTATTATAAAGGATGATGGTGTGTTGAATATTCTCAATAGAATGAACACATTAATTGACTAAATGTACATATCTCAGATATAAACAACAATTTTTATAATTTTATTTTGTCATTATGTAATCTTTCGAATGTACTAGAAGTCTCAGTCTCTCTTCAACTCCCTCTCCTTTTTGTTCTTTTACTGCACCTCAACTCCGATATACGTCAATCCACTTTAGTAATGGAATGCCATAAGTTGTCAACTTGTTGGCATCTGAAGTACCAACATTGCCATGGCCAGTGAGTCACAAATTGGGAAAAGGATGTATCAGCTACGACCAAGGTGGCGTTCTAATCAAGGTTGGGAAGGGTGGGGATCATTGCAGGGAGTGGGTGTTCCCTCTTCCCAATTACCTTTTAACTTTTCTCTTTTAAGAGTTTCAGCAAGGTCTCCCAGTGTTGGTATTTCTTTGAAGAATTCTATTAGTTTGCCCAAACCGGCATCACCTGGGAACTTTTCCTCCATCAAGTCAGCAATCTGAATTTTGTCATACTCTTCTTTCATTTTTGGATTAAGTTTTAAATCGTTACTCAGTAAGGACTTAACAATTCTAAAATGATAATCATTGATGACCTCTAATCCTTTCAGTAGAACAATTTTCTTGTAGTTATTTGCCATCTCTAAAGATATAAGTGAGCCTGCAAGAGAAAAATGGTATATAGTGTTACACATGTATACAGAGAATTTAAAAGAAGATGTATGCCTATGTGAATAAGTGGCCCATAAGAAAGAGTTGTTCATTGTGCCAGTTTTCAAAGGGAATTCTTCCAGTTTTTCTCCATTCAGTATGATATTGGCTGTGGGTTTGTCATAGATAGCTCTTATTATTTTGAGATACGTCCCATCAATACCTAATTTATTGAGAGTTTTTAGCATGAAGGGTTGTTGAATTTTGTCAAAGGCCTTTTCTGCATCTATTGAGATAATAATTTGGTTTTTGTCTTTGGTTCTGTTTATATGCTGGATTACGTTTATTGATTTTTGTATGTTGAACCAGCCTTGCATCCCAGGGATGAAGCCCACTTGATCATGGTGGATAAGCTTTTTGATGTGTTGCTGGATTTGGTTTGCCAGTATTCTATTGAGCATCAATGTTCATCAAGGATATTGGTCTAAAATTCTCTTTTTTTTGTTGTGTCTCTGCCAAGCTTTGGTATCAGGATGATGAAGCTGGAAACCATCATTCTCAGCAAACTATCGCAAGGACAAAAAACCAAACACCGCATGTTCTTACTCATAGGTGGGAATTGAACAATGAGAACACATGGACACAGGACGGGGAACATCGCACACTGGGGACTGTTGTGGGGTGGGGGGAGGGGGGAGGGATAGCATTAGGTGATATACCTAATGCTAAATGATGAGTTAATGGGTGCAGCACACCAACATGGCACATGTATACATATGTAACAAACCTGCACGTTATGCACATGTACCCTAAAACTTAAAGTATAATAATAATAATAATAAAAGAAAGAGTTGTCCATGAATATGTGTGATAAAGAAGGACTTAATGACCAAATGAGTTACTGTAGAAATTGAGTGAAGAACTTTTGCTTTAGGAATGTCCAAGTAATTCATCCCATTGAATGAGGATAGTTGAATTGGGTCCAGGTGTTAGAGGGAGGTCTGTGAACAAGCAATTGTCTCAGTGTTTAGAGTATGGGCTGTGGAGTGTCAAAGTGCTTGGTTGCTCTTCCCATCCTTTACTGGGGCTGGAGCCTATCCCCCAAAACCTGCCTGTTGTTTCTTAAATCTTCCCACACCCACCACTATGACTGGAGTGGCCTAGGTGTAAATGGGCTGCAGCCTCCCACCTTATATGAATAACTTTCTGCCGCAGCACTACAGTTTCATGCTGGGGCGCCGACCCTATTCTCCTTAACTCTTCTCTTGTCAGCTCTCATCAGTATCCTCTTCCTTGGTGTTGGACCCTGCCATATTTGTCCTCTGTGCCCATAAAACTATCACTTTCCTGAACATCTACATTTTCTCTATTGCAGGAACACAGGATTTATTGGCTGGAATATTTCAATAGTTGCTTGATTTTTCTTTTAGGCTTGATTTGTCTAATTCATTTTCATTTCACAGATCCACATTTCTCTCTATAAACCACATTTTTATCCCACTGAAATCTTTCAATATTTGCCCATTTTCTTTTCAATACATTCCTTGCTTCTTGTATTGTTTCAGAAGACTTTGAATAATCTGCATTCTTTTTTTTTTTTTTTTTAACCTCTGGCACTTGTGTGTTCCTTATATCTTACATTTCAGAAGTATAAAACATTTTCATGCTTCATGACTTTGCTAATTCTCTTCTCATTGCCTGGAAAGCCATTCCCACATTCCTCTATCTGACTGCCTCTCCTACAACATTTTAGACTCAACTGAGAGTTTGTCTTCTAGAAATTTTCAGAGTGCCCTTATGGACAGAGTGTTACTCCTCTGGACCTCTTTAGCACCAGTGCACTTTAGCACATGATGACACTCAAAGCATGCTATGGATTCCTGTTTCCTTTTTAAATTAACATAGCGCTTTGGGAGGCTGAGGGAGGCAGTTCATGTGAGGTCAAGGGTTCAAGACCAGCCTGGCCAACATGGTGAAACCCCGTCTCTACTAAAAATACAAAAGTTAGCCAGGCATGGTGGTGGGTGCCTGTAATCCATAATCCAAGCTACTCAGGAGGCTGAGGCAACAGAATTGCTTGAACCCGGGAGGTGCAGTCTGCAGTGAGCAGATATCATGCCACTGCACTCCAGCCTGAGTGACAAGAGCAAAACTCCACCTCGATAAAAATAAATACAAAAACAAATATTTTAATTATAGAAAACATGTATTTGTGTACCTCTTGTGTAATTTAGATATTTAAATTCCTGGGGCTGTTAATTGCTTTCTTCTTGAGAGAACATGAGTGTCCTCAGATTGATAAGCATAGAATGAAGGAAAAAATATATACAAAGACATATAGTGAAACTGAAGAACATAAAAAACAAATAAATACTCCATAAGCCTCCGAGAATGAAGGCTTTAGATCACCTGCAAAGATCCAAAAATTAGATTGAAACTGATTCTCAACAACAAATCTACTTGAAAGAGGAGAATGGAATCATTTTTATATAATGCTGGCCCAAAGTCCCATATAAATTGCTAAACAAAAAGTTTAGAAATGGGAAGTTTTGATTTGTTTTGTGAGTATGACAACACGATTTATTTGCAAAATGAAACCAGATGTGAGCTTACAGAAGGCTATGTATGATTTTTATTTATTCCACTTAAACACAAATATTCATATGTTTTGATGCTGAAATATTAGTGCTTTTGCTTTTGTAGTAATGACACTGATAACACTGGGGTTTCTAGAAAAATGTGCATTAAGTAATCTTTATAAACCTCCAAGTTCTGATTTTCAAAACATACCGAGCCCCCCAGGTACAAAAGAAATGCTCTCATCTTGTCTTGAAGGAAAAAATAATTTTAAAACTAGAATTTCAATCTAAACAAAGTGATATTTAAACATAAGATCCTCAAAAACTATTCTCTGAACCTGAAGGCCTCAGTAGTTTTTCCAGACAAAGATGCACACAGAAACATTTTTGGAAGTACTTTTCAATAGAAAATTAAAAAAAAATTTTAAAAAGCTGCAGGCCAAAAGACAAGTAAGAATGAAAAACGAACTTGATTATGTGTGCCTATGACTTAAAAAGAAAGCCCTGATCAAAGAAAAGAGAAACAGAAAGTATACCAACATGGTGGAGGGAGGGAAGAAAAAGAATATGAGTTTACTAATGTAATTGTCTTAAAGGGTGAGATGGAAATATAAGTTTTAAAAACAGACAAGTAGGAGAATATAGAAGTGTTATAAATTGAAGTGAAGATAGCAGAAGCAGGCCAAAATATGTTAATTATTAGCCTATACATAAAGAGGTTAACTAGTTAAATGACAACTTTTATCAAATTTGATTTAAAATTTCTATATGTATGTTGTCAGTAAAAGATCACTGAAAGATGAAAAAAAATTTAAATTATCATGCAAGGAGAAACTAGAAGAAAGCCAGCTTATCTATGCTAGAATCATTTTTAAAAGATCTTAAGACAAAGAGTATTATCAGATACCACATGGTAAAAGGTTGAATTCCTGGGAAGATACAATAATTTAAATTATAGATTTATCTAATAATAATAAATGTATATTATTTTTCATTATTGTATAGTCCTTCATGATAATATAATGTTATATAATATATTTATCTTCATATACACACATATGTACACGGTGCCACAAATATATATATTTATATGTGTATGTTTATGTTTGGAAACATGTATGCATGATCACATACACACATAATATACATTATACAACTATGCATGTGAGCATATCTATATATTATATATATGAATTTGAGAGGAGTACAAGAAAATACCGTCTTATAATAGGAGGTTCTATATTATATCTTCCAATACTAAATGAACAAGGTAAAAAAACATTTTTACAAATTTGAGCAACATAATTGATAGCAATATTTATCTAACATATATAAATCCTGAAATCAACATTTAAAATCTCATATTCTAGTCAAGTACACTGAGATATTGCACCAGGCTATACAGAAAGTCTTCTAAAAATTCTGAACTTTGACAATATAAATCTATTTCAAATTGACTTCCATGCCTCTCCCCTATACATTGCCACTAGAAAAATAAAACATCATTAACTTTCAGGAGGGCAGGAAGTAATCTTAAAATGAATAAAAAACTGCCTTTCACATCTGGTATAGAATGATGCTAATGTAAAAGTTAAACATACTTATGAAAATATTGACACATTTGAATTATTTGAATTATTTGAATAATTGTGTTTGCAAAATGGATACATTTTCTACTATGTGTTTGCACTTGTAGAATAATATTATTTACAAAATGTTCTCACATATGTTTTTGTGTGAGAACATGTTTTGTAAAATTGAGATACCGTAAAATACAGCTGTATGTCTAGATGTGTTTTTTACTTAATATTATTTCCTGATACTTTGTGCACATCATTATCTTGTCTTATTTTATCTTCTACTTTCATTTTAGGTTCAGAGGGTACATGTGCAGGCTTGTTAAATGAGTAAACTGTGTGTCGCTGAGGCTTGTTGTCTGGTGATCCCATCACCAAGGTAGCGACATAGTACCAGATAGATAGCCTTCCAACCCACATACTGCTCCCACCTTTCCTCTCAAGCAGTCCCCAGCGTCTACCGTTCCCATCTTGTGCCCATATGGATTCAATGTTTAACTTCCACTTATAAGTGAGAACATGCAGTATTTGGTATTCCTGTGTTAGTTCACTTAGGGTAATGTTCTCTAGCCGTATCCATGTTATGCATATACAGCGTGGAATACTATGCATCCATAAAAAAGAATGAAATCATTATCTTGTCTTTTGCCCAGACCCCAATGGCCACCAAGCTTTCTAACCTCAGAGAATATATACTCAGAGAATTTGTTTTAAAATCTGCAATGGTCAAAATGCATATTCCTTCATTCATGCCCCAGTTGTAGAATAAAGGATATCTACTATCTTTGAAGTAAGTAAAGAATTGGAAGTATTAACTGCAGTTTTCACTTTTCTGAATATAGTTGATACCAGCCCTACTGCCCTCACCCCACTGCCCTGAAGAACCAATATCGATTTTTCCCTTGTGATTTTGTGGCTTTCAAGGAAGCATCTAGATCTTTTCTATAAAAAATACCCACAGTACTCACCTTACTGGGAATTTCTTCAACAGTAGTCCAGATCTTGAGATCTTCAGAAATGTAGGAAATGAGGATTGTTTTGAATAGGGAAATCAGTCAGTAAAGCTCTCAGAAACTGAAATACAGGATGTTATAATCTCCTGAAATGCTAAGAAAATGAAGTATTTTCAAAGACAACAAGGGAAAATGGCCCTTCTTAGAGTCACTTGACTAGTGCTGGCTTCCTCATACTCTGCTTTGCCCTGGGGAGAGAGAAGTTGTGAAACAACGTGCAGACTCCTCCCACCCATATTTTTTGCTTTCCATCCTGTTAGAGAAAATGAACAGTTTCTTTCCTGTAGGTATCTTAATCAAAGTAAAATTTGTATCAAAGTTATATTTAAAATTTTTTTTCTTACAAATGTTGATATCTGAATGGAGTTCCAATCTTAGAACTTTCTTAACCAGCAGACTTACATGTGGGACATTAGGGACCTCTATTCCGATGAATGATTGTCAAATATGAGAGAAGCAAGGTGGTTTCTTCTCCCTCCTTTCCTGTGCGGTTGCAGGGGGAGATCTTGGTAGGAGCATCTATTGCTACCAGTACTTTACTGCATCTCCTGCATGGGAGAATGTCTGCTATGAAATAGCAGTTGGTTTAAATACTACCTGAAGCATTCACCCAGTTATTAATAGTTGACAAACCTAGGGCTTTCCAGATCAGAAAGTTATTATGAATATATAAATCCTTTCTCAAATATATATAAAGGAGTTTAACACTAGCTGTCCTCTTGACTATGACTAGGTTATTTTACCTCAATGATTACATTCATGATTCCTCAGGTTTCCTTCATTATTCATGGAAAAACACAAGTGGATAGTGGGCTCACAACATGACAGCATCGAAGCCTTGAAAATCCTGGAAAATGCACTGAACTTCTGGTAGACCGAGAGTCCTGTTAAACCCTTTGCTCAGCAGTATTTTTTCTGTTAAGGGCAGTGGGTGTCCTTCAGAGTACTAAAACCCCAAGATGTCAAATAAACGACACCAACTGGCAGATGATGTTGTGTTAACCCAGCAGCAGATCTGCAAGCAGGATGTGGCCATGAGTGGAAAATGGGGCCCGAAATACAGCTGTAGGGGAGAAAACAAGTTTTTTTTAAATTTCCCTTTTTAGGTTATTAGTTGACACTCTCCTGAAAACAAACGTCAAATTAACAAAAGAAAAACAAGCAGTTTATTAATGTGTGCTCTACTCATCACAAGGGATAGGCCTCAGTTCAAAAGTATTTCTCTCTCCAGGCTGTGGCTTAGAAACCTTGTTTAAATAGTATTTCAATAAAGAGCCATACGTTCTATATAGTGAAAAGCAAAGGAGAAAGCAGTTCCAGTCATTTAAAAGGTGGGAAAACGTGGGAAGGTAGTAAAATCTGTTCCCAGATTCCTCAGGTTCCTGGTGGCGCCTTCTCCGGGCTGAAAAGCAAGTGCTTTCTCCAGTAAATACGGATTTATGTCCTGCCATCAGGCAAATAGTGCCTGAGGCAGCATGTTCCCCTCCATTTTCTGTCTTTAACTTAACAGTCCTAAGTATTTTGAGAAGTATTTTTGGTTTCCTTCACAAATAATACAAATGATCTGAGGCCATCTACAGAACAGAAGAAAGCTGATCGCCTTAGTACAAACTAGGGTCATGGAGAGGATAGTTGATGTCTGGATTTGGAGCCATATGATAATTTTATCAAAGCAAAAGTAAGTTAAGAAAAAGCAAGGAGGATCTGGAAGGATGGCCACAAAAATACCTTCGAGTGTTCATGGTTTTCTTTTATAGGTTTACGTTGCTGTTAATGTAGAGACACTAAGTTGGTCTTAAGATAGTAGGTAGAGAGGGATATTAGGAAGGTCAGGTTACCCCAATTCAAAGGTCAGAGAGTAGAGGAAACTTGGTAGAAATTACCATGTTTCAGGACATTTTTGTTTCCCCTTTTTGGTAATCATTTCATGTAGAGTAATGCCTTTGGTTAGGACTCCAGCATACAACATACAAATTACTGTCACCAATGAAGACAATTCAGAACATTGCTCCATAATCCATACTGTGCAGATAAAATTGTAATAGATGAAGCAAAGAAATGCTTTAAAAATGTGCATTTGTGCTGATTCTGAAGCAGTGGGCAATAATTTGCAATTTGTGCCATCACACAGAAAGCTCACTAATAGAACATACGAGAGCTCCTGATAAGGGGGTAAAAGTCTTGGATGGACCTTCATGACTTTTTATCATCTGAAGTACTAATTCCGATGCTCATTCAAAGTCCTCAGGAAAAGTTCCCACCCGATTAATGTTCTAACCAAGATGTTAGTAAATTACTGCCTGTGGGACAATACTAACACACCATCCACTTTTGTAAGTAAAATTTTATTGAAACACAACTGTGATTACTCACTTATGCATTGTCAATATCTACTTCATGGTGCAATGAAGAGTTGACTAGCAACAGAGTCCATCCGGCTGCAGAGTGTAAAGATTTTGCTGTATGGCTTATTATAGAAAACGTTTGTCAATCTGTACCCAGTCGTCAGTCTAGGAGACGGCAGAAAGCCTCTAAGGAGAAAAGCAAAAATAATTACTTATTTTTATTTTTGCTTTGTTAAATCAAAAGCAATGTTAAATCAAGTTTAGCCTAAAGCTGCCTTCTTACATATTCTAAGTTCAGCCTAAAGGTTTCTCATACAGCGTGAATGATGGCCTAAATGGAAGTGTAAACAGACTGTAGTATATGCTTGTGTCAATCACCAAGTTTTGGCCAATCAAATGTGGCCAACTTGTTCAAACCGCGTTCAAATAAGGCAAACTCCGAGCTATAACCAATCCAGCTCTTTATCTCATGTCCATTTTCTGTATCTCACTTTTCTTTTTCTCTTCATAAATCTTCCACTATGTGGCTGTGCTGGAGTCTCTGAGCCTACTCTGGCTTGGGAGGCTGCCTGAATAACATTCACTGCTCAGTTAAACTCTTTTAAATTTAAGTCAGCTGAAGCTTTTCTCTTACACAATCACACCAAGAAACCACGTTTGGGACTTTTAAAGTCCATTGTAAACCCCTGGATAAAGCCTTGTAATAATTATTGTGATCTCAGAGAGGAAAATGGAAATGGAGAGTGTTAAAACCTTTCTCTAATTATCCCTAAGAGTCAGAACAAAACCCATTTGTTGAGAGCCTCAGTTAGCAAGATTGCTTTATGCATTCATGGCCATCAGCCACCTCAATCAGGTGCCTTCTCCTTTTGTCTCTCAAGTAAATAGATTTCTCTTTCTCAAGGAAGAGGGAAAGGTGATTGAGTTTTAAATGTTGAACCAATCTTATATCCCTGAGATAAAACACTTTTAATGATGCATTATAATTTATCATATTGATAAGTATATTGGTAAGTATAATTTTTCAATATTTTAAAAGTGTTTTTGCATTTATTTTCATGTGAGAGTTGGTTTTTGTTTAGTTTCTGTCATATTGATAAGTATATTGGTAAGTATAATTTTTCAATATTTTAAAAGTGTTTTTGCATTTATTTTCATGTGAGAGTTGGTTTTTGTTTAGTTTCTGTCATATTGATAAGTATATTGGTAAGTATAATTTTTCAATATTTTAAAAGTGTTTTTGCATTTATTTTCATGTGAGAGTTGGTTTTTGTTTAGTTTCTGTGTAATATCTTTAATTTTGGTGTGACAGCAAACTGGCATTTCTAAAACAGATTGTATAGACATGGTAAACTTTTATCCTCAAATGTCTGATGGAATTCATAAAGTGTCTATTCCCAAAACTTTCACTACGGAAAGATTTTTGTTACAACTTCTCTTTCTCTAATAGATATAAAAATATTTAGTTGTTTTATTTCCTTACAAGACAGTTTTGGTAAGTTGTGTTTCACAGGATTTTTTTTGTAATACATTTTTGTTTTACAGGAATTACGTAAGTAAACTTATTTGCATAATATTTTTCATAATTTTTTATTACCATTTTAATATCTGTAGTGCCATCCCTTTACATTCCTGATACTGGCCATTTATATTATCCTCCCTTATTTTTCTTGATTACTCTTGGTAGACTCTCTGAGGAGGATGCTCAGGGAAGTTCAAAGGCAAGAGGAGAGACAAAAAGGACAGTAAAGGATTCTGAAGCCTTTGGCACCGACATTTAGGACAAAAAGTAAATAACGTTTTAACAACTAGCCAGACTAACAAAAAATCTCATACTAAAGGTCTGTTTATTTCAGTTCCTATTACCTGATCATATATGTCTTCCTTTTGACAAAAAAAAAAAAGAAAGAAAGAAAAAGCAAGTTATGCTAAAGACAAGGAAAAACAGAGTCTCAAGAGTCAAAAGAACCATTAGAAGCAGACTCAGATATGATCCTCATGTGGAAATTTGCTGACAGGGAATCTAAAATTACTATGATTAATGTGTTAAGTGCTCTAATGGAAAAAGTAGACTGCATACAAGAACAGATGGGTAACATAAGCAGAGAGAAGAAAACACTAAGAGATAAATCAAACAAAAATGTATGAAGTGAAACAATGGTAACAGAAATTGAAAATAATCAATAGACCAGACATAATCTAGAAAAGAATGTTACCTTGAAGATAGATCAATAGAAATTTCCAAAACTAAATGCAAAGGAAAAAAATATTAAACCCTCCAGCCCACAGAATATCTAATAACTGTGGTGGGATATCTTAAGATGTAGCAAATACATAATCGAAAAGCCAGAAAGAAAGAAAGAAGGAAGCATAAAAAGTACTGAAATGGTCTCTTTGTCTGGTGTGACACCTGAGGTTCTTGGTCACATGGCCACAGAGATCAAGGATGCAGACACACACAAAGTGTGAGGTTTAGAGCTGAATTTTAATAGACAAAAGAAGGAGAATAGCTCTCTGCTACAGAGAGGATTCCTGGAAAAATGGTTGCTGATCTGCTGTGAAATGCAGAGATTTTTATAGATGAGCTAGTGGGGAGACGGTGTCTGATCTATGCAGGGTGTGAAAAACTGGTTAGGACCAGCTGTGCCATCTGCATAGGGCCCAAATCTCTGGCTGCCCCTACCCCCATCTTTTATTATGCAGGTGGGTAGCTACTCCATGTTGCTTATTTCTTTCTTACTGTACACATGCTAACAAAAAAGGAAAGGTGGAACCCCATGGTGAACACGCCTGGTACCAGGTAGCCTTTTCTATTGGTGCAGCTGCCAGCATCCCCCCATGCAGGCTCCCAGCTTCCTTCTCTATGTTTGCAGTTCGATCTTTCAGGCTGCTCTTTATTAGAAAATAAGTGATTTTTGGGCTTCTTTTTGTTAGAAGGGAAGTTCTGCCAAGGACTCTTTTGCCCTCACTATCTGCCTAAGATAATTTCTTTCTATCTCCTGTATCAGTATTTGGAGAAATAATTGCCAAGAAATATTTAAAACCAACCGGAGCCAAAACCTCAGATGCAGGAAGCTCAGATATTATCCACTGTGACAAATGCTGAAAAACAAATCATATCTGGACATTTTATATTTCAACTGCAGAAAAGTCAAAGAAAAATCTTGATCAAAGTCAGGAAAGTAAAATATTGTATTATATATAGAGAAACAATTCCAAGAATCACTGTGGAGTTTTTGTCAGAAACATTGGAGGCAATAAGAGAAAGAAGAATATAAAATGAAATGCTTAAATGTATTGAAAGAAAAAACATGGCAATCTAGAATTCTATATCTGGCAAAATTATTATTCAAAAGTGAAGGAGATCAGATCTACATGAAGAAAAGAAAACCATCAGAGAAGGCATAAATGCAAGTCAATTAAATTTTAAAAATTTTGATTCTGAATTGATTTAAAAGATAACTTTCTTTAAAGTAATAATAGTAATGATGTATTCAGTCATTATAGTATATAAATACAAGAAATGAGCCAGGGAAAAAATGGAGGAATGGGGATTTTCTGTTATATGGTATGTGTTGTATACATAAAGCAATATAGTAATATTTAAAGATAGATTTAAGTTAGTTAAAGCTATATTTTTGAAACTCTAAGCCAAACAATAAAAAACTTTTTAAAAAGTATAATTCATATGTTGAGAAGAAAAGAAAAAAATCATTGCTCAGTTAAAACCATAAAAGGCAGGAAAAGAGGGGCAAAGAAACAAAGAACAAATGTAACAAATAGAACGTAGTTGCAAAACCGTAGATATTAATCTAACTATAACAACTATAGAAGAGCTCTGATTTGTAGCAATTGCCGATTCCTGTGGTATAAATATCACCTCCTCTGCTGCCTTTATAATGCAAAATATTTGACAACCAGCAGAAAAATTCCTTAATACTTAATAATCTGTTTTTTTCTAGTTTGGGAGGCTGAGGCGGGTGGATCACGAGGTCAGGAGTTCGATATCAGCCTGGCCAACATGGTGAAACCCCATCTCTAGTAAAAATACAAAAATTAGCCAGGTGTGGTGACAGGCACCTGTAGTCCCAGCTACTCAGGAGGCTGAGGCAGGAAAATCACTTGAACCTGGGAGGTGGAGGTTGCAGTGAGCTGAGGTTGCACCACTGCATTGCAGCCTGGGCAACAGAGCAAGACTCCATCTCAAAATAATAATAATAATAAAGATCATCATCATCATCATCATCATCATCTGTTTTTTCTAATTTCTAGCTGAGGAATGAGTGTGCTGCCTTCAATTCATCCTCTTATTGCATAAAATCTCCCAATTATGTACCTGTTTTTTTCACAGTGAAACTTCCATTCCTCCCTTTATGAAAAAAGGTAGCTTACTGTTTTACCATTCTGACCTCATTTTCCATACCCTTCTGCATATACCAAAGTTTCAGTTGTGTGGAACTATTTGTGTTATTTCACACTTTTGAGTATCTTGAGAAGCGTGAAAAGTTATTTCACACTTTTGAGAGAGAGAGATCTGGTGCCTTTTCTTTAAAGGAGACCAATCACATCCTGAAGACCTTGATGTCCTAAATACTCAATAGTGTGAAATAGTTCTCAATGCTATTGATACTACTGATACTCAATAGTATCAATAATTTAAATGTCTTTATCTTGCTAAGAACAATGATTCCTACCGCATATTGATTTCTCATGATGCACTAGAAGACTGTAAAATATAATGTATGTGCTTTATGTCACTAGATTTTCAAATCAACCCTATGAGGCAGAGTTTCCCCATTTTAGAGAAGACTATTGTCTTAGTCGACTTGAGTCTCAGAATACTATAGCAAAATAACATAGACTGGGTAGTTTAAATGACAGGCATTTCCCCCAGTTCTGGAGGCTGGGGTTCCAAGATAAAGGTGCCAGCCAACTTAGTTTCTGGTGTGGGCCCTCTTTCTGGCTTGCAGACAGCCATATTCATACTGAGTCATTACTTGGTGGGCGTTGAGGGAGAGAGAGAGTGAGTGAGAGAGAGAGAGTGTGTGTGTGTGTGTGTGTGTGTGTGTGAGAGAGAGAGAGAGAGAGACAGAGACAGACACAGAGAGACAGGGAGAGATCTGATGCCTTTTCTTTAAAAGGGACCAATCACATCATGAAGACCCTGATGTCATAAAAGAATTATCTCCCAAAGGCTTCATATTTTCAAATATCATCACACTGGGGGTTAGGGCTTCATCATATGAATTTGGGTGACACAATTCAGTCTGTAGCAACCATTTAAGCTATTTTCCCAAAATTATGTGACTAGTTAGGGTTGGAGCCAGATTCAAACAAGGTCTATCTTATTCCAGAGCCTTGCCACTTATAATATTAGCACAAGGGCATTGATTGGTTTCTCATGCTTCCTGCTTGGGCTGAACATTTTATGTTAAAACACAGGAATCTGATTTTTCCAAAGCCTAAACTAAATTATTTTATCCTTTGCAAAGCTAACACTTGTCTATCCGACTCCCATCTGAATGAAACTATGAAAGTCAGATATCAGCTTTGATCTTTGTTTCACTGAACTGTTGAAACTAGGAGTCAAAGCTTATCTCCTTCCTCAATCTTGTTATTATGCTTTATTTTCCCCACTATATCAATTTTTTCCATGTTATTCTGTATTTCATAGAGTGTGTTCTACTTAATGCATATACATTGTGATTTATGTATATAATAGGTTTTAAAGAGAGTTGAATTCTGTAAACAAGTTGGAATAATGGAGGTGGGATACTTGCACAGTGAGTGAATATAGTTAAATAACAAGGTGACTGTTGGGAAAACTCCCTGCTGGATCAAGATCTACCCTTCATAAGAACAGGGCAAGCTCAGACCAAAGAAAGGAGCAGACCACTCCAAATTGGTAGGTAGTCAAAGATTTATTCAGGGGATACATGTGAGGCCATCTTGGGTAATAGCAAGAAGAAGCAGATCTCTGCCTTTGCAATACATGCATGACTTGTCTTTTAAGCCATAAGAAGAAAAGGGAATGGGAAAAGAGGGTAAAAACAGGCACTGATGGCCTATTAAGCCATCTGGTTGCACTCTTAGTCTATTTGCTTCTTGCGTAAGGGTATTGTTTGGATGCTCTGCAGTCTGTTCCACATTCCTAGGGGAGGGTGGGTGTTCTGGGAAGCAGCAGTTATTCTGGCACCAGTAGGCTTTCTCCAGTTGGGTTAGACATTTCTACCCCTCACTTTGCAGTCACCTACCCAGAACACATTTTCACAACTGTGGCATTCCTTCCTCTCCCACTTGAATGCTTCTCAGACCTAGTTCTCCTCTGCAATTTTGTAGTCTATATTGTGGTTTTGCCTGATTTTCCTTTTGCCCTGAACAAATACCATAAACTCCAGAAAATTCTGTTGGCAGAAAGGGCTTCTGTAGTTCTAGGGTTGATTTCTCTACTTTGGAAAGTAGTGGAATAAAGGAGAGACTTAGTATTGGGGCCAGAGAGGAGAGTGAATTCATATGGAAACTTCAGAGATGATATGGACAAGTTCTAATATACTGTACATAGCCAGAACTGGCACCATTCATCTCATGTTCATTGCATGGCACATGGAGAATATATGAGATAATGACATTTCTGGTTAATGAAAACTATTGTTCTCTGACCCTTTCTGCAATGAAGAAGGCATATTTTCCCACTGTCTTAGTCTGCATATCGCTGCTGTAATGGAATACCATAGACTGGGTAATTATACAGCACAGAAATTTGTTTCTCACAATTCTTGAGGTTGGAAGTCCAAGGTCAAGGCATCAGTATCTGATGAGGCTTTCTTGCTGTGTCCTCACATGACAGGAGAGCCAAAAAATAGCTAATTCACCCCCACAAGCTCTTTTTATAGTGGCATTAATCCATTTATAAGAGCAGAGCCCTCATCATTTAAACACTTCCCATTAGGCCTCACCTGCCAACACTGTTGCTTTGCGTACTAAGTTTAAGCATTGGTTTTGTAGGGGACAAAAGCATTTAAACGATAGCACTGTACTCTGTACCTTTAATTTCTGTTATCTCCATCCTCTGTTTGCTCAATTTATCTATAATAGACCATACTCTAGGAAGCATTCATTGAAGAATCTTCCTAGTTAGTAATTTATTTTCTCATCTTTACTTCTGTACTTCCACTGTTGTCTCTCAGGATTTCCCCTAATATTATTTATCCCTGAAATTGGAAATGAGATTCTCTACTGTTATCAATAGTTAACTCTTCACCCCATACATCTAGTTTTGGGAATTCTTACCTTAAGTTACTAATATCTATCTATAATTTAACTTAGATTTGTTCAGCAGCACGAGCAAATTTCACTGGAACTTAGATTTATTAATAGCTTTTGCTTGATTTTGGGTGTTAACATGTGAAGAAGAGAAAAATAATTTATGAGTGATGAGTAAGTGGTATATGGATTTTATTGCATTTTAAGTTTTGGATTTAGTGCTTGAGAATGTTTGGTACAAGGAAAAAGACTCCTATGTGCCCAGTTAATAATGTTCCTGTATTCTTCAATGTTTACTATATTAGCTTATGGTGTCAGAAAGGGAAATAAATCACAAATTATGAAAATACAAGATGGCAGAAAATTAGTGGTGCAAATGCCTACTATTTTGATCTTTATTTTTCCCTAGCCAATGCCATGTGGCTGCTGATAGAGCCAAAATGTAACTGAGTCATCTCACTCAGGGATCCTAGTCTAGTGATCACCCAGTAGTAAGGCAGAGAAGGGATTACTTAGAAAGCAAAGCTTGAGCTCCTCCAGGAGTTTGGAATATGGCAAGTTATTTCTTCTTAGCTTTATGACAGTAATTTAAATGTTTATGACTTTGTAATTGCAGAATATTATGACAAAGTATATTAGTCTGTTCTCATGCTGCTTTGAAGAAATACTTGAGACTGGGTAATTTATAAAGGAAAGAGATTTAATTGGCTCACATTTCTGCAGGGCCAGGGAGGCCTCAGAAAACTTACAATCATGGCAGAAGGGAAAGCAAGTATGTTCTTTTGCACATGGCAGCAGGAGAGAGAAATGAGAGCTGAGGGAAGAAGGAAGACTTTTATAAAACTATCAGATCTTGTGAGGACTCAGTCACTATCACGAGAATAGCATGGGGCAACCTGCCCCAATGATTCAATTACATCCCACTGGGTCCCTCCCATGACACATGGAAATTATGGTTACTACAATTCAAGATGAGATTTGGGTGGGGACACATTTCAAAACACAATCATCCCTCCCAACAGTCGCCCAAAGTCTTAACTCACTCCAGCACTAAGTCAAAAGTCCAAGTCCAAAGTCTCATCTGAGACAAAGAATGTCCCTTTCACCTATGAGCCTGTAAAATCAAAATCAGTTTAGTCACTTTCTAGATACAATGTGGATACAGGTATTGGGTAAATAACCCATTCCAAATGGGAGAAACCAGCCAAAACAAAGGGTCTACAGGCCCCATGCAAGTCCAAAATCTAATAGGGCAGTCATCAAACCTTAAAGTTCCAAAATGATCACCTTTGACTCCATGTCTCACATCCAGGTCAGCTGATGCAAGAAGTGGGCTCCCATGGCTTTGAGCAGCTCTGCTCCTGTGGCTTTGAAGGGTACAGCCCCACTCCTGGCTGTTTTCATGGGCTGGCATTGAGTGTGGCTTTTCCAGGCCCACAATGCAAGCTGTCAGTGGATTTACCTTTCCAGGGTCTGGAGAACAGTAACTCTCTTTTCATAGCTCCACTAGTCAGTACCTCAGTGGGGACCATGTGTGGGTGCTCTGACCCCACATTTCCCTTCTGCGCTTCCCTGGCAGAAGTTCTTCATGAGGGCTCTGCCCCTGCAGTAAACTTCTGCCTGGACATCCAGGCATTGACATACATCCTCTGAAATCTAGGCAGAAACTCCCAAACCTCAATTATTGACTTCCATGCACCCAGAGGCCCAACACCACATGGAAGCTGCCAAGGTTTGGAGCTTGACCCCTCTGAAGCAATGATCTGAGCTGTACATTGGCCCCTTTCAGCCATGGCTAGAGCTGAAGCAGCTGGGATGCAGGGTACCATGTCCCAAGGCTGCATAGAGCAGTGGGATGTGGGGGCCCAGAAAACCGTTTTTCACTACTAGGCTTCTGGGCCTGTGATGGTATGGGCTTCCATGAAGACCTCTGACATGCGCTGGAGACATTTTTCCCATTGTCTTGGTAATTAACATTTGGCTCCTCATTAATTATGCAAATTTCTGCAGGAGGCTTGAATTTCTTCCCAGAAAATGGGTTTTTCTTTTGTATCGTATTGTCAGGCTGCAGATTTTTAAAACTTTTATGATCTGCTTTCTCTTCAACACTTTGCTGCTTAGAAATTTCTTCTACCAGATTCCCTAAATCATCTCTCTCCATTTCAAAGCTCCACAGATCTCTAGGGCAGGGGCCAAATGTCACCAGTCTCTTTGTAAAGCATAGCAAGAATTACCTTTATTCCAGTTCCCAAATGTTCCTCATCTCCACCTGATACCACCTCAGCCTGGACTTTATTGTTTATATCAGCATTTTGGTCAAAGACATTCAAGAAGTCTCTAGGAATTTCCAAACTTTCCCACATTTTCCACTTCTTCTGAGCCCTCCAAACTCTTCCAACCTCTGCCTGTTACCTAGTTCCAAAGTTGCTTCCACATTTTCAGATATCCTTATAGAAGCACCCCACCCTCTGTATAGTTCATTCTCATGCAGGTATAAGGACATACCCAAGACCGGGTAATTTATGAAGGAAAGAGGTTTAATTGACTCACAGTTCCACAGGGCTGGGGAAGTCTCAGGCAACTTATAATCATGGTGGAAAGGGAAGCAAACACATCCTTCTTCACATGGCAGCAGGAGAGACAAATGAGAGTGGATGAAAAGGGAAGCCCCTTATATAACAATCAGATCTCATGAGAACTTACTATCACAAGAATGGCATGGGGCAACAGCCCTCATGATTCAATTACCTCCGATCCTGTCCCTCCCATGACATGTGGGGACTATGGGAACTACAATTCAAGATGAGATTTAGGTGAGGACACTGCCAAACCATATTGCATAACCTGAATAAAAATACACTCAGAGCCTAAATAAATATCAGATTCACCAGTTAAATTATGATGAAAAAATAACTGATAGCAGAACCTTTAAAATAAACCATGTTTTTCTATCAGCTTAGTCTGAAAATTCAAACAAACTCAATTACTTTGAGTTTCCCTGCAGTACACCATGTTTTACTTCCTTCTTGGAATCTAGAGTAACTTGCACAGTGCAACCATAGAAAGTTGGATTACTCCTTCTGGAGATACAAGTTTCTAAGCTTCCTACCTTGATTCTGTGTAGTGCTATATATTTGGCATAATATCTTAGATTTTGAAAAGCCTTCTCAACTTTTTCCGTTTTGAAATTATTCCACAAGTAGACATGGTTTAGTGGTTTGTTCTGTTTTTCATCTATGCTATTTCTGGCTTGGAAATCCCTCTTGGAGAATGTACAATGAAGACACTTGGTATCCATGCTCAACTAACTCTGGCCCTAGATTACTAACACCAAATGTATCAATAAAGCCTAGTAAATGGAGATTCTCAGGGTTGCATTCTTAGGCAGGCATGTCTAGACAGTTGATTTAACACAAATTTCTTTTTAAAATGTTTATATAATACCTATAGTATGTGCAATACTATTCTAGGTGGTAGGAGTACAGAAATGAATAGCAAAGTCCTTGCCCACAATCTGTTCTATTTCAGCAGGCTGCCAATTAAAAAATAAATGAATAGCAATAGCTTATATACCATAATGTCAAGTAGATAACTGCTATGAAGAAATGCAAGTCATGTAAGGTAATAGAGACTTATGGTGTCATGTGCCATTTTGCAGCATTTGTTCACTGAAGGTCAAGCTTAGGAGTGGTCAATTAAGCAGAAATCTAAAAAAAGTGAGGGATCAAGCTGTGCAGATATTCTAGCTGAAGAGAGATAAATGACTTAGGAAAATAAAATAATTGCTAATACTTCAATTATAATAGGACTTGATGTTTGGGTTGGTGCCTTCCAAATCACAGCCAATAATGCCAACCTTGTTTTTCTTTATTTCTTTTTTTTAAATAAAAAAAAAAACGCCATTGCACTCTGTATTGTAAGAAGGCAGTTGGCAAAAGAAAGAACGGAGCACCTGCATTCAGAAAACTTGAGTTCAGTCCTTTTACTAGCAGTGTGGCCTCAGGTAAGTCATCTACCTAATTGAAAATGTGATCTTTGGAAGATTACAATAAATAGCAAGTGTATATCAGGCATTCCATGCTGAGTACTTAAAGTAATTATCATCTCATTCCAGAGATAAGTAGTTGTCCCTGAATGTTTTGTTTTTTCTTTTCATCTTTGAGACTCCATGTGAAAGCATTTTGTAAACAGTAATATAATATTTAGTAGTTAGCTATTATGCATAGTACAACACTACACTTCTCAAACTACAGGGTGTGCACTCCTGAGGTCATGAAGCCACCAAATAGATTTGCATGAATTTTCTTTGTGTATAAATTTTACCCTATAACAAATACTATAAAACATTTTTAAGCAATAAGATATTAGGGACTGAAATGCAAATTTTACATTTATATAATAAAAGCAAAACTTCAAAGAAATAGCTGAGTATTAAATTTGTCATATATAATGTGTTTTAATATATAAATGTAAGTGGATAATAGGGTTGAAGGAAGATTACATTTTAATAGACAGAATGTTCCTGATAATTGTTTAATGCTACATATATTAATTGTAAATGCTACATGTATAAGTAGCATTTCTCTAGCACCTGCCGATAAAAATGACATGGCCATATTAATGGTAATAATTCAGATTTTATTAATGTTGACTCTTCCAATGAGGGCATTCAAGCTCCTGTAAAAGTCACAATAAATTATTTTTCGCTGTTAAACATCCTCTCTTGTTCTTGGCTAATATCTTGTACCATATAGGTTGATGCTCTGGAAGTCATTAATTGCTGGTAATGTTGAGCATCTGATCATGTGTATTTGACATTTGAATAAAGTGATTATTCAGATCTTTTGCCCATTTTGCAAATGGGCTGTTCAAATAAGAGACTATGTGGTCATCCCCATACTGTGAATACATACCCTGTATTAGTTACATGCATTAGAGACATTTTCTTACAGTGTTTGCTGTATATTTTCACTGTGTTTACTTTGCCTTTTTTTAAAATAAAGACATTTAGAATTTGCATGCAATCAAATTTAATCAAGTTTTTCTTCTTGGCTTTTAAACCGATCTCATGATGAATATTTAAGCTATTTCTCCCATCTCATGTAACTAATGAGCCAGATGTAGAGGAAGTCTTTTTGACCACGATGTTAAATTAGTTTCCTGACCTCTTAATTTCCTCAAATATTTTATTAGTTAGTACAAGTTTCATATCTTTCAGAAACCTATAATAAATGTCATTCTACTAATATATTTTAATAAGTTTCTCTGTTTAAATGTGAGTACAAGGGCATCATTTGGTTTCTCATTCCTTCTGCTTGGAATCTAAATATAAAACAACAAAAATCTGGTTTTCCTAAAGCTTAAAGCAAATTAATTTCCTCTTTGTAAAACTGGTATTTTCACTGTGTTTACTTTGCCTTTCACGGAAAAGTAAACACAGTGAAAATACACAGCAAACACTGTAAGAAAATGTCCGTAATGCATATAACGTATTAGTTATATTAGGGATAACCACATCTGACTCTCGCTTGGATAAACTATGCATTTAAAAAGTCAGTTTTGACCTCTGGTTCTTTTTTTTTTTTTTCAGTTGAAAGAAGGAGAGTTGAAACTTATCTCTTTTCTTGCAGGGGATATTGTGACATTTTCCTCTCTGCAGGATATTGTTATTTCCTATATCCTGAATTTTATAGATAAAATTATCATTTAGTGAAAACTAAATATTCAGTTCCTGAGAACATAGTAACTGCTGTACATATGAGAAAAAGACTGTGACAGATTAAAAACAAGATGTAGCCAGGCATGATGGGGCATGCCTCTACTCTCAGCAGTGAGGTGGGAAAATCCTTTGAGTCCAGGAATTTCAGGCTGCAGTGCAGTATGATCATGCCTGTGGATAGCCACTGCACTCTAGCCAGAGAACTTAGTGAGACTTCCTCTCTAAAACAAGCAAACGAAAACAAGATGCAGGACAGCAACTCCTAGTACTGTACAGATATACATATACCTTAGGCTAGACCTTCTCAGAGGGCCCTCCCTCACTATCCTTTTTGCCAGCAATGCAGTATTTCCTAATGTCAGGGCTCTAGGAGGTAGCATGTTTACAGAAAACCAAGGGTCAGAGTGGATTATCTTTAAAGTCCTTTCCTGATGACATCTAGGTCCCTGTGAATTGCAGCATAATACATTAATGAAGGGAAGGTTGTTTATAAGAAAAAGTGCTGGAGGCATGGGTTAGCCTCATCTACAAACCGGTAGCTCCTGGTGTGGTCTGACCTCAGATACTATACACAGTGATCACCTGTGAGTTGATCGGACTTAACTGTATCTGACTTCTCATCTATGTGACCCATTCAGCCTAACACCTTTCCCAATGCAAGTTAATCAGTAACAGTAAATTCATCCATGAGAATATTAATAGTAACAGTGATATTCAGCCTCACAAGCAATTAAAAGATGAATACAGAAAATAAAGCAAATTATGCAACTATTCACAGAGATATAATAGGACAATATATTGTTTAAAACCATTTTCAGAAAAAAATGCATGTATTTACCTAAAAATAAATCTGAGAGGGGCATAATATGGATGCTGGAGTTTCAGATAATTTAAATTTAATTATTTTCAGTTTGATTGACTAGTTCTTTGCATTTCCTACTCTTTCTGAAAGAGTTATGCATTAAGACAAAATATAATATAAGAAAAAGAGGAATAGAGCATCTTTAAATTGTGGCTGGTGTTGTGCTTTCATTGCTTGTGGCCTATGCTAGTCTATCCCCTTTCTTTACCTATCAAATAAATATAGAACACTTATTTTTGGAATAAATTTCATTGGAATTTCAATTAGTTGTTAGTCCCAGATGCATGCATATATTAAAGCTGGTCTCATAATAGGTATCAACTTCTTGCCTATGTCAGATGATCTTCATTTGGTCCTTTCCTTAGTTGGACTGAGTCATAACTTAGGACTTAGTTTTCATTTTTTTTAATTGAGTAAGTATATTTATTGGGAGCTTCCTATGAGGCAGACACCGAAATAGCCCCTAGAATATAGTGGTCCACAGACTGAGAAAGTAGACTAACATTGGAACTCGGAGTAAGGAGGGAAATAAAATATTTATTAACTTCAATTGTCATAAATAGTAGAAAAGAAAGAAGTTCCTCACAAAGGGTGCACCATGAAGATTTTACCTAGGCTACAGAGGTCTAAGTGAGGATTTCCTGAGTACGATATGTCTATATTGGTATCCAGAGAGTGGATAGGGTTGGAGAAGTAAGAGTTTTAAGGTGAAAGAAATATAGTGTCCGAAAATCCTGAAGAAGAAAGGAGCATGCTGTGTGTCAAAGAAACTTGAACAGATTAGTGAGCAAAGAAAAGAGGTGTTAAACAGACGGGAGGAGTAGACAGTGAGCCCACAGCTATATTCACCTATACTATTCTGGACTGTACACCTCTCTCTCCCTCCCCTGGAACTACACAGAAGAGAAGGCTTTCTGCAGTCAGAGATTATGTTAAGTTCATCAAGTGTTCCTGGGGAAGCCAAAGATTAAAATGTAGTGAATTTTCAATATATACATTTGATTAAGTAGTTAATTATTAGTGTTATTTTTTAAAATTGATGGATAAAATTGTGTATACTTATTCTGTACAGTATGATGTTTTGAAGCATGTATATATTGTGGAATGTTTTAATCTACCTAATTGACAAATGAATTACATCACATAGGTATTATTTTTGGGATGGGAACACTTAAGATCCATTCTTTCTGTATTTATTGGGATATAATATATCATCATATAGCATAGTCAATATGCTATACAATAGATGTCTTGCACTTATTCTTCCTATTGAACTGTACTTGTATATCCTTTTCCCTTCCCACCCTCCTCCTAGGCACCCTATCATCTAGTAACCACGATTCTACTCTTGACTTCTATAAGATCAATTTTTTAATATTCTACATATAAGTATAATCATGAGACATTCATCTTTTTGTGTCTGGCTTATTTTACTTAACATCATGTCCTCCAAGTTCATCCATGTTGTTAGAAATCAAAAGATTTCTCTCTTTTTTTGAAGCTAAATTGCATTTCCATTTTGTATATACATATATATATATATATAAAACATTTTCTTTATCGATTCATCTGTTGATAAACACTTAGATTGATTCCATAGCTTGACTACAGTGAATAGTCTGCAACAAACAGGGAAGTGGAGATATTTCTTTGACATAATAGATTTTATTTCCCTTGGATATACATATCTAGTAGTGGGATTCTTTGATCACATGGTAGTTCTATTTTTAATTTTCTGAGGAACCTCTAGAGACTTTATATTACGGCTTTCATCTCATTACTTGTTATTGTTCCATTCAGGTTTTAGATTTCTTTATGGTTCAATCTTGGTAGTTTGTATGAGTCCAGGAATTTATCCATTTCTTCTGTGTTTTCCAATTTATTGGCATATAATTGTTCATAGTTGTCTCTAATGATTCCTTGAATTTCTACAATATCAGTTGTAATGTCCCCTTTTTCATCTCTGATTTTATTTATTTGAGTTTTCTCTCTTTATTCTTAGTCTGGCTAAAGGTTTGTTCATTTTGCTTAACTTTTCAAAAAAACAACGTTTTATTTTGTTGATCTTTTCAATGTTTTTTTTTTTCATTTCAATTTCATTTATTTCTGCTCTGATCTTTATTTTCTCTGCTAATTTTGGGTTCAGTTTTGTCTTGCTTTTCTAGGTTTTAAGATGCATAGTTATGTTGTATATTTGAAGATTTTCTATTTTTTGGAGTAGGTGCTTATTGCTGTTAACTTTCATCTTAGTATTGCTTTTACCATGTCACATAGTTTTGGTATGTTTTGTTTCCTTTCATTTTCATATACTTCAAGAAAATTTTAAATTTTCTTCTTAATTTCTTCATTGACCCTCTGGTCATTCAGGAACATATTGTTTAATTTCCATGTGTTTGTATAGTTGTCAAAGTTCCTTTTGTTATTGATTTCTAGTTTTATTCCATTATAGTAAAAAAAAACTTGATATGATTTCATTTTTTTGAATTTTTTAAGACATGTTTTGTGGCCTGACATGTGATCTATTCATGAGGATAATACATCTGAGGAGAAGGATATATATTCTGCAACAGTTGAATGAAACATTCTGTCAGTATCTATTAGGTCCATTCTGTCTACAATGCAGATTAAGTCTAATGTTTCTTTGTTAATTTTCTGTCTAGATGATCTGTCCAATGCTGAAGGTGGGGTGTTGAGGTCTTCAGCTATTATTGCATTGGGGTCTATCTCTCTCTTTACCTCTAATAAAGTTTGCTTTATATATTTGGGTGCTCCAAAGTTGGAAACTTATAAATTTACGATTGTTATAACCTCTTGCTGAATTGACCCCTTTATCATTTATATGACCTTATACAAGGTCTATAATATCAATAGACCTTTGTCTCTTTTTATTTTTTTATTGAAATCTGTTTTTTTTTTCTGATAGAAGTATAGTGACTCCTGCTGTTGTTTTTATTTCCATTGTAATGGAATATCTTTTTCCATCTCTTTATTTTCAATTTTAATCTTTAGAGTTGAAGTATGTCTCTTGTAAGCAACAGATCATTGGGTCCTGTTTTGTTATCGATTCAGCCACTCTATGTCTTTTGATTGGAGAATTTAGTCCATTTACATACAATGTTATTATTGATAATAAGGACTTACTCCTGCCATTGTGTTATTTGTTCACTGGTTGTTCTGTGGTCTTCTCTTCCTTCTTCCTTTCCTTCCTATCTTCCTCTAGCGATGGTGATTTTCTCTGGTGTTATAATTTAGTTTCTTGCTTTTTATTTTTTGCATATCTGTTGTAGGTTTCCTGGTTCGAGGTTACCATAACCCATTATTTTAAGCTGATAACAGCTTAACACTGTTTGCATAAACAAACAAGCAACAAGAAAACTAGTAAAAACTCTACACTTTAACTTCATCCCCTCTGAGTTTTTACTTTTTTTGTGTTTCTATTTATATCTCATTATACTATGACTTGAAAAGTTATTATAGTTATTATTTTTGAGAGGTTTGTCTTTTAGTCTTTCTACTTAAGATATGGGTAGTTTACACACCACAATTACAGTGTAAATTACAATATTCTGTGTTTGCCTGTGTACTTAGCATTATCAGTGAATTTTGTACATTCAGATGATATTTTCTTGCTTTTTAACATCGCTTTTTCTCAGACTGGAGAATTCCCTTTAGCATTTCTTGTAGGACAGGTCTGGTTTTGATGAAATCCCTCAGCTTTTAATTGTCTGTGAAGCTATTTCTGCTTCATGTTTGAAGGGTATTTTCACTGGACATATTATTCTAGGATAAAAAATTTTGAGGTTTCTCCTTCAGTACTTTAAATATGTCATACCATTCTCTTCTGGTGTGTAAGGTTTCCACTGAAAAATATGCTGCCAGACATATTGAAGCTCCATTATATGTTATTTTTTAAAATTTAACTTTTATTTTAATTTCAGGAGTACATGTGCAGGTTTGTTATATGGATAAACTTGTGCCATTGGGGTTTGTTGTACAGATATTGTCAACCATGTATTAAGTGTAGTACCTTCTGGTTATTTTTCCTGATCCTTGCCCTCCTTCTACTCTCCACTTTCCACCCTCTGATAGCTACCAATGTGTGTTTCCCCTCTATGTGTCCATGTGTTCTCATCATTTAGCTCTCACTTATAAGTGAAAACATGCAGCATTTGGTTTTCTGTTCCTGCATTAGTTTGCGAAGGGTAATGGCCTCCAGCTCCATCCATGTTCCTGCAAGGGACATGATCTCATTCGTTTTCATGGCTGCATAGTATTCCATGGTGTATATGTACCATATTTTCTTTATCCAGCATACCATTATTTGGCATTTAGGTTGATTCCAATCTTTGTTATTGTGAATAGTGTTGCAATGAACATACATGTGCATGTGTCTTTATATTAAGACAATTTATATTTCTTAGGGTATACACTCAGTAATGGAATTTCTAGTTTCTTATCACTTTCTACCCTGATGTCCCTCTCTCTCCTCTTCAAGGCCAGTAACTCTTAGATTTTCCATTTTTTGGCTATTTCCTATATCTTTTAGGTATACTTCATTCTTTTTCTATTTTTTTTCTTTTTTCTCCTCTGACTGTGCTTTTTCCAATTGCTTATCTTCCAGCTCATTAACTCTTTCTTCTGCTTGATCAATTCTGCTGTTGAGAACCTCTGATGTATTCTTTAGTATGTTAACTGAATTTTTCAGCTCCAGAATTTCCTCTTGGTTCTTTTTAATTGTTTCAATTTCTTTGTTAAATTTATTTGATAGGATTTTGAATTCCTTCTTGTTATCTTGTGTTATCTTGAATTTTACTGAGCTTCTTCAAGACAGCTACTTTAAATTCTCTGTCTGAAAGGTCACATATCTCTGTCACTCCAAGATTGGTGCTTGGTGACTTATTTAGTTTGTTTCATGAGACCATGTTTTCCTGGATGGTCTTTATGCTTATGAATGTTTGTTGATGTCTGGACATTGAAAAGTGAAATATTTATCGTGATGTTTGCAGTCTGGGATTGTTTGTACCCATTCTTCTTGGGAAGGTTTTCCAAGTATTCAAAGGAAATTGAATGTTGTGATCTAAGTCTTTTGTCACTGCAGCCATATTAGCATTTGGGGGTACCCCAAGCCCAGTAATACTGTAAATCTTGCAAACCCATAGAAGTGCCACCTTGGTGGTCTTGGGTAATATCAAAGAGAATTCCCTGGATTTCCAGAAAGAGGCTCTTTTTCTTTTCCCTTACTTTTTCTCCAAACAAAGTCTCTCTGTCCATGCTGAGCTAGCTGGAGATGTGAGAGGTGTGACACAAGCACCCCTATGGCTATAACCACTGGAACAGCCCTGGGTCAGACCAAAAGCCAGAACAGCACTGGTTCTTACTCAAGGGTCATGGTAACCCCTACGTGGCTATTGCCAGTGTTTATTCAAGGCCCAAGGGCTCTTCATTTAGAGGGTGCCAAATCCAGCCAGACTTGTGTCCTGCCCTTCAGCATTTTTCACTCTCCCTCTTCCCAGGACAGGTCCCAGAATGCCTGTATCCAGGCCTGGCGCCAGGAGCCAGGGCTTGGAGTCTGGAACCTTAGGAATTTATCTGGGGCTCTGTTCTACTGCAGCTCAGTTGACACCCAAATCATAAGACAAAGTCTTTCCCACTCTTCCCTCCTGTTTCCACAAGCAGAGGTGTTCCTGTGGCCAGCACTGCCCCAGGCCCACAGGAATTACTGCCTGGCTACTGCTGATGTTCACTCAAGGAACAAGGGCTCTTCAGTCAGCTTGTGGTGAATGCTTCCAGGCCTGGGTCTCTCCCTTCATAGCAGTGGGCTCCCCTCTGGCCCAGGGCAGGTTAAGAAATGCCATCCGGGAGCCAAGGCATGGAATGAGGAATCCTAGGAGCCTGCTTGGTGCTCTACTTCACTGTGGCCAAGCTGGTGTCCACACTGAATTTTATTTATTTTTTGAAGGTTCTTTCTTATGTAAATAGTTATTCAATTTGGTGTTCCTGTAAGGAAGGCAATCACTTGAGAATGCTATTCAGCCCTCTTGGTCAGACTTCTTTGATTTTTTTTTAATGTGGCAAGAGATAAATGTCTAATTTCATTCTTCTATATGTAGATATACAGTTTTCCAAAAGTCATTTATTGAAGAGACCGTTTTTCTCCCATTGAATGTTGTTGGTACCTTTATCAAAAACCAATTGGCTATTAATGTGTGAATTCATTTGTGAGCTTTTTATTCTGTTCCATTGGTCTATGTGTTTTATTTTATGCTTGTACCATTCTGTTTTGGTTACTATAGGTTTGTAGTATATTTTGAAGTCAGATAGTGTGATGCCTCCTGCCATGTTCATTTTGCTCAAAATTGCTTTAGCTATTCAGGGTCTTTCATTATTCCACATACATTTTAGGACTGTTTTTTAATTTCTGTGAAGAATATCATCAGTATTTTGATGGAGGTTGCATTGAATCTATAGATCATTTTGAGTAGTCCGATCATTTTAACAATATTAATTCTTCCAATCCATGAATACAAGATATCTTTTTTTTTAATTGTGTCTTTTTCATTTTCCTTCCTTAATGTTTTATAGGTTTCAATGTAGAGCTCTTCTACCTTGTTGGTTAAATTTATTCCTAAATATTTTGTTTTTGTAGCTATTGTTAATGCTATTGTTTTCTTGACTTGTTTTTCATGTAATTAACTGTTAATGTATAAAAACACTATTGATTTTTGTACATTACTTTTGTGTTCTGTAATGTTACTGAATTTGTTTAAATCAAACAGTTTTTTGGTGGACTTTTTATACATTTTTATATGTAAATTTTGTCATCTGCAAATAAAAGACAATTTAGTTTCTTTCTTTCCACTTTTGGTGCCTATTATTTTTTCTCTTGCCTAATTATTCTGGCTATGAAATCCATTACTATGTTGAATAGAAGTGGAGAAAGTGGGCATCATTTTCTTGTTCCATATCTAGAAGGAAAAAATTTTAACCTTTTGACTTTCAGTATGGTGTTAGCTGTGATTTTGTTATATTTGGTACATTACTTCTATACCTAATTTATTGAGATTTTTGGTCATGAAAGAGTGTTAAAGTATCATCAAAATTTTTTTCTGTGTCTTTTGAAATGATCATAAGGATTTTGTCTTTCATTTTGTTCATGTAATGTATCACATTTATTAATTTGTGTCTGTTGGGTCATCCTTGCATCCTTGGGATTAATCCCACTTGATCATGGTGGATGATCTTTTTAATGTGTTGTTGAACTTGGTTTGCTAACATTTTCTTAGGGAGTTTTGCATCTATATTCATTAGGGATATTGGCCTGTAGTTTTCTGTTTTGTAATGTCTTGTCTGGTTTTATTAATAATATCAAGGTGATGCTGACTTCATAAAATGTGTTGGAAGGATTTTCTCCTCCCAGATTTTTGGAACAGTTTCAGAAAAATTAGTATTAGATTTTCTTTAAATGTTTGGTAGAATTAAGTCATAAAGCCATCAGGTCATCCCAGTAAACATCAATTTTGATTACTAGGAAACTTTTTATTTACTGATTCAGTCTCTTTACCAGTTACTGCTGTATTCAGATTTTCTATTTCTTTGCAATTCAATCTTGGCAAGTTGTATGTATCCAGGAAATTATTGATTTCTTCTAGGTTATCCAATTGATTGGTGTTTAATTGTTTATATTGGTCTCATGTTCCTTTTTATTTTTGTGGTGTCAATTGTAACTTCTTTTTAAATCTTGATTTATTTGATATAAGTCTTCTCTCTCTTTTTCTTAGTGTACCTAAAGGTTTGTAAACTTTTTTTATCTTTTCAAAAAACCTACTCTTAGTTTTATTAACTATTTGTGTTGTTTTTCTAGCCTCTATTTTACTCATTTCTGCTCTGATCTCTATTATTTCCTTTTTATACTAATTTTGGTCTGTGCTTATTTATTTATTTATTTATTTATTTTTGAGATGGAGTTTCACTCTTGTTGCCCAGGCTGGAGTGCAATGGCACAATCTCTGCTCACTGCAACCTCTGCCTCCTGGGTTCAAGCAGTTCTTCTGTCTCAGCCTCCCGAGTAGCTGGGATTGCAGGCACCTGCCACCATCCCTGGCTATTTTTTTTTAGTTCATTGCCTTGCAGAAAGAAGATGATCAATTATTAGGCAATTTGGTCAATTTGAAACATGATGGAAACTAATGAATAAATAGCTGCCTGATGGAGAGATTGAATGGATGAGCCATAGCAATTTATTCTGTGGAGCTTTAAGTCTGCTCCTCCTCTTCAACTTTGCCTGAGATTCAGGCATCTCCTCTGCTCTTTGAAATGTGAGAGTGTTGCTTGCAATGGGTGCATACTTGGTGCTGCACCATGTTATTTGTGTCCTAAATGTCCATATTCCTGTCCTTTTGCTGGACTTCTACTTGCTCCCTGGTACAAAATCACAGTCTCTAATGACTGAGATTATTTTAACAGTTGCTTGGCTTTTCTCCTTCCAGGCTTAATTACTTTAATCAGTTCTTTAAAGCCAGTTATCTTTCTATAAAGCCATGATTCTACCATGATTGATAATCTTCAATAATTCCTCATTTTCTTTAGGAAAAATTGCTTGCTCTGTAGTCTGGTATGGAAGGCTCACTTCTTCCTGCTTGATCTTTCTTTGTAATTCTTTATTATTATTGCTTTTATTGCAGAAACATTCTCCTTTAATAGCCTGGTAGGACCTCTGGTAGTGTAGTCGTGGGCTGCTCACTATGAGGGGCTGAAGAGTACCCAATGGGGGATGGAAGTGAGACAGTGGTAGGGCTAGACATGCCAATTTATTTCCCATGGCTTAGAGGGTTGGGAGAGTCAGGCCAACCTTCATCAGCGGTGGTGAAATAACTAGCAGCAAGGGGCAGGGGGCAGAGGCAAGGCCAAGGCAAGGGATACCACCATTGTGCCCCACACTACCCGCTTATTGCTCCCAACAAATATTTGTAGGGGATGCTGGGGCTGGTGGCCTTGGTTGGGATGAGTATGTGGCAACCCTATTTCAGTCAGGCTCAAAATAGGTAGGGCCAGTGTGGCCACCCTGAATGGAACCCTATGTGTTCTCCTGGAATAGCTGCCAATTGTTCTGCAGGATCTCAGTGCCCACTTTTTGTTACTCCAGCCCATCAAAATTTTTATCCTTTCTTAAGTGTAAATAAAAAGAAAGTATTTTCTTTTTCAGATGGTGAGAGATATTTAACTGAGTTGTTAGACTATCTCTGATATCTGGGGGACATAATAAGAGACTAGAAAATTCATATTTCAGAGCAGAAAAATTCAATAAAAACTAATAAAAATCATTCAATTATAAAATGCAACACATATTATCTCTAGATGTTAATGTGTTCTTTTCCTTCTTCTGGGATTTTCCCGAATCCTTCAACTCTCTTCCCTTTTCTTCTACTTCTATGTTTGTGGTTGGACATTCTTTTCACCTCAATTTATACATTATTCCATTTCCTGAATTAGATGATCTTCACTTATGCTTCATTGGACCCGGAAGATTCTTATTTTGGTAATTGGTACTCATTGTTTTAATGGGTCATTGTGTTTATTGAGAGTGTAATATGAGACAGATATTGTCCTAGTCACTTGGATGAAGTGGGTTTTTAAAAGGCTGACAGTGTACTCCTACTCTTGAAACTTATAGTGCCAGTGAAATGACATTAATTCACTAATTACAATTGTCATAAGTATTATAGTAGAAAAAATCCCAAGGTCCTACACATATGAACATCAGGAAGACTTCTAGCCTGAGGAAGAAATGATCTGACCAATTTAGGAGATTTCCAGGTAGAGAAACATGGTTTATAAAACTCCTAAGTAGAAGAAGGATGTTGAAGAAACTTTAATGGATTAGAAAGTGAAGGGAAAAGTGTGAAAGAAACTCCAGTAGTAGACAACGAACCCACCGCTGTGCTCACATGTATTGCTAGGGATGCTACACATCTTTGATTTTCCCCATGAAAAGTGAAAGAGAACTTCTTGAGGCCCAAAATATATCAATTCACCATGTATCCCATGTAGAAGCAGAATATTAAAATATAGTTAATTATCAATATATGCATCTGAGTAAATAATAATCAGAATTATTTTTGGTAGAAGATGAAATGAGATGCTATTTTGAAGTTCAAATCATGAGTTATAGAAAATAGAGCAAAAGAGGAACAAGAGAAAAGTGTGTTAATTAGGACAAAATGCTTCTGTGATTTTGTGATTACTAAGTAGGTACCCAGATCTTTCTCTACAGAAATCCCCACAGCTTTTTGCTCATTCGAACTTCTTCCATGGTGGTCTATATCTCGATATTTTCTTCAGAAGTGCAGGAATCACTATTTGCCTTGTAAGAATAGATAAATAAATTGATAAAACTCTCCAGAGACTAAACTGCAGGATGTTATAAACTTGTGAAAGGCTAAAAAAATAAAATATTTTGAAAGATAACAAAAAAAACCTCACTAGTTTGGGTCACTTACGTTGGTTAGTGCCAACTATTTCATGCTGTGCTGTGAAATAGCTCTCAAACCCATTTACTGTCTCCTCCCAGAGAAGAGAAGCAATTTTGAGACTCCTTCCATAAATTTTCATAGCTTTCTACTTTGTCAGGGAAACTGCAGTTTTCCTTGTGTAAATATCTTATTGAAAAAGAAGAATGAATGTGTATGTTCATTGCAGCACTATTTACAATACCAAAGACATGGAATCATGTTAAATGCCCATCAATGATAGAATGGATAAAGAAAATGTGGTATATACACACTTTGAAATACCATGCAGCCATAAAAATGAATGAGATCATGCTCTTTACAGGGACATGGATGGAGCTTGAGGCCATTATCCTTAGCAAACTAATGCAGGAACAGAGAACCAAATACCACATGTTCTCTTATAAGTGGGAGCTAAATGAGAACGCATGGGCACATCAAACTTCTATAAGTTTGATTATAATGCATCTTGGTGTAGTCTTGATTGAAATGAATTTAGTTGGAGTCTTTCACCTTCTACTTGGATTTTTACAACTTTCTCCAGATTTAAAAAGCTTTTTGCTATTATTTTAAAAAATAACCTTTCCATTTTTTCTCACTGTTCTTCTTATATTATATTTAGATATTTGCTCTATTGACGCTGTTCCATGAATCCTTTAAGCATTCTTTATTCCTTTGAATTCCTTTTTTCTTTTAGTTCTCTTATATATTTTCAAATAACTGGTGCTCAGTTTTACACTTTCTTCCTCCTCCTTTGTCAGTACTGCTGTTGATGTTCTCTACTACATTTTCTTCAATTCATTCATTATATTTCTCAGCTCCAGAGATTGTGTTTAATTTTAATTTTAATCTCTGTGCTATATTACTTATTTTGGTCTTGGTCATTTGCTGTTTTTCTTATTTCATTGAATTGTTTCTCTGTATTCCTGGAAATATGCTGTGTGTCTTTAAACAATTATTTGGAAATTTTTGTCAGGCAGCTTATGAATCTCTCTCTCTCTCTCTTTTTTTTTTTTTTTTTGATGGAGTTTTTGCTCTTGTTGCCTAGGCTGGAGTGTAATGGTGTGATCTCGGCTCACTGCAACCTCCGCCTCCCAGGTTCAAGCAATTATCCTGATTCAGCCTCCTGAGTCACTGGGATTACAGGCATATGCCACCACTGCCAGCTAATTTTGTATTTTTAGTAGAGACAGGGTTTCTCCATGTTGGTCAGGCTGGTCTCGAACTCCTGACCTCAAGTGATCCACCTGCCTTGGCCTCCAAAGTGCTGGGATTACAGGTGTGATCCACTGTGCCTGGCCTCTTTTTCATAGAAACAATTACTGGTACTTGATTTTGTTCCTTGCTATTCATTATGCTATGGGGTAATTGTACTTACTCAGAGCCTACTCTGAAGCAAGTACTGAAATAGCCACTGTGATAAAGTGGTTTAAAAGGCACTCAGGGAACTCTTACTCTTGAGACTTGTAGTCTCGAAAAGACAAATATCCTTAACTACAGTGATAAGTGGCAGAAGAAAATATAAGATCATACATATGTAAACGCTAGGTAATATTTTTTCCTAGCCTGGGAGGAGATCTAAGGAAGTATTTCTGAACAAGAGACATTAACACTGGTATTCAAGGATAGTTTTAACCAATAGGAAGTTTGCAGGTGAAAGAATCATGATAAAAATCTTTAAGAAAGGAGCATGACATGTGGAAGAAACGTTAATAGTTTAGTGAGCAAGGGTAAGAAGTATAAAGGAGTCTTGATCAGCAAACCATGAACCCAACCGCTTGCTGTTACGTACAATACATTCTCTCTCTTCCACAGAACAACACAATAGGAAAACTTTTAGTGGTCAGAGACACTGTTACATTGATAAAGTATCCCTTGTGGAAGCAAAAGTTTAATTGTTGTGAATTCTCAATATATTCATTTGAGTAAGTAATTAGTGGAGTTACTTTTAGGTAGAACAGATAAAGTGTTTTGTTCAGGCTTAAGCATGACAAGATATACTAAAGAAAAATGTAAGAAAAAAGGAAGAAAAAGAAAGTACCTGGCCCGGATTGGTGGCTCATGCCTGTAATCTCAGCACTTTGGGAGGCAGAGGTGGGTGGATCATGAGGTCAGGAGATCAAGACCATCCTGGCTAACATGGTGAAACCCCGTCTCTACTAAAAATACAAAAAATTAGCCGGCTTGGTGGCGGGCACCAGTAGTCCCAGCTGCTCGGGAGGCTGAGGCAGGAGAATGGCATGAACCCGGGAGGCGGAGCTTGCAGTGAGCCGAGATAGTGCCATTGCACTCCAGCTTGGGTCACAGAGTGAAGACTCTGTCTCAAGAAAAAAAAAAAAAAAAGAAAAAAAGAAATTCCTCTGTAATCTTGTGGTTAACAAAGGAGTTCCCAAATTTTTATGCAAATCCCCACAGGTGTCACCTCTCTGGAACTTCTTTTGCAGTATTCTAGACTTTGATTTTTTTTCCTCCAGAAAATGTAGAAATAACAGTTTTGTACTAACAGAATAATAAATCATTAAAACTATCCAAAAAATTGAGCTGAAGGATGTTATAATCTTGTGAAAGGCTAAGAAAGTGAAGTAGTTTGAAAGGTAACAATAAAAAATGGCATTGGTTTGAGTCACTTAAAACTTTACTAGTGTTGGCTTCATCATACTGTTCTATGCCCCAGGAAGACAGCAAAGTTATGGAACAATTGTGTAACTCCTCCCATCCATGATCTTAGATTTTTATACCCTTAGCAAGAGAAACTAAACTATTTCTTTCCTGTAAATAATTTATCAAAATGAAATAAAAAATGACAGCAGAATTTTTTTTTATTTTCTGGTAATGTATTCATGCCTGAAATAAATTCTGATATTGGAAGGTTATTCTCCAGGGGACTTAAATTTTGATATTAAAACTTTATTATCCAGGAGATGTAAATGTCCCTTGAATACAGCTAAAATATCAAAGGAGAAAGATGAGACATGCCTAGCCATTTCTCCATCTTCTACTATTCACAGAGTGGCAGTGGCAGAATTGTCTATCGCTGCCAGTATATTTGACTGCATCTCCTGGATGGGGGAGGGTCTTCTATGAAATCAGTTTTGGTTTATATACTATATGAATCATTCATCCAATTATTAAGAGTTGATAAACCCATAGCTTGTCAGAGATAGAACATCATTACAAATATGGAGATCCTTCTCAAATACAGAGAAAGGAATTTGTCACCAACTGCCCTCTTAACTATGACTAAACTGTATTATCTCGATGATTGAACTCATGATTGCTCAAGTATTTTCGCATTGCTCATAGATTAAATGTAAGTGGCTTCAGTTTCATATCATGAGAGTGTTGAAGGCTTGCAATATTTGGAAGAACACTGAACTTCTGGTAGGGAAGAAGATGTGAAAAATTCTTTGTTTTCTTGTTTTTTGTTTTTGTTTTTGTTTGTTTTTGTTAAGGATTGTGGATATGCTTCAGAGTATTGTAAATCCTGCAGTCTTAAATAAATTGAACCAATCAGCAGATATTATTGTGGTAACTCAATATTGTGGTAACATTATTGTGGTAACTCAATATTGTGATAACAGTATTGTGGTAACTCAATATTGTGATAACATTATTGTGGTAACTAAATGATCTGCAAATAGGATGAGGTTATGACTGAAAAATGGGTCCTTCAAAACAGCCAATTTTGCTGCATGATCAAAGGCTGTTTAAAGGAAAGAATGCTAATAGTTTTAATTCAAACTTGTGCGGTAGAGAAGATAGCTGAAGTCTGGATTTGGAAGCTCTCTGAATGGTTCCACCAAAGCAGAAGTAAGTTGGGGAAAAGCAAGGATGATATGGGGGTCCATGGATTGCTTATGGGCTTTAGGTTGCTGCTTATGTGGACTCATGGAGCTGGTCTTTAGGTTAAGGGTAGAGAGTAACATAAGAAAAGTTCATAAAGGGCCACAATCCAGAGATCGGAGGTAGAGGATACACAGCAGCAATAAACATGATTCAGGAAGTTATCCTGCCTCTTTTTCCTGTAATCAGTTTGTAAGGAAGGATATATTCTGTTGATACTCTGAGAGATAACACAGAAATTACTAACCTAAAAAAATAGCAACTCAGAACAATGCTCAATAATCCAAACTAGTCAGATGGATATTTAGTAAATGAACAAAATAAAGGCAAAAAAAAAAAAACTTACACAGCTGATGGGAAATAAAAGAACTCCTCACGGGGAAAAGATATCTGTTGGGAGCAGGCCCCCCAAATATGTCCATAAACTGGCCCCAAAACTGGCCATAAACAGAATTTCTGCAGCACTGTGACACATTCATGATGGCCATAACACCCAAGCTGGAAGATTGTAGGTTTACGGGAATGAGGGCAAGGAATACCTAGCCCACCCAGGGCAGAAAACCGCTTAAAGGCATTCTTAAGCCACAAACAATAGCGATCTGTGCCTTGAGGACATGCTCCTGCTGCAGTTAACTAGCCCAACCTATCCTTTTAATTTGGCCCATACCTTAGTTTCCCATAAGGGATACTTTTAGTTAATTTAATATCTGTAGAAACAATGCTAATGACTGGCTTGCTGTTAATAAATACGCGGGTAAACCTCTGTTCCGGGCTCTCAGCTCTGAAGGCTGTGAGACCCCTGATTTCCCACTTCACACCTCTATATTTGTGTGTGTGTGTCTTTAATTCCTCTAGCGCCGCTGGGTTAGGGTCTCCCGGACCAGCTGGTCTTGGCAGATATCTTCATAACCTACATGAATTCCTCTCATCCCAAGTATTAATGCACAGAGTCATTGAACTTCAGTGAGAAGTGTCCTCACCAGGTTGAAAACCTAACAAAATCAGTCTGGAAAGTGACAGAAGTCTCTTACAGAGAAGAATGTGAGCAAGTAAAAGAGAAATTTCTCCAAGAAACAGCATTTAGGACCTTTAATGTCCCTATTAGGCCCTAAAATTTAAAAATAAAAATATGTGAGTAAGGCCTGTATTCTTTGAGAAGGAAATAGAAGTAGCGTCTTGGGCATAGTAAAATTAAAAACTTCTACACCTCCTATGCCTAAGTGCTAGAATAGAATCCTTCATTGTGGGATACTAAGTTGGCAAAATTAATTCATGCACTTATATAGTCATCACTTAACTGAGCAATATGCCTCCTCAGTTAGACTTCTTGGATGAATGGGATTCATTACTCAATATAAAGTCTGGATAACAGTATTGCCATAAAGACACTTTAGGAAATGTAAGAATAGTATTATAAATTTGTAATATATCCCTACCTACTTAAGTACTCTGACAAAATGATAGGAATAGCAACAATTCAATAACCCTAAATTTTCTGTGTGGCATGTTTAAGCAGGCAGGGCCTTAGAAAGTGTCCCATCATATACTATCAAGACAGCACATATTGGAAAAGTAGAGCTGTCTTGAGATGTTCACTTACATCATTGAGGTGGCCAAGAAATAATGGGCTTAAAGTGGCAATGATGAAAAAGGGCTCCATCTGTGACCACCTAAGCCTACATGGCTAACAGGCACAGGCTGCTGGCTCTGTTCCCCAAGTTTTTAAATAAAATTTGGAGAAACTACAGAGTAAGAAGAGATTTTTAGATTTAACAAACAAGCAAAATTCTTTGAGAGACTCCCTAACTATAGCAAAGTCTTTGTCTTAGTGTCTTCTGTGTGGGTTGTGGGTGGAGGCTGCAGCTTGGAGCAGAGAACATCTGGGGGCTTCATTTAGAACATTTTTAAACAGTAAAGTCTTGTTTATTCCTCATGTTGCCTTACAGCAGTCTTTGCTTGTCAGTTCCCCACAGAGGCCCTGATACCGGAGTCTACAAGGACGAAACTAGGACAAAGCAAGAGATAGGTCAGGATAAGCAGCAGATAGAACAAGTGTAAATTATTCTTCCACCATTATCCCTCATAGCCCTGGTGCTGGTGTATTATCGCACAGAGAAGTTGACTTTTCCTAAAGATAATCCTTTTAAAGATTTAAAATTTAAACTATGATTAATACTTTGCCTGGAATGGTGAGATTAACTGTGGTTTTGCGGTGTCTGAACTTGTTGCTTCTGAAATCATCTTCCTAATGTCTGACTGTCCCAAATGCAAAATTTGCCTTTGGGCTATTAGACTTTACCAAGCAAAAGACTTTACCAAACAATGTAGTACATTCCTTTATGGGGCTATGAGGTCACAGGGAATGCTGTGTATATATCTGAAGAGCAAATTTATCTAACAACAACAACAAAAACCTTAATGATTACCTTGAAAGTAAAACTGCAAACCAAACAGCATGTACCTATTGAACTCAAATACAATAATAGAGGAAGCATGATTTTAAAATCAGTAAGCCAAATATACCTAATTAGCAGCTAAAATAAGAAAAAGAAATCATAAAATAGTCAAGCGGAAATATCCACTAATAAAATGTGGTAGTCAAAATAAAGAATACAAGGCATTGGTTAGATTATGGAATGGAAAAAAAAATTGTATTTCTTAATTAGAGGTTCATATTGAGTAACTCCCACAGAAGGAAGCAGCAAAACAGAAAAAAGTTGAAATAATAAAAGAAAACATAAAAGACAAAAAGTATAGAGTTGTCAACATCCCAATAGCAGTAATTTTAGGAGAAAAGGAACATGTAGAAGGGATTAGGGGAGGTGTATGTGAATAAAATACATCGGTAAATGCCAAGAATTAAAGAGAGATAAGTGTTCTCAATAAAAAAATACAATGTGCCAAACTGGGTAGAAGGAAACATAAACAACCACCTACACACATAATGTAATTAAAAGGACACCAGCAAGAAGAAGCACCTAGAGATAAAGAACACATCATATACAACGGAATCAAACTCAGACTGACAGCAGAAATCTGGAGACTGGAGTGATATTTAAGGCACATCTAGCCAAATCATTACTCATAATTACAAAATTCTTAAAGCTCAAAAAATTTATTACTTAAAAAAATATTTTCAATCAGTACTTACTTGGAAGCAAAGTCAGAATTGAACTAATGTCAGGCTATTTATACCCACTATTTATACCACTCAGTACAATATTGCTTGATGCAGAATTTTTAAAAAATAGATTTTATTGTGTATATTTGAGGTTTACAATGTGAAGTGTGGGTATAATATAGATAGTAAAATGATTACTAGAGTGAAGCAGATGAATATATTAATAATCTGAAACAGCTACTTTTTTGTGACAAGAAAAGCTAAAATCTACTTATTTAACAAAAATTCCTAGTACTATTTTACTAACTTTAGTCCTTATTTGGTACATAGATCTCTAACCTTGTCATTCTAGCTATCCGCTACTTTGTATCCTTTGACCTACAAATGCCTACATTAAAAAAAAAAGAAAGATCTCAAATTAATAGCCTAACATTATGCCTCAAGGACCTAGAAAAAGAAGAAAAACCCAAAGTTAGCAAAAGAAAGAAAATAATAAAGATCAGAGCAAAAATAAACCAAACAGGGAACAGAAAAAAACATTGTTGCAGAAATTTTGAGTTTAAATAGCCACGTATTGATTTTAATATTGCTGAGTATTTTACATATATAAGTTATGTGCGTATCTTACCTTTCCATAAATCTAAATAATTCTGAATTCTATAATCTATTTTGTCCCAGTGTTTCAGTTAAGGTATTGTGTATTGAAGCATAATAATTTTAATCTTAAAACTTTTTGTATGAAGCTAAGCTGCCATTCATATTCAAGAATGATGCAACTATTCTCAAGCAGGCAAGGCTTCTGAAAATTTGCAATATGGGGACCCACATCCAGAGAACCCAAATAAGAAGAAAAACAAATCCAGGCAATGTTGCAAGTGTGTAGGGCCTAAGTATGGTCAAATAATTTAGTTAAATTAAATGTAACAAATAAAATTAGGGCCAAAAAAAAGCAAGGGGAAGGAAAATCACAATAGCACAGAAGAAAAATTCTAGATAATATCAACATGACTGGGGAGGGACAGAGTCAAGGGAAAAGAGAACCAGCTAAAGCTCCAGGTTTATTAGAGAAAAGCTATAGAAATAAATGTTTAAGAAGCAAAAAAGGGGCTAAATGAAAATGTAGAAAATTTGCTCAAATTGAAATAAAAAATAAGCTGTTAAAACATGTTTAGATTTTTAAATAATCACATTATATGTAAGTGAACTAAACAATAGAGAGAGAGATTGATAAAATTTCTTTAAAAAATCAGCTCTATGTTCTTATGAGTCTATTCATAAGAGGTTCAGTTGAAGCATAAGGAAATGAAAATAAAAAATAGGAAAAGATGATAACCAAATATATTGAACAAAATAGACTTTTAAGACATAGATAATTATTAGAGACAGAGTGTTGCTACTTAATAAAAGTTTCTATTCACCAAGGAGATACATTAATTACAAATATCCATGTATCTGATAAAATATCTGCAGAATATAGAAAATATAACTTTATAGAACTGTGATAAAAAACTGTAGTTTAAAAATCTCTATTTACCTATTTCTGCTCTGATCATTATAATTTCTTTCCTTCTGCTAGTTTTGAGTTTATTTTCTCTCATTTTTCTCTTATTTCTTGAGGTGGAGCCTTAGGTTGTTTTTTTTTTTGAGATTTTCTACTTTTCTGATGGAGGCATTTACTGCTATACACTTTTTTCTCAGAACTACTTTTACTGTATCCCATAGGTTTTGGTATGCTGTGTCTCCATTTTTATTTGTCTCAATAAATTTTTGTATTTTTTCTTTTTTCTTAACCCATGAGTTACTCAGGAGCATGTTGTTTAATTTCCATGTATTTGTACATTTACCATGTTCCTCTAATTAATCGCTAGTTTTCTTCCCTTGTAGTTGGAAAAGATACTTGATATTATTCATTTTTTAAAGATTTGTGCCTGTAATCCCAGCACCTTGGGTGGCTGAGGAGGGAGGATAGCTTGAGCTCAGAAGTTCAAGATCAGCCTGGGCCACATAGTGAAACCTCATCTCTATAAAAAATACACAAAAAAAATCAGCTGGATGTGGTGCACTTGTAGACCTAGCTATTCAGGAGGGAGGCTGAGGTGAGAGGATTGCTTGAGCCTGGGAGGTGGATGTTGCAGTGAGCCAAGATCACACCACTGCACTCCACACCCCAGCCCGGGTGACAGAGTGAGTCCCCGTCTCAAATAAATAAATAAATAAATAAATAAATGAATAAATAAGACTTGTTTGGCATTTGGTTGCTTAGAATGTGTGTAGTCTGGAAATAATACTCTAGGTGCTGTTGAAAAGAATGCGTACCTGCAGCTACTGGAAGGAATGTTTTGATGTTTCGTAAATGTCTGTTAGGTTTGTTTAGTCTAGAATACCATTTAATGCTGAAGTTTTTTTTGTTGATTTTTTGTCTAAATGATCTGTCCATTGCTGAAAGTGGAGTTTTGAGTTTCTCTGCTATTATTGTATTGCAGTCTTTTTCTTTAAGTCTCTTAATATTTACTTTCTATATGTAGTTGGTGTTCTTATATTAGGTGCATATTTATTTACAATAGTTACATCCTCTTACTGTAGTGATCTCTTTGTCATTACATAATGGACTCTTCTGTCTTTTTTTTTTTTTTTTTAACAGTTTTTGACTTTAAGTGTATTTTATCTAATATAAGTATAGCTTGCTTTTTTGTTTTCAATTTGTGTGAAATATCTTCTTTCATTCTCTTTCAGCCTATTTATATCATTACAGGTAAAGTGAGTCTTGTAGACACCATATAGTTGAGTCTTTTTAAAATTTTTCTCTAGTAGTATATTTTGATTTATTGCTTTTAACTTTTATTGTATCTATTGTAAGTTTTTGTTTTGTGGTTATCATGAAGCTAACAAAAGCACATTTTCATTTTAACAAGTTATTTTAAACTTAAAACCATTTAACTTCAATTACAGAAAAAACCCCACAAAACCTGTATACTTTACCTCAATTCTTCTCCTATGCATTGAATTTTTGGTGTCATAATTTACATCTTATATTGTCAATGTCTTAACAAATTATTGTGGTTACTATTATTTTTAATAGTTTTATATTTTAATTTTTAAGGTGATGAGTGGTTTACACACCATAACTACAGTATGAGAGTATTCTAAATTTTTCTGTTTACATACATTTACTAGTGATTTTTATACTTCAGATGTTTTCTTGTTTCACATGGACAAGTTTTTTCTTTCAGTTTGAAGAACGCTATCATTTCTTTAAGGCAGGCATAGTGATGATAAATTCCCACAGCTTTGGTTAGTTTGGAAAGTCCTTATCTCTCGTTTCTTTCTGAAGGCTAGCTTTGCTGGTTACAATATTTTAGGTTATCACTTTTTTGCTTCAGCACTCTGAATATATCATTCCATTCACCCCTGGCCTGCAAGACTTCTGTGGAGAAATCTGCTGCTAGGCCTATTGAAATTCGTGAATATGTTTTTTATTACAAATATTTGAAATTTTCAGTTCAAGAATCTTGACTTGGTACTCTACTGAGTCTCCCTATCTATTCAGTTATTCAGGTCATATTTGCCTTTAATTATTTGAGAATATTTTATCTCAGATTATTGCATATATTTTTGATAACTGCCCTAACAACTTTGGAAAATACAATACTGTGCTACTCCATCATCAGTTTCTACTGGATTTTCCCCCTAATTTCTCTCTTGTATATGGGTCACATTTTTTTCTCTCACTGCAGGTTTGTAACTTTGAATTGGATCCTGCATTATATAAATAATATCTTGTACAGATTTTTGGTTGTTGGACAATCTTTGAAGACTTTGTAGTTGTTGCTGCTGCTATTCTCATGACATTTCAATTATTGTCTGATCATTCATACTTGTAGGCTTGATTTTATGGGTTGCTATGATATGTTTATGTAAATCCTAAAAACTTTCCTGTCCTCCTTTATTTTGAAAAAACTCAGATTCTCTCTTTTCTCAGAATCATGATGAGGCTTGGTTTCAATCTTTGCTAGGATGGGTCTAGAGTAGTCCTTAGTCTACTACACAATCTTTATTCCACAGGTGCAACCTTCCTTTATTGTGAGGTAGATGCACATGGTACAAAAGATGTATCCCCATTCTAGCAACCTACAATAACCCCCAACACTGTTCACTTTCTTGTATTTCTGTTCTGTCTTCAACCCCATAACAGCTACTCTCTGGTGAGCTTCACACTGTCTCACCTCCTACATGTGCAGCTCAGGACTCAGCTAATGAATGCTACTTCCTCTCTATAGGTCCCTTTTCTCTAGATCCCAGCTATTCAGGTACCATAAAAATTGGTCTTCACTCCTCATCCCTGTGTGACAGCTGCACTTGCCTTGTCAAGTGCTCACTGGCCTGTAGTTAGGAAGTCCTCCCAGGCCAGAGAACTTGGGAAACTGTGGCACTTACCCTGTGAATTTTCCTCCTATCAGGGATCTTATCTTTGTACTGCCTGTGGTTCAAAGCCTAAAAACTGTCACCTCATATTATTCTGAGTTACATTATTGCTTGTGATGGATATGCTGCTTTGCAGTTATTAGAAACAGAAGGCGATAGTTACTTTTAAAATATTGATTTTAGATATTACATTTCTTTAGATGATATTTACTGTCATTTAGAGTAAATTTCATTTACTTTTTATTGCCTTTTACTCTATGTGTATACCTACCTGAGTAACTTTTGTCTGGAATCCATACATTTAAAATGTGAGAATATTGCCGGGCACAGTGGCTCACACCTGTAATCCCAGCACTTTGGGAGGCCAAGGTGGGAGGATCACGAGGTCAGGAGATGGAGACCATTCTGGCTAACACGGTGAAACCCGTCTCTACTAAAAATACAAAAAATTAGCGGGGTGTGGTGTGGTGGCGGCGCCTGTAGTCCCAGCTACTGGGGAGTCTGAGGCAAGAGAATGGGGTGAACCCGGGAGGTGAAGCTTGCAGTGAACTGAGATCACGCCACTGCACTCCAGCCTGGGCGACAGAGTGAGACACTGTCTCAAAAAAAAAAAAGTGAGAATATGAAAATATACTTGTAGTACTAATAATGAGATGTGTCTACACATGAAATAAATGAGACATGATAATCCAAACCAACTAGGAAGGGGTACGCTTCCTGCACACACTGGTGCCTTCGTGAAAATCACCAGTGTTGTCCCTTCAGAGGAAACAATTACCCAAACGTTCTCCTTCTGGGGGATATAATTGCATAAAGGAATCCTTTCCTCTGGACCTACTGAAATGTTCCTGAGGGCACAGTGTTTATTCATGTAAGCATTGGCTGCATAAATATTCACATGACTCTCATGGGGGCCTCTTCCTGTAGAAATCACAATGTGGACCCCAATATTAGTAAGGCCCTGTCTGTCTCTCTCCACCCCCGCTAGCACGCCCCTCACAGTGAACAAAGTGCTCAGGCTCAAGCAGCTCACTACTGCACTGAAGACAGCATATCCAACACTTTGGGGGAAAAATGTTCTTTAAAAATGAAAATTTATTTTTTACATTATGAATATTATAGATGAAAATTATAGTATTCTTAAAAAACAGAATTTAGGAAAAGAAATTAGAAAGGAAAGCAATCTAATCCATAACTCAGATATAAAAACTCTTAATATGCTGGGATATATCTTCTGAATCTATTCTTTAAATGAGCATCTCAACTTTTACAACATCGGTGATAATATTACCTAATTGATTTGAAGAAGGATTCTTTATTTCCACTTGCAGATTTCAATTACAATGTTTTTGTCTTTTATTGTTCCTCTTGGTCTTTATAACCTTGAAGGAAAAATAAGAAGGACAATGAAATCTCCTACCAATTGAGATGAAGCTCTACTTATAATTCCCCTCATTATGCACAATGCCTGTTTTTCCCATTGGCTACATTATTCTTTATTTATTTATTTATTTATTTATTTATTTATTTTTTTATTATACTTTAAGTTTTAGGGTATATGTGCACATTGTGCAGGTTAGTTACATATGTATACATGTGCCATGCTGGTGCGCTGCACCCACTAACTCGTCATCTAGCATTAGGTATATCTCCCAATGCTATCTGTCCCCCAACCCCCCACCCCACCACAATCCCCAGAGTGTGATATTCCCCTTCCTGTGTCCATGTGATCTCATTGTTCAATTCCCACCTATGAGTGAGAATATGCGGTGTTTGGTTTTTTGTTCTTGCGATAGTTTACTGAGAATGATGATTTCCAATTTCATCCATGTCCCTACAAAGGACATGAACTCATCATTTTTTATGGCTTCATAGTATTCCATGGTGTATATGTGCCACATTTTCTTAATCCAGTCTATCATTGTTGGACATTTGGGTTGGTTCCAAGTCTTTGCTATTGTGAATAATGCTGCAATAAACATACATGTGCATGTGTCTTTATAGCAGCATGATTTATAGTCCTTTGGATATATACCCAGTAGTGGGATGGCTGGGTCAAATGGTATTTCTAGTTCTAGATCCCTGAGGAATCACCACATTGACTTCCACAATGGTGAACTAGTTTACAGTCCCACCAACAGTGTAAAAGTGTTCCTATTTCTCGACATCCTTTCCAGCACCTGTTGTTTCCTGACTTTTTAATGATTGCCATTCTAACTGGTGTGAGATGGTATCTCACTGTGGTTTTGATTTGCATTCCTCTGATGGCCAGTGATGATGAGCATTTTTTCATGTGTTTTTTGGCTGCATAAATGTCTTCTTTTGAGAAGTGTCTGTTCATGTCCTTTGCCCACTTTTTTATGGGGTTGTTTGTTTTTTTCTTGTAAATTTGTTTGAGTTCTTTGTAGATTCTGGATATTAGCCCTTTGTCAGATGAGTAGGTTGCGAAAATTTTCTCCCATTTTGTGGGTTGCCTGTTCACTCTGATGGTAGTTTCTTTTGCTGTGCAGAAGATCTTTAGTTTAATTAGATCCCATTTGTCAATTTTGTCTTTTGTTGCCATTGCTTTTGGTGTTTTAGACATGAAGTCCTTGCCCATGCCTATGTCCTGAATGGTAATGCCTAGATTTTCTTCTAGGGTTTTTATGGTTTTAGGTCTAACATTTAAGTCTTTAATCCATCTTGAATTGATTTTTGTAGAAGGTGTAAGGAAGGGATCCAGTTTCAGCTTTCTACATATGGCTAGCCAGTTTTCCCAGCACCATTTATTAAATAGGGAATCCTTTCCCCATTGCTTGTTTTTCTCAGGTTTGTCAAAGATCAGATAGTTGTAGATATGCGGCGTTATTTCTGAGGGCTCTGTTCTGTTCCATTGATCTATATCTCTGTTTTGGTAACAGTACCATGCTGTTTTGGTTACTGTAGCCTTGAAGTATAGTTTGAAGTCAGGTAGTGTGATGCCTCCAGCTTTGTTCTTTTGGCTTAGGATTGACTTGGCGATGCGGGCTCTTTTTTGGTTCCATATGAACTTTAAAGTAGTTTTTTCCAATTCTGTGAAGAAAGTCATTGGTAGCTTGATGGGGATGGCATTGAATCTGTAAATTACCTTGGGCAGTTTGGCCATTTTCATGATATTGAGTCTTCCTACCAATGAGCATGGAATGTTCTTCCATTTGTTTGTATCCTCTTTTATTTCCTTGAGCAGTGGTTTGTAGTTCTCCTTGAAGAGGTCCTTCACATCCCTTGTAAGTTGGATTCCTAGGTATTTTATTCTCTTTGAAGCAATTGTGAATGGGAGTTCACTCATGATTTGGCTCTCTGTTTGTCTGTTTTTGGTGTAAAAGAATGCTTGTGATTTTGGTACATTGATTTTGCATCCTGAGACTTTGCTAAAGTTGCTTATCAGCTTAAGGAGATTTTGGGCTGAGACAATGGGGTTTTCTAGATATACAATCATGTCATCTGCAAACAGGGACAATTTGACTTCCTCTTTTCCTAATTGAATACCCTTTATTTCCTTCTTCTGCCTGATTGCCCTGGCCAGAACTTCCAACACTATGTTGAATAGGAGTGGTGAGAGAGGGCATCCCTGTCTTGTGCCCGTTTTCAAAGGGGATGCTTCCAGTTTTTGCCCATTCAGTATGATATTGGCTGTGGGTTTGTCATAGATAGCTCTTATTATTTTGAAATACGTCCCATCAATATCTAATTTATTGAGAGTGTTTAGCGTGAACAGTTGTTGAATTTTGTCAAAGGCTTTTTCTGCATCTATTGAGATAATCATGTGGTTTTTGTCTTTGGCTCTGTTTATATGCTGGATTACATTTATTGATTTGCGTATATCGAACCAGCCTTGCATCCCAGGGATGAAGCCCACTTGATCATGGTGGATAAGCTTTTTGATGTGCTGCTGGATTCGGTTTGCCAGTATTTTATTGAGGATTTGTGCATCAATGTTCATCAAGGATATTCTTCTAAAATTCTCTTTTTTGGTTGTGTCTCTGTCCAGCTTTGGTATCAGAATGATGCTGGCCTCATAAAATGAGTTAGGGAGGATTCCCTCTTTTTCTATTGATTGGAATAATTTCAGAAGGAATGGTAGCACTTTCTCCTTGTACCTCTGGTAGAATTTGGCTGTGAATCCGTCTGGTCCTGGACTCTTTTTGGTTGGTAAGCTATTGATTATTGCCACAATTTCAGATCCTGTTTTTGGTCTATTCAGAGATTCAACTTCTTCCTGGTTTAGTCTTGGGAGAGTATATGTGTCCAGGAATTTATCCATTTCTTCTAGATTTTCTAGTTTATTTGTGTAGAGGTGTTTGTAGTATTCTCTGATGGTAGTTTGTATTTCTGTGGGATTGGTGGTGACATCCCCTTTATCATTTTTTATTGCGTCTATTTGATTCTTGTCTCTTTTTTTCTTTATTAGTCTTGCTAGCAGTCTATCAATTTTGTTGATCCTTTCAAAAAACCAGCTCCTGGATTCCTTAATTTTTTGAAGGGTTTTTTGTGTCTCTATTTCCTTCAGTTCTGCTCTGATTTTAGTTATTTCTTGCCTTCTGCTAGCTTTTGAATGTGTTTGCTCTTGCTTTTCTAGTTCTTTTAACTGTGATGTTAGGGTGTCAATTTTGGATCTTTCCTGCTTTCTCTTGTGGGCTTTTAGTGCTATAAATTTCCCTCTACACACTGCTTTGAATGCGTCCCAGAGATTCTGGTATGTTGTGTCTTTGTTCTCGTTGGTTTCAAAGAACATCTTTATTTCTGCCTTCATTTCCTTATGTACCCAGTAGTCATTCAGGAGCAGGTTGTTCAGTTTCCATGTAGTTGAGCGGTTTTGAGTGAGATTCTTAATCCTGAGTTCTAGTTTGATTGCACTGTGGTCTGAGAGATAGTTTGTTATAATCTCTGTTCTTTTACATTTGCTGAGGAGAGCTTTACTTCCAAGTATGTGGTCAATTTTGGAATAGGTGTGGTGTGGTGCTGAAAAAAATGTATATTCTGTTGATTTGGGGTGGAGAGTTCTGTAGATGTCTATTAGGTCTGCTTGGTGCAGAGCTGAGTTCAATTCCTGGGTATCCTTGTTGACTTTCTGTCTCGTTGATCTGTCTAATGTTGACAGTGGGGTATTAAAGTCTCCCATTATTAATGTGTGGGAGTCTGAGTCTCTTTGTAGGTCACTCAGGACTTGCTTTATGAATCTGGGTGCTCCTGTATTGGGTGCATATATATTTGGGATAGTTAGCTCTTCTTGTTGAATTGATCCCTTTACCATTATGTAATGGCCTTCTTTGTCTCTTTTGATCTTTGTTGGTTTAAAGTCTGTTTTATCAGAGACTAGGATTGCAACCCGTGCCTTTTTTTGTTTTCCATTTGCTTGTTAGATCTTCCTCCATCCTTTTATTTTGAGCCTATGTGTGTCTCTGCACGTGAGATGCATTTCCTGAATACAGCACACTGATGGGTCTTGACTCTTTATCCAATTTGCCAGTCTGTGTCTTTTAATTGGAGCATTTAGTCCATTTACATTTAAAGTTAATATTGTTATGTGTGAATTTGATCCTGTCATTATGATGTTAGCTGGTGATTTTGCTCGTTAGTTGATGCAGTTTCTTCCTAGTCTCGATGGTCTTTACATTTTGGCATGATTTTGCAGTGGCTGGTACTGGTTGTTCCTTTTCATGTTTAGCGTTTCCTTCAGGAGCTCTTTTAGGGCAGGCCTGGTGGTGACAAAATCTCTCAGCATTTGCTTGTCTGTAAAGTATTTTATTTCTCCTTCACTTATGAAGCTTAGTTTGGCTGGATATGAAATTCTGGGTTGAAAATTCTTTTCTTTAAGAATGTTGAATATTGGCCCCCACTCTCTTCTGGCTTGTAGGGTTTCTGCTGAGAGATCCGCTGTTAGTCTGATGGGCTTCCCTTTGAGGGTAACCTGACCTTTCTCTCTGGCTGCACTTAACATTTTTTCCTTCATTTCAACTTCGGTGAATCTGACAATTATGTGTCTTGGAGTTGCTCTTCTCAAGGAGTATCTTTGTGGCGTTCTCTGTATTTCCTGAATCTGAACGTTGGCCTGCCTTGCTAGATTGGGGAAATTCTCCTGGATAATATCCTGCAGAGTGTTTTCCAACTTGGTTCCATTCTCCCTGTCACTTTCAGGTACACCAATCAGACGTAGATTTGGTCTTTTCACATAGTCCCATATTTCTTGGAGGCTTTGCTCATTTCTTTTTATTCTTTTTTCTCTAAACTTCCCCTCTCGCTTCATTTCATTCATTTCATCTTCCATTGCTGATACCCTTTCTTCCAGTTGATTGCATCGGCTCCTGAGGCTTCTGCATTTCTTCACGTAGTTCTCGAGCCTTGGTTTTCAGCTCCATCAGCTCCTTTAAGCACTTCTCTGTATTGGTTATTCTAGTTATACATTCTTCTAAATTTTTTTCAAAGTTTTCAACTTTTTTGCCTTTGGTTTGAATGTCCTCCCGTAGCTCAGAGTAATTTGATCGTCTGAAGCCTTCTTTTCTCAGCTCGTCAAAGTCATTCTCCATCCAGCTTTGTTCCGTTGCTGGTGAGGAACTGCTATCCTTTGGAGGAGGAGAGGCACTCTGCTTTTTAGAGTTTCCAGTTTTTCTGTTCTGTTTTTTCCCCATCTTTGTGGTTTTATCTACTTTTGGTCTTTGATGATGGTGATGTACAGATGGGTTTTTGGTGTGGATGTCCTTTCTGTTTATTAGTTTTCCTTCTAACAGACAGGACCCTCAGCTGCAGGTCTGTTGGAATACCCTGCCTTGTGAGGTGTCAGTGTGCCCCTGCTGGGGGTGCCTCCCAGTTAGGCTGCTCAGGGGTCAGGTGTCAGGGAACCACTTGAGGAGGCAGTCTGCCTGTTCTCAGATCTCCAGCTGGGTGCTGGGAGAACCACTGCTCTCTTCAAAGCTGTCAGACAGGGACATTTAAGTCTGCAGAGGTTACTGCTGTCTTTTTGTCTGTGCCCTGCCCCCAGAGGTGGAGCCTACAGAGGCAGGCAGGCCTCCTTGAGCTGTGGTGGGCTCCACCCAGTTGGAGCTTCCCAGCTGCTTTGTTTACCTAAGCAAGCCTGGGCAATGGCGGGTGCCCCTCCCCCAGCCTCACTGCCACCTTGCAGTTTGATCTCAGACTGCTGTGCTCACAATCAGCGAGACTCCGTGGGCGTAGGACCCTCCGAGCCAGGTGCGGGATATAATCTCATGGTGCGCCATTTTTTAAACCGGTCGGAAAAGCACAGTATTTGGGTGGGAGTGACCCGATTTTCCAGGTGCGTCCGTCACCCCTTTCTTTGACTCGGAAAGGGAACTCCCTGACCCCTTGTGCTTCCCAAGTGAGGCAATGCCTTGCCCTGCTTCGGCTTGCACACGGAGCACACACCCACTGACCTGCGCCCACTGTCTGGCACTCCCTAGTGAGATGAACCCGGTATCTCAGATGGAAATGCAGAAATCACCCGTCTTCTGCGTCGCTCATGCTGGGAGCTGTAGACCCGATCTGTTCCTATTCGGCCATCTTGGCTCCTCCTCCTCGGCTACATTATTCTTTTACTCCAATCTCAATGGTCATTGCTTCTCTCTCAGCAATCTCCTTTGACGTATTACCATCTTTTGAGTCTGCTTGCTCCCAGCTGTGGTCTGGAGTCTGAATAGAGATATGCTCTCATGCCCATTATGGGTACATTTAAACAGAGCAGGAGTTAAACAAAGGCAGTAAGGCAGTACCACAGGTGACAGGGAATAGCTTATTTACTCAGTGCAAAACATTCAGGGAAGATTTTAATTAGGCAGAATGTTGGCAGGAGGATATTAGGTAAGGTTTTTCACAGTACAACTATGGTTGTTTCAATTGAAATGAAAGGATTATTGAATTAGGGAATCTGAGATGTGGAACGATTTACGTGCATATATATGTCTGTGTGCCTGATTATGTCACTATTTCCATTTTAATCATTTGTACTTAAATTTAACTTTGGTTAGTGTTATCAAGGCTCCTATTGTGAACCTTTGTGCTTGTCGTTAGTGTGCTTTTGGAGAATGAGATATTTAGTATGATGTTATGGAGAGCCAGCCATGTTTTCTTCTGTGAATCAGCAATTGCCTTTCACTAAAGTATAGCAATTTTTGGTCTAAGATGAAGTTATTCCAAGACTTCCTTGTTTATTTGAGTCTGACATGAGCTGTGTTGACCCTCTTCCTTGTTAAACTTATTTTTGATGCATATTATACATATTTCCACTTTATCTTTGACCTCTCTGTGTACATAGTTTCATCCTCATTTGTAGCATCCTTTACTTGTAGTCACCCCCAAATATATATCCAACTTTTCTATGGCTCCACCTATGGCAGTTTGATCTTCTCATTCACCTTGCTTAAGAATCTGCATTCTAAATCTACACAGCCTGGGCTGGAATGTCAGTTCCACCACTAACTGGTTGTTTCAATTGGTGTGTATTGCTTACATTTTCTGAGCATCGGTATCTTTATCTATGATATGGGAATAATTATTATAGCTTCATTATTGTCTCACTTCCCCAAACATAGTGAGTGCTCAGTTTTCTATTAGTATAAATGTAGAATTATACAATTATTTTAGATAATATCATCTAAACCCATAATTTTAACATGTATCTCTAAATGTACAAATGCATAACTCGCCAGTACAAAATTACTTTTTTTGTTCCAGATCTGTTTATACAGATCTATATATCTTCAGATTGATAGAGAGATATTTCTTAGATATCCAACAGGTAGCTCAAAGTCAACTTGTCCAAACAACATGTTTTCACTTCCTAGACTGTGCTGTTCTCTGCTTTCTTGATGTTAGTGAACAGTAGCACCATTTATACAGTTGCCTGGATAATATTCTTGAATCATCTTTGAATGCTCCTTAAATCTTTTATCTTTCTCAACATCATCACTTAATTAGTCACACAATCATGAGGATATAGCTTCAAAAAATATTTTACTCCATTCATCACAGCCCTGTTTGTCTTTCTCCTTCTTAAATAGAAATCTGAAGAAACCTTTCGTGGTGTCCTGGTAAACTAGCTGCCCAATTTTAGAAAATATCTATTTGTAGCCTTTGCATATTTTGCTGGCCTAAATATTTCCACTATGCTAGTTTCAAACTTCCAAAGATTTTACAAACAGTTCATAAAATCCCCAAATACTTAGCAATAAGTGTTCTGGTGAGAGCTGACTTGGGCACATCATTGCTTCTAATTGATATCTCTGCTCTAACCTAATGCCTCTCTAATGCATACTTCTAGAATTGTTACCATAATACCTTTTTTTTTTTTTTTTGCTAAAGTGTCAATGTGATCAGACATTCTTCTGCATAAAATCTTTAGGTTTTATCTGTTTTTCACAATGAATTTTCTGTTTCTTTATTTCTGACAAACAGCTATACTCTACCACCTGCCCCCGCCCCCAATTTTTATTCTGTGCTGCATCTTTCCATAGTTTCTTCATAGAAACTCTTTATAGAATTTTAGTTGTACAGAACTCACAGTGCAGTTTCACACTTTAGAGCATTTGCGTGTGTCATTTTCATTGCTTAGATCCCCTTCCAATATCTTTGCCGTGATAGGAAAAGTAGTGCTTACCATAGATTAATTTCTCATGATGTACTAGGCAGTGAGATATGTTATATAAATTTTACATATATGTAAACTTATATGCATAAATACGCATTGTCTCACTTAATATTTTAACCATGCTGATGAAGTGGAGACTTCCATTATTTTAGAGGATCAGTGAAACTATTTCCCCAATATCAATCAACTAATGAGTGTTGAATTCAGGATTCAAATCAGATTTGTCTTATTCATAACCCTTTCTCTTGAACACTATATGAAATTACTTCCCTGTCATCCTAATTTCTTTAAATACTTTATTACTTAGCACAAGTATTATAATCCTTTTGAATATTCCTTTGAAGCTTATAAGAATACTATTTCCTTAATATCATTAAAAACTCTTCTACGTAGAAATGAGTGCAAGGACATTGTTTGGATTTTCCTCCCACCTGCTGGACTGTCTGAGTAACAGGATAGGAATCTAGTGTTCCTGAAGCCTAAACAAAATCATTTACTTCTTTGGCAAACTAATGTTCCTCTATCCAGTTCCCACCTTGATAAAAATGTGAATTCTACAAATCAATTTTAGCTTGTAGTCAATTGTTCTTAGATGAAAGCAGAATAATCAAAACTTATCTCCTTCCTCACACTTGATATTGTGCCATTTTTCATTCCTGACTACATCCATGGTTCCTGTATTGTAGTATCTTACACACAGAAGCTATTATTCATCAATTGTATAATTCCATTTATATGCGAGATCTCTTATAGAGTGTGTAGGAAAATCTGGAGGTAAATTTAAGGGGCTAACTTAGAAGATATGTATGTAGGGTTACAAAGCAGTCAATCATGTGAAATGTTAGTTGAATTCATAGCAGTTTGTAATTTTTTTGAGGACTGTTAGGGAGGAATTGAATGTGTCATGCTGTCACCTTGAATTTGGACATGGACATATCAGTAAAACTGTGCCTTTTAATTATTATTATTATTATTACTTTGTAAATGAGAGGATTCGATTACCTTATCTTCTAAGTATCATGGAATTCAAAATTTTTATTCAATACTATCTTCATAAATAAATAAGTAAATAAGACAGAAGGGAGACAGCACAAATGTTTAGATCATATGCATAGCTGCTGAAAGTATTTGCACTTAGGAGAAAGTTAGCCAATCCATTTATTATACTTATTGCACGTCACAACTAGAATTCAACCTTGGTAGTACAATTCATTATACAAAGTAAATATATCAAAATCCAAAGTAAAATTATGAGCTCCAGTTGGGATAGAGTACAAAGAGATGAAATTATTGGCACGTAACCTAATTATTTAGACCCTGTATTGTATAGAAATATGCTAGTTGTCTCTGTGCACCAGAAGTGAGGCAAATGATCTGTCCTGTCACACTGAACACAATCAACATCTGTGGGTGTTTGGACTTTACTAGGATTTAACTTTAATTGATTATATTAATATTGCCAAATAACATAACACAAGGAACACTTTTCTAAAACACTAGTAACAACAAATTTCAAGTTGACAAGAAAGTTACAGTACACATATGAAATAAATTATACAACTACTCTAAAGGACATAATAGGAGCCTCAAAGGGCACAGGTGCATGAATGTTCCTAGGACAGGCATTGAGGTTGGGATATTGGAAGTAAATAGAGAATTATTTTGAAAATAAATTCCAATATTTGTGCAATTCAACATTACATTGCCACTAAATAATAATTTGTATTTTAATTCATAGACTTGAAAAGATAGATCTGATAGTTAAATGAATAAAACAAGTACTAAAATAGTAATCATTGTAGGATACTATATTGCAAAAAATGCAAGCTTATAAAGAGTATATCTAAAAATACAGAGAAAAATTTATTAATATCTGCTTGGGAAGGTTTCAATTAATTAAAAATTAATTACTTTTTGTTTGACTTGTGGGTTTTAACCATTTCCTCAAGTTCTAAAGTAATCATGTTTTACCTAAGTAGAAAAAATGAGAGAGAGAGAATGTAGATGGTATTGTGGCTTTTCCCACTATGATCCATAATCTTTCTCCGTCAGTGTTTATTCATGAATAAGAATTACTCCCTTTTCTGGAATAAGAAACACATTAGAGTTTTCATATCATGAATAAGAATTACTCCCCTTTCTGGAATAAGAAACACATTGGAGTTTTCATATATTATCAGATGAACAATGATGTGAGATATAGCAAAATATGAGAAGCCACTTTAAAAGTAGTACAACCTAATAAGAATGAACACGTAATTATAAATTGCAACCCACTTCCTTTATTTTCCAAGACGTGGTGTATAGTCTTCCTTCTGCCTGGATTTCCACAATTTCAACTCTCCATCCTATTCCACCACTTTGTTTGTTTTTGTACTGTTTTAGGCCTCACAAAAATATAACCTTCATGGTTTTCATGGCTGGATTAGATAACTCTCATTTGTCCTTCATTAGCTGTGCAGATTCACATTTCAGTACTTTCTGTCACTCAAAGAAATCTCTGGGTTACAGGGATTCACCAGATCAACAAGCAGCTTGTAATCTTACAACACAGAATAAATTGAATGGACAAACATTTATTAGTTGTAGTTAACATAATTGGTAGGAAAAAATGAGATTCTACTAAAGTGAACACCGTAAATATTTTACCTAGTCTGAACGTGGTTCCAGGGATGATTCCCTGAGGACGGAATATCAATATTGGGATCCACAGAGTACCTCTATTTAGCCATTTAAGAGTTTTACAGGGAGAGGGACTATGGTGTGTGAAAACGCTGAGGAAGAAAAGAACATATTGTGGATCAAAGAAACTTTAACAGGTTATTGAGCAGAGGGAAGAGGCGTAAAAGAGACTGAAGCAGTAAACTGTGAACACACTGCTGTATCTACCTGTACTATTCTGAACTCCATACCTCTCTATATTTCTCCCAAACAACACAGGACAGAAAACCTCCTGATGTCAGAGATAATATCAAATTTATCGAGTATCCTATGGAAGCAAAAGATTAAACTCTAGCTAATTCTCAGTATATACATTGGATTATTTGGCTAATTATCCATGTTATTTTTAAGTAGGAGATAAAATTTTTATATTTGGGGTTGAAGAAAACAAAGCAAAAGGGGACCAGGGAGAGTGTACCTCAGTTGAGGAAGTGTTGGGTGGAGCTGATGATGAGGTCTGGGGAGGTGGGGAATGCCCATGGCTGTGGACATGCCGGCTCCTGCAGGACAGGGAGGCTGAGTCTGCTCCTCGGATATCTTACTCCTTTTGGTTCCAGCCTTTTCTTTGGTTGGGTTTTTTCTTTTCTGAAAGTGGTTTGATTTTCCTGTTATTTGTTTTCAGTGACAAATGAAGTAGAGCACATTTTCATTACTGGGTAGTAGGTTTGTTATATGTCAATTGTCTTTCTGGAAACAAAGGATTGGTGCACATTTCCTGGCCTATTGTAAGACAGGGCATAGATGGCTTCATTAAAAAAAAAAAAAAAAAGAGACACTAGAAAGTTATACACATCATTCCTCTAAGTACTAGTGTTTGGGGATGTACTGACTTGCAATTAAAAAACTAGGTTTTTATAAATATGAACAAAGCATTTTCCCCTCTGAACCTGAAGTTAACACTCTTCTCTATTGGGGGGTGAAGATACTATATTTGTGCGATATATATTTACTAAAGTGTTTAGCTCATTGCTTTTTACAAACAAGATTAATTATTATGCAATTTGATAAATCTGAAGCTTGATGAGAAACTAATGAAGAAAAACTGCCTGCTGGAGAGACAGAGTGGAAGAGCCATGGCAGTTTCTTCTGTGGGAATTGAAGCCTGCTCCTCTTACTCAAGCTTACCTGAGCTATAGGAGTCTCCTCTCCTCCTTCAGCTGTGAACTTCTTGTCTGTGGTTGCTAAAGGTGTAGTTGGACCTACTTTTCTCTGCTTCCTCTTCTTTGATGAGGTTTTTCCTTTTGCTGGAATGGATTTAATTTTATTCACAACCAATAAAGAAAAAAGGAGGACATCTAAACCCAGAGCAGATGATCTATGGGAGGTGAAACAATCTCTATGCTGTTTTGTCTCAGTTCCTGCTTAAGCATTCAGGTGTGCTTTAGTGTACTCAACTGTATTAATCCAGCCTGGCCTCAATGAGGTCGATAGTCATAACACAGGCACAGGCACAGGCACAGGCACAGGCAAAGTCTCATGCTCCTCAGTGCTTTCATTACTCCTCCCCTGTTCACGGAGAACATCCTTTCTGTCCTGCGAACTCCATGTGCCTCAGTCAGATGTTTCCCAATCCCGGTTCTCCTATCATTTACTTGTAAAACTGTCATATTTTCACAAGTCTAACTTCTTGGACATGCTCCAGAGATAATCTATTCAAATTACAGAAACCAGTGAAATGAAATATGATATAGGTTTATGAGGTGACTATATGGTGATTCTGAACTTTGCCTTTTGAAAAAAAATTAAATCTGTGTTTTTTTAAAAAGGTAGTTTGTCTCTCTGACAGGTAGGCTTTCATTGAAGTATTGTCTCCTCTTTGTTACTACAGAGGATAATGGTGATAGTGTAAATAGCCTTAATAGAGCAAGTGAAACAATAGGTTAATTGATATATTTAACATATAAAACATCATTTTTAAATTTAGATTCACCACTTTCTCAAACTCCTGACCTCAAGGGATCTGCCCGCCTCAGCCTCCCAAAGTGCTGTAAGCCACTGCACCCGGCTTGATTCACCACCTTCTAACCTTTTTATCATACCAGAAGCCTCGGTCTTTCATCGACAACTTTTATCTATTGCTTTTACTCCATACCCCAGATACACCCTTCAAAACATATGAATCCACTGGAATGGGAATGCTCTATGCTGTCAACTTGTTGACATGCAAAGTACCAACAATATCATGACCGCTGAGGCATAAATTGGGAAATGGATATATTAACCATAATGAAGCTGAGGTTCTATTCAAGGTTGGGAAGGGTTTAGGGACAGTGGCAGGGAGGGGAGAATTCCCTTTTCCCAATTACCTTTTGACTTTTCTAAGAGTTTCAGCAAGGTCTCCTCTCCCAGTGTTGGTATTTCTTTGAAGAGTTCTCAGTTTGCCAAAACCAGCATCACCTGGGAACTTTTCTTCCATCAAGTCGGCAATCTGAATTTTGTCATATTCGTCTCTCCTTGTTGAATTAAGTTTTAAATCATTGATCAGTAAGGAATTAATTATGCTGAAGTGATAGTCATTGATGGCTTCTAATCCTTTCAGCAGAACATTGTTCTTGTATTTACTCACCATTATCTGTAGGTGACGGGTAGAACCTACAAGAGAAAAGTGGCGTACAGTGTCACACATTTATACAGACAATTGGAAAGACTGGCTATGCCTATGTGAGTGAGTGGCCGATGTCAAAGTGTTGCTCTTGGGTGTGTGTGATGAAGATGGACTGTAATCACCAGTTACATCATTTGGAGTATTGATTATGAATTGTTGCATCAAGATGATCTAAAAATTTTTTTCCCTATATTATGATAGTTGAGTTGGGTTAGGGTGGATGTGGTGGAAGTGTGTCTGGAAATAGGTAACTGTTCCAGTGTTTAGAGTATGTGCTGTGTGTGGTGTCGAACTCTGGTTATTCTTGCCATCTTTTAGGAGGCTGGAACCTTTTTCTGGATATCTGCATATTGATACCTGACTCTTCCTCCACCTACTATGATTTATGTGGCCTATGCACAAAATGGGCTGTAGCTTCTTACATTTTAGAAGAAACGTTCTGCCACAGCACAAGAAAGTCTTGTTGAGGTACTGACTTGCTCATTTGGCTTTTCCCTAATCAGCTCTCATTAAGATGCTCTCTCAATTATTGTTGGACCATATTCTCTGTGTCCTCTGTGGCCATATCATTGTCCCTTTGCTGGAAATCAACTTCCTCCAAAATGTAGAATCAAAGCATTTACTGACTGGGATATTTTCAAAAATTGCTTGATCTTCCCCTTTCCAGGTTAATTTCTCTAATCAGTTGTTTTCATTGAGCCAGCTCTCTCTATAATTCATATTTCTACCCTACTTGAAATCATTGAATACTTCTCCATTTTCTTTGGGAAAAGTGCATTACTCCTCACTCTGGCATGGAAAGCCCTCAATAATTTCTCTGTTTTACCTCGTTTTTTTTTTATTTTGCATATTTAAGACCCAGAATTATATAGCATATCTTGCCTTTTAAAGCTTTCTGCATCAAATATTTTCCTGCCTTTCTTCTTGAAAGGTAGATATAAAGAATATATGAACTTCATAAAATTAATGAAGTTTAAATTAAGATTATACAAAATTATACAATTATGTTGATATACTCAATTTGAAACCAACTATATGGAATACCTTACATTGGATATATTTATATATAATGTCCAAAACTCTGAATATAATATAGCATATGAGAAACACTATTTGTGAAAAATGACACTTCTTTTTCTCTCCAATATTTTCCTTTAACATGTTGATACAAGAAAGAGAACATGAGTGTTAAGAGCTTAAGTTTTGGAGTTCAAAAGACCTGGCTCCACACATAATAGTTTGCTATATAATAATAATATAAATTATTCTAGTTATAGAATGAGATAGGATCTGATAGAAAACTTCCTCATAAGGAGTTAGGGTGGAACTAAAAAATTGGAAATATAGGAGGATGGAGTCAAGATGGCAGACTAGAAGCAGCAAGTGTGTGCTGCTCTCATGGAGAGGAAACAAAGTGGTGAGTAAACTGACTGTACAGGAAGATTATCTAAGAAACCAGGTTGAGATCCATCAAGGGAATAAAGGGACATGGAGAACAGAGGAGAGTGAAGCCAAGCAACAGCCCACTGAGGCCTGGCCTGGAGCCAGCAGGAGCTCTCTAACAAGGAGAAAGGGTGAGTGAGACCCCCCAAGAGGATACACAGTTTCTAAAAGGGACCTTTGCAATCCTGGGAAGAGGAGAATTCCCTTGGCCCTCCCAGGCCTCTAGATGAATTCAGAGAGCCCCCAGAAGTTTTGATGGAGGCAACACTTTACTCCACAGGGAGCCTCACAGGTCTTGAACCCCAGAGCAGCCCAGTACCAGCTGCCATAGTCCCAATAGAGCCTGCAGTCATGGTGCTGGGGAGAAGTCAAATTGCTACACTCCTCTCTACCAGACCAGGCTCAGTACCAGCTTCCAGCTCTACCCCTACCTGACCTCTGCTAGGCTATACATCTCCATGTTCCCCTGAAAAGCACCTGGATGGCAGATTGGGCAACTCAACCCATCCCTGCTGCTCCTAGCCTGGCAGATTTGCCAGCTTGGAAAGCATTCAAGCAGTTGGGGGAGCCCACACTCTTAAAACACCCACATTCGACCGGGTGTGGTGGCTCACACCTGTAATCCCGGCACTCTGGGAGGCTGAGGTGGGCAGATCACCTCAGGTCAGGAGTTCAAGACCAGCCTGACCAATGTGGAGAAACCCCATCTCTACTAAAAATAGAAAATTAGCTGGGCATGGTGGCGCATGCCTGTAATCAGCTACTCAGGAGGCTGAGGCAGAATTGCTTGAACCCGGGAGGCACAGGTTGCGGGGAGCTGAGATCACGCCATTGGATTCTAGCCTGGGCAACAAGAGCGAAAACTCCATCTGGAAAAAAAAAAATCCACACTCTCAGAACACTGAGAAGGATGAGACATCTGGGCTGGTGGAGGAGCAGAATGTTGCTCTTTCTGCAGGGCTAGTCTGGAAAGAGTACAGCTTGTCAGCCATGTCCCCTGCCTGAGGGAGCCCTGTGGCCCAGAACACCCGAGTAAGGAAAATGAGAGCATGGTGCCAGTGATTTGAGGGGGATCCTCCAAGATTCAGGAGTGGATCTGGTGAGGGGGTTAGTTCTCTTCCCCTCCGCCCCAACAGAGCACTACTGTGAACATGCCAAAATGCGAGAGCTGTGCAGCTGAGTAAGTCTGTCTGCTGACCACCACTCTTACTATATTGTACCCAAATTACAACACCAAAAATATTTTGCCAGTATACAGTGCCTGTGAAACCTAAGGCAAAAATTTCAGCCACAAATAAAGATTCTGTACTGTTAAAGCAAACTAAACATGGCCTTAGAAGAACTCCATACTCCATACTTCTATATTTGAGTCCTTGTGGATGAACCCTAACCTTGTGAGACAAAATTGAAAACCTAACTTAATGGTATGCACCTGTAACAATGGCTGAGTGTTGGCTAGTCCCAGCAGCCATACTTCAACTACTCGTAGACTGCGGAATGTTCAAATTGTGTTAAAATAAGGCAAACGCCGAGCTGTAACCAATCTCACTCTTTCTGTACCTCACTTCCGATTCTTGTACCTCACTTTACCTTTTTTGTCTATAAATTCGTTCTGATCACAAGGCACCCCTGGAGTATCTCTGAAACTGCTGTGATTCTGAGGGCTCCCCGATTCACGATCATTCATTGCTCAATTAAACTCATTTAAATTTAATTTGGCTGAAGTTTTTCTTTTATCAATGCAGAGTGTTGGCCCTAAGAAAGCACCTAGAAATGAAGCCAACTGTCTATACTAAACTTACATTACAGTTAAAGGAACACCAGCCCTCACACATGAGAAAGAATCAGCATAAGAACTCTGGCAATTCAGAAAGATAGAATGTCGCCTTATCTCCAAACGAATACCCCAACCCCACAGTAATGATAATTAAGCAGACGGAAATGACTGACATAGAATTCAGACTCTGGAGGTAAGGAAGCTCATCAAGATTTAGGAGAAAGTCAAAACCCAATACAATGAATTCAATAAAATAATCCAGGAGCTGAAAGACAAAATAGCCATTTTAAGAAAGAAAAAAACTGAACTTCTAGAATTGAAAAATTTACTTTAAGAATTTCATCGTACACTCAGAAGCATTAACAACAGAATAGACCAAATTGAGGAAAGACTCTCAGAGCTTGAGAGTCTTCCAATTAACTCAGTCAGACAGAAGTAAAGAGAAAAGAATTTTAAAAATGAACAAAACTTCTTTGAAATATGGGATTATGCAAAGAGATCAAATCTGTGACTCATTGGCATACCTGAGAAAGGAGAAAAAAATAAGTCCATTTAGAAAATATAGTTGAGGATACAGTAGCTTTTCTGTAAGTTTAGAATTTGTTAACATAAACAGTTAAAGAAAAGAAGGAGGGATCAAAATCAAATAAAAATACCTGAAGTAATTTTATACTGTTCACGCTAAATCTTATATATATACTTTTGAAACACCCTCCAAATGGAAATAAAAGCTTGTGCATTTGTGAAAATTTGGTAACAAAATTTGTTAGAAAAATATCTAATGTGAGGTGGCAAAAGTCTATAATCTTTGAAAAACCCCATTTTAGCAAGAATGTTTATATGTCTTGCTGCAGATATATTGGTGTATTTGATTTGAGAGTCATAACCTGGACCTAATTGGTCTAGCTATGTAACACTCTACATATGGTGTGTGTATTAAGGAGCCTTTCTTAAGTCATTCAGATTCTGAAACTTTATGTGACTCCAAGGGTTTCAGAGAGGTGCCGCCAATCTAACTTGAAGAAAAGATAATTTTGAAACTGAAATTTTATATCTAGCCAAACTGGCATTTAAATGTGATGGCCTATAGACAATTCCTTGATATTGACTCAGGCAATTAACAATCAGAATATTTGCAACACAAAGACACCTACCAGCCCTCTTTTGGAAAAAGAGTATTCCAAAATCAAATAAACACATGAGATTTTTTTTAAAAATACAGTCTAAAAAGTAAGAGTAAAGAAGTAATTCGATTAAGTCTTTCAACTTATAAAAATGTGTAAAGCCCTGATCGAAATGAAATAGGAATTAGATAAACACGGTAGGCTGAAAGTAGTGAGAAAGAAGATGAGTGTTCACTAAGTTACATATCCTTAAAGAGAAGATATAGATATACATTTTAAAACACTAGGTAGAAGAAAAAAAAGCATAGAGTAAGTGCTACAGTTGAAATAAAGTTACTAATGTAACCAGAGCCTTTTTAGTGTCCAACTCATAGTGTCCATTGTTACCAAGAAATGGTGCTGTCTTACAAGAAGTGACAAAGACATGAAGTAAACTCCCAGGCCCCAAATTCCTTAATGCAAATAATCTCACGAATTTCTAGCTAGACCCATGGACTTGTTATTAATAAACAGCATTTCAAAATATCAGGGCTCTGGCTCCCAGTATGCTAAGTGAGGAAGTGTGACAGGCAAGCGTGGACCATGGGCTTCATAGAAATAGGTACATTGACCCACACTAGCTACCTCCTCAAACCAGAAGAGCTTAGACTTGTCTGACTTGGGATACAAAACACATACAGAGAGATTGCTTGTGGATAGTTGGACTTACCTATGTGTGTGTGACTGTGTGTGTGTGTGTGTGTTTCTAGGCATTCTTTCAACAATTTGCATGCCATTTTCTTGCCTGGATTAGATGACCTTCATTTATGCTTCATTGGACACTGCAATTTTTATCTTAGTACTTGGTGTTCATGGACATTTAATCAATGTTGCCAATTTATCATAGCACAGGTGTTATCTTTAATTTTAGGTGTCAACTTGATTGAATTAAGGAATACCCATGAAAACTGGTAAAGCATTATCATGGGTGTGTCTGTGAGGGTGTTTCTAGAGGAGGTTGGCATGCGAGTTGGTGGAGTGAGTTATGAAGATCTGTTCTCAACTTGGGTGGGCGTCAGCCAAACAGCTGTAAGTGTGTGTGTGGTGGGGGCTAGATTGAATGAAAAAGGCAGAGGAAAGGTGATTTCTCTCTCTCTCCTGGAGCTGGAACATTCTTCTTCTCCTGCCCTTGGACATCAGAACTCCAGGCTCTCTGGCCTTTGGACTCCAGGACTTAACACCAGTGGTCCCCAGGTTCCTAGGCTTTTGGCCTCGTATTGAGAATTATGCCATCAGATTCCCTGATTCTGAAGCTTTCAGATTTGGGCTGAGCAACACCAATGGAATCCCAGGGTCTCCAGCTTACAATTGCCCTGTCCTGGACCTTCTCAGTTTCCATAACCCAGTGAGCCAATTCCTCTAACAAATTCCTTCTGAACTGTCTGTCTGTATGTCCATTCATCTGTCCATCCATCCATCCATCCATCCATCCATCCATCCATCCATCCATCCATTCTATTGGTTTTATCTCTCTGGAGAACCCTATCTAATACAACAGGGAAACACTTCCACCAAAACAAGTTAATCAGTAGCAATAGAGTTATATACGAGAGTAACAATAGTAACAGTGGAATGTAGACTGAAGAAAGATAGAGGACTCATATGAAAGAAATTATAAAACTACTTGGGGGAACATAATAGGACAGTGAGGGTCTCTTCATTGTGGAGACCATTGTAATAGGGGACATAGTAAATTCATAATGTATGAAATTTTAAAACAAATAAACTTTCTTTAAAATTATACTTTAAGTTCTATAGTACATGTGCACAACATGCAAGTTTGTTACATATGTATACATGTGCCACGTTGGTGTGCTGCACCCATTAACTCGTCATTTACATTAGGTATATCTCCTAACGCTATCCCTTCCCCCTCCCCCCCACTGCACAACAGGCCCTGGTGTGTGATGTTTCCCTTCTTGTGTCCAAGTGTTCTCACTGTAAAACAAAGAAACTTAAGTACATTCATAAATTTGAGTATCTTATACCTATTAAGTAATATCTATATATTTTTAATTTAACTATTTATATTTATATTTATTTGTTATCATTTAACAGAATCCAATGTATAATTTAACAATACCCAGTTTTTGAAGGTTATACTCTTTATATTTCTATAAGAAATTAATATAATTGCTGACACAGTAGGAATCCTTCAGTATGATGGCTGTATCAATCATCTTCATTGTTGGTTGGGAAGGGAAGGATTATTTCATAATATCCTCAACCTAAAAGATAGTTGATAGAAGTTATGGAAATTTGTATTCTTTTCTTACCTGTATTCTTGTGATGTGAAATTAATCTCAACCATTTTGTCTTATTTCAATTTCCACCTTTTAAAACCAAGTGACAGGCTTAGTTCTTTTCCATTAGAAACTTTTGAAAATATGTTTTGACTTCCAGGAAGCATTCGAATATGTAAGCATAAGGTCAGCAATTTTGAAAGGTGGCAGCCAGATACAGGACAGATCTGTTAGGATTTGACTCAGCTAGTCTTTTTAAGATCAATTTCGTGGAGGGATTTTTGAAGAGAATATTTCTCCTACACAAGGCTCTTACTAATTTGAAGACAGTGTTCTAGTTTTACCAAAAATAAATTTTTAAACTCCTACTTTGTATTACATAAAACAAAAAAAGAAAAATATGTTTGCCTGCAGAAACATAATAGCCCTTAGCGGTGGTTCTCAAACTTTGGGGAGCCCCCAATCCCCCAGGGGATTATGCTAAATAAAATGCAGTTTTCCAAGGCTCACTCCAGACCTACTGAATCAGAAACTGGACGGTAAGATCAGGAAGCTGCATTCCTAACAAGCAGTTCAGGCCATTCTGATGCAAGAGACCCCTGAACAACACTCCAAAGAAAACATGGTGCTGTAAGTTACAACGAAACTCTGACCAGGTGCGCTGTGCTGGACACTAGACACGTTGAAAGAACCTCTGGGGGTCTGAAATCGTATCCACACAACTTGATCCATAAGTTTAAAAACGTACTTTTGTGGCCTTTGAGAGTTAATGCACTTACAAAAATGCCTCCACTTCCTTACTTACAAAACCTAATAGCAATTTTAAAGGAAAAGTGTAGTGATTGGATCAGATTTAATCACTTGAACTTGCTATTTAATCACTGCCGGATAGTGGCATTAAAAAATCCAGTAAGAGGCCGGGCGCGGTGGCTCACGCCTGTAATCCCAGCACTTTGGGTGGTCGAGGCGGGCGGATCACGAGGTTAGGAGATCGAGACCATCCTGGCTAACACGGTGAAACCCCGTCTCTACTAAAAATACAAAAAAAAAAAAATAGCCGGGCGTGGTGGCGGGCGCCTGTAGTCCCAGCTACTCGGGAGGCTGAGGCAGGAGAATGGCGTGAACCCGGGAGGCGGAGCTTGCAGTGAGCAGAGATTGCGCCACTGCACTCCAGCCTGGGCAACAGAGTGAGACTCCGTCTCAAAAAAAAAAAAAAAAAAAAATCCAGTAAGATAAATTCCTCATGCTAGGGAATCTAATTCTTTGAGATTTTTTTAAAATTATACATTAAGTTCTAGGGTACACATGTGCAACGTGCAGGTTTGTTACATAGGTATACATGTGCCATGTTGGTTTGCTGCACCCATTAACTCGTCATTTACATTAAGTGTTTCTCCTAATGCTAACCCTCCCCCAGGCTCCCACCCCCGCAACACGCTTCAGGGTGTGATGTTTCCCGCCCTGTGTCCATGTGTTCTCACTGTTCAACTCCCACCTAGGAGTGAGAACATGAGGTGTTTGGTTTTCTGTCCTTGTGATAGTTTGCTGAGAATGATGGTTTCCAGCTTCATCCATGCCCCTGCAAAGGACATGAACTCATCCTTTTTTTTGGTTGTATAGTATTCCATGGTGTATATGTGCCACATTTTTTTAATCCATTCTATCATTGCTGGACATTTGGGTTGGTTCGAAGTCTTTGTTACTGTGAATAGTGCTGCAATAAACATACATATGCATGTGTCTTTATAGTAGCATGATTTATAATCCTTTGGGTATATACCCAGTAATGGGATGGCTGGGTCAAATGGTATTTCTAGTTCTAGATCCCTGAGAAATTGCCATACTGTCTTCCACAATGATTGAACTAATTTACACTGGCACCAACAGTGTAAAAACATTCCTGTTTCTCCCCATCCTCTCCAGCTTCTGTTGTTTCCTGACTTTTTAATGATTGCCATTCTAACTGGCGTGAGATGGTATCTGATTGCGGTTTTGATTTGAATTTCTCTGATGACCAGTGATGATGAGCATTGTTTCATATGTCTGTTGGTGGCATAAATGTCTTCCTTTGAGAAGTGTCTGTTCATGTCCTTTGCCCACTTTTTGATGGGATTGTTTGTCTGATGGGTAGATTGCAAAGATTTTCTCCCATTCTGTAGGTTGCCTGTTCACTCTGATGATAGTTTCTTTTGTGGTGCAGAAGCTCTTTAATTTAATTAGATCCCATTTGTCTATTTTAGCTTTTGTTGCCATTGCTTTTAGTGTTTTAGTCATGAAGTCTTTGCCCATGCCTATGTCCTGAATGGTATTGCCTAGGTTTTCTTCTAGGGTTTTTATGGTGTTAGGTCTTATATTTAAGTCTTCAATCCATCTTGAGTTAATTTTTGTATATGGTCTAAGGAAGGGATCCAGTTTCAGCTTTCTACATATGGCTAGCCAGTTTTCCCAGCATGATTTATTAAGTAGGAAATCCTTTCCCCATTCCTTGCTTTTGTCAGGTTTGTCAAAGATTAGATGATTGTAGATATGTGGTGTCGTTCCTGAGGCCTCTGTTCTGTTCCAATGGTCTATATCTCTGTTTTGGTACCAGTACCATGCTCTTTTGGTTACTGTAGCCTTGTAGTATAGTTTGAAGTCAGGTAGCGTGATGCCTCCAGCTTTGTTCTTATTGCTTAGGATTGTCTTGGCTATGCAGGCTCTTTTTTGGTTCCATATGAACTTTAAAGTAGTTTTTTCCAATTCTGTGAAGAAAGTCAGTGGTAGCTTGATGGGGATAGCATTGAATCTATAAATTACCCTGGGCAGTATGGCCATTTTCATGATATTGATTATTCTTATCCATGAGCATGGAATGTTCTTCCATTTGTTTGTGTCCTCTTTTATTTCCTTGAGCAGTAGTTTGTAGTTCTCCTTGAAGAGGTTTTTCACATCCCTTGAAAGTTGGACTCCTAGGTATTTTATTCTCTTTGTAGTAATTGTGAAAGAGAGTTCACTCATGATTTGGCTCTCTGTTTGCCTGTTATTGGTGTATACGAATGCTTGTGATTTTTGCACATTGATTTTGTATCCTGAGACTCTGCTGAAGTTGCTTATCAGCTTAAAGAGATTTTGGGCTGAGACAATGGGGTTTTCTAAATATACAATCATTTCATCTGCAAACAGAGGCAATTTGACTTCCTCTTTTCCTAATTGAATATCCTTTATTTCTTTCTCTTGCCTGATTACTCTAGCCAGAACTTCCAATACTATGTTGAATAGGAGTGGTGAGAGAGGGCATCCTTGTCTTGTGCTGGTTTTCAAAGGGAATGCTTCCAGTTTTTGCCCATTCAGTATGATATTGGCTATGGGTTTGTCATAAATAGCCCTTATTATTTTGAGAACGTTCCATCAATACCTAGTTTATTGAGAGTTTTTAGCATGAAGGGCTGTTGAATTTTGTTGAAGGCCTTTTCTGCATCTATTGAGATAATCATGTGGTTTTTGTCATTGGTTCTGTTTATGTGATGGATTACGTTTATTGATTTGTGTATGTTGAACCAGCCTTGCATCCCAGGGATGAAGCTGACTTGACTGTGGTGGATAAACTTTTTGATGTGCTGCTGGATTCGGTTTGCCAGTATTTTATTGAGGATTTTCACATAAGTGTTCTTCAGAGATATTGGCCTAAAATTCTCTTTTTTTGTGTGTGTATCTTTACCAGGCTTTGGTATCAGGATGATGACAGCCTCATAAAATGAGTTAGGGAGGATTCCCTCTATTTCTATTGATTGAAATAGTTTCAGAAGGAATGGTACCAGCTCCTCTTTGTACCTCTGGTAGAATTTGGCTGTGAATCCATGTGGTCCTGGACTTTTTTTGGTTAGTAGACTATTAATTATTGCCTCAGTTTCAGAACCTGTTATTGGTCTATTCAGAGATTCAACCTCTTCCTGGTTTAGTCTTGGGAGGGTGTATGTGTCCAGGAATTTATTCATTTCTTTTAGATTTTCTACTTTATTGGTGTAGAAGTGTTTATAGTATTCTCTGATGGTAGTTTGTATTTCTGTGGGATTGGTGGTGATATCCCCTTTATCATTTTTTTATTACATCTATTTGATTCTTCTCTCTTTTCTTCTTTATTAGTCTTGCTAGCGGTCTATCTATTTTGTTGATCTTTTCAGAAAACCAGCTCCTAGATTCATTGATTTTTTTGATGAGTTTTTGTGTCTCTATCTCCTTCAATTCTGCTCTGATTGTAGTTATTTCTTGTCTTCTGCTAGCTTTTAAATTTATTTGCTCTTGCTACTTTAGTTCTTTTAATTGTGATGTTATGGTGTCGATTTTAGATCTTTCCTGCTTTCTCCTGTGGGCATTTAGTGCTATTTCCCTCTACACATGGCTTTGAATGTGTCCCGGAGATTCTGGTATGTTGTGTATTTGTTCTCATTGGTTTCAAAGAACATCTTTATTTCTGCCTTCATTTCGTTATGTACCCAGTAGTCATTCAGGAGCAGGGTGTTCAGTTTCCATGCAGTTGTGTGGTTTTGAGTGAGTTTATTAATCCTGAGTTCTAATTTGAACACACTGTGGCCTGAGAGACAGTTTGTTGTGATTTCTGTTATTTTACATTTGCTGAGGAGTGTTTTACTACCAATTATGTGGTCAGTTTTAGAACAAGTGCGATGTGGTGCTGAGAAGAATGTATATTCTGTTGATTTGGGGTGTAGAGTTCTGTAGATGTCTATTAGTTCCACTTGGTGCAGAGCTGAGTTCAAGTCCTGGATATCCTTGTTAAACTTCTGTCTCATTGATCTGTCTAATATTGATAGTGGGGTGTTAAAGTCTCCCATTATTATTATGTGGGAGTCTAAGTCTCTTTGTAGGTCTCTAAGGACTTGCTTTATAAACATGGGTGCTCCTGTATTGGGTGCATATGTATTTAGAATAGTTAGCTCTTCTCGTTGAATTGATCCTTTTACCATTATGTAGTGGCCTTCTTTGCCTCTTTTGATCTTTGTTGGTTTAAAGTCTGTTTTGTCAAAGACTAGGATTGCAACCCCTGCTTTTTTTTGCTTTCCATTTGCTTGGTAGATCTTCCTCCATCCCTTTATTTTGAGCCTACGTGCATCTTTGCACATGAGATGAGTCTCCTGAATACAGCACACTGATTGGTCTTGACTCTTTATCCAATTTACCAGTCTGTGTCTTTTAATTGGGGCATTTAGCCCATTTAGATTTAAGATTAATATTTTTATGTTTGAATTTGATCCTGTCATTATGATGTTAGCTGGTTATTTTGCCCATTAATTGATGCAGTTTCTTCATAGCGTTGATGATATTGCCATTTGGCATGTTTTTGCAGTGGCTGGTACCGGTTGTTCTTTTCCATGTTTAGGAGCTCTTGTAAGGCAGGCCTGGTGGTGACAGAATCTGTCAGCATTTGCTTATCTGTAAAGAATTTTATCTCTCCTTCACTTATGAAGCTTAGTTTGTCTGGATATGAGATTCTGGGTTGAAAATTCTTTTCTTTTCTTTTTTTAATTATATTTTAAGTTTTAGGGTACATGTGCACAACGTGCAGGTTAGTTACATATGTATACATGTGCCATGTTGGTGTGCTGCACCCAGTAACTCGTCATTTAACATTAGGCATATCTCCAAATGCTATCTCTCCCCCATCCCCCCACCCCACAACAGGCCCCAGTGTGTGATGTTCCCCTTCCTGTGTCCATGTGTTCTTACTGTTCAATTCCCACCTATGAGTGAGAACATGTGGTGTTTGGTTTTTTGTCCTTGCAATAGTTTGCTGAGAATGATGGTTTCCAGCTTCATCCATGTCCCTACAAAGGAGATGAACTCATCATTTTTTATGGCTGCATAGTATTCTATGGTGTATATGTGCCACATTTTCTTAATCCAGTCTATCATTGTTGGACATTTAAGAATGTTGAATATTGGCCCTCACTATCTTCTGGCTTGTAGGGTTTCTGCTGAGAGATTAGCTGTTAGTCTGATGGGCTTCCGTTTGTGGGTAACCTGTCCTTTCTCTCTGGCTGCCCTTAACATTTTTTCCTTCATTTCAACCTTGGTAAATCTGACAATTATGTGTCTTGGGGTTGTTCTTCTTGAGGAGTATCTTTGTGGTGTTCTCTGTATTTCCTGAATTTGAATGTTGGCCTGCCTTGCTAGGTTAGGGAAGTTCTCCTGGGTGATATCCTGAAGAGTGTTTTCTAACTTGTTTCCATTCTCCCCATCACTTTCTGGTACACCAATCCAACGTAGATTTCGCCTTTTCACATAGTCCCATATTTCGTGGAGGCTTTGTTCATTTCTTTTTACTCTTTTTTCTCTAATCTTGTCTTCTCGCTTTATTTCATTAATTTGATCTTCAATCACAGATATCCTTTCTTCCACTTGATCAAATTGGCTACTGAAGCTTGTGCATGTGTAACGAAGTTCTCGTGCTGTGGTTTTCAGCTCCATCAGGTCATTTAAGGTCTTCTCTACACTGTTTATTCTAGTTAGTCATTGGTCTTTTTTCAAGGTTTTTAGCTTCCTTGCAATGGGTTAGAACATGCTCCTTTAGCTCAGAGAAGTTTGTTATTACCGACCTTCTAAAGCCTACTTCTGTCAACTGGTCAAAGTCATTCTCCATCCAGTTTTACTCCCTTGCTGGCGAGGAGTTGACATCCTTTGGAGAAGAGGTGCTCTGTTTTTCGGAATTTTCAGCTTTTCTGCTCTGGTTTCTCTTCATCTTTGTGGTTTTATCTACCTTTGGTCTTTGATGTTGGTGACCTACAGATGGAGTTTTAGTGTGGATGTCCTTTTTGTTGATGTTGATGCTATTTCTTTCTGTTTGTTAGTTTTCCTTCTTGCAGTTAGACCCCTCAGCTGCAGGTCTGTTGGAGTTTGCTGGAGGTCCGTCCACTCCAGACCCTGTTTGCCTGGGTATCACCAGCGGAGGCTGCAGAACAGCAAATATTGCTGCCTGATTCTTCCTCTGGAAGCTTCATCCCAGAGGGGCACCTGCCTGTTTGAGGTGTCTGTCAGCCCCTGCTGGGAGATGTTTCCCAGTCAGGCTACACGGGGGTCAGGGACCCGCTTGAGGAGGCAGCCTGTCCGTTCTCAGAGCTCAAATGCTGTGCTGAGAGAACCACGCTCTCTTCAGAGCTGTCAGACAGGGATGTTTAAGTCTGCAGAAACTGTCTGCTGCCTTTTGTTCTACTATGCCCTGCCACCAGAGGTGGAATCTATAGAGGCAGTAGGACTTGCTGAGCTGCAGTGGGCTCCGCTCAGTTTGTGCTTCCTGGCTTCTTTGTTAACACTGTGAGCTACTCAAGCCTCAACAATGGTGGATGTCCCTCCCGCTGTCAAGCTGCAGCATCGCAGGTTGATCTCAGACTTCTGTGCTAGCAGTGAGCAAGGCTCTGTATGTGTGGGACCCGCCAAGCCAGGCATTGGAGGGTATCTCCTGGTCTGCTGATTGCTAAGACTGTGGGAAAAGCACAGTATTTGTTCAGGAGTCTACTGTTTCTCCAGGTACAGTCTGTCATGGTTTCCCTTGGCTAGAAAAGGGAAATTCCCCAACCCTCACTTCCCGGGTGAGGCAATGCCCTGCCCTGCTTCAGCTCGCCCTCCATGGGCTGTACCCACTGTCCAACCGGACCCAATGTGATGAACCAGGTTGGAAATGCAGAAATCACCAATCTTCTGTGTCAATCTCTAGATAATATAAGATCTTTATCTCTGGATGATAATATCTCTGCAAACTTTATCTCTAGATGGTAATATCTAATTTGAATATATTTGAATATAACCTGCACACATACTACTGCATACTTTATCTCTAGATGATAATATCTAATACAATATAAATGCTATGTAAATGGTTGTTCTACATGAGAGTAACAACGGTAACAGTGGAATGCAGCCCGAACAAGAAAAAGTGACAAGAAAAAATATTCTATACATGTTCAGTTCAAGGGAAATCCTTTTCCTTTAACAAATATTTTCAATGGGTAGTTAGGTGAATCTATGGATATGGAGGGCATACTGCACTCAGGTATTTATTATGTTATTTGGTAAGTGTATTTATTCAGAATCTACTATGAGGCAGATAATGAACTAGCAACTGGGATAAAGTGATTTAAAAGGCAGCCAGGTACCCCTACTCCTGAAACTTACAGATTGGTTGAAAAGACAAATATCCATTAACTACTGTGTCTTAAGTGATGGAAACAGAAGAAAAAAAGCTTCTACAAAAGTAAACACCAACAAGATTTCTACTAACCTGAGAAAAGATCAAAGGCAGGATTTCCTAAGGAGACATTAACACAAACACTGAGACCCAGAAAATGGATGGGTTTGACCAAATTAGGAGGTTTTCAGGTAGAAGAAGCAAGATGAAAACCTTTAAGAAGACAAGAGAATGATGTGCTGAAGAAATTTTAGTAGATTAGTGAGTAAGGGCAAGAAATATAAAAGAGGCTTTAGCAGCAAACAATGAACCTAACTGCTTCTTGTTACGGACACTACTCTCTCTCTGCTTCCCACAGAACAACACAAGGCAGATCTTACATTGATAAAGTATCTCTTGTGGAAGCAAAAGATTAATTGTTGTGAATTCTCAGTATATTAATTTGAGTAAGTAATTAGTAGTGTTATTTTTAGATAGAACAGATAAAATGTTCTTTTGAGGTTTGAGCCCTAAAGGATGCATTAAAGGGCCAGGCAAGGTGGCTCACACCTGTAATCCCAGCACTCTGGGAGGCCGAGGTGGGTGGATCAACCTGAGGCCAGGAGTTTGAGACCAGCCTGACCAACATAGTGAAACCTCATCTTCACTAAAAATACAAAAATTAGCCAGGCATGGTGGTGCGCACTTGTAATCCAAGCTACTCAGGAAGCTGAGGCATGAGAATCACTTGAGCCTAGAGGCAGCTGAGTTTGTGCCACTGCACAAACTCTGTGCCTGGGCAACAGAGCAAGACTCTGTCTCAAAAAAAAATGCATTAAAGAAAAATGGAGGAAAGAAAACACCCAAGTTAGGAGAAAATTCTTCTGTAATTTTGTGGTTAACAAAGGAGTTCCCAAATCTTTCTCTACAAATCCCTACAGGTGTCACATCACTAGAATTTCTTCCACAGTAATCTAGACCTTGACTTTTTTTTCAAGAAATGTAGGAATAGCTGTTTGTTTTGTGCAAATGGAATGGTAAATCATTACAACCATCTAAAGACTGAACTGAAGGATGTTATAATATTGTGAAAGGCTAAGAAAGTGGAAGTATTTTGAAAGATAACAATAAAAAAAGTATTTTGAAAGGTAACAATAAAAAATGGCATTGGCTTGGCTCACTTAAAAACTTTGCTAGTGGTGATCCTCATACTGTACTATGCTGTAGGGAGACCGAAATGATGGAACAATTCTGAGACTTGTCCCATCAATGTTCTTAGATTTTGATACTTTTAGTTAGAGAAATTGAACTACTTATTTTATGTAGATAATTTATTATAAAGAAACAATGATAGCATAATTTTATCTTGTTCTTTTGTAACAACATTTGGAAAACAGATAATATAAGGCTGGGATACACGAGAGAAGGAAAACAATTAAGGTGAGACTTACGATGGTCTCACCTTTTTGCAGTCGATTTTAAGATTTTGGTGAATGGAGTGGGAACCCAGGCAGAACTTGGTAGTCCTGCTGCAGAGCATCAAGAGATCAAAGTTTAGGCAGAATTTACAGAGCAGAGCACTACAGATAAATAAGCTAGGCAGAAAACGAACAAGCAAATAAACAAGAACAACAACAATAAAACAAACAGAAATCTCTTGTTGTTCTTCAGCCTTTGGCTTAGTAACACTCTGTGTATTCCTTGTAGAAACCCCTCAAGATGGCCAAAGAAAAACTTCTGGAGAAAGTACCGTTATTAGGCAGTTGTAAGTTGAAGAATTCCCAGAGCTCATATAGAGCCAAGGATTGTTTGATTTCTCTCTAGCCAAACTGGATAGGCTTTACTGAATACAGAGCATGTGGTAGAGACCTTGGTCACTCATTTGGTTAAGACTTAAACAAGAGAATATATTAGCTCTAGAATCAAGGCTAATTTTTACCTACCCTAAAATGAGCCTAAAAATGAGATCCAAAAGGATCAAACTAATTGGCAAGAGCAGTTTTAGGTTTACAGAAAAATTAGAGGAAAGAGCAGAGAGTTCCCATTAACCTATTACCTTCAATATTTCCTATTATTATTTTGCATTAGTGTGGTACACTTATTATAATTGAGCAAGGGAATGGGGTCTCACAGTCACTCAGGCTGGGGTGCAGTGGAGCAATCACAACTCACTGCAGCCTCAAACTCCTGGCCTCAAGTGATCCTCTTGCCTCAGCCTCCCAAGTATCTAGGACTACAGGAGTACACCACCACACTTGGCAAATTTTTAAAATTTTTGTAGAGTAGGGGTATTGCTATGTTGCCCAGGCTGGTCTCAAATTCCTGGACTCAAGTAATTCCTCCCCTGTGGCCTCCCAAAGTGCTGGGATTATAGGCGTGAGACACCACACCTGGCTTGATATAGTTTTACTGGCTAAAGAGCATAGTTTACATTAGAATTCACTCTGAGGTTGTGCATTCTATGGCTTTTGAAAAATGTATAAGGACATGTGTCCACCATTATAGTATCAATTAAAATAGTTGTATCCTAAAATCCTCTTGGCACCACTTTTTCATTCCTCTTTCCTCTTCCTGAACTCCTGGCAACCACTGGTCTTTTTACTGTCTTCTCAGCTTTGCCTTTTCCAAAATAACATATAGTAGTTGGAGTCAAACAGTATGTAGCCTTTTTATATTATTTTCTTTCACTTATCAATATACATTTAATATTCCTTCATGTATCTTCATGGTTTGATAGCTCATTACTTTTTATTATTAAATAATATTCCATTGTATGGATGTACCAAATTTGTTTATTCATTTGTCTATTACAGGACATGTTGGTGCTTCCAAGTTTTGACAGCAAGAAACATTTGTATACACGTTTTTGTGTAGACATAAGTTTTCAACTCTGGGTTAGTATCAAAGAACATGATTACTGGATTGTGTGGTAAGAATTTTTTTAGTTTTAGGGCCAGGGGCGGTGGCTCACGCCTGTAATCCCAGCACTTTGGGTGGCCGAGGCGGGCGGATCACGAGGTCAGGAGATCGAGACCATCCTGGCTAACACAGTGAAACCCCATCTCTACTAAAAATACAGAAAATTAGCCGGGCGTGGTGGCGGGCGCCTGTAGTCCCAGCTACTAGGGAGGCTGAGGCAGGAGAATGGCGTGAACCTGGGAGGTGGCGCTTGCAGTGAGCCGAGATCACGCCACTGCACTCCAGCCTGGGCAACAGAACGAGACTCCGTTTCAAAAAAAAAAAAAAAAAAGAATTTGTTTAGTTTTGTAAGAAACTACCAAAATGTCTTTTGAAGTGGCTGTCTCAAATTTCATTGTCAGTAGTGATTGAGGTTTCCTATTGCTCCAAATCTACATCAGCATTTGCTATTGTCAGCATTTTGGATTATAGCCATTCTAATAGGTGTGGTGGGATCATTTTGTTTTAATTTGTAATTCTCTAATGACATATGATGTTGAAGATCTTTTAATGTGCTTAGTTTACATCCGTATATCTTACTTGAGGAATTGTCTGTTCAAATCTTTTATAATTTGAACTGTTTTCTGGTTGTTGAATTTTAACAATCTTGCATGGTTTCTGAAATGCAGTCTGATATTATTATTATCCTTGCTCTTCTATAATGAGAGTATTTTATTCTTCTGACTTCTTTCAAGAGTCTCTCTTTATCTTTGATTTTCTCCAATCTGTATATGTGTGGATGTCATTTTTATTTATTCTGTTTGGTTCTCTGAGATTCCTGGGTTTGTGGTTGGGTGTCTATCATTAATTTGAGGAAAAAATTCAGTCAATATTACTTCAACTATTTATTTTTCTTTCTCATTTTTTGTTCTTCTTGTATGCTTATTATACATACATTATGTCTTTAAATATTCTACAGTTCAGGATATTTCCTTCTTAATTCTTTTTCTCTTTCTATTTCAATTTTGGAAGCTTCTACTGACATTTCACTCATTCTTTTCTCAGCAATGCCTAACTGTTGATGGGTCCAACTAATACACTCTTCATTTTTTCTATAGCATTTTTTATTTCCAGAATTTCATCTTGATTTTATCTTAAAGTTTTCATTTCTCTTCATACATTACACAGCTGTTCTTGCATGTTGTACACTTTTAAGATTAAATTCCCTAGCATATTAATCAGCGTGGTTTTAAATCCCTAGATGGACAATTTCAACATCACTGCCATTTCTGAGTCTGGTTCTGATGCATGCCCTCTCTATCACTTTGGGTTGTGTCTTTTGTCTTTTTGTATGCCTTATGATTTTTGGAAAACAGGACAGCAAGTACTGGTTAAAAATAACTGAGGTTTCATGTTTTTCTGGCTAGGTGTTAGGCTTTGTTTACTCTTTGCTGGAGCTGTAGGTGTAGACACAGGATTTTTCTCAGTTACTTTGTAAGATGGGGATCTTTGGCTAGTGATGTCCCCCTGCCTGGACCTTGCTTGACCATGCTACCTGCTACAGGAGACAGCCTGCACACTTGGCCTGCCTGGGCTTCACCTGGCTTGTGCACTGGCTCAGGTGGCTGGGCCAGGTGTATCCCCCAGCCCACCTGTGTAATAGCTTGTACCCACATTCAGTAGTTCCCAAGTTCTTGTCTCACATCCAAAAAGAATGAAGATATACTAACAATTGAAGGGTGAGGAGGGCAGAGAATAATTTTATTGAGCGACAAATCAGCTCTCAGTGGAGAAGGGATGTGAGAATGGTCAACCGTCCAGAATTGAGTGGTTTCTCCCCCAGTGTGGCTGAGTCTGGGGCTGTTATGGGTTCAGAATAGGTGAGTATGTGCTGATTGGTTTGTGAATATGCAAAAAAGGCTAAAACAAAGACATCACTCAATAGTGAACACAACAGTGTACAAAGCAATTAGGGAAGGGTAAGTATATGTAACATAGGTGACCAGTGAGGATCAGTCAGAGGAACGTGTGCCAAATGGGAAGAGGGGTTCTTAATCTGGTTCATGGATTTACCTGGGACTTGTAGCTTGGCTTTCAACTATCTTCCGCTTGAAGGTGGTGTTTCACCAGGGACACACCCCTATCTGCTTAGGCATATGTCTGACTCCTGCTGCTATCAGTGTTAGAGGCTAAAAATTCTTCTGGAACCCTTATGTTTGTTTCCCCAGTTATCTGTGAGGTTGTGTAGAGACTGCTTAAATAATTTCTGATATATGTATATCTTTTATTTGTATTGCCCTGTTATTATATAGGAACTCTATTGATGTAGTGTAAGGGGTGGGAGGAAGAGAAGTGTTCTATAGACATATGATTAAGTTTCAGTCTTTTAGGAAGCTTGTGTCCCTGGGCCCTGACCTTCACAAGTGCTTCTCAGTTCCCTTCCCCCAAACTTAGGTGTAACAGGACAGCTAGAGAGGGTAGGAGTTAGGTATTTCCCTTCCACCATATCAGGCTGTGGCAAAATCTCAGTTGGTTAGGGGGCTGGTGAAATAGTCTTTTGAGGACAGGTCTTGTTACAGAGAACAGAGTGCTCTGGAAATATTTCAAACTGGCTACTTTCCCCCTCTCCCTGACAGAATCACTCAAGGACTTTGTTTCTGGTTATCATAGTGAGAACCTGTTAGGCTCTTCAAGGTAAAGCTCACAAAAGTGTGGGGTTTTCCTAAGAAGGGCACTGTTGTGATGCAAATCCTCAAAATTCTCCACACTGAACATCCAGCAATTAATCAATTACAGTTAAGGTTTTCTTATCCTGATACAGGTTGCCATTGAGATTTCTTCATGTAAGTCTGTGCTCTCATAATTCTGATTCTCCATATCTGCTTGCATGTGACTCAGAATTTTTGGGGCAGTGTATCTTTCCTGTGATCTCAATTCTTTCATGAATCTAAAAATAATTGTTAATTTTTCAATTTTTTAAAGCTATCTTCTGTAGATGATAATTTCTAAGTTCCTTCTGTGTTAGGCTAGAAACCAGAACTGAAATACAATTTTAATAAAAAGTATAAATCCAGAGCTCACACAAAGAATCCAAAAAACCACAAACAAATTAGACACAAAGAAAAACACATTGAGGCAGATTATTATTAAATTGCTGAAATAGTGATAAGTAGAAAGTCTTAAAAGAACTAGAAGAAAAGAGGCACAATCTGTACAGGGGATCAAAAATAAGAAGGAGCACACATTTCTTATCAGAAACTCATACTGGAAAGGGGTTCTGATCCAGACTCTAAGAGAAGGTACTTGGAACTCACAAAATAATTCAGGGCAAGACCATACAGTCAAGTGAAAGCAAGTTTATTAAGAAAGTAAAGGAATAAAGAATGGGTACTGTATAGGCAGAGCAGCCCTGAGGGCTTCTGGTTGCCCATTTTTATGGTTATTTCTTGATTATACGCTAAACAAGGGGTGGATTCTTCATGCCTCCCCTTTTTAGACCATATAGGGTAACCTCCTGATGTTGCCATGTCATTTGTAAACTGTCATGGCACAGGTAGCAGTGTAACAGTGAAGACAACCAGAGGTTACTCTCATCACCATCTTGGTTTGGGTGGGTTTTGGTTGGCTTCTTTACTGCAACCTGCTTTATCAGCAAGGTCTTTATGACCCGTATCTTGTGCCAACCTCCAATATCATCCTGTGACTAAGAATGCCTTAAACTCCTAGAAATGCTGTCCAGTAGGTCTCAGCCTTGTTTTACCCAGCCCCTATCCAAGATGGAGTTGCTCTTATTCAAATGCCTCTGACGAAACTACACAAAACCATAAGATAAGGAAATAACATACTTAAAGTACTGAAAGAAAAATACATAATTAGATTTCTATATACATTAAAAATATGTTTCAAAAATGCAGGTAAGATAAGGATGTTTTTAGACCAACAAGATTTAAGAATATTTTTCACTTGAAAATAGATACATTAAAATGTTAATGGAAGGTCTCTAGGCAGAAGGAACATGATATCGGATAGAAATTTGAATATACACAAAGTAATAAAAAATTATAGAAATAAATGATATATGAATACATAGGGAAGACATGTTCTCCATTTATATATATATGTATATATATATACTCTAAAAGTAATAAAATGTTTAAAGCAAATAACTCTATATTATTATGTTTATAAAATAAGCTGGAGTAAAATACATTACAAAAAGAACACAAACAACACAAGTAAGGAAATAGAAGAACAATGTTATAAAGTTCATACATTTATGTGAAGTGGTAACATTTGAAAGTATATTGAAATAAGTTAAAGATGTACATTATAGATCCTAGAGCAAAAGATTAAAAATATAACTCATATAGCTATTAAGCCAATAGCTTAGATAAAATGGAATACAGATGCTGCTCAACTTATAATGGGGTTATATCTTGATAAACCCACTGTGAGTTGAAACTATCATAAATCAAAATTTTACTTAGTACACTGTATAGTATCAGTTGTGTACTTTTGTGATCTTATGGCTGACTAGAAACTGTGCTTTGAGTCACTTCCCAGCATTGTGAGATAATATCATAGTATATATCACTAGTCCAGGAAAATATTAAGTTTCAAAATTCAGCTTCTACTGAATGCATATCCCTTTTCCACCTAGGTACAGTTGAAAAATCACAAGTAAAAGAACATAATTTGAGGACCATCTGTACTAAAAGACAGTAATAGTAGTAGTAGGAAAAAGTACAGGACAGATAAATAGAAAATAAATGGTAGCAAGATGGTAGCATTAAACCCAAACACATTAAAAATTTTATTCAATATAAATAACCTAAGCATTCCAATTAAAATGCAAATGCTTTTAGAACAGATAAAACAGCAAGACCCACATACTTGCCATTTACCAGATACTCAAATAAAATGTAAAGACACAGGTTAAAAATAAGAAGATGTAAAATATTTACCACACCAGTTCAAATAATGATAAAGCTGAAATGACTGGATGAATATCAGAAAAAGTAGACTTCCAAGCAAGGACTATATTATCAAGGATTTATAAGGTACAATTTATAATTAGAAAGGTTGAAGTCATCAAAGAGCTATAACAAATGAGTTTAAAACACAAGCTTAAAACAGAAGGAAAATCTGCAGAAATTTAAAAAATATATAAAACTACAATTATAGTTAGAAATTTCAATAAATCTATCAGTAATTGATAAAACAAGTAGATAAATATACAGTCATTATAGAATTAAATAATGATACCAGCCAACTTCACCTAATTGGTGTTTAATATCACTTCCACCAACAACTACAGAAATATGCTTTTCAATTGCACACAAATCATTCACCAAGATAGGTGATATTCTGGTTAATAAGAAAAAGCAATAAATTTAGAAACAAAAAAATTATACAAAGTATGTTCTCTGATCAGTATAAAATTAAACAACAATAGCAAAAATATATTTAATGTATCTATAAATATTTAGAAATTAATACACTTCTAAATACTTCATAAAATAAACCATGAGGGGAAATTAGGAAATATTTTTACTAAATAATAATAAAAATACATTTCAAACACTGTGAGATTAGCTAATTCAGTGTTCAGAGAGAATTATAGCTTCAAATACTTCTATTAAAAATATGAGGTTTAAAATAAATAAGCTTCTTCCTTAGAAATCTAAAAAACAAAACAAAAAACAGATAAATAAAAAGAACTCTAGGAAACTGAACTCATAGTCAATGAAAAGACGGAGATAATGAAGAACACAAAAATTTGGGAAAAGCCAAGAGAGAAATCAATGAAACCAGAAACTCTTTTTATTTTGTTTTAAAAATTAACACATAGTTTCATGTTCCTGGCCTTTTCTCTCAATAAAATCTGAGATTTATCTGTGTCATAATATATATGACAGATTTATTCTTTTATATTGTTGAGTAGCATTCCATAGTATGAATATATTACAGTTTATTCTCTTTGGTTTTACTTTTTCGCTTTTGGCTATTACAAATAAAATTGCTATGAACGTTCCTGTTCAAGATCATGGTAAATGTGTGTGCTTTTTTAAATCCAAATTTTAATTTTATTTTTAAGAGACAAAGTCTGGCTGTGTTGTCCAGGCTGGATTCCAACTACTGGGCTCAAGTTCTCCCACCTGATTTCCAAGGAGCTGGGATTAGAGACACATACCACCACACAAAACTGGTCAGTGTATACATTTTTCCCCCCCTCTGGGTTATCTAAGAGTGGAATGCTTGATGATATTACGAGTGTTTGTTTAAAATTTTAAGAAAACTATTTTATAAAGTAGTTGTAGTATTTGACAATTACCAAGAGAAAAATATGAGCATTTCCATTGCTCCATGTTTTTGCTAACTAACACTTGTTATATTCACTATACCTTTATAATTTCAGCCATTCCTGTAAGAAGTTGTATCTCTTTATGATTTTCATCTGCATTTCCCTGATAACTAAAGATTCTAAACAATTTTCATGTGCTTATTTATAATCCGCGCATCTTCTGTAGAATGTTCATATATTGTGTCATTTTACATTGAGTTGTTTGCTGCCTTTTCGTTGAAGCATTGATAGAATTGAAGGATTCTAAGAATCCTTTGCATATGCTAGTTACAAATTTTTTGTCAAATATGTGTTGAGAATAGTTAATTCCAGTTTGGAGTTTGTTGTTTTCTTTTCTTAAATATGTCTTTTGAAGAACTGACATTTTAAATTTTGATGACATCCAAGTCATTAACTTTTCTTTTCCATTTACTGTTATTTACATGTTAAAAATTGTAGTCTATCCCAGGTTCACGCAGATTTTCTCCTCTGTGTTAATACTGAATTATAGTTCTGGGTTTCATGTTTAATCTATTATCTCACTTCAATTAATATTTTTCTGTGTGGGATGAAGTTCAAGTCAATGCTCATTATGTTTTCAGCACCATTTTTTGAAAAGACTATCTTACTGCTATTAAATTCCAGTGGCTATTTCATAAAACACCAATTGATCATTTATGAATCATCCATTTCTGGACTCTCTGTTCTATTTTAATGACCAATATGTTTTTATTTCTGCTATTATCACAGTGCCTTTATCTTTATAGCTTTATAATAAGTCATGAAATCAGTGAGTACAAATTATCCAGTTTTGTGTTTATGTTTTGAAGTTGCTTTGGCTATTCTAGATCCCTTGCATTTTCATATACATTTCATATTCAGCCTGTCAATTTGTACCAAAAAGCCTTTTGTGATTGTGACTAGGATTTCCTTGAATTTATAGATCAATTTGAGGAAAATGCACATCTAAAACCTTTTGAATCTTTTAGCCGACAAACATGATCCACTTATTTATATTTCTAATGTCAGTAGTGTTTTGTTGTTTTCAATATAAAGGACTTGCATATCTCTTATTATATTTATTTCTAAATATTTTGTATTTATTAGTTTCAGTAGCATATTTTATTTTTTAAAGTTCATTTCTGGCTGTTGCAAATGCATATAAGTTGGATTTATATACTGATCTCACTTTCTATCTTGATTAATTTTACTTTAGTAGTTTTCTTATTTTATTTGTTATAATTTTTTGCAGATAATTAACATATATGAATAGAGTTTATAGACAAACAATTCTTTTCTAATCTTTTTTTATTTTATTTATTGTTATACTAGATAAGAACCTCAGCTACATGGTAGGATAGAAGTGAAGTGATCATCCACCTTTTTTTGTTGCTGCTGATCCTAAACGGCGAGAAGGTAGTCTTTCATCAACATTAATTAGCTATAGTTTATTTGTTGCTGCCGTTGTGAGGTAGTGAGCATAGTACCCAACTAATAGTTTTTCAATCCACATCCTCCCCTCTCTCTCCCTCTTTAGTACTCCACAGTGTCTATTATTTCCATTTTTATGTCCATGTGTACTCCCTGCTTAGCTCCCATTTATAAGTGAGAACATGCAATATTTGGTTTTCCGTTCCTGCCTTAATTTGCTTAGGATAATGGCCTCCAGCTCCATCCATGTTGCTTCAGAGGACATGGTCTCATTCTTTTTTATGGCTTCATAATACTGCATGGTGTATATGTACTATATTTTCTTTATTCAGTCCACAACTGATGGGAATCTAAGTTGATTCCACGTCCTTGCTATTGTAAATAGCGTGGCAATGAACATACAAGTGCACATGTCTTTTTGGTATAATGATCTTATTTCCCTTTGAGTATATACCCAGTAATGAAATTGTTGGGTTGAATGGTAGTTGTGTTTTAAGTTATTTGAGAAATCTCCAAACTGCTTTCCACAGTGGTTGAACTAATTTACATTCCCACCACCACTCTATAAGCATTCTCTTTTCTCCTCAGCTTTGCCAGTCTCTGTTGCTTTTTGGCTTTTTAATAATCATCATTCTGATTGGTGTGAGATAGTATCTCATTGTAGTTTTAATTTGCATTTCTCTGATAAACAGTGATGATGAGCATTATTTCATATGTTTGTTGGCTACTCGTATGTCTTCTTTTGATAAGTGACTATTCATGTCCTTTGCCCATTTTTAATGGAGTTTGTTGTTTTTTGCTTGTTATTTTAAGTTCCTTATAGATTCTGGATATTAGACCTTTGTCAGATGCATAGTTTGTGAATATTTTCTCCCATTTTGTAGATTCTCTGTTTACCCTGTTGACAGTTTCTTTTGCTGCATAGAACCTCTTTAGTTTAATTAGATCCTACTTATCATTTTATGTTTTTGTTGCAATTGCGTTTAGGAACTTAACTAAAAAATTTATTCAAGGTGGATGTTAAGAGGGGTATTTCCTGGGTTTTCTTCCAGGATTTTTGTAGTTTGAGGTCTTACACTGAAATCTTTAATCCATTTTGAGTTAATTTATACATGTTGAAAGGTAAGTGTCTAGTTTCATTGTTCTGCATATGGCTGGTCAGTTACTGAATTTACTGAATAGGGAGTTCACTTACTGAACAGAGAGTCCTTTCCCTCTTGTTTGTTTTTGTCCACCTTGTCAAATATCAGATGGTTATAAGTGTTCAGCTTTATTTCAGAATTTTCTATTCTCCTCCATTGGTCTGTGTCTGTTTTTGCACCAGTACCATGCAGTTTTGATTACTGTAGTCTTATAGTAGAGTTTGAAGTTGGGTAATGTAATGCCTCCAATTTTGTTCTTTTTGCTTAGGATTGCTTTGGCTATTTGGGCTCTTTTTTGGTTCCATATAAATTTTAAAATAGGCATTTTCTAATTCTGTGAAGAATGACATTGGTAGCTTAATAGGAGTAGCATTAACTCTGTAAATTGCTTTGGGCAGTATAGTCATTTTAACAATATTGATTCTTCCAATCCATGAGCATGAAATATTTTTTCATTTATTTCTGTCATCTCTGATTTCTTTCAGCAGTGCTTTGTAGTTCTTGTAGAGATTTTTCACCTCCCTGGTTAGCTGTATTCCCAGATATTTCCTTTTCTTTGTGGCTATTGTAAATGGGATTGTGTTCTTGATTTGACTCTCAGCCTGGGTATTATTGGTGTATAGAAATGCTATTAATTTTTGTATGTTAATTTTGTACCCTGAAAGCTTACTAAAATATTTTATCAGTTTTAGTAGCATTTTGACATAGTCTCTAGAATTTTCTAAGTATAGAATCATATCATCAGCAAAGAGAGATAATTTGATTTCTTCTTCTCTTATTCAGATGCCTTTACTTCTCTCTCTTGCCTGATTGCTCTGGCTAGGACTTCTGTCACTATGCTGAATAGAAGTGGTAAGAATGGGCATCCTTGTCTTGTTCCTAATTTTAGAGGAAACACTTTCAACTTTTTATCATTGAGTGTGATGTTAGCTATGTACTTGTGATAATTGGCCTTTATTGTGTTGAGGTACATTACTTCTTTATCTAATTTGTCTATAAGTTTTACCATGAAAGGATGTTGAATTTTGTCAAATGCTTTTTTTTGCACTGATTGAGATGATCATATGTTTCTTGTCCTTCATTCTGCTAACATACATTATGTATCAGATTGGCTGATTTTCATATGTTGAATGATTCTTATATCTCAAGGATAGATCCTACTTTATCATAGCGTATAATCCTCTTAATGTGCCATTGTATTTGGTTTCCTAGTGTTGAGGATTTTTTTCACATATGCTCATAAAGTATATTGGCCTATATATATTTTTTTCTTGTAGTGTTCTTGTGCAGCCTTACTATCAGGGTATTGCTGACTTCATATAAAAAGAGTGTGAAAGTGTTCCCTCCTCTTTGATTTTTTTGAAATAATTTGTGAAAAATTGGAGTCAATTATTCCATAAATGTTTGGTAGAATTCACCCTTGAAGTGATCAGGTTTTTGGCATTTTGTTGTTGTTGTTGGAAGTTTCTTGATGACTGATTTAATCTCCTTGTTTGTCATTTGTTTTTTTCGGGTGTTCTGTTTCTTCTTAATTCAGTCTTTGTAGGTTTGGCCTTTGTTTTTCTTTTTTTCAGTTCCCTGAGGCATTTGGTTGTTTACTCGAGAGCTTTCTTTTTTAAGGTAAATGCTTATAACTATAAATTTTCCTCTTAGAACTCCTTTTGCTGTATCTCATACATTTTAGTATATTGTGGTTTCATTTTCATTTGTCTCATTTTTTTAATTACCCTTTTAATTTCTTCTTTGATCCATTGGCTATACAGAAGCATGTTTTTAAATTTTCACATATATGTCAGTTTTCCAGTTGTTTATTTGTTATTTATATCTAGGTTAATTCTATAATAATCAGAAAAGATGCTCGTTATAATTTTATTCTTCTGGAATTCATTAAGACTTGTTTTGTGACCTAGAATGTGACATGTTGTGGTCAATGCTCCATGCATACTTGAGGCAAATGTGTATTTTGATGGTGTTGTGTAGAATGTTCTGTTTATATCTGTTAGGTCCGTTGGTGTATTGAGTTGTTGATGTCTGCTATTATCTTATTGAATAACTGCCTGGATAATCTCTTCATTATTGTGAGTACTAAAGTCTCTTACTATTACATTGCTGTATATTTCTCCCCTCAGAACTGTCAATGTTTGTTTTATGTTTTTAGTTGCTCTGATTTTGAATACATATGTAGATGTATCTACAAGTCAGAAAAATGGAATATGATGGATATGATAATCCACACCAAATAAGGAGGGGAAAGCATCTTGCATATATTGGTACCTTTATGCAAATCACCGTTGTTGTCCCCTTCAGAGAAACCAATTACCCCAACGGCCCCCTTCTGGAGGACACAGTTGCATAAAGGAATCCTTTCCTCTAGATCTGCTACTTCCCTAGGCCACAGTATTTGTTCATTTAAGCATGGGCTACATAAATTTAGTCACAGCCTTTACTGCGGACTTATCCTCTGAAGATCACAATATAGACTCCAATGTGGATAAGGCCCCATGTGTCTCTCCCCATCTCTAGAATGTGCTTCACAATGCACAAAGTACTCAGCCTCAAGCAGCTCACTATTGATCTTAACAGAACGTAGACAAGACTTTGGGAAAATAATGTCCTTCAAAAAAAGATATTTTATTTTTTGCCTCGTGAATGTCATAAAAGCAAAATGTAATATCTAAAAAAAAGGAAGAGTATAAGAAGAAAATTTTATTCCAGAAAGCAAACTAATCTATAACTCAGTTATAAAAGCTCTTAATATGCTAGAATATATCTACTGAAACATCATTTAAATGAATTACTGAAATTTACAAAATCACAGTTATTAACAACTTAATTGTTTTAAGCGGAAGTTGTTTGTTGCATTTCAGCTTTCATATTTCAATTAACATTCATTGGTCCTTCCTTGTTTTTCTTGGCCTTGATGACCTTTAAAGAGAGATAAGAAAGACATAATGAGACCCTAGATATTGAAATGAAGCTCTGCTTATAGTTCTCCTTTCACCTGCCATATCTTTTCTTCCCATTGGCTACATTATTCTCCTTATCCCCTATGAAAGCTCGTTAGTCACAAAGTTATGAAGATCTACCTTCAAAAAACTCATTTTCCCCCCATTAACTAATCTCTGTTTGTCTTTTTCCTTCCTGAATGGATTTTTGAAATAAACTTCTGTGGTATCCTGGTTAACCAACTACCCATTTTTTTTTAAAAGTTTCGATTTGTAACATTTGCAGAGTCTGGTGGCATACATATTTTCACATGGCTGATTTCAAACTACCACATGTTTAGCAAGCAGTGCATATAATTCCTGAATTTCCAACAGTAAGCTCTCTTCAGTAAGGATATGAGTGAATCCAGCACACAACTTCTAATAGATATCTCTGCCCCAAGCCTAATTGCTCTGTAATGCAACTCCATAGATAGACACCGGAATATTTTTTGCTAAAATATCAAAGTGATCAGGCATTCTTCTGCATAATTTTGTTTCAATTTTTCATGTATTTTCAACAATAAAGTTTCCATTAATTTACTTTTGAAAAAGCCACACTTCTATTTCTTTTTCATCTTTGGGCCTCAGTAGTCCCTTTTTTTTAATCTTTGGGTCCCACAGTCTTCTGCATCTACTGAATTTCAGTTGTACAGAACTCATTACGCTATGTCACACTTTTGGAATTTTCATGTATCATTTCCTTTGCCTAAAAGTCCCTCCAATTTTTACCTTCCTAAAAATAAAACTATCTACCACAGATCAGTTTATTATGATGTGCCAGGTTGTGAGATAATTAATATGTATACATTGTCTGAATGTTTAAACCATCCCAATGAAGTGGAGACTTCCATTATTTTAGAGGACCAATGAAACTGTTTCCCCAATATCAGCCAACTAGTGCTTCTTAAATCCAGGATTCAAATCAGATCTGTCTTATTCAGAACCCTTGCTCTTGAGCCCTATGTTCCCTGCCGCTAGACACATCTTTAAATCAATTAACACTAGTATTGTATCCTTTCTAGAGCTGTATGAATGCCTTTACCTTAATATCCTTCTGAAAATCTTCCAGTTACAAATGCAAGGGCATTGTTTAGGTTCTCCTTCCACTCGCTGGACTCTCTGAGTAATACATGAGGAACCTGGTGTTCCCAAAGCCTAAGCAAAATTATTTGCCTCTTTAGCAAACTCATTCTCCTCTATCCAGTTCCCACCTTGATGAAGCTGTGACTTCCACACACCAGTTTCAGCTTGCGGTCAACTGTTCTCAGTTGAAGGCAGAAGAGTCGAAGTTTATCTCCTTTCTCACACTTGATATTGTGCCATTTTCCACTCCCCACTACATCCATGGATCCTGTATTATCCTGTATTTCATAAATTGTGTTCTTCTTGTGTACGCTTTTCTGCAAAAGAAGATTAACATCCTGTTTCTGAGAGGATTGTTAGTATCATATAGATGAGAAAGAGTCTCATGACAAAGTTAATGCAATATGCACGACAGGAATGACAGGTACAGATCATACATGTGGCTTGGCCTGCCATCTCACAGGGTCCATCTTTTATTATCCAGCATTTTTTTTTCCTGCTTAAGGTATTTTTCTTTCTGCAATTATACAACAATAAATATTTCCCTCTTTTTCTCCTGCTACCACCTTCAGATCAGCTGAGAGTAAATAAAGCACCTAGATATAGAGGAATCAAAAATTCCTATAGAACTTCTTGGCTCATGGTCCTGTGGAAAAACAAATGTATGCTTTCTACAATTATTCATTCAGTAGATTATGAGGAATTTCACTTTATTATTATTTTAATTTTTAAAAATTTCAATAGCTTTTGGGGTACAAATGGTTTTGGGTTACATGGATTAATTATATGGCGGTGAATTCTGAGATTTTAGGGCAGCCATTACCCAAGTAGTGTACATTGTACCCAATATATAGTTTTGTATCCCTCACCTCCCTCCCAGCCTCCCGCTTCTGAGTCTTGAAAGTTTATTAGATCACTCTGTATGCCTTTGTGTACTCATAGCTTAGCTCCTCCTTACAAGTGAGAACATACAATATTTGGTTTTCCACTCCTGAGTTACTTCAGATTATGAGAAATTTTAAAGGAAAAATCTTCTATAACACAATCATTCATTCTTTCTCAGCCTTCCTCATTACTTATTCTTTTCCAATATCTTGTCCCCATTGACCTAACTCCCTCCATTCATACTCTGTAGTGTTTCACACACTTAAGCTATTACTCATCAATTCTGTAATTGCATTTATAAGCAAGATCTCTTAAAGAGAGTGTGAGAAAATGTGGAGGTAAATTTAAGGGGCTATATTGAAAGACATGTATGTAGGGTTATAAAGCAGTCAATCATATAAAATGTTAGTTGAGTTCATAGAAATGTGTAATGTTTTAGAGTGGAGAAAGGGATGGAATGCATTATCCTAACTAGCATCTTGAATTTGGACATGGACATATCAATAAAACTCTGTGCCTTGGAATTATTTTTTTTTTGTAAATAGTATGAAGAGATTGCCTTATCCTTTAAGTATCATGGAATTCAATATTTCTCAGTTGTTCAATGCTATCTTCATAAATAAATGAATAAATAAATAAGATAGAAGGGCAACTGATCTAAGCACAAATGTTTAGATTGTATGGATAGCTGTTGAATGTATTTGCATTTATGAGCATACCAGCCAATCCACTTATTACTCCAAAATTATGTCACAACCAGAATTCAACCTTGGTAGCACAATTCATTACTTAAAATAAATTTATCAAAACTCACAGTAAAATTATCAGTGCTCATTGGGATGGAGCTGAAAGAGATGATGTTATTAGCTTGCTCCCGTTGATTTGGACCCTGTATTGTCCTAGTTCATTGTGGCTGACAACAGATCATTACTGCCAATATTTCTTACTAACTTTTTTTCAAAGTCCCTACATTTATTTTGGCGTAAGAAAGTTAATAGGTCACTTAGTCCTATTTCCTATTTTGTGGGACAACTTCATCACTATCTCTAGTCAATATAAATTCTTGTGTTCCAATATTCAGACAGTAAGTCTGGCAAATTAAGACATTTATTTCCAGGTAATGGTAGAGAAAATTAAAACAAAATTAAGGGTTTACCTTTTGTAACATAAACAACCCATACACCATTGTTCCAGATGCTTGCTTGTAAAGTTGACTGATCTTGGGAGTTTTATTTGCTATTTCGATAATTCTGTTTGGGACCTCAAAATTTTGATTAAAGTCAGACACAGATGATGCTTCCTTTATTTCCATTACTCCTTTACATTCAGAGTAATCAGATATGGTAATGACCTTCTTCCTTACAAATTTCTCTTTCAAGTTGATGTCGAAGACTTTCACATGGAAATATTGAGTCTTACTGGCCACTGTAGCATGAAACATTGTGCTTTTCCCATTTTCTGGGGACTCGTATTTAAATGGCGCTGTTGCTTTCAGTACCACCACTGTCACTGGGTCGTTTTGGGGAACATTTCTTCTTGCATCCACCTGCCGTTGGGCCTGGGTTTCCTGATTCTGTGTTGGGCAGACACAAGAAAATAAACTTAAAACTTTGAGCAGGAGGCCGGGCGCGGTGGCTCACGCCTGTAATCCTAGCACTTTGGGAAGCCGAGGCGGGTGGATCACGAGGTCAGAAGATCGAGACCATCCTGGCTAACATGGTGAAACCCCCATCTCTACTAAAAATACAAAAAAAACTAGCCGGGCGTTGTAGCGGGCGTCTGTAGTCCCAGCTACTCGGGAGGCTGAGGCAGCAGAATGGCATGAACCTGGGAGGCGGAGCTTGCAGTGAGACCAGATCGCACCACTGCACTCCAGCCTGGGCGATAGAGCGAGACTCCGTCTCAAAAACAAACAAACAAACAAACAAACAAACAAACAACAACAAAAACTTTGAGCAGGAATACAAAGTCACTCTGCACGAGTGACTCTGCAGAGCTTTCGACCCAACAACTTTCACAGATATTTGGAGCTGGGGGCTAGGCTAGACAGGGATTACTGAACAGAAAGGAAAGGCACATGAGCTGGTAAAGTTTAGCTACTGAAAGCCTAAGGTAACAGACAACAGGCTTGGAAATTAAATCACCCTCATTGACTCAGAATAATCTTCCTGAAGCAAAGCATGATCTTCTGCATGAACAATCTAGAGTAGCAGATGATGAAAACATTGTTGTGAAGAAACTTTAAAGAAAGATTAGAATATAATAACAAATCCAAATATCTCCTCTACCTACTGAAATTATCAAAGACAATCAACAAAGTGAAAACAACTTGGACAGCATTAAAAATGAAGAACCATGCCCACCAGAAGCCTCAAACATCATTAGATGTTCTAATGATCAAACATTCATTAGAAATTCTAATGATCACTAGTGTACTCTGCCATTTTGAGGGCCAAACTCGTTTGTTTCTTCCCAAGAAACAGTGCTTTTACAAGTGGAAAGACTTGGCCTGGCTAGCATGTAAGTAGTCTCAGGTAGAGGATTTCTGGTTAGAGCTATGTCCTCGACTGTGTATACACAGCATTTCACAGTGGCTAAAATGCTAACAACAATGGAAAAAGGACAAGTTTGTTTATCTCGTATGTCCTCTCTCCACAGTGTCCTGGCCTATTTGAGTTGCAGCAGAATACTTTTCTGAAGAGAACGTTGGCAGATCTGTAATAGGAAGTGTGGGGAGCAAAGATGAGCCATGGGCTTGTATGTACTGGTACTAGGAGCCAGGCTACTTACCTGCACAGACCAGAAATGCTTAGTGGTCTGTCCTGGTGTTTTACACACAGTGATTACCTGTAGGTAATTGGACTTTACTTGCATGTGGCTTCTCACCAATGTAAACAAGTTATCATAATATGGAAAACAGTTTTCCCACAGCAAATCAGTAATATGAAGAGTTATGCATGAGAGTAACAATAGTAACAGTGGAATGCACTGTGACTGGGTTAAAAAAAAATGGAGAAGAGGACCAGGAAGAGTGTACCGGAGTAAACGAAGTGTTGGATGGAGTTGATGATGAGGTCTGGGGTAGTGGGGGATGATCCACAGCTGCAGATGTGCTGGCTCCTGAGGGACCTGGGGGCTTACTCTGCTCTTGGGACACCTTATTCCTTTTGGCTTCAGTCTTTTCTTTGTTTGGAGTTTTTCTTTTCTGAAAGTAGTTTAATTTTCCTGTTAATGGAGTTTAGTATCAAAAGAAGCAGAGCAAGTTTTCATTTTTTCATTACAACATAGTAAGTTCTATTTATGTTGGATGGGATGTCCTTGGAAACCCCAGGGAATTACAATCTGTCACTTGAAGATATGGACAATAGATAATATTGGGCATAGATTGTTGCACTAAAAAGGAGATGGATGATTTCAACAGATGCATTACTGTTATCACCACTGTGGTGTGATGAGAAGAGCACTGGACTTGGAATGAGAAAATCTAGATTTGTGTAAGGATGGGCAAGATGTATATCCAATATGATTATTACCCCATTTTTATAATGGAGATGATAATATATTTATGTCACAGAAATTTTTTATTACATTTTTACGATACCTAACTCTTTACTCATCACAAAGAAGATCCATAATTACTAATTTGGTAAATCTAAGCTGTGTTGAGATATTAGTAAAGAGCCACGTGCCATAGCAGAGTATCTTCTGTGAGGCTTCAGTCCTGCTCCTCTTTCTCAAGCTTACCTGAGCTACAGGAATCCTCCCTCTTGCTTCCGATGTCAGTTTGTTTCTTGCGGTGGGTGCAGGTGCCGCAAGACCCACTTCTTCCTGGTTTATTTTTTTCACTGGAGCTTTTTCTTGTGTTTTAATTTTCTTAGCAACTGACAAAAGAAAAGAAAAAGGGCACAATAGGCCTAGAGTGGAATAGCTTATCTAAGACAGCTGAGGCAGTTTCAATATTACCTGCTGTCAGCTCCTGCATGAGAGTTCGGATTTGCCTGTTACCTCTACTGCATTAACCCAGCCTGGCTCCTAGGAGGCCAACAGCAGCATGGTAGGCATAGGCACTGTCTCATTCTCCTCAGTGCTTTACTCACTCCTCCCCTTTGCAGTGAGAACATGCTTCCTTTCCTGTGAACTCCATGTGCCTCAATCAACCCTTTCTCAGTCTTGTTCTCCTACCATTTCTTTTAAATATCTAAGGCTTTCATGATGCTGACAGGCTGGTCATGTTCTGTGCAATATCTGTTCAAATGACAGAAATATGACCTGAAAGGAAATATGATCTGAATTGTAATGTGGCAAAGTGCTAATATTGGCTTTTGAATTAAAAAAAGAACAGTGATTTATTAAGTGGAAAAATTCTACACGTCTCTTAATAGAACTATTGCTGCATAAATTGGTTAAATATAAATATTTCAAATAAAACACATTTTTTAAAGTAGCTTTTTTTTTCATTTTCTGACATTTTTGATTTACTGAAACACTCACCGTCTCATAAATCCCTGTCTTTGGTTTTTTATCCTTACCTCAAATACATTCTTCTAAATATATCAATCTCTTTCATATGAAACAGAATGTTCTAAATTGCCAACTGGTCAGTCTCTGAGGTGCCAACATCCCCATGACTGCTGAGTTATAAATTGGAAAAGGGATGTACCAGCTATGACCAAGGTGGGGTTCTACTGAAGACTGGGGAGACTCAAGGCAGAGTAGCTATGTGCAAGGTTTTCTCTATTACCTTTTGACTTCTCTTTTCGAAGATTGTTAACAAGGTTTTTAAGTGATGGCATATCTTTGGCAAGTTCTATTAGTTTGTCTAGACAGGCAACGCCTTGGAACTTTTTTTCCATCAAATCTGTAATCTTAATTCTGTTGTATTCCTCTTGCATTTTTGTAGTTAGTCCTAAATCATAGGCCAGTAAGGACTTAATTGATGTAAAATGATAATCATCCATGAGCTCAAATCCTTTCAGCAAAAGAATTTTCTTGTATTCATTCACCATTTCTGATGTTATAGCTTGGCCTATAAAGTAAAAATGACACACAACATTACACATTTATGCAGACAATTTTAAAAAATGAGATATGCTTTTGTGAGTGAGTGTCCCAGGCCAAAATGTTGTCCTTGGATGCGTATAAGAAAAAGGGACTAAGTTACCAGATATGTCACTGTGAACAATGGATCAAGACTTGCTTTATTAGGAGGTTCAGTGAAGTTCTTCCCTTTTAATGTTGATAAGTTGGGACAGAGGTGTATGTGGTGAAATGATGTTTGGAAACAGGTAATTGTTGCAGTATTTATAGTATGGGTTTTGTGGTGTCAAAGTCCCTGGTTCCTCTTCTGATATTTTATTGGGGCCTGAGCCTATCCCTCAATGCCTACCTCTTGGTTCCTGATTCTTCCCTGATTCTTCCCTGATTCTTCCTGGTCATCCACTATGACCAAAGTGGCCTAAGTATAAATGGGCTGCAGCCACTCACCTTATGTGAATAACCTTCTGCCACAGCACTACAGTTCTGAGTTGTGGAATGGACTCTAGTCCTTCTTGGCTCTCCCTAATCAGCTCTCGTTAGCACTTTTTCTCCCTGGGGCTTAGAACTTGTTCTCTGTGTCCTATGCATCTATAAAATTGTCATTTTGCCATCCTCCTATCTGCTCTCTAGTGTGGAATTGCAGCATTTATTTTTTGCACATTTGTTTTTTACAGTCAATTATTTACCTCCAACTAGTCTTACTTTTACTAAAAGGTTTCTGTCAGACAACCAAGTAGGTTTCTTTATGGATAAAGACATGACTCTATTTTTCCTGAAATCCTTCAATGAGTTTTGATTTTTATTAGTATAGATTTCTACTCAGCATGACTTGAAAGGCCTTGCATAAACTGTATCTTTCTTTTTGTGTGTGTCTGTTACTTTTGAATTTCTTATACCTTATGCTCTAGAAATACACAATATGTCTTTCTTTTTCAGGTCTTCTTACTGCTAATTCCCTTCCTGCTATCTGGGAAAGCATTCCCAGTTTTCTTCCTCTGAATACTTCCTTAGAGTTTTTAATGCTTAATTGAGGCTTTATCTTCTGCGAGCTGTTGTGGTCCCACTCTCACTTATGTGTGCCTCTTTAACCCCTTGTGTACTACCTAAGGGCATTCAGTTCCTAACGTATATTCCAATTTTCTGTTTAAATTTATAGGTATTCCTTTAGGTTGGTGACCATGTGTTTGTGCAACTTTTATATAATTAGAGTGTCCAAATTCTTAGGGCTGTAAATTGTTCTCTTTTGGGAGAACATGAGTGTTCCTGTGTTTAAACCTATCAGATAAAGAGAAATTTCACACATGGGCACATATAGTAAAGCCAAAGAATATTAAAAGCAAAATGATAAAATCTTCCAGAAATACTGAGTAGAACACCTACAAAGATTAAATAATCTGATTGAACAGTCTGCAGCAGGTTAAGAAAGTAATTTTTACATAGTACTGATCCATAATTATATGTCTGCAATTTTAAAACCTAAGAAGATACTGAAGGATGAAAAGATTTGTGCGGTTTGGGGGCTTGGGAAGGGATGAGAGTTAGCAGGGAAGTGTGGTAGCAAAATCATCTTGCAAATTAGAGATATAATGTGAAGTAATACGTGGCTGATATGGTTTGGCTATGTCCCAACCCAAATCTCATCTTGAAATATCATCTTGTGATAGTGAGCAAGTTCTCATGAGATCTATGGTTTTATAAACATCAGGCATTTCCCCTGCTAGCACTCATTCTCTCTCCTGCCACCCTGTGAAGAGGTGCCTTCCATCATGATTGTAAGTTTCCTTAGGACTCCCCAGCCGTGCGGAACTGTGAGTAAATCAAATCTCTTTTCTTTATAAATTACCCAGTCTCAGGTATTTCTTCATAGCAGCGTGAGAAGGAACTAATACAGTGGCTATTTTTAATCTTCCTTATTCATCTCACTTTAATGTGAATAGTGGCATGATTTGTTGAAGAACTCTTAATGCATTTGATATTAGGATGTTGATATTACCTCTACTGGGACACTTGCAGTGCCTACATACAATGTATGCATTAAGTAGTCTTTCTAAAATCCCCCCCTAAAAAAATGAATTAAAAATCAGAGTTGTCCCAGGGGTTTCAGGTGAAGTGCTGTGAATCAGTTTTCAAGCAAAAATATTTTTCAAACTAAAATTTTGTATCTGGTCAAAATGTTATTTGAATGTTATGGTTTAAAAAATTGTTCTCTTCTCACTGAGAGTGACATTAGCAAGATTGCAGACAAGGACGTTCCAGACTTTCATTATACCATGGAAACACCAAATAAAGAACAATTTATGAACCAAACTAATGTTTTCAGCTGTTAAGAATTGGTTGCAACAAAGGAAATTCCAAACCAAGATTAAGCCACATTCAAAATAGTGGAAAACTTCTAGGTGTTTTTCTTTGTCCCTGTTTAACTTTCTCCCTTGAATGGTGTGACGTGATCAGGAGGAAACTTCCTAATTCCTCATTCTTCCTTTGGAATAGAAGGAAAAGTGTGGAACTGCTTTGCAACATTATAGCTTCTCTGTAGGTTCCTTGAGGGACTAGTAACTGCTTCACATGACTTGGAGCATTGATGGAAATGGTGGCATAGTTTAAATGTCAGATTTGAGGCTGCAAAAAGTAGTGGTGGGTGCTCCAGCTTGTGAGAGCTTCATGGGATCTGCTACTCCCTGGGTGCCAGAAGGCAAGAGATTATGGATAGAGGAATACAGTAGAACATCTAAGGTCATGAAAAGAGGCAGGTGTGGCTCTTAGGGAAATTACAGATTAAAAGCAGTGTGTATATGAGAGAATTACAAAAAATGCACACACATAAGCCCAGGCAAGACACACGTCCATATAGGCCTCAGAGAACGTTTATATTTCATACTTAGCTGAAGAGTGAAAGTCCTCCCCTGAATATGGTGCCAGTTAACAATGGTTGAGAGGGGGCTGTTTTTACAAATGTCCAGTTTTCAACAAAAGGTATACAAAGAAACAGGTAAACATGGTCAATTTTAAAGAAAAAAATGAATCTCCACAAACTTTCTCTAAAGAAACACAGCCCTCAGACTTTCTTGTCAAAGACTAAAACAGCACTCTTAAATATGATAAATGAGTTAAAGGAAAATAGGTAGAGACAACTAAATAAAATCAGGAAAATGATTAATAAAAAATGAGAATAGACAAAAAATAGAAATTACCAGAAAAAATTCCATAAATTCTGAAGCTGAAAAACACATTGACTGCATTGTAAAATCCACTAGAGGGGTTCCTCAGCCCACACCAATAGGCAGAAGAATCAGTTAGCTTTTAGACAGGTCATGTGTAATTATCAAGGCTGAAGAACAAACTTTTTTAAAAGATATAAAGGAAAGTGAACAGAACTTATAAAGTTCATCAAGTGGGACAATATATGCATTATGTAAGTCTGAAAAGGTGATGGAAAAGAGAAAGGAATAACAAAATTATTGAGTAAATAAGGACTGAAAACTTTCCAAATTTGAGAAAAGACTAAATGTACAGATATAAGAAACCAAACAAGCTGCAACTATGATAAACTCAAAGAAACTTACACTATGACACATTATTATCAAATTACCAACACTCAAAGACGAAAAGAAAATCATTTAAAAAGCGCAAGAAAAAGGCAACTCATTATATCCAAGAAATCTTCAATAGGATTATGAGCACATTTTTCAGCAAATACTTTGTAGACCAGAAGGTAGTGGGACAATACATTTCAAGTGTTTAAAGAAAAGTCTGTCCATCAAAAATGCTATATCTGGGAAACCTGCTATTCATAAATGAGAGAAATTAAGACATTCCCAGATAAACATAAGCTGAAGGATTTCATTACCACTATATCTACCTTAAAAGAAATACTAAAGAGATTTCTTCAAGCTGAAACACAAGGATGCTAGATGGTAACTCAAACTCATACAAAAATGTAAGTTCTTGATGAAAGGTAAGTATATACATAAACATGAAACATGACTTTTGCTATTTTGATTTGTAATCATTTTTTATTATTTTATAGGATTTAAAATGTGAAAGCAAAACAATTTATAAATCAATGTTAATTGGTACATATTATATAAATGCAATTTGTAATATTAACATAAAATATGTGTTGGGGAGCTGTAAAGGAGTAAACATTTTGCATATGATTGAAGTTAAGTTGTTATTAGTTAAAAATAGATTGCTATAACTTTAGAATATCATATGCAACCTGATGATGACCACAGAGATATCTGTAGGATGTACACAAAGGAATAGAAGAACATAAAAATGTTTCACTACAGAAAAAAATCAACAAAAAGAAGTCACTAAGAGACAAAAACCTATTAAGACATACAGAAAACAAATAAAAAATGGCAACAATAAGTTCTAAGTTCTTCCTTATCAATAATTAGTTCAAATGTAAATGGTTTAAACTTACTAATCAAAAAGCATATTAAAATTATATATACATATATATCACAATGAATTTAAAAACAGGGGATCCAAGTATATGTTGCATACAAGAGGCTCATTTTACAGATGTAAGGACAAAGATAGAAAGTGAAGGAATAAAAGAGATATTCCATTGAAATATTAAATAAGAGAGCAGAGTTTGCTATACTAGGATCAGATAAAATAAAAATAACAGTCAAAAAGTGTTATAAGAGACAAAGAATATTACATAGTGTTAAAAAGGCCAGTTCACCTAGAAGATATGACAATTAGAAACATACATGCACAAAACATCAGGGCTCCTAATATATGAAACATTTACAGAATTGAAGGGAGAAATAGACAACTCTAAGGTAATAGTAAGAGACTTTAATGTTCCACTTTCAATAATAGGTAGAACAATCTGACAGAAGAAAATTTGGAAAAAATAAATATTGAAAAACATTATAGACCACTTATAGACCAATTATATCTAACAGATATATCCAAAACAGTAAAGCCAACAACAGTAGAATACACATTTTTCACACGAACATATGGAACATTGTCCCAACATATACCACAAATTAGGATGCCAAACAAGTGTTAATAAATGTTAAACGTTTGAAATCATACAGAGTATATTTTTTTATCATAATGGAATAAAAGTAGAAATCAACAGAAAGAAAACTAGAAAATTCATGACCCTGTGAAAATAAACAACACAAACAATGAAACATGTACAAAGAATCACAAGTCAAATTTAAATCCATATTTAGAGAAATTATATAGAAACACAACATATCATTTCATTAAATGCAAAGAATATGGTGATGAGGGTAATTTACAGATTTAAACAACTACATTTACAAAGAAGACTCTCAAATCAATAATCTGACTTTACACCATAAGGAACTTAAAAAAGTAGAACAAACTAAACCAAAAGCCATCAAAAGGAAGGAAAAAATAAAAATTAGAGGTAAAATTGAGATTAGAAAAATAATAAAGAAAATCAATAAAAAAAAGAGTTGGTTTTCTGAAAATGTGAATAATACTGACAGAACTTTAACTGAATTGACATAGAAGAAAAAGAAGGAGACTCAAATAATAAAATCAGAAACTAAAAAGAGAACATTACAACAGATTTCACAGAAATAAAGAGAATACTTTGAACAATTATACATCAATAAGTGGGATAACCTAAATGAAATGGATAAATGGATAAATTATTAGAAACATACAACCTGCAAATTTTGAATCATAAAGAAATAGAAAATCCGAACAGTCATTATGACTAGTCAGGAGACTGAATCAGAAGTCAAAAACCTCTCAATAAAGAAAAGTCCAGACTAAGTGGTTTTACTGGTAAATTCTACCAAATATATAAAGAAGAATTAAGACCAAAATTCCTCAAAGTCTTTCAAAATTTGAAAAGGAGGGAACACTTCCAAACTCATTGTATGACTCAGCATTACTCCAATGCAAAGCCAGACAGAGGCACTAGAAAAATAAAATTTTCTAAACAATATCCCTTATGCATGTCGATGCATTTTTTTTTTACAAAATGCTAGCGAACATAATTATATAGCACGTTAAATTTATTTATGCATCATGACCATTTAAGGTTTATCCCTGGAATGCAATGATGGCTCACCATGCAACAATCAATTAACACTCTTAATGGTAAAAGACTGAAAATATTTCTCTTATTCCTGAAAGATGAGGAAAAATACACAGATGCTCATTTTTCACTTGTAAAAATCAATTAAGATAATACACCACATTACCAGAATGAAAGACAAAAAAAAAATGATCATCTCAATTGATGCAAAAAATAAATAAAGCATTTGACAAAATTAAATAGCCTTTCATGTTAGAAACACTCAGTAAACGAAGAATAGGAGAAAATTACTTCAACATAGTAAAGTCTACATACGAAAACACCATAGCTAACATTATTCCCAATGGTAAGAGACTGAAAACATTTCTCTTGCTCCTGAAACATCAGGAAAAAGACAAGGATGATTTTTTTGTTCACTTCTGTTTGAGATAGTACTGAGGGTTTAACACCCACCCCCCGCCCCCACCAAAAATAGGCAATAAACAGAAAATATAAAATATCCAAATAAGAAAGAAAAAAGGTAAATTCTCTCTCTTTACTGGTGATATGATCTTATATGTGGAAAGTCCCAAAGATTCTATGTAAATACTTAGAATTGATAAACAAATCCAGCAAAGTTACAGGAATCAAAGGCAACACATACAAATCAGTTGTGTTTTTATACGCTAACAACGAACAAAAAGGAAATTAAGGAAACAGTTCTTTTTCTGTATACAATAGCTTAAAGTAGTAAAATACTTAGGAATAAACTTAATCAAGGTGGTAAATTATACAACACTTTGAAGGAATTAAAGAAGGCACAAATGTACATGGGAAGGCATCTGTGTCCAGGGGTTAGAAGACTTGATACTGTTAAGGTGTCAATACCCAAGGAACTGCATATGCAATGCAATTTGCAATGTAATCTGTAATGCAAAATCCCAGAAGTGTTTTTTACACGAACACAAAAATTTGTCTTAAAATTCATGTAGAATTTAAAGGTACTTTAAATAGCCTTTTTTAATCTTGAAAACAAGAACATGGAGGTTTCAGACTTCCTGCTTTCAAAACTTGTTATAAAGACACAATAATCAAAACAGTGTGGTATTGGCATAAAGACAGACATAAAGAACAATGGAATATGATAGATAGCATAGAAATAAACCCTGAGAAATATGGCTTATTGATTTTTGACATGGACGTCAAGGCTGTTTAATGAGAAAGAACAGTCTTTTCAAAAATGCTGTTGGGCAATTGTGACATCTGTATACAAAAAGTTGAACCCTTACCTACATCATATACAAAATGTAACTCAAAGTATATCAAATATCTAAATGTAGGAATTAAAACTATGAAACTCTCAGAATAAAACAAAAGGGAAAGGCTCCATGACATTGGATTTGGCAATGGGTTTCTTGGACATGACACCGATGGCACAGGCAACAACAACAACAATAAAATAGATAAATTAGACTACAACAACATTTAATTTTTATATACATCAAAGACACAATTAACAGAGTAAAAAAGGGAACCTAGAGAATGAGAGAAAATATTCACACTTTATATATTTGATGAGTGCTTTATATCCAGAATATACAGCCAACTCCTACAAATCAACTCCAACAACAACAGAATCCAAACAGTGTGATAAAAATTGATAAACACGGTGAAACCCCTTCTCTACTAAAAATACAAAAATTAGCCGGGCATGGTGGCGCGTGTCTGTAGTCCCAGCTACATGGGAGGCTGAGGCAGGAGAATGGCGTGAACCCGGGAGGCGGAGCTTGCAGTGAGTCGAGATCGCGCCACTGCACTCCAGCCTGGGCGACAGGGCGAAACTCCGTCTCAAAAAAAAAAAAAAAAAAATTGATAAAGGACTTGAATAGACATTTCTTCAAAGGTGCTATACAAATGGCCAATAAGCACATATGAGTATGCTCAACGGCAATAATCTTTAGAAAAATACAAATCAAACCCATAAAAACCACAATGAGATATAACAATTAAAAACATACATGCACAAAACATCGGAGCTCCTAGGATGATGTTTTTTGGTACTGTCAAAAAAATAACTACAGAAAATAACCAGTGTTGGTGAGGATGAGTAAAAAAGGGAAACCTTGTACATCATTGGTAGGAATGTAAAATGGTTCAGATGCTATGAAAAAAATATGATTCTTACTCTTAAAATTAAAAATAACATTACCATATGATTCAGTAATTTCACTTCTAGATATATTCCCAAAATAAGTGAAAGTGTGATCTCAAATAAATGCATGTACATATATGTTCATTGCAGCATTAATCACAACAGAAAAATGTGAAAGTATTACAAGTGTCCTTCAATGGATGAATGAATAAAAAGAAATATGGTTTCTTACGTATTTTATGGTAAATACATGAAATGGAATATTATTCTACCCTAGGAAGAAAGAATATTCTGACACATGATACAATACAACATGAATGAACTTTGAGAACATGAAATGAAAAAAGCCAGTCACAAAAAGCACACGCTTACTGTATGATTAAACATATATGAAGAGTTAGAGTTTTTAAATTTATGGGGAAAGAAGGTAGAATGATGTTTGCCAAGCTCTGGAGGAAAGGGGAATGGTGAAATTGTTGGTTAACGGTTAGAGTTTTAGTTTTGCAAGATGCAAAGGCGTTCTGGAGGTTGGTTGCACAACAATATGAATGTATTTAATACTACTGAACTGTACACTTGAAGCTGATTAAGATGACACATTTTATGTTACATGTTTCTTAACACAATTAAAAGAAAACAATTATTATATTCAAAGCTTTCAGAAGCTTGGCAGTGAAAATATCCATACCCACAGCTCTTTGTGAAGAACTACTCATTATGAAAAGAAATAAATCTAAGAAATGTTGGAGGCCAAAAGGGAAGAAAGATCAAGCAAATACTTTAATTAGTGTTTTTACTATCTTAAAAATAAGTAAAGCCAGAGTCAAATAAAAGAAAACAGGAACTATATGAACATACTCTTAACAGGTGAAGTTGTATGTTTGGGGGACCAGAAGATGTGAGAGTTTGCTAAGGGGCTTGTCTTTAAGGAGAATATAGATTTTTTAAAAATAAGAAACTTGACAAGAAAGGAGAAGAAGAAAGCACAGAATAAGTGCTATAAATTGAAACAAAGTAAGATGGCAAAACCAAGTTAAAATATATACCTTTATAGAATTTGCATATCTGGACTAAACTCATCAACTAGGAGGAAAAATTTTCAATTTGGATTAAAAATAAATCCAGTCATATGTTGTTGACAAAGTACAAATAAAGCATAAGTTCACTTAAGTTTGAGAAAGAGCTGGAAAAGTTATATTCTTCAAACTCTAACTTAAAGAAAGACTTTTTAGGAAAAATAGTGTAGCTTAAAATAGGCTTAAGTCAATAAGTATCAGTACATAGTTTCACTACATAATGGTAAAGTATGCAACTTGGAAAAAGATATAATAATTTAAATTATATTATAAATATAATCTGTTATTACTTTATAAAGTAGCATATAGAAGTTTTTTCTTCTCTCTAAACACACACATAACATATATACTTAGATATACATATTCTATGTAAAAATATATGGTAGAAATCAAAAGAACTACAATGAGAAATTAACAAAATCACTATTAGAGTTGGAGATTTCACCACATCTCTCAGTTACTGAAAGAACAAGGTAAAAAATAGCTTAGATTTAGATTTAGATTTTTCAAACATAATTAACAAGCTTACTTAAGAAACTTTATCTTACTTAAATAGAATTTGGAATCCAACGTTTATAAACTCTTCTCAAGTACTCATGGAGTAATTAGAAAACATTCATATGTACAAAGCCATAAAAAAGTCAAAATGTATCCCAAAGTAGGAAATATATAATTGATTCTCCCTGTCTTTTCATTATACCTTGCCACAAAAAATGTTATCTATGACTGAGTAAAGCATAGACCATTTGAAAAAGAGAATTATTTCTTCTTACACTTGTTGTAAAATGAAGCATAAAATGAAACTGATTCATGAAAATGTAAAGATTATTTTTGAGTAAATGCTTGTAAAATTGAGAAATTAATGTGTGCACATGTCTATGCTTTTTAAAATAGAGATAAAATCATATAATAGAGATTTATATCCTGGTTTATTTTTTACTAAATATTACTTCATAATAATTTTCTTATCTGACTGTCTTGTCTTTTAACTTAGGCCCAAACCCAGTCACCAAGTCATCCTCCAGCCAAGAAAACCAAGTATCTCCTCTAAATATCAATTTATGCCAAAAGACACCCAAGAATTAATTTTTAAAACCTGCTGTAGACAAAATACATTTTTTTGGTTCATACCCCAATTGTGGTAGAATAAAAGATATCCATTTGCTACCTAGACAGTTAAAGCATTCAGTTCTCAGTTTTCTGAATATGATTGATAACAACACTTCTGGTCTCAGGCAATTATTCTCTACTGAGATGGTGTGGTTACCAACTAGATACCTAGATCTTTCTCTAAAGAACTTCCCAGAAATCTCACCTTAATGGATGCTTCTTCCACAATAGTCTTCAGAAATCCTGGAGTCACTGTCTTGTTTAGGACAGAATCACTGTCCGTAAAGCTTTGGAGAGATTAAACTGCAGACTATTTTAATCTTGTAAAGGGCTGAGAAATGAAAGCTAACAAGGAAAAATGGCACTTGTTAGAGCCACTCTCAATCTTGATTGTAGATGGCCTTCTTACACTGTCCTAATTCCTAACTAGAAAGAAGTTATGTAATCATGAAACAATTTTGAAGCCACGCCTATCAGCCTTTGTAGCTTTCTATTTCAGATGTCAGAGAAAGTGGTCAGTTCCTCTTTGTAGTAAGTAATCTCAGTCACAAGGAGAAATGACAGTAAATGGTGCCTCTTCTTCGCTTTTTTGACTTACAAATACTTGCTGAAAGGAGTTTCAAACTCAGAACTTTCTTATAAAGCTAACTTACATATAGGTCATTAGAAACCGGTAGCCGCTTGAATAAGGATCTTAATATAAATTGGGAAAGGCAAAACACCAAAGTTTCTCCCTCCTTTCCTGTTCACAGAGTGGCAGGAGCAGGAGATCTTGGTAGAGATGTCTATTGCTACCAGAACTTGACTTCATCTCTTGGATAGGGGTGGGTCTACTGTGAAATTGTTTTTGTTTAAATAGTACCTACATATTCACCCAGTTATTAATAACTGATACACCTGGAGCTTGACAGAGGCAGAAAGTCATTATGAATATGTAAATCCTTATTCAAATAATTTGAAAGAGTTTCATACTAGTTGCTCTCTTGAGTATAATAACTGAGCTGCCTTACCTTGATTATTAAATTCATGATTACTCATGCTTTTTGCATTATTTATGGATAGTTGGTTCATATCATGACTGAAACCTTGAACATTCTGGAACAGCACTGAAACTCTGGAATGATAGGGGGCCTGATAAACCCTTTGTACTGCAATTTTTTTTTCCTGTGAAGAACAGTGGGTGCACTACAAAGTATCATAACTCTGAATTGTCAAATGAATGGTATCAGTTAGCAGACAGTGCTGTGGTTACCAACTAGCTGATCTGTAAGCAAAATGTGGTCATGACTGGAAAAGGATCCCAAAACAGCTAATAGGGGAAAATGATCCAAGGCCATCTACAGAGAAGAATAAAGCTGATTGTCTTAATCCAAACCAGCAGCATAGAGAGAGTTAAAGTTTGGATTTGGAAACTGTCTAAACCCCACTAAAGCAGGGTAAATCAGAAAAAACCAAGAGGATCTAGAATGACAGCCACTAACACATGTGGGTGTTCATTGTTTCAGTTTCTCTCTTATGCTGATGCTTCGAGCAGGTCTTAAGGTAAAGGGTAAAGAGGAACACAAGGAAACCTTATCAGGTGCCCCACTTCAGTGTTTGGGAACCAAAAGAGCTCACGACAGGAGTTACCATGTTTCAGGACAGCTTTCTGCCCTGATATGGTTTGGCTCTGTGTTCCCACCCAAATCCCATCTTGTAGCTCCCATAATTCCCACGTGTTGTGGAAGGGACCTGGTGGAAGATGAATGAATTATGGGGGCAGATCTTTCCCATGCTGTTCTCATGATAGTAAATGGGTCTCATGAGATCTGATCGTTTTAAAATAGTTTTTAAAAAATGGGAGTTGCCCTGAGCAAGCTCTCTCTTTGCCTGCTGCCATCTACGTAAGATGTGACTTGCTCCTCCTTGCCTTCCACCATGATTGTGAGGCTTCCCCAGCCATGTGGAACATTAAGTCCAATAAGATTCTTTCTTTTGTAAAATGCCCAGTCTTGGGTATGTCTTTATCAACAGCATGAAAACAGACTAATAAAGTAAATTGGTACCAGGAGTAGGGCATTGCTGAAAAGATACCAGAAAATGTGGAAGCAACTTTAAAACTGGGTAACAGGTAGCAGGTAACAGTTTGGAAGGCTCAGAAGAAGACAAGAAAATGTGGGAATGTTTGGAACTTCCTAGAGACTTGTTGAATGGCTTTGACAAAAATGCTGATAGTGACAGAAACAATAAGATCCAGGCTGTGGTGGTCTCAGATGGAGATGAGGGACTTGTTGGGAACTGGAGCAAAGGTGACTCTTGTTATGTTTTGGCAAGGAGACTGGCAGCATTTTGCCCCTGACCTAGAGATGTGTGTCTTAGAGTTTGAGAGAGATGATTTAGGGTATCTGATGGAAGAAATTTCTAAGCAGGAAAGCATTCAAGATGTGACTTGAGTGCTGTTAAAGGCATTCAGTTTTAAAAGGGAAACAGAGCATAAAAATTTGGAAAATTTGCAGCCTAATAATGCAATAGAAAAGAAAATCCCATTTTCTGAGGAGAAATTCATGCCAGCTGCAGAAATTTGCATAAGTAAGGAGGAGCTAAATGTTAATCATGAAGACAATGGGGAAAATATCTCCAGGGCGTGTCAGGGACGTGTATAGCAGCCAGTCCCATCACAGGCCTGGAGGTGTAAGAGGAAAAAGTGGTTTCACGGGCCAGGCCCAGGGTCCCTGTGCTGTGTGCAGCCTAGTGACTTAGTGCCCTACATCCCAGCCACTTCAGCAGTGGCTGAAGGGGGCTACTGTAGAGCTTGCACCATGGCTTCAGAGAGTGCAAACCTCAAGCCTTGGCAGCTTCCACATGCTGTTGAGCCTGAGAGTGCAGAGAAGTCAAGAATTGAGGTTTGGGAACCTCTGCCTAGATTTCAGAAGATGTATGGAAACTACTGGATGCCCAGGCAGAAGTTTGCTGTAGAGGCGGAGTCCTAATGGAGAACCTCTGCTAGGGCAGTGCAGAAGGGAAACGTGGGGCTGGAGACCCTACACAGAGTCCCTGCCAGGGCACCACATAATGGAGTTATGAGAAGAGGGCCATCATCCTCCAGACCCCACAATGGTACATACACTGATAGCTTGCACCATGCAACTGGAAAAGCCACAGACACTCAATGCCAGCCTGTGAAGGCAGTCAGGAGGGAGGCTGTTCCCTGCAAAACCACAGGGGTGGAGCTGCCCAAGACTATGGGAACCTACCTCTTGCATCAATATGACCTGGATGTGAGAGAGAGTCAAAGGAGATCATTTTGAAGCTTTAAGATTTGACTGCCCCACTGGATTTTGGACTTGCATGGGGCCTGTAGCTCCTTTGTTTTGGCCAATTTCTCCCACTTGAGATGGCTGTATTTTCCCAGTGCCTGTATCCCCATTGTATATAGGAAGTAACTAACTTGCTTTTGATTTTACAGGCTCATAGGTGGAAGGGACTTGCCTTGTCTTGGATGAGACTTTGCACTATGGACTTTTGAGTTAATGACTTTGGGGGACTGTTGGGAAGGCATGATGGGTTTTGAAATGTGAAGATATGAGATTTGGGAGGGGCCAGGGGTAGAATGATATGGTTTGGCTCTGTGTCCCCACCCAAATCTCATCTTGTAGCTCCCACAATTCCCACATGTTGAGGGAGGGACCCAGTGGGAGAAGAATGAATTATAGGGGTAGGTCTTTCCCATGCTGTTCTCATAATAGTAAATAGATCTCACAAGATCTGACGGTTTTTAAAAAATGGGAGTTGCCCTGCATAAGCTCTCTCTTTGCCTGCTGCCATCCATGTAAGATGTGACTTGCGCTTCCTTACCTTCTGCTGTGATTGTGAGGCCACCCCAGCCATGTGGAATTGTAAGTCCAATAAACTTCTTGTTTTTGGTAAAAGGCCCAGTCTCAGGTATGCCTTTATCAGCAGGATGAAGATGGACTAATACATGCCCTTTTTTAGAAACTAACTTTTGTAGCGATACCCTCTGTTGGTTCTCCACCAGACAACGCACAAACTGCTGACTCAAATAATGATTTTATCTCATAAATATTTCCCAAATATTTATTTCCCACTTTTCTGGTTCAAGTTCTCACTATCTCTTGCTAGGATCATTACTGTTCTAACTCACCTCCTTTCTTCCAGCCTGAAGTTCTAAAATCTACCCTGCAGCATTTCAAGAAGTATATTGCAAAAAATAGATGATAGCATATTCTGTGATTGTCTGTTTATATTTTGCTCACACAATGCTCCCTTCCATCTCAAGTATTAGTTATCAAAATATTTGTGGAATGCTGGTGTTTTTCAGCTCCAGGAAATGGATGATTATTTACTTAAGTCAATCAGGGAGACTAAGTCCTTTTTAAGCAGTTGATTAAAAATAGACATGTGACCCAGTTTTAGCCACTGGTGTCTAAATAGAAGCCTGCAGTAGGAAAATATCTAAAAAAAATTTTCTTTGCTAGGCAAAGGACATGAGCTAGAAGAAATAGCTTGTTATTTGTTCCAACTATCCTTGTGTTTTCATTTGGAATGAGCTGAGGCAATTGAATTGAGTGCAGTGGAAGAAATGTTTCATGGAAGATATTATTGAATCAATGAATTAACTAGCATCCCTCTTCTCTCCCCAAACAAAAAATCTTCTTGTAAATTTCCTACTTTTTAAATCATTTAACTTAAGAATTTATGTTGCCTGAGGCTGAAACTATTCTAACTAGCTCATTGATCACTTAATTTCACTTCTTTAAATTCTCCAGCATTACATGCATTGCTCATTGGATAAAGTGATTCTTTGTTTGGTACTCAAGGACCTTCATAACCTGGTATATCTTTATTTCTCTAGCCTCATTTCTTGCTAGTCTCTGTCTTTTCTCTGCTTGTCCTACTATACCAACTGACAGTTTAATTTCTCCATATCTCTAACACATAATGTTATTTCACACATATTGTTATTTCATGACTTAATAGATTTAATCATCTTCTCTCATCCTGAAATTCCCCTCATACATTTTCTACTCTGCTGTCCACATTTTCTTCAAATGATTATATTAAAGCTCACTCTTCCTTTGGAAACTATCCATACCTATCACAGGTCACCTTTGGGTGCCTCTGTAATACTCTACACGTTCCTATGTCTTAGCATTTACTGCATTTCATTAAAATTTTCTTTTCACTTGTTTGTGTACCCCCTCTGTATTGAAACATCAGTGACTAGAGTCATCATTAATTATTTATCTTCTTTGTGTCATCAATTTCCTGACATAAATTAAGATGATCAATAAATGTTGGTTGAACTAAACTAAATACAATCGAGCATGCAGAAAATTCACCTAAATTGAATAATTAAAATCGAGCTTTCATTTTTATTTCTCTCTTTTCTTAATTATCAAACCAAATAAAATATAGTCATTTCTTTTAAAGTTTCCATCTTTAATCATATTAATTTCTGTTAATAAAAAGTATGTTTTTAAAAAAATGTTTATTTTAGGTTCAGGGGTATGTGTACATGTTTGTTATATAGGTAAACTCTGTGTCCTGGGGATTTGATGTGCAGATTATTTCATCACCTAGGTAATTAGCATGATATGTAATAGGTTTTTTTTTTTTAATATTCTCCTTTCTCCCAACCTTCACCCTCAAGTAGGTTCTGGTATCTGTTGTTCCCCTCTTTGGGTCCATGTCTTCTCATTGTTTGGCTCCCACTTACAAGTGGTGGTATTTGGTTTCTTTTCCTGTGTCAGTTTGCTTAGAATAATGGCCTCTAGTTATTGAGGCCATAATGCTGCACAACACATATTATTCTTTTTATGGCTGTGTAGTATTCTATGGTGTATGTGTACAACATTTTCTCTACCCAGTCTACCATTGATGAATGTTTAGGTTGATTCCATGCTTTTGCTCTTTTGTGAATAGTGCTGCGATGAACATATGAATGCATGCCTTTATGGTAGAGGGATGTATATTCCTTTGGGTATGTACCCAATAATGGGATTGCTGGGTCAAATGGTAATTCTGTTTTAAGTTCTTGGAGGAATTGTCACAGTACTTTTCACAATGACTGAACTAATTTACACTACTACCAGCCATGTATAAGCATTCCCTTTTCTCTGTAACCTTGCCAGCATCTGTTATTTTTTGACTTTTTAAAAATAGCCATTCTGACTGGTACGAGATGGTTTCTCACTGTTGTTTTGACTTGCATTTCTCTAATTATTAGTGATGTTGAGAATTTTTTTTTCATATGCTTGTTGGTCCCATGTATATCTTCTTCTGAAAAGTGTCTATTCATGTCTTTTGCTCACTTTTTTTTTTTTTGAGATGGAATCTCACTCTGTTGCCCAGGCTGGAGTGCAGTGGCACAATCTTGGCTCACTGCAAGCTCTGCCTCCTGGGTTCACACCATTCTCCTGCCTCAGCCTCCCGAGTAGCTGGGACTACAGGCGCCCACCACCATGCCTGGCTAATTTTTTGTATTGTTAGTAGATATGGGGTTTCACTGTGTTAGCCAGGATGGTCTCGATCTCCTGGCCTCGTGATCCACCCACCTCAGGCTCCCAAAGTGCTGGGATTACAGGCGTGAGCCACTGCGCCTGGCCCTTTGCTCACTTTTTAATGGAGTTGTTTGGTTTTTGCTTATAAATTTGTTTAAGTTTCTTACAGACTTTGGATATTAGACCTTTGTTAGATGCATAGTTTTGAAATATTTTCTCGCATTCTGTAGGTTGTCTGTTTACTCTGTTGACAGTTTCTTTTGCTGTGCAGAAACTCTTTACTTTAACTAGGTTTCATTTGTCAATTTTTGGTTTTGTTGAGATTGCTTTTGGCACCTTTGTCATAAAATCTTTTTCAGGTCCTATGTCCAAAATGGTATTTCTTAGGTTATATGCTGGGGATTTTATAGTTTTAGGTTTTACATCTAACTCTTTAATTAATCTTGAACTGATTTTTGTATATGGGGTAAGGAAGGGGTCCAGTTTCAATCTTCTGCAGATAGATAGCCAGTTACCTCAGTACCATTTATTGAACAGAGGGTCCTTTCCCCATTGCTTGTTTTTGTCAGTTTTGTTTAAGATCAGATGGTTGTAGGTATGTGGGATTATTTTTAGCTGTTTGTTACATTCCATTGGCCTGTGTGTCTGTTTTAATACCAGTACCATGCTGTTTTGGTTATTCAAATGGGCCTAGAAGAAAATCTACATAACTTTCCACCCAAAAACAACAGAGTTCTTTTCATCACCACATGGCACATACTCTAAAATCAAACGCACAACTGAACATGAAACAATCCTCAGCAAATTCAAAGAAACCAAAATCATATTGTATTAGCCCGTTTTCATGCTGCTAATAAAGACATACCCAAGACTGGGTAATTTATACAGAAAAAAAGGTTTATTGGACTTACAGTTCCACGTGGCTGGGGAGGCCTCACAATCACGGTGGAAGGCTAGGAGGAGCAAGTCACATCTTACATGGATGGTAGCAGGCAAAAAGAGAGCTTGTGCAGAGAAACTCCCCCTTATAAAACCATCAGATCTCATGATACTTACTCATTATCATGAGAACAGCACGGGAAAGACAAGACCCCATGATTCAATTACCTTGTACCAGTTCCCACAACACATGGGAATTCAAGATGAAATTTGGGTAGGGACACAGCCAAACCATATCACATATCAACCACACTCTTGGACCATAACACAATTAAAAAAAAATCAATACCAAGAAAATTTCTGAAAGTCATACAATTACATGGAAGTTAAGCAACTTGCTCCTGATTGACCTTTGGATAAATAGTGAAATTAAGGTAGAAATTGAGAAATTCCTTAAAATGAATTGGAACAAAGATAAAACATATCAGAATCTCTGGGACAAAGCTAAGGCACTGTTAAAAGGGAAGTTTATAGCACTAAATGCCCTCATCAAAAGTCAAAACATCTCAGAATAACAACTTAATATCAAAACTAAAGGAACTAGAGAAACAAGAACAAACCAAACTGAACGCTAGTAGAAAACAAGAAATAACCAAAATCAGAGCTGGATTAAAGGAAACTGATACACAAAAAACCATATGAAAGATCAATGAATCCAAGAGCTGTTTTTTTTTTGAAATAAATAATGTAGATAGATTGCTAGCTAGATCAATAAAGAAAAAAAGAGAGAGACGATCCAAATAAGCACAATCAGAAATGCCAAAGGTGCCATAATCAATAGCCCACAAAAATATAAAAAATCCTTAGAGACTACTATGAACAGCCTTATGCACACAAACTAGAAAACCTAGAAGAAATAGGTAAATTCCTGGACACATACAACCTCCCAAAATTTAACCAGGAAGAAATCGAATCCCTGAACAGACCAATAATGAGTTCTGAAATTGAATCAGTAATAAAAAGCCTACCAAGCAAAAAAAGCCTCAGACCAGACAGATTTACAGCTCAATTCTGCCAGATATATAAAGAAGAGTTGGTACCATTTCTATTGAAATTATTTCAAAAAAATTGAGGAGGAAGGACTCTGCCCCAACTCATTCTGTGAGGCCAGAATCATCCTGATACTAAAACCTGGCAGAGATGCAACAAAAAAGAAATATTCAGGCCAATATTCTTAATGAACATAGATGCAAAAATCCTCACCAAAATACTAGCAAATTAAATCCAGCATCAAATCAAAACACTAGTCCACCATGACCAAGTGTGATTTATCCCTGGGATGCAAGGTTGGTTCAACATACCCAAATCAATAAATATGATTCATCACATAAAAACAGCTAAAAACAAAGCCCACATGATTATCTCAATAGATGAAGAAAGAGTTTTTGATAAAATTCAGCATCTGTTCATATTAAGAGTCCTCAACAAACTAGGCATTGAAGGAACATACCTCAACATAAAAAGAGCCTTCTATGAGAAACCCACAGCCAACATTATACCAAATGGACAAAGGCTGGAAGCATTCCCTTTGAAAACCAAAACAAGAAAAGAATGCCCTCTCTCACCACTCCTATTTGACGTAGTCCTAGAAGTCCTGGCCAGAACAATCGGGCAAGAGAAACTAATAAAGGGCATCCAAATAGGAAGAGGGTAAGTCAAACTATCTCTGTTTGCAGAAAGCATGATTGTATACGTAGAGAACCACACAGTCTTTGTCTTTGCCTATAAGCTCCTCAATCTGATAAGCAACTTCAGAAAAATTTCAGTATACAAACTCAATGTAGGAAAATCAGTAGCATACCTGTATACCAACAACAACCAAGGTGAGAGCCAAATCAAGAACACAACCTCATTCACAATTGTCACAAAAAGAATAAAATACCTAGAAATACAGTGAACCAGGGAAGTGAAAGATCCCTACAATATGAATTACAAAGCACTACTCAAATAAATCAGAGATGACACAAACACATGGAAAAACATTTCATGCTCATGGATAGAAATAATCAATACATTAAAATTGCAATACTGCCTAAAGCAAGTTACAAATTCAATATTATTCCTATCAAATGACCTATGACACTCTTCACAGAACTAGAAAAACTATTTTAGAATTCATATGGAACCAAAAAAGAGCCCAAATAGCCAAGGTAAACTTAATCAAAAAGAATAAAGCTGGAAGCATCAAATTACCTGACTTCAAAGAAGTTGCCTTAATAGAGGGGATCTTCATCAACCTGATAAAGTACATCTACAATAAAATGACAAATAAGCATATGAAAAGATGCTCAACATCATATATTCACAGGGAATTGCAAATGAAGAATAATGAGATACCACTACACATTTATTAGAGTAGCTAAAATCCAAAATGCTGACAATACCAAATGCTGGTGATGATGTGGAGTAACGGAACTCTTATCAATTGCTGGTGGAATTGCAAAATGGTACAGCCAGTTTGGAAGACAGTTTGACAGTTTCTTAGAAAACTAAAAATACTCATACATTCCAGTACTTGTTCTCTGTGGTATTTACCCAAAGGAGTTGAAAACTTATGTCCACACAAGAAGCCTTCAGACATGATTATAGCCTCTTTACTCATAATTGCCAACACTCAGAAGCAATTAAATGTCCTTCAGCAGGTGAGTGGATCAATAAACTGTGGTATATCCAGACAGTGGAATACTATTCAACCCTAGAAGAAATGAGACATTAAGCCATAAGAAGATATGGAGAAACCTTATTAAATGAAAGAAGCTAATCTGAAAAGGATACTTACTGTATAATTCTAAAATGACAAAAGTATAGAAAGAATAAAATCAGTGGTTGCCATGGGGTTGTGAGAAGAAAAGGAGTTAATAGAGAACAGTATTTTTTAGGGCAGCGAAACTACTCTATATGATACTATAATGGTGGATACATGTCATTTTTCATTTGTGTAAATGTATTGAATGTGTGATAGCAAGAGTGAACCTTAATATAAATTGCAGACTGGGTAGTAAAAGTGTGTCAGTATTGGACACATGTTCATTGATTGTAACAAATGTACCCCTCTGGTGGGGTATGTTGATGATGAGGGAGGTAGTGCATGTGTGGGGTGAGGGGCATATAGAAACTGTAATTTCCATTCAATTTTGCTGTAAATCTAAAACTGCTCTGAAAAACAAAGTATATTAAACAAAAAAGAAGATGTTTTGGAATTTAAAGATAACAAGATTTCTTTGCCATAAAACATCCAGGAAGACTAGAGCTTGTAAGCAGCCCTGTTAGTGAGATCAAAAGTGATCGCCCTGTGATAGGATTTTAGTAGTCTGGCTACTGCTAAAAGTAGACAGGAACTTGTATTCATTGAACTTCTTCTCTATGCCAGACTTTAATCACAGTTCTTTTTCATATCCCCTGATTCTTCCCAATAACTTCTGAAGGCTGGTATGCATACGTTGAAACATTTTATTATCTCTAGCTGGGTTTTTTTTCCAGGCCATGGCCAAAACAGCACCGAGGTCTCCTTGCCCTTGTTGGAAATGAAGTTTATATCCTCAAAGAGAATTGACTCTAGGGAAGTTTCAGAAGTGGCTTTGTCCACTTTTAAGCAGTTTGGTCTATAAGTAATTGCAGGACTTCTGAAGGGGCACTCTTACTCCACACAAATAAAAACTGTTTGGGATTTTAGCCCTTTGTTGAACTTCTTAATGGAATGATATACTTATGGATTTAGGAGTCATGTCTTTGTGTTCTATTAGGCATGATATGTGTAACTATGATGCTAACAATAATAGGAATCAACAAATTTGGATTTTATTTCTTACGCACCTACTATATGCCAACTTAAATTATCTTACTTAATTCTTCCAACAACCTTACAATTAAGTATTATTTTCAGTTTTGCAAATGAGGCAAAAAAGGGTTAGCTACATTGCCCTACAATTTACAATGATGATTTATGGAATTGGAATTAAAACTCAAAGTTGTTGGGAATAGTCCCCAAAATCTGGCCATAAACTGGCCCCCAAACTGGCCATAAACAAAATCTCTGCAGCACTGTGACATGCTCATGATGGCCTTGACGCCCACGCTGGAAGGTTGTTGGTTTACCGGAATGAGGGCAAGGAACACCTGTTCCACCCAGGGAGGAAAACTGCTTAAGGAGTTCTTAAGCCACAAACAATAGCATGAGTGATCTGTGCCTTAAGGACATGTTCATGCTACAGATAACTAGCCAGAGCCCATCCCTTTATTTCAGCCAATCCCTTTATTTCCCATAAGGAATATTTTTAGCAAATCTTATGACTGGCTTGCTGTCAATAAATATGTGGGTAAATCTCTGTTCATGGCTGTCAGCTCTGAAGGCTGTGAGACCCCTGATTTCCCATTCCACACTCTATATTTCTGTGTGTGTGTCTTTAATTCCTCTAGTGCTGCTGGGTTAGGGTCTCCCTGACCGAGCTGAACTCGGCGCAAAGTTTTTTGACTGTATGTTCTATTATAAACAACACTGAAAATTGTGCTTGTGGTTTTGTCTTTTAGTAGTGTCTGAGAGTGAGTCATGAGAAACAGTACTATGTATATGTGGATGGGTGTGCAGATAAGCTGAGATGTGCAGACAGGCAGATAAGCTGACTGCTTTTTTTTCCTAAAAAGGAAATGACACTTTAAAAAATGCTCTGAAAGAACAAACAAGTATGGCAACACCTTTTTTTGGAACTCCCGTGGTATACATTCCTCTTTTTGTGTGTGGGATTGTTTTGTTTTCCTTTAAAGAAGGAGTCAAGCAACTAACTTGACCTGCTTCTCTTGATGCTTTTACCCTGGTATCAAAATGAAAAACATCATTTATCATAGTTCAAAAAAAACTTTAAAATGTATGAAGGTCAAGGAATGTGTGTGACCCACTTTGTGCAAGAGCTGGTTAGTAGCAGAGCCTGGATTAAAAGTCAGGCCTCCTGACTTCCAATCTACATCTCCACAGTGACTCCTGTGAATGTAGGAAATGATGCCCTTCTGTGTGGTTCAGGCAAAGCCTCCTAATCAGGCCTGGGGAAGGGACTCCTAGCTGGACTGTATTTTAGAGCTATTTCTTTGACATCCTGATCTACATTCCCATGTTCCCAATTAGCATTAATTGAGCGAGAAAGAGGAGAAAACTGGAGCCTCCCCAAAGCTCCCTGCTCCACAACTCATGGAGGGGGTGGTCTCTGAAGAGAAAATGTTGATAATTACAGAAGTTGTGGCTGTGAATCATTGAGCTGGCACCAGCTCCCTCCTGGGAACTGTTCCCTTGCTTCTCCCCCAGCTTCCCCAGCTCAATTAAGCAGCTTGTTTTCCTTCTCCTTAGCAAAACTTGTTAGCACTTTGTTCTATTCCCCTGAGTTGCTTAGGAGAAAAGTTTTGTGGGAGGATTTGCCTCATTGGATAAGTCTAGCTCTCATGTTCTTTATGAGATACTGAGGTACCCATGTCCTCCAAATAGGCCATGTATAACAGTGGTAGTTCAGCAATGGGTCCAAGGCTCCACTGTTTGGCTAAAGGGAAGAGGAAGCAAAAAATCTAGACTGGGTAAGGATAGGGAAGTTCAATGCAACTGCCTCAGATCAAACTGATAAGGAAATGTTTAAGACCTGTTTTGTACACATTGCTCAAAGATTCCCAGGCGCATTGCATATTGTTGGGCCTCTGAGCAGAGGTACCCATGCCTTCTGATCTCTCCTCTCCATGTACAGAATTTGTACAGACTCTACACATTGCTACAGCTTTTCAGAGCTCATCAAGCTCTTTCATATTTTAGAGTGCCTCCCCACTCAAGCAAGCTCCTACTTCTTGAGCATGAGCTTACTCTGTTCCTGGCTTATTCAGAACAGAGACTGACTACATCAATAGGGGGATTTCTAACCCTTCTCATTAAGATCAGGTGAAGTGACACTGAAAATTGACCCTTTTTTAAATCCCATTCAGACCAACCCTCAGCAAGTTAATTTAATACCTATTTGTTGACCACTGCCAACGTTAGTAGAATACCAGTAAAACTATTGAGTGACCACTAAGGTGGCTATATAAATGTATAAAGGAAACTGAGGCTCAGAAAGGCTATGTGTCTAGTCCAGTATGACAGAAAAGAAATCATGAGTCTGGTGTTCATGCATAGGTGAGTGGTGTAGAAGGAGGACATTCTGGACAAAGAAATATAAAGAAAGTAGGGAGATGGTTTGGTATTTAGTAATAGTCCAGAGTGGATAAAGAGGAAAGTATCTAGGGGGTATATAAATAAATGGAAGACCCAATTAAAGATAATAGATTCAGAAAATGTTAAAGTTTCATCATCACTCTGGTTTTACTTTCACTGACCTGAGACACCTGGATCTATTAAAGGACGCATCCTTAGTCTCCTGAAATATCTAAGGTCTGAGTTATAGCAGAAACAAAACACTCTTTAATATAACAAGGGTCTCAGAACCTGCCCCAGTTTCCCCCATTCTCTGCCCCTCAGCATTAGAAGGAGTTTTTAAGTTATGCCATTATCCAGCCTTTGCTTCTGGGCCTCAGCCCAGGTGCCTGAGGTCCTAGTGTTGCTGCCTCTTTCCTTGGGGGCACTAGACTGTATTTTCCTTTTCAGATTACACCCATGCCTATGCCTTCCACAGGTAGGCATGTCTCCTGGAACCATGGGTGTTCTCTCTTCCTTCTCATTACTTCAACAATTGCTGTACAGCACTAGCAAGGAGCACACTCAGTTTTGCAGAGAGATCAAAGACAACACCCTGGAAATAATCTGATCCCATATTTTTGAACAAGCCAAAAAGCAGCACTAGAAAATTAATATATAAAGCAGGTAAATACAACACAGAAAACAAACTAAAATAGCATAAATGGGGAATTGAAGCTCTGGCTATTTCCTATGCCCTCTTTTCTCCCCTGGCTCTCCCAGCAGTTTCTCTTCTGAGATGATTTAGTTCAACGTTCTCATTTTTCTGATGAGTGAATTGAGGGCCAAGGAGGTAACGTGACCTGCCAAAAGACACACAGCTCATTAGTAGCTAAGGCAAATAGCTAAGGCAAACTAGAACTTGGCAGAGGCAGGTCACGGAGTTGAGTCTTGAATTCCTTTTATAAAATTGCTTCTTAAAAGTTATCATATATTTGATCAATAACCAATTTTTGCTTCTTATATTTCTGGTTTATGTCAGCAACTATAAGCTGTTTTCTGAAAACCTTCGTACTCTTTGACCCTTTTCATACCTTTATAAGCTTTAATTTGTTTCTTCATTCTAAGAGAGGATTATCCCAATTTTTACATAATGAATATAAAAATGTTACTGAACTTGCTCTAAGAAAATATAAATTCAACCCTAGATTCACTCCAGCAGACTGAGTGACTGTGGTGAGACTTTCTCAGCCGCGTTCTCTTTGTCTGCAAAATGAGACACTGGCAGTGGATGACTGCTTACATCCCTTCCATCTTAGGGAGTTTTGATCCTATGATTACAACGCTTCTTAAAGAAAGTAGGATCTGAACTAGGCCCATACGGGTAAGATCCAAATATCCAGAGCAGAGATGGGAAGGTGTTGGTCCAAATTCAAGTGTTGCCACTTTTTGGTTATGTAATTCTGGACAATTTTGTTTGTTTGTTTTTGTTTTTTGAGACAGGATCTGGCTCTGTCACCCAGGCTGGAGTGCAAGGGCACATCTCGGCTCACTGAAGCCTTGCCCTTCTGGGCTCAAGCCATTCTCCTGCCTCAGCCTCCCAAGTAGCTGGAACTGCAGGCATGTGCCACCACACTTGGCTAATTTTTAAATTTTTCATAAGGACAGGGTCTTGCTTTGTTGCCCAGGCTGTCTGGAACTCGTAGACTTAAGCATCTGCCTGCCTCAGCCTCCTGAAGTGCTGGGATTACAGGTGTAAGTCACTGCTCCCAGCCTGGGCAAAAAATTTATCTCTCTTTGACCATCTCTTTCCTTATGTTTAAAAATATTATGATCTCCACAGTTCTCTAAGGCTTAAAGGAAACAAAACATACAAAGTGATTAACACTGCTCCTGACACTTAAGAGGTGCTCATGAATAATAGAAAGTCTTATTATTCCAGAGACAGGATGTATAGAAAAGAGGTTTTAATGCTTGGCTCTTTGGTTTCAATCATTATGGTTACCATATTCTTTTTTTTTTTTTTTGAGATGGTGTCTCACTCTGTCACCCAGGCTGGAGTGCAGTGGTGCCATCTCCTCTCACTGCAAGATCCACCTCCTGGGTTCACACCATTCTCCTGCCTCAGCCTCCTGAGTAGCTGGGACTTTAGGTGCCCGCCACCATACCCAGCTAATTTTTTTTTGTATTTTTAGTAGAGCTGGAGTTTCACCATGTTAGCCAGGATGGTCTCGATCTCCTGACCTCGTGATCTACCCACCTCGGCCTCCCAAAGTGCTGTGATTACAGGCATGAGCCACTGTGCCCGGCCTATGTTTACCATATTCGTAATGGCATGATATGAATAATGCACTTAAACCTTCCTTTTTCTTAGTTTCTTCATCTGCAAACTGAGGGCACCAATAAGATCTTCTCCAGAGAATACCTGTGAGGGTTAAATAATTATTATAAACATGTAAAGCATGTAAAATAGTAAACACTATCTACAAGATAGACATTAGTTGAATTTTTTTCACATCAATTTCTACAATGGAAATTCATGCCTAGTTTTACATATACCTCACATTTTTTCATGTGGATCAGTAGAATTGGCAGTGCTCCAAATCAGGCATTTACTTTGGACCCAAGTGACCAAAGTGACCCTGGAGCATCCTGTGTATATCTCTGGGCCCTTGTAAAATTTACTCTAGGACCTAATATATAGCTTTTGGGACCCTACTTTTCTTCTTACCCTTTCTGTCTTCCTACATTGCAGTCATCTCAACCTGTTTTTATTAAGAGGTGGTTGTGGTAGCAAAATCACTGGCAATTGCTTGGCTCACATTAATTGACATTGTTGAGGTTGTATAGGGCAATGAGCCTGGGAAGCTTACAATATACGTGGAGACTTAAGTAGTTATATAACAACTCATGGCAACATATACCTCATGTTGCCTGGCATATTCATCCATTTATGAATGAATGAATGAAGGGACTCCTAAGGATTAAATGAGGTTGACAGAGATTAAGCACCCTTCCTGTGACCACACCAGGAGTCATCTTCCTTTCTTAGATTATCTCAGTGCTCCAGGCTTACCTCTCTTTCACTCCACAATCATTTATTCTCTGCAAACTTTTAGGGTCCCTTCTTCTAATCTTCCTTAGGGCAGAGCTTCCCAACAAATATAGGTATCAGGTGTATCAGGTGTGCTAAACACCTGATCTCTTTGCCCCTCATCCTTTGAATGACCAAGTGGATCCTGAGAAAATTATAGCCCTTGGTCAGTTTGCATTTGTCAACAAGCAGCCTTTCTGTATACCTCAGTGTGTCATACAAATATTATTGCTTTAGTTTTTTTTCTATGATGTTAAAAGAAGTGGGAAATAATCATCAATGTAAGACATTAGGTTATGCTATAGAGTAAATATTTATGTTCCTATAGCATTCATAGGTTGAAACCTAACCCCAAGGGGTACTAAGAGGTGAGGCCTTTGGAAGTTGATTAGGTCATGAGGGCAGAACCCTTATGAATGAGATTAGTGCCGTTAGAAAGGATACCTTAGAGAGTTCCCTCTCCCCTTCTACCACATGTGGCTATAACAAGAAGAAAGCCATCTTTGAACTGAGAAGCAGACTCTCAACAGACACTGAATCTGCCAATGTCTTGATCTTCTACTTTCAAGCCTCAAGAACTGTGAAAATAAATTTTTGTTGTTTATAAGCCACCGAATCTGCGGTAGTTTGTTACAGCAGCTCAAACTGTGTAAGATGAGGTCTAAGACCCTGTCTAAGGCCCAACTCTTTGGCCTTATCTTTTATGTTGACATCAGTTTTAACACTCTAGAAGGGTAGAAACTGTATGTATATATGTGTATATATGTATATACATACACACACACAGGTGTGCACATATATACACACAGAGAGACATATACATATAATATACATATATGTATACTTACCCAAATATTAAAATCACAAACTCTGCAGAGGCATCAAAGTTAAAGTTCTATCATCTAGGATGTTCATATAGTTGATCATCCAAGTGAAGCCCCAATAATTTTAAGAATGAAACAGGGCACTGTTAGTAGTTATTCCGGGACAAGAAGCATTTAACTAAAACTCTCTTGAGCAAACCAGAATATAACACTGTATTGACATGCATTCTTAAAATTCATGTATTTGTTTCAATAGACAGTACATCTGGCTAGGCATGGTGACTCACACCTGTAATATCAACACTTTGGGAGGCTGAGGTGGGAGGATTGCTTGAGCCCAGGAATTCGAGACCAGCCTGGGCAACATGGTGAAACTCTGTCTCTACCAAAAAAACAAAATAAAAATCAACCGGGCATGGAGCACATGCCTATAGTCCCAGTGGGGCTGAGATAGGAGGATGGTTTGAGCCCAGGAGCAAGAGGTTGCAGGGAGCTGAGATCATGCCATTGCATTCCAGCCTGGGAGACAGACCTGGACCCTGTCTCAAAAAAAAAAAAAAAAAAAAAAAGACCATACATATACATTATTAAAAAATCAAAATAATCCATAAAAGGTATATAGAGAAGAGTGTTGCTTTAACTTGTAGGACCATTTGCCCCTTTCTTCCCCTTGCCAGCCTCTATATTCACAATAGGAAACAACTTTTAGTAGTGTTTTCTTACAGTCTTTCCATTTTTCTTTATGTAAAAACAAGCAAATATAAATATTCTTATATGCCCTCTGGAGCTCTTTCCATATCACTGAAGAAGGTGCCTCCTCATTTTGGTAAACATCTCTGTGGTTTTCCGTTGTTTGTTTCACAAACGGGAGATTTAACAAATCTCCCATTTTGAAGTGCTCTTGGGTCACTTCCAGTCTTCTATTACAAAAAGCAGAACTACAGTGAACAACTCTGTGTATATACATAATTTCATGTATGTGTGTATACACATCTGCAGGATAAATTCTTAGAAATACGATTACTGGGTCATAATACAAATAAATGTGTAGTTTACACAAGTTTTGCTTTTTCACCCAATGTATGCTATTTTGTACTCCTATAAGCAATGCATAAAAAGGTCTGCTCCTTGCAGCCTCTCCAACAATGTATGTTTTTGAACCTCTGGAACCTTGTCAATCTGAAAAGTCAGAAAAGTTGTTTAATTGTAATTTAAAATTGCATTCATCTTATTATGAGTTAGACTGAATGTCTTTTTATATAAGTGTTCCTACTGTTTTATAAATGCCTATCTTGGGGTCTGTTTCCCCCATTCCAAATTAAGCATTTTAAGGAAAGGAACTGTGTGTTAGACATCTCATATTTTCCCTAGTATGAGGGTGGGAAATAGAGTATTCAATAAATGTATTTAATGAATAAATAACAGAATCACTGAGATTTACTCTTCTCACAGTTTTTTAGCTGTACTTTAGATCACCTTTTCTAACCTTCCAATCACATTTTTTCTTGGAAAATAGTATTACACATAAGTCTGTCCATAATATAGAATATTTAGATGAAAAAATTTAAAATCACTTATGAAATTAGTTAAAGCAATTATTTACTTATTTCTTTTTAATCATTTCTCATAATGTAGGCTTTTTCAAATATTAGCAATCATATTATGAAATGTTGACACTTTTGAAATTCTCCTTTCTTCACCGAACACTATAGCACTCTTAGTTGTCTCTCTTGCTAAACCACGAATTTCTTGATAGAGGCAGAAGGCCTCATTCTTTTCTCTAACTTCATTTCTAATACAGCATAAATGTTAAATGAGCACTTAACAGGAAGAAGATCTCATGAGAAGAAATTAAACAATTTTCTTAGCTAAGCAAGGCCTATATTTGGAACACTTCCACTTTTATCTCTTCATGTTACTTTTAATTTACAAACCTCTCATTCCTCATTATATACAATGTTAAATTTTTAGCACATATTTCTGGATTGATTTTGTTTTGTGTGTAATTTTCTTATAAACAGTCATTTGTATCACACTGATTGCTTTCTGAAGGCGAACACGCAGCCATCAGTTTTACTGCCAAGACAGGGTGATACACTACAAAGCACAGGGGAAGTCTGTATCAGAATATGTCTTATAAAACCCATAGATAAAGCTGCAAATTGGGGGTGTTTTAGTATTTGAGACTATGAAAGATAAACTAATTTTGTCAAATGGCAGTTGCAACCATTCATCCTGCAGAAAGGTCACATGTTTCTGATGAAGTGGAATCTTGGCTTAAGGCAGGAGAAGACTGAATGAGAACCTCTAATTACCCAAGCACCTGGATAGTTTTTTACTCAAGGAGAGTCTTCCAATCTTGAGGTTACAATATTTTCTAAAGTGAAACTCTCCAAACAAAATATCATCTTTTCCTGCTGTTTAAATAATTCCAGCCCTCTCAGGAAATTTTTCAGGTTGGTATGAAGAGACTCAATGGTTTCCTCTATATTGATGTGATCCGTGTGAAAATCTTTTACAGTGAATGTTCTGATATCCAATTTAATTTTGCTATTATCTGTGTGATTTTCTTTTTTGCCTCTGATTCCTAAATTTCAAACCATATTTGTATCTACAAGTGATGCAAATGTATTCTTCTCCAGTGGATCAGGGCTTCAATCTGTTATTTATACGGCCTCTACATCCATCCAGTACCTGCTTATGTATTGTGTTCAGTTGAGGTCAGAGTCCATGTACTGACCATAAGGCTTTTATGAAAATGATGCTGATAGTGATGAAAAGGAAAGTGATGATGAAAACAGAAATAAACATATGTAAATGCCACATAAAATAATGATATGGTGGTTCCATAAACAATGATAGCAATACTGGTGGTGGTGGTTTAGAACACTGCTCGGCAAATAGAGAGTATTTGACAATGATTAAATCAATGAATAAATGATAGGGGAGATAGTGAGGGTAGTGGTGATGGAGATTGTTGTGGAGACGGAGATAGTCAAAGCAGAAGTGACGGCACTGCTGATCTTTCTCATATTGTGGTAAGGTTAATAATGGAAAAACACCTTTGCAGGGACATGGTAGGAGCTGGAGGTCATTATCCTCAGCAAATTAATACAGGAAAAGAAAACCAAATACTGCATGTTCTCAATTATAAGTGGGAGCTAAATGTTGAGAATACATGGACACATAGAGGAGAACAACACTCACTGGGGACTTTTGGAGGGTGGAGAGTGGGAAGAGGCAGAGGATCAGAAAAAGTAACTAATGGGTACTAGGCTTAATACCTGGGTGATAAAATAATATGTACAATGAACCCCTATGACATAGGTTTACCTATGTAACAAACCTGTACATGTACCGCACATGTATTAAACATGCACATGTACCTCACATGTATTAAAATGAAAGTATTACACATTAGTAAAAAAAAATGGACACACATATTATTTACTCCTTTCTGGTCATTTGGCTGTTCTTACCAGAAGGGAGTAGAGATGAAGCTGATTGGGAAGTCTTTTTGCAAAGTAATTTTTAAGAACATTCAACTCGTTTTTGGAGTGATCAAGGTGTTGTTCTCCATGTATACACAAGGATATACGAGTTGGATTTGTTCTCTTTTTATAAAAGGCTATGTGGGACTTGCAAAACTTCTAGTGGCCCAGAGGAGGCAATGCCCCTGGGATTAAACTGTAAAGTCCACAGCGAGGGTTGCAGACTTGAGAAAAGTCATTTGAGACATAGAGCTGCTCTGCTGCACTTCCTTTTGCACAACTGCTTGCCCCAGAGAGGTCCTTGCTGAAAGCTTTACACACTTAGCAACTCCAGGGAACATGTAGCAAGGATCCCCTGGGAGGCCCGCATTTCCAGGAACATGAAATATAAGTAGGGGAGTATCTTGGGGTAGAAAGGATGCCGAGGAGAATGCTATAAGTTCTAATGTCATCAAAACCATCAGGTAATGGGCAGGAGTGGGGCCGAAAAGATGAGAGTAGCCAAAGAAGACAACTAGATGAAGGCTTTGGACCTTCCTGAATGAGGCTTATTAGGGTGTGGGAGGAAAACTCAAGTGACATAGGTGTTGATTCCCCTCAAAACCCATAACCATTTTCCAATTTAGGGAAACATACATTATCTGTGTTGTAAGAGTCTTAGGAAACAAATGCTCAAGGCTCTTCTCTTTTGAAGAGGAAGCTGAGGTTGAGTAAAAAGTTGCTCAACCTAATGCTTAGTGGCAACCAAATCGCTGACTTCGGAGGAGGCTTTTCCTATTATACCATAGGACCTCTGGCTTCTTTGCTTCTTCTTGACTTCACGGTTTTCCTTTTCGAGAATTCCTAGCACATACCCTTCGGGGATTATTTTTTCACCCAGCACAGTGTATCTGCTGGGTGAATTATCATCAGGCACCACGGGCCTAGGATATTATAGTTTTTGGAGATTCTGCATTTCTTTTATATTCCATTTTTTCTTCTTCTAGTTTTTATCAGGATAGTCTAAACACTTCAGAGGGGCTTCCTGAAAGAAGCTTCAACAGTCACTTTTGGGAGGTGACTTTTCTCCCTTCTCCAATGTTGTTGGTTATTTTCTCATTGGAAAGTACAGAGGGCTAGCAGTAGGAATTTTCTAGCTCTCCTGTTATTGGATGGTGGAATAGGGGAGAAAATCACTGAGTCACTGGAGCATAATATTATAACATAGAAAGGGATTAAAATGGGATCAGGAGCCTTGATTTCTAGTCCCACACCTGCTACCAACAGACTATGATATGGGGCCAACCATTTCTGCTTTTGGGGCTTCAGTTCCTCTAGTGTAAAGTGAGGAACATTGATTAGATAATGTCTCAAGTTCCTTTTAAGTGCTCAGATTTTACGAATAGAGGAAGAAGCTTGAAGTAATTTATATTCTATGTTTATCGCTTGTTCCTAGGAATCATGGATCACGTCAGTCATAACTGGACTCAGAGTTTTATCCTTGCTGGTTTCACCACCACTGGGACCCTACAACCTCTTGCCTTCTTGGGGACCCTATGCATCTATCTCCTCACACTTGCAGGGAACATTCTCATCATTGTCCTGGTACAGTTAGATTCTGGACTGTTCACGCCCATGTACTTATTTATCAGTGTCCTCTCCTTTGTAGAGGTGTGGTATGTCAGCACCACAGTGCCCATGCTGCTGCACACCTTGCTCCAAGGGTGTTCACCCGTCTCATCAGCTGTATGCTTTATTCAGCTATGTCTTTCATTCCTTAGGGATGACTGAGTGCTACCTGCTGGGTGTCATGGCACTGGATAGCTACCTTATCATCTGCCACCCACTCCACTACCACGCACTCATGAGCAGACAGGTACAGTTACGACTAGCTGGGGCCAGTTGGGTGGCTGGCTTCTCAGCTGCACTTGTGCCAGCCACCCTCACTGCCACTCTGCCCTTCTGCTTGAAAGAGGTGGCCCATTACTTTTGTGACTTGGCACCACTAATGCGGTTGGCATGTGTGGACACAAGCTGGCATGCTAGGGCCCATGGCACAGTGATTGGTGTGGCCACTGGTTGCAACTTTGTGCTCATTTTGGGACTCTATGGAGGTATCCTGAATGCTGTGCTGAAGCTACCCTCAGCTGCCAGTAGTGCCAAGGCCTTCTCTACCTGTTCCTCCCACGTAACTGTGGTGGCACTATTCTATGCTTCTGCCTTCACAGTATATGTGGGCTCACCTGGGAGTCGACCTGAGAGCACAGACAAGCTTGTTGCCTTGGTTTATGCCCTTATTACCCCTTTCCTCAATCCTATCATCTATAGCCTTCGCAACAAGGAGGTGAAGAAGGCTTTAAGGAGAGTCATGGCTGGGCGCGGTGGCTCACGCCTGTAATCCCAGCACTCTGGGAGGCCGAGGCGGGTGGATCACGAGGTCAGGAGATCGAGACCACGGTGAAACCCCATCTCTACTAAAAATACAAAAAAAATTAGCCAGGCTCGGTGGCGGGTGCCTGTAGTCCCAGCTACTCGGGAGGCTGAGGCAGGAGAATGGCGTGAACCCGGGAGGCGGAGCTTGCAGTGAGTCGAGATCGCACCACTGCACTCCAGCCTGGGCGACAGAGCAAGACTCCGTCTTAAAAAAAAAAAAAAAAAAAAAAAAAAAAAAAAAAGGCAGTCATTGACAGGATCAGAATTATTTTAAGGGAAGCTCAATGATCTAATTTGTCATAGCCCAGCTTGTTGGTAATTGTGAGAATCAGCTGGTTGGCTTGTCAATCATGTGGTCAGAGTCAAAGAAAATACCAGTAAAGAAATAAAAACGATCAGTAGTCAAACATGCTGCACACACCCATGCCTGAATTGGTGAAAGCTGGAAGATGTAAAGAGAAAGGGGTTATGGTCTCTGATTTCCCCATTCTAATGGGAAAGAAATGCAACAAAGGGAGGAAAAACAGGGATGCAAGAACAAGTGGTTAAGCTGCATTTATGACTTAGAGAGACAGTGCAATACAGAAAGAAAGAAGATAAATTAAAGCTAGGAGTGGCAGATTTAGTCAAGATAAGATTCTTGGAGAAAGGTTAAGAAGGTGGAAAACTAGGTTGGCAAAAAGGAGTCTAAAATGTTAACTTGTATAAAGTTGCAGATGTAGATCAGCGCACCATGAGCAGAATGCTTATCTATTTGTGGCATCCAGGGATTCTGGGTTATTATGTGACCAAATGTAGTTTGATGGAGAAAAAACCTGCAGTTCTGATCACGCTTCTTTTCTCTCCAGCTCCTCTATTGCTTCCTCTGCTGAGCAGAGTAATCTCCCATTCCTTGATGGTGTCTGAACTGGGGGCCAAGTACCTGCTAGAGTATGGTCAGATAAATTAGTGAGAAAATAGGACCAGATCTTGGAAGAGACTAAGTATTGCCTAATCTTGAATACTTTCCATTTTCCTCATTCCTACAGATCTTACTGCTTTATTTTATGTATGTCTGTACTATGCCAGAAATAGTTACAGCTGCCTTCATGTTTTTAAAAATTTAATCTTTATAATATCCCTCTGAAGAAGGAAGAACATCCCAATATTTACGTAATAAAATTATAAAGATTATTGAACTTGCAGTAAAGACAGACAGATTCAACCCTAAATCCACTTCAGCTGACTGAGTTACCCTCCTCAGCCTCATTCTCTCTGTCTGTAAAATGAAAGGCTGGCAATGAATGAGTGCTCACATTCCTCTCAGCTTAGGGAGTTTTGATTCTATGCTTACAGTACTTTTTTTTTTTTTTTTTTTTTTGAGATGACGTCTTGCTCTTGTCCCCCAGGCTGGAGTGCAATGGCGCGATCTCAGCTCACTGCAACCACTGCCTCCCGAGTTCAAGCCATTCTCCTGCCTCAGCCTCCCAAGTAGCTGGGATTACAGGCACCTATAGCACTTCTTAAGGAAAGCAGGACCTGAACTAGGTCCAGATGTGTAAGATCTGAATTTGCAGAGCAGAGATGGAAAGGTGTTGGTACAAATTCAGGTGTTGCCATTTTTGCCTCTATGATTTTGGGCAAAAAACATAAGCTCTCTCTAATGCCAGATTTGTTTTCCTTTAAAAAAAAAACTACATCAAAGTGTTCTAAAGTTAAATAACACATACTAAGTATTTCATAAGCAAGTTAGTCTCAGCATACCAGAATCAGGACAGTATAGTGCTTACACCACGGTCTTTGAAGGCTCTCTGCCTGTGTTCAAAAGTCAATTCTATCATTTATTTGCTGTGTGATCATATGCAATACACTTAAATTCCCTCCACCTCAGTTCCCTTACATGCAAAATGGGGACAATAAAAGAACGTTAAGCATGTAAATATTAATCATTGTTACTTCAGAGTTTTCCACATAAATGTCTTCAGTGGGGATTTATTTCTTTGATAATGCTTAGTTTTACAGCTATCTCACATTGTTATTACAATAGACTTGGTAACTCTCCAAATGAGGCATCTTCTTTTGACCTAAGGGTCCAAATTTATCTTGTCATAAACTGAGTAGTCCCTGCTTTCAAGAAGTCTATGCTGTTTCCCAAATACATGGTGCAAAACTCTATTCTGCTGACAGTCTGAGTCTACTGCTTTTGGGCTCCTTTTCTTTCTCTCCTTCTGCACCTCACTTCACTCAGACTACTCTTTTTGCAGGAACTATTATGGGCCCAACAGAAACTCTTTTTTCCCTGTGGTGGCAGCACTAGAAGATGGCTTAAATTGAAATGGCTTAGATCACATTAATTAATAGGTAATTATAGTAATAATAATTACTAAAACTGTTATAGCAATTCTTGATAATTACTAATATCTGTGGGGTGCATACTGTGCAGTGAACATGGGGGACTTACCATCCTGTAGTGAAGACATAAGCAGTCATCTAACAACTCAAAGTGGCTTATATCTCACTATTAATTTGTACTACAATGCATGGTATCCACTCATATTTGAACAAATGAATGAATGAACAAACTCTTAAGAGTCAAATGGGTGTGATAGAGATTGAGTTCCCCTCTTGAAACTCCACCAGAAGGTATTTTTTTAAGATCCATTTATAGCTGCAAACTCCCCTTGCCTTTCATTCTGTACTCTATTCTATATTCTTTTTTTTCTCTTGAGACCTCCTTGGGTATTTCCTTTAGAACATAAAGTTCAGGTCATCTTTAGCGCAGAGCTTCTCAACAGATATAAATAACAGATGTGCTGAGTTACTGAGTCCTTGCCCCTAACACACACCCTATGAATGGTCAGATAGGACCTAAGGGAATTGAAGTCCTTGGACTGGTTGCCTCAAGCAGTAAGTGGCCTTTCTGTTCACCTCAGTGTGTCCTACAGATACCATCACTTTTATAAGCGCTATGATATGAAAATAAAAGTTTGAGAAGTAGTGCCTTAGTGTGACATATTGGGGTAAGTGCCCAAGGTGAGGTCCAACTTTTGGCCACTTCTCCCATGGTGACAATTGGATATTGACTCTAGCAACATAGACAGTAAGAAGCAGTCACGTCTGAAAGGCAGCATAATCAGACCATTCACTTGGTACTAGCATCAAGGCTGACATTCTGTCATACAGGACATTCAAACTCAAGTACATCAGAGAACAAAATGAAATACTATCAATGTATCCAGTGACAACAGATATAAACCACAGTTGTACTGGGCAAACAAGGGCATGTGACCTTGATGTATCACTTCATTTACATAGTTGTTTTAAAAGTTTATTTGCTTCAATAAATAATATCTCTAAAAGGTTCAAAAATTCATCTTATGTGTGAAGTTGAAATTTTTTCTTACATGTTTAAAAAACTTATATTTTAAAAAATAATCAGGTGATTTGAGGATCTGTCTCCTCCCACTCTATATAATAAATATCTTAAGGGAAGCAACAGTGTTATACGCATCCCATTTTCTCCAGTTCCTAGAATAAAGTCTGGGACATAAAAGCTGTTTCAAAAATGTATTAAATAAATAGATAAATGAATTATTGTGAATTTCCCTATTTCTCACATTATGTTAGTTGCATTTCATATCATTTTTTTCCTAACATTTACAGCACATTTTAAAAATAATGTATTACATATAAATATAGGACATTAAATGTTTAGGTAAATAAAAATTTAAATTACTTATAATCCCATTACTTCAAAAATTATTTCTCTATTTATTTCTAAATTTTAGTAAGCATATGCTGTTTTTCCAAATAGTAGCAATGATACTATGAAAATTTGAACATGCTGAATACTACTTTTATCACTTAAGCTTTTAACAAATAATTTTAGATCTCACCTTTCTCCTCAAATAATGAATTGCTTGATGAAGATATCAGTGTAACCACAGAACCAGTTCAATCTGGTTTAACTTTGTCAATAACAAAATACAACAAAATGATGACTTGTTTTTTAGTTGCAATGGACCCTCAGGTTGTATGTAACCCAAGTGTGCCCAGATGAACCAAGTGTGCCAGATTTGTGACCCTGGAGCCAACCAGAACAAAAAAGTAAACCACATGCAGAACCTAAGTATTCAGACCAAAGGATGGTGATCAAATTAAAAAGGAAAGGAGACCTGTTTTGTTGCAGCACAATCCTAAAAGTCAAGGACCTGGCATAATCTCTTCTCAGGAACCAATCAGATAACGCTTTGTTGCATTTTCCTATCTCCCTCTTAATTGCTCTCTGCCTATAAAACCTGTCCCCAGACCTCAGTTAGGGGAGACAGATTTGAACATTGCCTCCTGCCTCATTGCTGGTCAACCTTGAAATAAGGCTTCTTCTTTCTTAAAAACTGGTGTCACAGTATTGGCTTCTAAGCTCATGGGACAGTGAACCCATTGCACAGTAATACCAGAACTTGTCATTTTCCCTCACTCTATTTCTGATACAGAATAAATGCCAAGTAAGCACTCTTTACTGACAAGTGGTGACATAAAAGAGAAGAAACAATGTTCTTGACTAGGCAAGAACTAAACTTGGAAGCCTTGATTGTTTAGTACGCATATCTACACTAACTGATTCTAGGTAATGTTTACAATTCTTATGCTCAGGTATTTGTCATGTTGATAGCCTTCTGAGGGATCATGCATGGGCATTGTAATTTATTCAGTCAATGCCAAGCCATACAGGTATACAGTTAGACAATACAAATGATGCAGAAAGTCTGTCTCAGAGTCTGGCTCACAAGAGGAAAAGAGGAACGTAGGAACACCAATGTGATGTGATATAGGGAGGAATAAAAATGAGTATTAAAGTGGCCACTTTGAGTACAGCACAATTATTCATTTGAAGAATTGGGATAGATGGCTAATCTATATATCCATGAAATAAAAATGAAAACAAAAGATCTGTTGGTGCTTGAGACTGTGGGAGATGCAGTAATTTAGTGAAGGATAGTTTCAACTATCCATCTTTGTGAAAGGTTAGGTATTTCAGAGTAAGTGGGACATAAGCTAAATGCTGATTAAGGTTGAATGAGACCCTCATATTGTCCAAAAATTTGAGAGACTCTTTCAATCCCAAAGTCACATTAGTACTCTCAGAAACAAATATCTTCCTTTCCTTTGGCTCAGAAACTTTCCGTCTCCTACAGGAAAGCTTTTCCAATTTGAACTCAGAACACTTAGTATTTTTCTTCCGTTTAATATGATTTACTTGTTAATCTTTTTATGGTTACCTCCGTATCTTAAATTTAATATAGCAACTGCTTTCTTTCCACCTGATTCTGAAAAATAAAAGTACATTTGGGGCTATGAATGATTCAAATACCTTACTTCTGATAGATAAATGCTGTAATTCCATTATTCATCTGGACTCCATATCCATCTAAGTACATGCCCACAGAGAACACACAGCTGAGATAAGAGTTCAGATGTCAAGATTAGGATGTTGATGAACATATTGAGGATATGGATATAAGTAAAAGTAATAATGAAAAAGTAGATTAGTCTCATGAAGATGCCTGGGTAATAATAATGGTAGTGATAATGTAAGTAATGGTAATAATACTGGTGATGGAGACTTAGACAAGTGTATTAGGTATTCAACATCAATCATTTGGAACAATGGCTAAAGATAGCTGACATGGCAAAGGGAGGGACAGTGGTGAGAGTAACAAAGGTAGAGATGGTAAGCGCAAAAGTGATAGTGGTGCCTGTGCTGTGATAATATGGTGATGTGGTGAGGTTAGTAGGGATGGATGAGAAATCTCCTTGCAAAAAAAGCTTTTAAGATGAAACTCACCTCTGGGGTGCTAAAGATGTGATTCTTCATGTATTCAAGTTGGATTGTCTCTTCTCATGAAAAGCTATGACGGGGAGGCCAAGGCGGGTGGATCACGAGGTCAGGAGAGCGAGACCATCTTGGCTAAAATGGTGAAACCCTGTCTCTACTAAAAAATACAAAAAATTAGCTGGGTGTGGTGGCACATGCCTGTTGTCCCAGCTACTTGGGAGGCTGAGGCAGGAGAATCGCTTGAACCTGGAAGGCAGAGGTTGCAGTGAGCCGAGATCGCTCCACTGCACTCCAGCCTGGGTGACAGAGCAAGACTCCGTTTCAAAAAAAAAAAAAAAAAAAAAAAAAAGTGCTATGAGGGACTTGCAGAACTTCTAGAGTCCCAGAAGAGGCAGTGTCCCTGGGATTGGATTCTAGAGCCAGTGAGGGTTGCAGAAAAGCCATTTGAAAGAGAGTAGGGCTGCTTTACTTCTCTGTGTCCAACTTCCTACCCCAGAGGAGCACTTACAAAAAACTTTACACACTTAGCAACTCCAGAGAACATATAGCAAGGAGCCCCTGGGAGGTCAGCATTTCCAGGAACATGAAATATAAGTAGGGGAGTGTCTTGGGGTAGAAAAGATGCAGAGGAGGATGTTGTAAATTCTAATGTCATCAAAACCATCAGGTAATGGGCAGGGGTGGTACAGAAAAGATTAGAGTATCTAAAAAAGAGAACTAGGTAAAGGCTTTGATCTTTCCCAGATAAGGACTATTAGAATATGGAAAGAAAACTCCAGGGACATTGATATAGACCACCCAACTCCATATCCACCCTAGAAACATTTTTCAATGGCTTTAGAGATCCACAGACTACCAGGGTGGTGAGGGGCTTTATACAACATTTATATAGAGAAGGGGAAGTTGAAGTAAAGAAAGGAGAAATGGTTAAGCCCAATGTTCATTTTGAGTTAGTGGCAAAACAAGTTTACAAAGTCAATTTAGAAATAGAATGCTTTTTCTGTTGCGCTACAGCCCTTCTAGACCAACAATATAGGGGCCTTAGCTTACCAATTCCTCTCTCTCCTCATTCCCTTTGAGAATTCCTGATGCATGTCTCCCTTAGGAATCCTTCTTTAAAATGTACTTTGTCTGTTCATTGATTCTTCATGTAACCCTGCAGTTCTGACTTTGACAGATGGGACATTTCTTTAGGGACTAGATGGATACTTTTCTGTCTCTCCTGTTTTCTGGCAAGGTGGGTGGGAAAAAAACCCCGGCATTTAACAATTTTGTTTTAAGGAGCCAACCCACTCTCTCTCTCCCCACCGCCACCCCCACCTTTTTCTCTTCTTCACATACACACACAGACAGACCACACACACACACACACACACACACACACCAGTATGTGCAGCAACATACTGACTAACACCAAGAAACAGACTTTTTTTCATTTTGTTCTATGTACTTTTGTGATGATGGGAGGTCATGAAAAGTGGTGGGAAGGAGTGCATGGATTGGTGAGAAGTGAATGAGCAAAACAAAAGAAAGTCTCATGGAAGTGTAGAAGTGTATTGTGATCTCTTCTCATGCCTTAGACTTTAGAATGCTAACTGGGCACCCAGTTGCTACTTCTCTGAAGGTTCTCTGAAGACCAAGCGTGGAACTGTAGGATCCTACTAGGAGATTCCCTGTCTGAGGATAACATAGCCATAGCTTATTGAAGATACAAAAAGAAAACTTATTTTTGAAATAAAAACTCTCTGGACAACCTTTTAAAATTTCTTTTTAGTGATAGCGTAAGTTTTGGGTTTCCTGTTTTTGAAAAATGATGTTGAAATGCTTTCTTTCCAAATGCAGGGATGACTTTGTATTTATTTTAGCTTATTTTAAGAGAAAAGATATGTGTAGAGAACAATGTGTGTGGAGTAGCATACAGCAGCATTATCTCCCTCTCAATTTAGTAAATTTGACTAAGATCACAGAATGTTCTGGGGTCCCCACCTATTAAATGTGGATAAGTTGTCCAATTTGAGGTTTTTCTATGGCAATATACCCTCAGGTAAATTTTCTCTGAGCATCCAGCTCAGATACGGACTATATTCTCTTTTCTGACATTTGGTGGATCCTAAATAAAGGCAAACCAATTTTAATATTGTCAAACCTTGAAAATTAATGTTGTGGAGAAAAACAACAACAGCAAAATAGTAGAAATCAAATCCTTGATTTTTTTTTTCTTTCCTAGGTAAAAGCAACTTTTCCTTTGTGGTATGGGGTAGATAGGTTCAACTGTTGGGGTAAGCCAAGACAACTTTTGAAGACTTGCTTTGAGCAAACACCATTTGCAGCTAGGTGAATTCCACCAGGAAGTCACTGAGAATCATTGAACTTCTGATTTAAACGGTGCTTAAGAAGTCATCTGGTCTAAACCCCTCTGTCTTTACAAAAACATAAAACTGAAATCAAGAGGTAGGGAATAACTTAATTAATTAAGGTTACATGGCAACTTAGAAACAGACTGAGAATGGGATAGCACCAACGTTTTCTAACGCTTTCCAGTATACCTTTTGGCTTCTTTTTTTTTTCCATTTTATCTGAAGTAGAAAGCCTCTGGCACCAAGCACCATGCAACACATGTAGGCGGGAAAGCAGATACAATGAGTCATAGACTTCTTCTAGGGCCCTATCTTCCCATAGAGTAACTCATATCTGTAGACAACATGGCTGGCTGTGGAGGTTCACAAGTCTTGTCCAGCCACCCTTTCTTCTCTCAGACTCCTGCAGTCTCAATTTTCCTTTCCAGAAGTAAGTTTGGGTTTCATACTACACAAACCATCCCATGATGTCGCTTAATTTTGTGATCCTTGATTATACAAGGATCCCTGACTACACAAACATACGATTTATAGTTGGATGTCCTTTGTCTATTTTCTCATTAAATCTCCCACAGAAGGTAAATAGATAAATGTCTTTTCAACATTAGTTAGTAGGTAGATTCTAAACTTAATCCAAAAGATTTAACTTTCATTTAAAAACCAAGAGGATCTAATCATGTTGACTGAGTTTTCACCCTCCTTACCATCCCTGACAACTGTGGGTTTTTAGAACATATATGATCCCACAAGTCAGCCTACATATGACCTTTCACTTGAATGACCTTCTACTTAAACGTAGGCTAGAGAGAGAAAATCCTTTTAAACACGATTTATATGAGCCTGCAGAGTAATTATTGGGAAGGTATTTTTTGTCTATGTTTATTAAGGTCTAAACGTAATGCCAATATTTTATGGGTACGTTCGTCATTTCTTTGGCTAACGTGGTGAACAAATCATACAGTCTTTTTAAGCTTTCTCCAAACATTGACTAGGTGTGAGATAAATGGGGATCAAGTCACCTGGAATCTTCTCAGGTAAAAACTTTAGCAATAGAAAAAGATTTTTATTTTAATGAGAAGGTCTATTTCAGATCAACTAAATTAGATACTTTGAAAGTGGGGTCTAGTAATTGGTGTTTTAATAACTTCAGGATGTTATGCATGCAAGTTAAAGTCTGAGAACCAGCCGTCTACTCCAATTGGTGGGACTGGAAGGGGGAACTGGGCATATGTAGCACAGTTCTTTCCTGTGCTCTTCTCCCAGGGAGCCAGCCTGCCCGGTTTGTGTGTTCTGCTCTGCTTTCTGCCATGCAGTGGAAGGAGGTCTGTGGCTTTCCATGCTGCACAGTAATCACGTAAAAGCACTGTAAGGAAAATTAACACGCCCACTATCAGAGTAAGACATTTGAAATCTCTCCCCTTAGGAATAAAAACACCAGGCAAATAAATCATAAGTATATATATAAATTATTTGTAGAATAATTAACAAGGTCCACCTACTGGAGGCACATGGAATAAAGATTGATTTCAAGCACAGTGGAATTAAACAAATGCTTGGCCATAAAACAAGTGTCAATACAGTTAATAGAATTAATAATATTAATATAATATAGACCTCTGCTTCTACTAGTGATATAAATAAATTAGAAATAAATAAATGATAAATTTCACATGTCCATATGTTTGATATTTAAAGAAAATACTTCCATACAACTTACTCTCAGAAGTATCATAGGAAAAGTAGAAAACATCTATATCTGAACAATAACAAAAAGTATAATTTCAAAATATTTGGGAAAAAGTGCTTTTTAGAAGTTTATAGCCTTAAATTTAATATTATTTAAAAAGTATAAAATTAATTAACTAAGCATTCAAGTTTAAAAATTAGAAAAATAATGTTAGGGCAAAAAAAGAAAGTGTAAGAAAAAATCTGGGAGCAGAAATTAATACAATAAAAATAAATATATGACAAAAATGATATACTAATAAAAATGTTGGTTCCTAAAAATAAAAATAAACTCCTGACAAGACTAATAAAAAATAAAGGAGAGAGAGGGGCAAAAATAAGAAAGATTAAGAATGAACAATTGGCAGAATTACAGATGCATCAAAGTTTAAAGTTATAATAACATATTACTAATAATATATGCCAGTTAATTAAAATTTTAAATTGGCTGGATTCATTTCTAAAAAATTATAAATTAGAAATATCAACATCAGAATTAATATAAAATCTAAATGATATTAAATTAGAAGTTAAAAAATCACTAGAAAGAAAACATCAGTGGCAGCTTGCTTAATAAGTGAGTTCTATCTAATATTGACGAAAAACATAGTTCCTATTTTTACATTCTTCTGAGAATTAAAACACTGGCAATGCAGCTCAACAGTGCATTTTACAAAGATAGCCTAACAGTGATTCCAAAATAAATAAAACTAGTAATGTGAAAAAATAGATGATAATATCATTCATTAACATATATGCAAAAGTCTTCCTCCAAATATTCCTAAGCTAAATTCAATAATCCCAGTTAAGAACAAAACAAGATTAATTACCAATATTACTTTTATTTAATATTGTACAGAAAAAATATGACTTAGGTCACCAAAATGATAGAGTAGAAGCAACCTGGCTCCACTACCCTCGATCTCATAGAAAATAAAAAACAAACAACAAAATATACACATACAGTGCAGAAATTATCACTAGCAATATCCCAGAACCCAAATAGAAGGATGAGATAGTTTCTGGGGTTGCAGAGAAGTAAAAACGCTGTGCAGAGGGTGATAGAATCGGATTTTTATAAGTATAACGCTTTCCCCCCGATTTGTCATGAACCAGGCATTTGGGAAATTTCCCCTGATTCACAGTTACTACATTGGAAAAGGTAAGTTCAAGATGGACAGCCAGCTTTCTCAACATCTTGGGTTTCCTGGCAGGAGACCTGTTCCTGCCTCAACACACAGAAAGGTGCACAAGTACTTGAATGGAGAAAAATTCCTGAAGAATGACAGAGACAAAGGGGGCAGGTGGGGCTAGCAGCATCCCCAGCCTGGGAAACTCTCTGTATCTTGGCTGAAGGAGTTGCCAAATTAGAGTGTTCAGTAGAACCTCACTGTAGGAGGTATGTTCTGTTAGTCTCTTGGGCACAAAATCCTAGACAGCTTTCCCATTCTGCTGCATTATCCCCTTTGGGACCTCCCCCATCCTGGACAGGCAGCACTCTGAACACCTGCTAAAACAGAGGTAAACCTGGACTTAGTTGCCACTTAGTGCTGAAAAGGAGGCAGTGACCTACAAAAAAAAAAAAAAGGTAAGTTGTAAAGAAAACGCTAAGCAAACATATCCAATAAAAACAAAAATATATCAGATAAAGGAGACTGGAATAAATAATTTTTCAATTTAAAGACAAATGTACATACACAAACAGAAAATCATGAGCTCCCCAAATTGACAAAGCAAGGAACCAGTAACCAACACTAATAAGACAGCAATAGGGAAGTTCCCTGATTAAGAATAAAGAGAAGTTTTAATAAAACTCAAAGATATTCAAAATAATACAAAAAAGCAATTTAGAAATGTATCAGAAAATTTTAACAAAGAAATTGAAATAGTGAGAAACAAATCAAATAGGAACCCTGGAAATTAGAAGTATATTTGCTAAACTGTAAAATTCTTTAGAGGCTCTCAACAGCGGAATGGATCAGGCAGAGGAAAGAACCAGTGAGCTCAATGACAGGGTGTTGGAAAATACACAGTCAGAGAAGAAAAAAGAATGAAACTAAATGAAGGAAGCCTACAAGACATAGAAAATTACCTCAGAGGAGCAAATCTAAAAAACTGAAGTTCAAGAGGGAGCTGAGCATGAGCAAAGAATAGAAAGCTTAACAAAAAGATAACTGATGTACTTTTAAGGTACCAAATAAGACCCCTCCAGGTTGCCCATGATTATGGAAAACTCTGAAGCATACTAGGTCCTTGAGCTGTCCCTTTGACTCTAAGTACTTTCCAAGAAGCCCCTTTTACATCCTTGTTCCTGAGGCTGGAGATGATGGGTTTTATGAAGGCAGAGACAATGCTGTAGAACAGCACCAACTGTTTTCCCACTGTAGGTTATACTAGGAGTCAGACCTCAAGTACGTGATCATGGCGGGCCCTTAGAACATGGTGACCACACTTTTACTTTTTTTCCATGATGGCAGGTTGAAGGCATTGTTAACGTGATTCTACCACTTAGAAAGACAAAATGGTGTGTAGAGATTCATGCTGTGGACTTTTTTCCAAGAAGCAGCACAGGAACTTAACAGGAAAACTGAAAGAAGCCGCAAACTCTGTGAAAGAAGTAGTGTGCAGCAGCCTACACTGTGAACCAGACAGAAAACTGAGTCTCCAGAGCATAAGAAGTGGGGAGACCGCTGTCATGACACACATTCCCACAGTGGGGAGACTGTTGCCATAACACACATTCCCAGAGGGGAGCTGGGCAATCCAGGCCATGGGGGAAGGCCTTATCCCTACTCAATGCTGGGGCTGATTTAGGGAGCAGTGGGCAAAATATGAGAAGGAACAACATGGGGACATACTTTGCATGCACTCCCAGATGCCACTGGAGATGGAGGGAAGCCATTCCTGATCCTACCTCACAAGGGACCTTGCAGAAGTCTACTGGCATCAGGCAGTGGTCACAGGTTGAGAGAAGCTCTCAACTGAGATTTGCAGTATAATCTGAGTAGGGGTGAACCACAGTGGCCAGAACCAGCAAGCAAGTGAGAAGTGTGCTACAGACATGGGCACAGAAGCTGGATGCCCCTGTGTTATGAGCAAACCAGGAGGGGTGTGGCCTGAAAGCCATGATTTCTGTCTCCCTTGGGAAGGCTTATGGTTTGGGGCATAAGTCTTCTGAGTGAAGGCTGCCTGGAACTCAGCTAGCTGCTGCCAGCAAAACACTGTGTATGTGAGACCTGACCTGCCAAGTGTGTGAGAGCTAAGTGGGGCTTATTTCCACTTACTACACCCCCCTGCCTGTTTGGAGTCTTTTGTGCAGCAGAGGAAGCTACACTCTTCCTTGGAACATTACCCCAGCAGCCAGGGAACTGCCCTCTGGGGCCACTGCCTGCACCCACATGTGGGGAGCCAGAGTACAGACTTACCTGGCTCAGCCCCCCGCCTGGCTTTGCCCCTAGATCCACCTTGGTAGCGTAACACTATGTATAAAGATGTTTAGGAATTCCATGGGAGCTTTGGGACACCCACCAATTGCTTGAGATGCCAGACCACCTTCCCTGGGTAACATATGGCAAACACAAATTCCACTGCCATTACTGCAGCTGATGTTCTTTTACGGGTACCACCTCCTGGTTGGAAGCAACCAGGACAGCCTTTTACAACATCTGGAGGCAAAATAACACTGTGTTTAGGAAGGAGGAAACTTCTGTGTAATTTCTGCTATTGCCATTGACTGCATCATCCTGGCTAGCCAAGAGGTCTTGAATCTATCCACATGCTCAATACATTATTTCTACAGCTGACATTCAAGAAAGCCAACACACTAAGGCTATTTCTAACTAAGGAAACCTTAGAGTCTACTAACTTCTTATCCCCGTAAGAGCTGGTGCTGGTACCTGCTGCTGGGAGACTAGAGGAAAGATCATATCACAGGATCCCTTGCAGACGCTCCCTGGCAACAGCGTGGAGTGTGGAATCCCCACTGGGTGGCTCGACCCAGAGGAGCAGCAGGATTCGTAGTAGTCTGGCCCTCAGGGATTGCTACTCCTAGGGGAAGGGGGAGTGCATCACACTGAGAGATCATCCCATGAGAGAGAAGAGGCCATATTGCAGGCCTTAAGTCCCTGAACTTTCCGCTTATGGGATTGAAGAGGCACAGGTGCAGTGCTGGGCTAGTTGGGGAATGTCTTTAAATCTACTTTGACAGGCAGGCAGCCCTGACGCTTGTGAAGAGTGTAGGAGAAGGGGACTTTTCTCCCCAATGATTACTACTACAAACAAAGCTGAGACTTCTGCTATGGGAAATCAGCATGGGTGCATCTGTAGACAGCCTTTCTGAAATACTTTGATGTGACACATCCCCATAGGAGGAGTGCCCTCCAGGTTCAGGCTTGCATGAGAGGTAGAGTCACTATCGCCCTCTACATAGAACATCAGGATTCCTGCAGATAAAAGGAAGTGCCTTTCTAATCTGAATAGCCGGAACATCAGCTTAGGAGTGTGGGTGGAAGAAGGATCAATTTTCCGATGGCTGGGAAGGAGAGCTGTGGTGGCTCCTGCTCCTCCTCCTGAAAAGACCTGGTGCATCTCACTGAGAGATTCTGCAGCTACCTCTATCAAGGCTGGGACCTCTGCTCACCATTGAGGTATTGCATTTACCCACCTGCTTTAGCTGCAGCTGGATCTTACCCATGGGCACCTCCTACTGGCCTGAAGCCTAAACTGTTCAACCCAGTGAATAAAATACTAGGAAAAAAAATTTAAAAAGTGCACACCACTGAGGAATAAAATAAGTTTCATGAGACCTCTGACATTCCAGCCCCACAGGAGACAGTGAACCTGCTTACACACCCAGCACATAGCTACTACAACCAGCATCTGAGAAAGTTACTGTACAAAGATTCTCTATAACCAAGAAATTCATAGAGTCTTTGCCATTGAAAATACACATAGCCAAAGCCAAGTACCAACAAACTATAAACATTGAAGTCACATCCTAAAGGGGAAAATATAAATTTAAAAAACTCAGAATCAAAACTAAGTTGAAAAATAATTAGAAGAAATAGTCTAGCAAAATGTGAAGGAACCCAGAAATAATAATTATGGCAATATAAAAAAACAGATTTCTATGAAACTCACAAAAGATAACACTAACCCTCCTGCAGTGGATTCAAACCAAGATGAAATCTTTGAAATACCAGTTAAGACATTCAAAAGGTTGATTATTAAGTTACTCAAGGAGATACAAAAGAAAAATGAAAATCAACATGAAAAAATAAAAAAAAAACTTCAGGATATGCATAAAAAATTTTCTAGAGAGACTGATACTTTAAAGGAAAAACAATGAGAACTTCTGGAAATGAAAAACACATTTAAGGAACTGCAAAAAGCAGAGAAAAGTTTTAACAGTAGATTAGACCAAACTGAAAAAAGAATTTCAGAGCTCAAAGGCAAGGTTTCAAAGTAACCCAATCAGACAAAAAGGAAGAAAAAAGAAATGAACAAAGTCTCCAAGAAATATGGGATCATGTAAAGTGGCAAAACCTAATAATTATAGGTGTTTCTGAAGTGGAAGAAAAAGCAAAAGTTTGGAAAACCCATTTCAGGTAATTGTTGAGGAAAACTTCCCTGGCCTTGCTAGAGATTTAGATGTTCAAATACCAGAAGCTCAAAAGCATTAGGTAACCTATAAAAGAAAACCTATCAGACTAACAGCAGGCTTCTCAGTGGAAATCTTACAAGCCAGAAAAGACTGGGGTCCTATCTTTAGTTTCCTTAAACAGAATAACTGTACTGTCAACCAATAATTTTTTACTCCATAAAACTAAGTTTCATAAATGAAGGAGAAATAAAATCATTCTCAGACAAACAAAAGATGAGTGAATATGTCAACATTAGACTAGCCCTGCAAGAAATGCTAAGGGGAGTTCTAAATCTTGGGAAAAAAAGGTTAATACACATCAGAATAGAAACTCCTAAAGGGCTTATAAAATAATAACACAGTGAAGAAAACAGTCACTAGGTAACAGCATGATGCCTGGAACAGTACCTCACATCTCAATATTAACATTGAATGTAAATGATCTAATTGCTCCACTTAAAAGTTTCTGATTGGGAGAATGGATTAAAAAAATCACAAATCACATATCTGCTTTCTTTAGGAGACACACTTAAAATGTAAAGATTCTTATAGGCTCAAGGTAAAGGGGTGGAAAAAGTATTTCTTGCAAAGGGAAACTAAAAGGGAGAAGGAATAGCTATTCTTACATCAGGTATAACAGACTTTAAAGCAACAGTAAAAAAAATACAAAGAAGGTTACTATATAATGTTAAAAAATAAACTCTCAACAGGAAGATATAACAATCCTAAATATATCTGTATCTAACTCTGGAGTCCCCAGATTTATAAAGCAATTACTACTAGACCTAAGAAAACAGATTGACAGCAACACAATAATAGTGGGGTACTTCAACACTCCACTGGCAGCACTAGACAGATAATCGAGGCATAAAGTCAACAAACAAACACTGGACTTAAACTGTGCTGTAGAACAAATGGACCTAACAGATATTTACAGAACTTACTACCCAAGAACTGCAGAATGTGCATTCTCCTCATTGACACATGGAACATTCTCCAAGCTAGACTATATGATAGGCCAGAAAAGAAGTCTCAATAAACTTTTAAAAATCAAAATTGACCGGTCACTGTGGCTCACGCCTGTAATCCCAGCACTTTGGGAGGCCGAGGCAGGCAAATCACGAGGTCAGGAGATCGAGACCATCCTGGCAAAAATGGTGAAACCCCATCTCTACTAAAAATATGAAAATTAGCTGGATGTGGTAGCGCATGCCTGTAATCCCAGCTACTCTGGAGGCTGAGGCAAGAGAATCGCTTGAACCCAGGACTCGGAGCTTGCAGTGAGCTGAGATCGCGCCACTGCACTCCAGCCTGGTGACAGAGTGAGACTCTGTCTCAAAAAAAAAAAAAAAAAAATCAAAATCATATCAAGTATCTCCTCAGATCACAGCAAAATGAAACTAGAAATCAATTCCAAAGGAACTCTCAAAACTATAAAAATACATGGAATTAATCTGCTCCTGAATGAATTTTGAGTTAATGAAATTAAGAGAAAAATTAATTTTTTTCAAATAAATGACAACAGCAACACAAGTTATCAAAACCTCTGGGATAGAGCAAACACAGTGCTAAAAGCGATGTTTATAGCATTAAAGGTCTATATCAAAAAATTGTAGATTGCGTTGGGCAATTTTTAAAAAAATCCTCAACAAAATAGTTGCAAATGGAATACAACAGCACATCCAAAAAGTAATTTGACATGATCAAGTTGGTTTCATTCCAGGGATGCAGGAGGATTCAACATACATAAGTCAATAAATGTGTTTAATCGCATAAACAGAATTAAAAACAAAAACCTGTGATCATCTCAATAGATGCAGAAAAAGCATTTGGTAAAATCCAGCATCACTTTACGATAAAAACCCTCAACAAACTAGGCATAGAAGGAACATACCTCAACATGGTAAAAGCCATATATGACAAAATCACAAAACCACCTCCATGGTCCAATCACCCCCATCTGGTCCCACCCTTAACATGTGAAAATTATTACAATTTAAGATGAGATTTTGGTGGGGACACAGGGCCAAAACCATATCACTCATGAATTAAAAAAATTAATACTATTAAAATGTCAAAGCTATCTAAAGCAATCTGTAGATTCAATAAAATCCCTATCAAAGGCCCGGCGCAGTGGCTCACGCCTGTAATCCCAGCACTTTGGGAGGCCCAGGCAGGTGGATCACGAGGTCAGGAGATCGAGACCATCCTGGCTAACACGGTGAAACCCCATCTCTACTAAAAATACAAAAAATTAGCCAGGCGTGGTGGCGAGCACCTGTAGTCCCAGCTACTTGGGAGGCTGAGGCAGGAGAATGGCATGAACCCGGGAGGCGGAGCTTGCAGTGAGCCGAGATTGCGCCACTGCACTCCATCCAGCCTGGGTGACAGAGCGAGATGCCGTCTCAAAAAAAAAAAAAAAAAATTCCCTATCAAAATACCAATTGATATTCTTCACAGAAACAGAAAAAAACAACCTAAAGTTTATATGGAACCAGAAAAGACCCCAAATAGCCAAAGCAGTTTTGAACAAAAAGAACAAAGCTAGATATATCACAGTACTTGAATTCAAAATATACTACAAAAGTATAGCAAGCTAAACAGCATGGTACTGACATAACAACAGATACATAGAGTAATGGAACAGAAAAGAGAATCCAAAAATGAATACACACATTTACAGCCAACTCATTGTTGACAAATACACCACGAACATACATTGAGGGAAGAACAGTCTCTTCCATAAATGGTGCAGGAAAAACTAGATGACTATATGAAGAAGAATGAAACTAGACTCCTTTCTCTCACAACATAAAAACATTAAATCAAAATGCATTAAAGACTTAAATCTAAGACTTCAAATGACAAAACTATCAGAAGAAAACATTGGAGAAATACTTCAGGGCATTGGCCTGGGCAAAGATTTTTGTGTAAGACTTCAAAAGCACAGGCAACAAAAACAAAAATAGCCAAGTGGAATTATATGAAGCTAAAAAGCTTCTGTACAGCAAAGGAAACAATCAACAAAGTGAAGAGACAACCCACACAATGGGAGAAAATATTTGCAAACTATCTATCTGACAAAGGGTTAATGACCAGACTATATCTGGAACTCAAATAACTCCATAGTAAGAAAACAGATAATCCAATTTTTAAATGGGCAAAAAAATCTGAATGGATATTTCTCAAAAGAATATATATAATGGCTAGGAGTTATAGAAATAAAAAGCTCAACCTCACTATTGATCAGAGAAATGCAAACCAAAACCACAATGAAATATCATCTCATCACAGTTAAAATAGCTTTTATAAAAAAGAGAGGGTAAAATGGATGAGGATGTAGAAAAAGGGGAATGCTCATAGGCTGTTGGTGAGAATTTAAATTAGTACAGCCACTTTGGAAAACAGTATGGAGATTCCTCGTAAAACTAAATACAGAACTACTGTATAATCCAGCAATCCCACTACTGTGTATATATTCAAATCAAGGAAATGTATTGAAGAGATATCAGCACTCCCATGTTTATTGCAGCACTGTTACAATAGCCAAAATGTGGAATCAGCTAAAGTGTACATCTGTGGATAAGTGGATTAAGAAAATGTGGCATATACACACAATGAGATACTATTCAGCAATAAAAAAGAATGAAATCTTGTCATTTGCAGCAACATGGATGGAACTTGAGGTAATTGTGTTAAGTGAAAGAAGCCTAGCATGGAAAGACAAATATCACATTATCACTCACATGTGAGAGGTAAAAAAGTGGATATCATGAAGATAGAAAGTTGGTTGTTGGTTACCAGGAAAGGTAGAGGGTGAAGGAAATAAAGTTTATTACATATTTTGTCAATTTCTATGGTATTTCCTTTTTTGGGTTTTTAGAAATATTCTAACTTCTAAATAAAAACAGAAAAGCTAAAATGAGGCCCTTCTGTCATCCTTCCACCTCAAGTCAAAGGTTATGTATAACATAAACATCAAGTTGGATAGAAAATAAAGATGATTGTGCTAATAATGAAAAAGGAAATATTGATTAATGGGTACAAAACTACAATTAGACAATAAATAAGACCTAGTGTTTGATAAATCAGTAGGGTGACTGTAGTAAACATTAACCTAGTGTATATTTCTAAACAGCAAGAAGATAATAATTCAGATGTTTCCAGCTAAATAAAGATAAATACTTAAAGTGATGGCTATACTAATTACCATAATTTGACACATTACATGAATGTATCAAAGTATCACATGTATCCCTCAAATAGGTACATCTATTATGTAATGAAAAGTATGTGATAAAACAAAAATATATACTGTACAGGATATACTATCTAATATATAAAATAAGCAAAAATAGTAAAGATATTAAAAATATAAATACATGCTTTATGACATCCTAGAATCTACTAAATAATGTCTTGCAACTGATGACAAACATGAAAGTTTACATTTTATATGTCTAATAAAAATTAACAGCAATACTGCCCTGACTTCTCTCCTTGAATGCACAGAAACAAGATAGATGAGATCTGTGCTTATGATAGACTTCTAGGCAGACTTAACATTAATCCCATTTAAGAACTTTTCTTAAATTTTATTAGTACACACAATTGTGTAGTTTACAGGGTCTGACATAATTATATTTTTATGCTTCTTCTATTAACAATAATCAACAAATTTATAAACATTTCTAAACAAATTTTGATTTCTGAAGGATATGCTTTATATTTTTCTTTCAGTTATAGCTTATCTCCTCTTAGTAGGTGGGCTAGTCAGACTTTTTGTTTTTCTCTTTCAAAAGGAGGCTTAGCATTTCCACTGTGATCACTGCCCTTACCAGGTCTGCTCAAATTATCTCTGCCATCATCCTGTCAGACAAAGGACACTGCCTGCGTCTTCTGAGTTCCAGGATGCCTGGTGGATATAAGGCTCTAAAAGTCTCTGTATTAGTAAGTGCATTTAAGTCTAAATAAGAGAAAACTTGTGGGGGAATATGTATTTCCCTAAATGCACTGGGGATGTTTTCACTGGAGAAATATTTTCTGAGAAAGGGAGAGATATATTTTCAAGAATCAGGTCAAATGAGAGAATTCTCAAAATACCAGAACTGGAGAAATACTATTCAAAATAAAATGTTCGTGTGTATTTGTGTATGTGTGTGTGTGTGTGTGTGTGTGTGTGTGTGTGTGAGAGAGAGAGAGAGATAGAGAGATAGATAGAGAGAGAGAGAGAGAGAAAGTATATACATGTAATGGTTTGCTAAACTGCAAGCCTGTATCCAGCTAAGGCCCATGGACCAAACAAGATAGTTCGTTTTTGTAAATAAAATTTTATCAGATCACAGCTACATTTATTTGTTTACATATTGCTGATGGCTACATTTGTGCTACAAAGCCTGAGCTTAGTAGTTGTGACAGTGTATTTGGCCTTTCTTGGATTGTTATAAAGAAATACTTGAGACTGGGACTTGAGATTAATTTTTAAAGAAAAGGGGTTTAGTTGGTTCACAGCTCTGCAGGCTGTATAGGATGCATGATGCCAGAATCTGCTCAGCTTCTGGTGAGCCTTCAGGAAGATTTCAATCATGACAGGAGGCAAAAGAGGAGCCAACATGTCACGTGGTAGAGCGAGAGCAAGAGGGGGAGGAGATGCCACACACTTTTAAGCAACAAGATCTCACAAAAACACACTATGGAGAATCGCACCAAGCCATGAGGAATTCACCCCCATGACCGAACATGACTCAAACACCTCTCCCAGGCCTCACATCCAACATGAGATTTAGAGAGGACAACATCCAAACTCATTACAGTTCAACATGAGATAAAAAAAAATCAATAGTATTTGGAGTACAGGTGGTTTTCTGTTACATTGATAATTTCTTTACTGGTGATTTCTGAGATTTTGGTGCACCTGTCACCTGAGCAGTGTGCACCATACCCAATATGTAGGCTTTTATTTCTCATCCTCCTCACCTTTTCCCCCCTGAGTCCCCAAAGTCCATTGTGTCATTCTTATGCCTTTGCATCCACATAGCTTAGTTCCCACTTACAAGTGAGAACATATGATATTTAGTTTTCCATTCCCAAGTTACTAGAATAATGGTCTCAAGCTCCATCCAACTTGCTGCAAATAACATTATTTTGTTCCTTTTGATGGCTGAGTAGTATTACGTGGTGTATATATACCACATTTTCTTTATCTACTTTATCTACTGGTGGATGGGCACTTAGGTTGGTTCCATATCTTTGCAATTGCAAATCGTGCTGCTACAAACATGCAGGTCCATGTCTTTTTCAAATAATGACTGCTTTTTCTTTGAGTAAATACCCAGAACTGGGATTGCTGGATTGAATGGTAATTCTACTTTTAATTCTTTAAGGAATCTCCCTACTGTTTTTTATAGTGGTTGTACTACTTTACATTCCTGTCAGCAGTGTAAAAATGTTCCTTTTTCGCCACATCCCTGCTAACTTCTATTACTTTTTAACTTTTTGATTATGGCCATTCTTGCAGGAGTAAGGTGGTCTCTCATTACGGTTTTAATTTGCATTTCCCTGATAATTAGCAATGTTGAGCATTGTTTTCATATATTTGTTGGCTGTTTGTGTATTCTTTTTTGAGAGTTTTCTATTCATGTCCTTTGCCAAATTTTTGATAGGATTATTTGGTTGTTTTGTGTTCCTTGTAGATTCTGGATATTAGTCTTTCGTTGGATGCATAGTTTGTGAATATTTTCTTCCACTCTGTGGTGTGTCTTTTTACTCTGCTGATTATTTCTATTGCTGTGCAGAACCTTTTAGTTTAATTAGGTCCCATATATTTATTTTTGTTTTTGTTGCATTTGCTTTTGGGGGTCTTAGTCATGATCATGAGATTTAGAGGGGACAACATCCAACACGAGATTAAGACGAGGGCTTGAAAAGTCTAAAATAATGACTACATGGCCCTTTAAGAAAAAGTTTGTCTGCTCCTGCCCTAAAGTATTTATTAGTATCCTGTATAGATAGGTAAATTTCATATTGATTAAATTATAATCTCAGGATAAATTGTATTCTCAGTACAAATTAATAAGTGGTTACATATTATTTTTATGTTAGTTTTCAACTTGGTATCTCCCCACTGATGAGTCTGAATTCTGAGCCAGCATCCTTAGGTACTTTGCACAATGTCTCTCCTAGCTCTATGTAGTTATTACTAGGGCTCTTCACTTTTATTTCACTCTCCCTGCATGATTCCAGTCTTAAGAACATATCCTGGATACACTTTGGGGAGAAAAATAAAAATGTGGCTTGGATGAGAGTATTGTTAGGAGAATTTATAGGTAGATGCGTAACTTTTCCTAAAGAATGTCTGTTTAAAAATGGCTTTCAAGAGAAGGATCTAGGAGTCTGTCACAGTAGTCTCTACTCAACAGTAACACTCAAAAGTTAATAATCCAGATGGGAACCTAAATACTTGTCAAATTTTAGTTAATATATAATAGTTTAATACATAAGAAGGAAGATGACGGAATAAAAATCTAAAAATACCTTAAAGCACTAGGAAAATATACTGAATTTCACAAGATGAACTCTAATGAAAGCACAAAAGGGTTTTGTATTTGGATATCAAAACAAAAAAAGCAAGTACTGTGTCCATAAAAAATTCTCCAAAGAAGTAGAGAAAGAGGAAAATGTGGTTTAAATCTATTCATTAAGTGAACTGAATATGTTTTATATGACAAACACTGGGTCAGGCAATAAGTATGTAGCACTGAACATGCAAATATGGAACAAAGATGGCCTCTGCCCTCAAAAAGCTTACAGTTTAGTTTGAAAGCTAGATATTGATGGAAACTTAGGTTGATTCTATATCATGGCTATTGTGATTACTGGTGCAGTAAACATGAGAGTGCAGATATTTCTTTGATATACTGATTTTATTTATTATGGATATATAGCCAATAGTGAGGTTGCTGAATCATATGGTGGTTTTATTTTTAACATGTTGGGGTCTATCAACAGATAAATGGATAAAGAAAATGCAGTGTATATATGCAATAAAATAGCATTCAGCCATAAAAAAGAATGAAGTCCTGTTATTTGTGGCAACATGAATGAACCGAGAGGACATGATGTTATGTGAAATAAGCCAGGTATAGAAAGACAAATATCACATAATATTATTCGTATGTGAAATCTAAAGAAACTGATCTCATAGAAATAGAAAATAGAATGTGGTTACCAGAGACTAGAGAAGAAAAGGGGAGGGTGAAAGATGGGAAGTCGATTAAAGGGTATGAAGTTACAGTTAGACAGGAGGAAGAAGTTCTGGTGTTCTATTGCACAGTAGGGTGACTATGGTAAACAATGTCATATTGCATATTTCCAAGTAGCTAGAGGAGATGATTTTGAATGGTTTCACCATAAAGAAATGTTACAAATATGAGGAGAAGGATAGGCTAAATACCCTGATTTGATTATTACACAATGTATACATATATCAAGACATCGCACTCTACCCTATAAATATGTACAATTATTATGTGTCAAAAATAAAACAAAAGAAAGATGGATACTCAATGAATTATTAGAAATGGGATGAATACAGTAATACAGAGTGTTCTGAAAAACTATAACAGAAGAATCTGGCCTATCCTGGTTGTAAATGTTGTGTACATATGTGTGGGTGGAGAGGGGTGGAGGAGTCAGACTAGCCTTTTCTTTTTTTTGTTTTTTAGAGGGAGTCTCGCTCCGTCGCCCAGGCTGCAGTGCAGTGGCGAGATCTCGGCTCACTGCAAGCTCCGCCTCCCGGTTTCATGCCATTCTCCTGCCTCAGCCTCCCGAGTAGGTGGGACTACAGGTGCCCGCCACCATATCCGGCTAATTTTTTGTATTTTTAGTAGAGACCGGTTTTCACCTTGTTAGCCAGGATGGTCTCGATCTCCTGACCTCGTGATCCACCTGCCTTGGCATCCCAAAGTGCTAGGATTACAGGTGTGAGCCACCGCGCCCAGTCCCTAGCCTTTTCTTAATTAATGCATTCAACAAATAGTTATTGTATACCTACTTTGTGCAAAGAAAATAATAGGAATTGAATGATGGTGTTGAAAAAAATACAGTCCCTGTCTTCATTGACCTTATAAATTATTGGTGAAAAGAGAGAAATAAACATGCAAGTATATAATTAAAATATGTGCAGTTGTTATGAAAAGAATGACCAGGATGCAATGAATAGAATAAGGCTTGGAACATAGAATGTTTAGACAGAGTGGTCAGGTAAGACTTCTTCAAAGAGGTGATGTTAGAGAGGATACCAGAAAGATAAACAGGTGTTACTTGGTGAAAGAGACCCAAGAACAGGAAGAGGAATGTATTCTACGAGTGTTCATGCAGAGGGGAGTGTGATTTTAAAACTTAGGATATTTAGCTCATTTCTATTTTCATATGAAATATCTTTAGCTTTGTTGTTCATTTCAGAGAGAGAGAAACAGTGATGAACCAGTCTAAGAAAGAGGGACCAGTATGCTGAGGGCACTTCAACGTACAAGTAGACAAGTTGGAGGCCATTTAGCTGGAAGAAAATTCATCAAGGCAGGGCATGAAAGCTGGGTTCTAGTATTGGCAGAACTTAGTATTATGTTGGATCCAGCAAGTTGCCATAGGACCAATGAGGGGAAGTGACAAGGGGGGAAGTAACAAGGCAGGAAGTGACAAGGAGATGGATTTCGTTCATGAAAACTAAATTTTGAACAATGCAGAGTTACATGTTTATTGTGATTGTTTTGCAGTACAGTTCTCTAATAGGGAACGTTGTCAATTAATGTTAGAAACACTAAAAAGGAAAAGAGTATGATGGGTAGGAGGGAGACAGACTTAAAGTTTATGAATCACTTACTATGTACAAGACTTTGTATTTTGCTCTTTATGTATTTTATCTGAGCAAAACACAAGCTAGCTCATGATGTTCTCAAAGAATACCAACATCAGACAAAGTCACTCTGTGACCACAATGAAATGAGAGGAAAAAAAATACCACTTAATAATCCTAATTACGTATAACACTGTACAATCAGAAAAATATATTGTCTTCTAGCTAAAATGAGTGACTGATATGATCTTTCTCAATTACAGCTTTAGTCTACCTTAACAAGTAAGATTCATTAAGATACCTAATCATGGAATTATTTCTAGTAATTGACAGGACCAAATCCAGAGCAAGCTTAGCTTTCTTGAACCCTTCCTCCTCACCTAAAATTGCCTAATATGAGCCCACATCCTATAATAATTTCTATCTAACACTCTCTTACAGAAATGTCCCACAACTCCAGTGGTGTGTGATCACCCACATTGCAGTGAGTCAATAAACCTAATTTTGTTAGATTATGGGTATGTTCCTTTCTTTTGCTGGAAGGCCTTGTCCTGTCATTTAATTCTCAAAGCAACCCAAATATGTTCAGTTTAAAGGTAAAGAAAATAAGGCTGTGAGATGCTAAGTCACTTAGGCAAAGTTAATTATTTGGAGAAGTTTAGTTGCCAAACAGGTATTCCATATCTGCAACATGAAATGGGAAATGTAAACTAACACACTTTAAAACTATTATAGTTAATGTTTGCATTTAATCTTACTTAATTCTCACAATACACATTTATACATAATAAAATACTGGTTCAAATAAATACACAACTGCCTGAGGGTACATAGGTAAAGAGTAGCAGTTAAGAGTACAGACTTTAAAACAGGTGACACTTTATGGTAGTGTGACCTTGGTTATGCTCCTTTGACCATTAAGAACATTTCTGAGGCAGTGGAGCTTAGAGGTGATGATCATGGACTCTGGGGTCAGAGTGATTGGGTTTATAATTTTGTAGAGCACTTGTGTGATGTTGGACACTTTATTAAACTCTCTGTGCTTCAGTTTTCTCAAATGTACAATGGGAATAACAATCACACCAACTTCACAGAGTAATTGTGAAGACTGTGCATACATTGTGCTTAGAACAACATGTGTTGCTTAGCAAATGCTCAGGTAAACAGGTCTTTAATTGGAACTACAATTCAAATTAAGGTTTCTGAAGCTCCACAACCCCAGTTTGTTTGCTTATTTGTTTGTTTTAAAAACAGGCAGCTCTTATCAGAGAGGATTCTCAAAGGAAGAATATTAGGTGGGATTCAGCACATTATCAGGAAAAGTAATTGGCTTAAATGATGAGGGGAAACAGTGTCTCTTCGGATTTCGGAGGTGAGTCAAGAAATGTGAGAGTGCATGTGTTTATGAGAAGAGTGGTGGGAGGATTAGGGTCACATTTTCAGAACTAGAGTCCAAGAGTCTATGTTCAGAAGTCACTGGTGATGAGGGAATAGGAGTGGCAAGGGAGGGTGATGAGACAGCAAACATTTGGGAAAGACTTTTCTGAGCCCACCTCTGCAGGTGAGAGGTAAACTTGGCTTCCCAGGAGTCTGCCCTGAGCCTGATTCTCACCTGTCTCTGGGGTTGGAGGTCTCCCTTCCTTCTGCCACTTGTGGCAAAACAGTGTTAGCTCTGGGGACTCTGCCTCAGGAGGATGAGACTTGCTGTAAAGGAGAAAAGGCTTATAGATCCAGTTTCCATTTCCCACACATATACTGATCCAGGCAAGATCAAAGCAGACACTGAATAGTGTTCAGTGGTTGGTAGGTGAACTAAGGGGCACATTAACTATATTGATCAGGGATTGGAAAGGTGGGACTGATAATAAGGGATTTGAAAATAGATACTACTTTGAAATCCAACAATTGGTCTAGTGAAAATGTGAGTTAAGCAACTGGGACTTGAAATAATTCAATTTTGATAATCTTAGAGTATCAGATTTGGAAGAAACTTTAAAGGTCATCTTGTCCACCATTCCCTCCATTTGGTTCTTAATTCATTCTACAACCAAGAGATTAGCAAACATTTGCTTTTAAAAGGTAGAGAGACAAGAAATTATCTTATGTGTGTGCTGTCACAGATTGGTCAAGTGCTGACACAGATGGTAGAAGGCAGAGGTTTCTAAAACAATTATTCATAAAATAGAGGCTGTGACTGAGAACATCTAATGAGTTATAGACAGTCCCCAATGAACGATAATTCTACTTACAATTTTTCTACTTTACAACAGTATGAAAGCAATACATATTCAACAGATTAATACATGAGATATTCAATACCTTATTATAAAATAGGCTTTGTGTTAGATGATTTTGCCCAACTGTAGGCTAATGCAAGTTCTCTGAGCACATATAAGGGAGGCTAGGCTAACATATGATGTTTGGGTATATTACATGCGTTTTCAGCTTATCTTCATTATGATAGGTTTATTGGGCTGTAACCCCTTTGTAAGTCGAGGAGCATCTATATTGTATTCTCTCAGGAGAAGCTGCATTTGAAAATGCTTATCCCAGAGAAGGCCTTACACAGATTTTCTATGTGGAAGATTAAAGACATTTGATCATGCAATAATTTGGGGTCCAGAGGCCTTTAGGGTGCTCCTGAAATTATTATGTTTGCTAGGCCTTACTTGTTCTACACATACAGTTGGCTTCAGAAAAGCTAACTTGTATAAAGGGGAAACATTACCAACAACAGTTCCTTGCACACAAAAGATGATCAAAACTATTTCTTGAATTTAATTTCTCTGGGTCAGTGGGAACAATGATAGGTCTTTCAACAGGATTAGGGAAAGTTGAGGCCAGACTAAATGTGAGACGCTAAGTTTATTAGAATACTGTAAGCTTTGTATTGCTAAGAAGACAACAAAAGGGATGTGTTCAGGTGCAAAAGAGAAAATGTAACTTAAATTTAGGCTAAAATAAAACATTAATTGATTTCACAATTCTATGCCTACTGTTCCAGGCATCAGCAGGGAAATATATAATAATTAATGAAGTACTACATTTGCTCTCAAAGATCTTAACAATTTTTGGGGAAGACAGACTTGTTAAAAAGGTAACAATATGCTAAATGTAAATATTATGAGGGCATAGAAAATGAATAAATAATTCTTTTTCTGAGGGATTCAGTAAAAGTATATTTAAGGAGTTAAGATTTGATCTCATTTTGAAGGATAAGAAGCAGTTCCCAGATGGAGAGAAGAGAGATGACTTAGAAGCAAAGGAAATGTAATGAAGCGAGAATTTCTTTTTTTAACATATCTGTCTCCTGTAATTGGAGAGGTGAATGTACAGTCTCTTTAGGTTAGAAGAGAATCAAGAAGAGTCTTTTAAGTATCAGTTGCTTTCAATGAATTTAGTATTCTAAAATATCAAACCCAGAAGTTCATTTCTACTGCAGGGCATTTGAGTTTGAAAGAAATGTTCGGCATTGGCTGAGTGGTAGAGTTGCAAGGAAAGTATTGGTCTACTAATTATTAAATGAATTGTTTAAATGAATTCGTTTGGTTATTAATATCTTATTGAATACTTTTAATGTGACAGCCATTGTGACGAGTGTCAGGATGATGAAAATAAGCAAGAGGCTGGTTTGTCAGTATGATAACTAGAATTGGGCGGTTCTCTTCAATTGCAGTATGATCTACACAGGGTATGGTGTGACTGGCACTGGTTGCCATTTTATGCATTTAAAGTTGCATTGTGAATTTTTGTTATTGTTTTCTTTTTGCATCTGTTACACATTTTGCTTAAGAATAATTAGAATGTCCAATACTATTTTGTATGAAATTTCACCAAGCCAGCTATATACTCTTCACCTGTATTTATATAATTGATTTTATGAAAACACAAGATGCATGTTTATTGCCACTCTATCATGTTTGTTTTTGAATCTGCATTCTTTTTTTTTTTTTTGAGACGCAGTCTCGCACTGTCGCCCAGGCTGGAGTGCAGTGGCGCGATCTCGGCTCACTGCAAGCTCCACCTCCCGGGTTCACTCCATTCTCCTGCCTCAGCCTCCGGAGTAGCTGGGAACTGCAGGTGCCCGCCACCACGCCCGGCTGATTTTTTTTTTGTATTTTTAGTAGAGACGGGGTTTCACCGTGTTAGCCAGGATGGTCTCAATCTCCCGACCTCGTGATCTACCCGCCTCAGCCTCCCAAAATGCTGGGATTACAGGCGTGAGTCACCATGCCCGGCCGAATCTGCATTCTTACACCAAACAAGCTAACCACCCTAACCCATCTTCCTGTCAGCCATACCCACAAGGCAAATTCACACCTTCATCTCCGAGCTTGAGGTCAGAATAGTTAAATTTTACTTATGTTTTAAAAGTCTACATCTGACCAGTCACTCATCTAGCAAACATTCTTCAGTGATGCCCTGCATCTATGGAGCTAAGGTCTTAAAGCATTGAGTGAGCTTTCCCAGTTTGGTTACCATAGAGGGGAACATGTGTTTCCTTCATGTGAGCTGCTTGCTGCTCGATGCTTTTATTTTTGTCTGAAATATTTCTTTTTCTCTTTTACACAGCTGATCCCAGATCTTCTTGGAAAATTCATCTTACGGGCTTCCTCTAAAAGTTTTTTTTCAGTCATCCTGACCTGAGAAATGAGCCACTTCTCAGGCACACTGAAGTGTTCTGTACTTTACAAATCCTATTGAGATGTCTGCTTCTCTACAGGGTTGTAAGCTGCCTGGTGGCAGAGATTGTACCTTGCTGAATTTTGTGTTCTTTCTGCCTGACACATATTTGTTCAATAAATGTTTATAGAGGTGAATTGAACAATAGGAAAATATTTGCTACTACATTAATCTCATACCCAAAATTCACTCTTTAAGTCTTTACTGAAGGAAAAGCTATGACCTGGGAAGAGGAGTTAGAATGTTTGGGAACAGTCATATAGTATAGAGCTAGAATGCTTGAGGATGGTCTAAATGTTGTTTCTGTGAAATAGTATCTATAGGAAATACAAAAGTGTTCTAATTACTTCCTTCTCTCTATTCCCAAGTTTTCTTATTTGCAAAATAGGCAGAACAATGGTGCTTATCTCATTGAAGTATAAAAATTAAGTAAATATTGAATGCAAGACACTTGTAAAAATGATGAATAGTAAGTGCTAATAAGAGTTAGCTATTAATATTTTTACAGTAATAGTAATAGTAGTGAGGGCAACAGTAGTAATTTCAGTGCTACTTTTAAGTTAAAAAGAGAGAGAGAGAAATGAAGTTTTGGCATGGATTCAGCAGTCATCTCAATCCAATGTTTTCTTCTTTCCTTCTTTACCTCAGCCTCCCATGGATCAATACAACCATTCAAGCCTGGCTGAATTTGTGTTCCTTGGCTTTGCCAGTGTGGGCTATGTCAGGGGCTGGCTTTTTGTCCTGCTGCTATTGGCATACCTGTTCACCATCTGTGGTAACATGCTCATCTTCTCAGTCATCCGACTGGATGCAGCTCTGCACACACCTATGTACCACTTTGTCAGTGTTCTTTCCTTCTTGGAGTTGTGGTATACAGCTACCACTATCCCTAAGATGTTGTCTAATATTCTCAGTGAGAAGAAAACCATTTCTTTTGCAGGATGCCTCCTTCAGACCTACTTCTTCCACTCCTTGGGAGCGTCTGAATGCTACCTTCTTACAGCCATGGCCTATGATAGATACCTGGCCATTTGTCGGCCCCTCCACTACCCTATAATTATGACCACCACACTCTGTGCCAAGATGGCTGCTGCTTGTTGGACTTGTGGCTTCCTGTGTCCCATTTCTGAGGTCATCCTTGCCTCCCAGCTCCCATTTTGTGCTTACAATGAAATCCAACACATTTTCTGTGACTTTCCACCTTTGCTGAGCTTGGCCTGCAAGGACACATCTGCTAACATTCTGGTGGACTTTGCCATTAATGCTTTCATAATTCTTATCACTTTCTTCTTTATCATGATTTCTTATGCAAGGATCATTGGGGCTGTGCTGAAGATAAAAACAGCATCAGGAAGAAAGAAGGCCTTTTCTACCTGTGCCTCACATCTTGCTGTGGTCCTCATCTTCTTTGGGAGCATCATCTTCATGTATGTGCGGCTAAAGAAGAGCTATTCCCTGACCCTTGACCGAACACTTGCTATAGTTTACTCCGTACTAACACCAATGGTCAATCCAATTATCTACAGTCTTCGTAACAAGGAAATCATTAAAGCTATCAAGAGGACCATCTTCCAGAAGGGAGATAAAGCTAGTCTTGCTCATCTTTGACTTTCTTCCCATGTCCTTTCTCACCTCAATGTTCAATTCATAAAAGTTCCTTGAGTAATCTTCCCATCATCACACATGCTCTGAATTTCATTTCCTTTCACCTCTTCAAAGACTTCATTTCTTTATGATTTTCTCATTTTCTACATCTTTATTTCTATTTTTTACTCGATCACTTATGTCAGCATTTAAGAATATTTTAGTATCTACATACTTCTTTTTTTAAAAAAAAGCATGTATATTTCCTAGGTCCACACATTTCCATCCAGCTAGAGATCGATTTCTCTGTTCCTTTTTCCAATCAAACTTCTCAACACACCATATTTCCTCTTCTTTACTTCATATCCACTTCTCAACCCATTCCAATCTTATTTTGGCTCAGACCTTCCAACTAATATTTTGTGAAGGCCATTATTGACCTCAATGCTGCCAAATCCATGAGAAACTTCTTTTCCTTCCTCTCTCCTGAACTCTTGACACACATGACCAGTTTTTATGCCTCAATTCTCCTAACTTTTTACTCCTTAACTCTCCCTAACTCTCATGACATCATTACCTCCCAATTTTCTTATCTTTCTTGTGAGTCTTTCCCAGTCTTCGTTGTCCTGCCGTGCTATCTCCCTAGATACTCGGAGTTATTCTTATGGATTTAAATATGATCTCTATCACAAGGCCTCTTAAATTTTTATCTCCAAACCACAATTTTTCTCTGAGATTTAGATTTATATATTCAACTTCCTACTTATCAACACTGCCTGGATTGGACTTGTCAATAATTTAAAACTTAACATGTCAAAATTGATTTCTTAAAATTTCTAACCATGAAAGCTTGATGCTTTTGTTTCCTTGTGTTTCTTCTAGAAAATTTTAAATATTCTATTTTGCTTCCTTTTCTTACAACCATAATTCCAATCAATTATTAATGTATGCCAACAATCTTTTCACAAAATATATTCTTAAATCAATTTATTTCTTATACTCTTTAGTGTTTCTACCCTGGTGTAAATTACCAACATCTCTCAATTGGATTAATGTAATAATATTCTACCCATGCTCCTTTCTCCTACTCTCATTCTATTCTAATATATTTTCCACATAAAATATAAAGTAATGTATTTGAAATCTGAATTGTATATACCATTTTATAAAAACATGAGAAATTCTCAATTGCCCTTAAGATAAAATTCAAAGCCTCACCATACTTTATAAGGCTATAAACGGAATTCTTCCCTGCCTTCCTCTTCAACATAGATTCATACCTCTACTCCCTCAGCTCCCTCTTTCCTAGCTACATGATTACTCTTTCAGGTCTTCAAATACATTATGGATTTTTCTGGCTTCAGGATCTTCACTCCGTTTTTTCCCCAACATTTCATTTGGTTCACTCCTCCTAATTGTGTGATTTTCTGTTCAAATATCAATTTCCAGTGATGCTAGCTTTGAGAGGACTTCTGAACACTCAGTCTAATTTATGTCACTCATTTTTATCTCTGAAGTATGTTTTGCTTCTCTTCAAAATATGTATGGCAATTTATGTGTTTGTGGACATTTATGTATATATACATAGATATAGTTTGTCATTCTTTCCTACAAGTATCTATAAACTAGATTTGGTCTCAAATTATTTCAGATTTTTTATTTGTTGTGTGTCCAGAAACTAACACAGCACCTAAATAGGATGAGTATTCAATGCAATCGTAATGAATGAAACATGTGATGAATTTTACCCACACCTGGTCAATAATATATTTGGCCTTTAACAATGACATAATGATTCTAATCATTACTGAAACCCACTGTTCTATAGAATGCATCGGTCTTCCCTATTTGTACTCACCAGTTTTCTGCACATCCCACCTCAACTTGTCTCACATCTGCCTTTTGAATTTCCTTGGATAATACTGGTAACTAGTCCTTGCTTAGCTACTGTGCATCATACTAGGTTAATTTTCTGGATCTGTATTTTTTTTTTTCACTCACAAACTTTGGTGGGCATGTAAGCTATCCCTAGATAATATTCATTTTTAACATGATATGGTTATGCGTAAACATAAATTTTCATGTCATTTGGGAAAATGCATAAGTATAGGATTGCTAGGTCACACGATAAATGTATGTTTATAATTAGCTGTCTAACTGTTTTCCAAAGACTAGTGCTTTTTGGGTCCCTCCGCTGTGGTACAATGTGGGGCATGTGTAGTGAGAGTTCATTCAGCCTGGGCAGCTTTCCTGAGCTGTGGGAATGGGCTTGTGATGAACCCCAGGCTTCTGTTTCTCATTGCTGCATGTCTATGAGTAACAAATCTGCTTTTCTTGATTTGTTGTGTGTTTTATCTCAGCAGGTTCATGAACTAGGTAGAGAACCTTTGCATATATATGTATGTCCTTTTCTCCAAATCCTCCCTGCTGTCATCCGCACTATTTTATCATATATTTTTGTAAAATAAACACACAGTACATTGCTACTATTTTTGCTATATACAGTCATTTTCTGTAAACAGTGGCGGTAAAAGACATTGCAAGAGGGAGAGAGGTTAGTGAGTACTGAGGAAGTCAATGGAGCTGCAGTTTCAAGAAATGTGATACCATAAAAAAGACAGGCAGTTACGTGCTGAAGTCTGCTCATAGTTTTTGGGAAATGATTGACAACTTATTAGAAATTCTGTGGAACCAATAGCTTGGAATCAGATACAGTGGGAGTATTAGCACTATGCCAATCAGCAAATGTTATAAATCAGGAGCTTTTTAAAAATGGCAGGCTATCTCAAAGCTAAACAATGCAGGCACTAAAGTGGTAAGGACAGATTTAATCAGTAATATACAAATATACAAATATATATACACACACAAAAACACACACACATACACACACATAGACATAAATTATTTTGGTAGCCTTGAATTTTCTCAGGCAGGCACTTAAAGAGGTGCTAGGATAGACTATGGCCTTGAGTTCTTAGAAACTATGTTAGTGTTTGTTTAAGTCTTTTAATACATGTGGTGGGGGAGGGAAGATGGGGAGGGTGGATGAAATCATTTTTGCTGACAGTCTATAGATTTTGTAAGCCAAGGCTGAGGTTTAGTCAAAAAGAGAACTAGAGTTCAATGAAATTGAGAATCTTTGTTAGAGGAGTCAGTTGTTAAACATTTACCCCAACACATATAGAGACAGAATATCATTTGGAGGGGAGGGTAGCAGAATTGATGGATATATTTTAGGAATAGAGGATATTCTAGTTCACAGAAAAGAAGTAATTGAAATGAAACTGACAGATGTGGAAAATTTAATTTAAAAGGTAGTGGGTATTTAACTCTTAATTGCCTTATAGGGATTTAGAAAACCTGAATAAACCTCTAGTCATTAAGTAAATAAAATTATTACTTAAACTCTACGTATACTAGTCAAAAAACAAAATAATACTTTGACTCAAAAATTAAGTTATTAGTTAAATATCTATTTACCACAAACAAAATATTAAATACTGGCAACTCAGTTTGAAAAAAAAAAATCTTCCAGAAATAAATTAGGAGATAGAAAAATATAAACTTTGATGAAGAATATTGAAAGTGTGGGTGGGATGGAGAAAGTGACAAAAATTATTTAATTCTTCTCATAGTTCATATTATAGTTTGTAAGTACTTTTTTTTACATTATCACATTTGATTATTAATTTTATCTGAGGAAAGTAAATCTTCCTTATACTTTTTAAATTTTTTATCTGACAAATAATTATATATGTGATGTTTTGATACATGTATGCAGAGTAGAATGATCAAATTAGGCTAATTAACATATTTATCACCTCACATATAGTACTTATCATTTTTATTTTGTGGCAAGAGTATTCAAAATCCACCCTTCTGGCAATATTGCCAACCATGGCTCAGTGAGGTGCCTAATGTCTCATAAGTATTTGGAAGAATGGCTGGGATTGTATCCAAGATTCTGAAGCAGCACTCTTTACGGAGCAGATAACACTAGAGTAGAGAGGAGACTGCAGTGTGTAAGACAACATATAACGGCTATAAATATGAGCAACAGACAAGATTAGGAGTCGGTCTTGATGATATTTATGTCCCCAGTGTCTCCCTGTCCTCACCCTTTCAGGGTCAAAGAAGGTCAGTCAAATTTTATAAAGATCCTATCATAATTGAAAGTTGTATGCTTACTCCCAAGTCATGCAGTACAGGAACCCATTTGAACCTAGTTTTCACACCAGTTATTGTTATTTACTAAAGGAAGTAATTGCCTTGAGACATGTTCTATCTCAACTTGGACTGGTAGTTATTGTTGTAGTAACTAATAGGTAATGAAGGACTACTGGCTAATGAACTTGCTGTATGTCAGTTCCCTTCCTGAGAGAGCACTTTAGTGACCCCAGGAGGTCTGCTCAGAAGGCCCATGGGCTTCTGCCTCTATGAGGTCCCTATCAAGAATCCAGGTTTTATGGGAGAAGAATTTGTTTTATGGTTTAACTTATTCCCACAGGTTCCATCAAAGTGATAAACTTCAACCCCTCCAGGCCCCGGGAATGGCTGGGTATAATACTGCAAATGAGACATAGGAAGTATACAGGAAGTTCTCTTCAAACTTCGGACTCCGAGCAGTGGCTGGGCTTCCAGAGTCAAGCTCTAGCAGAGCACTCCCCACCAACAATCTCTAGGTAAGACTTTATCAAGCAGGCATTTTCATCTTCACATTCCTTCTTAGTCTGATCACTAAGAGACCTAGAGGATTCAGAAATATGGAGAGGTTTTTGAATAATCAGGGTCCATAAAACACATAATTGAAACACAGAAACTATTTTTAAAAACAGATATTCTGCTTTTCAAATGCTATAGTGAAGAGTCTGGCTTCAAAATTAGTAAATTGGCTATATTTTTAACTAACTGTGTAAACTGGAACAAGTCTTCTCCCCTTTCTGGATCCCAGTTTTTGTTGTTTGTTTGTTTGTTTCGTTTTTTAAATGAAGACGTTGAGTGTGATAATCTCTAAAATTGCATCTCCCTTCTTACCCCCAGATCTTTGGCCCTATGCCTAAACAATTATGAACTATGAATAATGCAGCTGTGGTATCTGAAGAAAAGAATGCAAGGCATATATTCTAAAAGCTTTCTAGAATTAGGGGAATAAACTATGATTTCAATGGACCTAAGTAAGATAAATGTAAATTTGTATATGTGGTAGGTTTTATGAGAGCCCTGATTCCAATATCAGGAATAGGAGTAGATGAGTAACTGATGAGCTAAAGAGCTGCACAAGTCATCTCAATTGCCCTCTTTTTCATTACCCACCATAACTCGGATATATCAGGCATTGTGCTAAGTACTCTAGGAGGTAGGACATGGTATGAAGTTTCCTCATTAATTTCAAAAAGCTCACAGAGAGTTGCCTTGGAGTGATAAGACATATGCCTGGAAAATAATTGCAGTGCATTACAGGATATAATTGGAGGGACAGTGAGAAAGTACTACTGAGAATTTAGAAGTGTGAAAGAACAGTATTTAACTTAGATGGTCAGGGAAAAAAATGACAGACTTGAGCTAGAAAATGATTCAAGTGTCTTCAGATTGACAAAAGATAAAGCATATTTTTAGTGAGGGTACACTGCAAACAAAGGAGTCTGGGCTAAATACAGAAACCCACTTGGCAAACATTGAAATTGCTATAATGGTGATGAAAAGAATGTTTGAACACATGACTCTGGACCAGAGCAATAGGGTTGTTTCACAGAGCAAAACAAAGAATAATGGTGAAAGCCAGGTTTCTGGTCATTGGAAAGGACAGTTGTAAACTAAAACATTTCAAAAATGGAGAGAACTGTCTTATGGGTCAGGAAGCTTCCAGTGCTGTAAATCCAGGCAGAGGGTTGATGCCCATTTGTGGCGATATGGATTCCTTTATGAGTGAGAAGATATGAGTTTTTGCTGGGCTGAATCAAAATTAGAAACATAAGTACAAATATGAAGTTTGATACACATGATTTATCCTTCTATTTTAGCCTTCCTTTTTGTGATATTTAAAGGTTTTTTCTTTTTATGAGCTGTTGGAAATATATAATACATTTCAGATATTCCAACAATCCAGTGAAATCCAAAATTATGGGGGCCACTGGAAAGTGATAGTTCCTAAAGCTTCTCTCAACACTAAATTAAGGTTTATCAGTACTAGCAGTTACAATCATAATTAGAAATAATAAAATAAATTTTTTAAAAAGGGAAAATCATCAGTATTTTTTGCCATCTTAAAGGGGGTGTGAAAAAGAGAAGGAAATGGTCCAAACCTCTGAGAACTGTGAACTTGGAAGATGAGGGAGTTGGGGGTGCTAGTTTTCCGTGGAAAATAATAATACTTGATCGGATCCTGATGACTTTGATTGCTTAGGCAGAGTATGGAGGGAGTGAACAACAGCAGGTCATTAATGAGTGATGATACAATGTATAGTGTGATAATAAGTCTTTGGAGTTATGTGGAAACTCTACCTTCTGAGAAAGGAGACGACAAAATACTGGCTTCTCATATTCAATCTTCTGACCAGCCATCCATGTAGATCTGAAAATTTAGTTAAGGGCTCACAGTCTAGACAACTCATCTGTGAGTGGGACTGGAGGCCAGAAAAGGAAAGAGGCAGCTCTAGAATAGAACCTTTTATTTATATTTAGAAGGGAAGGAATATAGAACATCTAGAAAACAAGGGTCTGAGAAGAAGTAGAAATTTAGGGATAATCCTTTATAGAAGGCAGGTATGCATTCAAGACTTGAAGAAAACAGAAGGCAGAATTGGGCAGTGGATAGACATGGATATGCGGTGAGAAAAACTAAGACAAAGAAATTTTGGATAATAAAGTAATTATTCTGAAGCAAAATCACCCATATAAAAGTTTGGCCCGGAAGTAGTTCTCTGGAATCTAAGTAGAGAAACATCCTATATTAAGTCTTGGATTGAGAAAGGCTTTTGTATATGGGATGGACATGCTCCCTAGGTTTAGAAAAATGCCAAGAAAAATCAGAGTAAACAAAGTTAGTTTGGATGAATTTCAGGATCCTGGAGAGGGAAGAAGTGATAAGAAGACCGGAGGGCAGAAGGAGAAGACTCGGTGTCTTTCATAACTCTCTGCCTTTGCACAGGCAGTTCCATTTGCTTCAAATACTTTTTATTTCATTTTTCCATCTAAAAAATTCTGACAGTTTCTTCACTTCAAATAAAAATTATATCTTCTGGCAAAGCATGGTGACTTATGCCTGTAATCCCAGCACTTTTAGAGGCCAAAGCAGGTGGATCACTTGAGCCCAGGAGTTCAAGACCAGCCTGGGCAATATGGCTAAACCCCATCTCTACCAAAAACACAAAAATTAGCCAGGCGTGGTGGTGCACGTTTGTAGTCCCAGCTACTTGTGGGGTGGAGGTGGGAGGATTGCTTGAGCCCAGGAGGTCAAGGCTACAGTGAGCAGAGATCCTGCCACTGCACTCCAGGCTGGGTGATAGAGTGAGATGCTGTCTCCAATAATAATAATAATAATAAATTATGTGTTCTATGAAATTTTCCTGATTTATCTCCATATCCAGCCCATGGCTTGTAACTCCTACTGCATATGCAAATTAGCAGTTATCTTAATAGATTTGCATATTAATTACATAAATATTTATTGAGTTGTAACTATATTTCAGACATGGCTCTAGGCACTTGACATACACCAGTAAACAAAATAGAAAAGAAAAAAATCTTTGCCCTTAAGGAACTTATAATCAAAGAGGAGAGAACCAATAAACAATAGGAATAAGAAATAAGTACATTTTACAGGTTAGAACATGACAAGTCCTCTGGAAAAAAAGTTAAAAATTAAGTAGAGAAAGGCAATAGCAGTACAGAATATGGATGTAAGGATGGAGGCACACTGCAGTTATATAGGGTGGCCCAGGTAGTTGAGCTGGTGAAATTTGAGCAAAGATGAAATAAATGAAAGAGCTATCCAAATGGTGAAAGAGATTCTAGAACAAGGAAAGAGCTACAGCAAAGGTTTTAAATGATATGTCACTGAACACATTTGATCGATGGAAACGCAGAACCTAATTTAGAATTTAACAGGATCACTCTGGTGTGTTGAGATGAGGCTACAAGTGAACAAATGCAAGTAGGGAGATCTGTTAGGAGTCAATTACAGTAAGAGGGGAGAGATAAAAGTGACTTGGACCGAGGTGGTCAAACATAGTCAGTTCCTGGATATATGAGAGAAAGATAGAAACAAGGATGACTGCAGGAGTTTAGCTTGTCAGTTGAAAGATTGCAATTGCCATCATTTGTGATGGGGAAGACTAGGGGTAGAGACCCCAGGAGTTCAGTTTGAGATGGCTCTTCGACTCCCAAGAGGAGATGTGAGTAGGCAGTGAAATATATGAGTCTGGAGTAGCAGAGAAAAATATCGCCTGAGATATGGATTTAGATGTCTTCAACACATTTATAGTGTTTAAAGCTCTGGTATTGGATGGTATAGAGCAGAGGAGTTGAGTTTATATAGAAGAGAAAAAAAAAAGATTAAACACTGACCATGGGCACTGTGACATTAAAAGGATGGGGCATGGAGGAGAAACTAAAGTTGGAGAATGAGAAGGAATGACTAATAAGATAGAAAGTAACCAAAAGTATAGTACCCCGAGAATCAAGTCAAGGAAGTGTGTGAACAGGCTGGATAAATCAATACTGTCAAGAAACAGATAGTCCAAGTAAGCTGAGGAATGAGAAATGACCATTGGATCCAGGAAATCTTAGATAATTAATGTCTATGAGAAAGGAGGTTTTAATGGAGTGGTGGTAGTATAAATCTAATTAGAGTGGGTTTAAGAAGAAACTTAAAGAGAGGCATTAAAGGCAATGCGTATAGCCGACTCTTGGAAGAGTTTTCTTTTAGGGACATAGAAAGAAATAGAGCAGTGGCTGTGGGATGAGTAAAGAGAAAGAATTTAAGGCTCTTGCTTTTTTGTTTGTTTAGTAGATGAGAATAATAGCATGTTTTTACATTGATAGAGTATTCCATGAAAGAGCTGTATAATAGTTAGTTGTTTCTCTATACTCTGTATTACAATATTAGTTTGTTAACATCAGGTGCCACATTTTATTTGTTTAGTCCCTGTTCTAAGTATAATGCCCAGAGTACTGAAAATAATCAATTATTGTTACATTGACCTCAACACAGTAGAGCATGTATATTTAATATCTACAGAAGCAATAAACCAGAAAAGAGCATTTGAAGTTGATAGAGGGGGAAATGGCAGGAAGAACTGATGAAGTGGCCACAGTCTGAAGTTGAAATGCAGAAAGATAGATTTGCCTCCTGTCTTTCTTTGGCTTTTTTATTTACTCTAACCTTCTTATTTTTGACTGGAGCTCTCACCAGTGTCCAAAAGAGGTCTAAATTCTGACCTACATGCCCCTGAAAGATGCTAGCAGACCTGAGTTCTCATAAAGGAATAGGAGGGAGCAGAAGGGAAAACAATTGATTCTTTGGTAGCCAGAAAGTTGAAGAAGAAAACAAATTAAAATGAGAAATTAGAAAATAATATTCAAATTATATATATTTGGTCCAGTACGGTATCAATATATTATCAGTATAAATGATGATTTTTACCTTAGATGAACAATATGTATAAATGTTAATATATACCTTGGATTAGAAATACCTAAATTTCTAAAATCTATATAGATTCTATTGAGAAAGTCAACTGGGTTACAGGATGGATTAGGAAGGCCAAAAATGAGCTGTGTTAATCAGGGAAGACTAAACATAAAGGTGAATAGTCTGAAGGAGGCTGTTGACAGGAAGGGCAGGGAGGGATGGAATTGAAATGTTGACCTCTCAAAGCATTTACTTAGAGGGCTTTACTCTGGAGGTGAGAGAAGGGAGGGCAATAGTAATTTGAGGGTTGCCTTCTTGTTAGAACCCTATAGTTCAACTTTCTTTCCTATCCTTCCACACTTCACATCTAGGGACATGAATGGTGAGCAATGGACACAGGGAACTGGAGCCAGGTAGCAGAATTCATCATCTTGGGCTTCCCCCATCTCCAGGGTGTCCAGATTTATCTCTTCCTCTTGTTGCTTCTCATTTACCTCATGACTGTGTTGGGAAACCTGCTGATATTCCTGGTGGTCTGCCTGGACTCCCGGCTTCACACACCCATGTACCACTTTGTCAGCATTCTCTCCTTCTCAGAGCTTGGCTATACAGCTGCCACCATCCCTAAGATGCTGGCAAACTTGCTCAGTGAGAAAAAGACCATTTCATTCTCTGGGTGTCTCCTGCAGATCTATTTCTTTCACTCCCTTGGAGCGACTGAGTGCTATCTCCTGACAGCTATGGCCTACGATAGGTATTTAGCCATCTGCCGGCCCCTCCACTACCCAACCCTCATGACCCCAACACTTTGTGCAGAGATTGCCATTGGCTGTTGGTTGGGAGGCTTGGCTGGGCCAGTAGTTGAAATTTCCTTGATTTCACGCCTCCCATTCTGTGGCCCCAATCGCATTCAGCACGTCTTTTGTGACTTCCCTCCTGTGCTGAGTTTGGCTTGCACTGATACGTCTATAAATGTCCTAGTAGATTTTGTTATAAATTCCTGCAAGATCCTAGCCACCTTCCTGCTGATCCTCTGCTCCTATGTGCAGATCATCTGCACAGTGCTCAGAATTCCCTCAGCTGCCGGCAAGAGGAAGGCCATCTCCACGTGTGCCTCCCACTTCACTGTGGTTCTCATCTTCTATGGGAGCATCCTTTCCATGTATGTGCAGCTGAAGAAGAGCTACTCACTGGACTATGACCAGGCCCTGGCAGTGGTCTACTCAGTGCTCACACCCTTCCTCAACCCCTTCATCTACAGCTTGCGCAACAAGGAGATCAAGGAGGCTGTGAGGAGGCAGCTAAAGAGAATTGGGATATTGGCATGAGTTGGGGCTGAGAGTAGGCCAAGGCCGGGCCTGAGGATATGGTGGCCCCAGGGATCAACAGTGGCCAGAGACGAGAAACTAAAAATTCAGTGCTTTTCTATGTGGGGTGGTGGAGCTGCAGCAAGTGCTGACTGACTTCCAGTGTTATAGCGACCTTCATACTGTCTGCTGGAGCCACATTTGGCTTGAGACCAGAGACTAGGGAAAGTACACATCCCTTCAACATGATGTAGTGCAGTGATTTTCAAAACTCAGATGTTTATGTATCACACTTAGGTTTTTTTTAAAATCTGTGTCTTACCTATTATACGTTTATAGGCATTTTTCAAATTTACTTGACTTAATATAAATATAGTCAGGCATGTCCTAAACAAAATGTGATTCATGATGTTTTTTGTACCACTTGCAATCATTTCATGTGGAGAAGACTGGTACAGTAGAAAAAAGCATGTTTTTTGAACTCATATATATCTGGATTTAAATCATGTTTTATTCAGTCACTTGCTAATTACTTAATCTTTAGAAAGTAACTTAGCATCTCTGAGTCTTAATTTCATTATTTGATAATGGTATTTTCTTGAAGAGTGTTTTGAATATTAACGTTAAGATTTGTAAACCACAGTGCACAGTGTCTGACATGTAGGTGATAGTAAATAAATAAGGACTTGTTTTTATTTATTTTATTCTGCGAAGACTTCACATCATTACTCTGGGTCTTAGAACAATATCTAGTAAAACATAAATAAACAAAAATACTTTCCAAGTATTTTCTCCAAAGGAAAGGAGCAAACCAGCCAGAAGGAATACTTGTATAGTATACAAGTATACTATACTTGAAAAGTATAGTTTGTCACAGTTCTGTTCTGACAAGTTTCATGTACCTGTCTTAGTGGTCCTAATATCTATGGCCAGTATAATGTATGAAAGTATAGGAGTTGAGTCAGTGGAAAGAAATAGGATTACTTTTTACATCGAACCATTTCTTTATTGAATTGTAAGCTAATTATTTCCTGAAACGTGTGAAAAATAATTCTAAAATGTAGCATATGAGAGATCTGGGGATTCAATTAATAGCTAATATTATGTATTCTTTATGTATCCTTCCATGAATGGAGGATCAAATATTAACTACAAGAAATCTTTGAATTCTATAGAACTTCCTAAGAAGATTACAAAATATTTTTAATACCACACTTTTAAAGGTATTCATCCATCCATGCATTCAAATTAACACGTTTATTTAGCTCTTACTATATATCAGATGCAGTGTCAACTCTACAAAAGCAATGAACAAGACATATATATGTCCAGGTCCTACCTTTAGGGTGTTTTAAAAGAGTTGAGAATATAAATATTAAAATTATAATTAATTTATAATTAGTTATAATTAATTATAATTGTGGGAAGTAGTATTAAGATAAACATGCATTCTCCTTTTTTTTCACTTGTCTTTGAAGTTTATTGAGAATTTTAAGCAGATAAATGTTTTTACATTAAATAATCACCAGGAATTCAAAATATTATACTCTATCAAATGGGAACTTGAATTGTTCTATTTATATATGTAGCATTCTATTTATAAATATATTTCATTTAGTGTTTCATCTAGAATAAAAATGACAAGAAATAAAATTATTAAAAACAAGTTGTGTTTGACTTTTGGTAAAATTTTTTGTCCTGGACATTTTTGATGACTAAGTATCACTAAATCTATGCTAGGTAAATTTGCCCCTATTATTTTCTTTTTTATTTTATTTTATTTTATTTCATTATTATTTTATTTAGGGTACATGTGCACAACGTGCAAGTTTTTTACATATGTATACATGTGCCATGTTGGTGTGCTGCACCCATTAACTCATCATTTAGCATTAGGAGTATCTCCTAATGCTATCCCTCCCCCATCCCCCAACCCCACAACAGTCCCCAGTGTGTGATGTTCCCCTTCTCAATATCATACTGAATGGGCAAAAACTGGAAGCATTCCCTTTGAAAACGGGCACAAGACAGGGATGCCCTCTCTCACCACTCCTATTCAACATAGTGTTTGATGTTCTGGCCAGGGCAATCAGGTAGGAGAAGGAAATTAAGGGTGTTCAATTAGGAAAAGAGGAAGTCAAATTGTCCCTGTTTGCAGATGACATGATTGTATGTCTAGAAAACCCCATTGTCTCAGCCCAAAATCTCCTTAAGCTGATAAGCAATTTCAGCAAAGTCTCAGGATACAAAATCAATGTGCAAAAATCACAAGCATTCTTATACACCAATAACAGACAAACAGAGAGCCAAATCATGAGTGAACTCCCATTCACAATTGCTTCAAAGAGAATAAAATACCTAGGAATCCAACTTACAAGGGATGTGAAGGACCTCTTCAAGGAGAACTTCAAAGCACTGCTCAACAAAATAAAAGAGGACACAAACAAATGGAAGAACATTCCATGCTCATGGGTAGGAAGAATCAATATCGTGAAAATGGCCATACTGCCCAAGGTAATTTACAGATTCAATGCCATCCCCATCAAGCTACCAGTGACTTTCTTCACAGAATTGGAAAAAACTACTTTAAAGTTCATATGGAACCAAAAAAGAGCCTGCATCACCAAGTCAATCCTAAGCCAAAAGAACAAAGCTGGAGGCATCATGCTACCCGACTTCAAACTGTACTACAAGGCTACAGTAACCAAAACAGCATGGTGCTGGTACCAAAACAGAGATATAGATCAATGGAACAGAACAGAGACCTCAGAAATAACGCCGCATATCTACAACTATCTGATCTTTGACAAACCTGAGAAAAACAAGCAATGGGGAAAGGATTCCCTATTTAATAAATGGTGCTGGGAAAACTGGCTAGCCATATGTAGAAAGCTGAAACTGGATCCCTTCCTTACACCTTATACAAAAATCAATTCAAGATGGATTAAAGACTTAAACATTAGACCTAAAACCATAAAAACCCTAGAAGAAAACCTAGGCATTACCATTCAGGACATAGGCATGGGCAAGGACTTCATGTCTAAAACACCAAAAGCAATGGCAACAAAAGCCAAAATTGACAAATGGGATCTAATTAAACTAAAGAGCTTCTGCACAGCAAAAGAAACTACCATCAGAGTGAACAGGCAACCTACAACATGGGAGAAAATTTTCGCAACCTACTCATCTGACAAAGGGCTAATATCCACAATCTACAATGAACTCAAACAAATGTACAAGAAAAAAACAAACAACCCCATCAAAAAGTGGGCGAAGGACATGAACAGACACTTCTCAAAAGAAGACATTTATGCAGCCAAAAAACACATGAAAAAATGCTCATCATCACTGGCCATCAGAGAAATGCAAATCAAAACCACAGTGAGATACCATCTCACACCAGTTAGAATGGCAATCATTAAAAAGTCAGGAAACAAGAGGTGCTGGAGAGGATGTGGAGAAATAGGAACACTTTTACACTGTTGGTGGGACTGTAAACTAGTTCAACCATTGTGGAAGTCAGTGTGGCGACTCCTCAGGGATCTAGAACTGGAAATACCATTTGACCCAGCCATCCCATTACTGGGTATATACCCAAAGGACTATAAATCATGCTGCTATAAAGACACATGCACCCGTATGTTTATTGCGGCATTATTCACAATAGCAAAGACTTGGAACCAACCCAAATGTCCAACAATGATAGACTGGATTAAGAAAATGTGGCACATATACACCATGGAATACTATGCAGCCATAAAAAATGATGAGTTCATGTCCTTTGTAGGGACATGGATGAAATTGGAAATCATCATTCTCAGTAAACTATCACAAGAACAAAAAACCAAACACTGCATATTCTCACTCATAGGTGGGAACTGAACAATGAGATCACATGGACACAGGAAGGGGAATATCACACTCTGGGGACTGTTGTGGGGTGGTGGGAGAGGGGAGGGATAGCATCGGGAGATATACCTAATGCTAGATGACGAGTTAGTGAGTGCAGCGCACCAGCATGGCACATGTATACATATGTAACTAACCTGCACAATGTGCACATGTACCCTAAAACTTAAAAGTATAATAAAAAAAAAAGTCAGGAAACAACAGGTGCTGGAGAGGATATGGAGAAATAGGAACACTTTTACACTGTTGGTGGGACTGTAAACTAGTTCAACCATTGTGGAAGTCAGTGTGGCAATTCCTCAGGGATCTAGGACTAGAAATACCATTCGACCCAGCCATCCCATTTCTGGGTATATACCCAAAGGATTATAAATCATGCTGCTATAAAGACACATGCACACGTATGTTTATAGCGGCACTATTCACAATAGCAAAGACTTGGAACCAACCTAAATGTCCAACAACGATAGACTGGATTAAGAAAATGTGGCACATATACACCATGGAATACTCTGCAGCCATAAAAAAGGATGAGTTCATGTCCTTTGTAGGGACATGGATGAAGCTGGAAACCATCATTCTCAGCAAACTATCGCAAGGACAAAAAACCAAACACTGCATGTTCTCACTCATAAGTGGGAATTGAACAATGAGAACACATGGACACAGGAAGGGGAGCATTCTCTTCTTGAGAAAGTTGCATTTAAAATGAAAACTGAAGAATAAGTCAGTTAGCCACTTTTATGAAAGCATCATGCATAGCAACTTTTTTTTTTTTTTTTTTTTTTTTTGAGACGGAGTCTCGCTCTGTCGCCCAGGCTGGAGTGCAGTAGTGCGATCTTGGCTCACTGCAAACTCCGCCTCCTGGGTTCATGCCATTCTCCTGCCTCAGCCTCCTGAGTAGCTGGGACTACAGGCACCCACCACCACGCCCGGATAATTTTCTATATTTTTAGTGAAGACGGGGTTTCACTGTGTTAGCCGGGACGGTCTCGATCTCCTGACCTCGTGATTCGCCTGCCTCTGCCTCCCAAAGTGCTGGGATTACAGGCGCGAGCCACTGCACCCAGCCGCAACTATTATCTCTAATCTGAAATATTAGAAATGTAGAACTCGGTTGATGAAACAACTTGCCAAAACTATAGAGTAAGTCAGAGTCAGGGACGACTCTGAATTAAGAAAAGTATTCATCCTTCCAGGCTAGGTTTCTCTAATCTTTAAAAGGCCCAGGGAAGGAAAGGAAAAGGACTAAGATATGAAAGTAATAGTTTAAAACATAACAACCAGGTTATGGGTTTGGAAACAAAAATGCAGTGTCTGAGTGGCTGCCAAGGGTGCTTTGTTCCTTGGGACTTCACTCGCTGTTTAAAGAAAGTGATTTAAACTGAGAGAATGATGGTCTCTACCCCAGTTTTAGAGAAGCATTGTTTAACCCCATACTCTGAGAGATTTTGACTCTTTTGCTAAAGCATTCAATTACAAGACTGATAATTTTTCAAGTCCAAAATAAAAATAACTCTGTCTTATGAAAGTTAGTAAATTTCTAAAGTGAAGGAACAATGCTGCATCATAAATGGGACTCTATTTCTTCCTATTTTCTTTCAGAGTTGGGGTCTTGCTCTGTTGCCCAGGTTGGAGTGTATAGGTGCAATCATAGATCACTGCAGCCTCAAACTCCTGGCCTCAAACAATCCTCCCTCCTCAGCCTCCTAAGTAGCTGGTGTTACAAGCATGAGCCACAGCATTTTCTACCTGTGAAATGGTAAATTGCTGTTTTGTTTGTGTCAAAATATTATATAACAGTTTCAGTTCTTGCCCCTGAGAAAGTCACTTTGTGAAATTTGGAGAACTCAGCTATTGCTGCTAGGATTTCAGAAAGCAGAAACTAAAGATTTAATAGCATCCTCTGGAGTTTTCCAACATGTTGGCCCTATAAGTAATTTTTGTCTCATAACAATAGTAAAAGTAACTGCTAAACATTATAGGCACTGTGCTCAGTATTTTTATATATATAAATGATTATATATATAATATATATTATATATATATAGTCTTTACAATCTATGAAACTCCCATATTATAGATAGGAATATTAAGACCCAGAACACCTGTGTCAGTTTTCAAAGTTGTATAGCTGGTTAGTGGAAAAGCCATGATTCATGTTTGGACAGTAGGATTTTGAAGTTCTTAGTCTTAGTGAGACCTTAGGTCTACTCTAATAAAGAGAAGCTTTCTCGTTATTGGAACTAGTTAACACTGGGAAGGCCACCTTAGTTAAATGTTCAAGCAGAGGCTAAATTACCTTTTTTGTCATATGCTGATGAGGAGTTCATATATTTAGGTGTAGAAAAAAATAGATGTCTTTTTTTAACTTTTATTCTAAGTTCAGGGGTACATGTGCAGGTTTGTTACATAGGTAAACTTGTGTCATAGAGGTTTGTTGTACAGATTGTTTCATGACCCAGGGATTAAGCCTAGCACCCATTAGTTATTTTTCCTGCTCCTCTCCCTCCTCTCACCCTCAACTTTGTGAAACGTTCCAATGTGTGTTGTTCCCCTCTATGCGTCCGTGTGTTCTCATCATTTAGCTCCCACTTGTAAGTGAGAACATGCAGTACTCGGTTTTCTGTTTCTGTGTTAGTTTGCTGAGGCTAATGGCCTCCAGCTCCAACCATGTCCCTGCAAAGAATATGATCTCATTCCTTTTTATGGCTGCGTAGTATTTCATTGTGTGTATGTACCACATATTCTTTACCCAGTTTGGCATTGATGGGCATTTAGGTTGATTCCATGTTTTCACCATTGTGAATAGTGCTTAAATGAACATACACGTGTATGTGTCTTTATAATAGAGTCATTTATATTCTCTGGGTATATATGCATCTGACAAAGGTCTAATATCCAACATCTATAAGGAACTTAAACAAATTTACAACAGAAAACAAACAGCCCCGTTAAGAAGTAGGCAAAGAACATGAACAGATACCATCTCACACCAGTTAGAATAGCTATTATTAAAATGTCAAAAAATAACAGATGGTGGCGAGGCTGTAGAGAAAAAGGAATGCTTATACACTATAGATGGGAGTGTAAATTAGTTCAGCCATTGTGGAAGACAGTGTAGTGATTCTTCAAAGACCTAAAGACAGAACTAGATGTCTTCCAAGATAACTTCAGGTTCAGAGCAAATGAGGAAAAATGGCTATTCTTTTACACAGATGACCTTAAGGAAAAAGTAAGAACATCAAACTAATAGGAGAGAGCCTTATACTGAACAAGGGCTGGGACTAAGAAGAAGTTAAGGGGGGTACCTGAAAATAAAGTAATGAAGGATCTGGATAGACTTATTATTTTAGCCTGGCTCATATGAGTTCTGCTTCCACTTGGGTGGCAAATTTTCCATTCTTTACTCCTTCTCCGTCTGTTTTCTTAGGCTGATATGTGCACTGCTTATCATTGACATCAAAGGCTGCCCCTTCTCACTCTATCTCCTTTCTTCCCACAGGCCTTGATCCACTGATTCTCTCAGCCAGCCCAACCTGTCAATCAGTTGGTGCACTAACTTTTCTCATGTAAAAAGAAGTTCATATTTATTAAATAGAATTGTTGATGATAAATGAGATAATACATGTTAGGAAATTGTTAAAAATCAGTATTAAATAGCCTCAGCACTAGAAATGATCTTAGTGATCATCCAGCCCAGCTGTTCCTAAATCAAGAACAAAGCTTGGATAGTTGACAGATAATCTGCAGAATTATATACTGTGTTCCAGCAATCAGAAAGATGAGAAAACGTTTCTGCTATCTGTGGACCCCTACTTAGTCTAATGAGAGATGTGGGACAAACAAAACTATATTAATAGCAAGAGAAACAAAAAGAGAAAAGTCATATCAAAATAAGGGCCAATATTGGTCCTAAAATCAGTGCCAGAGATATTAGTGTGAGGAATCTTTCTTGAAGACTGCAGTAATTTGGAACCAGGTTGAGAAGCTGGAGGCAACAGTAGTAAAAATAATTATGTCTGAGGTTCAGTCGTAAAGGTTAAGGATACCTTTGTGAAAAGAATCAATGTGCAGGGTTGAGAGAGAGAAGAGAATAAAAAAGGGTACCATCTAAAGAGGTTTCAAACACACACAAAAAACTTCAGAAGGTTTAGAGGAAATAAAATGGCCTGGGAACAATGAGTCCATAGGGATTATCCTGTCTCATGACAAGAAAAACAGTAAATTTTATGGGTAATGACATTCTCATTAATAGCAGCGATAATGACTCATTAGACTCCGAGACCTCCAAAGCCAAGACCATTCATATGATAGCCACTAAGTGAATGCTCTGCACCTAACAGGGTGCCTGACATAGAGTTCCTACTCAAATTTTTAAAAAATAAATAAATCTTGATGACTCAAGGAATAAATTCTTTCACCACTTAATGTACGATAATTTGTAATTACATTTACTTATTGAATACCGTATTTCCTTTAGAAATTTTATTAAGTTTAGTGATTAGGATGAAAGCCTGTGAACTAGGTATGAGATCATGGTCAATAAAGACATGGATCTGGAACCAGACATAATGAATTTCTGCCTTAGATTCATAATAATTATCTCTGTGTACTTGGACTAGTTATTGCAGCTCTGTGTACCATGTTTCTCATGTAAAAAGAAGTTCATATTTATTAAATAGAATTGTTAATGATAAATGAGATAATACATGTTAGGGAATTGTTAAAAATGAGTATTAAATAGCCTCAGGACTAGAAATGATCTTAGTGATCATCCAGCCCAGCTGTTCCTGAATCTTACCCATCATCTGAATTTTCTGGGAGATTTTTAGAAATGCAGATGGCCAGGCTTCACTTTCAGATTTTCTGAACCACAAATGTTGACAATCAGTTTGAGCAATCACTGATCTAATCCAACCACATAATTATAGAGGAAGCTGAAGGCCAGCAAATTAAGTGGATCATCCAAAATGGCACAACTTAGTGTCAGAAAAAGGTATAAAATACAGTCCTTAAATCTCTTTGTCCCATAGTCTTTCCATGATGCCACAATCACGTGAGGGCTGGGGAATTCATGGAGGAAAGAACCATTAACTCCTAGGACTCATTAAAAACTGGTAAGGTTTCATTAAACTTTGGGGAAAAGAAGTTTGCATAATTTAGTTTTTTGAACATCAAGTAATTTACACAAAATTATATATTTAATGGAGACAGAGAATACAGTAGAGTACCTAAGGTTAAATCCCAGCTCTGTCACTACGTATATGACCTTAGGCCAGTCTTTAACTTCTGTGAGCTTTAGTTTCAACATTTAAATAATAGTGATCCCTGACCTATTTACTTCAGGGTATTTTAGATTTCAAGAGGATTTATACCTGTGAAAATATTTTAAATAGTAATGTGCTCAAGACATATAGTGGACTGTTATTGTTATTAATTTTGGTGGAACCTCTTGGGGTCTAAAATTCTGTAACACATCATGTACAAAATCAGTTCACGTTTGCTGAAATGAGTTTGGGAATTAAATGAGCTAAAAGTAGAGAAGACCTCTCTCTAGTATCAGGAAACGATTTATTTATATGGAATGCCAAATGACAGGGGATGCATTTCCAGAAAGGGAATTGGGGAAGTTAGCAGTAGCAATTCTCAGAACTTTCTTGTCTGTCATGCCTCTTCTATTCTGCTTCCCGGCCCCACTAGCATGTCAGAGCACTGAAGAGACTAGCAGGGGCCTAGCTGCTGGAGTGCGAGGAGGAAGCCAACCTGTGTTAAAAGCAAGAGAGTTGATCTATACTGCTTCAGCTATAACAAGCATGGTAGAGGCATTGATGTAAACTGGCCATCCACTTACCATCCACAGCCTGTATACAGCAGTTTATCATTCTTTTTAAAAATAATAGAACAAGTAGTTGCAGCAATACAGAAAGAGGATAGACATGGAAAAGATAAATAACAGTGAAATTTTGCTCTTCCAAGAGGCTTTTTAGAGTCTCCAGGATCTGTATCTATTTCCCAGCCCAACCAGCCCTCTTCTGATAGTGGAAAAGCCTTCCAATAGCCTCTTTCATGTCCTTGTTTTTCAGGCTATAGATGATGGGGTTGAAAAAGGGAGCAAGGATAACAAAAGTGACAGCAATTGCTGTGTCCCAAAACACTGAGTAGGTGGCTGAGAATCTCAAATACATGACAGCCACACTGCCAAAAAATAGCAAGAACACAGCAAGGTGAGCAGCACAGGTGGAAAAGGCCTTGTGATGACCTTCAGCTGAGTGCATTCCCAGAATCACTATAATAATCCGGATGTAGGATAGAGCAATGACCAGGAAGGAGGCTACAATTTCCGCTGCATGGATGGCATCCACAATGACCACTAGGAATGTATCTGTGCAGGCCAAGCTCAGCACAGGTGTGAAATCACAGAATATCTGGTGGATCTGGTTGGAGCCACAGAAAGGCAAGGTGGAAATCCATGCAATCTCAGGAAGCACAAGGAGGAAGCCACAAAAGCAGGATCCAACTGTCAGCTGGATACAAAGTTTGGGAATCATGATGGTTGGGTAACGGAGTGGATTGCAGATAGCTATGTACCTGTCAATGGCCATTGCTGTCAGGACACAGCTTTCTGTGATACCAAGTGAGTGGAAAAAGTACATCTGCAGGAGGCAGCCAGCCACGGAAATGCTCTTCTGCTCACTGATTAGGCAGGACAGCATCTTGGGGATGGTGGTTGTGGTATAGCAGATCTCCAGGAAGGAGAGGACACTGATAAAGAAATACAAAGGGGTGTGCAGGGCCATGCCCACCTGGATGACAATGAACATTATTAGGTTTCCAGTTAGGATAAATCCGTAGATGAGAAGCAAGGGAATAAAGAATAAGAGGCCACCTCTGTGCGCATGCGGGAACATAGAGAAGAGGAACTCAGTCACCATTGTCTGATTCCCACTGGCCGTCAACTGTGTCATCTGTGAACACAGAAAAGGAAACAAGAGACTCCTATAATTGGAATGTTGATTACCCACTGAATATTGCTTCATTCCTTTCTGTAATGAGTTACTCAAGCTGATTCTGGAATCCTGAAGAAACCAGTTAGAAATATCTCTTAAGCTTTACCTCCATGCCAAAATCATCTGAAATACTTGCTGTTGGACCCCTGAATGACCTTTTTTTTTTCTAGTAAACATCTTCAACTGATGTGCAAAAAGCAAAGCAATACTCAAATTTCATTATCTGGAAATATTTTCTGTAGGTTTGGTCATTTTTTAACGTCTGTCTGTCCCGGGTGTGAGGTGAGAAAGCTGACATGGTTTCTTCAATAGGTCAAAAGCAGATACAAATAAATGCATTTCAGACTAGGAAAATTAATTATTATTATTATTTTTTGAGATGGAGCCTTGCTCTTATTGCCCAGGCTGGAGTGCAATGACTCAATCTTGCCTCACCACAACCTCCGCCTCCCGGGTTCAAGAAATTCTCCTGTCAGACTAGGAAAATTAATTTTTAAAGGATGCCTCTGCCTTGCACCTTAAACTGTGAGGAAGGTAGATAGGAGAGGCAGGCTTTGGAAGGAAACAAGCAACAGTGCGCCACAGAAAGGCAGAGCTTCCAAGGGGAAAAGTGTAAGATATTGGAGTTTTCTTCTGACTAAAATATCCACTTCTCTGTCCTTCCTGTGTTTTTCTTTTCTAAGCAATTGAATAATCGTGCTGAGTAGTCATTATAGAGAATATGGAAGGACAGAGAAGGAAACACAGGGCTATAACAAAATACAAGAAAATAGGTGCTAAGTGGCTAATAAAAGCCAGACAGAGTGACTACTTTGTTGCTGTACGCACGGGGCCCTTCTCAGTAGTAAAGCTGCATCATTATTCATCATCGGTACATTTATTCAACTAACACTCATATATCGATTGATCTTCTGCTATGTGTCGATGATGCCATAGGTTCAAGGGCTATATAAAGGTAAATAAATATTATTCTTGTTCCTGAAATACATAAAGAACCATCAATAAAATCCTACTGTTAAAGATATTTAGTAGTGTCCAAGGAGTTCAATCTAAAAATATTTCTTGTATGACGTAAAGACACTTGAATTAGATTAGACTTGACTTTGAAGAAAAGCAGTAACTTTCTCTGTGACTCTTCAAGAATCCACAATTATTAGGGTTTCAACAAGATTTAATGTTTAAAAGACCTTAGACATTATCAGTATCTTCAAACTGTTAGCTGAACCATATTCTTTCTGTTATCCCTTCCCGATTTCATTTACCCTTAGTATAATATTTCACTCATGTAACAAAGTTCTTAAAATATGACAGTTTGCCGTGAAACAGCAGGGCAACAGTTGGGTTCTGAAGAGTTGAGGATGTAAGGAAGCTATTGGGCGGCAAAGTAGAAGTAAAAGGAGGTTGGATGATGCCCTTTCAATGCAGTCTTTAGTACTTACCCTGCCTGACACCATGAGAATGCTCCTCAAAATCTCTGCAGCCACCTCTTCTCCTAGCCTGTCAATAAGGGTACAAATGTCTCTGAAGCCTCTTCCAGGAATAACTAGAATGGAAAGATGGTCTTTCCTGGGAGTTTCTCTTTGGATGATGCAATGTCTAAAGGAAAATTATGTATCTTTCTCTCCCCTCTAAGGGACAAATTAGAAGAACAATGCTACATAGTAATTAGACATTCCCCAGGGTCAGGTTTCAAAAGTTGTCCTGGGGCTATAAAACCTTATCTCTCATAGAGGAATAGAGTATAAAGCTGGGCACTGGGGCACAGCTGTGGCAGTCAGAATAAACTTCATCCAGGATCATGATTCTCTGGAATACTCAATCAGTAAACACTCTTTCCTCTCCACTTTTATTCATTTTCACTATGATTTCTATTCCCTCTGTTGATATAATCAACATCATCATATTTTTAGAAGTTTTTAAATGCAAGTCTTATTTGATCCTTTAAGAAACTTATTTGTATGCTGAAAAAAATAGTTAACATGGTTAAGATTTATGTGATTTGTTTTTCATCATATTAAAAAAACCTCTTTGTATAAGGTAAGCAAGACTACAGTGATTCGCATTTTGCAGATGTGGAGGCTCAGAGAAGCCAAAAGCTTTCTCCAGTACACACAGGCAATACAAGGCATGGAAGAAACTGAACCTTAATCCTCTGAATTCAAATCTAGTTAAACACTAGCATTACCTTTCAATTATATCTCTACTGATTAGTCTCAAGTATATATTCCCTGACTTAGGAATATATTGCCAGTATTGACGGTAGCAGTGTGGCCAGGGCAGGAACCAGGGACAAGGGGGAGCCCTGCGCCTTCCGAGTTGGGGTGGGAGCACCCCAGGGTGTCGCTGCAAGCCACTGTTGCAGACCCAGGCATCCTTGTGCTCTTGGGGCCAAGGAGAAGGTGAGAGCCCCATCCTCCAGGCGCAGCTGCAGCCACCCAAACCCAGGCTGTAGATCTGGGCCACCTGCTCCATGGAACTGGCAGAAGCCCCACCCAGGAGGTTCGGGCTACAGCCACCCAAGTCATGACTGTGGATCATGGCCTCCCACTCCTCCATGCAAGTGTAGCCACCCAAACCACGGCTGCGGACCCAGGCACCTCTGCGCTCCTGGGGTCCTGGGAAGGTCCCCCTTCTCTTGCAGGTTTGAAAGTGCCTGCTCCTGCTGCCTGGCTTCTCCCTGCTGTCAATGTCCACTCCAATCTAGGAGCAAAGTAAGGGCTGAGACCCAGTCCTATTGTAGTCTGTCCAGGTATGCACATGCTACAAGCAGTGCTGATACACCAGCCCCTTGATGCCTTCTCCCTCTCCAGACTTTGGGCACCAAGAAGCATAGGAGGGAAGCCCAGGGGGCACAGAGGGCATCTCAGAGCTGGCATGCAGGCCCCCCTTCACACCTACAGCCTGGGGGCCATGAATGGCAACAGAAGCAGACAGATTCCTGGGCAGAAGGGGGCAGGTCCCTGGTAAGGTCCCACATTCAAGCCAGGGAGGGCCTGAAAACTGGGGGCTGGGGTACCAGTCCCTCAGACCAGAGCGGGAACTTACAGTGCCCAGCTAATTTTTGGATTTTTAGTAGAGACGGGGTTTTATCACATTGTCCAGGCCGGTCTTGAACTCCTAACCTCAGGTGATCTGCCTGCCTCGGCCTCCCAAAGTGCTGGGATTACAGACGTGAGCCACCATCCCCGGCCAGGGAGTCTCTTTTTTGTGCTTGTAAAGCATCTAGTGCCTACACCTGTTGTTAAAATTATCTAGTTATAAGTCTAGATTCTAAGAAATTTGATGATTATCTATCAATATTAATTTATATTTTAACCTTTAATGCATAGCCCTAAGACTTACCTAAACTCAGGTAGTGTATGTTTAATAGAAGACGATCAACTAGGATTTTGAGGTGATAATACAAGATCCATGTTTATAGATTATTTAGCACATACGCCTGGCTTCAATCATATGGCATGTGGAATGTAATAGGGAAGAGACAGAACTGGAAGGTAGGGTTTGGCAGAGTGTGGAGGTCTTTGAATGTCAGACATTGGGATTTTGAAAGCATATTTTTCACATAACGGAAAGTTATGAGATAATTTTTGAGTTGGAATTAATGCACAAAATTGCGTTGATGATATGTAGAATGCATTTAAGTAGAGAAATTATGGAAGTAGGAAGTATTATTTATTCAACTCACATTTACTGAGTACCTATCAGACATCAGAGCCTATTCTGCAATAATCTGGAGTAAAGGCCTAAAATAGAACTGTAATAATGGAATTAAAGGACAGAAGAGATGGGAGTAATTGTGAATAAAGAATCAATAGGACCCGACACCTGATTATATTTGTGCTATGATGGTAAAAGGAACATTAAAGGTAACAGATTCATAAGGTTGAGTTCGTCTGTTAGATGGCACTATCGACAGATATAGGACCAGCTAAAGCAAAAGCTTGTAGGGGCAATTATAAGAAGATGAGTTATAGATATTTTATCTTGAAAATGTGAGAGAACTTTTAAGTAGAAATGTCTATTTGCCATTAATGATGAAGAATTGGATTTCAGAAGAGATGACAAGTCTCTTCTTGGACACATCTGTGGACACAGATGTCTGTTATTTAAGTAGAGATTATAATTGAACTATGAGAATGCACTAGATAATTGAAAAAGAATTTAGGGAATATGAGAAGAGACTGGAGGATTACAATAGGTAGGTGAGAGAAAAATGGTATTAATAGTAAATAACTTTCATTTATTAAATATGTGACAAAATCTGCTAGGGCATTTTTATATTTCATCTCATTTTATCCTTTCATAGTTCTGTAAATTAGTCATTATTATTTCCACTTAACAGATGAGAAAACTAAAGTTTAATGACCATGTATTTTCTCTGTAGTCAGGTAGCTAAGCAGGTGGCAGAGTAAGAATTTGAACCTAGGTCTATCTTATTGTCTTATCCTGAAGAGTTCAGGAAACGAAGAGAGAATCAAGGCAATGATGTATTGCAGAAATCAAATGAGAGAATTACAGGAACAAAGAAACAATCACTGGGTGAAATAGGGAATTCGACTAGCTTTTTCTTTTTTTTTTATATACTTTAAGTTTTAGGGTACATGTGCACAACGTCATCATTTTTTATGGCTGCATAGTATTCCATGGTGTATATGTGCCACATTTTCTTAATCCAGTCTATCATTGTTGGACATTTGGCTTGGTTGCAAGTCTTTGCTATTGTGAATAGTGCTGCAGTAAACATACGTGTGCATGTGTCTTTACAGCAGCATGATTTTTCTATTATTATTTGTAACACTCAGCAAATAAAATTTAAATATATTATATAATATATCTTAATCTCCATTAAAAATTATATACATAGGTATGTATATATACCTATATAAAGAGATATATATTTAAAAATGGGTGTCCATCATAAAAAGTAAAACTTTGAAAATAAGAAAAAGAAACACACAGCATTAAGACCATAAAGAAGAAAGAATGAAATTAGTTAAAGATGATATAAAATTTCCAAATGAAAATAAAGACAAATTATAACACAAAGTTCAGCAAGTGCATAGATACAAATGGATATATTTAACATTGCATTATTATATGTAACAGTTGACAAAAAGTGTAATAAAAAGATGCCATTTGAAGTATCAACAAAAATAAAAAACTGTAAAAGATATGTTACATCTAAACATAGCACTTTATAAAACTGTATTGGACTATATCAAAAACATAAATAAATTGATCCATATGCTGTATGAATGAATAGAATGTCTCAGTTACATAAACATGCCAATCATCTACAAGTCAATCATTTCAACCCAATTTCAATCAAAATCTCATTTTGAGTAGAGAGGAGTGGGATATGTAAGAATGAGGGCCAAGAAGAAGACATTTCAAAGGAGGAGATTAAAATGGTGCCACTTGTCTATTTAGTAAAAGTTATTATGAAGCAATATTTGTAATAAAATAGCAGTGGGAGTAAACAGCCAATGGAAGCAAAGAAATAGACTAATATAGTATGGGATTTTAACATACGTGAGAGTAGGTATAGCAGACCACTGGGGAAAAGATGAACATAGCCAGCACAACAGGTCTGTGGAAAAAGGTGCATTGTTTAATCAATTGTATTGGAACTTTAGTTAAAATTTTTCAATTCCATATAAATATAAACCATAAATTTAAAGACTGATGAATAAAACTATTTAATAGTTCGTTTCATCAAATAGCATCATTAAAAAGAAAAACAACAAGATATACACTAGGAGTCTGTATTTGTAATAACGTTTATAACTGATTATTTTTATTTAGAATATACAAAAAGCTTCTACAAAGTAATAAGAAAAAGATAAACAACCAAATGAGGAGTACACACACACACACACACACACTCACACATACACACATACAACATTCAACTGCAAATCAAAGCAATAGCATATTGTTTACACAACAACTGAGTAGCAAAAATATGACCACCCAGAACATTAGAAAAGATGTGCAACAATAAAAATGCATTTATTGTTGGTGGTAGACAGATTCTGAAAAACAATTTGGCAGCATCTAGTGAAGTTGAAGATGCAAATATTCCAGAATACAAAACGTTGAAGGCTAATGAATGATTAAATTGTGCTCCATTTATACAAGACAGCAGGGATTTTCTTTTAAAGTTGCAGCTAGATACATTGATGTGAATGATTCTCAAAACATATGTTGAGTGAATAAGCAAATTATAAAGTAATGCCTAAAATACCATTCTATTTACATAGAGTAAAACAGAACTAAACAGTATATTGTTTTTGAGTGTGCACACATGTGCTAAATAGAATAATAAACACAAAATTCAGGTGAATGGTAATATGTAATATGGCAATAAAGAACTGGATTGGGGAGGAAAGTGTAGTGGTCTTCAAAGTTATTCATAATATTCTATCTCTTAAGTGGGGTTGTAGGTTCATGTGAACAAGAAGTGAAAAGGTGGAGACAGAAATACTGATAAAAGAGTAAACTATGCTTTTAGGAAAATAAGATCGGGAAGAAGAAAGGCAGTATGGCAGACTTAGAGCAACAATGAAAATGAGAAAGAGTATATACTTTAATATGTTTGAGCATATTCATAAGCTATATAAGCAGACTAAAAAGAGGAAAATTTGGAGGATACATAGGTAAGTGAGACAACTGAAGGAACAGTGTCTCTGCATGAGATGAGATAAATAGGTTCAAAGCGTAAGAGGAGGAATTTATCTTAAGTGGTAAGACTGGATAAAATCAGGGTCAAAAAGTAAACATCAGTGTGGCTACAAATTAGACTATCTTTGAGTCACTATCTGATTCTTTAGCTATTCGCCGATTCATTTAATTATTCGTTTATTTAGCTACATATTCCTTAATCGAATGCTTATTGAGGGACTGTCTTTATTTATTGTTATTGTTTTTTATTTTTATTTTTTAGAGACAGAATCTCACTCTATTGCTCCGGTTGAAGTGCAGTGGCTGCTTACAGGGGCGATCACGGTGCACTGCAGCCTCGAAGTCATGGCCTCAATCAGTCCCCCTGCCTCCACTCAAGGATCTGCCTTAAAAATCGCCTATTAAAAATCTAATCATTCAGAGTCGAAAGTCACCTCTGCTCTGACTCATTTTTCGCACCATATATGCCTGTGTCTCATAAGTTTTTTTTTTCTAATTTCAAATATGCTTTCAAATTCTGTTGCATTTCTATATCCACTGCTACTGTTCCACTAAACATTTAACACTTCGTGATTGTTTTATATCTCTTTTTGTGATAGAAGAAAAAAATCTTATGTGTTGTATATGTCTATTTCTTCTGCCTTTACCCACCTGGAGGTTAATATTAAGTCCAATTTCAGTTTTTAAAAAGTAGGAAAAAAAGAATTAGAAAAGTATCCTTCTGCTTCTATTTCCTGTCCTCTATATGAGGGCCCTTTTTTTTTTTTTCCTCAGGTCTGTCCAAGGTCTAGCTCATGTGTGCTCATCAATACAGCTTTCATGTAGCAGGAAAGGTTGCCCTTCAATCCTTTCCTGACTCCATACACTTGGGATATCTGCTGCTGGAACCCCTGAAACCCATGAAATCTCATGAGAGCCCCCTCATTACTGCCACTACTGCAAATGGCCCTGTGATCCCTGGATCCTTCTGAAGAAATTCTACTAAGCTGTGCTGGATGGCAGCTGGCTGAATCTTCTGCAATACACTTCAGGGTTGTGCTGTGTGATCACTAAACTGCTCCAAAGAGTAGAGAAAATTCTCCTGCCTTTGAACCACATTGCGTTAGTTTCATTCCTTTTGTTCCTTATCCTTTCCCTTTCTCAGCAGATTTTGTAATTTAAACTATTCTTTTACCCCTTGGACAGAATGGAAAGCCAAGTACTCTTTTCATCTGATTTCTAGCCTGACTGAAAAACCTAGCTTCCCATAGGTGTGTTGACCTCATGAAAGGGGAGTGTGTCAGCAAGTGTTTTCCTAATTAGTCTCATGGGGCATAGAGTTGCTTTTCCCTAAGCCCCCCAGGAAAGAGCCCTTTAGAAGAAAGCCTTTCTCCCACTTAGCAATTCCCTGTGATGCTTAGAGGTGTGGCTGTGGTTACAACCTTCCTACTTATTGGGCTGCAGAGCAATGAAGATGGAGACATTTGGAAAAGAGGAGGTGGCTCTGTTGGTTTCTGGAAGAGGTAGCTATGGACTGATGGGTGGACTTTCTACTTTGAGATATGAGTGAATGACTTTGTTTACTAGATATTGGGGGACAATTTTCACAGAACCATATTATTTCCTATTGGACTTTAAAGAAGGACTTGTGGAAATTTTGTTGAGATTGTGACAACACATGAGGTAGAGGAAAGGACCATAACTTAGGGATGGAGGGCTTTGGTGAGTGTTTGTCCTACAATTAGAGATTGCCGTAAGATAACAAACACCTGGACTAAATCTGTCAAATTGTGTCTGGCCCACTAGCTCTATGACTCTTTCACAACTCTACTATTTTCTGAGCTAAATTCTAATCTAGGTTTGTATTGTATTTAGTGGCATCAGGACAGGCTCTTAAGAATAAAGGAATGTCAGGACAACTAGTGGAGCTTCTGGTTGAGATTCTGGGGTATCCATTCCTACAGAAAATAGGAGAGTCCTATTAGGTATAACTTTGCTCCCAAGACTCTATATCAAATTGCCTTCCTATAGGCATCCTCTTTCCTTCTTAAAGACTCAAGTTCCTAAAGACCTACCTTTTTAACAAAAATTTCCAGATTTCAATTTTCTAATTCCAAACGGTACTGGACATAGAGCTTAATGCTTCTTTCCCTGTTTGTCTCCCTACTGCCTCTGTAAGCAGAACACAGAACAATTACACGGGTATCATTTTCTATCATACTAGGAAAGCCTGTTGGGGATAATACAGTCATAAGATATTGGGATGACAAAATAATTTTACAATCTCATATACAGCCATATTATCTGTTCTGCTTAAAGGCTCAGGTTTGATTTGGAACCCTACAGAGAGCCAGTATAAGGTTTTCAGACAGAGGATTGACAGCTTTGCATTTAGGAAAGATTATTTCAGTAGCTATGTGAAAGTGAGATGTAGTAAGACAAGTCTGGAAACAATAAGCCCAGATAAGAGTAATTAAGGTAAAAATTGCTAGAGTATAAATTATTTTTTATGAGCCTCCATTTCTTATGTAAAAGTTTTCTTAAAGAAAAACAAGGGAATTTTCACCTCATATTTTCCTGTTTCAACATAGACTTACTATTTTGCTGTATGTATAAAAAGCAAGAGAAAAAAAATTGTGGTTGCCATATGCCAAGCTGGGTTCTTACTTGTGTATAGCCTCCGGCATTACGGTTTCCAAATAATTTTATCTATTTATTGTATCCATTGGCAGTTCAGAGTTGTCTGACTTTTTTGGTAGATATCAGTAGCTTTCTCCATTTAGAGGTCCCATCTTCACCTCAGTACCAAGTGAAGAGTCAGAATTCTGCCATGCAAACAAACGTTTATTAGCAAACAGGCAAAAACATACTACTATTAGGCCTTTTCTTGGAAGCTCATGGAAGTCTCAACTCTTTTTCCTTATGCTTTCTGGTTAGTATAATAAATGAAGGTTTCTATCAAAGATAAAATGTAATAAAATTCTCTGCAGTAGAAAAGCTAACTTTCTAGTGAGATTAGGTGATAAATACCCTTTTAAGGAGGGAACACAGGAATGAATGGATCATGTGCCTATTGCACCTCTCCAAGCTCTATAGGCTGCCTAGCTCATCCTGTTTTATATCCCTGCAAGCCAGAGGTTAGGAATACTTTCAGCCAATCAACGTATCTTGATCACCTGGTTTTTCATTAAAAAAAATTTCTGTATGCCAGTGGTTCTTAACTGGCACAAATTTTCTTCTACTTCTTCCCTGCAGGGACATTTGGTGATTTCTAGGATGATTTTGGTAGTCATGACGAGGGAGGGGTCTATGCTACTGACACCTTATAGGTGAGACCAGGGGTGGCTGCTAGACATTCTATAATGCACGAACAGCCTTGCCTTCTCTCTGAGCAATGAATTGTCTGTTTCAAAATGTCAATAATGCTGAAATTGACAAAACCTGCTTTACATTATTTAATAAACTCTACAGTGTGGATACAGATAAGAATATTTGAAGCCCTTGTCAAAACTGCCTCTTGAGGTAGACTATTGATTAAAGTATTTCAAATGTTGCAAATTACACCTAGAATGTAATTTCTAGATTAGCTCACTTCAACTATTAACTAACTCCCTGTGATAGTTAATACTGAGTGTCAACTTGATTGGATTGAAGGATGCAAAGTATTGATCCTGGGTGTGTCTGTGAGGATGTTGCCAAAGGAGATTAACTTTTGAGTCAGCGTGCTGGGAAAGGCAGACTCACCCTTAATCTGGGTGGGCACCATCTAATCAGCTGCCAACGTGGCTAGAATATAAAGTAGGCAGAAAAACATGAGAAGACTAGACTAACCTGGGCTCCTAGCCTACATCTTTCTCCTTTGCTGGACCCTTCCTGCCCTCAAACATCAGACTCCAAGTTCTTCAGTTTTGGGACTCGAACTGGCTTTGCTTGCTCCTCAGCTTGCAGACAGCCTATTGTGGGACCTTGTAATAGTGTGAGTTAATATTTAATAAGCTTCCCTTTAACTATATATATATCTCCTATTAGTTCCGTCCCTCTAGAGAACCCTAATACACCCCCTTTAGAGTGTAGATTAGATTAATTTGTATACCCATATATGTCACATGAGATTAGCCTCTTGTGTCTTAAAGTAAATAATATTTGGTGGAATGTTTGGATTTTTTCTTTTCATTCAATTGTTAATAATGAGTCAGACTAAGGGAAGCTGCTAATCATACTTTAGTTTCAAACATGCGCACTTAAAAATGAGTTTATTCTTATCCACAGAGGGTATCATTTTGTCATGACCCATTCTTCTGTGTCCCCAACACTTCATCTCAAAAAAATGAAAATGTCTACTTACTTAAATTGTTCCTAATTTACTGTTATAATAAATGTTCTAGCTAATATTGTCATATATTTCTTTTTTAATATCTGAAATATTTCCCCTAGACTACATAGTGAAAGGCTTAAACTCTAAACAGTCTTAAACTCTCAATATAAATTGCCAAATTGCCATTCAGGGGAGTTTGTACCAATTTATATGTCTAACTAGCAATACTGTTAGCTTATCCAACAGAATAATTGACAACATAAGTTATTATAATTACTAAATTTGACAGGATAACTTTATATGTTGCAAAATGACTCACATAGTATATTTTATTTAACCAGCCTAATTTCAAGGCTGTTTAGTTGCTTGAAAAGAAGGTTTTTATTTGTTCTTTGCATGTACTTAGAATGTTGACTGTGTTTTATGAGCCAACAAGTGAAACCGCTGAAAATATGGATCCAGAGAATCAGACAATGGTGACTGAGTTTTATTTCTCTGATTTTCCTCAATCTAAGAATGGCAGCCTCTTATTCTTCATTCCTATGCTCTTTATTTATATATTCATTCTTGTTGGAAATTTCATGATTTTCTTTGCTGTCCAACCGGACCCCCATCTCCATAATCCTATGTACAGTTTTATCAGTGTCTTCTCCTTCCTGGAGATTTGGTACACCACCGTGACTATCCCCAAGATGCTCTCCAACCTTCTCAGTGAACAGAAAACCATCTCTTTCATAGGTTGCCTCCTGCAGATGTACTTCTTCCACTCACTCGGGGTCACAGAAGCCCTAGTCCTCACAGTGATGGCCATTGACAGGTGTGTAGCCATCTGCAACCCCCTTCGCTATGCAATCACTATGTCCCCTTGACTGTGCATCCAGCTCTCCACTGGCTCTTGCATTTTTGGCTTCCTCATGTTACTGCCAGAGATTGTGTGCATTTCCACTCTTCCATTCTGTGGCGCCAACCAAATTCATCAACTCTTTTGTGACTTTGAACCTGTGCTGCAGTTGGCCTGCACAGATACGTAAATAATTCTGGTTGAAGATGTGATCCGTGCTATTTCCATTCTGACCTCTGTCTCTGTCATCACCCTTTTCTATTTAAGAATCATCACGGTGATCCTGAGGATTCCCTCTGGTGAGAGCCGTCAGAAGGCTTTCTCCACATGTGCAGCCCACATTGCTATTTTCTTGCTGTTTTTTGGCAGTGTGTCACTCATGTATCTGCGCTTCTCTGTCACATTCCCACCATTACTGGACAAGGCCATTGCACTGATGTTTGCTGTCCTTGCCCTACTTTTCCTTTTTTTTTTTTTTTTTTTTTTTTTGAGACGGAGTCTCGCTCTGTCGCCCAGGCTGGAGTGCAGTGGCGGGATCTCGGCTCACTGCAAGCTCCGCCTCCCGGGTTCACGCCATTCTCCTGCCTCAGCCTCCCAAGTAGCTGGGACTACAGGCGCGCGCCACTACGCCCGGCTAATTTTTTGTATTTTTAGTAGAGACGGGGTTTCACCGTTTTAGCCGGGATGGTCTCGATCTCCTGACCTCGTGATCCGCCCGCCTCGGCCTCCCAAAGTGCTGGGATTACAGGCGTGAGCCACCGCGCCCGGCCCTTGCCCTACTTTTCAACCCAGTAATCTATAGTCTGAGGAACAAAGATATGAAAAACGCCACCAAGAAAATCCTCTGTTCTCAAAAGATGTTCAATGCCTCTGGGAGCTAATGGAGTTCACACACACCTCTTCAAAGAAATCTCATCATCTCCTTAAGTTTAAAATGCTAACAAATCAGTTTTTTAAAATTACCACGCACTTTTTCTTTTTTTAACGAAATTATTTAAAGACATTTTGGCATGTATTTTCAAAGTGAAGTATCTCTTTAATGATTTTTAATATGAATAACAACAGTACTAAGTTTTGTGTCTATCATTTTAATTTATAGGTCTTGTTTTTCTAAGACTATAAGTATGATTTATAAATGTTATTACTTTTGCTTGAAAAGTAAGTTAAGCTGTAAAAACAAAAACAAAATAAGTACGTTAAGTTTTAAAGATATTTAAATGATTGTAAAACCTTCTTATACATGTGTCTACATTGTTCTCTTTTCCTGCACTCCACATTTCTTTGTGAAAATCTGTATTCATCTGGTGTCATTTTCCTTCCACCTGAGAAGCTTCCTTCAACTTTTCTCACACTGTGGGTCTGTGGATGATTAATCGTTTTTGTTTTTGTAAGTTTCAACAACGCTTTGTAAATCTGAGCAAGTATTTTATTTTGTCCTCATTTTATAAGATGTTTTTTTCTGGATATAGAAGTCCAAAATATAAGATTTTTTTTTCTTTTTTTCCATGAGTTAAAGATGTTGTTCTGCTTTGTTCTCACTTGCATTGTTTTTGATGAGTAATCTGCTGACATCCTTGCTTGTGTTTCACAATATGTTATGAATGTCTTTTATCATCCCTTTTATTTTTTAGTTCTCATTTATAAGTGGGAGCTAAACATAGAGGTTACATGGACATAAATATGGAAACAATAGACACTATGGACTATCAGAGGTTGTGAAGGGGTGGGTAAAACAACTACCTATCAGGTAATATGCTCACTACCTGAGTGACGAGATCCGTACTCCAAACCTCAGCTTCACGCAAAATCCCCGTGTAACAAATCTGCACATAAACCCACCGTACGTGTTTTGATTTATGCTGTTGATTTGCTATACTTTCTAATTTTCTAATGTAAGGACTAATGTTTGATCTGACAGGGGATGTCTGCTATAGATTTACCTATGTTTCTATCATTCACAGATTATAATGGAATATTTTCTTCACTTTGTAACTCCAAGTAGTGGAGTTTTGATTTGGAGTTTTCTCCAAATCAAAAGAGAATACTGGCCTAAACAATAATCATATTTATTACTTTATAATTAAGTAAATCATATTTATTACTTTCTAAGTGTTTCCATTATGAAATATTTCATTTAATATTCACAATACCCTTAGGTCAGTTTTTTTTTCACTTTCAAAAGATTAACAAGGTGCACACCGGTGAAGTGATTTGGGCTTGGAAAAGAAACCTGGCTTCTTAACATTCAGCCCAGAGACCTTTACCCCTCCATAAATTGTCCTCTGATATATCACAATGATTATGCGGAACATAGAGTCACTGAACTTGTGATGTTTGTATAATGCTGTTATTATGAATTCCTTTATGGATTAATTTTCACATCGTTTTGTAGATTTCAGAGCAAATGCTCTTGGGTCCTTGAAGATTAAATAGATATATAATATATAGGCTTAGGACCAAAAACATAAATATACAAATTATACAAAGATATATAGTTATATTTTGGTAGATTTTTTAAAATTAATATCACTGCTATTAAAAACGTTCCATGTTATGATTACGTTATGCTACGTTATGTTATGTTAAAATGCTGTGCAGTTTTATATCTCAACATCTTTGTTCTCATTTCATGTTTGCTCTGGAGTGTTGCTCCGTTTCTTCTTCTCTGCTTTGGAGCTTATACTCAGAAAGTTCAAAAACACATTTTATCGTTTGAGATAAACGTCCCTGCCTTCCTCCCACAAAACTACACTAGCATTTTTAAGAGCTGAGTAAATTGTCTCTAGAAAAGGGGTTTCGCTCGGCTCCTGCGGAGAAAATAGCAGGGACACAGGGCAACTGCCAGCGGAATCCTAATGACCAGGAGGCCAGCTAGAGGTGTGGGGAGAAAATAAGCAGATAATAATGGAAATATCAATAGCGCCGGCCAAAAAAAAAAAAAAAGTCTCAATCAACTGTTTTCAGGGAGGCAGATACATTCTTCTATCCACCTATCCGCTTATGAGTGCTAAAGTGGAAAAAAGACCTTAGTTCCAACTTCAGTTCAGCTCCAGACCTTGTTTCCTCCCCTGCCTTGGACCCAGCCCTACTGTTTGTCCCTTCTCACTCCTGTATCATTAAATCCTCTCCTGCATTGATATGAGATTTTAAACACTGATGACAACACATTTTGCATGAAGAAAATTATATATGTTTCTTCGATTATACAATTTAAATTTATTTGAGGTAAACATTAAAAAAGTAGGTCTTTAATTCTTTCAATTCCCGCTTAAAAACCTTAGTATTCTATTAATAAACCTAATATATTTTATTCATTTTTAAAGGTGTTACACAAATATTTGGTTTGATTCATAAACTTGGCATTTAATTCTCTTTAAATATGTTTAAATATGATCTATGTATTTCATTTTTAAGCATCTCAATTTGCTGACTTAATAAAGCCTCATCAGGCTTTTAAAATAATCTTTTTAATCTAAAAAGAAAATTATAACTAAAGCAAATCTTAAATCCTTTTAAATGTTTCAATACTGTGATCAATGAAGTAAGATTTCAACCTAAAATAGTAAGCTTACTATCTTGATTAACTGGGTAATTTTTATTGACTATTAAATTTAACCCGAATGAAGTTAATTTTTAAAAGTCCAAGTTAATTTTTCAATTACAAATCTTAAATTATAATTACAAAGTAGATCTGGTGTTCAAATAGACAAATTATCTTAAATAATACAAACTCAAAAAATATTAAATACATGCAAATTTACTAATAAAAACATGAATAGTAGGTTTCAATCCTTTTAAATAATTTTATTTTTGGCTCTAAAATCCTGATGAGTTTTAAAGATGCTAACCCACCAAGGAAATAACTATGTAACCCATTTTTTCATTCATGCAACAAATATTTACTGAGGCTACTCTGCCAAGCACTGTTTTAGGTCCTTGAAATAGAACTGATGAAAAAATTCCCTGCCCTTATGTAGTTATGCTATAAGGAGGAGAGGTATTTTAAAAATACATACTAAAAATAAGCAAAAAAAGATAACTATTACATGAAACTATATATTCTGTAGAAAATATAAAAGAAAATAGAATAAGATGATCTGGTATGGGTAGCAGGATAATAATTTTAGAACAGGTTGGTAAAGTTGAACCTTATTTAGAGGGCCACAATTGAACAAAGATTTGAGGAAAATGGAGTTAGCCATATGGAGGGAGTGTGAAAGCTAAAGAAAGAGGAAAGAAACACGAAACATGGCTTAACAGTCCAAGATAGGTTTTCTTTACTTAAAACCTGAAAGGGGCTTCTGGCCAATTTCGGTCAGGACTGCTTTCTCTTACACACTAAGAGTATATATTGGTTTTAAAGTGAAGAGCTTATTATAAGCTTGGAATGTTTCTGTGTGAGGGAGAAGTTTTATGGCGGGGTTGGAATGTCTCTGGGAGGAGGGGAGGTTATCTTGGGGCAGACATCTTTCCAACCGGAGGAGGGTTATCTTGGGGCTAGCATGTCTCTGGTTGGGGAAGAGTTTGGAATGTTTCTGGCTAGAGATGTTATGTGTGGTTTATGGTCATGCTGACATTAGCCATTAGGCTGACGCCCTTTGGATTTAGGTGGTTTTTTAACAAGGTGAACTTTAGAATGAGGGACTTGTCCAAGATGGTGATGCTCCCACTCTGTCTGGGAGAATAATCCAGACAGCACTAAAAGCTAGTGAAAAAGCCCTGAAGTGGGTGAGCCTCTGGCTTGTTTAAGGAATCAGGAGACTAATGTGGTGGAAATGGAGTCAGGGACAGGTCTGGAAAACTAGACGATGAGTTTAGGGGGAAAAAAAAAAGATGGATTATACACAGCAAGCTTGTCCAACCCACAGCCTGCAGGCCACATGCAGCCCAAGATAGCTTTGAATGTGGCCCAACACAAATTCATAAACTTTCTTTAAAAATGAGATTTTTTTTTTGTGACACTTTTTCATCTCATTAGCTCTTGTTAGTGTTGGTGTATTTTATGTGTGGTCCAAGGCAATTCTTCTCTTCCAACGTGGCCCAGGGAAGGTAAAAGATTGGACACCCTGATATAGAGACTTGAAGGTTGTTACAAGATTTAGATTTTTCTAATTTATTCTGAGAATCGGGAAGTTATTGGAAAATATGGAGCAGAGGAGAGACATCTTCTGATGTTGAGTTTAACAGAGTAAGGCATGCCTCTGTGTTGAGGAGACATTGAAGGGTCTGATGTTGAGTTTAACAGAGTAAGGCATGCCTCTGAGTTGAGAAGACATTGAAGGGAGGCAAGTATAGTAGCTGCAGTCCTTCAGGAGCTTCTGCAATAACCCTAGTAAGAGATGATGGTGGTTCAGATCAGGATAGTGGCAATGAAGATGGAGAAGTGTGGTCCAATTCTAGATTCAGTTTGACAACAGAACAACAGAATTTCCTGATAGACTGCAAATTGACTGTGAGCGGGCAGTCAAGGATGGCGAACTGGAATGATGGAGTTGTCATTAAAAACATAGAGAATACTGACAGAGAATACTTCAGGAAGATGTTGGGAGAAGGGATACTAGAAGTTTAGTTTTGCATATTTCAAGTTTAACTGGACTGTTAGACATCTAATAAAAGTGTTGAGTAGGCTGTTCCATGAGTTAGATACTTGAGAGTGCAGGCTAGAATGGAAATGCATGTGCAACTTTTTCATAGAATTTTACTACCATTGAGAAAAGAGAATTAGGGTAACAAGGAGCAAGTGGGATCACTAAAAACTTTGTTGACTGTGATTCACAATAAATAATATATTTTAAATCATAATTTAGGACATACATACATACATTTACACACTCATATTCATATTTCTAGTAGAAAAGTATTTTTATAAAACAATACTTATACTTATTCCATGCAATACTTTTGATCTTTTCTATTCTGTTTTTTCCTATTCTATGTTATTAAAAACATTTTTGGAACTGATTTCACTCATTAATAGGTTGTGACCCTCAATTTATAAACAAAATGAGATTAGGTATTTAAACTAATTTAAATTAAATTTAACCTAATTTAAATTACCTTTGAATTTTTGAATACAAATTTAACACGATTTCTATTTTTAATTTTTATTTATTGTTTCTAATTTTTATGATAATAATTGCATTATATTAAAAGCTAAGTTTTGTTTTTAAAAGCATACGATAATTTTAAGGTGATGAAAATATGTACTCTCTGACAATGCTAAGATATCAAAATAGTATAATCCTTTCTAAAGCAAATTAGCAATATGAGTCAAAAGAATTAACAAACATGAATATCCACTTAGAGGTAAGTGACAGATAAGACTTCATCAATGAAGTAGAATTTAAGCCAAAACTTGAAGATTGAGAAGGAATCAGTCAGAAAAATATGTAAGATCAGTCATTTGTGCAGATTCCCTGAGGTTAGAAACAGCTGGGTTCATTAAAGGAACCAAATGTAGGCATGGGTAGATGGGACACAGTAAGAGTCATGAGATGAAGTCTAGAGGCAAAATATGCAGAACCTTATAGGTCATGCTTTGAGAAATTGGAGTTTAATCCAACCTACAAGTGAAGGCATCAAGGAGATTAAGTAAGATATTACACTCTTAGAATAACATTCCTGGTATGGTATGAGTAGTAGATTGGACTTGGAACAAAACTGTGGAGGTGGGAAGGATGATTTAATATACTTTATCAGTTATATTTTGCTATATAACAAACCACCCCAAAAGTTAATAGCTTAAAACAGAACCTATATGTTTGTCTCAGAATTTCATGGGTTAGGAATTTGGGCTCTAACTAAATGGGTAGTTGCTCTAGTCCTGGTTCACTCATGTTTCCAAGGTCAGCAACTGGCTGGCTACAGCAGGCTGGGACAAGATTAGCTAAGACAATTCTATTCCCATTCATGTGGTGTTTTACTTTCCAGAAGTCTGGTTCTGAGTGTGTTCACCCAGTTACTGGTAGAGTGTTGAAACAGAGTCTAAGTATGCAAACAAGGTCTCTTGAGGCCTAGGCTCAGAACTGGCCCATAATCTCTTCTCTTATGGCCCAAGCCAGTCACAAGGAGACATAGAGGAAGGGAAAGAGATTCTATCTTTTAATGGCAAGAGCTGCCAATTCACTTTGCAAGGAGCATGAGCACAGGGAAGAGTTAAGATTGTATAATTTTCTTTGCAACATAGAGATTATTGGCATTTTCACATTATGCTAAAATCTTCCTTGGAATCACTGGAACTAATCATGTATGTGTGGACTAAAAGAGTAGAGTATGGTCTATATTTAGAACTGTGGTAAAAAAGTATCTTGAGCTAAGTAAACAAATTAAGTATAGCATTGCCTTTTATGTAATCAACGGTGTTGTTGCAATGAATTATGTCTTCTTCCAGAAAAATGAACAGGCCTTGAAAAAATTAACTACCATTTCAGAGGACAGTGAAGTAAAAATAAATAAATAAATAAATAAATTCTTAATTCTGTTGAAAGCAATTCTTCAAAAGAACATGTATTTATATAACCTGTTGATTCTGAGCAAATCTATCAAATGAGGTTCATACTTTACTTATGACACACACTTATGACATAGCAGACACTTCAAAAGGACCTCAGCCAATGTCTTCAGATAAAGAAACTTAGGATGAAGGCTCTGGGGCTAGGAATATAAATATGCAAAGAGCATGACCAGCCTGAGTCCTTGACTAACTCACTTCACAGGCTGCAATGCATTGGTCCTGCACAGAGCCTGGTGTAGGAGGAGCAGCTTTCCCCATGAGCCTGCTAGGTAAAGCCTTTACTTAGATGCTTGGAGTTCCTGACACTATGGAAAACTAATGAGAAAGTGTCAGAGGAGTTTCCATTAATTAAGCCATGGGGAAATAGAATTGCTGCTTTTCTCTAGTTATCAGGGGAAATATCCCAGTAGAGAAATCTCCCCCAAGAAACCTTTAGAAACAGGTTTAACAGTGCTTTCAGCTGAACAGAAGGGACTTAAATTTCATAAATCCAGGAATGGTTAGGGACCTCATTGTCTCTGCTAGAGGTAAGAGGAGAATGCACATGAGTTGAAGATGTAGGCTTGTTCTGGGTCAAGGAGAAAGTAAATTGCCAAATAGATAGAGGGAAAAGGACACTTAGCCAGTGATCTTTCTGTTGACTTAAATAACAATATTTGGGGACATATTTGAGGCTGCATGGGTGGCTGAATAGAATTAGTCTTGGTGGAGGAGAGGAGGACAAACACAGCATTAGAAATCAGGGATAAGGTTTTATTTTTTCTGGAGCATGACATATTGAATAATTGAGACTTTTTCACTGGTCATAAGATTGTTTCTCTGCTTTCATATCCTCAGAATTTTCTAAATTAATTATGATCCAGGAGGATATCATTGCACATACTGGTACCTTGTTTGAGCCAGATAAATATAAATCATCAATATTGTTAATAAGAGAAGTCAAATATATCAGAAGAGTCTATTACTGAAAATCTTATGTCAGGATATTGACTCAAACAGAACACAGTCTCTATCCCAGATCAATTTTTTATGCTTACCTTCCTTTCTCTCAGTGGGATTGAGTGAGCTTATGTCTTTCCTTCCAAGTCTCCAACAGATAAACTTCTAATTATCATATTAATCTCTGAGGAGTAGAACATCGATTTTGCCAAAACACAGGTATCTTGATTTTATTACAAGGATTAGCACCAAACACTTTGAAGAAATACATAGGAATGCCAGAAACACAGTAAGACAGTAGCTCTGACTGCTTTAGATCCTAATGATCTCAAATTTCTGGAATTAGTAGCAGTCATCTCTACACTAATTTGAAAATTGAGATAGTATATAAATCTTTTTACCTCTTTCTTTAATCTCTTCAAGTGTGTGGGTCAGGGGCTCCGTAGAGTTAAGAGAGAGCATTGAGCTGCCAGGTGTAGGGGTAGTCAATTAGAGCAAGGAGGAGCCATGATGAAAGTTAGCAGTGAAGTCTTTAATCACTTATGGTGATAATGTGAGCAACAAGCTAAAACCGGAGCAGGTGCTACTCCTCTCTGTTCTATTTTCCCCCATGGACTTGTGCGCAGGTCAGGTGGATCAGTGCAGACCTAGGGATTGTTCCACTGCTGAGGGAGCCCCCAAAAAAGGTTGCAGCAAATTTATGGATCCTGTGGTAAGGGAAGGAAGAGAGCTAGAAGTGGAAAAGTACTGGGCTAAGTCAGAGTAGGGCAACATGTCTTCAAGGTTTTCTCTTCTTGCCACCTCCCCCCATGCAGCCCCACCAGAGCAGAGGTCTCAGCAGAGACACCTCAAAAGGGCATCAGCCAGCGTCTTCAGATAAAGAGACTTAGGATGAAGGCTCTGGGGCTAGGAATATAAATATGCAAAAAACACGACCAGCCAGGGGTTCCTGAGTCCTTGACTAACTCACTGGAGAGACTGCAATGCAGTCTTGGTTCTGCACCAAGTCTGGTATGGGGAGAGAAGCTTTTCCCATGAGACTGCCAGGTTTCCCAAAGGCTTTAGCCTTTGTCATTTCCTGTTTTCAAGCCTGAAAATTCACACATAGGTTTTAACCAGGAGCTGGAACTCTTCAACTTGATTTTTTAGGACATGGGTGAGAAACATAGGCTACTTTAACATGGACCCGAGTCAGGTCAGATGCTGAGGTGACAACAACAGCACAACAATTAGTCTGAGGCAATGGTAGACCTAGACTGTGATCAAGATCATTCCAAGTAAGATGATCAGGCTTGCCTGGAAGATTGAATGGAACTGTGAGTCCCAACAGTTACCAAGCAAGGAAAAGATGTACCAAAGCCCGCTAGGATCTACTTTAAAAGAGCCAGAAGGCTTTCTCCTATTTCTATATGAATCTTTTTCACCTGCCTGGAGCATCAGTTCGGAAACAGAGCAACTATGTCAATAAGCTGACTTAAAGGCCTCCCAGGATTCTAGCATTGTCACGACAATTGGGGTACACACACAAGAAGCATCCTTTCAGAGAACACATGTGGTCCCCTGTAAACAAAGAGTTAACAATGTTAAGGCAGGCCAAGCCGGGCATACATTAGGCAGGTAGTCAGGTTAGCAGGGCCCCCAGTATAGCCTCCCATCGTAGAGCCTCCTGCCCTGGTGTTTTCAGCTCAGTTTGAATAATTTAGTTTAATCTTTGGTTTTAGAGTAACTGTCTGGGGCAGTCAGTTTTAAATAGTTTTATTTGTCTGTGGCATTTGTCTATGGGTCTCACAAGTGTGGATGACATCTGCAGGTATTTTTTGTGGAATGTGTAGAAGCTGACAGCATCCTCTGTTATCTCAGAGTCAGTGTTATCAGTTCTCAGCAGCTTGGAAAGGCAGCACAGGGAAGTATGTTTGGTTCATTTTTCTTTTTATTTATTTGTTTCATTCTTTTTTAGAAACAAGGAAAACTTTTAAGAGCAAGCCTGAAAAAAAGATTATCAGTATCCTTCCATTTCCCCATGTCTCCTCAGATGTCGGTTTTAGTTTATTGTTATCAATATGTCTCATATAGTAACCAAAATGTTATATTTTAAAAATAATTATTGCTTATTTTTTATGTGTTATGGAGCATGGAGAATCCATCCTACAGCCCATGATTGGGCTCCTTGATGTGTGGCTTTGGTAGAAAATTGGGGGCATTATAAGATGTGATATGCTCAGGAAAAATGAACAGAAAGCAAATGTGTTTTTCTAGGACCTGGATAGTGTGGTCTGGGTCAGTGGAATGCACAGGAATGACTAGGTCAAATCCAGAGAAAGTGTCTGCTGTCGTCAGGATCTAGAGAACCACTCTGAATGGGACAATGTGATTTACATGCCAAGAACATCCTGGCCCATTGGCTTTGACCTCTGTCCATGGGCAGTGTGGTTAGCCTTAAACAGGTTTTGACAAGCAGACCAGCTTTTCATGCTGTTTTTGAGATTTCTGTTGGCAGTGGCAGTCCATACGTGTAGGCCCAGTCTAAGGTGGTTCCTGAATATTTATGGGCCATCCTCTTGTGGATCAAGGAGGTGATCCGCCACACATCAGCTTGCTGTGGAGAAGAGGACAGTTTGGGCTCTGTGTTTAATTGGCAAGTGCAGTCTGCTCATTGGTCATGTGATCCTTGTTAGCATAGGGGCCTTTCTGGTCAGCATCCACGTGGGTAACAAAAAGTAGGAACGGAACTGATTTCTATCTAAATGTCTTGTCCTCACAGTGGGGCTTCTATATGTCAGTACTAGGCTTCCCAGTGGCTCCAACAAATGGCCAGGCTAATAGCTAATGTCCATGTATCAGGTAGGTTTATAGTTTTCCATATGCCTTGGTAAAATGGCCTAAACTGCAGCAATTTCAGAGCATGGGGGCAAAGGTTTGCAGAGGTATACATAGACTACACATTCGTACTGATAATATATTTAACAGTAGGGATTATAACAGTGAAGATTTATAGGGGCCTGATGGAACCCACTCATAGTTGAGCCTGGGCAAGGGTACCAGTGGTGGTGACCTCAAAACAGAAAGCATTATATGTTTTATCCTCATTTTGTTGCCAGTGAGACTCACAGTCACCTGTGAATGGGTAGCTAAAAAGTTTAAGATGTACAATTTTCTTTTATTTCTCTTTTGAGTGTTAACCTTGGTTTAGAGTCTCTAGTCCCCTAGGTACAGAAGGACATTGTCCCAACCCCTAGTTTTGTTTATTTTTGAAAACTGAGAGGTCTGGGTAAGTCAATGAGGTCCTCTAACCCATCCCTAGACCCACAGGGAGGGACAGAGAGAACCCTTATCACTTATAGAGGCTGGTCCATCAGGATTTGGTGATGAGTTTTCTGGGGCAGGAGCAGGAGTTGGAGAACAAGGAGGAGCAGCAGGTTGAGATGGACAGTTATTTTTTTTGGCCAGGACCTGTAGGGGCTGCAAAGGGCAGGCTAGTTTCACCCCAGTTTCCTTAGCTTTCTCCTGGCCCCTCTGTTTGGTCTTTAATAAACAGGAGCTAAAGGAAAGAACTAAAGTTCTCCTTCAGAACAAATAGTTTATATAAACAATATGCTAGCAACCTCCAAGAATGTCCCATTGCTTCTACTAGCGTGTTCCCAGTCTCATTGGTATGCTTAGAGAAGTTCCCCTTGGGATTCATTGGCACTTCCCAAGAATCAATGGCAAAGTGCCCTGCAGGACCCTGGGACTTTTGCAGACAATCTGGTAGCATCTCTCTACAATGTCCTTCAGACTCTTCTACCACCTCCCGCTTACTGCCCCAATTTGTCAGGACCTCAACTGAGTTGAGAGAGAAAGAAAAAGAGAGAGAGAGAGAGTTGAACTGCCAGGAGTAGCTGATTAAAAGAACAAGGAGCCAAAATGAAAGTAACAGTGAATCCTTTAATCATTTACTTTGATAGTATCAGCAAAAGGCTAAACTCCCTCCAAAATAAACGCTGATTCTCCTGTTTCGTTTCTCCCATGAAACGAAGGTGGAGGGTCAGGTGGATCAGTGCAGATTTGGGGGTCATCTTACTGTATAGAGACAGTAGATACACTGCACATAATCATGTAACAATCACTAAAATCAAGACAAGGAAAAAGTCCACTCCTGCAACCTCTCCAAATTTCTTAATTGTGCCATTCAAAACTGACATTTCCTTTGACAAGACCTTCTGGCATGGCAATCATTATCTGTTTCTGTTCCTATGTTTTGCCTTTTACAGAATATTATATAAGTGAGTGATACAGTATGTAGCCTTTGACGTTGACTTCTTGCACTTACATAGTTAAGATTCATCCATGTTGCTGTGTGTACCAGCAGTCATTAATTTTTATTGCTGAGTAGTATTCTATTTATCACATTTGTTTATCACTTTTTTTCAAATCCATTTACCACCATTTAGGTTGTTTCCAGTTTTACAAATAAAGCCACTATAAGTATTTGATTACAGGTGTTGGAGTGAACATAAGCTTTTATTCCTCTTGGGTAAATACCCAGGGGTGTTATTGCTGGATTAATAGTAAGTGTATGTTTAACTTTGTAAGAAACTGCTAAACTCTTTTCCACAGTGGTTGTAACATTTTGCATTCCCACAAACAATGTATGCAAGATCAAGTTGCTCCACATTCTGCCCAGGGTTTAATATTGTTAGCTATTTTGTTTCCTTTTTAAAAAAATTGCAGTAGTTATTTTTATCGATGAGTAATGATGCTGTATCTCATTGTGGTTTTAACTTGCATTTCTCTAATGACCAGTGATGTTGATGTTGAGCATATTTTTATGGACTAATTTAACACCTGAAAGTTTTCTTTGCTGAAATATCTGTTCAAATAGATTGCTAATTTCTTTTAAAAAGTGTTGTTTGCTTTCTTATTGTTGAGTTTTGAGGTTTGAGGTATTCTATACGGTTTTTGTCAGATTTTTTTTTGCAAATAAATTATCCTGTCAGTAACTCAAAATAAAAACATGAACAAAAACAAAAATAAATGACTGAGATTTTGATTTAAGTTGCAATGAATGACTAGCTTTGCGGAATTCGTATCTTCACAATTTAAAGTCTTCCTATCCATAAACACAGCACCTTTTCACTTATTTAAGTCTTCTTTGATTTCTTATATCAGTGTTTTACAGGGTACAGCATATTGATTCTGCAATATATTTTGAGAGATTTAAAACTACTTTATACTTTTATGTTATTTTGAATCATATTTAAAATTTTATGTCCCAATTGTTCATTCTTAGCATATATAATATATACAGTAATTGTTTTTTTATGTATTGGCCTTTTATCCACTAACCTTGTTTTTCTACCTCAAGTCATCTCTGCTCTAATCCATTATACATAATGCAACCAGACTCACTTTTCAAAATCTAAAGTTTTGTCAAATAAATTTAATTCTCTGTTTAAGATTATTCAGTGGTTTCCTTATTTCTGGCAGGGTAAAGTCTCATTCTGTCAAGACAAAACTTACTACTTCCTTCAAGATAAGCTTTTTGCTGATTTCTCCAGCTTTATCTACGGCATCATCATCATATTCTCTCTGACACCCTCTCTCTCTCTCTCTCTCTCTCTCTCCCTGTTCTGCCCAGAGGCAATAAGTTTAATTTCTGGAATGCATCAGCCTATTTTTGTGGCTTTAAAAAATATTTATACTTGTTATTCTTTCTGAAACACACCTCTTCGTAGCTGCAAACTTTTTGCCAGTCTCCCTTCTACCTATACTTCAGATAACGTGCCAGTCACTGTTCTAAGCATTCTGCCTATATAAACTGATGTAATTCTACAGCAGCTATGCAAATGTACTGTTTTTATTGTCTCCATTTTACAGATGAGGAAACTGAGAGTATAGTTTATACAATTACCCTAAAATCACAAGTGTAATAAGAAGTGTTAGAGCCATGATTCAGACCCATGCAGCCTATAACCAAATTCCATGTTCTTAAATACTAACTTATTTTAGTCCAGTTTCTACTCTGGAGTGCCTCTAAATTATGTTCTCAATAAATTGTTCCTGTTTAAATGAATTAACCCACTCTCATGTGCCTTCCTCTCTCATATTTCACTGAAAATTATTTGGATATAGTTAGCAACAATTCCCAAATCACTTCATCTAAAAATATTCTTATATTTCAACCTCTGCATTACTTGAATAATCTTCAGGATTTGAAACTGTCATGTACTACTTTCTCCCTTAAATTTTCTACCTTTCTGGTGCACCTTTGCCAGTTAGCTTTTCATGATCCTCTTCCCCATTTCCTCTTAGACATTGGTGTTTTCCCAGGCCACAATTTTCTGTCACTTTACTTTCTACTTTATTTATATACTTTCCCTGGATACCTTTTCCATATTGAGTTGTCACATATAACTTATATGTGGGTAACTTCTAAATACATATGACTGATGCAGACGTCATTCTGAACTTTACACCTGTCTACTTGATGACCTACTGGATATCTTCCTTTTAAGATCCCATTGGTACTCCAAAGTTCAGCCACTCTAAACCTATCTCTTCACTTTACTCCAAATCTCCTCCTCCTCCAAAATTCTCCACTTTTTATTAATTTTAATTCATTGTGGTAAGAGCATTTCTTTATTTTTAATGTTTTATTTGGTTATTTATTCTCGAAGCCCAGTAAACTATAAAATGACACACAATAGGAAATAATAAATGTAAATAAATAAACTAGTAATAACTTATAATTGAAAAAATTCGTTTTTATAAGTAAGCCACTCAATTGCCTGTATGGTATTTTAGCATTTAAGGCCATTATCTGTTATCTATAGGCATTCTCTCATTTTCAATAGGAAAAGTAAGCATAGTTTATTCTTAGAATCATCTTTTAAACTTAAAACTAAAATAAGATCAGGTGTATATATACATAATATATATATATATATATTCCTTTTTTTCTATAATATAATCCAATGTATAAAATAATTAAGAGGAATATACATCAAAACATCTTGTGCATGATGAATACATGTAATTCTATCAATTTAAAATAAAATAAGATAAATATATATGTATAAGATAATTACATACTAAGAGAATGTATAAAATTCATTCTGCTGTGCCTTTGAATATACTCTATTTCAAAACTTGCTTTTTAGATTTGAGATTTTTATTTTTTTACTTTGTTATGGATTTTCTCTGCTCATAAAGTAATAAAAGTAAATTATTTCCTCCTTAGTCAATGTTTAAATTAAACTGGGCTCCAAATGATATCAAGATTTGTTTATTTTTGGTTTAGCTTGCTTACATTTTTGTTTTGTCTTGTTTTGTTTCACTTTTCTGCCTATGTTTAATATCTCTTCTCTAGCTAGTACTTTCCTCAGAGGAAAGTCAAAAGAACTTTTCTTGTTGGTGTCCATTCTGCATCAACAGATTTAAGGTCTAACTCTGTGACTGTCAATACTCAAATTATTATTTATTGGCAAGCTACCTTACAATGTAGCAAAAGCCTGTTTCTATTTGGTCCTCAGATCAATTTCTTTGTTTTTCTCAGTCAATTCATCAATGATAACCAGTTTGGAGTAAGTGGAACCTGCTAATTTTCTAGCATCCAGCATCCAGATTCACAAATTCAGAATTATATCTTTAAAATAATAAGGATATGGAAAAACATGTGAATTAACTGTTGGATTGATCAACTTTCTCATAAACATTTTTAGCAACATGTTTTATATACTGCATAATATCAAAAAGCTACTAAACATGAGTGTTTTGGTAGTCTGGCACTACAAGAGAAAAGTTGAAGCTCACTCTGAAAGATTATTTACCAAAGTGAAACAGTTAAGAGAAGCAGGAAGGGATAGATAGATGATAGATGATAGAGAGAGAGAGAGAGAGAGAGAGAGAGGTAGATAGATAGATAGATACATAGATACATAGATACATAGATAGATACATAGATAGATAGATATCCATGTGCCGGATGTTCCATAAACAACAAATAAATCAATGACAATATCTGTAGAGCAGTAATATTTTTGTTTGCAACAATCTTACTTTGTGAAAATCTGACAGATGCGCATACATAAAAACAATAAAAATGTCCTAATTCTCTCTAGGCACTTGATTTTTCAGAAGCTGCCAAAGTAGTATTTGTTAAACTTCGTTAATATAAACTTTCTTGATAGAATGTGTTCAAGATGTATATTTTGTTCTGTAATGAGATATCTGACAAATACCAAAATGTACCAAATGTTTTTATTTCCTTGATCTATGTTTCAAATGCCTTGTTTTAATTTGAAACTTCAAATATTATTTCTTATTAAAATAACATGAAGTTTTAAATTCATGATTTATAAATAATTTAAAAAATAGTATTAGCTCAGGAAAAATATTTGCTCTCTTCATGGAGAAATGCTGGTGTACAGCATAAGCAAATGTTCTTGTCCTCAGACATTCATTTTTACCCCAAAGGAGATATTATCTTTCAAACTTCCTTTGTGTTCTAAATCTCTCTCCTTAACTAATTTTCGATCCATCTGTTAGGCTAGCTTCTGAATGGCCTGGACAATAAGCCCTGGGTGCAGCTGATGAGTTTCTTGCACTACTTTTAGGGATAGCATCTTTATATTTTATGCCACTTTTGAGGGACATGGTATCAAGAGACCTAAATTGTGCTGGAATACCACATTTTGGCCTTTGCCTTCTTATGGTGATGGTCTTTGTCAGGATATAAACAATCTGAATCCCGTGACTTAGATATTTATAAAAAACCTCTGCTTCTTTTCAGTATTTGTCATGGACAGACGCTTAACATGACTGACAGGATACCAAATCTTCCACTGCCGAATTTCTCACTGATCCCTTCTTTCTGTTCTGGTCAATTTCTGGTGGCTTAATTATTTTCTGCTGCTGAGAATAGAATTTCCTACCAAGGCTTTACCTTCATATTTGTGCCTGAAAACTTTACTCTCTTTTCTAGCCACACTCAGTGTCACTCTGTGGTGCGATAAAGGAGCAGAATACTAAAAACTAAAAATATTCAGGAAAATGGAGAATACAACTTTACAATAATTATATAGAGAGAAAGACAACTAAAAGTTTTGTCTAATCTGCATCTAAGAACCATTAGAAAATTTATATGGTATATGATTCAAAACAATTTGGGGAATTATTATAAAAGATTATTAACACCTTTATACATTTACTTTAGTTTATATAGTTTATAAATATGACATTCTTAATATCTTATTTTCTTATTGTTGGTATCCTTCTTTTGAATGTAAGCTTCATGAATGTAGAGATTATTTTCCTTACTGCTGAATTCAACAAACCCACAGCTGTGTTTGGTACATAGTAGGCACTAAATGAATATCTGTTTAATTCATAAATAAAGAGAAGTACATGATCCACCTAAAGCATATTTTTCATTTGACTTTTATATAAGCTAACACATCTGACTTTGTCAATTTCTTCTAGGAAATGAGCTGTGTCTTTCTATCCATAGCTGTTAAGGTTGCTGAGACCATGGTGAGTATTAACCAAACTGCTACAGTAAGTAACAGAGTTTCTCTTCTCTGGATTCCCACAGTTTGAAGATGGTAGCCTCCTCTTCTTCATTCCATTGTTTGTTATCTACATATTCATTGTCATTGGGAATCTTATTGTATTTTTTGCAGTCAGGGTGGATACCCGTCTCCACAACCCCATGTATAATTTTATCAGCATTTTCTCATTTCTGGAGATCTGGTACACAACTGCCACAATTCCCAAGATGCTCTCCATCCTCATCAGCAGGCAGAGGACCATCTCCATGGTTGGCTGCCTCTTGCAGATGTACTTCTTCCATTCACTGGGAAATTCAGAGGGGATTTTGTTGACCACCATGGCCATTGATAGGTACGTTGCCATCTGTAACCCTCTCCGCTACCCAACCATCATGACCCCCGGGCTCTGTGTTCAGCTCTCTGTGGGGTCCTGCATCTTTGGCTTTCTTGTGTTGCTCCCAGAGATTGCATGGATTTCCACACTGCCCTTCTGTGGACCCAACCAAATCCACCAGATCTTCTGTGATTTTGAACCTGTGCTGCGCTTGGCCTGTACAGACACGTCCATGATTCTGATTGAGGATGTGATCCATGCTGTGGCCATTGTATTCTCTGTCCTGATTATTGCCCTTTCTTATATCAGAATCATCACTGTAATCCTGAGGATTCCCTCTGTTGAAGGCCGCCAGAAGGCCTTTTCTACCTGTGCCGCCCATCTTAGTGTCTTTCTGATGTTCTATGGCAGTGTATCCCTCATGTACCTGCGTTTCTCTGCCACTTTCCCACCGATTTTGGACACAGCTGTTGCACTGATGTTTGCAGTTCTTGCTCCCTTTTTCAACCCTATCATCTATAGCTTTAGAAATAAGGACATGAAGATTGCAATTAAAAAGCTTTTCTGCCCTCAGAAGATGGTTAATTTATCTGTAGATTAATGCTAGCTCATAGGCACCTTTCACTGTGGATGTTACTCTAACACAATAAACCATATAATTAACATATAATTCATTCATTGTCACATGGATATTTTGTGTCTCTTTATACTGGTTCTTCCCATGTACATGTATATCCTGCTTACACATGCCAAATTAAGATAGCATGGACTACCTGTCTAGACTTATACAGGTGGGTAAAATATAGAAAGGAAATATGATGTTTAAGCCATTAAACATAATTAATATGTTTTATGAACATTAATTTATTATTTGTATATAAACATTTTAAGTAAATGCTTATTACATTACATAAGCATTAATAACAACTATGAATTACGAACCACAGTAGTTAAAAGAATCAGATCTGCAGAAGAGGTTAAGGTTTGTATTTCAGTGATGCCACATATTGCTTTGTGACTTTGAACAAGTTGATAATTAACTTGTCTGCATCTTAGTTTTATCATCTATTGGTATAAAAGTAATATATTTTAAAAGTAGGACTTCAAATGCTAATATGAATATTAAATGACTTACTCCATGCAAGTGCAGAGAATGTGCAAAACACAGAGCTTGTGCAAAATAAGTGTTATCTGTTAATATCATTTGCAACTAATTACTATCTTTTGTTATTGATGTTTTAGAGAATGCTTTAATAAAGAGTGATATATTAAAAACAAAAACTCATGCTTAGGAATACTTAGCTATGATTATTATTTATAGTATATTTGTTGTTATTATTTATCTGGAGCCAAGTTGAATTCAAACTTCATTTACTTAGACTGCTTTGGTTGAATTCATCCAATTTGGTTGAATAAAATTATTTGGTTAAAAGTAGTCTCCAGCACATTCCAAAGTGATAGATAGATAGATAGATAGATAGATAGACAGATAGGTAATAGAAATATATATCATTTGAACTACATTACTCTTGTTTTCACTTTTGCTGCCTTTAAAATGTCTATGCATTGCCACTAGAAATTAATTTTCTAAAATTCAAGTTTAGATTTGTGTATTAAGATAACAGTTTAAACACACATATTTAAATTTTCTTCCACAAAAAACTCAATAGAAATAAAAGAGTCAGGACTAGATGAACTGTTAGATGACCTAAGAACTGAAAAGTGTAAAGATATAGTAATGAACATTAAAATATCTATAAGTTTACCTAAAAACCTTCATGATAGCTATGTCAGTACTCTGAAATATTATATACCACTTTCTTTTTTCTAGAAAAGAAAATAATTTCTGTTTATATCAAAAGCACCAGTTGATTCTGTTTATTGGATAGTCCAGGAATGAACAAAAATATATATTGAAAATTTAACAGCAAAAAACAAAAATCAAAATTAAGTTAAACCAAAGCATTATATATCCTGGGGAAAAGAGTTCCCACAATTGACCTCCAAAGTTAAAACACTTCCTCAGGTATGAGTACATGAGATCCGACTGAGGGAAATACTTATCTGCCCGGTGTTGGACAAGAAAACAGAAGAGGAGAGCCTAGAAATTAACTGGATGAAATTCCACATACAACCGATGGAAAAAATAATTAAAGCTTGGAAAAACAGAAATTGAGAACGATGCTCTACTTGGGAAATCTGGATAGAGAGAATGGAGCCAAAGAATGTATGAAATTTCCCAGTCACAATGGAGTTATCCACTGAGCTGTGTTCAGAGAAGGACATGAAAAGTAAATCTTAAATTTACAAGCCAGAGAAGTGAGGAACTATCCAGGTAAACTGAGGCTACTAAAACAAAACAAAAAAGCACAACTTTTTAGCACAAAGCAATAATCTATAACTAATACTGAACTTCGTGGCAGATATTTCCATATTTGCTGTGCATATTTAGATATTTAATATTCTTATTTTTTGTATCCAAATATATTCTCTCCTTCTCTCTCACACACACAGACAAACACAGATTGCCTTCTTTAAAACAATGATTTTAGTTTTGCCATACACCGTTTGTATTAAAATCATTAACTTTGTCAAATGCATAGCCCAATAAGTAGTTGGATTACTACAGTTAAAGAGAGAGAGAGAGACTGAGAGAGACAGAGAGGTTAGGGAATTGAAAGTAAATGCTCTTTCATTACATAGACTAACTCTAAGACACAAATCATTAAAATGTTTCCTATTTAAAATTTTGATGAGATTTGTGAAGATATCAGAAAAAAAGTTGAGAAATAAAAAATACAAAATTTAATATACAATGGAGATATTGAAGAATATATTAAATACTACAGGAAATTAAATTAATGTTTTGTAAGATTGCCTGGAAGATATGTCCCAGAATTTAGAGAAGCCACATGAAGAGCCAAATATTACATGCAAAGAGAAAAAGTTATATATGGAGAATGTATTAATAGATATTACAGAGCAAAATATGATTATGAAAATTCTAGAAAAAAAACAAAACAGAGGAAAATAATAAGTAAAATTAAAGGAAAATATTTCTGAGCTTGAGAATACTTGAGTCATGGGATCAAAACAGACTGTTTTATATTATACAAAATCATTGGAAATACAATGTGGCCTGTTGACATTTTTGAATTAAAAAAAACCTACAAGTTAGACAACCAAAATAGGCTCCCAAATCGTAAGAAGAAAAGTTAGACAAAACTCAGAAAGCACGTCTTCCTATTTGAGAACTTGATACATATTTCCAGAAGAAGATGACATGATAAAAGTAATTAACTTTGAAAAAAATGAGAACTTTGCAATTTCAACAGATCAGTGGATGAAGCACAGATATAAATAATACTCTTGTAGAAAAGATGAGATATTGATCTTCAATAAAGAAGTCAGCAGAACCAGTGTGAGTTGTTCAAGGTAGGAAAGACCCATACACACTCACGACATGAGAAAAACAAAAAAAGACATGGTTTCCTCACTTTCTTCAGTATTGGCACTAAATCCCCAGTGCCATGTTTATTATGAAATGGCCTTATTTTCTGTAAAATAGCTTTTCAAGATGATCTTCTGGTGTCAGTATATTCCTTCCAGGCTTTCCAAATCTGTGTGTTCATATAAGAAGGCCAGGATCATGTCAAAACTACCCTTTGCATAGTACACTGGTACACTCAAGAACAGCTGAGACAATCATGAAAGTGCTAGAGAAGGAAGCTTACAAATTTGGGAAGATGAGTACAATCAGGAAAAATATATATATTTATTGACAACTTCGATCTGAAAATCTAACAAAAGGAGAGTAAGAGGGGAAACTTTCTGTTAATTAACCCCATGAGAGAAGGTGATTCACTTCAGTGCAGTGGAGGGGAAGAATCCTCCACAGAGCCCAGTTCCCTTTCCTGTTATTCCCTGGATGCCCTATGGAGAGACTATAAATCCCTTTTTGAAAAGGCTGAAGTAATATTAAGGATGCAGTGACCCAGGCAGACTGAGGAGTCCCTGTGTTTTTGGCAAAGGTGAGTGTAGATGACTAAGTCATAAAGAGACCGAATTCATTCACCATGCATAATCATCATCATCATCATCATCTCATAACCTGAAGACCTGATTATTAAAGAATTTAGAACTTTGAATAAGGGTGGAAGGCAAAGGTATTTACAGGAGGAAGCTCTGTTCAGTGTGGTTCTGGGCATGGGTATATATGAAACAGCATGCCACATTTATAATGCCATTTTCTGAGAGATCATCTAGTCAAGACTTGATTGAGGCTCTCATTAGAACTGAATTGTCATAGTTCCCTTTTCAAACAGTCCCCAATTTTCTTTGTTCACTTACTCATGGCTGTCTTGTGCACTTAGTTATAATTGTACCAAGTGGCTGAGTTCCAAGTTAATTTATTTGATACCTACCGTCTCTACATATTAACCCTGTTGTAGTCACTATGAGGGATAAAAGACATTCACTGTCCTGAAGGAGAAACCTATAGTCTAGAGAAGGTAAAACAAGTAAGTTGATGATGGATCCTGACAAACGCTTCAATAAAGCATAATGGCATTCAACACTTCCAAGTGTTTCCTATATTCCTAACACTAAGGTTTTAAAATACATTTACATGTATTGGTAGAGGCAGTCAACTGTATGTAGGTTAGAATGTGTCTCTAGAGATACAGTGCATAGATTTAAATTCTGACTTTGCCCTGCATTAGCCGAGAATTTCTGGACAAAGAACTTAACCTGTCTGTGCCTAAGTTTTCTCCTCTGTAAAATGGGGATAATCATTTCACCTCATTAGAGCATTAAGAGCATGAGGTGAAAAATATATACAATGTGCTTGGAATAGTGCCAGCATTAGTGACGTAATAATACCGTATACTATACTGTACAATTCTATTGTTATTATAAAATGTTTAGTTATTCTCAGGACTTCATTAACCAGTATTAATATTTTCTCAGTTTTACAAATGAGATATTAAAGGCATAGAGAAGCTAAGTAACTTCATGTTAAGTCACAGAGCTGGTAAGCCATAAAGAGAATTTAAATGCTAGCAATTTTTTTTCTGGCATCTAGACTTTTAACCAGCAGTATATATTGCTTTTGTGTGAGGAGAGGGGGCAGAGGAGGGAGAGATATGTTACTTTAAAGTCAGAGGAAGTAGCACAAACAGGAGAGAACTGTGATTTTAGAAAGCAACATGAACAATGGGATTGCAGGGGAGAGAGGAGTCGGAGAATGTTAGCAGGTGAAGCTACAGAGAGTTAAGAGTCAGATAGTTGGTGTGAAGCTTATGAAAGAGAGATTGGTTAGAGAAAAACATTTAGAAGTATTAATAGTTTAAATCCTGTAAGCGGATGAGATCACTAAGGGAGTGTATAAAACTATAAGAGGTTGAAGTGGATGATAGGAACCTGGGGAAAATAGACTCTTGGGAAAGAATTTAAGAAAGACAACACAAGCTAATATAAGAGAGAAGAGGCAGAATAAGAAAGAAAATATAAATAAAATAAATAAAACAGAAGCAAAAGTCAAAGCTAGAACTGCCTTTAAAGCTATCTGGGCGTCACGTCCCTTGAGAATGGAATCGTGGAAACAGAGGAACAAAGTCTCAAGCAGGAGTAATGAAAAGTGTCGAGTGCCAGAGATGACTGGATAGTTTCCATTAGTAATTAGCAGGGCATTGATGAACGTGATCAGTATAGTATCAGCATAATGCTCGGGAGGAAGCACACAGCAGTGTTAAAGGAGAACAAGAAATGCAGAGAGGTAGATTGTATCACTCTTTCCAGAAGTTGCCTATTAAACACTGTCCAAATCTTTCTGCAAGTATTTACTAAATCCTACAGCATCCTTGTTAGATAGGTACTATTTTTAATCCCATTTTGCAAATGATTACCTGATACTCTGAGGTATTAAGTAATTTTCCAAAAGACATATAGGTAACAATAGACAGGATTTCAATGTCAACTTCAGGTTTACATTGTAACACGTTAGAACAGAGATTTTCAAAGAGCATGTGCACAATGGCCCAGTCGGGTAGGGAAAGAGCATAATATAACTTCTGTTATGTTTATTCGTATTCATACTTTTTAATTTTAAAATTTATTATATGAGATACAGATATATAATTTTGTGTTATTATGCCTTAATATAGTAAATGTGTATAACTTATAAATGCAAATACCTATATTAGAGATTAAGCTAAAATAAAAATAATTTTAACTAGTTTTTTTATTATTAAAACATTTGGAGACCCCTATTTCTGCAGTTGTGCCAATAAATAAGATGTACAGCTAAGCAACTTTGAGGAATAAGAAGAACTACCTTGAAGGTTTCATTTTTTTTTCTGACTTTAAACTAGTGTACATATTGTCCAATGTTTGATACAAAAAAAAATGTTTGATATGAAAAAAATCAAACATTGGACAATATGTACATGAGTTTAAAGTCAGGAAAAAAAATGAAACCTTCAAGGTAGTTCTTCTTACTTCTCAAAGATGTTTAGCTGTACATCTTATTTATTTTTTTCTCTACCCTCTCATGTGCTGGACTATGCCCTCTCCATTTACAGGTAGCTCTACTAGAAATATGGAGAGCGGAAACCAATCAACAGTGACTGAATTTATCTTCACTGGATTCCCTCAGCTTCAGGATGGTAGTCTCCTGTACTTCTTTCCTTTACTTTTCATCTATACTTTTATTATCATTGATAACTTATTAATCTTCTCTGCTGTAAGGCTGGACACCCATCTCCACAACCCCATGTATAATTTTATCAGTATATTTTCCTTTCTGGAGATCTGGTACACCACAGCCACCATTCCCAAGATGCTCTCCAACCTCATCAGTGAAAAGAAGGCCATCTCAATGACTGGCTGCATCTTGCAGATGTATTTCTTCCACTCACTTGAAAACTCAGAGGGGATCTTGCTGACCACCATGGCCATTGACAGATACGTTGCCATCTGCAACCCTCTTCGCTATCAAATGATCATGACCCCCCGGCTCTGTGCTCAACTCTCTGCAGGTTCCTGCCTCTTCGGTTTCCTTATCCTGCTTCCCGAGATTGTGATGATTTCCACACTGCCTTTCTGTGGGCCCAACCAAATCCATCAGATCTTCTGTGACTTGGTCCCTGTGCTAAGCCTGGCCTGTACAGACACGTCCATGATTCTGATTGAGGATGTGATTCATGCTGTGACCATCATCATTACCTTCCTAATCATTGCCCTGTCCTATGTAAGAATTGTCACTGTGATATTGAGGATTCCCTCTTCTGAAGGGAGGCAAAAGGCTTTTTCTACCTGTGCAGGCCACCTCATGGTCTTCCCGATATTCTTTGGCAGTGTATCACTCATGTACTTGCGTTTCAGCGACACTTATCCACCAGTTTTGGACACAGCCATTGCACTGATGTTTACTGTACTTGCTCCATTCTTCAATCCCATCATTTATAGCCTGAGAAACAAGGACATGAACAATGCGATTAAAAAACTGTTCTGTCTTCAAAAAGTGTTGAACAAGCCTGGAGGTTAATACAGAGCCACAGGTTCCCTTCCGTTGCTTTTGTTTTGTTTTGTTTTTTGAGATGGAGTTTCACTCTTGTTGCCTGGGCTGGAGTGCAATGGCATGATCTTGGCTCACTGCAACCTCCACCTCCTGGTTTTGAACAATTCTCCTGCCTCAGCCTCCCTAGTAGCCGCGATTACAGGCATGCACCACCACACCCAGCTAATTTTTGTATTTTTAGTGGAGATGGGGTTTCACTGTGTTGGTCAGGCTGGTCTTGAACTCCTGACCTTAGGTGATCCAAACTCCTCTGCCTCCCAAAATGCTGGGATTACAGCTGTGAGCCACCGCATCTGGCCCTTTCCATTGCTTTAATGTTTGTCTAACATATTAGAACATGAGATTACTCTATACCTAGTGCTTTGTCACACTGAAATTTCTGTCATCCTAATTATTTTCCCTATACCTAGAAAAATATTTATACTCTCTGTGTCATCGTTATAAAAGTTGCTGTGCATATCATGAGGAACCTTATTATGTGGCTGAATAACTGTAGTTTCTTTCTTCTGAAATGCTGTGGTTAAAGAAAATTTGTTTGCCACTTTAGAGGGTTAGAACTACAGAGCTTGAGCTTCAGAAGCTGACAATGTGCTCTGTGGTAGTATGTGTCTATTTAGGTAACACATCTTAGAAAAGTTTTTTTGTTTAATTATGAGTCATGGATTACCTCATTGGGGTTTTCCAGAAATAGAGATCTAAGAAAAAGCCCAAACAACATTTAATTAAGTTATATCTTTATTTTTAGTTATGTAGTTACCTATTCATTAGAATAATTACATGTTTAGTAAGATTAGATTATTAGTACTGCCACACATGTTTAAAAGAAAACTACAAGATAAGATACTATTTACAGTAATATACTTTGGTTTCCACAAATATCAATTTTAGTTATTGTTTGCCTTTTCCAAGGTTAAACATCTTCACTTTCTTTATTTACAGTAAAAAATATTTGGTGTATTCACTAAATGGTAGTGTCAAAAACACAGATGATTCATTTAGCTTTTTGACTAATAAATTTAAAAACTTTCCTCTTCTTTCCATATTTACTAACATTGCCTTAATTTCATTTTCTATAATTATTTATGCACAATTATTATAATTATCTTTAAAAAATACAGTAAAATTTTGAAATGAAGATAGTGATTTTATCTCATGTTTTAATTTTCTTCTTTAACGAATCCAATAAAATGACCAAACCCTAGATCATATAAACTTCTTAAAGGCTTTAAACCTAGAAAAGATAATAATGATTCTCATTTTTTATTGAGTGGTCCAGCAGTGGTCATATCAACATGTGAACACAGAGAAAACATAAAACTACCCTTTCCAACATGTATCACATTACTTCCCCTAAAAAAAACCCCTAAAAACCTATATAAATCCTGACAAACAGAAAAGAGTGACTTCAATAGACAAAATCCAAATGGTTTCCTGAAGACATAGTGCAGATAAAATAAAATTCAAAGGAATACAATAGAGGCAAGGGAAGGGCCTATTTAGTAGAAAATTTGAAGTAATCTTTTCAGTAGGTGTTGGAAATTCCAAACTGAGAACAATTGAAAGGTAGGGATGGGGAGGTGAAATTTATGAATATCTGAAATATTTCTAGCATGTTAGGTGAGAAAGTTGCTTACCTAAATATTTGTTCCCTGGTCTTCACCTGGTGGATCACATGCTATGTAAAGCTGGGCTACCCTAACTTCAATAGTTCTGGTTTAGGTTCCCATAGCCAACAGAGAAAAAAATGCACATTGGTGATTCTTCATCATATACTTTGACTATATACATTTTTCTAAATGAATTAGAGCTCTAATCTAACAAGGAAACCATTAAAATTAAAATACTGCTGTTAAAAGCAGCTAAGAAAGGGGAGATGGTCTTTCAATCCCATATGACATTTTAACCTGTTTCCTTCCCAATCATTTTAAACATGGTTCATACTAATTATAAATAAAGAAAACAAAAACTTACACCAAAAGACTTGTACTTGACTAAAGGTTGCATTTCATGGCTTAATGGTGGCCTCCTCAGGAAACATATTATTTTCTCATGGGAATTTGAACTTGCTGTATTATCATTCCCAGGTTTCCAGCAACGTGAGTTGAAGAAGAGGATGGACCAGGGGTGCTGGAGAATCCATAGAGAGACCATAGAGGGCAACTTTTACCCCAGTGGACACCTTTAGGAACTGTCCTCACAAGTACCTGCATGCATAGTAGCCAAACAATTTAGCCCAGAGAGAGAGAGAGAGAGAGAGAGAAAGGGGGAGGGAGAGAGGAAGAAGAAACTTGTTTCTTCCCCTTCTGTGACTAAAAGATTTACAGGAGGTATTCACAATGTCTTATATAATTCAACCAGAATAGTTCTTCTATAAGAATTAGCAAACAGAAAATTAGCCTAATTAAAAATATAGTTTTGGAGGTGATATTGGTATATATCTGAATAAAAGCCATCAACATTTATAGTGACCTTAGGGATGTACTCATTAGTTTAGTTCTTTAAACAGAACCCCAAAAGAGGTAGGGTGTAGCAATTTGTGCTTTCTCCTCTCAAAAGCATATTTATGAGCCAGAGAGGTGTTTGCTTACTTCATGCTCTAACCTCTCAACATATGATTAGAAGATAAACTCAAGGGTAACTTGCTCCTGAAAATCCCAATAATCTATAAAAAGGTAAATCCGTTATATCTGCATTCTTTAAAAGATTGTAAATCAAACCAAAAGGAGAAAACCAAGGAGAATTCATGTGCACAACATACTATATTTCTAACCAGCAAACATTAGTTTGAAAAATGTTAAAACATGATACATTCTATATTGCATAAAACTCTTGAGACATTTTCATCAGGAGATTAAGATCTACAACTCTTTTTCGTGATCAGTTGAAAACATGATTTTGGAAAGAAGTGACCAATCAGGTTTTAATGTCTATATATTCTTTTTGCTTGTTTTGAGGGTATTTATATCCCCTAAACACCTTCCCAAATGCTTTGTACATATATGTGTGTGTTTGTGTGTGTATTTAGCATTTGTCATTTGGAGATTTGTGTGTGTGTGTGTGTGTGTGTGTGTGTGTGTGTATGAAAACTACATGGAAATGGAAAAGTGCATTTTCAGGTACATGATGCACCTTTGGACACAGGCTAATGTAATTTTTAAAATGAAAATGTTCTGTTAATAATACCAAATCTTTAGCCATTAATCACTCTAAGCAAGAGTCACAAAAATAATTTTAAATATATGATGAAATCATAGAGAACTTTTACTATTAATACATGAAATAAATTAGTTTGTGATGGCAAAGTTAGTGATAATAAAAGACATTACAGAATATAAAAATGCAATGGAAGAAGAAGAAAATGGAATGCTCCAGAAAACTAAACTAGAGAGTTAGAATTTTGACTTCAGAAAGTATCATAAAGCTCAAAAAATAATAAATAAAGTGCCCTATCAAGATTGATGACAAAAAAACTAAATCCTAGAAATGCAATATTAATGAAATACGTATTCCAGAAAGAGAAGGTATAGCAGACTGAGAATAAAATGAAAGTGCTACAACAGTTAGCAATAAAAAAATTACCTTAAAACAAAATCAGACAACTATTTATGCTTCTAATCAAAATAAAATAGCTTGTGGTAGACCCAACTTTTCACTGAAAATAATGAGGAAGCTGAATAAAATAAGATTAAAAACTGCTTGGAGGTATTACAGATGGAAACACTATGGGCACTTAATCCCCATAGACACTGGGGATTATAATTCAAGATAAGATTTTGGGTGGGGACACAACCAAACGATGTCATGCTTGCCTTAGGTAGCTCCTTCCCTTTCAACACTAAACCCATATGAAGCCATGCCCCGAGAGCCACGGGTTTACAGAATGAGAACATGTAAAGGTCACCTGAACCCAACCTGCCTAAAGCCTGGTGCCTGGGGTCCAGAATCTGAAGTGTAGCCTATCTTATCCTGTTGCCTCTCACTTACAGATTTACTAGCACAAAGCTAATTAATTGTTGTTTTAGTACCCATGTGTAAAACATTTGATAAGTCACTATACTTGGTTGTGTGTGTACTTCATTTGACAATGTACCATTCTGAGATTGCATAAATTTAATATATAGTACTTACTATCTGAATCATAAGATAATCTGTTGAGTTGTATACACTTTTGAATTGTATTGTTAATTTTTAAAACAATTCTATCATTTTCAGAAAGTTTATCTGTGTCAAATGTGTTGTTATTTAACCACACTCTGCTCATTTATATGCTAAAGACTTTTTACCCGTTAAACAGATTTTAGCTTATTTATAAATAGAGCAGGTGCTGAAGACTTGAGACTGAGTGCTGGGTTGTGAAGAGATACAAAGGAGTCAATCTTTGCAAGTTGCATTTTCCTTTTTGTAACATTTTCTTCATCATTTTTGTGGCTCATAATCACCTTTACTTGATCTGTGCTTGAAAATAAAGTTACGGCATTTAAAAAGTCTTTTAAAATAAAAGCTAAATCCAAAAGCTCTTCATACTGTATAGAAATAAGAAATATGTACAAGAGATGAAAGAATTATAGAACATTTTACTTTATCCTTATTGCTTACCATCCGTATGTAAGCAAATGTTTTGGGTTACTCCAAATAGCACAAAATTCAGATGTATTCTACATGATATTCTATAACTAGAAACTGCTGTGTTAGGTAAGTTGGCCAGTGTATCTTTGTCTGAAATCATAATCCTACCTCTTAGTTCACATTTATTTAGTTTGTTTTGGATGGAAAATTTATTGTACTTTTATGAAAAAAATATGACCTCTTTAAAGAAGTGAGAAAATAGAGAAAACAGAAGAAATTTGGCAAATGATATAGACAAACAATTTACAGGCACATAAACTTGAAAGTCTAGTAATTACATGAAGAGATGCTTAAAAATCTTTATTAAGGCCAAGTGTTAGAGCAGATGAAGAGACAAAGAAATACATGCACAACTGATAAGAATGTAAACTGGTGTGGCCATTTTGGAGAAAAATCTGGTAGAAATGAAGTTCAAGTGTATCCTCTGTTTTAATAATCCTGCTTCTAGGAATATTTGTCAAAGACATTTTTACACATGTTTATAAGTTGACATACCTGAAGATGTTCTCCAGAATGTAGAGTATTTGGAGGCAATCTGGAGCTTATCACGGAGAAAACAGGTACTTAACATACGCCAAATGAATAGTTCAGAGAAGCATGCAGGTGTTAAATATTATGAGCTATTGAACTCAAAGAAACAAAAATAATTCCTGTAAATAATACTAAAAGGTAAAAATAAGCAATACAATGAAACCAACACCATTTACATAAATAAAAAGTACATGGGTATGAAACAAAAGCACATGTTTTATAAGAATACATAGAGAAAATATTTGTCAAGTTAATTTAAATAGTGTATAAAAATGAGGATAAGTAGAATTAAAGGGAAATACATAAAAATATACAGAATGGAGTGCTATTTAGCCATAAAAAAGAATGAGATTCTGTCATTTGAAACAACATGGATGTAATTGGGGGTCATTATATTCAGTGAAATAAGCCAGGCACAGAAAGAAAAACTTTGCATGTTCTCACTCTTTTGTGGGAGCTAAAAATAAAAACAATTGAATTCATGGAGATGGTAGAATAATGGTTACTAGAGACGGGGAAGGGAAGTGGAGAGGTTGGAGGGGGAGTGGGGATGGTTAATTGGCATAAAAAATGGAAAGAATAAACAAGATCTAGCACGTGATAGCACACAAAAAATAAATTTCAGTATAAACTTAGATGTAAAAGTGTATTTTTCAAAAAAACACATGAAATTAGTGTTTTGATATTTGCTTTCTGAGTTGACAATATGTTTATGTCTTTCCAATATTTGTTTATGACTCTATTTTTATAATCACAGCATACAGATCTATTATTTCCCTATAAAACCGCTGCAGCATAATATTCTGTGTTATGTCTTGCATGCACCTTATGTTATTTATTTTATTCCTTATCGATGGAAATTTAGATTGTTTTCAAACACTTCTAATTTTAAATGGGGCTGCAGTGAAACTTGATATACAAATTTGAATACTGCAATATTATTGTGAAATCAATTCTTAGAAGTATAACTACAGTATCCAATATTATTCAAGATTAAAAATTGAGCAAATAATGACAAATCACCATTCCAAATATTTTAAAACACTATATCTATCCAGTAGCATTCATTGGAAGTTCCTATTTCAACACGTTATCCCACATAGTGTATACCGCTTCTTGTATTCATTGTCAATCTAATTAGGCAAAAAATACATGTATTCATATATTTAAAAATTACCAGAGAATAATAAACTGACATATATCTAACAGTCAATCGTAGTTTGTTGTTGTTGTTAACTACTTTATTATTTGTTGCCAATTATTTTCCATTGAGCTCTTTATTTTATGAATTTCAATTCATTCAAAAACAACCACATATTTTATTCTTTTATAATTATTCATAATTTAAAAATGAATATTTATACACATAATTTAGTAAAATATTGAACTTTTTAAATAAATCTAAAATGGCTGAAATTATATACATTTCCTATACATGCTTTTATAAACAACTTGAAGGCTACCACTATCTGATTTTGTAATCTATAACAATAACAGAATTCAATGTAATCATATATTTTCAACTAAATGTGTTACTATATTAAAAACTAATGTTTCCTTATAAAGTCTCATAAAACAAATTTAATACTTAAAATTGTACAGATCTTTAAATTCCAAATCTAAAAACTGGCTCAACTGTCTATTCCAAAAACCATATTCAAACCAATTACTCTTTGTCCACCTTTGTAAATGAGTTCTTCCCATTGTGTTACAGGCAGAAATCTACTAGGGTTTTCGGGATAGCTTTTGCTGTTTGCCTCCCAATCACACAACATTTTGCCTTGAATGTGGAAGTGATGCCTGAAACTTAGAGATTAACTTTGTAACCATAAGGAAAAGTCCAGGAGAATAGTTTTTTAAATCAGGAATTGAATAAGCTAAGAGCATGCCTAACTGATATAAGTGTAAACTATAGTTTAATTACAGAATTACTAAACCATTGTATGTTGAAAAACAATGTTAGCATCCAGTTGAAGTTGTCAACGTGAAACAAGTTTAGAAAAATAAATTTCTAGCTGTCTATTCTCATATGAAATAATACTCAAGGGACAAAAAAAATGCCATTTATTTCCCTAACATGTTCATTTGAGTTACTAATAGTTATTTTTAATAAGGAAACTGGAACTTCTTGAAAAAGAGCTTACTCCATATCATGGGGCAGGATAAATTTAAGAAGAGAATGTACTGTCTTGAGGGCTCAAAGGATGATTACATTAAAAAAATTCTGGAGCATTTAGGTTGGTTCCAAGTCTTTTTTTTTTAAATTAATTTATTTATTATTATTATACTTTAAGTTTTAGGGTACATGTGCACAATGTGCAGGTTAGTTACATATGTATACATGTGCCATGCTGGTGCACTGCACCCACTAACTCGTCATCTAGCATTAGGTATATCTCCCAATGCTATCCCTCCCCTCTCCCCCCACCCCACAACAGTCCCCAGAGTGTGATGTTCCCCTTCCTGTGTCCATGTGTTCTCATTGTTCAATTCCCACCTATGAGTGAGAATATGTGGTGTTTGGTTTTTTGTCCTTGCAATAGTTTGTTGAGAATGATGATTTCCATTTTCAACCATGTCCCTACAAAGGACGTGAACTCATCATTTTTTATGGCTACATAGTATTCCATGGTGTATATGTGCCACATTTTCTTAATCCAGTCTATCATTGTTGGACATTTGGGTTGGTTCCAAGTCTTTGCTATTGTGAATAATGCCGCAATAAACATACGGGTGCATGTGTCTTTATAGCAGCATGATTTATAGTCCTTTGGGTATATACCCAGTAATGGGATGGCTGGGTCAAATGGTATTTCTAGCTCTAGATCCCTGAGGAATCGCCACACTGACTTCCACAATGGTTGAACTAGTTTACAGTCCCACCAACAGTGTAAAAGTGTTCCTATTTCTCCACATCCTCTCCAGCACCTGTTGTTTCCTGACTTTTTAATGACTGCTATTCTAACTGGTGTGAGATGGTATCTCATTATGGTTTTGATTTGCATTTCTCTGATGGCCAGTGATGTGAGCATTTTTTCATGTGTTTTTTGGCTGCATAAATGTCTTCTTTTGAGAAGTGTCTGTTCATGTCCTTCAACAAAGCTGAGAAAAACAAGCAATGGGGAAAGGATTCCCTATTTAATAAATGGAGCTGGGAAAACTGGCTAGCCATATGTAGAAAGCTGAAACTGGATCCCTTCCTTACACCTTATACAAAAATCAATTCAAGATGGATTAAAGACTTAAACCTTAGACCTAAAACCATAAAAACCCTAGAAGAAAACCTAGGCATTACCATTCAGGACATAGGCATGGGCAAGGACTTCATGTCTAAAACACCGAAAGCAATGGCAACAAAAGCCAAAATTGACAAATGGGGTCTAATTAAACTAAAGAGCTTCTGCACAGCAAAAGAAACTACCATCAGAGTGAACAGGCAACCTACAAAATGGGAGAAAATTTTCGCAACCTACTCATCTGACAAAGGGCTAATATCCACAATCTACAATGAACTCAAACAAATTTACAAGAAAAAAACAAACAACCCCATCAAAAAGTGGGCAAAGGTTCCAAGTCTTTGCTATTGTGAATAGTGCTGCTATAAACAGGGACATGGATGAAACTGGAAACCATCATTCTCAGCAACTATCACAAGGACAAAAAACCAAACACCGCATGTTCTCACTCATAGGTGGGAATTGAACAATGAGAACACATGGACACAGGAAGGGGAACATCACACACTGGGGACTGTTGTGGGGTGGGGGGCGGGGGGGGATAGCATTAGGAGATATACCTAATGCTAAATGACGAGTTAATGGGTGCAGCACAACAACATGGCACATGTATACATATGTAACAAACCTGCACATTGTGCATATGTACCCTAAAACTTAAAGTATAATAATAATAAAATTAAAAAAAAAATTCTGGAGCAAAACATAAAATAATAAATAACAATTGAAACATAGATGTTTCAATTAAAAATAAGCTTATAAAATCTATATGTCAATAAGGATACTCAAAAAATGAAGCAATTCAATTTAAATGATTTTGTCAAATAATTAATATATGTGATTTGAATTTATACAAAAAATATAACTCTTATAAATCAGTTATGTGAACCTTAAAAATATGACGAAAAGTCTATTCAAGCACATTTATACTCAGGAATAGGTAGCTAACTAAATAAATGTCATTACTTCTAGGTTTTAAAACACCTACATCCTTTATTGTAAAACCATTTTAAGACTTTCAACATGCAATTGCATCTTTTATTACTGTATCTTCCCTAAAAGCTAGAATGAGATTAGCACTTTGGACAGCCCCCTGCAAAATTCTATTCTATTAAATAGCCATGTGCTTACATGAGATTAATATATTAGACAATGATAAAGTAGATTATAAAAAACATGTAAAACTATTTTCAAGTGTTTTGCTCACAGATGTTAAAAGCCCTTTTAATGAATAAGAACAGTCTATGCTATTATCTTTATAACCTATAAGTTAAATTCATGTCAAGTTTCCTCCGGAGACATATTTTAAACAATGTTAACAATTACAATGAAAGGACTGTAAGGCCTACAAGAGTCTCCACATTTGCCTACTTTCATAGGACCACTCCGCTATTTTCCAGATTACTGAGCACCCCATATTTTATTCTTTTTTTATCCAATGCTATTAAAATTCCAGACAAAGTAAGATACTTCTTATTACCATTCTTCAGGTAAAAGAAAGTAGTTAATCATTTCTCCCTCATGGGACAGAGAGTAGGTTTTCTTGAAACATTCTCTATGACTCGGAGCACAGAGCTAAAGCAACAGTTTTAGCCCAGTAGCCACTCTTCTGTCAAAAAAGACACAGTCCAAATAACAGAGACAATGACAGTAAAGTATAGCAGACGCTCTGACATTAAACTTCTAGAGCAGAACTCTAATTCTAACGCTTACCAGTTGTGTGACCCTAGGAAGGATTCTTAACCTCTCTATACCACACTATTCTTATTTGTAAAATTGGCATAATCATAGTTCTTAAATGAGTTTAAATAGTACATGGAGTTCCTGACCCATAGTAAGGGTTTAATAAATGTTCTTTTATTATTAAGGTCATCTGTATAACAACCTAGTTTGCCTAGTTTTCTTTCAGTCAACAAATAATGTTTTCTGAAGGTATCTGTAACCACTGGTCTTTGATCTTCAACTCTTGTTATCCATATCACCTGTGGACTGCCAAACCTTCTTGGTTAATTCATTGCATTGCTGTCTTCATTATGTTGATATCACCCTCCTCATCTGAAGTCTGAAAATTCACAGAAATTTACCCATTTACTTTTCCCTTTCCCATCCAAAACACACATGAAAAAAACTAACAGGAGGAAAGCATAGGAAGAGTTGTATTCCTGAACATAATTGTGTGTGCGTTTGTTGGGTTTTAATAACAGATATTTTTGATTAAAAGTGAACAAATCCAGCACTTTAGGACCTTGACTTTGTGAATTTTATATAAGAAACCTCTTAACAGTGTTAAAAGTTAATAGAAAGAGAAGAGAAGAGCTGGAAAAGGAAACAGGGACCTTCGTTCCTAAAATGAAAGGTAAGATCTGTCTGTCAGATCCTGATTTCCTAAGACAGCACCTACGCAGAGACAGCTCTGCAGAGCATAGGAAGGGAGCACACACCCTACTGACACCAGTACCTGCAGGCAGGCCTTCTGTTTTTCATGCTTCTGATCCTTACCTACATAAGAATGTGTTCTTTGGGAGTTGAACAGAGCTGAAATTGGATCTTCATCTCACCATTTCCAAGTCAGGTATCTTAGCAAGCTATGTTCTTTCAGATGTAGTTATTTTTGGTCAAGCCTCCTCTGAATTCATGAGGGAGAATTAATTGCCCCCTTCCAGCACTTTGTTTTGATATCTACTTGGGAGATTAACATTTTGCAAAATGCAAATTTGTCAGCATTTCTTTATTCTATGGTACATATTGATTTTGTTAAAAAGGGAATCATATCACATTAATCTTTTTATTCTCAAAGTTTTCATGAATAAATGAAGGAAAGTGGAAACAATTTTGATGGGACTAGCACACAATGCTGTTAATTTGCTTTAGCCTTGGGAGACTTCCCTGCCTGTCATTTCTCTGCCTAGAAATGTCTCTGACCTCTGTGCATAAAGAAAGTAAAACAAGAGAAAATCAACATTATTAGATAAAATATTGGCCCCAAATTTCAATAGGAACTAGCAGATGGAACATGTGGAAGACCAATTGTTTTTTCTAAGGTGGGGAAAATGGCCTGGAAACAAACAGGATGTGAGTCTAGCTCCCTCCTTTCATTATCTCCTTCCCTCTATTGTATGAACATCCCTCAAACCTGGGTCTTGGATTTTAGCATTTTGATTCATTAAAAATTCAGTCCAACAAAAGGTGCCACAGAAAAAAGAAGTTTTTAAAAAGAACATTTATTCTGATGCCTACAACTCTGTGAATTGGAGTTTCCTGGCAGTAGTAGGGTTTCCCTAATTACCAGCCTAAACTGCTTTACCTAATTGGAGCCATTATAGGGATAGTTGTTTTCCTACTTAAATCTTGAGTCATCTGTGTAGAATTCCCAAGAGAGTCTATCTTCTTATTCTAGTTATGCTTAGGAAAACATACCCACATACACACATACAGAGGGAAAGAGAGATAGAAGGAGACAAAGACAGAGAGGAGAGGGAAAGAGGGAGAGAAGAATTCTACAGAAAGAGTCAGATCTATATATCACTGAATAAAGGAAATTCATCTTGAGGGACTCAGGGTAGAAACATGGCAGAAGAGCAAGAAAGTTTGTCTTAGTAGCTCTATATAACCCTTATCAAAGTAGAAAAGATAGTCTTCATCCATGTTTATTTTAACTCCAGAACCCAACAGCAGCAAGGTCAGTGAATTAACTCATTTTGGGGAATAAGAGATAGAGGAAGAATAACACAACTGTGTAAAAACAGATATCCAAATATGCCTATAGATATTCAGAATAGCTGTTGGGAAGGTTTTGAGCGAGGAGGACTTAGGAAAGAGTATTATAGGGCAAGTTAATACAAAGTGTAAAGATTTCAGTTACTAAATATCCTAGGTAAGGGGTGGGATTCAAATAGGGTCAAAGCTCAAAGGATATCTTTAAAACCAAATAAGTATTGTGATTAACTTCTGATATATTTCAGGAATAAATGTTGCAGCAATCAGGTGAGATTTCCAGTTATCTTTCGGTCATTTAATGTCATTGACATTTGCACTAGACTTACTATTACTCAATTTTGCATGTAGATAGAGTGTTCAATAGGTAAAGTTGAATGTGTTTCTTTTTGGTTTAAATCTTACTGATTATTTCTTTGTCATAATTGCATCTCTTCAAAAGATTAGGGAATTAGGTCTGGGTCTGTTCAGAAGGCACCTTCTTGAACTCATAGCCCGATTCAACTTGTAAAACCCTGTCCTGAGGGCCATAGTTAGATGTGGTGACTACTTTTAGAGACATTAAGACTTATGGAAAAATCAGATGAGTATGTAAAAACTCAAGAACACTTAAAAATATTTTTATAGGAGTATATATATATATATGTAATACACACATCATCTCTCTCTATGTGTGCACACACACACACACTTGTTAAAACTTGAAAAGACACATGTAGAACTTAGGAAACATGGAGGCAGAAATTCAGAAATTGGAGGGGAAAGGAGAGGAAGGAGATTCCTTTTAGGAATGTTCAGAGACCAGAAAAACGTATGTTACATGTTTGAAATAACAGTTTTGCTAAACTGGATAGATAATTTGCAAGTTTCAATAGCAACAGGAGACAAGGTCTCTCTGTTTTCTGCACAAAATAACAATAAATAAATTTTAGGACCATATTAAAGGAAGATGATGCTAACTTTTGTGTGTAAAAAAATAGGAGTTTGATGGGACTTAGTCATATAATCAATTAACAAATGCATGTATAGCTAATATAAATAGGAAGTTATTAATAAATTTCCATTTCTTAAAGTGTATAGAAAGCCAGACTATTATTAATGCCAGACAATAAAGGGAATTTATTATTTCCTGATTCGGTGATTAGGAAAGAGTTACCCTAGAGGATATGAGGTTGTTTCACTTTTAAAGAAGAGACAATTTGGATGAAGAAAATGATGAGAAAATGATACTTAAGTATAGATATGAGAGGAGAGTCACAAGAGGAAACTAGCTTCACAAAGATGACCTTCAGAGAATGGAGGCTTGGGTAGCCAAAAGTAAGACTGGATGCAGAAACTTCTGGAAACTCATTGCAATAGTGTATACATTATGACTAGGCATCCAATTAGGGTAAAAAGAGTGGAAATAAAAGATATTAGTGATATAGTAAAAAATAAACAAATTGTGCAGACCTTGATGATTAATTTGGTTTGAGAGTGTAAGGAATAATAGACATAAAATGAGTAAAGTTGTTATCTAGGTGGACAAAAATTTAAAAAGTCAGCAAGAGAAACTGGTTTAGTGCTGAGGGTAAGGGTGTTATATTTGTTTGCTAGGGTTGCCATAAGAAGTACTACACACTGAGTGGTTTAAACAACAGAAATTTAATTTCTCACAATTCTAGAGAATTGTTTTCTTACTGAATCTTCATATGGTTCTCCCTCTGAAACTGTGTCTAAATTCCCTCTTTATTATTATGATTATTATTATTATTATTATTATTATTATTATTATTATTATTTTGAGACAGAGTCTCACTCTGTTGCCCAGGCTGGAGTGCAGTGGCACAATCTCGGCTCACTGCAACCTCCAGCTCCCGGGTTCACGTCATTCTCCCGCCTTAGCCTCCCGAGTAGCTGGGACTACAGGTGCCCGCCACCACGCCTGACTAATTTTGTTTTTGTATTTTTAGTAGAGACGGGGTTTCACTGTTTTAGCCAGGATGGTCTCGATCTGCTGACCTCGTGATCCACCCGCCTCAGCCTCCCAAAGTGCTGGGATTACAGGCGTGAGACACCGCGCCCGGCTAATTTTGTTTTTGTATTTTTAGTAGAGACGGGGTTTCACTGTTTTAGCCAGGATGGTCTCGATCTGCTGACCTCGTGATCCACCCGCCTCAGCCTCCCAAAGTGCTGGGATTACAGGCGTGAGACACCGCGCCCGGCCGGTTTCCTCTTCTTGTAAGGACACTGGCCCTATTGAATTAAGGGCCACCCTAATTTCCTCATTTGAACTTTGTTACCTCTTTAAATACTGTATGTCCAAGTACAACCACATTCCGAGGAACTGGGGGTTAGAAACTCAACCTACAAATTTTCAGGGGACACAATTTAACAGCCTATAATAGGTGAGGATGTACGTTTGGGTCAAAGTGAGGTTTCTAAGTAAGAAAGTCTGAAGAAAATGTGGAGGTCACGGCCAGGCACGGTGGCTCATGCCTGTAATCCCAGCACTTTGGGAGGCCAAGGCGGGCGGATCACGAGGTTAGGAGATCGAGACCATCCTGGCTAACACGGTGAAACCCCGTCTCTACTAAAAATACAAAACATTAGCCAGGCGTGGTGGTGGGTGCCTGTAGTCTCAGCTACTCGGGAGGCTGAAGCAGGAGAATGGCGTGAACCTGGGAGGCGGAGCTTGCAGTGAGCCGAGATCGCGCCACTGCACTCCAGCCTGAGTGATGAGTGGGACTCCGACTCAAAAAAAAAAAAAAAAAAAAAAAAAAAAGGAAAATGTGGAGGTCGTGAGAGATATCAAAAACAAGGAATTCTGGAGTCATAATAACCACCGAGAATAGAAGGCCAATACGAGCTGATAAATAATCTTGAATAAATAAGATCTTGAAACAATAGATTCTTCTGTGTGAAAGGAAATATAGAGAAAAGAGAAAATGATCACAGAATTTGCGGTTATGTTTACACTTGGGATATAAAAAATTGAATAATCAGTGAGGAAAACCAGGATAGTGTGGTGTCAAATAGGCAAAAAAAGGAATTTCAAACATTGGGCAATTGACCTTTGGAAGTTAGTGGCAATGAAGACAGAGGGAGGCCATTAAATTTCAATGAGAAAGTCGCTAGTATACCTTAAGAAAAGAGATATGGGAAGTTGAGGGTGGATACATTATTCAGAGATTCAAAGAAGAATGAATAGAATAAATACCTTTTACACATTGGAAAAATAATGCAGTTGTTACAAAGGAGGGAAATAACCTGAATAGAAACAGTATTTTCTCCCAAGATAAGAAGAAATGTGCATGTTTGATTGCAGAAGAGACAAATAAAGTAAAACAAAACATTCTGAAAAGAGAATAAATTAATAGGACAATTTCCTATAATGTGTGTAGTTTAAATTGTATTCTACAGGGCACTGCAGCTCTGCCCTTCCTTCTAACTACCACCATTCAATTGTACCAGAGCAAGTGTACAACTATATTAAGCATTTATTTATTAATATAGTTAGTTTTCATAAGTTACTACATTTGACCAAAGGCTTCTGGTACAAAACCCCTTTAAGATCTCCTTACCAAGAAGACGTAGAAGAGAAGGAAAGGAAGGAGATAGAATAGACTATCTTATAAAACAAGGTAAAATAACTTATGATTATTTATATGGCTTTTCTTCTCCAAATATTCTCTGAATTATGGTTAAGAATATACATATGAAGAGAGGAAGAGTTATTAGAGAAAGAGGGTTGAAAGAATTCACCAGTAATGGTTTTGTCTTTATTATAAAAATATGCCAATCAAATCATATGCCAAGAATCCAATAAACTGGGAGCTTGAAGAAAAAATATATGGAACAATGTGGGGAGATTATTAGGGAATCAATAAGATTTAAATATCGAAAAGAACGTCCTCTTAATTATTGATTATTCCTTCAATGCTCTGTCTAATTCTATATTCGCCTAAACAAAGTTGTTTTAAAATATAGTCCCCTGACCAGCAGGACCACCATTGCCTGAAAATTTGTTAGAAATGAAAATTCTTGGGTCCTACCTCAGAACTACAGATTAGGACCGAACTCTCAGTATGAGGACCAGCAATATGAGTTTTAACAAGCCCTCCAGGTGATTCTGATGCATGTTAATATATCTGAGAATCTCACATCCAAAATATTGACTGTGCTTTCTGACTGGATTTTTTCCACACTACAACTTAAGTCGTAAGCAACTATAGAATATGGACCATGTCCTTCTTCCTTGTCTTCCTCTCTATCCCCATTACAGGGCTCTATTCAGACGCTGGCTTCTTGTAAGTGTATTCCTTTATCCAATAGTAGATGCCTCCTAGAAGGCTTGAGTGCACTGGAAATTGAAACTCTCACTTTCAACTTGGAGATGGAGAGCCCCAATCGAACCACCATTCAGGAGTTTATCTTCTCCGCTTTCCCTTATTCCTGGGTTAAGTCTGTTGTCTGCTTTGTTCCACTGCTCTTCATCTATGCTTTCATTGTTGTTGGAAACCTGGTCATCATCACAGTGGTCCAGTTGAATACTCACCTCCACACTCCCATGTATACTTTTATCAGTGCTCTTTCTTTCCTGGAGATTTGGTATACCACAGCCACAATCCCAAAGATGCTGTCTAGCCTGCTTAGTGAGAGGAGCATTTCCTTCAATGGTTGTCTCCTGCAGATGTATTTCTTCCATTCCACCGGCATCTGTGAGGTGTGTCTCTTGACAGTTATGGCCTTTGACCACTACCTGGCCATATGCAGCCCTCTTCATTATCCCTCTATCATGACCCCCAAGCTATGTACCCAACTGACTTTAAGTTGCTGTGTTTGTGGCTTTATCACACCCCTTCCTGAGATTGCCTGGATCTCTACACTGCCATTTTGTGGTTCGAATCACCTTGAACATATCTTCTGTGACTTCCTCCCAGTGCTGCGTCTGGCCTGCACAGACACACGAGCCATCGTCATGATTCAGGTAGTGGATGTCATTCATGCAGTGGAGATTATTACAGCTGTGATGCTCATCTTCATGTCCTACGATGGTATTGTGGCTGTAATTCTACGTATTCATTCAGCTGGAGGCCGCCGCACAGCATTTTCCACGTGTGTCTCTCACTTCATTGTCTTTTCGCTCTTCTTTGGCAGTGTGACTCTCATGTACCTACGCTTCTCTGCCACCTACTCTTTGTTCTGGGATATAGCCATTGCTCTGGCCTTTGCAGTTTTGTCTCCCTTCTTCAACCCCATTATCTATAGCCTGAGGAATAAAGAAATAAAAGAAGCTATAAAAAAGCACATAGGTCAAGCTAAGATATTTTTTTCCGTAAGACCAGGGACCTCAAGTAAGATATTTTAGTTGAGATTCTGTATAGTTGCTGGTTCCTCTTCACCTTCAGCTCTCAGCAATCTGTCTTTTCCTATCAACCTTCTATTCAAACTGGTCTCCCAAAGCTCACCAAACCAAACCAAACCAAACCAAACAAAAGGAAACAAATTCAGCAATAGCTAACGTCAATAACTTCTATTTAATCATTACTCAATTAGACATATTTTTCAATCTGACTTTATTAATTACAGTTTCTGCCACTCAAGTTATTCAAAGTAAATTCATTTTGTTGAAATGTTCTGCATAAACATTTACTTTAATTTTAAAGCAATTAAAATATTTGTCTGTAAGACCTGGTAATTTAAAAAGTATCCTTCATAAGACTAAGTTTTATCCATGGTGCCTCTAGCTTCTATAGTTGAAGAATGACTCAAATTTTTAAATTGAGTATCCAAGTATTGATCAATAAGCAATTTAATTGTTACTCATTAAATAATCAGTTTTTTCATGATACATAAAAAACCTAGATGTTGCATTCACTGTGATCAAATGCATTGTACATATTAAGTAATAAACATAAAAATGATCTGTTGAATGAATAAACCAACATACCGCCATGCTGCATTCTGATTGTTTTAGACAATCGACCAATTGTGTTAGGCAACAACTCTTTCAAGCTCTCTTCTTTGGCTTTTAGGATTCCAAACTCTTTTTTATCCTACCTCATTGACGCTTCTTTCTCTTGCTGAGTCTTCATGTCATACATGCTTTATAAAAAGCGATTTTTCTCCAGGGCTCATGATTCAGCTGGGATAGGATAAAGCTTATTACTGTGCAAATGTTAATAAATTTTTACCCTTCTCTAGCCTGCCAACACAAATCCTATAGCTGTCAGTGTGATTTCCCCACTTTTGTGCCACAATCCTTTCATTACTTTTACTCCTAAATCTTATGATATTTTAAAATAAAATGGAAAGACAAGTTAAGGAGAGATCTTATAAAAAGGGTTAATGCTATCAAATAAAAGTCTGGGATACAGAAGAGAAGAAAAATCAGAGAAAACCTGTTGATTGTGGGTGCAGGGGGTCTGGGTAAGAGAAAGGCTTTAAGGGATACTTGGTTGAAGAACAAGAGGACAGAGGGAAAAAGAAATGCAAGAAGTATCACTGAGTTTAAGTCATGTATTTTTAATATTCTTCAAGTGACACGAAAAATGTCATTATTTTTCCAATTTATTGACTAATTGATGCTGTTGTAAGTGCAATATTTTTACAGAGCTGATCTACATAAAGCTCCATTATGTGAAAGGGTCACACCATTTTTTCTCTGTCCTCTCTACTTTTAAATTTTTCAATACATAATCATTTCCTAAATATTATCAATATCCCTAAAAAATAATATAGCTAACACTACCTGTCTTACATCCATACTTTCTCAACTTCAAGCTTCTTTCCCTACTGCAAACTGAGCTGTTCTTACAACTTAAATCTGATTGCTTTATTAGCCTGCCTTAAAAACTTCTGTGATTAAACATACCTTCATTTCAAATTATGAACATAAAGTAATTTTCCTAGTTCTCTGTGTGTGTGTGTGCATGCATGTAATAAAAAAAAATTCCAAGCTGTGGGAAAAACAAGGGAAAATAAAACAGAGAAAAAAAGTTCATCGTGTGTTGATGTTCCTGTTACCTTGTAAATGTGCTCTTAGTGAATACACAGGATTAAGGAAATATATGCCTTCTGGCCTGGAGAGGACAGAAACTGCTAACTTATTCCCTGTTAATTTTAAATATATTTATTTTACCTAACATTGCACTGCATTTATTAATCAAATTTTTACTAGTAATAATAAAATACCATATGTGATGTTTAATTGAGTGTCAACTTGATTGGATTGAAAGATGCAAAGTATTGTTCCTGGGTGTGTCTGTGAGGGTGTTGCCAAAGGAGATTAGCATTTGAGTCAGTGGACCGGGAAAGGCAGATCCACCCTCAATCTGGGTGGGCACAATCTAATCAGCTGCCAGTGCAGTCAGAATAAAAGCTAGCAGAAGAACGTGGAAAGACTAAACTGGTTTAGTTTTCGGGACTACACCTTTCTCCCACGCTCTATGGTTCTTGAACACCAGACTCCAAGTTTCTCTTCAGCTTTGGGACTCGGACTGGTTTCCTTGCTCTTCAGCTTGCAGATGGCCAATTGTGGTACCCCACCTTGTGATAGTGTGTCAATACGCTTTAATAATACATCTATCCTATTAGTTCTGTCCCTTTAGAGAACCCTGACTAATATACCTAGTATATTCACAATTGTAATTATATTTATTGATAATAATATTAATGCAATTTTCCACTTATTGGGCACTCTTCACTTTTAAGACATTGTCATACACACACACACATACACATACATTACTTTATAGAAATTCTTTGCAATAGGTATTAATATCAGTACTGCTTTAAGAGGGAGGAAACTATAGCTAATAGGGCTTAAGCTTTTGTCCAAGGATACACATTTAGTAAGAAGCTGAGTTATAATTTGAACCCAGGTCTCTGCTTGTTCAAAAGCTTTTCTCTTAACTACCATGCTACATTTTTAAATATTCTAGCTATATTCTTGAGGAAATAGAGAGATGTATTATCTAACATTCTTTGGAGACTCCGAACCAATAGGATATTTATCTATTTATCTATAAAAATATATTATAAATATTGGCTCATATGCTTATGGAGACCACAGACTTCATGATCTGCTGCCTATAAGCTAGAGAATCAGGAAAACTTGTGACATAATTTAACCTGAGTCTGAAGGCCTGAAAACAAGGGAAACTGATAGTATAAACCCAGGTCCAAATCCAAAGGCCTGAGAATCAGGAGCACCCAGTGTCCAAAGGCAGAAGGAGATGAACATCCCATCTCAAAACAAAAACAAATTTGCCTTTCCTTTACCTTTTTGTTCTATTTAGGGTTTCAAAGGATCAGAAGAGGCAGTAAATCCTTGAGTGATGTTTACTTTTTTCTTAATATAACTTAAATACTATGATGTAAAATTAACAATTATTAAATATTGATATAAAGCAATGTGTCTTATGTTATATGATAAAAGTAAGAGAGGAAAGAAAACACATTTGCTAATGTGTGTGTATATATATGTGTGTGAGTATATATAAACATGTTCACAACAAAATAAGGAGGAAACACTCCTGGCAATTATAATTATAGTTTCCATTTTTATAACTAGTCATGTTATCATAGCTAGTATTTATAACTACCTTCTCCTACTACTCATTCTGTATTCACTTTGCCTTCATCAAGCACATCTATTGGTCATAGTTCCTTAACTGATATGGTGACCCGAACATTAATTCCTCAAGGATCTTGGTCATTAGTAGTCCTTTCTGGATTGTGGTGTTGTAATTTTTTATTGTCCTTAATCACAGGGCACGGAAATACTAAAAGACGTGCTAAAGAATCTCCTGTGTACCAGACATACTCTTCCTTCCCTTCACTGTGGAATCTATGGAATAACAGTCCAATTTCAAGCATTTCCTCTGCTTTTGGTGGGTCATCTTTTGAGCCATCTTTCAACCAATCAATCAACCAACCAACCAACCAACCAACCTATTGCATCCCTTTCCTACTCCCTGAGCTGGAACATTAAATTCAAAATCTCTGCTTAGTGAGCCCATATCAATAAATTTAACTTGATCCAACTTTATGTTCCTTCCACTATTTTTACATATCCTTATTATCTATTCTCATATATGTTCTCTAGATTTCTTTTCATATATGTTCTCTAGCTTTCTCCCACTTTCCTGACAACCTGCATAACTCAGCAGAGGCAGCCGTATTCCTCCTAGGTACACAACTCCATTGACCTGGGAACCTCACCCCGATCCCCAACAGCAGCCGCACTAGACCCACCCAGGGAGAGTCTAAGCTCATACACACCTAGATTTCTTTTCTTTTTTTCTTTTTTTTTTTTTTTTTTTTTTTGAGACAGAGTCTCACTCTGTCACCCAGGCTGGAGTGCAATGGCACGATCTCAGCTCACTGCAACCTCCACCTCCCGGGTTCAAGTGATTCTCCTGCCTCAGGCTCCTGACTAGCTGGGATTACAGGCGACTGCCACCATGCCCAGCTAATTTTTGTAATTTTACTAGAGATAGGGTTTCACCATGTTGGCCAGGTTGGTCTCGAACTCCTGACCTCAGGTGATCCACCCGCCTCAGCCTCCCAAAGTGCTGGGATTATAGGCATGAGCCACCGCGCCCAGCTGGCTTTTGTTTTTTATCCTTCTGCTCCTCATTTACCTATTCACCATCATTGGTAGTCTTATGGTGTTCTTTGCCATCAAACTGGATTTCTGCCTGCACAGCTCCTTGTATTTCTTCATCAGTGTCCTCTCCTTCCTAGAGATCTGGTATACCACCATCACCATCCCCAAGATGTTCTTCAACCTAGCCAGTGAGCAGAAGACCACCTCCCTGGATGGTTGCCTATTGCAGATGTATTTCTTTTACTCCCTCGGCATCACTGAGGTTTGCTTGCTCACCACCAGGGCTATGGACAGATACCTGGCCATCTGTAATCACCTTTGCTACCCCACAGTCACGACACCTTAGCTCTACACTCAGGTGATTCTAGGTTGTTGCATCTGTGGCTTCTTCACGCTGCTCCCTGAGATTGCTTGGATATCCACACTGCCATTTTGTGGTCCAAATCAAATCCACAACATTTTCTGTGACCTTGATCCTATCCTGAATCTAGCATGTGTAGACACTGGCCCAGTTGTTTTAATCAAGGTTGTGGACATTGTACATGCTGTGGAGATCATCACAGCTATAATGCTTGTGACTTTGGCTTACGTCCAAATTATTGCAGTGATCCTAAGAAACTGCTCTGCTGATGGATGCCAAAAGGCATTTTCTACCTATGCTTTCCACCTTGCTATTTTCTTAATCTTTTTTGGAAGTGTAGCCCTGATGTACCTGCTCTTCTCTGCCAAGTACTCCTTTTTCTGGGACACAACCATCAGCCTAATGTTTGCAGTGCTGTCACCGACACAATCATCTGTAGTCTGAGGAATAAAGAGATAAAGGAAGCAATAAAAAAGCACATGTGCCAATCAATGATATGCACACATCATGTCAAATAAGACCAAATACACACCTCTTAATTACCAAAGAATATTTATACAAATATTTACATTAATACGTTCAGTGTGTTTGTTGCTGCTGTGCTTCCTTTTTTGGTGTACAGGTAGTAAATGATGTTTAGTTGTTCTTATTATCTCTGTGGACTTAGTAAATGTCCTCAGAGGTTGATTAACTATAGAATTCAAAGAAAGTAAGATAAAACTGTACACAGGTCCTTGGTTTATTATTTTTTGAATTCAGTGAGAGGTATAAAATATTGTCTCTCCCCTGAGGTCTTCTCCAGCCTATTCATAGAGCAGTAAACACACATTTCTTTGTTTCTATAACACATTGTTTGGACCCTCTATTTGGCATGATTTTTATACTTTCTTATGTCACAGTTTATATATCTTATGTTTTTCTAATTTGTATGCTACTTGAAAGAAGGTATCTTACTTTGTTTATCTCCACATTCCCAATGCTTAACAGAATGCTTTGCCTGTAGAAACTCTCTATAATAGTTTGCTGAATGAGTAAATGAATAATTAGAGGCAGCCTTTATCTCTTGAAGCTATACATTATAGAAAAGGAAACTCAGACTATTTTCATATTCAACAGAAAATGGCAGGGATAGGGGAGAGAATGTGTAAAGATAAGAAAGTATATTTTCACTTAGAGACAATTTTTTTTCATTAAGACAGAATCTTGCCCTGTCCCTCAGACCAAAGTGCAGTGGCACAATCTCTGTTCACTGCAACCTCAGCCTCCCTGGGTTCAAGTGAACCTCATGCCTCAGTCTCTTGAGTAACTGGGATTACAGGTATTCGCCACCACGCCCAGCTAATTTTTGTTTTGCTTGTTTGTTTTGTTTTGTTTTGTTTTAGTAGAGACGAGGTTTCCCCATATTGCCCAGGCTAGTCTTGAACTCCTGATCTTAAGTCATCCACCTACTTCAGCCTCCCAAAGTGCTGGGATTACAGGCCTGAGTCACAGCACCTGGCCCACAGAGACAATTTTTAATGGTAAAATGAAGCTATACAACAGTTAATCCACTTAGATTTGTATGACTGACATAAACCTAGATGTTAAATGGGGCTTTCATTAATATCTTGAGACTCTAGTACCATAAACATAGTAATTAAACTTCATAGTTTAGTCATGACTTTGAAGGCAATGATACATTTAGTTCCACACTTGGCTTTATTTCCTACTTGCCTCTATTCAAATGAGAAATTATATTCTTCCATCGAGCTCTTTTTAAGTTTATTTCCCTGAGTGGGACCACATCACCAAGTATGCTGGTTTTGTAAAGCTTCTGAAAATTTAGGCTTAGATAATTCCCTTCGGGGTTGCTGTAATCAGAGATAATTATTAGTGGACAGGAGCATGAAGCAATTTTATGCAAGATATGCTAATGATACGTTGCAAAATTGTTCTTTAAGAGATAAGTACTTAGCTTTATGAGAAATTATCCCATATCAAATCCCTGTCCTTTACATTCTGGTTTTGAAAATTGAATGATTCAGAATGAAATATATAAATTTAAAGGCTTAAATATATGTGGTTGACATTATTCAAATCAGTTTACAATAATAATTATTTTACTATGTAGACTTACATGCAAATGCTTTTTAGTCTGCCACCTAAATTGGGCCATATAATGATTTTCTGGAATAGGGATTAGTCATTACTGTACTTATTATATGCTTAATATATTTTAAGTAAATTTCCAATAATCATCTGATCATTAAATGCTGGAACCAGAACTTAAATCAGTGTATGTTCTGTTGGCCTAAGCTGTCTTCCAATTTCAATTACATAGTTAATTGCATTAAAGAAAACCATGGTTTTAGGGTTTTTCTTACTCAAAGCAGTAAAACCAAATAAGTCAACAGAAAGATAATAAAATAAATAAGAAAGTGAGAGATGATCAAGATAGGAAAAGAAAAGAGTTCTATTTCATTGATTAGAGAATTATAAATGAGCAATATATACATCTGATAACTTATACATTGCTCAAGTTTGCAGTTCTGTAAGCAAAGAGTCAAGGGACAAATAACCTTAGAAGACCTAAAGTGATAAATCAAGGTGGCTACAGTAAACTGCAAAAGGCCTTGTAAAATTTTTTGAATGACATTATCTACTGTTCTAACTCATTTATAAGTCAAAATTGGAGGAATTTTAAAATAAAAACTATTTCTGGAGAAACACAAAGTAAAAATTTAAAATAATAAAAATTTTATGAGAAAAATAGTTTTACATTTAAGTTAAAATATTTGTCTTTATTGGTAATCAGCAGAAAAAGCTGAACTCCAAAAGATCCACAGAAAACAGGTAGGGATTTTAGTGATTCCAGTTGAGAAGACTTTAGAATTTTTGGATATAAAGCATCTCTTTAAGTTTCTGAGTCTAGGAGATCAAACAGATCACTTTGCTCTGATGCCTAAACAGAGGCTGAGGCAAGCTGTTCAGTGCTGATTAAACTGTCATGTAAAGTACAGACCCTCCCAGAGGTGATAACCATGGCCAAATACAGCAGCCCTCCAAATTATTCCTGCCCTTGTAAAGTGGTGTAAAATATATCTAAATATATAATTCTCATTTTAAAATCTCTCTAATTTTTGACTTCTAAATGGGCCAGAGCATTTAGATAATACAATTCAAAAAATAAAGTTTGTTTTTTTTTTTCACTTCAGGTCCTCTAAGATTATTTACCCCTTAACTTTATTTGAAAATTTACTTATTACTCAAGTTCGTAATTCTCTAATAAAAAATAGAACTCTTTTCCAATTTTTTCTTTAAATAATCTGTCTGTAACAAACCCTAGTGTCTCCTGTAAACTCTCAGCACCAATGTATATAGCATAGCATGCAGTTTTTATTCATTTTATTTTATTTATTTTACTTTAAGTTATGGGATACATGAGCAGAACATGCAGGTTTGTTACATAGGAATACATGTGCCACGGTGGTTTGCTGCACCTATCAACCCATCATCTAGGTTTTAAGCCCCGCGTGCATTAGGTATTTGTCCTAATGCACTCCCTCCCCTTGCCCCTCACCCCATGACAGGCCCCAGTGTGTGATGTTTCCCTTCCTGTGTCCATGTATTCTCTTTGTTCAACTCCTACTTGTGAGTGAGAACATGCAGTGTTTGGTTTTCTGTTTCTTTTGGTTTGCTAAGGATGATGATTCCCAGCTTCATCCACATCCCTGCAAAGGACATGAACTCATTCTTTTTTATGGCTGTATAGTATTCCATGGTATATATGTGCCACGTTTTCTTTATCCAGTCTATCATTGATGGGCATTTGGGGCATGCAGTTTTATAGATTGTACTTCCTTTTATACTTCCATGGTATTTTCCATCCATTTTTTTTTTTCCTGAGTCCTTTTAAATAAGGGTCTCTATATGATCAGAGCCAATGAATATTCTTGGGAGATTGTAGAAGTAGAAGAAGAAAGTCAGAGGTCCAAGCGTTAAACCACCAAGGTATAAGACTTTTCCATCATGCCCTTTCTTCTATCTCAGCGACATGCCTTGTTATGTGCACTAATAATCATAAACAATGCTTAGAGACTGGAGAATCAATGTTAGTTTCAAGGGACTTTGAGTGCAGGATGGGACTGAATTTTAAGTCACTAAATGCCAGAGCAGCAGCCAGAGTACTGTCAGAGCAAACTTTACATGAATCTCTGCTGCCTACAATGATGGAAAACTCAAGGAACTCAACAGTTTTTATGTGTCAAAACCTTCCCCTGAATGTCTCCTGTGTACTTCCATATTGCAGTTTTGCTCTAAAGACTATGATTCTGGCCAGGTGCGGTGGCTCAATCCTGTAATCCCAGCACTTTGGGAGGCAGAGGCAGGTGGATCACCTGAGGTCAGGAGTTCGAAACCAGCCTGGCCAACATGATGAAACCCTGTCTCTACTAAAAATACAAAATTAGCCGGGTATGGTGGTGCATGCCTGTAATCCCAGCTACTAGGGGGGCTGAGTCAGGAGGATCACTTGCACCTGAGAGGCAGAGATTGCAGTGAAGTGGGATCGTGCCACTGCACTCCAGCCTGGGCAACAGAGTGAGACTCCAACTCAAAAAACAAAACAAAACAAAACAAAACAAAACAAAACAAAAACCAACCAACCAAACAAACAAACACTATGATTCTTATACACTTTTTTTTCTAATGTGGTGAGAAACAACATGAGATCTATCCTCTTAACACATTTTGAAGTGTACAATACTGTATTGTTAACACTTATACAATGTGTTGTACAGCACAGCTCTAGAATTCAATCATCTTTCATGGATAAAACTTCATACCTACTTAATACCTATTTTTCCTTCCCTCAGCCTCTGACAAGCACTATTTACTCTGTTTCTATGAGTTGGACTATTTTATATACTTCCTATAAGTGGTATCATGCAGTATTTGTCCTTCTGTGACTGGCTTATTTCACTTAGCATAATTTCATCAAGGTTCACTCATGTTGTCATATGTGACAGGATTCCATTTGTTATTATGACTGAATTATTTCAATTGTATGTACATGCCACTTTCATCAGTCATAGACATTTCAATTGTTTCCATTTCTTGACTTTTGTTAATAGTGCTGAGATAAACATAAAAGTGCAAAAGTGCAAATACCTCCTTACAATCCTGATTTTAATTCTTTTGGCTGTATACCCAGAAGTGGGACTGCTAGATTGTATGATAGGTCTATTTTTCGTTTTTAGGCAATGCTACACTGTTTTCCACAGTGGCTGCACCATTTTACATTTCTATCAACAGTGTACAATTGTTCCAACTTCTTCATATTTTCAGCAATACTTATTTTTCTATTCCTTTGAGAGTAGCCATCCTAACAGATGTGAGATAATATCTCAGTATCGCTTTGATTTGCATTTTCCTGATAGTGATGTTGAGCACGTTTTCTTATACCTGTTAGCCAATTGTATGTCTTCTTTGGAAAATCATCTGTTCAAGTCCTTTGCTCATTTTCTAATTTTCGTTTTTGTTATAGATTTGAAGAAGCTCCTTGTATATTTTGGATTTTAACCTCTTGTTAGATGTATGCAAATATTTTCTTCCATTCCATAAGAGAACTTTTTTTATTGCTTATTGTTTTCTTTGCTGTGCAGAAGATGTTTAGTTTGATGTAGTCCAATTTGTTTATTTTTGCTTTTGTTGCATTTGTTTCTGGTACCGTATCCAAGAAGTACTTGGCAAGACCAAACAGATCACTTTGCTCTGATGCCTGAGCAGCAGCTGAGGCAAGCTGTTCAGTGCTGATTAAACTACTATGTAAAGTACAAACCCTCCCTGAGGTGATAACCATGGCCAGATACAACAGCCCTCCAAATTATCCCCATCCTTTTAAAACTGTATAAAATACTAAATATATAATTCTTATTATATATGATAAAAGTCATAAAGCTTTTTCCTTGTGTTTTTTTTTTTCCAGGAGTTTTACAGTTTCAGGTTGTAATTTAAGTCTTTAATCCCATTTGAGTTGATTTTTGTACATAACATAAGGGTCCAATTTCATTTTTTTATGTGAATATGCAATTTTTCCAACACATATGTTGAAAAGACACTTTTATTTCCTTATGATCAGTTCTGCTGATTGGGCCATGCTATTTCTTTTTTTTTAAAATAAACATTATAGAATTAGTAAGCATTTTTACTTTCTTTTTATTGTGATGATTTTACTTTAGTTCTAGGACACATATGAAGAACATGCAGGTTTGTTACATAGGTATACACATGCCATGGTGGTTTGCTGCACCCATCAACCCGTCATCTACATTAGGTATTTCTCCTAATGCTATCCCTCCCCTATCCCACCACCCCCGCAACAGGCTTCAGGGTGTGATGTTTCCCTCCCTGTGTCCATGTGTTCTCATTGTTCAACTCCCACTTATGAGTGAAAACATGTGGTGTTTGGTTTTCTGTCCTTGTGATAGTTTGTGGAGAATGATGGTTTTCAGCTTCATCCATATCCCTGCAAAGGACATGAACTCATCCTTTTTTATGGCTGCATAGTATTCCATAGTGTATAGGTACCACATTTTCTTTATCCAGTCTTTCACTGATAGGCATTCAGGTTGGTTCCAAAGGGCTAATATCCAGAATCTACAAGGAACTTAAACAAATTTACAGGAAAAAAACAAATGACCCCATCAAAAAGTGAGCAAAGGATATGAATAGACACTTCTCAAAAGAAGATATTTATGCAGTCAGCAAACATATGAAAAAAAGCTCATCATAACTGGTCATTAGAGAAATGCAAATCAAAACCACAATGAGATACCATCTCATGCCAGTTAGAATGGCGATCATTAAAAAGTCAGGAAACAGCAGATGCTGGAGACAATGTGGAGAAATAGGAATGCTTTTACACAGTTGGTGGGAGTGTAAGTTAGTTCAACCATTGTGGAAGACAGTGTGGCAATTCCTCAAGGATCTAGAACCATAAATACCATTTGACCCAGCAATCCCATTACTGGCTATATACCCAAAGGATTATAAATCATTCTACTATAAAAACACATGCACACATATGTATATTGTGGCACTATTCACAATGGGCCATACTATTTCTTTGGTCACAAGGTTATCACATGTTTGGCATTCTTGCTAAGATGATTCTGGAACAGGGAAACAGAACAAATAATGTTGATGGACTAAGAGAAGATTGACTAAAAAAATAAGGAGCAGAGTGCCATGATAATCATATTGATATGGATTTGACTATTTAAATACTTTCAAACCAAATCACCATAGAATGAAACTTTGTTTTTTAGGGACTGTTTTCTCACATAAAGACGGGTATGATAATACCTGCCTCACAGAATTTTTAAAGATTAGAAATTAATGTAAATTGATCATGTTAATATATAAATATTTCATAGATGTTGATTCTTTTCTCTTAAAGATAAAATAATTTCCTCTCCTTATCCCAACTTCAGACAAATATTCCTCAGTGCATGTGTTATAGTGCAGTCTCTAAAATTATGTTCCTGCCTTTACTACTAAATTTGACTTGAATATAATGAAACTATATGGAAAAGTAAAGTAATCCAGACTTTCAAGAAGAGAATGTAAAGGACTCTCAGTTTTTCTATGTGAGATCCAAGAACAGGGGAAACCACAAATGTAGAATCAAAATCTTCTCTTGTAGATCATGGAAGTTAGATTATTCAAGCTGCATTTACACTGGAATGAAGTTTGGCATGGATAGCCCCACTGGCTTGTAGAAAGGTCTAAGAGCATCCCACTATTTTCTTTTTGCTTGTTTGTTTCATTTTTGTAAGTTAGTCTAAAATAACTATGCCTATGGAAAAAGTCTACCTCTTTTTGTTCTCCATTAAAATTAATACATACAGTAGGATGATTTATACCATATATATCAGAAGTCAGCCATATTTTCAACTTTTTTGTGACATCATTGGTTTGTCAAATAAGGTATCCTAATTTTTGTTTTACAAAATATTAATGAACACATCATATAACTTTTTTTGTTCCTTCCATTTAAATGATTAAGAGTACAACTAAATCAGATTTTTAAAGACCAAATTGTTGAGGTTAGGAATAAAATCTTATTTTGTGAAAGACTCTCTAGAAAAAGCCAGGATAATTCGTTGACTTAAAGACTGTGAAAAATCTGCAGTTGAGTTGGATGAAGTTGTTGAGCTGTATTTCCTATAAATATATGGGGTTTTTTTTCTAATTTTTCATCCAAAAACCTTACTTTCATTTTTTAAGTCTTATTGAGTAACTTTGAAAGCCAGAGCCTCCCAAAACTGCTGAGTCACCCAGTATCTGTAAAACTTAGCAGTTGCCTCAGCTGAGTATGTCTTCTAAAGATAATGTCGATTGTGTATGGCTGATGGGATTCTAGGACCAAGCAAGAGGTTTTTTTTTTTCCCCCACATACTTAACGTTTCTATATTTCTATTTGAATTCGACTGGACAGTTCCATTTGAATTATTTCTCTCTCTCTCTCTCTCTGACACATTTTATCTTGCCAGGTTCTAAACCTTTAGGAAAAATGGAGCAATTTCCAAAGGAAACCGTAAGTACATATTTCTCTTCCATGCAATTTGTCATTAATATTATTAGGAAAGATGTTTCCTTTAAACTTTCTATACTATCTTTCCCAGGAACATTAATAATTATTTGGCTTTTAACAAATAGATAATTTTACTTTTAACTATTTTTTGTGAACAATAACCTTGAGCTTATGTCTGTGCAGCACCAAGACCCAGTAATGACTTAAGTCGGTTCCCAGAGAGAATAAGTAGGGAGATTGAAGCTAAATAACACCTAGTAACAACGTGAGTCTCCATGTAATGATCTAATTCTATAGCCATGCCAGTAATGGCAATTCACAGAGTAGCAATTATACTTAGGAGGAATAATGGGAGATTAAAATTTAAACTCTATATTAAACATTTTGGCTGAGGTAAGCTAGGGAAAATGGTATCCATATCCAGAAGAATGAAGGTGAACCCTATGGTGATTTTGCTGGATATTGTCACAAACAGGTTGGCTCCCACTCTGGGAAAAGGATACTTATATATTGTTTTAGAGTAAAAGTTTTTATATTTCAAAAATAAATTGCAGACATGCTAATAATTTGAAATTTGTGACAATTGGGCAGAAGATAGCTGAACTTTTGATTTATAGTGTTTGTGAGTAAAGCAAGTAAAGAGTAAATATATGAGATTTATTTTTAAGTATGAAGGAAACAAAATTTTCAAACTGTTGCATATATCATTAACTAAATTAATTGCAAGCCATTCTTAATTATTTATTAAATTAAGTTAAAAATAATAAGCACTTCTCAACACCTTTTTAGCCCTTGAAAGCAATAACATTATATTTCTTTTTATCTATCTGAAATTATGTGATTTTGCTGATTTAAACTTGCTCCATGATCAGTCCAATATAATTATATCTATAGAACTTAAATGCTAGCACAAATTTATGTAAAAAGTGAGGAGAGTCTTCTGGATAATCAAGAATTTTTAACCTAAACAGAAGCTATGTCTGGTTAAAAATTACGTAAATATACTACAGCTCTTCTGACAATAGTCCCTAGAAACTTCAGGATATCTGAATATAGGTCCAACATGAGTAAACACCTTGACACATATAAGCGGGGCAACATGTTAAATATTTGAGAACTAGCAAGTAACAGAATCTTTTTAACTTGCAGGTTGTGGAGAGCAGTGGGCCAAAGGTTTTGGAAACAGCAGAAGAGATCCAGGAGAGGCGTCAGGAAGTGTTGACTCGGTATCAAAGTTTCAAGGAGCGGGTCGCTGAGAGGGGTCAGAAGCTTGAGGATTCCTATCACTTACAAGTTTTCAAGCGAGATGCAGATGATCTGGGGAAGTGGATCATGGAGAAAGTCAATATCTTAACCGATAAGAGCTATGAAGACCCAACTAATATACAGGTCACTCAGTTCTCTTGATTGCCTCAGAGCAGACCCTAAGATCTCTAGAGAAGGAAATAGGTTTTTCTTTATGTTAATGTTAATGGGTATGTGTGGGTACAATTAGATTCCGTTTAGAAACAAAAATAAGTCAGTGGAGTGGGAAGTTAAAGAAATAAATTAATAGAAAATCTAAAAGTGCATTTTCCCTTATGAAGTTGGAGAGGTGAGACTGAGAAAATAAGAATCAAACAAAAAGCAGCAGTTTTTCAGTTGTTGAAAGCACAGAACTGTTTTTTACAATGAACTTCCATTCAGAATATACATTTTTTAATCATTAACCAAGGATATTGCTTATTGATAAGGGCATAGGATACTTTACATATTTTCATGGTGAAGCATTCATCAATGCCAAAAGTAAAAAATTACATCAATTTTTTTTCAGATCCAGCACAAATATTATGGTAATGTAAGTGTATATCTGGTTAATTGTAGTGGGAGTGATGTAATGGAAAAATTAGACTGTCTGTTAGAAACAGTAATTCTGCCTCTAAATAGTCCATGTCTTCATCTTCATAAACATCGGGGTGTTATTTGCAAAGGAGATTTATTCTGTATAGAATTTGATGGTTACAATACTCATCTGAAATTGACCTACAGGCAAAACAGCAACTGCAAATTCAAGAAATTTCTGACAAACCATGTGATTTTTGATATTTTGGGACATTAAGAAGGGAAATAGGGTGAAGAGTCATCAATGCTTCTGAAGCAACTGTCCTCCACTCTTCTCAGAAATATAAGAGTTAACCAGGTTAACTAAAATCCAATTTAGTTAACCTGGTTAACTCAATTGCTATTCATGGCTCTTAAGTTTTTCCTAAAATGTTGTTCATGGGTCTCAAGTTCTAATGAGAGGTTTCAGTAGAAGTTTGGTGAAAGCTCCTACGCGTTTCTGATCACCTAAAATTATAGCATGTGATACCTGTTCTCTACTCTTCTCAGAGAGATGAGTTAACCAGAGTTTTTTTTTTTTCTTCCCTAAATTGCTATTCATGGCTCTTAACTTCAAAAGAGAGGTTTCAGTAGAAGAAATTTGGTGAAAGTGCCTACCCCTTTCTATTCACCTAAAATTATAGCATGTGGTGTTGTCATAATCAGAAGCAATTGATGTTGGACAGGAAACACCTAGAACAAGAGCAAAATAATGTGCTATATTGAATGGATCAATTTATAGATTACAAGAACAGGCACAGCATGCAAAAAAAACTCTCAATTTTTTTTTTTAAAAACCATTATTATAACTATCATCTTTCTCATTGTGCTCTACTTCCAAAAAAAAATCAGTTATTCCTCTTTTCTGATGAGGAAGGACACTGTGTGTTACACTCTTTTATTCCTATGGCAGTCTATTGAGCCTTTAAAATAAGGCTCGGCATAGATCATAAGGCTCAGCATAGCTCAGGACAGTATTTACTGAAAACTTCCTAAAGCCAGTGGGGACAGGAAAATACTCTTTATGGCCTCTGAGTCTGGGACCCTTTGAGAACCTGTGTTTGGTGGCTTTACATAGAGTGAACATTTCCCATGAAGACTGTGCTTCATTAGACAAAAACTCTGATTTCTAAACTTTAGGGGAAATATCAGAAGCATCAATCCCTTGAAGCAGAGGTGCAAACAAAATCAAGACTCATGTCTGAACTGGAAAAAACAAGGGAAGAACGATTTACCATGGGTCATTCTGCCCACGAAGAAACGAAGGTATATGTATGGGCCCTTGAAGAAGTTTCCAATTATTGATTATGTTATCAGGGTTTTAACTGATTATATGAGATATAAACCTTGAGTGGCTGGCTTATACCCAGGACTCCTGCCTCTTATCTTCCCCTGGGGTTGAGGCATAAAAAATGATGGGATATCTTCGTGTTTCTTGGGGTGAAGAGAGCTGTGATATTAAAGCTGTCATTAAATGGCATAAAATTCCTCCTATAACAGTGCAGGATAATTTGGCTCAAGATCAAGCCCACTTAAACCTGTTCCACATTATCCAGATCAATTAGTTTTTTCCAATGTTCTTTCTAATTATTTCCTCTAACCTCAATGTCCTTGTCTCTTAACTTCTCCAAATAAGGAATGCTCTCTCATTTGAATGTTTTCCAAAATATTTTTCCTTTGTCTATGATGCCTCTTTCTTTTCATACACCATACCCTATGACTACTATTGCACCTCTCCAAACTGTCCCTTCTTATTACTTCTAAAAACTCCCAAATGTCATGTAGTCAGAAAATTTTCTCTGAACATCTAGAAATGAAGATCATCACTATTTCAATAAGGATTCATACTCTGTAATCTATTATTAATGTAACAGCTATTTTTGGACTTAATCTACGAACTCTTCCAAATGTTTGTGCTAATATTGTCAATTCAATTTTTTTGTGTGTGAGTGAACTTTTTACTGTTTATGTATTTTTTTAATTGTCAAAACAAATTTGCATTATATATCTTAAAACTGGGTCTGGCCTTTCTATATATAGCATAAAAATTCTAGCCCATTCTGTCATCAAAATATGGTCAACGGACACAGATTTTAGCCAGAATAGAATCTTATTTTAAAGAAGAACCCATAAAAGGAAAATTTCAAAACTTGTTTATTTGTATAAAGTATAATTAACTTTTGTATTATGCACAGTTTTGCATGTAACCAGCATCTACATTAATTACAATATTTGAGAAATGTTTGAAACATCTTCATTTCTGTCAGAATCACTGGGGCTATAGCAAATGGTACCATTGCGGGGTTTAACGACATATGTGGTCCACATGCTACCCAGAGCAATGGAGTAGTTGAAAAATATAAGATTCTTGAAGATATGACATAGGTGGCAATTTCAGTTATATAAGACAGGTAATACATAATGTTCTGAGTTAATCTGGCATTCAAAGCCCTCTGTAGATTCTCAAACTGTATAGTCCCAAAACACTGTTATTGTTTCGGTGCCAATGATTTCCTTATAACTTATAAAAATTATAGCTCTCACACTTTCTGGCAGACAATTCATGCTAAGTTTCTCCTATGCCTTTGCTATTGCTGTTTGCTCTTCTTAGAACATGTTATGCTTATGATTGACCTGTCAAAAATCTTTCTGCTCCATAAGGCTCAGTTCAAATGAACACTTTTCCATGCTTTCTTCCTCCTTCCCATCTTATTGTTTGTAATTATTCCATCCTTTAAAACTGCAAAGCATTTTTACAAATTGTTCTCTTATGTAAGATCGCATTTGGCTTGGCTTGTTAGCTATTTCCATATATCTATCCTATTTCCTCTTTTAAATGTTTGTTGAGCAACTAATGCATGAGTAACTGAGAGAAGAATTTTTATCCAGGTCTCTTTCTGCACAAGTCTCTGAGTGTTTCCCTGCTCCCAGTGTCTGTGGCTGAGTGGTTTTGCCCCTCTTTCCTAAAGGCCCATATAGAGGAGCTACGCCACCTGTGGGACCTGCTGTTAGAGCTGACCCTGGAGAAGGGTGACCAGTTGCTGCGGGCCCTGAAGTTCCAGCAGTATGTACAGGAGTGTGCTGACATCTTAGAGTGGATTGGAGACAAGGTATCGAACTTAAAACAGCAATCACACAGGGCCTCCCACTCCTCTGTCCCAGGTACCCCATAGCAAATTACTGCAGACTACTCACAAGGAAGTCAGGATGTCTGTTCCTGGCTTTGTTCTTTGGAACAAGAGGAAATTGGGGCCAAAATGTAGGGGTATCTGGAGGTCAACATTGTATGGAAGTAAGTCTTAACATATGGATCTGAATATGAAAAAGGCAAGACTTACACAAAGACCATGCATTGAAAGATAATTAGGCTCATCTCTCTTCCACTTCCATGATTTTTAACTCCTTCTCCTATGTTTTTGCTCTTACTCTGGGGTCTGGCTGAGAGTATTGACAGCTCTTTCTCTAATCCTTTGTGTCTCAGTGCCTATAAAGATGGAGGGTTTTATTTTTCTAAATACTAAAGGAATAATTTAATAGTTAGGACTAAAGATTTAGATAAGCAAATGCCTAACAAAATACTTTCGTAGATACTGATATGTTGAATTGAGTAGAAACAGGATGAATTTATCCCTCATGTTTCAAAACACAAAAGGGTACTTTCAGGGTCTCTTGCCAGTAATGCCACAAACTTGCTAAAGAACTGCCCGAAAGAGCACTTTCCCTTGTGCCAAGGTGCTACCTTAACAAATATACTTCTGCTGCTGGCCTTTTCCAGGAGAGCTTCTCCCAGTCTCCCCCAGTATCTCCATTTGAGTTATCCTGGGAATGCAAGCAGGAGTTTTGAGTTTTTGACCTACAGAAACTCCTAAATGTTTGCTGGCAACTCAATCAACTTCTGTGTCTACAGGAGGCTATAGCGACATCAGTGGAGCTAGGTGAAGACTGGGAGCGCACCGAAGTTCTGCATAAGAAATTTGAAGACTTCCAAGTGGAGCTGGTAGCTAAAGAAGGGAGAGTTGTTGAAGTGAACCAATATGCCAATGAGTGTGCCGAGGTGAGGTGGGAGCAAAATATTCACTCCGTGCAAAGGGTTCTTATCCTTAAGAATAACTTCTGGCCATTAGTAGATGGATATGAAGGAGATGGGGCATTGTGAGAAAACAGAGGTTGGCATGTTCCTGGAGTAACATATTCTGAACAGTTTCCTCTCCCCTCTGGACCCACCCCTTACAAGTCTATTGAAATGGAGGGTTGAGAGAGAAAGAGAGAGTGTGTTTTTGTGTGTTTGGAGAAATTAAATACACAATGGGCAGTGAAGCTATTGCCATTTATATAGTAGCTTCTGTACCATGCAGTACACTGATTACTCATGTTAATGGGGCACTCTTTCTTCATGAAAAAACACAAAAATAAAGTAGCAGAGCATATAAAATAATGTTGAGCTATCATTATTTATACATATATATGCATATGTAATATCATTATACAAGATTATTTCGGAGGATTGAGGAAGGAAAGGAAGCGGTTTTACTTTTATTTACTTAAGAAAATACTTAAGTTTGTGATGTGTATATATATATAAGTTTACATGTATATGTAAGTATATAGATGTAAAATAAATAAACTCCAACAGTTGGCTATATTTTGCTTTTCCATTTATAGTTTCATTATGATTGCAGCTCTATAGTGAGAATGATTTTCCTGACTTAATAAAAAGAAGACTTCAGAATGAATGAGTGCTGGAGTAGGAAAAATAACCTATGTTTTCCTATTTTTCTTTCAGGCCATATTTCCAGTAGTTTCTAAATTTTCTACCTCCATCACTTTTCTCTTGCTGTGGAAGTTTTTCATTTATCTATTACTGTCTAACCAATCAACAAACTTAACATCTTACTTGTTAATGACTCTGTGAATCAGATGATTGAGCTGCTCTGCTGGGCTGTTTTCCTGATCTTACCTGGCATTTTTATGTGTCTGAAGTGATCAGGTGGCTCAGCTGGGGTGAAGGATCTAAGGTGGCCTCAATCCCATGTCTAGGGCCCTGGTGAGGATGATTTGGGAGGATTGAGGAGATCTCTGGGTGACCTCTCATCATGCAGTAGACCATGCTTCTTACATACCAGTGTTACAAGAGTGTGAGAATAGAAAATGAAAGTTTTCTTGAGGCCTAGGTGCTGGAACTCATAGAAAATTACTTCTGCTACTTTCTATCAGTAAGCAAGTTAAAGACCATCCAAGATCCAAGACTTGAGGAAACATACTCTACCTTTTGAAGGGATGAGCAGCAAAATAGCATGCGATTTTTTCCAATCTATCATAGAAAGAATAAATCCAACACAGCTAGGTTATATTCTGTGCTCTCGAGTGGGGCCTACACTGCTGTAATAGAAAGAACCATGTACTTGAGAAGGAGAATGGAGAAAATTCTGTCTGGAGAGACTTGGGAATGGGAATGAAAATGGAGAGAAACAGGGACAGGAAGAGTAAGGAGACTTAGGCATATGGGAATGCCTCAAAATTGCAAAGTATGAAAATAGACTGATGCTTCCAGCTTAATCTAGTATTCACAGATCTCACTACTTTGGATGGTTTGCAAAAATGCCTGAAATTTTATGCAAAATCATACGTGAAAGCACGTGTCTATAATTCTGGGAAGAGAAAAATAGCTTTTATTGGATTCTCAAAGGTGTGAGGACCACAAAAAAGTTAAGACCCACAGCACTAGTCTTTGAGAAAATTAAGTTGTATTTCATAAAAGGAATTTCCTCTTCTTTTCCTTGGTTTCCAGGATTTCAAGGAGATCTCAAGCATTGACAAGGTGGAGCTCTAAAAATAACATCAGGGCTGGGCAACCTGTGCTAATAGGCTAGTCCACTGCTGTGGGCACAGATGCAACATCTGGCAGGTTGTTTTTCTAGGTTTTGGTAGTGTGCATCAAGTTGGAGCTAGGGAGGAGGGCTATGATGAAGTTCAGTGTCTGGCTACAATGGTCAGTTTTCACTTCTGTAAAAGTATGAACTAATGTAAAATGAAAAGTGTTTGAATAATTTTTTAAATATAATCTCATCTCTGTATAACTCCAGTGTTGTTTTCCTTCAACAGGAAAACCATCCTGACCTACCCTTAATTCAGTCTAAGCAAAATGAGGTGAATGCTGCCTGGGAGCGCCTTCGTGGTTTGGCTCTCCAGAGACAGAAAGCTCTGTCCAATGCTGCAAACTTACAACGATTCAAAAGGTATGGATCTGGCCACTGCTTTATAGAAAACTTTGAAGTGCTTTATAAAAACCGTGTCTTTGTATTAGGCTCTTTCTACTTCTGTTAGCAATTAATGGTCAACACTTCAAACAAAAGTGGATCATGTACTTGCCTTTGGGACAGCAAAGGAGAAGGTAAAGAAATCTGTGACCTACTCTATGGCCAAGGATGTAGAGATTGGAGATCAAAATAACTAAAAAAGTAGCATTGGTAATTTAGGAATGGAAGCGCTGCAGACGGAAGGGAAGCAGGTTAATAATTAAATGGAAGGTGGAGTTAGGAAGAAGAAAAGCATTCGTAAGGAGCTGACCCAGATATGGAACATATCTCTAGAGGCTCAGCTGTCAAGAAGCCCAGGACCTTAACATCTCAATAGAAATAACCATTAAGTAAGAACATTTTATATTACTTTTTGCTAGTATGTAGGAAGAAAGGATAATTGCTCCTGGGTCAACTAGGATGGTCCTTGCTGTGAGTTCTGTTGGACCGTTTGCCCTGTAATGCTTGCTATCTTCTTTGGTTGGAGCTCTTGTTAATGACTGCAGGGATGTGACTGAAGCCATCCAGTGGATCAAGGAGAAGGAACCTGTACTCACCTCTGAGGACTATGGCAAAGACCTTGTTGCCTCTGAAGGACTGTTTCACAGTCACAAGGGACTTGAGAGAAATCTTGCTGTCATGAGTGACAAGGTAATGCGCTGTTAGAGAAATGGCTAACCCGTTGAGCTAGAAGAGGCAATTGTTGATTATCTTGCCTATTACCGTGCCTCCAGAGAGCACAATAAGTTCACTGTTTTCAATGAAGAAGAAATTGTGTGCACTTGAATACGCTTCTTCATTCTAGTTCATAACTCGTATGTGGATACTGGATATACCTTATTTTCATTTGAATTATTTTTATTTAAATATACACATATGTTTTATATTCTCTTGTGTTTTCCTAACTTATTTCACAATTTAAAAACAAAACAAATATACCTTCAAGGTTGATTCCTAATCTCACTGAGTAAAATACACCGTGGCCAGACTCTACCCTTTCATCTAACCACATTTTGTTCTGTTGCAGCTGAATCCTGATTCTTTTTGTACTCAGTAGATCAGAAAAACATTGTCTTCTCCTTTTAAAATAAACTTCAAGACACTTAATGCTAAACCTACCTTTAGGTTTCCTTTTAAAACCTGGAAAACCTCAGGCACACTAGAACTTAGAACAAGCCTATTTTCTTAAATGATTTCCATCCTTTACTTCTTCCCCTCACAAATGTAGCCAGAACGTAAACCAATTACTACTGAGAGTGCACAGGGGAGTCAGCCCACAGAAAGATCCACATTTGCTGTAATTTAATTTTAGGCCTGTCCCTGTGTCCAGTTTCTGCAAACTTCCACCATTCTACTTTTTCTTTCATTCTTCCTTTTTGTTGTTGTTGTTGTTTTTGGTCTTTTTCCCTAATAATGAATAATAAAACCCATAAGTTGACAAATAATGGTATGGAAATTCCAATCCCTAGACATCATCTGATTATAGTTGAGTATGATGAAAGGGCTAATAACATGTGAAAACCCACCCATATCCACATTTTGCCCTAGTAACCCTGCTCCTCAGAGGTTGTGCTGAAAATTATCCAGCATTACTGAAATTTTCTTGGCCTTGTGGACAGAAATGTCTTTCTGCCTCCCACAGTAATATTTAGGGAAATGTTATAGAGGGGTGGGGAAGGAAAAACTTAGTTTGGAACCTTGCTCCTGACATTTTCTAGCTGAATGATCTTAAGCAAATAAAATACTTAATCTCTCAGTTTTCGCATAAAAGAAAAATAAGAGTAATTCCTACCTCATGGTATTATTAAATGAATAATATAAAATGAGAACGTTCATGTAAAGTACTTAGCATAATGAGAGACTGAAAAGTACTTAGTGAATTGTAATTATCAATGTAGTACATTAGTATATTAATAGAAATCTATTCATATGTCGATTTCTAAATTATTATTATTCATATGATTTTTTATACCTCTCCCACAAAGCTTTGCCAGGGGGAGTCAGAGTACTTGGATTTCCTACTAGGTTTCTTTTTCATCCCAAAGGTGAAGGAGTTATGTGCTAAAGCAGAGAAGCTGACACTTTCCCATCCTTCAGATGCACCTCAGATCCAGGAGATGAAAGAAGATCTGGTCTCCAGCTGGGAGCATATTCGTGCCCTGGCCACCAGCAGATATGAAAAACTGCAGGCTACTTATTGGTGGGAAATCCCTCCCCTTTATTGCTCTACCTATCTCTACAGGGCCCAGATATAATAGCGAGAGAAGAAATAAGAGTAAAGGGAGTCAAATAGCGAGAGAATCAGCTCTCCTGCCTGCTCAGTAGAGACAAAATATTTAAGTTGCCAAAGGAAGTCCTTTGTGACTGATATAATATAGTAGCACCCCCTTATCTGTGGTTTCAGTTACCAGCAGTCAACCACAGTTTGAAAATGTTAAATGGAAAATTCCAGTAATAAATAACTTATAAGTTTTAAATTGCTTATTATTCTAAGAGGCATGATAAAATTTCTGGCTGGTCCACTTTGTCCCACTGAAAGATGAATCATTCCTTTGTCCAGCATATATGTGCTGTATATCTACTCACTCGTTAGTCACTTAGTAGCAGTCTAAGTTATGGATTGACTGTCTTAGTATCACAGTGCTTATGTTTAAATAATTCTTATTTTATTTAATTGTTCTATTTTATCATTAGTTATTGTTTGTTAATCTCTTGCTGTACCTAATTTATAAATCAAACTCTATCATAGGCATATAGGTATATGAAAAAATGTAGTGTATATAGTGTTTGGTACTATCTGCAGTTTCTGGCACCTGCTGGGCATATTGAAATGTATCTCCCACAAATAAAGGGAGACTCCTGTGATCAGCATCACACCTCCACTCATCTGCAAATTTCCATCTTCCCCTGCTTGTATTATTGTGGGATGCTATGAAATGGGTCAAAAAGCTGGAAAAGCAACTGAAGAAACATTTCAAAATTCTGACTCTAGATAAGGAACTGAAAGACATGCAATACAAGCTGAAGAGCATCAAAATAACTTCAGTATTATTTCCTGAATGTGGATTACAAGCTTACAAAAACCCCTAATAATCAGGCATCATTTCAGTATTAATTCTTATGGTTAGTCCTTAAATAACCAGAGGACAGTGCTTGTCATATGATTGTGATTTCAAAACAAAAGATGAGCATTTAACTTTTTAAAATAGGAAACTGTTTTGCAGCTCTTGTTTCTTATTAACAGGGTTAAAGATGAGCTAGATAGATGAGGAATCCTAATGCTAATTCTAGTTCTTCCTTCCCATAAGGTGATTCTTATTTATATAACAACATGTATTGTTTATTGGTTGCATTATGAGCACCTTACTCCATTTTAAGTACCTCTAGGGTAGGTGTGACCTTGAGGTGGTGGAGGTGTAATGCTCATGGGTCACATCCCACAGCAACACACGTACCCTAGAAATATAAAACCTGGGGTGAAGGACTTACAACCTGCACCACTAATCTCTGACTGTAAATAACAGGAAATAATCAGGAAAAAGGGAACCTAGGATTAGAGTAAGGAGCATCTCACACATCTTACCTCACCCCAAACCTAAATCTTTGTTCAATGTCCTTTCATATCTGGTTTCTCCTTCCTGTCTTTTACCTCACTTTTCCCACAGGTACCATCGATTTTCATCTGACTTTGATGAACTCTCAGGCTGGATGAACGAGAAGACTGCTGCGATCAATGCTGATGAGCTGCCAACAGATGTGGCTGGTGGAGAAGTTCTGCTGGACAGGCATCAGCAGCATAAGGTAGAGAAGAAAGGCTGCCCAGTAGGAGGAGGGGGCAGGTTATTTGGCTGAATGCCAGAAATGCCAGGTTTCTTGCTGCATTTTGAGACACTTTGTTTTGTGGCCACAGCATGAGATTGACTCTTACGATGACCGATTTCAATCTGCTGATGAGACTGGTCAAGACCTCGTGAATGCCAATCATGAAGCCTCTGATGAAGTTCGGGAAAAGGTAATCTAGTTTAACAGAGTTTGTCAAATTCCAATTATATATGTAGTCATTACATAATCTCACAATAATATGATAATCTCTAAATGGGAAAAGAATAGAAGTCATTTAAACGTGTTAATAATATGAATCAAACTTTTACACTGCTTCCTTTCATATACAGTTATCACTTATTATCCATGGGGCATTGGTTCCAGGACCTCCCTCAGGTGCCAAAATCTGCAGATGCTCAAGAAACGGCATAATATTTGCATACGATGCATGTACATTCTCCTGTACACTTTAAATTATCTTCAGATTACTTATAATACTTCATACAATGTAAATGCTATGTAAATAATTGTTATACCGTATTATTTAGGGAATAAGCAAAAAGTCTGTACATGCTCAGTACAGATGGAATTTTTAAAAAATATTTTATACCCATGGTTGGTTAAATCTACAGGTGTGGAACCTACAGATATGGGGAGTTAACTCTACTGTTTTGCTAAATTGAGTCACTTGAAATTTTCAAGACATGATGTGTGCTTCCTCATCTCTGAGCATTTATTTCATCAACCCTCTGACTTCTACCTAATTTGAAACCTCCATTCCATTTTGCCTCCTGACGTATGCCCAGTTTCGTGACCTTCCCATGCTCATCTCTAGACTGTAAACTCCAGGAGGACTGCACCTTATTCATTTCTGGGTTCCCCACAGTGCCTAGTACAGCATCTGACATGGTTGACATCTGTGCATGTTCTTCTTTCCTCTATACAATCTCAAATTAAGCTGACATTCCTGCATCTGTGATTTTCAAATTTGCATTAAATAACAGGACAATCTTAAACACCCAGCATTCCACTGAATGAAGAAATCAGTTTTACCATCATCCTAACCTCCTACATCATAGGGCTTCACCTCTGCACCTTGATCCAGAGAGATTTTGCACCAGTGGCAGAGTCTAGGCACACCTTGGAATGATAGTTACAGTAAGATCCGCATGCCTCTTTGCATCTCACTAGATGCCAAGCACAGCCTCTAGCACTGTGCAGTGGATGAGGTTGAGATAACCGAGTTTTGAATTCTCCCAGAACTCTGTGGGAACATTATAATATAGTTTTTTTTTATTTTAACAAGGATCTGTCAAAGAAAAAGCAGAACTCAAAAGTACTTAAAAACTTAACAGTTATCCTGGGATTCTGATAGTTTATTCTGCTTTTTTGTTGTTGTTGACAGAGTATCACTCTGTCCCCCAGGCTGGAGTGCAGTGGCCAACCTCAGTTCACTGCAGCCTCTGCCTCCCGAGTTCCAGTGATTCTCCTGCCTCAGCCTCCTGAATAGCTGGGACTAGAGGTGCGCACCACCACATCCGGCTAATTTTTGTATTTTTATTTTATTTTACTTTTTTTTTTTTTGGTAGAAACCGGGTTTCACCGTGTTGGCCAGGCTGGTTTTGAACTCCTGACCTCAAGTGATCCACCCACCTTGGCCTCCCAAAGTGCTGGCATTACAGGCATGAATCTCTGCACCTGGCCATATTCTGCTTTTTTGACGGAGATAATACAGCTGCAGGTGTAACAAGCTGGAAATTCTTGGGCACATGCTTGACCAGAAACAAAGGCTTTTTCATGTGTTTGAGAATGTCTCTTCTCTCTTTCCCTGATGGTTTTTATTTGTTTTGGGAATAAAATGCAAACTTCTCAGTGTGATGTTTTATGTGCTCTATGAACTTGGATTTCATTGACTGTCTACACTTTTTTAGACACTGCACTTTTCTCTAGCTCACATTACATTATCTAAAAATTATTTGCAGTTCATTTGCTTATGGCATTAAGTCCTGATACCCATTCCCTACCTTTTAAATCTCTGTTTGGTATGAGATTTTCCATGCTTTCCCATACTTCTACTTCCTGGCTCTCTTAATTAGAATTAGTCTTTTTCATTTCCTTATACATATAGTGTTTTACCTCTTTTATGGAATTTATCCCATTCTTCCTATAGTACAATCATTTGCTTAAAAGTTGGAATCTTAAAAGCCCATTTGCTGTTTATTTTTGTATCCTTAAATGGCTTTGCATTTATTATATGCTCAATAAATATAGAATAAAATAAATTAATTATCTTCCATATACATTATCTCCTTCTTTCCAAAGATGGAAATACTTGACAACAACTGGACTGCCCTGCTGGAACTGTGGGACGAGCGTCATCGTCAGTATGAGCAGTGCTTGGACTTTCATCTCTTCTACAGAGACAGTGAGCAAGTGGACAGTTGGATGAGTAGACAAGAGGTAACGGGAGGGGTCCATACCATCTCTAGAAGTAATTTCTCTCACCCTTCATTTGCCACCATGACTACCATGAGTTCCCTCACAACCACTCCTGTGAGTCAGAGCTTGTCTTGGGAACTAAAGGGTGATCCACAAGAAAAAGAAAAGATGGGCCCTTTCTATAAGGCTCCTACAATTCCCTCATCAACAAAAGCATATATACTTAAATACATAGCAGAGAGGCTTTAACTACAATTGAAATAAGGCAAAATAAATATCAAATTGGTAAAGGGTCAGGAAGAGAAAACTGATGAGTCAGGCAGGGTACATCAGAGTGGAGGTGAGTAGGCCACTTGAGGCAGTTTTGAGAGCTCAGAATAATGTCTAGACTGGTTGAGGAATTCCATGTGGACAGACCCAGAAACATAAGTGAGAAAATTGTATGAGAGTATCAGGAAGGAGGCCTGAAACTCCTGCTGTTTAAAGTTAATTTCTACCCATTATCATAATGTGTGCTAATTCCCACCTTGTTCCCTCCTGCCTTAGTCCTTGTCTCAGAGATATGCCAAGAGGAATGTTTCTTACCGGTCAGACACAGCTTAGGTGTGTCTTTCTGTCTTCTACAGGCCTTCCTGGAAAACGAGGATCTGGGAAACTCACTGGGCAGTGCAGAAGCCCTTCTTCAGAAGCATGAAGACTTTGAGGAAGCCTTTACTGCCCAGGAAGAGAAGATCATAGTAAGAAATTGGCCCTAGTTTGGGCATTGGCTCCCTCTCTGTATACATAATTTTACACAATACCTGTCCCCAGACAGCATTGCTCCTGTAACTACCAGACATAGCCTGAGGATTATCCCTAATCAAGTTGCATCTCTTCTTTCGTTGTTGGTGTGTTTATTTGTGTGTTTTTCAAACTCTTTAATTTTATAAACATAAAATGTTTATATAGTGAGAAAGCCAAAACTTAATACTAATCTTTAGAAAAAAAGTGAAAATAGCCAGAAAAATACTCATACCAATTTTTATCACACCATTCTTGTTCTACAAAGCATATCTGGAAAGTTTTTCTAGATGGTAGCCATGTTTTTTTTTTCTGATGAAGTGTATGGTTTTGTTTTATATTTTCTTCAGTGTAAATAGAAATTATTGAATTCTTATTCAGTATAGAATCATTACTTAGAAATTTTATTTTTTTTCATTTCTTCCTCTCTAGCAATATCTTAATATAATTTTCTCTTCCTTGGTAACATCTAGATATCTAAGTACTGTCTACTCTTTTCCTTTACAGCATATTTTTCCTTTATAGTATATCTTTATCTCTGTTTTTCATCATATATGACTACAGAGTTTTCCTGTGAGCCTTAAGTTACAATGTCCCAGAAAGCTGGTGAATGTGAAGGCAGGACTCAGAGAAGTGAAAGGAAGACTTCATGGGTCCAATACATTGTATGTCTCTGGCTGTTCCTAGGATGATGCTGACTTTAACACCACCCTTGCCACATGCACATACATACCACTACCTCCACCACCAGCAGCAGCAACAACAAAAATAACAGGCAAATTCCTAGTCTTCTCTGTTAATCTTAAATCAATATGGTGAAGAGGTGGAAGTCCAATTAATATCAAGTCCCTCATTAATTGATATGTGTGTCCTTTCTGTTGATTCTCATTGGTCAAAGCTAACAGTGTAAAATAATTTATTGTTTATAAAGTGTTATCATTTATTTTAGATCATTTTCTTATTCCAATCAATTAATTCTGAGCTCTAGCAATTTGGGGGATTTCTGGTTAAACAAGGGTGAAAACTTACCTCTATAATTTCTGACTCTTCTCCTATGTAACTGGAGATAGAGATAGAGATATAGCTAGAGCTAGAGATAGAAGGAGATAGAGATAGAGGTAGAGATGAGATAGAGATAGAGATATATTTGAGAGATGAATACACGGATAGATAGATGGATGGACAGACTGGCCATGGACATGGCTATATCATTGGTAGTGCTTCCCCTTGAAGACAAGAATAAATCAATCATCTCATAGCAACATCTGCATTCATTTACTGTAACCTGTATTTAAAAAATATTGTGGTACAGAGAATGTAATTGACATGCCCTGAGGTATATATTTTGAAATACAATTTATAACAGAAACCTGAATAAGGACTTACATCTGCTGGCCTTCAAACTTCTCCTCCCACATTGCTGTTCTTCATCTTTAAACAGCTACCCAAACTATGGCCACTTACTCAGTGGTCACTGAAGGAAAAGCATTCATTTTTATTTTTATTTTTTCAGACTGTAGACAAGACTGCAACCAAATTGATTGGTGATGACCATTATGATTCAGAGAACATCAAGGCTATCCGTGACGGGGTATGTCCAAGGGCCTAGAGCTTCTGTGTGCCTACACACTAGAATCAAGAAGAGTTTTGGTGGGCATGGTGACCAGGGTGGTCAGCGAATCTCACATGTCCATATTTGGTTGTGCTGACAGTAAGTTTACTCATGGTTTTTGCAGCTGTTAGCCCGGCGGGATGCCCTACGTGAAAAGGCTGCCACTAGACGTAGATTGCTGAAGGAGTCATTGCTTCTGCAAAAACTGTATGAGGACTCAGATGACCTAAAGAACTGGATCAACAAGAAGAAAAAGTTGGCAGATGATGAAGATTACAAGGTAGGCAGAGTTTTCAGGAGCTGGATGTAGTTATCAGGAGTTCCTTTCATTGGAAGTACAGTCTTGGAGTAAAATGAACTTTAGCGTTCAGCTGGTGATCCTCATTTTATAGATGACAAAACAGAGGCTCAGAAAAGGGCAATGAATCCCTGAAGGCTATTTATACAGTTAAATATCAAGGATCTAGATTTTGGTTTTCCTATATTCTGATGTTCTTCACCTCTTTCCTCTGGCACAATTTCTGGTGATTCTTAGCCAAATGGGGGAAGGTAGGGAATGTTCCTTATTGAGCTGCTTATTGACCTTTTCTCACCTTTTCTGCTCCCCTCTGCATCCGTATAGTAGGTAAATGTTGTGTCTAATCCCATCAATACATTTAAAGTGTGTGAAAACTACTAGGAACTCAAAAGTAACCTAAATATTTGGTATAATATAAACTTATAAAATTTTATAGCTGGAAGAGAACAGCCCCTTATTTTATAGTTAAAGAAACCAGGATCTAAGTTGAGAAGTGAGTTGCCCAAAGTTATGCAGTTATTTAGAAGGTGGTTTAACAAAAAGTTAGAAGCATGAACTCTGGAGCAGGTAAACCTGGGCTTGAATTTTTGCTTTAGTTTGTTTATGGAAATTCCTGAATTATCTCTGTGCCATAGATTACTCTTCCTTAGGGTTGTACTAACACATATATTGCACTCAAAAATGTTATATAATATAAACTATTATGTACACACTTGTATGTTTACAAACCTTCACATTTACCATCAGGATGAGAATTAGGCTTTTGATTTCTAGGCCGGTATCTATTGAAAGTGTTTATTTTCCTGATATTATTTAGTTTTAAATGTATACTTCTGATCCTTTTGTTCTTATATCTTGATAGAGCTATGAACATCTTATCCTTGCATTTCATTTTGTGAAGCTTGTTCATATGTGTTTGCATTCACTAGATGAGTTATGGCTCCACTATATGTTTAATAAACAGATCTCTATATGGGTCAAATGGATGGAAGGTTCATGTATGCGGTGAGGAATGCAAGATAATTTTCACCTTTCATGACAGCTCTGATTGTTAGTGCTTGAATGGGGTGTCATATTCAAAATGATCTTCAAGCCATATCTAAGTCCAGCAAAAAAATTGCCAGCTTAGTTCGCCATGTCTGCCACATGTAGAAAGAGGGATTCATTGCATGAATTTCTCAAACGTTGGACTAGGAAACTTCCCCCTTTTATCTTCTTGTTAGCATCGTTCGTTAGATTTATAGTGAGAAGTAACCTCTTATTCTCAAAATTTCTGTCCCTCATTCTTCAGGTAATGGTTTTTTTTTTTTTTTTCATCTTATCTCAGGACATACAGAACTTGAAGAGCAGGGTTCAAAAGCAGCAAGTCTTTGAAAAGGAGTTGGCAGTTAATAAGACCCAGCTGGAAAACATACAGAAAACTGGCCAAGAGATGATTGAGGGTGGTCACTATGCCTCTGACAATGTGACCACTCGTCTGAGTGAAGTTGCCAGCCTCTGGGAGGAGTTGCTGGAGGCTACAAAACAGAAAGGTAAAAAGCAGAGGTTTTGGTGAAAGGTCATTTTCTAAATTCTGAAATCTACTACCTTTATCTTTACCACTGTAAATTTATCTGGTGGCCTCTATGAGAAGGTATACTACTCATTTGCTTCCATGTGTCTTTCTTTTATTGGTAAAATTTTAAAAATCCAACCTGAATTTATAACACTATATATTAACACAATTTTATGTTTCCTTCAAGGGTGTAAGGTTTTTAAAAAAAAATTTTTTAGCAGTGGCAGGTGAGCTGAAATTGCTTTTGTTTTCCTCACTTTTTTCCTACTTTGTTGTTTTTCTTTCCCTTGAACAAGTATTTTTGAACCATGAGTTTTACCTATTTTGGTTCTATAAGCTAGACAAGATATTATGACTCATTAGACATTAAAAGATTGTTGATGTCACACGTGATTTTCCTACATTTTATTCTTACAGAGACTGATGACTTGTTGATCTTTTTAAACCTATTTGAAAGTGTTTAGGCTTGCTATAAGATCTTAAAACAATCTCACATGTCTTCTTGGAGAGTCTTCACTTATATTTTACCCTTTACTTTGGAAAATTAATCAATTTTTAGTAATTAACACAAATAATGAGTTTTCTATTCATGTGCCCCTTGTTATAAACATCATCTATAAACATAACTTTTCCTTGATTACAGAATAAATATGTCATACTGATTTTTTTTTGGATACCATCCTTATTTTTGGTTTAGAAAAACAAAATCAAACTTGGTATGACAATATATCACTGCTACTGTTCACCATCAGGAGACACAGCAATTCCTTTGCAGAAATAATGCAAATAATTGCAATAAGATAATAGTACAGAATCAATCTGAGCAGAGTGTGAATGAAGACATTTTCTGGAAGATAAAATTGTGGGGAACAGTTGGTGATGAAAGACAGGCACTAAGGGGGGAAAGCGAAGTTCAGTGAAATAATTTTATAAAAAGAAACTTATAAATTTCAAACTGAACCAACCTCATTATGCTTCTCCTAGAAAATAGAGTGTTTGGATTTGAATTTCCTTGAAAAAGAGGTCTGGATAGAGAGTAAAAATCACATAAGGAAACACCCAAGATGGTTAAAATCTGACACAGCAGAACTATATCTTATCAGGCAATATAACTTCTTATTTATTTTTGCTTTGAGAACATTACTATATTCAGAAACAAATATTATCAGAATTCTACAAATTTAAGATGACTTTTTGTGAGACATGTGAGACAGTTATATTTCCCTCTTTGCAATATTAAAATACTATATTGATCCTTCAATTGGAGGAAGGTATATTATAGTGTAAAGAGGAATAGTTATGGTACCTAATGTCTTCTACCTTATGTCTTCTCCCAGGGACCCAGTTGCATGAGGCCAACCAGCAGCTGCAATTTGAAAATAATGCAGAAGATTTGCAGCGCTGGCTGGAGGATGTTGAGTGGCAAGTCACCTCTGAGGATTATGGGAAAGGCCTGGCCGAGGTACAGAATCGACTCAGGAAACACGGCCTCCTGGAGTCGGCTGTGGCTGCTCGTCAGGTTTGTTGTTAGCTCTTTGGCCAGCCATAAGCAATGGGTGTATATGCTCTGAGCACACTCGTTATTAAGTAATAAGTAATTATTACTTATTAATTACTTAATAAGTAATAATAAGCAATGGGTGTATATGCTCTGAGCACACTGATTATTAAGTAATAAGTAATTATTACTTAATAAGTAATTATTATTATTCAGAGAGCAAAAGAGCAAAGAACCAAAGGTAAAAATTCGAAATTTTTAGTAAACCAACTGCTTTTTCCCAAAATCTCCTCCAATCTAGCCAGGGGTGCTGGGTGCTCAGTGTCTTTGGTCAGAACCTCATGGTTAGTGTAAGGCTTTATTGACTTTTCTAAACATAAACTCTTCTCTCAATCTAGAAATCTGGGTTGTATATACATCCTTGTGGCTTACTAGTTATGTGATCTTTGATAGGTCATTTCACTTTTTGCATCTCTGTATCTTCACTATCCTCACCTATAAAATAAGGGGTTGGGATAAAGTTGTCTTTTCCTGTTCAGGTATTCTGTGATTCAAAGCTTAAAAATATTTTAAATCCTACATTTTTTTAAAATAAGGAAAATTGAAACCAATAGAAGTAAAGTGACTTTCCCAATGTGACAGCGAAAATTAACAACAGAGCCAGAACAATGAACTGATGTCAAGGTTTCTAGTTTCAGAGATATTTTCTCCAACATCATAACAGACTCTTATTTAAAATGAATTTATTCCAAAAGTTCCTAGGTTGTGGATATTCTATGTGAGGTTTGGGAGATTTCAATGGAAATCCACTTCCAGCCCATTCAATTTCTCATCCCAGGAATCCTAGCTTGTATTTAAAAATGATTCCGCCATTCCCTAGAAGATCCCACTAATCTGCCTTTAAAAATACACTTTCATGATGCCTACTCTATGGTCACTCTGAGTTAAATGGAAAAAAACAGAATAATCTACAGAAAACAGGAAAAAAGTCATTTGTATACCTTTAGAGATGGCTCTCTGGGGCTTTAAATAAAGTAAAAGACTGGAGTAGGAAAAATCATACAAATATAGCTCTGAAATCTACCCGGAGAACAGAGTTTCAAAGGATGGAAGGGTATAATTTGTTTAATTTTTTTCTTTAAAAGCAAACAAAAAAGGACATCTTGAAGAAGATAAAATGTTACATGTAAGAGCTTAAGAAATAGGAGTGTGTGACACCATTTGGGAAAGTTAGGGTGGCTGGTCACCAGGAATTTGAACTCCTAATGTGGGTAGAGGCAAAGAAATGATACATGCAAAGGAAATTTTAGATATAGAATGTTAAAGTTGAAAAAGATCTTCAATATCTTCTAGCCCAAAGTTTTCATTATATAGTTTAAGAAACTAAGATCAAAACAGGTGAAAGAACTTTCCCCAAGATCAAATGGCAATGGACTGGCAGCCAAGTATATGAGCCAGATATCCTCTCTCCCTCGCCTGGTGCATCCTGCACTACGTTAGAGGTTTTCAAAGAGTACAGTGGATCTATAGTGATGATGATAATGATTATGTTTGAAAATCCTTCCATTATGTTCTGATTTACAAAAATGTCCTAAGAAATGAGAACAGTTGGCTACTGAGGGATTTTAGTTTTATTTCCTTATAAGTTATCTGATTTTTGGTTTTAATTTATTTTACTTTAAGTTCTGGGATACATGTGCAAAAACTGCAGGTTTGTTACATAAGTATACATGTACCATGGTGGTTTGCTGCACCTATCAACCTGTCATCTAGATTTTAAGCCCTGCATGCATTAGGTATTTAAGTCCTCGACAGGCCCCGGTGTGTGATGTTCCCCTCCCTGTGTCCATGTGTTGTCATTGTTCAACTCCTACTTATGAGTGAGAACATGCGGTGTTTGGCTTTTCATTCCTGTGTTAGTCTGCTGAGAATGATGGCTTCCAGCTTCATCCATGTCCCTGCAAAGGACATGAACTCATTCTTTTTTATGGCTGCATAGTATTCTATATTGTATATGTGCCACATTTTCTTTATCCAGTCTATCATAGATGGGCATCTGAGCTGCTTTTAAGTCTTTGCTATTGTAAATACTGCTACAGTAAACATACATGTGCATGTGTCTTTATAGTAGAATGATTTATAATCCTTTGGGTATATACCCCGTAATGGGATTGCTGGGTCAAATGATATGTCTGGTTCTAGATCCTTGAGGAATCACCAAACTGTCTTCCACAATGGTTGAACTAATTTACACTCCTACTCACAGAGTAAAAGTGTAAGGCCTTTAATTTTTTTATGGAGAAGTGAGTATGTGCTTTAAGAAGTTACTGATAGTCCATATTTTTAAACTTTTTTCCAAATTGAGGAGCCATAGATAAAATCCTTTATAGATTGAGCACTGAATGGCAAAATAGCAAAAATAAAACAAAGTGCCAGATGTTTCTCTGTTCTTGAAGAACTTCTTTTTTTATTATTATACTTTAAGTTCTGGGATACATGTGCAGAATGTGCAGGTTTGTTACATAGGCATACATATGCCATGGTAGTTTGCTGCACCCATCAACCTGTCATCTAGGTTTTAAGCCCTGCATGCATTAGGTATTTGTCCTAATGCTACCTCTCACTTGCTTATGTGCCACTCTTATACCCAATGAACAAACGAGAAAAAAAGGCAAATAAAAATCCTGGGTACTGTGTCTGCCAGGCCAGGTATAGTTTGCCTCACTAATAAAAATGTAGTGTACCTATTGTATCTATTTCACCATATAGGTATACAACTAAAATTTGATTTCTAGGAAGAGCCTTCAAAATCCTGTTTCTGTATCTCTCCTTTCTCAGATATGATTCAAAGGAGGACAACTAGCTGGTGGCAAGGCACTCCGTTAAATTTATCTTTCTGAGCTTCTGACAATTTTTTATAACATCACGTTTCATCTCATAGGTATTGTTTCTGCTATGCAACAAACTTAAGCCTGAGAAGTTTCCATTTATTTGCAGTTATAGCTCATTTTAAAGAGAGAGAAAGAATACAGAAGGTGAACTGAGATAGAAAAACACTTCCAGTTTTTTCCTTGAGGCCCAGTTTGTCAATACTCTTAAACAATCAAACTCTGCAATTCTAATTTTTCTGATTTCCTTGAAGCATTCTATAAATATTTTGATGTTTCTAAAATATGTTTTGAGAACTACTTTCGTATGAATAGCCCTTACCTGATGTGGTGGTCCCCAGTGTAGCAACCCTTCCAACTCCATTTCACTGATTTAATTAGAGATCAGAACACAATGCATATGGGAACTGATTTTCCCATGACCCCGTTTCCACCATGACAAACTCCTATTACTTCCTACTAAATGATGGGATTTCTTCGCATTCATTCTATTTCTCCCTTAGGATCAGGTGGATATCCTTACAGACCTGGCTGCATATTTTGAAGAAATAGGCCATCCTGATTCTAAGGATATAAGGGCAAGGCAAGAGTCCTTGGTATGCCGATTTGAAGCTCTGAAAGAGCCACTGGCCACCCGAAAGAAGAAGCTCTTAGACCTTCTCCATCTGCAGCTGATTTGTAGAGACACAGAGGATGAGGAGGCCTGGATCCAAGAGACTGAACCCTCAGCTACTTCCACCTACCTTGGTTAGTACAGCCTGAGCAGGCTGAGCCACTAGGAAAGGACCAAGGTCTATATATTGAGAGAGATCTGGGGTACAGTAGTTGGAGTCTAGAAAGCTTGCTCTTAGCTGTTTCTTCTCACACTCATGAAAATTTGTCCAGTCCTTCATAAAAATATTTTTAAAAATTATACTAAAAAATTACACCTCCTAAAACTGGACATGAGCAATGCCATGAATTTAGGGCCCCTGGGAAGAGTAGAGTGCTCAGCATTTTGTTGCGTGCTCTAAAACTGTGAAGGTCTTTGAACAGTCATGGTTAATGCCTGAGATACTAAGTGTTTGTGTTTAGGCTGTAGCTGGCCCCTTCTTATAAATCATATGAGATTTTTCTTCTGACAATAGCAGGGGTGAAGTAGCAGATAAAGCACATACTGTCCTTTCCTTCAGAAGCTGCTAGTTCACCAGTGTCGAAGCCAGTACACTTATACTGAGGCAGAGAAAAAGGTGTACACAAATACAGTGCAACTTAGTATGCATAGTTTGGAAACATCTATGAAAGGCTGGACAATGAGGACAATGAAAGGTTTAGTCTGGGAAAACTTCCTGGAAGATAAAAGCCTGAGGCTTATTGGAAAGGCATAGAAAGTTTCTAGAGAGTATATTTTGAATGGGAAGTAGTAAGAAAGAAAGTTTAGAGGGAAAAGAGATAAAGCATGGTTAGGATACAGGGAGGATAAAGCAGACAGCAGGATTTCGGGATCTTAGAAGATGAAGGAAATTCACAGTGAGAAGTATTTATTGTTTGCTTGTTAATGCTATGCAATCAATGAGGCACTTTTTGTAAGTTATTTCTAATGATTACAAATAGATCTTCAAACCAGTTACACTGTGCCTTTTTCATGATGAGAAAACTTGGGCATAGAAGATTTAAAAACTTTCTGAAGTCCATAGAAATTAGCAAGTAGAAGTTCCTTCCTTGTACATCACAATATGCTGAAAGACAATTGTGTGCCTAATATTGGACATTTGAACTAAGAAGTTACTTGCCTTCATACCTATCTTTCAACAACAATAGTGATGTTTTCATTATCTGTTGTATAACAGTGAATTGAAATTTATTAATAAAAAGAGGCCAGGGGAAGAACAAAGATAAGTAGAGTGAAATCAGACAGATGATATAAATTTAAAGAATCTTACTCAATGGTTAGAACTTCAAAGGAAAGAACCTGTGGGTCCAAGAGTTCTAAAAAAGTGAGGTATGCTACTTCCATACACCAGGATAATCCGAAACTTTGAAATTCCTTTCCTCTGCAGGAAAGGACCTGATTGCTTCCAAAAAGCTTCTGAATAGGCATAGAGTCATCCTGGAGAACATTGCCAGCCATGAACCACGCATTCAAGAGATAACAGAAAGGGGAAACAAAATGGTAGAGGAAGGTATGTATGATTGAGATTCAGTTGGACAAAACATCACCAGGCCAGACCTCTGGGAAGAAGTTTGTACTATCCTAGGGTTTCAAGGGAATTTAAAAATATCTGACTCATTTTCCCACTTAATGCTCTTTTGGCATTTCTGACAAATGGGCATATGGTTTTGTTTGTATATTTCAATAACAGGAATATTCCAATCCTGTGAACCACTATTTGTTTGTAAAACAAAAATTATTAAAGTAAAATGTCTTTATCCTAATCATTAATATGCTTCTCTGTAGAAGTTCCAGAATTCAGAATCTAATTTACAAAGCCCTATGAATTAAATCAGGTCTCTTTTCCATATGGGAGCTTCCAGATCTGTGAAGGCAGATCTTAGTTATGCAGTGTTGAACTATTTTTATAGTAAACTGTTCCATTTCTTTAGCTTCTCACTTCATATAGTTTCAATACCTCTGTTCATTCTTTTCATCCAATTCAGAAATTCCTGATGCTTAAGTATGATGTTCAGTTTTGAACATCATAAGCCAGGTATGGTATAAGCAGTGCAGATTACACTGGGATTTTCCCTCTGTTGATTGAAGAATCAGTTGATGCCAACCAGTATCTAGTTTTCAAAAGTATAGGTTAAAATTCAGTTTGCTGAGAAAAACTTCAGATCCCACCTGAGTGATTCAAACCAACAACTGTAGAAATTCGCCTGTTTTTTAAATCTTCAACTATACTTGTAGATTTTGTCTTCTTCTCTTTTCAGTTCTATCAGTTTTTGTTTCTTATATTTTGAAGCTCTGTTATTACATGCATATACATTTAGTATTGTTATGTCTTTTTGATGAAGTTAAATCTTCACATTATGAAATATCAATCTTTATCCCTGGTGAAATTCTTTGTTCTGAAGCCTTTAGTAAACTAATAAAAGCCACATGAGCTATCTTTTGATTAGTTTTTGCATAGTGCATATTTCTCCATCTTTTTGCTTGCACTCTGTTTCTTATATTTAAAGTGAGATTCTTATAAATAGCATATAATCAGGCCTTGTTTTTATTCTATTCAATCTGGTAATTTTTCTTTTTTAATTGTGATATTTAGACAATTTACACTTAGTGCAATCATCAATATGGTTTATTTTAAATCTGGCAAGTTGCTATGTTTTTTCTTTTTATCTATCACTTTATGTCTCCTTTAGATCAATTTTGTATTTATTGTGATTCCATCTTATCTTCAAATTGGCCTATTAGCTACAATTGCTGTTTTGTGTTTGTGTGTGTATGTTTATTATAGCACAGTGATTTTGCCATTGTGATTTGGAGTCCTTTTAGGGTCTCTGACACACTCTTAGTGGATTCACAAAGTTAAAATATTTTCATAATAATGCTAAGACTAGGCCGGGCGCGGTGGCTCACGCCTGTAATCCCAGCACTTTGGGAGGCCGAGGCGAGTGGATCATGAGGTCAGGAGATCGAGACCATCCTGGCTAACAAGGTGAAACCCCGTCTCTACTAAAAATACAAAAAATTAGCCGGGCGCGGTGGCGGGCGCCTGTAGTCCCAGCTACTCGGGAGGCTGAGGCAGGAGAATGGCGTGAACCCGGGAAGCGGAGCTTGCAGTGAGCCGAGATTGCGCCACTGCAGTCCGCAGTCCGGCCTGGGCGACAGAGCGAGACTCCGTCTCAAAAAAAAAAAAAAAAAAAAAAAAAATAATGCTAAGACTATTATTTTCTTTTACAGACTTATTCTTTTATAAGCATAGAATGGAGTTTCCCAGAGCCTAGAGATGGGTGATGATGTCACTGTTCTGTCTAATGGAGTATATGCTTGTACATTCTTTTCTTTCAAAGCTTCTTGTTTTGATTTCTTATATGGGAACTATTAATCAGTCTAACTATATAAGCAAAAGATATTTTGCATTCTTAATAATTTTTAAAATTGTAAAGGGATCCCAAAAGCACAAATTTGAAAGCCACTATTCCAGGAATTAAAATATAGATTTTTTTAATCTATCATAGTCTAATTTCAAATAATATTATGCATTTCATGTTTAATATAAGATTCTTAAATTGATACTTCCATTTGTTTTCACCCTTGTGCTATTGGTGTCACATATTTTAAATTTTTACATGTTATATACCCTATAATTCAACATCATTATCTTTGCTTTGGTAGTCAACTGGTTTTGAATGAGATTATTAAATGAGAAAAAAATTCACCCTCATAGTTCCCATTTCCAGTATTCTTCATTCCTTTCTTTAGGTTAATATTTTCATTTGTATTATTTTTCTTCTGCTTGAAGAACTTCATCTAACATTCCTTATATTGCAGGTCTTCTATCCATAAATTCTCTAGACTTTTGTTCATCTAAAGGTCTTCATTCTACCTTCCTTTTTGAAATATATTTTCACTACATATAAAATTCTTGGTTGACAACTTCTTTCTTCCAGTATTTTAAAGATGTGCTGTCTTGTCTTCTGACTTTGCAAGCTTCTGATAAGAAGTCTGCTGTCATCATGATCTTTGCTCCTCTGTATGTAATATGTCTTTTTTTCCCCCTCTACCTGTTTTAAAGCTTTTCTCTTTATCACTGGTATTAAACAACTTGATTATGCTATAACTTGATGGAGTTTTCCTTGTTTATTCAGCTCGGTGATTGTTGAGCTCCTTGGATCTGTTTTGTTATGGTACTCCTGGGGCAGGGTTTATTAGGGGACTGATTTAGAGATGAAAGTAATATTGAGATATGTTACTCTTCTGAGGACCCTATCTCATGTATTACAATATTTTTCCACTTTGATGGGTGGAATGTTAACTATTTTCATTCTTAATTGAGGCCTAGAAGTTGTTTGTCCACTGCTTTTAAGTCACTCTTTTCTCACCCTCCAGGATTTCCTTATACATGTGTGCATATGAGTAATCAGACAAATACTCTAGGGAACTTCTCTGAAAAGGTCTATCTCTCTGTAACACCCTTCTCTTTGACACTCAACCTCACAAGTTCTAGTTCTCTTGTCTTTCCCAAATGTTGATCTCTGTGTCCTCAATTCAGTGTGACTGGTGGTTCTATCTGGGTTAGCTACCCAGGCCTACAGCCCAGAAACCTCCTGAGGCATAAGCTTGGCAATTATAAAATATATCTCATTTATTTCCCTTCTCTCAGGAATCAGAGTCCTCTCTCCATTGTCTGAAAATCATTTTATCTTACAGCTTTTCCTGTTTTCTAGTTGTTTAGGGTGGAAGAGCAACTCTCATAGTAATAACTCCTTTATGGGAAGAAATGGAAATCAGCTGATTTTTCTGCTTCATCTAAAGAAGACATGATTTTGGAACTCTCAGTCACCCACACATTAGTATTCTGTTTTCAAGTCTGTCTTTGTCAGACAATACCAACCCATTCACCACCACATGCATATCTCCCATTAGTACCTTTTGTTACTTAATCTCACTTAGGATATTTCAATTCCCAGGTAACTCAAGAAAAATATAACGTCGACTAAATAACATACCATTTTTATCACTTCCTTTCTCTTTTCCAAGGTACCAAAAGGATTAGAGTATGGTAAACACTCATGAGGATCATACTCACCTTTTCTATAATTACTCCATAGGACACTTTGCTGCAGAAGATGTGGCCTCTAGGGTCAAGAGTTTGAACCAGAATATGGAGTCTCTCCGTGCTCGAGCTGCTAGGCGACAAAATGATCTTGAAGCCAATGTCCAGTTCCAGCAGTACCTGGCTGACCTGCATGAAGCAGAAACATGGATCAGAGAGAAGGAACCTATTGTAGATAATACTAACTATGGTGCTGATGAAGAAGCAGCTGGGGTAAGGTGGGGGTGGGTTTAACATTGTGAATCCTCAACAAACGCAACCAAATTATCAATTTAGGGTTTGCTTAGGTTGTGGGACAGCTACAGATTCTGCCAGATTATTTGGGGTTTCCAGAGTGGTCGCCGTTGGCCTTCATCTGCTGAGACTCCCTCAGAGTTGACAGGAATCCCAAAAGATATGCTACATTTTTCTCATCCCATGGAGATTCATATACTCTTTAGAGATTATCTAAATCAAAAAAGTGTGATCAGAGTCATAGTCATAATCCGATCCTAAACTTTCCAGAGTAACCTTGAGCATTTATAAATTAATCATGGTTTTAAGATAGAGACACCTTAATTACTTGATTAAAATAAAATTGGACAGATATGTTGGGGCAAGAAGAACCACAAAGGTTATAATCACACTTTTTATCCATTTATTTGTTTTGCACATTGTCCCATAGGAAGCTGGTATAGTATTTCACAAACCTTTGGAACTAGAAATTATTGGTATGCATATTTTAAGTTACACTAATGTTTATCCTATAAAGTAACAGTATCAACAGCATCCTCTTTTCAGCTATAATCTGTGTTGATAAAAATACTTTTGCAAGTTTGAGTTAATTTTGATTTTAGTAAACATATTGAAATTATAATTTATTAATTCCTATTTCCTTCATGCTTGCAAATTTAGGGTTAAAAATAACTTTATGATAGATGGAAAGCAGCTTTTACCAGGATTTAAGACAAATAGCATAACCCAAAATAATAGTAGTTGAAATAATAGTGTTCCTCCTATATTCATTCTGATGATCTTCCATCAATAAATGCAGGCTCTTCTAAAGAAGCATGAGGCCTTTCTATTAGATCTCAATTCATTTGGAGACAGTATGAAAGCTCTGCGGAATCAGGCAAACGCCTGCCAGGTAAGACTAACTTAGCGATGACAGGATTCACACTTCCCACCACAAAGAAAAAGAAATTGTCTTTATTGCTGATTTTTTACTTTCTACAACCCCAAAAACAATGGCAAAGAAAACACTAAGTTCTATGACCCTTGTATGCAGGAACTGTAGCATCCACAATTTAGTCCAAAGGAGACTTTGTCCAAAAGAGGTTTTTGATAAATGGTATCATGTCTTCATTGATGTATTTTTGGCTTTCCTCTTTCCTTCCTTTTATATTTCTACCCTTCTTTCTTTCTTACTTTTCTTCATTTATGTCTCTCCTTCTTATCTTTCTTCTTTACTCCCTTCTTTTGTTTCTTAATTTTTAATGCCAAAACTTATTAAATGTCTACTATATGTAAGTATGAATAAAAAATCCTGATTTGCAGGAAAATTACAGTCTATTAGGAGGCCAGATGTTTAACAGTAAGTGCATATAATAGATGTATGAACAGGACAAAGAGTCTCAAAGAAAGGCCTCTTGTGTTCTCTTGAAATAACAGTACTGGAAAACAGGAAAATTTTTGTAAGCTAAGGGAAACCGCCTGATCTGAATTATTAAGGAAAGACAGATGGGTAGTTTACTGTGCAGAGAAAGAGGATAAGCGTTTTTCTAGTCAATAAACCATGAGAGCAAATGCACTGAGGCACAAAACAATCAAGTTTTGTGGAAAATGCAATTGGTTAAGAATGTGAGAATGGAAGATGCAATTGGTTGAGAATATGAGAATGGCTCAGGTACAGGGCAAAACTGGGTGTCATGAAGATTAATTGAACTGGAATCAAATAAATGTTATAACAATGTCTACTATATGTAGTGGTAGAAAAAAAGAGACACACTTCTTACCTTCAAGGAATTCTTTCTAATGAGAGGTTGTTAATCCACACATTCAGAGTAAACAAAAGACGTAGACTCAGTCTGTCAAATCAGTGTATATTTACAGACCTCCTATACTGTGCCTTCACCAGGCTCTGCACAGTGGGTGCCTAAACAAGAACAGAAGGATTTATATATTGTGTGGTATGAGGAAACATGTTACCTAAAGGAGATGAAATTAGAGGGCTCTGTCGGTGGAGGTGCATATTCAACTCCAACCTGAGGAAGGGGTGGGTCATTCCTTAGGAAGAGGGGTTATGTTTTGCTTGATTTCTCAGAGACATGAAATTGGCAGAAAGTAAAAATCAGAGAAAATTCTACCTTAGAATGCAGGCTGCTTACTAAACTGAGACACAAGATACTTTTAATGATCTCAGTTAATGTTCTCAGTTTTTAAAATTCTGTGGCCTTTCCTGTGCTATTGATCACTCATATCTCAAATAGAAGGTCCGGAGCTCCTGACATAGTAACTTAAAGGCCAGAAGGAGTGGGAAGAATTATCACTGGAGGTACAGGGAAAGGTGACGACAGAGAGTGGGTCTTTTCACTTTCTCAAACAATTTTTTGAAATGTTGATGTGTATAATCCTGTTGGACCTTCTTAAGGGAGTACACTTCTTAAAATGTACTCCTCCCATTTTAAGAACTGATGGCTTAGAGCATTTAATACGTTTCTGACAAATTATGTATTTCCTTCCTTGCTTTGGGTTTATAGTTCCCAACCTGCCTGTCCCCGATAAGTGTCAGAATGGAGCAGTCTCTCTGAAGACCACATACTTTAATCTCTGCAGCCACGTAAGAGGTTCCAGCCAGAGGCTCTTTTCTCCTGGGAAGCCTAAAGGACTACTCACCCCTGGTAAGCTGTACAGGGAGATATTTCCAGTGCGTGACTGACACCTGCTTCCTGTTTTTATTCAGCAACAACAGGCTGCACCAGTGGAGGGAGTTGCTGGAGAACAAAGGGTCATGGCTTTATATGACTTCCAGGCCCGCAGCCCCCGAGAAGTCACCATGAAGAAAGGTGATGTCTTAACGCTGCTCAGTTCCATCAATAAGGTGACTTTTCCTTCTAATCTTTCCATCAAAAAGTGGCTCTTTCAGAACCATCTCTCCCAATCCTGCCAGATATTCATATTTTTACCATCTAACATTTATTTTATTATTTTATTTCTTGAATAACTATAACTGATTAGGTAGTATTTTTCCTGTAGATATTTTGCAGGATCCTACACATATCTTTTGGAATTATAATCCCAATGTTGCAGTTAAAATCATAAAGAATTGAAGTTATATAATTAGCCCAAAGATATAGAAAGTATGAGTGGAAATTCTATAATATATTTAAAGGGCTAAGCTGTCTCTTTCTTTCTTCCTCTTTGCTTGTTCCTCTTCTGTGCCAGTATTTCTAGTGATAAAATAACAATGTCTGGGGTTAGAAGGAGCCTACCAAAAGATGAGTCTTTTGTCAACTTGATTTTCTTTAGATCTTGTGCCTGGAAGAACAGTGATAAAATATTGGTTGAGATTTTTAAATATATTTTTCATAAAAACTGAAGTAATTTTTTATACTCTGATACCTAATTAATCTACAAAAATTCTTAAGAAGAAAAGAAAATAGTTTGGGCTATAGTTATTCCAAAGACAAGTAAATGTTTGGAGCGGCAGATGTTTCATTATCAAATAATGTGTGCCAGTCCATTTTTTCTTTGTCTAGGCCTCTTCATTATTTTTTGAGGAAATTAGCCTCAGGGTTTTGGTAGATGTGGCAACAGTTCAAAAATAAAAAATAAAGTAACACTCAGGTATATGAATGTCAGAGCAATTCACATTTTTCAGACCTCTGCAAGAAGAATAGAAGAGAAGAATTTTTGTGCAATATCCTCTTACACAGACGCTCCACTGCCAAGAAATCCAGCTAGAGCCTGGCTCCATGTGTTTTTTGTAAATTCCTCATGAACAAAGTGCCCCATCATTAAAAGAGCTGTCTTGGGTGTTTGAAAATCTCTCCAAAGTTAAGGGTCTAACATTAGGTATCAGATTACTTGATTTCAGGGGCTTGTCTATGCAATTCTTCATTTCATTTCTTGGTCATATATGAAAATTATGTGCCACTCATTAGACATGGTTAGCTTATCTTTGCCATTAACCTGTGCCTGGGCCAAGAGACTTAGTGTTGAAGTCTCTCCCGTTTGTTGCTTTTCCAAGAATTAATGACGGAGTGGGGATCTGCTCTCCCTTCAGGACTGGTGGAAGGTGGAAGCTGCTGATCATCAGGGCATTGTCCCAGCTGTCTATGTCAGAAGACTGGCCCACGATGAGTTCCCGATGCTCCCACAGCGGCGACGAGAAGAGCCAGGAAACATCACCCAGCGCCAGGAGCAGATTGAGAACCAGTAAGTTCTGGAGCCTGGAGAACTGAACAGTATTTGGTCAGACATTTTTCGCCAAAGGCATTTCTTCTCATGACCCTGCATCTGTTAGATTTGAGATGCCACAGAAAATCTGAAGATTTTAAGAATCGAAAGTAAACCTAGAATCTTTTAAATGTTTCGGTTTCTTTTTGAGGAAAGGCAACCCCAGAATCATTCCATCAATTTCCTGAGGTCATACACTTCACAGAGCTCTTCTGATTCCCTGCCCCACATTCTTTCAAGGTTATTAAAGTCTCCTGACATCTATATGAACTTTGTTTACTATGCCAGGCTTTTCATATCCAATTGTCAGTTACCATGTAAAAATGTCACTTTTATGAAATGGGAAAGGAATGTTGCCAGTCATACTATTGGGTCACTGGCATTTTTACTATTTTTAAATGCAATCCTATGTGTTTATCTTTTTGCCCCCAAGGCTGTTTTCCTTCTAAGTTTATTTCCTCCTCTCTTCTACTATTCTTTTGCTTTTGATTTGTTTTCCCTTTCATTTTTGTTCCTTCTTTCTCTATGTTTGTCACTCAGCCTCTACTCTTCTGTATTTTCTCCTTCTTTTATTCCACTTTTCCCAATTCTCCATCCAGATACCGCTCCCTCTTGGATCGGGCAGAAGAACGCAGACGTCGTCTATTGCAACGTTATAATGAATTTTTATTGGCCTATGAGGCAGGAGACATGCTGGAATGGATTCAAGAGAAAAAGGCAGAAAACACTGGAGTGGAACTAGATGATGTTTGGGAGCTGCAGAAAAAGTTTGATGAGTTCCAAAAGGTGAGAAAGAGGAACCTTCTCTTGAAGGTTGCCATTGTTTGCTTTTATCCCTCAGCATATTCTACATGATCTTTTAATTTATTTCACACTTGTTAAATATTCTCCCCAAAGCTATTGGCAACTCTGTGGCTGAGATCTCCCTCTAGGTATTGTAGTTGCTAATAATTGGAAGGGAAATGCAGAGAAAACTAGTTACCCTAACTGCAGCCTTCAGTGCCTGCCACTCCAAAATCCTCCCTGGAGTGCTGGTCTTCCTGAATTCTTCACAACTTGCCCTATACTATACTTTGTTTCCAGTGCCCAGGTTGGGATAAGGTATTGTTGTACCATGTGTAAAGTTTAATTATGGGGCAGAGTTTGGGGTGGAAGAAGGAAGAACCTGACTTGACAAACAATTTCTAATTTTTTGCCTACCTAAAACCCTTTCAATATTCTTTCTTCCCTTAGATTTTTTTCCATTATCTTAACTAGCAGTGAGTGTACATTCCTTCTTTTCTTTTTCTTTTGATATCTTCCACGTGGGATTTAACACACACACACGCGCACACACACACACAGAGAGAGAGAGAGAGAGAGAGAGAGAGAGCACTCCCTAGAGCTGTTTCTTACAATATCTCATAATATAGGCAGATAATAACTCAGTTAAAGAAATCTTTAAAGCTGGAGTTTGTACTGGTAGAAAAGGATGTTACACAGCTCAGGTATCAATCCCTCTAATGGTATAATTTAATCCAGGGGAGATTTTAAGAAATCTAGAAAAATGGCTGTGCTTCATACTACAGATAAATAATAGTTATCTTGACAAGTTTTGGACAGCCACTAGGTGTCAAGATCTTTAAGGATACTCTTCTCAGTGGTGGATTGGAGGAGAGGAGCTTGGTGTGTATTACGGTGATGTAGGGGCAGAGATGGACAGGTAAGTATGGTAGATTCTTGATGAGGGGATTTACACTGCTTTGGATGAATTTACACTGCTTTGGATGAATTTTCCCATTCAGGATTTGAATACCAATGAGCCTCGGCTAAGGGATATCAACAAGGTAGCTGATGATCTACTATTTGAAGGACTTCTAACACCAGAAGGAGCTCAAATCCGGCAGGTAACTAAGGCTCCCTCCATTCCTCCTCACTACCAGGTTGGGCTTTGGGAGTCCTCATTTCACTTCAACATGGAACTTTATATTCTGCAGACCCACTAGAACATGCAGAAGGTAACAGCAGTATGGAATTAGCTACAGGAAAGGCCAAAGACAATAGCCCAAATAGTCCCTGTATTTTTGTTGTCTAAATTAACTTAATTAAAGCAGGCTCATTTGTTAACATATATTGAGTGTCCTCCATGCCCTCACATATGTCATTTCATGGATGGGGTGGGAAAGGAGACAAAAGTATTGGTAGCAGAAATTAAGATGTAGCTTTAAAAGGCAGGATTAGGAGGTTTAGATAATATTACACTGGACATTAGGTAAATTAGATTTACATCATAGCTGTATTCTTGTCTGACTGTGTGTCCTCAGACAAGTCTCTTCATTTCTAAAAACCTCAGTTTCTATATCTGAAAGCAAATATTGGATAGCACAATATCCAAATTACAATATCCAAACCTCCTCTTAATCTTCTGTACCAGGCTACACCAAATTAAACGTAAAGTTTTTTCCTTACATGTCCACCCAATAATATAATTGAATTTGAACTGCAATTTTGGAATATATACATTTGAACTGATCTAAAATTCTTAAATTACAACACATACTCACCTCTCTTTCACTGTCACACACAGAAGAAATTCTCAATTACATGAATTCAAAGACAATGCAGATAAAGAAGCTATGATAGTGGGAAGAGGTTGATCAAGAAAGTTTACTGGAAGACACAGATTCTGATCAACGTGCTGAAGAAGGAGAATATAGGTCAGTAGAGACAGAGGAGAGGCCATTCTTGACCTGATTCAGATCTGGATCTATGATTCCATAAAAGATCTAATGAACATTAATAAATGTTCAGTCTAGTTCTCTGGAATGCCATAGTCAGTGAGGATGAGTTTTCTGCCTGTTTTTATAGTGGTTGTTATGGGATAAGAAGGTGAAGAAATACGAAGCGGAACAATGTACTTACCCCCTATAGAAAGTAGGGCTTTAAAAGTCTACCTGGTTTATTCAATTCAGAATACAGAATTGTTTGTCTTAGAGAAATGTGATCACTTCTAACTACCAAGGCAACACTTCCCATTCATTTTTTGGAGTTTACAGTGCAGTCTTTGTAATAGCAAGCACTTATTTACTGCTCCGGAGTTGATGGTTTCACCCTTTAACATCAGTTTGGGAAGAAATCACTTTCTCTGCTGCACTGGCAAAAATGAGGCCCAAGCTCAAGCTGTCCAAGAAAGAAGCAAAGCTATGCAATTTCTGAAGAAAATAACGTAAAAACAACTATGTTTTAAATCTTGTCTGGTCTTCAGACGCCACTGAGCCATGTGAGTTAGTTCTCTGTCTCAAGTCTGATGTTTTTGCCTCTTTTAGGAATTGAATTCCCGCTGGGGTTCTTTGCAGAGGCTTGCAGATGAACAGCGGCAGCTGCTGGGCAGTGCCCATGCTGTTGAAGTGTTTCACAGGTAATAATTATAACTCTAAAAAGCAGTGCTGCTTTAAAACCCACTCACTAAACTTCTAAGTCTATTACTATGGTGGAACCATAGTATAATCTTTTTTCGTGAGATGGAGACAATGTGCCAATAGAAAATTAGGTTTTTTAGTAGTATGATTCTCACTTCACAAACAGGATACTCCCAGACAACTAGCTTCAATTTTCTAAAGCCTAGGCTTGGGCCTTGGAACATAATTAGTAGTCTATATATGTTTCCATGAAAATGAATAACACTTAGGCTGAGGGCAGTGGCTCACAGCTGTAATCCCAGCACTTTGGGTGGCCGAGGCAGGAGGATTGCTTTAGGCCGAGAGTTGTAGACCAACCTGGGCAACAAAGCAAGACATTGTCTCCACAAAAAAATAAAAAATGAAAAATTAGCCCAGTGTGGTGGCACAGGCCTATGGTCCCAACTACTTGGGAGGTTGAGCTGGGAGGATCACTTGAGCCAGGAGGCTGAGGCTACAGTGAGCCTTGATCAAGCCATTGCACTCCAGCCTATTGCAACAGAGTGAGACCCTTATCTTCAAAATCAAAACAGAAAGAAAGAAACTTGAAGTTGAAACAGGAGGTTTAAGTAATTACATTTCTCAACTAGAAGCTGACAGTAGAGGGCAACAGACATCACATTGACTATCAGCTCATTCAACATTTTTCTTGTTTGATTTTCAAACTAAGAAACACAAAGACACATACAAAAAAGTAAACAAACAAAACAGAAACTAAACACCTTCATTGTGTATAAATGTATTTTTGATGATGCAGGGAAGGAAAAACAGACTCAGACAGGTCTGTGTGTGTAGAATGCTTAAGATAGAAAGCTATGGAAATATGATGGTTAAGCATGTGACTGCTGTCAGATGGCCTGGTTCAAGCTTAGGCTCCACCATTCAGCAGTGGTATAATCTTGAGAAAATACTTACCCTCTTTAGTCCTCAGTTTTCTGATCTATTTAATGGGAATAGTAATAGTAACTATGCTTCTTGGAGTTGTGAAGATTAAATGAGCCTAAGTTTCTAGCACATAAAAAACAATGATGATAATTGGTTGGGGTGGGGGGGTGGGTGGGAGGATGGTGAGTGGTAGTGATGATAACTTTCTTGTGACCCCCACTAGCCTGCCTCTGGTACATATCCTTACTTTTGAACTCTCTACTCTCTTGTATACCAGAGAAGCAGATGACACGAAGGAGCAGATTGAGAAGAAATGCCAGGCCCTCAGTGCTGCAGACCCTGGCTCAGATCTGTTCAGTGTTCAGGCTCTTCAGCGACGGCATGAGGGCTTTGAAAGGGACCTCGTACCCCTGGGAGATAAGGTGAGACAAGTCCTTCAAAGCTTTTCCAACACTTTCCAGTCTATATTTAGCCGTATACCAATGCCCTCTTCTTTGGTTCTCTTTTTCAGTCTTTTATTCTTATATTTCTCTCTGTTCTGTGCCATATTTATTCTTGTACACTGTCCCTAAGGCAAGACCATGAAAAGGATATGCCCCATGACCATTAACATGGGGAAAAAACTTGTTAAACTCCTGCTGTCTGAGTGAGCACCCTATATCCCCTTGCCTCTTTGGTGGGTTACAAGTGACCAGATCTTGTGGCAGCTAGGTGGAGGCCAGTAGCCCAGAAGAAATAGCAAATGTCCATACCCAGGATGATCAGGCCAATATCTGAGTATGGTGCATGTTTTTCTTAGCAAGGAATTGAATGAGTTGTTTAACTCTGTTTCAACCCAAAAGTGTACTCTGGAGCTTGTCAGATATACTCAGAGGCTTGGCATTATCATGCAGAGCAAAAAGAAGCTCCTCACATGAAGAATCAAGACCCTTGGGTTTCCTAATTGAGGTTGCCACTAACCAGCAGAGTCACTTAACCACTCTTCCCCACAACTCTCTTATTTTTAAAAAGAAGTATGGTAATGCCAATTGTAACTACCTTAGGGAGTTATGTGGACTAAAAGGTTGATATTATTTTGTAAAGTATGATGACATACTTGTACATCACTGATATCTATTTGAGGAGCTGAATACTGGGACTCAGGATTCTCCTTTTGCTAAGATTCAGGTGTGTCTCTAGGCTGATTATCAGAGCTATTGTACCTCCCCAGGTGACCATACTGGGGGAGACAGCAGAGCGGCTCAGTGAGTCCCATCCAGATGCCACTGAGGACCTGCAGAGACAGAAAATGGAGCTGAATGAGGCCTGGGAAGACCTGCAGGGGCGTACAAAGGATCGTAAGGAGAGCCTAAATGAGGCCCAGAAATTCTACCTGTTCCTCAGCAAGGCCAGGTAGAGTGGGGTGGGTAACTTCCGTGTCTGGCCTCTAAGTAGACTGTCTGGGAGCAGTCTGGGTACAGATGCTGTTCACTGCTGGTTTTGGAGGGCATCACTACGTTTAAGTCTCACCTCTTGCAAGGCATAAAAAATTTCAGGTTTGAAACTAGAAGCAATAAAATACAAAGTTTGAAAGAATATGAAGCCATGTAGGCCAATTAAGTAAGCTTCTATAATGTAGAAGCTTTTTTGTTCTACTGAAGAGACAGTAGTATTCAGTCTTCTACTGTATTCAGTATTCTGTTGAATACAAATAACTATGGTAGAACATAATGAGGCCGAAAACACACATTGTAACAAACAGCAGTGGGAATTCAGAGTTGGGTAGAATAGATGATGCACTGTAGATAAAGTAACATTTTATTACACCTTATCAGTCAAACTTTTAACAGAAGAGAAAACAATTCATGTAGACTGAACTGTGCAAAAAAAGACATAATCATGAGAAAAGAATAAGCATAAGAACATGTTTGGGGAGGGGGTGGTAAGGAGAAGTAGTAAGAGATAAACTTAAAAATAATATTGGGACCAAATTCCAGAGAACTGTGAATATCTTACTAAAGTCTAGACATTATCACAATCCAAAATTCACCTCTCAAACATATACTTTGTGGAACAGTTCCCACGTTTGGCTCTATCGCATCAGTCAGCTGAGAGGAGCATTAGAGTAGAGGGTCCAGGAAGTTGTAGCTCTCAATGCAATGCTTTTCAAGAAAAAAGGAGGCAAATTTTGGCAAATGACTGTAGTTCCTCTTGGAAATCCCCTCCCCAGTTCAGCACTGGAAAGCTATAGTTTTTGACACAGTTTAAATAAATAGCACCCACACCCATTCCAATGGTGCTTCCTTCCCTTTATGAAGCTGTACTCCTCAGTATTTCAGAGTAGTGTTCCCACCCCTGAGCAACATTAACATCTTATTTTACTCCATATGATACTTTTGCTTTCAGTTTTGTTTTTTAATTGCTATTAGTGCCTATGCTCTGTTTTTTGTTTGTTTTTTGTTTTGTTTTGTTTTGTTTTTATCCATTCTTAACCTAAAGTATGAGTTCCTAGAAGGCACAGATATGCCTTTTTCACAATGTTTGGTACTTAGTAAGCACCCAATAAAACTTAGTTGCTTGAATAAATAAATTTACAAAAGAAGAGACCTCTCTTTCCTAGAGCTAAGGGTTCCTGTTGAGCAAACAAGAGTAATGACATTCTTTATGAGATGCTTAATTTATACACCATATATGCTTTAAAGTTAATGCATAGTTAAAATTTGCCTTTTAAGAAGATAGACCTTAGTTTTGCTCGTCTAACTTCCTGACTACTAAAAGGGTAGGGAAATAGACCTTGATTTAATCAACAGTGTGGAGGCCTGTGTGTGTATGTGTATGTTGGCCAAAATATGTGCTAGATTCACTTGAGAATAAAAGTAAGAGGAAAGACATGATTTCTTTGAGACTCTGTAATAAGATGTATCTTCAAACCCTAGAAACCACTTAAAAGGAACAGTAACCAACAGAAGTAATGAAATATATAACAGTCCAGGATTCCAGAGGTCTAGGTTTTATTGAAGATGTCTGCTTTTAGTTATACCACATAGGCAGATTAATTACCTTTTCTAAGGTGACTTCTTTATCTCCATAATGAAAACAAAAAATTCCCGGAATCTCTGCAGGATTACTGCAAGAATTGAAAAAGATAATAAAAGTGAAGAGGCTTTCAAATACAAGGGATTGTTATCATTAGGTGATATAATAAAAACAGCAAACGTAAGATCTGTAAAGCATATAAAGCCAGATAAAAAATGTTATTCTGGAAATGTTTTCTAGAGAATGGAAAACTGTAGGACAAACAGCACTGTAGCAAGTTGCAAGGTTTTCTTGTCAATTCCAATGTGTCTGTTTATCTAGGGATCTGCAGAACTGGATCAGTAGCATTGGTGGCATGGTATCATCACAGGAGCTGGCCGAAGACTTAACTGGCATAGAGATCTTGCTGGAGAGACATCAGGTAAAACTACAAAAGTCACAGCCACTGATCACTTGACCTGAAACCTCTACTAATTTTAAAATTTCCAATGGAGTTGGCCTCACTGATTTCTTCCCCCTTTTTCCCACAGGAGCACCGTGCTGACATGGAGGCAGAGGCTCCCACCTTCCAGGCCTTAGAGGACTTCAGTGCAGAACTTATCGACAGTGGGCACCATGCTAGCCCTGAAATTGAAAAAAAGCTTCAAGCTGTCAAGCTAGAGAGAGATGATTTGGAGAAGGCTTGGGAAAAACGCAAGAAGATCCTAGACCAGTGCCTGGAGTTGCAGGTACAGCAAATTTCCCAATTGTTAAGCAGGTTCAGTAGTCTGTTTCTCCTATGCAATTTCATATGGTCATTACAGGCTCCGTTCACTAGACTTTCCACGTTATAAACACAAAGGGAGCTCATCTCTTAATTACCTAGCATTGTACTATGCTTTCTATACCGATCATTGTCATATTCTCTGCTCTTTCTTGTTAGAAGAGCCAAACAAGATGGTGATCAGTCCTGAGCATGAGGTGGGTTGACTATCATTTGTTGATTGACTGAGGAATTGATTGGCTGATTTTTGTTGAGACTCTACTCTGTGGAGGCTCGGAGTGCCACAAAGATTAGTAAGATAGTTTCCCATTTCTTAAATAGTGAAATTAGACATATAGATAAATTTTACTAGTACAGTGAGATGATTATTAATAAACCAAAATGTACGAGTGCTTTGAGGCTAAAAAACAAGAAGTGATTAAAGCTTTTGGGGGAAGTAAGTGGTTGTGTCACAGGCTACCCTGAAGGATAACGTTTCACAAAGTCTTAAGGAAATGACCAGCCAGTATTAACAAGGTTTAAGAAATAGGAAATAGCACCCCAGGAATTGGAGGTAGCATATACAGAAACATAAAGTGTATGTTTGGAAAAGAGGAAAAGTTCCAGTACAGCTAAGATTTGTCACATGAGTGTTTCTTGGAAGATGGTAAGTACTCCTTGCAAAACCCTTTGTGTCATGATCCTGAAAGAGGTGTAACATCATTTCCTCCACACCACATGGACTATACCATACCCCTCTCATTTGATTCCTCATAGATGTTCCAGGGGAACTGTGATCAAGTTGAGAGCTGGATGGTGGCACGTGAGAATTCCCTGAGGTCAGATGACAAAAGTTCCTTAGACAGTCTGGAGGCTTTGATGAAGAAACGGGACGATTTGGACAAAGCAATCACTGCCCAGGTAATAATGACTAGTAAAGGAATTAAAATAATAATCCGTAGTAATAATAACAGAAATCCTACACATTTGTCTGGTTTTATAATTTATAAACATTTTGATTTACTTTTTTTTTTTTTGAGATGGAGTCTCATTCTGTCACCCAGGCTGGAGTGCAGTGGTGTGATCTCGGCTGACTGCAACCTCTGCCTCCCGGGTTCAAGTGATTCTCCTACCTCAGCCTCCTGAGTAGCTGGGATTACAGACACCCACCACCATGCCCAGCTAATTTTTGTACTTTTAGCAGAAACAGGATTTCACCATGTTAGCCAGGCTGGTCTCGAACTCCTGACCTCAAGTGATCTACCTACCTCGGCCTCCCAAAGTGCTGAGATTATAGGAGTGAGCCACCGTGCCCAGCCCTGATTCTTGTTTGCTTCTTACAGAAAAACTGAGGCAGGCAGGGCAGCTTGACACTTGACATTGTTTCACCCAAGTCACAGGCAGCAAGCAGACTCTCTTACTTTAAATCCAGCATTCTAAACTCTGACTTTTAGGATTGATTAAATAGTCATTTCATCATCTCACTCAATAAAGGATTCACCCTCTACAATGGTCATGAGAAGTGTCTGTTCTTTAGGGAACTCTGTACCACACAAGTAGCCCATTATTAGATGTTTCTCCTCCTATTAAGTTGAAACCCACCTCCCTGTAAGGCATATATTATTTGACCCTGAGTATATCTTCTGAATCCACAAAGGATACCTTCATTCTTTTCTAGGAGGGAGTCTGGGATTGCACCAAGAGCCTAATCTCCAAGCATCTGGGCTCTTTCCTTTTCCTTTATTTAGGAAGGGAAGATCACTGACCTAGAACATTTTGCTGAGAGCCTCATTGCTGATGAACACTATGCCAAAGAAGAGATTGCTACGCGGCTCCAACGTGTACTAGACAGGTCAGGCCTGAGTGATTGTTTTATGTGCCAAAGGAAGATATAGCAAACTGACCTTTTTGCTAGCATTGAGATGGGGGAATACTCTGGCTTCCTGTCATTTCTAGGTGACTAAAACTATCTTGACACCTATGCAGACTTTCTGACTTAGATTTATAGAATGAAAGACATGAAAGATGAAAGATACCTTAGAAATTAACTGGCTTTAGCACTGCATTTTATAATGAAAATAATAAGACTATGTGAGAAGAAAAGAGGCATGTTGGCAAATGGGAAGATTTATGGATATGGCATCAGAGCATGGGAAGGGTGGAGGAGGGCATAGAGTGATTTGGCTCCGTCCTCTAGGTGGAAGGCTCTCAAAGCACAACTGATTGATGAGCGGACAAAGCTTGGAGACTATGCCAACCTAAAACAATTCTACCGAGACCTTGAGGAGCTGGAAGAATGGATCAGTGAGATGCTGCCCACAGCCTGTGATGAATCCTACAAAGACGCCACTAACATTCAGGCAAGTTCAAAATAGGAATCTTGGAAAATTTCACCATTCCGAGCTTGTTGGTTGGATAGTCATCACCCTTGATACTTTAACACTTTCTGACTGTTGAGGCTACCATGCCTGCTCTCAGAGACTTCAGAGTCTGATGTGGAGCAGGTTCTTCAGAAGTCACCGTCACCTCAGTTATGATAGAAATATTAGCCCTTCCTTTTAAATACAATTTACCTTATCTTGTCACCATAAATAAAAAGATAATATAATTTCTGTTTCATTTTCCCTTCAGAGGAAATACCTGAAACACCAGACCTTTGCACATGAAGTCGATGGCCGATCTGAGCAGGTGCATGGCGTCATCAACCTGGGGAACTCCCTGATTGAGTGTAGCGCTTGTGATGGCAATGAAGAGGCCATGAAGGTAAAGCTCAGGATGAGTTTTGGGCTACAAAGTCACATGAAGAGGAATCATTTACTCTTTCTTTTTTTTTAATTTATTGTATTTTTTTTAATTTTATTATTATTATACTTTAAGTTTTAGGGTACATGTGCACAATGTGCAGGTTTGTTACATATGTATACATGTGCCATGTTGGTGTGCTGCACCCATTAACTTGTCATTTAGCATTAGGTATATCTCCTAATGCTATCCCTCCCTCCTCCCCCCACCCCACAACAGTCCCTGGTGTGTGATGTTCCCATTCCTGTGTCCATGTGTTCTCATTGTTCAGTTCCCACCTATGAGTGAAAACATGCGGTGTTTGGTTTTTTGTCCTTGTGATACTTTGCTGAGAATGATGGTTTCCAGTTTCATCCATGTCCCTACAAAGGACATGAACTCATCATTTTTATGGCTGTATAGAATTCCATGGTGTATATGTGCCACATTTTCTTAATCCAGTCTACCATTGTGGGACATTTGGGTTGGTTCCAAATCTTTGCTATTGTGAATAGTGCCGCAATAAACATATGTGTGCATGTGTCTTTATAGCAGCATGATTTATAATCCTTTGGGTATATACCCAGAAATGGGAAGGCTGGGTCAAATGGTGTTTCTAGTTCTGGATCCCTGAGGAATTGCCACACTGTCTTCCCCAATGGTTGAACCAGTTTACAGTCCCACCAGCAGTGTAAAAGTGTTCCTATTTCTCCACATCCTCTCCAGCACCTGTTGTTTCCTGACTTTTTAATGATCACCATTCTAACTGGTGTGAGATGGTATCTCATTGTGGTTTTGATTTGCATTTCTCTGATGACCAGTGATGATGAGCATTTTTTCATGTGTCTTTTGGCTGCATAAATGTCTTCTTTTGAGAAGTGTCTATTCATATCCTTCACCTACTTGTTGATGGGGTTGTTTGTTTTTTTCTTGTAAATGTGTTGGAGTTCATTGTAGATTCTGGATATTAGCCCTTTGTCAGATGAGTGGATTGCAAACATTTTCTCCCATTCTGTAGGTTGCCTCTTCACTCTGATGGTAGTTTCTTTTGCTGTGCAGAAGCTCTTTAGTTTAATTAGATCCCATTTGTCAATTTTGGCTTTTGTTGCCATTGCTTTTGGTGTTTTAGACATGAAGTCCTTGCCCATGCCTATGTCCTGAATGGTATTGCCTAGGTTTTCTTCTAGGGTTTTTATGGTTTTAGGTCTAACATTTAAGTCTTTAATCCATCTTGAATTAATTTTTGTATAAGGTTTAAGGAAAGGATCCAGTTTCAGCTTTCTACATATGTCTAGCCAGTTTTCCCAGCACCATTTATTAAATAGGGAATCCTTTCCCCATTGCTTGTTTTTCTCAGGTTTGTCAAAGATCAGATGGTTGTAGATAAGCAGCATTATTTCTGAGGGCTCTGTTCTGTTCCGTTGGTCTATATCTCTGTTTTGGTACCAGTACCATGCTGTTTTGGTTACTGTAGCCTTGTAGTATAGTTTGAAGTCAGGTAGCGTGATGCCTCCAGCTTTGTTCTTTTGCCTTAGGATTGACTTGGCAATGTAGGCTCTTTTTTGGTTCCATATGAACTTTAAAGTAGTTTTTTCCAATTCTGTGAAGAAAGTCATTGGTAGCTTGATGGGAATGGCCTTGAATCTATAAATTACCTTGGGCAGTATGGCCATTGATTCTTCCTACCCATGAGCATGGAATATTCTTCCATTTGTTTGTATCCTCTTTTATTTCATTGAGCAGTGGTTTGTAGTTCTCCTTGAAGAGGTCCTTCACATCCCTTGTAAGGTGGATTCCTAGGTATTTTATTCTCTTTGAAGCAATTGTGAATGGGAGTTCACTCATGATTTGGCTCTCTGTTTGTCTGTTATTGGTGTATAAGAATGCTTGTGATTTTTACACATTGATTTTGTATCCTGAGACTTTAATGTTCCATGAGTAGAAATATAAAATATGTTCTGTGACCATATCACAGAAAAACAGTCTTCCCTCTGATTGTTGCACAAAGAAGGAGAAAAGGAGTGATGCCCAGACCTTATCACTCCCATCATACTCAGTACCTGGAACACTAAGAAAGCTTCGGCTTAATTCCAAACTCTTATCATGCTTGTTTTACATTTTCTATCCCTTCTGCCAATAGTTTTTTGGCATTTGTATGTCAGTCTCTTTACTCAACACAGGACCCTTTTTTAAACTTTCTCTTTTGTCCAACAACTCCTATTGTTTTCCCAGATTAAGTATAACTGGTTTGAAATGTATGATATTCAAGTATCAGCAAATTTTGGCTAGTTCCTGCCTTCACAGCCTTCCTACATTATTCTCTCAAGTAGTCACAGGGCCCGGGATCCTAAAGATTGTAATGACTCCTCACTCTCCTTGGGTTAGGAGCAACTGGAACAGCTGAAGGAACATTGGGATCATCTGCTTGAGAGAACAAATGACAAAGGGAAGAAGCTCAATGAGGCCAGTCGTCAACAGAGGTTCAACACAAGCATCCGGGACTTTGAGTTCTGGCTCTCAGAGGTAATTGCACCCGGAAACAGTAGAGACACAAGAGTTTAATACATACTTGTCAGACAAATGAATTTACCCATGGGCAATTTCCTTGAATTTTCCTGGGAAAAGTTTGGGGACATAGCTGCTGATCTTATTCTCCTTAAAGGCAGTTTCACCTGGCAGCTTTATTGCTTATTTCTCTATTTCCAGGCAGAGACATTGCTGGCCATGAAAGATCAGGCCAGGGACTTGGCTTCAGCAGGAAACCTACTCAAGAAGCATCAGCTATTGGAGAGAGAGATGTTGGCTCGAGAGGTAAGTAGTGTTGGCATCCCTCTCCTCTGGGCAGAATAGAAATATTTCTGGCTCTTCTCCCTCCCATGTTAGGAGACCATTTGAAAACATAGCCTTGCAAAATTGTTCTTAGTGTTCTCAACCAGCAGTCATTTTAATTAGGTAAAATTAACGGGCTGTGAAGACATTAAAACTGTCACTGATAATCAATTATCCCTAAACTATAGACTTTAAGATTCCAGAAAGTGGACCTGGGAAACTATCTTTTTTATCTTTTACTGATGCATACATATAAGCCAATTGTCTTTAAGCTATATATTTGATCTGGTATTTGAAAGAAAGTGGAAGTTTACTTTATAGAATTACAAACAAAAAATCAGATGGGGGCATGTGAAATGAAGATGAACTACACAAACACTCTGGAAATCCTGTCAAGGATTCTGGTTGCATCCTAATAGCAACCAAAAATTTGTGCTGAGAGCAGTGATAAAAATGCTGACAGTTGTTAATTTTATACTAAAGAATTTTATAATTATCATTTTACTTGATAATACAGATACACACAGAAAAGGCAGGAAGTCAAAGGCCTTGGGACTTGGTGATGTTTCCTGTGACATCACTAAGGGGCTGGGTTAGAATAGGAGTAGACACAGAAGAGATAGATGTGTTCAATGGGCAGCTAAGAATGTTGCCCATAGAGTAGTTCTTGTTGAATATTGAATCAATCAATCTGTGGCTGCCAAAGTTGGTACTGTCAAATCAATCAATCTGTGGCTATCAAAGTCAGTATAAGACAGTCTTGTATGGGAACGAATGATTGCCCGCCAAGATTTTCCTTTTTTTTTTTTTTTTTTTTTGGTACCAGCTCAAGCAATTCTCCTGCCTCAGCCTCCCAAGTAGCTGAGATTACAGGCACACGCCAGCATGCCCGGCTAATTTTTGTGTTTTTAGTACAGACAGGGTTTCACCATGTTGGCCACAGTGGTCTTGAACTCCTGACTTCTTGATCCAACCGCCTTGGCCTCTCAAAGTGCTGGGATTACAGGCATGAGCCACCGCACCTTGCTGGTTTTCTTTTTTAGTTGGGGAGAGAAGGCAAATACTGAAAATATCAGAAGGAGAAACAGGACACAGGCTAAATGTACAGTTTGAGTAATGTAGTCATGCTACCTCTATCGCTCCCACATATGGCCCTTCTCCAACCTGAACATATGCTAACATGTATAACACATAATCAAACTCCATGTCTTTAAAAGCAATCCATTTGGCCCAGTCTTTGAGCCAGACCAGCTGTTGTTAAAGTGTGGGATCTGAGTAATGCCTATACTATACTATTCACTGAGTATCCCGAGACTTTCTAGGATGCACTCAAGGACCTGAATACATTGGCTGAAGATTTGCTCTCCAGCGGGACTTTCAACGTTGATCAGATTGTGAAGAAAAAAGATAATGTCAACAAGCGTTTCCTGAATGTCCAAGAATTGGCAGCTGCACACCACGAAAAATTGAAAGAGGCCTATGCCTTGTTCCAGTTCTTCCAGGATCTAGATGATGAGGAATCCTGGATAGAGTATGTGCCACCAGCTCAAAAATGTGTGGATAATACAAGCGAGTAGATAATCCACCAAACTTGTTCCAATTTATGCTGAAATGAAATTTGTACTTGTTTCTTGAAGATAGCACTACTTCATGTTTGCCTCAGCTTAAGGTTAACATTGGTTTTATTTTTCCCAAATTCCCTTACTGGATGCAAGCCAGAGAAAGACAGGTGTGGAGGAAGTGAAGAGCAGTTAACATACATGACAGGAACAAAACTAAGAAGCCATCTGCATTTGCTCTGTAGTTCATTGAATAATATGCAATACTCACAGAGACACCTGGACATTTACACAGCTGATCAGAACCTTGTCATTCTATATCCAGTATATCTTATATGACACTGAATTGGACACTCAATAGAGAATATTACAAAGTATCTACCAAGGTTTCATTACTCATTCCATTTTTGGTTACACAGCTGGTCAGAACCTTGTCATTCTATATCCAGTATATCTTATATGACACTGAATTGGACACTCAATAGAGAATATTACAAAGTATCTACCAAGGTTTCATTACTCATTCCATTTTTGTTGTAAAATATGATTTGGAAAATCTTAGCACATTACACTATTTTGCCTACTTCCCATTTAACCTGCCTCATCACGCTTCTCTTCTACAAAGCTGCTTGATTATTATGAGTAATCAATAAATTAGAGGGAAGCACCATGCACAGGGCAACAAATAACATGTTTTAAAAACCTTTTTGGATAAGACCATAAGATAGAATAATCTTGTCCATGTAGTCTTCGACTGTACTTCGTGGTGATGCTCAAACCTTTTGCACTTGGAAGCATCCCAACTGCCATGACTCCTATGAAATCAGCTCTTTATACCCATTCTAGCTGAATTTATTATTGACATTAATAAATGAAAATAACAAAACCTGTGGAGGTCATATATAATTTTCACATTTTTTTGAAATAGGAAACATTAGTGTGTATTCTTGAGCAAAAAAGAGAAGATATACAAGTGGAGAAGCAAAGGGACTAATGGAAAGGCTGTTACAGTTGTGACTATGGTGGAGATCAGTATGTTACTTTAATTTGTATTGGCTCAGTCAGAAGTTTTGCTGCAAGCCTCTTCCACTAATTATATTTTTGGTCATTGGCACCAGGGTATTACAGAATTTACAACCACCTCCCTCACCACCAGCCACACACATAGTCATAGAAAGCTATTGCTGTAGGATGACATTAGATGTCTAGACTCCAAACTTTCTGTTTTCTTCCTTGATTTTAGGGAGAAGTTGATACGAGTGAGCTCCCAGGACTATGGGAGAGATCTTCAGGGGGTTCAGAACTTGCTGAAGAAGCACAAACGCCTAGAGGGGGAGCTGGTGGCCCATGAGCCTGCCATCCAGGTAGGAATAGAATACCAGATCTGAAAATATAGAAATCATCCTATAGCAACCCCTTGTGTTACAGATAAATAAGAGGGTGCTACAAAACGTGAAAATAGGATGTCAAGGTCAGAGAGAGTTAGTCAAAGAGTTTACAAATATTCTTTTCTCTTCCACATTTAGTCTCCTATAAGTAGAAGAGTTCTGAACAAGAACCCATGCTCTTCCCTGGAAGGAGCACTCTTAACACTCCTGGGGAATGATTGACAATTGGGATGCAGGTTGGGACATCTGGGAAAACTGTACTTGAGCCATCTGGGAAGAAGGCAACTCTGGGTCTGACTTGGCAGCAGGGTCACTCTGTGACCATGAATAGACGAAAAAGCAGATTAGGGAGAGTAGACTAGTGCAAGTACTGATATATTTGCAAATACTTGGGAAAGTTTAGCATAGCAAATCTTCTTGCAGCTTTCATCATTCTCCCTGGACTTTCAGGACCCTCACAAAGTCCCGTGGAGTTTATAAATAATCTGGAGGGTAGGATGGGCTAGATACTTTGCTCAGGGACTATGGCTAAATGGGGAGAGATTGTGGGGTAATGGAACATGTATCGGGGTTGTTCTTCAGAATGTGCTGGATATGGCAGAGAAGCTGAAAGACAAGGCTGCTGTGGGGCAAGAGGAGATCCAGTTGCGGCTGGCTCAGTTTGTTGAACACTGGGAGAAGCTCAAAGAGTTGGCCAAGGCCCGGTGAGTGGGATACAGAAGGCCCAGTTCCCTTCCTGGATTTTGGATATTGGGCAGGTGTTGGGAGGATACTTAAGTGCCTGCTCAGCATTGTCTGCTATCCCCAACTACCTATCTATCTCCTTAAGTCCCTTCTCAAATGACAAGTTTACCACAAAGCTTTCCTCCATATACCCCAGACACGATGATCACTGCCTCTGTTCTAAATCTACCTCTCCTTCTGCATTTACATGCAACTGTCTTTTACTATTGTTTTCCTACATGTGTTATCCTTCATATCAGGTTATTAGCCACACATCTGTTCTGCTTTATCTCCCAGTTTTCATATTATAATCAGCCCTTAGTAATGTAAGGACGAAGAATTATTTTTCCCTATAGCCATATAGCCAATTTGAACCACATACACAATGTATCAGTCCGTTCTCACATTGATATAAAGAACTACCCGAGACTGGGTATTTATGAAGAAAAGAAGTTTAATTCACTCATAGTTTCATAGGCTGTACAGGAAGCATGACTGGGAGGCCTCAGGAAACTTACAATCATGGCAGAATGCAAAGAAAGAAGAACATCTTAGCAAGGCAGGGAGCGGGCGGGGGCGGGGAGAGTGCTAAACACTTTTAAACCATCAGATCTTGCAAGAACTCACTCACTATCATGAAAACAGTAAGGAGAAAATCTGCTCCCATGATCCAATCACCTCCCACCAGGCCCCTCCCCTGATACATAGGGATTACAGTTCAAGATGAGATTTGGGTGGGGAAACGGAGCCAAACCATATCACACATATAGCCAAATATAACGATTTCTGTCTGTAGTTCCATTTTTCCTGGGGGGGGCTAAAAGGAAGATTCTGGCACTTCGTGGTGTCTTCATCATATACGAAAGAAGGCAGTGCTCAGAGTAGAAAGAGACATTGTGTCACTGCTGATATTCTCCAACACTGAAGTCATCATTTCCCTTTTTTTGGTTAGGGTGGGTTTCCTCCCTCCAGCAAAGTTTCTTAAGACAGTAGATGGTGCCACAAAATGAACTTCTAGAGCAGGCGTCTCCTCCATTTCACAGCAGATCTTCACCACTGAGCAGTAGGCACCTATTATACTGTGTTGAGGCCCACTTCAACTGTGGCTGCCTTGTGAGAATAAGCTGGTCTGCCTGAATGAGATTGTGCCACCCCACTGTACTCCCACTGCTTACCAGTTTGTTCTTATCCTCACTGGGGCTTGCCACCTTGTTATAGAGGACTTAAGTTGGAAGAATCCCTAGAATACTTGCAATTCATGCAGAATGCTGAGGAAGAGGAAGCTTGGATCAATGAAAAGAATGCTTTGGCTGTCCGAGGAGATTGTGGAGATACATTAGCTGCTACTCAGGTGAGGAACAGGAAGAATGAATCAATTTTCTTCTCTTCAATTTGGTTATTTTCTTGGGTAGTCAGTGTTTTTACCTGTAATATTAGGACATTTTTCTGGTGAAAGAAGATGAAGGAAATACGAATAATCCTGACAGTTTTAAATACGAAAAATTAAAGTCCAAGCATGTAAGTGACTTGCCCAAGATTACGGAACCAATCAGGCATGAAGGCAGGACTCAAATCTTAATTCCATAATCTGTGATCTGTCTGTGAGTCAAAGAAATAATGGTTAAAGACCTTTCCTTACAAGTTAGATTCCTTGCAGATTATAGATTTTGAAAGGATTCCCTTGAATTTTCATGTTACATTGATTTGGAAAAAAATCTTCTTATGTCTGGACATTGGCTGCAGTTTCAACAAAATATAATTTTAGGAAGAAGGGCTTACTGGACAAAATAGTTCCACAATTTATAGACATCCTTTTAAATGCAGGATTGGGTTTCTCTATAAAGAAATGAACAATTAATCAGTGTGATCTTGAGTTAATGTAAATTTTGACGGCTTTTGAGAGTGATTACAAAACAAGAATGTATTAGGACTTTGGAAACTGTGCCTAGTAACCCTAAAAATTGGGAATTTACCAAGAACTCTTTGTAGAAATTAATTCACTTTAATGTGATGACATAAGGAAAGGCTTAGACTTGCAAAAGATAACTTAAACCTATACAACATATAATTCAAATTATCAGCTCATCTTATTTGTAAGTCTTTTGGATCATGCATGTGCACCCCACTGCACATGTTCAAGCATTTTAAGGCTTCCTATCAAATGCTCTCAAAGGCTTCCCTTTCTTTACAACAGAACTTTTTCTTTTTTCTTTTCTTTTTTTTTTTTTTTTTCGAGACAGAGTCTCACTCTGTCTCCCAGCCTGGAGTGCAGTGGAGTGATCTTGGCTCACTGCAAGCTCTGCCTCCCGGGTTCATGCCATTCTCCTGCCTCAGCCTCCCGAGTAGCTGGGACTACAGGCGGCTGCCACCACGCCAGGCTAATTTTTTTGTATTTTTAGTAGACAAGGGGTTTCACCATGTTAGCCAGGATGGTTTCGATCTCCTGACCTCGTGATCCACCCACCTCAGCCTCCCAAAGTGCTGGGATTACAGGCATTAAAACAGAACTTTTTATTTTGAGAATTATAGATTCACATGCAGTTATAAGAAATAACACAGACAGATCTCATGTCCTTTACCAAGTTTTCTCTAATGGAAACATCCAGAAAAGCAGTATATCATAAATGGGATATTGACATTGTCAAGATTCAGTTAAGATTCAGAAGGCTAGCATCATCACAAGGATCACTGCTGTTGCTTTTTTATAGCCACCTCCTCTTCCTGCCTCTTCAAACTGTGGCAACCACTAATCTGTTCTACATTTCTATAAGTTTGTCATTTCCACGCTGCTATACAAATGAAATCATATAGTATGTAACTTTTGAAGATTGACCTTTTCACTCAGCACCATACTCTGGTGATTAATTCTGGTTATTGTGTGTAACAATAGTTCATCCCTTCTTATTTCTGAGCAGTGTCGTGGTATAAGAATATCACAGTCGAACCACTCACCTGTTGAGGGGAGTCTGGGCTGTTTCCACTTTTTGATGACTATGAGAAAAGCCACTATAAATATTCATGCACAGATTTTAATGCAAACATAAGTCTATTTCTCTGGGATAAATGTACAGGACCCCAATCACTGAACCATATAGTAACTGCCTATTTAGTTTTGGACCAAAAAAAAAAAAAAAGCCAAATTCCTTTCCTGTTTGTATGGCTATATCATTTTGCACTCTTAACAACAATGCATAAATGATGCAGTTTGCAGTTTCCCTATATCCCTGCTAGCATTCTGTGTTGTCACTACTTTTATTTTAGTCATTCACATAGATATATAGTGATACCTCATTGTAGCTCATATGTGCATTTCCTTAATGGATAATGATGTTTTACATTTTTTGTCATGTGTTTATTTGACATCTGTATTTTTCCTCAGTGAAATGTCTCTCTATTTTCTAATTGAATTGTTAGTTTGTTCATTTTGATTTGTTTTATTGTGACAAAAACACTGAACATGAGATCTACTCTCTTAATACATTTATACGTGTATAACATATTATTGTTGACTATAGGTACAATGTTGTAGGCTGTATAGAAATGCTCTTGAGCGTTTTCATCTTGCTTGACTGTAATTTATGCCTTATGGTTAGTAAAACTTCAATTTTTTTCTCAGCCTCTGGTAATTAACATTCCACTCTTTGATTTTATAAATTTGTCTACCTCATATAGGTGGAATCATGTAGCATGTATCTTTCTATAACTGGCTTATTTTGCTTAGCGTAATGTCCTCAAGGTTCATCTATGTTGTTAAATGTTGCATAACTTTCTTATTTTTTAAGAATAAATGGTATTTTATTGAATGAATATACCACATTTTTTTCATTCATTCATCTGTTGATGGACATTTAGGTTGTGTCCATATCTTGGCTATTGTTAATAATGCTGCAATGAACATATGGATGCTAATATCTTATTGAAATCATTATTTCCTTATCCTTTTGGATAAATACCCAGAAATAGAATTGCTGGACGATAGGTAGTTTTATTTTAAATGTTTCAAGAATATTCATGTTGTTTTCCATAACAGCTGTGCCATTTTGCATTCCCACTAAGAATGTGAAAGGGCTTCAATTTCTGCATATCTTCACTAACACTGGCCTTTTATGTTTTGTTAATAGCCATCCTGACAGGTGTGAAGTGATATCTCATTATGGTTTAATTTGCATTTTCCTAATGGTTAATAATGTGAAGCATCTTTTCATATACCTGAGGGGCATTTACATGCCTTTTTAGGGAAATTTCTATTAAACTTCTTAGCTCATTTTTATTATTTTTAAATTTATTTATTTCAATACTTTTTTAGGTACAGGTGGTTTTGGTTATATGGATAAGTTCTTTAGTGGTGATATCTAAATTTCTGGTACACCTATCACCCGAGCAGTGTGCACTATATCCAATATGTAGTCTTTTATCCCTGACCCCTTTCCCACCCTTTCCCTCAAGTCCTCTAAGTCCATTGTATCATTTTAATGCCTTTTAATCCTCATAGCTTAGCTCCTATTTATAAGTGAGAACGTAAGACATTTGGTTTTCCATTCCTGAGTTACTTCACTTAGAGTGGCCCCCCAACTCCATCCAGGTCGCTGCAAACGCCATTATTTTGTTTTGTTTCATGGCTGAGTACTATTCCATGATGTATATATACCACATTTTCTTTATCTACTCATTAATTGGGCAATAAGTTGGTTGGTTATTTTTGCAATTGCAAATTGTACTGCTATAAACACAAGTATGCATGTGTCTTTTTCATAAATGACTTCTTTTCCTTTGGGTAGATACCCAGTAGTGGGATTACTGAATTGAGTGGTAGTTCTTTAAGGAATCTCCATACTGTTTTTTATAGTGGTTGTACTAGTTTACATTTTCACCAGCAGTGTAAGAGTGTCCCGTTTACCACATCCACACCGATATCTATTATTTTTTGACTTTTTAATATGGCCATTCTTTCAGGAGTAAGGTGATACCTCATTGTGGTTTTAATTTGCACGTCCCTGATAATTAGTGATATTGAACATTTTTTCATGTTTGTTTTTAGCCCATTTTTAAATCAAGTTATTAGGGGTTTTTTACTTTTATTTTTATTTTTTATTTACTTTTTAGTATTGAGTTATATTAGTTCCTTATATATTTTAGAGATTAACCCCTTATTAGGGAAATCATTTATAAGTATTAACTCTCATTCAGTGGGCTGCCTTTTCACTCTGTTGATTGTTTCCTTTGCTGTGCAGAAGTTTTAGCTTTATATACTCCCATTTGTTTATTTTTTCTTTTTGTTGCCTGTGCTTTTAGTGTCATATTTATGTAATCATTGCCAAGACCAGTATCATGAAGATTTTACCCTACCTTTTCTTTCAGGAGTTCTATAGTTTCAAGACTTACATTTAAGTCTTTAAACAATTTTGAGTTGATTCTTGGGTATGGCATAAGGGTCTTATTTCATTATTCTGCAAGTGAAAAGCAGTTTTCCCAGCACTATTTGTTAAAGAAGCTGTCTATTCTCCATTGTATATTTTTGGCACCCTTGTCAAAGACCAGTTAACTACATATACATGGGTTTATTTCTGGACTCTCTATTCTGTTTCATTCATCTATGTCTGTTTTTATGCCAGTACCATACTCTTAATTATTGTAGCTTTTTACTGTATTTTAAAATCAGGAAGTGTGATTCCTTCAGCTTTGTTCTTCTTTGTCAATATTGATTTGACTATTTGTGGTCTTTTCTGATTCCATATAAATTTTAGAATTGATTTTTCTATTTCTGTAAAAAATGTCATTGGGATTTTAATAGGGATTTCATTGACCTTGTACATCACTTTGGGTAGTATTCACATTTTAACAATATTAAATCTTCTAATCCATGAACACAGAATATTTTTCCATTTGTTTGTGGCTTCTTTAATTTCTTTTATCAATGTTTTGTAGTTTTCAGTGTATGAGCTTTTCACCTCCTTGGTTACATTTATTTTTATATATTTTATTATTTTTGATGTGATTGTAAAAGGAATTATTTTCTTAATTTCTTTTTCAGATAGTTTATTGTTTACAATTTCTAAACCGACTTTTATGTTTTGAGTTTTATTCTGTAACTTTGCTGATTGGTTTACTAGTTCTAACAGTTTTTTATGGAGTGTTCAGAGTTCTCTGTATTTAAGATTATGTCACTTGCAAACAAAGAAAATTTTACTTCTTCCTTTCTTATTTAGATGCCTTTTACTAGGACTTCCAGTACTATCTTAAATAGAAATAGTGAGAGCGATTATCTTTGCCTTGTTCATAAACTTAAAGGAAAAGCTTTTAGTTTCACCATTAAATATGATGTTAGCTGTGGGCTTTTCATACATGTACTTTATCACGTTGAAGCAATATCCCTCTGTTCTTAGTTTGTTGATGGTTTTTATCATGAAAGAGTGCTGAATTCTGTCCATTTTTTTTCAGAATCTATTGAGATGATGATTTAGTTCTATCTTTTTTTGTGTCAATGTGTTGTATCACATTTATTGATCTGCATATGTTGAACCATCCTTGCATCCCAGGGATAAATTCTGCTTGTTTGTGGTATATAATCATTTTAATGTGCTGCTGGATTCAACATGCTAGTATTTTGTTGAGGAGTTTTGCATCTATATTCAATAAGAATATTAAGGATATTAGGCCCTCTATATTCAGATAGATAGATAGATAGATAGATAGATAGATAGATAGAGATATATTTTGTCTCTCTTGATAGACATATCTATCTATCTATCTATCTATCATCTATCTATCTATCTATTGAGAGAATTATCGCCTGGCTTTGGTGTCAGGGTAATGCTGACTTTGCGAAGGTGTTTAGAAATGTTCCCTCCTCTTAAATTTTTTGAAACAGTTTGAGAATAATTGGTATTAATTATTTAAATATTTGATTTAATTCATCAGTGAAGCCATCTGGTCTTGGGATTTTCTTTGTTGAGAGGTTTATTTCTGATTCAGTCTCCACAGTAGTTATAGGTCTGTTTGGACTTTCTTCATGATTTGGTCTTTGCAAGTTGTCTGTTTCTAGGAATTTATCTATTTTCTCTAGATATTCTAGTTTATTGGCATATAATTATTTGTAATCTTTTCTTGTGATCTCTTTTATTTCTTTGACAACAGTTCTAATGTTTCTTCTTTTATTTTTGAATTTATTATTTGAAAATAGAAGGCGAAGGTGAAGATGTTAAAGATACTTTATTTCATGCAGTATACATATATAAAAATATGATTCATTCAGGCTTTCAGTCATACAAAGTCAATCACCTTTCCAATATTCATTTACCGTTTCTTCAAAAAATAAAATGTAATACAGTCATAATATATAATGTAGTCCATCTTGTTTTACAATGAGTAACCATCTTATTTTAGTGCCTCAACACCATGAACTGAAAGTCCTTTTATTTTCAATAGGGATTTTGAAAAAGTATAATAGTCATAGAAATTCTCTTTCTTCCTTTAACCTGACTTACTATGTTGTATAGGAAAAAAATTGACAGAGTGCTTTTATGACAAGAGGGAGGTGAAGGCAGTAGTGGGAGCAGTGGCAGTGGTGGGTGGTCATGGTGGTGGTGATTATGGGCTTTTATAGATATTTCTCTGGAAGGTACAACAGAAGACAAAGTACCACTCTTCATGCTTCAGCCTCACTTCTCTTTTCATTCTGCCAGCTACACAGACATCATGTTTCCAGAAAGCAGTCAGAGAACTATTGGAGTAATCGTCAGTGGCAGCTCCATGTTCCCCTTAACTTCTCTTTAGGATCAGGGCTTAGTTTAGGATGTTCTTGATACTAAATTTTTTTCTGCTAGACACATTGTTTCATTGAATTAGATAAATCTCAATATGGAGGAATCTTTATATACGACCCCAGTCAAAACCCTCATTCCAAAATCAAAATAAGATTAGTCACATAATAAATTAGAAAGAATGTCACTTGTATATCTTTGACTCTTTTTTCCAGTAAGTTGCACTCAGTGACAAGTGAGAATTTGAGAAAGCAATTGAGTATAGTTATTCCAGAAAAAGTGGGCATTCACCTAGTCTGCCAATTTCATTGAATCAACCCTAGGGAATAATAGACCCGTGAGTCTGAATATGAGTGAATATAGATTTTCCGGCTTTGGATATCTTAATTCTCACCGACTTATTTATGCAGAGCTTGCTAATGAAGCATGAAGCTTTGGAAAATGACTTTGCTGTCCATGAGACCCGAGTACAAAATGTGTGTGCACAAGGAGAAGACATCCTAAATAAGGTGAGCTAGTTCAGGAATTCCAGCTCAAACTTCCATTCTCCAAAAGGGACTGGCCCAAATGTAGAAATGCTAAGATCATATGCAGAGAGCAGTGCTAAGATCATATGCAGAACTTTAACAATCTCTTCTAAACTGCCTTTTGTTGTTGTTGTGGTTAGCAAATAATTATCTACTCAATTGCTGTAATTCTTTTTTCAAGTTCTTATACATACACATTTCAGTTTTCCTTAAATCCTTTGTTGACATCTTGTTGTCCTATACAGAGCATGGTGTTTATAAAAGTCTTATCACTAGCTTTGGCCATAGAATATTATAAGAATTTGAAGAAATTGCTTTCTAAGCCTCTAAGAGGAAAACAACACTGAAAGCTCTTTTAAATTTGAGAATCATTCCTTTTTTTAAATGTAGTTTTTAATAAATCCTCATTGATCTAACTGCTATATAAAGACCATTAAACAGAGATGACTCCCTACCTCCTAGAAACTTACACAAACTAAGACGGTCACACTTGGTTATATATTTGAAATGGGAGAGATGAGTGCTTTCTATTGGTACTAATGGATTCACATTTCCAGCCCTGCACATTATAAATATATTTGTCTCTCCCCTTCTCACAGGTGTTGCAGGAGGAAAGTCAGAACAAAGAGATTTCTTCCAAGATAGAGGCTCTGAATGAAAAGACCCCTTCTCTGGCTAAGGCAATAGCTGCTTGGAAGTTGCAATTGGAAGACGATTATGCCTTTCAGGAATTCAACTGGAAGGCTGATGTGGTAGAGGCTTGGATAGGTATGATGTGTCAGGTTCAGGGTCCCTTGGGTTTGAGAAACCCTAATAAATCCCATCCATGTGTAGAATGGTCTCTGGGACTTTTACTGTATGAAAGGAGGTGTTTCCATCACTACCCATTCCTATCCTTTCTGGACAGAATTACACTCACATTTGCACACACATACACACACACATAAACACACACACACAAAGTGAGAAAGAGATAGAAATGATGATGCAGTAATTATGTACCGTAACTCCAGAGAACACATTTTTGGAGAATTGGAGATTTTGTGTGTGACATTGAGAAAGGGAAAGCCATAGCAAAATGTTCTAAGAAACAATCTAAAATGTTTGTTAGATTTACTTACAATTCATATCTAATCTACAATTTCTCTTTTTTTTTCTATGAAGTACTCAAAAGCTCTCAAGACCCTAGCTCTGTTTCGTTAAGTTTTATCCTGCCTAGGTAGAAAAACGATCCATTGGTCCCACTGCTCACATATTCCAATTAATCATCAACTTTGAGAGTCAAGAAGCTTTCTTGTTGTGTGTTGTAAATATTCCTTTTCTGCTTCCCAGGACTCAAACAAGACCAAATGTCTTTCTCTTCTTAATTGTTTTTGCCTTTTAGCTGATAAGGAAACAAGCCTAAAGACCAATGGCAATGGTGCAGACCTTGGTGACTTCCTCACTCTTCTGGCAAAACAGGTGAGATTGATAGATGTTAGGTAAGCCCAAGACCTGATTCACACAGAAGCTCATCCTCCATGATTATTTATTTCTGAATTTTGGGATTTTATTGTCTGTAGCCTCTGTAAGATTTTCCCTTCTTAATATTAATAATTTCCTAATTATTATTTTTTCCCTCTCTCTCATGAATCTTGCTACTGGGTTTTCATCAATTTTTTTTTAGACAACCAACATTCAGCTTTTTAATTTTTCTCTGGGTTTTTGTGTATTCTATTCCATTAAAAGCTTTATATATTATTATCTTTTTTTACTTTATTTGGAATTACTTTAATGTTTTCTTTTAATTTCTTGAGATGTACAATTAGATTATCAAAATTTTAGCCTTTCATCTTTTCTAACATATCGATTTTAAATATATAATTTTTCCCAAAGCAAAGCTTTAGCTGCATTTTGCAAATTTTGTCATTTCTTTTATCATTCAGTTAATTTTTTTTGAAATTTCTTATTTGGTTTATTCTATTATCTTTTTATTATTTGGTAGTGTATTATTTAATTTCAAATATTTGGGACTTTTCTCATTATCTTTTTGATATTTATATCTAGTTTAATTCCACTGTATTTTAAAAATATATTCTATATTTTTCAGAAACTTGATTTATATCCAGCAACAGTCTATTTTATTGTATATTGTATGTACATTTGAAAAGAATGTGTATTTTGCAGTGGTTTATATTACCAACCAGATTTTCATTTTTAATCATGTTGTTTAAATACTTCATTATTTTTATAAATTTTGAGGATAGGCTAAAAGATGTGTTGACATTTCGAATTGTGAAATCATCTTGACAGACTGATACTTTTAATTATAAAATGTTCCTCTTTATCTTGAATTACATTTCTTGATTTAAAGTGTACTTTTTCAGATACCAGTATACTGCACCAACATTTTTTTAGTATCTGCAGAAATATCTATTTCCACTTTTTAGGGTTTTTTGAAACATTTTTATCTCCATATTTTGTATGTGCCTTTTGTAAATATTGTATAGTTGGGTATTACTTTATCTAATTTGATAATTTTATGGAAAAAGTGAGTCTGTTTACATTTAAAGTATTATAATTAACTCATGAACTTTGGTTTAAAGCTATAACAACACCCTCTGCCATCCAACCCCTACTTTTTGGTCAGGGATTGAAATGATCCAGGACAAAATTTCAATTTCTTTGAAGACTCACCTTTTTCACTTTGCCTCTGTGGCCTTTCAGGCATTTCAATGGAAGCCCTTTAACCAGGGCTGCTCCTACCTGATGGGTCCTGAAGTCAGCATTGTGTCACTACTGAAAATTCTAGTTAGGATTTTACATTTTTAGCTACCATTTCTGCTTGGCTTCTAGACTTGTGCCCTATACAGTTTTGGCATCTAAAATGCTTTGAGGGGAAAATACAATATTGACTACTTTTCTGCAGTTTCCTTATTATAGCCCCTCAAATCCTGGCTGACAGTTACCCATTATGCCAAGTTATGTCTCTTTAGCTCCATGAGATTGTCTGTAAAATCAAAAACAAGTTAGTTACTTCCTAAATACAATGAGAGTACAGGCTTTGGGTAAATATACTAATTCCAAATGGGATAAATTGGCCAAAACAAAGGGCTACAGGCCTCATACAAGTCTGAAATCCAACAGGACAGTCATTAAACCTTAAAGTTCCAAAATGATCTCTTTTGACTCCATGTCCCACATCCAGGGCACACTGATGCAAGGGGTGGGCTCCCATGGCCTTGGGCAGTTCCACCCCTGTGGCTTTGCAGGGTACAGCCTCCCTCCTAGGTGCTTTCATGGGCTGGCATTGATTGTCTACAGCTTTTCCAGGTCCATGTTGCAAGCTGTTGGTGGATCTACCATTCTGGAGTCTGGAGGACACTAGGCAGTACCCCAGTGAGGGCTCTGTCAGGGGCGGGTGTTCCAATCCCACATTTCCCTTCTGTGCTGCCTTAGCAGAGGTTCTCCATGAGGACTCTGCCCCTGCAGTAGACTTCTACCCCTGCAGTATGTAGGTGTTTCCATACATCCTCTGAAATCTACAAAGCTCCCAAACCTCAATTCTTGACTTCTGTGTACATGGAGGCTCAATGCCACATGGAAGCTGCCAAGTCTTGGGGCTTGCACCCTCTGAAGCCATGATCTGAGTTGCACCTTGGCCCCTTTTGGCTACAGCTAGAACAGCTGAATGCAGAGCACCAAGTCACTAGGCTACACAAATCAGGGAGCCCTGGGCCCAGCCCAGGAACCCCTACCTGTTACCCGGTTCCAAAGTCACTTCCACATTTTCAGGTATCTTTATAGTAGCACTCCAGTCTCTGCTGTACCAATGTACTGTATTAGTCTGTTCTCACACTGCTAATAAAGACATACCCAAGACTGGGTAATTTATAAAGAATAGAGGTTTAATTGACGTATTTTAGCATGGCTGGGGAGGCCTAAAGAAACTTATAATCATGGCGGAAGGGGAAACAAACACATCCTTCTTCATAAGGCAGCAGAAAGAAGTGCTGCACAAAAGGGGGAAAAGCCCCTTATAAAACCATCAGATCTTGTGAGAACTCACTCACTATCACAAGAACAGCATGAGAGTAACTGCCCACATGATTCAGTTACCTCCCACTGGCTCCCTCCCATGACACATGGGGACTATGGGAACTACAATTCAACTTGAGATTTGGGTGGGGACACAGTCAAACCAAACCATATCAATTAATTTTATACCTAACATAAAATCTAATTGTAAAATATACATAAACTGGAGCTTTCAGCCCCAAATGTTTGCTTACATCTCTAAGTTATATTTCCTTTTTCTTAATCATCATCTTAATTCTTGCCTAGCCTTATCTATGATTAAAATCTGGTGGAACCCAGATGTGAATGACCCTTGCACCATTTTCTTGTTCACGGCCTCTCTCCTGATCTTTCTCAGGACACTCTGGATGCCAGTCTGCAGAGTTTCCAGCAAGAGAGACTTCCCGAGATCACTGACCTGAAGGACAAACTGATTTCTGCTCAACACAACCAGTCTAAAGCCATTGAAGAGCGTTATGCCGCTCTGCTGAAGCGCTGGGAACAGTTGCTGGAAGCCTCGGCAGTCCACAGACAGAAATTGCTGGAGAAACAGCTGCCTCTACAGAAGGTTTAAAAAAATTATGAGGCATGATCAGTTCTCTGTTACCTGTATATTAGCCATGAAATTCGGAAACAGATATTGGAAACTCAGTTTGGATAATACAAAAACCTTTTATTGCATTGAAAGATGTTGGGAAGACATTCTTACTGAGCAAAAAGTAGATTGAAAAGAAGCTTTAAAAATTTTTTTTAGATTGATTGATTAGTTGCATAACTAACTTGAGATGGAAGCCAGGCAAACAGTGGAAGAGGTGGATGGAACAAGAGGATGGGAGGTCTTTGTGTATGATAGAATTAAAACTGTCAGGCAAAAGTCAAGGTTGTCCCTGTACTTTTCCTAACCCAAATAAAAGGAGCACTGGACAAGTTGTCATAAAACATGTTCTCACCTTATATCAAGCTTTCCTAGGTTGAAGACCTTGTAAAAGTCATTTAATATCTCTAAACCTTGATATCCCCATTTAGAAAATTGAGTAGCATCACCATTCTATTCTGCCTTTCTGTTATCACTATTAAAAAAGATAATGAATCTAAAAGTGTAATAATTCCATATTATTACATTATTACATTCATATAAATATGTATGGTTGTAATATGTGTGTATTAATAATACATAATTATATGTACATTATATGTACCTAAATATATGTACATTAATAATACATAATAAATATGTATGATTAATATGGATTAATATAATAATGTAACATTATTACATTACTACATCCATATAAAATTCCATATAAATATGTAATCAAAATATTCCTTCAAATGTTGGCTGCTAAGGCATTGGATGTTGATCATAAAAATATCAATAATGGAAGGAGGCCAGGTGCAGTGGCTCACGCCTATAATCCCAGCACTTTGGTAGGGCAAGGCAGGTGGATCACTAGATCAGAAGATCAAGATCATCCTGGCTAACACGGTGAAACACCGTCTCTACTAAAAATACAAAAAATTAGCCGGGCGTGGTGGCGGGCACCTGTAGTCCCAGCTACTCAGGAGGCTGAGGCAGGAGAACGGCGTGATCCCGGGAGATGGAGCTTGCAGTGAGCCCAGATCGCGGCCACTGTACTCCAGCCTGAGCGACAGAGCAAGACTCCATCTCAAAAAATAAATAAAAGGAAATCAGAATGGTCAGTGGAATTACTGAGCACTCCTAGACCCTAAGAATCATTGTACTTGGTAACAAATTAAGTCAAGGAGTTAGGGAATTTAGGAAATAACACATGAGTAAAAGTCAAATCAGAGTCTTAGTTAATTTCCACACTTTTGAAAAACATAGGGCCTACATCAAATAAATCTTAGGTGAAAAATTAAATCAATTAAGTGGGCAACTTTACACATATATGTGCATTCTATATAGGAAGCTCCTTCATATTTTTAATCTTCTTTTTAAAATAATTTCAAACTACAATGAGTTTTGTTTATTTTCTGATTACAAGATATTTATAAAATATTCACTCAATCTATAACATTATGAAAAAGATATTAAATACTTTATAGGTTTCTGTGTCCTTTCTGTGTAGAGGTCATGTTAATTTTCTCTGTATTGATCTATTTTGGCATATAGATTGCTGAAATGAGTACAGGGTCAGATGTAACGGTTTAATACCTTTGAAATCCTCCCTCCATTTGGGCCAGTTTTCTTCTTTTTAATTCTTGTATTTGGGAATGAAAAATTCATTTTTATGTTTGCTCAAGACAAACCTCTTTAGAAGTACTATCTGCTGACCCAAAATCTGTAATGTATTTTAAGTATAAAAGTATATTTGATCACTTGCTGTTTGAAAAAATTCATGCTTTTTCTGTCATTCAGTAATACAGAAAATTCAGAGCTATTCAGAGCACTTGGATAATGCCAGACAGTAATACAATGATACATATATTTGTGCTAAGGATACAGGTTAGAGGGTAGAAGATAAGTTTAAGCAGTGGTTTGAAAAGCTTCAGGCATAAAATGAGGCCTGAACAAGGTTTAAAAGGAAGGTAGGAAAATGACATAGCCTTGTCAAAGAGAAGTCAGCTGGGTGTGGTCTACAGAAGCTTGTAGGATAATAAGATAAAGGAGATAACAGATTTTCTTGGTTTGTTTATTCAATCATTATTTCATCCATTCATTCAATGCTTTTTTTTTTTTTTTTTTTTTCATGTTTACTACTTGCCGGGTAGAACTGGAGGATAGACTTTAGAACAAGAAATCATATAATTGAAAACTACCTTTGCTACTTTTGGAATTTTAAAACTGAAATAATTTTAGAAATAATTCGACCTCCCTCATTTGTAAATGATGAAAGACTTAAACAATTTCACACAATGAGAAAATGCCAGAACCAGGGCTCGTACCGCTAACTCACATGTTCAACCATCAAAGTACACAGTCCCTATTGGTTTTAGTTCTGCCCTTTTAGATTGGTGGCCCTGCAGATATTTAAAGACAGGCATTATTTTTATCCTCAATCTTCTCTTCTGCTGAGAGGCTTTATCAGGAAAGATGGTAGTGTCTTTTTTTTCTCTCTGCAGGCTGAGGACCTGTTCGTGGAATTTGCACATAAGGCTTCAGCTTTGAACAACTGGTGTGAAAAGATGGAAGAAAACTTGTCAGAGCCTGTGCACTGTGTCTCCCTGAATGAAATTCGGCAGCTGCAGAAAGACCATGAGGACTTCTTGGCCTCCCTGGCTAGGGCTCAAGCAGACTTTAAATGTTTGCTGGAGCTAGACCAGCAGATTAAGGCCTTAGGTGTGCCTTCCAGCCCTTATACCTGGTTAACAGTGGAGGTGCTGGAAAGGACCTGGAAGCACCTATCTGACATCATTGAGGTAACCTGGAACACGGCAGAAACTTCCTTTCACTACAGTGAACATAACCACTTTATTATCCAAGTAAATAGACTTTTGACATAGAAGGAACACTATTAATAACTATACTGGGACAGAAGTCATGAAACATGACTGTCTAAGAAAAACTGGAAAATATGTTTATCATAGGTATACCCTATGCCCCATAATTTGGGCAGTTTCCTGTTTTTGAGTATTGAACAATGATTCTGAGAAGCAAACAGAAGCCCCAAGACATGGTTCTAATGATGAGCTATGAAAAGTTCATGAGGCTTTATATGTATTCATTGTCTACATATCCCCCTCATTCAAGACATTTTCGTTTTTATATACACCTCCAAAAGTGCCTTGCTACGTATGTATTTTTAGCTTTTGTCTGTGTTAATAATGTTCATTATTGAAACTATGAAACATAAAAAGTGTAATAGAAAACTAACCACAATATCACCATTTTTAGATAGTAACTATTGTTTCTAAGGGTAGCAGGCCCTTTAAGGCTGCTTTTGTGTTCATTTAAATTAAATTTCCCCAAAAGAAATTATAAACAGGAGAGGTTTGCTTTTATTACTAGCTTACTTGTTACGGGACTTGGTCTTAGAGGACCCTGCAAGTACTCTTGGGAAATACACAGGCTATCTTTACATTTTAGAGGTGAGAGAGGTTGACTGCATGAAATATGAGCACACAGGCACATACCTGTGGAAGATAGGTTAGACTTGAGAGAGGAAAGATATGCAGTTAAGCCTACAAACCAATTCTCTTATGGCAAAGAAAGGCCTTCGATGTCAGTCACGTTGTCTGTGATTTGGGGTTTTAGGAACGGGAGCAGGAGCTGCAAAAGGAAGAGGCAAGACAGGTCAAGAACTTTGAGATGTGTCAGGAGTTTGAACAGAATGCCAGTACCTTCCTTCAATGGATCCTGGAAACCAGGTGTGCTATGCTACATCCCAAACCATGACCCCTGTGCCACCACCATTTGCCATAGGGATGAAATACATGTTTGAAGGGAAGAGGAGAGACTCTGAGAGCATGTATTCTGCCCTAAAATCCCCATATCTTGCCTATGCTTTATATTTGGAGTTGACTGTTTTCTGAATCAATTCTTGGAAAACCAAGAAATGACAATTTCATCCTTCTGCTTATTATGTACACTTCTGTATTCTCTCCTTGATACTCTCACCTTTCTTTCTGTTGCCTGTAATTTCAGTCCAAAATAATAACAATTTCTTATGTTCACATGCCATATTGCACTTTACAGAGTACTTCCATATCCATTACCTCACTTAACTGTCGGAGCAACCTTGAAAAGCATACAGAGCAGCTCTTATTAGCTCTGTTTCCAAGTGTGGAAAGTTCAAGTAGATAAATTTACTTGCTCAAGGTCACATATATATTTACTGGCATAACCAGAAGCAGAATCTTCTATGAATACCTCATATGAAGCTATTCTGTTGTGTACCTACTAAAGTTCTAATGAGAATCAAGTGAGATAATTTATGTTAATTGTGCTTATTAATAGCAAACTGTTCTGTACCTGAAGATAACATATGTCACATCTTCTGGGGTAAATGACCTAGAAAAAGGAGACTTAGAAGATGTAATATATTAGAATACATGGTCAAAGTTGTATCCAGTAGGTGTGTCAAAACTGTGGTGTTTTGAGGGTTAATGTGGTGGTTTAGACAATTCATGATATATACTTTTCTACATACTCACTGACAACGATAAATGAACAAAAAGAAATCCTATACCATGTCTAAACCATCTGACAGAAGGCAGAGAAGACACAGAACACCCTTCTCTTCCTCTTTTCTTGGTGACTTCATCACATCCTGGCAATGTGTGTCCAACACCAAGCATATTCCTTGACATTGGTGCTCCTTGTCCTGAAGCAAGGAGCTTTATGGGAGACTCTGATCTTCTCAGAGTGGGAGAGGCCTTGGGAACCAGTGGGTGGACAGATTCATGTTTTGTGGCAACAAAAGATTTAAAATGTTTCATAAATCTGAGGAAATGAGATCTTTAAAGTAATCCATTTTAACATATCATCTCCCTTTTCTCTCATGTGATTCCTGTTCCGGACCTCCATGTCCAGGGCTTACTTTCTGGATGGGTCAGTATTTTATGTTATCATCATGTTTGCTTTATTATATTATTATGGAAGAATTCGTTAAGAAAGAGTTAGTGCTGAGACATTTTCATTCCATTGTAATCTGGTAGTATGTAAATAAAAATGTGGAGTGAGAAGGAAAAGCTCATTATATTTCATTCTGCCCTTATACTTCACTAGACGGAATCTTGCCTACATTGCTTAAGTGTGTATTTAAGAAGAATAATTAAGAGGGGTATGTGAAAGCCTTCTCCTAGTCAGAGAAGAACTAGGGAAAGTCTTCCCTTCTCATCAGTCTGGCAAGGTTGTGAAAATTTGGCTCTGTGAAATTTTGCTTCATGTAAGCCACATAACCTTGGAGAAGTTGAAACAGAGGAGCTTCGAGTTGGTATGCATGTATGAAATATTGACCTGTGATGTGATGCATAATGATTTCCTTCGGTTCTTAACTAGATCATTGCTCAAAGAAACAGGAACTCTGGAATCTCAGCTGGAAGCAAATAAAGTAAGTATTGTTTTTTCATTAACTGAAGATATTGCCAAAATTATAAGGAGTGTAAAAATAATCACCTAAGGGAAGCCCAGGTGATACTTTTAGGTATGTATCACCTGAAGTCCATTTTAACCATAGGCCATCACATCATGAATATAAACCTCAGTCTACTTAAATCTCTGAATTTCAATTTCTGCATCTACACAATAGAGTTAGTACCCATTGTAGAGTCACTGTTTGCCCTGAAGAAAGAATTTCATGGGAGACTCTGATCTGCCCAGAGTGGGAGAGGCTTTGGGAACAGTGGGTGGGTGGTTTCACGTTTTGTGGCTACAAAGGATTTAGAACATGATGATGAAGTAAAGGAGCAAATGTAAAAGTGCCCAACACTGGCAAATTTCTGTTATTATATGACGTAGTAAGATGATACAATTGAATCTAATCATCTCTTGACAACTGAGCGAAGTAATGGGTTAGAACAGTGTTTCTCAACATTTTTTTTTTACTATTATTCTTGCAGGAGAAAAAAATTAAGTAATGACATTTAATTTTTTTCTAACAAAAAAATGAAATACTAGAGAATACGATGTCAGGTAGTTTTGACTGTCATCTCACTTGAGTTAAAGTGGCTTTTATTAAAAAAACAAGGAATAATGGATGCTGGTGAAGATGTAGAGAAAGTGGAAATAGTACAGCCACTATGGAAACCAGTATGGAAATTCCTCAAAAAATTAAAAAGATAAAGACCATATGATTCAGCAATCCCATTACTGGGTATATATCTAAAAGAAGGGAAATTAATATATCAAAGAAATATCTGCCCTCCCATGTTTATGACAGGAGATAACAGGGAGACTATTCACAATAGCCAAAATATGGAATCAACCTAACTGCTCATCAATGGATTAACTGATAAAGAAATCATGGTATACACAATGGAATATTATTTGTCCATTAAAAAATGAAATTCTGACATTTTCAGTAACATGGATGGAACTGAATGTCATTATATTAAGTGAAATAAGCCAAGCACAGTAAGACAAATATTGCATGTTCTCACTCGTAGGTGGGAGCAAAATAAAATGGATCTCATGAAGACAGAGAGTATATTGGAGATTACTAGAGGATAGGAATGGTAGGGGGAGATAGAGGAATGAAGAGAGGTTGATTATTGGGTATAAATATACAGTTTGATAGAAGAAATAAGACTAGTAATTGATAGACCAGTAGGGTGACCATAGTTTACAATAATACCTTGTATATTTTAAAATAGCTAGAAGAAAATACTTTGAATGTTTCTAGCATAAAGAAAAGACAAATATTTAAGGTAATAGACATCCAACATATACTGATTTGATCTTTACAAATTATATGAATGTATTAAATTGTCTTGTATACCCTGAAGTATGTACATCTATTATATATAAATGAAACTTAAAAAAAAGATGTCAGGCAAATTTGACCTTTGAAAGGCTACAAGCTTTGTCATATCCCACATTTTTTTCACTGCACTCCACAATCATCAGAATAAATTCACACTTACCCTTATGAGCAATATTCCCTCACTGAGAAAGCATGGGCAAGATGCAGAAATTTGGCATAAAACATGTCTGCATGGCAGGAGCAGCCCATGAAAATCATCCCAAGTTGATGAAAGTGGCCCAGGAGTGAACACTGTGGAGCTTAAGTGAGCCTGAGAGCTCAGCCACAATCAGTGTTGCAGATAAGTCCCAGTGCAGATCACTGTGAGCCATTGATGATGCATGGACTCTGGAAATTTTATTTTTCTTTATTGGCTCTCTTGATAGATGACAGATGATAGACAGACAGATAGATAGATGATAGATAGATGATAGATAGAAAGAATATATAGATATAGATGTATGTGTGTGTGTGTATAACTACTAACTCTTAGATTTATATGTTGCAGAATACCAGAATGACAAGTTTTATTCACCTAAACTTCCCATTATTTTATAAATGAGGACTATAGAAGTGAAGTGGTTTTCCCAAGTAGTTCATCTTTTCACAGAGAACAAGAAGATTCCTGAAAATAAAATCAGCCTGTTATCTCCTCTTCCACCTCTAGGTTTTGAGCTGGTAACCTGGGCAACTAATTGTCTCTCTTCTCTGTCGTTTTTCCAGAGAAAACAGAAGGAGATCCAGGCGATGAAGCGTCAACTAACCAAGATTGTGGACCTGGGGGACAACTTGGAAGACGCTCTGATCCTTGATATCAAATACAGCACCATTGGATTGGCTCAGCAGTGGGACCAGCTCTACCAGCTTGGGTTGCGGATGCAACACAACCTGGAGCAACAGATCCAGGCCAAGTATTGAGGGCGTGTGGCCAGAGCAGGGAGGGATGCAGGTGGTGTTAGGTGTTAGGACCTTAACTAAGGGCGAGAGTTTGGTGCACCAGATAAAAGAGTTGCTTCAGAGAACCAATATTCTGGGTCTTTACTGCCCCACGGAATGACTATTTCTCTTTATACTGAAATCCATCATGAAATAAAAGACAGTGCTCTCCATCCACCTGAGCCTACTCATCACCCACTTGGACAACAACTGACTTTTATACCCAATTTCTCAGAGTTCTTTCACCATCTTATGTGATCTCTTAGGAAACCATTCCCTTTCATAGAATTTTATCTAAAATGTAATGTCTAGATTAAAAGAAACATTTAAAGTGTGGCCAAATAGAGCAGAAGGGCAGAAACTCATTTTCTAGATAAATTCACTATATCAAAGCAGCTCTAGGTCTCAATAGCATTTTGGCAACATTTTTATCTAGATTAGGATTGGCAAACTTTTTCTGTAAATGGTCTGATAATAAATAATTTAACTTTGTAAGGCACATATATTTTCTGCTGTAACTCCTTGATTCTGCTGTTGTAGTGAAAAAAGCAGCTATGATAAGTGAATGACCGTGGCCATGTTCCAATAAAGCTTTATATATGGACATTGAAATTTAAATTTTATGTAATTTTCATGTTTCAAAAAATTTTCTTTTGATTGTCTTCAACCATATGAAAATGTAAAATCTACTCTTGGCTCATGGACTGTACAAAAGCAGGTGGCAGCCTAGATTTGGCCCATGGACTATAGTTTGCCAACTCTTGAACTAGATGACTCAAATAGCAAATTGTCCATTAAAATTCCTCTCTCTTCCATGTGGCTTGTGTTCTGCTAACCTGTGTTTCATATACAGGGAAAATTCATGTTTTTTTTTTTTCTTTCAGGGACATCAAAGGTGTGAGTGAAGAGACTCTAAAGGAATTTAGCACAATCTATAAGTGAGTATAATTTCATAGTTAACTGCTTCTTTGTTTTTCAGATTATTCAGAATGAGTCTACAAATAATGTTTCTCTCACTCTGTGAGGCTTGGTGGAATCTTAAATGAAGATCTAGATATGCTCATTAGCTCCAGTCATGGCTTTCTGTGAGATTTTCAGACTTCAAAAAATACATTTCTTCATTCTCAATGTTTTATGCTTTTCTCTCTATCCATTAGGTTAAAAAAATGTACATGACACAGACAGGCTTTGTATTCAGTCCTCTGATAGTTTTGTGACAGGTCAATAAAGCTTCAGCTGACGCAATAAGACATATTCCTTTCTGTTCTCACTTGGTTTTTCTATTGAGCTTGATAAATTTTTTTTTCTTTTTTTATCCTTTAGACACTTTGATGAGAATTTGACAGGGCGCCTGACTCACAAAGAGTTCCGGTCCTGCCTGAGAGGACTCAATTACTACTTGCCCATGGTGGAGGAGGATGAACATGAGCCCAAGTTTGAGAAGTTCCTGGATGCTGTGGATCCAGGGAGGTAGGAACAAGACTAAGGGTCAGACCGCAGCAGGGATGGGGGTTTGGAGGGAGAAGCACAGAGAGTAAAATGATCCATAAAACATGAAATTAACTCATCTGAAAATAGGAAGAAATAGGCAACCATAAATGAATTAGGCAGCTCTTGGTGCCCTTTCAAGATTAGCTCAGCAGTGAATGGTGCTAACTTTAACTCGAGGACTAGCTTTACAATTTCTCCAATTCATGATTTATGTTCAATCTATGAATTTCAGCTACTTTTGAGGATGAGACTAGAGAGAAGAATCCCTTCATGTATGTGAGATTTTAAGGAGACATAGGTGATTCAGAGACCAACACATGGGGTTGGGGTGGTTATGTGCTTATGGGAGTGTGTTAGAATCATCAAGAGATCAAGTAACTGTTAGGGAATAATTCTTGCTAATACTAAAAACCAAAGAAGACCAGAAATTATTTGAGGACTGGTGCTGATGGGAAATTTCAAAATTCACCGAGAATCAGGCTGAATGACCCATGTTGAAACAGAGTCTGGAGCTTAGTAATATTTAGTAATATTTGGCTTAGTAATGTTTGGCTGTAAGAGGGTGATGAAGGGGAGCCAAAATGGAGAGCATAACCCATCTCATCCCAGAAAGCTTAGTTGGAAGAGGCACTTGGAGAATCTGGCTTTCCTCTGTTTCTGAGACACTGAGTAGGATTAAAAAGGGGACTTCCTTCTCTGCCTTGAGAAGGCTCAGCTCCTGATCCATTTCTCCCACAGGAAGGGCTATGTCTCACTGGAGGACTATACTGCTTTCCTGATTGACAAGGAGTCAGAAAACATCAAGTCCAGTGATGAAATAGAGAATGCCTTCCAAGCCCTGGCAGAGGGCAAGTCATATATTACCAAAGAAGACATGAAGCAGGTCCGATTCTGGTTGCTTCCCCTACTACACTGTCATCCTAATTTGAATTCTGGTCATCTCAGGCCCGGTGGCCTACTTTGAAAAAACCCACCCACTTGTTTTTTTTTTTCAGACCTCCCCTTTCACAAGATGTCATTTGCTTTGGTAACCACTTCATTTTGTCTTGACCCAACTCAAAAACGTACTGTGGTACTCTATTGAATGTGAGAGTCAATTCAAAATCTGCAACTCAGTTTTTAAGGCTATTTCTTTTTTTTTTCCTCATTAATTCAAAGAGCATTTATTGAATGCTTACTATGTTCCAGGCATGAGGAGTGCAAACTTTAGTAAGACACAGTCCCTAAATTCAGGTGTAGTGGGGAAGACAGAACTTTACAAGTTAAAAACACTGTAACAGAAGCAAACACATCTGTCATGGGAACAAAGATGTGGGGAATTTTATTACAACCAGAAGTAATCTCTCTTCTCTCTGATTCCAAGAGCTTTCTTCATTCCTCTCCTTAAAATACTTGCATCAGGGAAAGTATCATCTATGATTAACACAGGGTGAGTGTTGAAGGACGTGCAGGAACTCATCAAGTCATCAAAGGAAAGCCTAAGTGTTTCAGGCAAAGGCAAGTGTGTGTGCAAAGGAACTTGAGAAAACAGATTTTCCTAATACCTAAAGCATAAGGTAAGAAGATAGTAACAGAAAGTGAAAGGGAAAACAATTAAGCAGAAACCAGATTACAAAGGGTCACATACATGATGGTATCGTTTTGCACAAACTCATCCAATTGTCTAAACTCATCAAACTGTACACATTAAAGGTGCAATTCTTTATCAATCATACCTCGACAAAGCTGTTACAAAAAGAAAATGATGTGGTCTTCCAGACACTATCTGGAGCCACCCACCCACACGCTAACTTATTGGAGTCTTTAGGGATCCACTTGGTAATCAAACAGCACAGTGAATAGAGGAACTCTTTGGCATAAGAGGATCATAGGTTCAAGTCCCAGCTCTACCACTTTCTGGCAGTGTAACCACTGGTGAGTTATTCTACCTTCTTGAGTATTTTACCTTACTCATAAAACATGCTAGTCCCCACATCTCAAAGCAGCCAGGAAGATGAAATAGATCAAGTGGTCAACAAATGTTGTTAGGCATATAATTCCTTCTATTTAATAAAACAACTTTAGGGAATGAGATTTACAGAATAATCAAAGTGAGTAAGCTCTCTTTTTCAAGAAAGGGCTGAGATTAAAAGTTAAGTTACTCATTAGAAATTATAAATTTATGAGATAAAAATTGTGTGTAATAGAAATAGGGCTTGCGTCTTCCAGAGACTCTCCATCTCCTGCATTTATGGCGTAATATGGGAAGCCCCAAGGAACCAGCTATTTTGAATCCCTATAACTGTATTTTTCTCTTTTTATACTTTTCAGGCCCTTACCCCAGAGCAAGTGTCATTCTGTGCCACACATATGCAGCAATATATGGACCCACGGGGTCGAAGCCATCTCTCTGGCTATGACTACGTTGGCTTCACCAATTCCTACTTTGGCAACTAATAAGCAGCTCCTCGTGGATCGTAGAAAATCTTAGTGTCGTGGGAAATTTACTGGGGGGCAAAGAGTACAGGCAAATGTGGAAGATAAAGATGGCCTCGTGTGTGTGTGTGTGTGTGTGTGTGTGTGTGTGTGCTTGTGTTTGTGTGCATATTACATTTATTGTAGGATCTTAAAAAATCTCAAGGGTGGGAGATAGAAAGGTTAATAGAGTTGGAGGAGTGGAAGCTATTTTGTATGCAACTAGTCACTGCTGAGGGGTGTCAAAGTTTCTATTTTTATTTGTTCTGTTTTGCACGTCTTTATCATTTTGCTTTATTCCGATTATAGAATAAAGTAATTCTTTTTAAAAATATTTTTTGGGGCAAAGTTAAGTAAAATGTTGAGCTTCTATATTTCTGGGAACTGTACTCATATAAGAGTGGGCAGCTAATTTTACTGTAAAGAAGGGCCATGGTATAGTAGATAAATAAAATCCAAGGCAATTTTCAAACAATTTTTTTAAACTTTGGAATGTGTTTAAATTTAAATTTGAAAATAAAGATATTTGATTTTCTGGGGAACATGAATATTTTAGTTTGTACAATGAAACAACACACAGATCAGCATAACACCTGTTTTCTTCTTGTTTTTTTTCCATACTTCAAAATTATTGTAGATGTTATTACTCTCAGAAAGACAAAATTCCAGCATAGCAGGGCTTTCTCTTGTCCTCCAAGCTCCCGTATTTTCTCTTAAGTTTTAATGTAATAAAAATAATACTTCAATATCCTGTTAAAGTAACAGTTAATAGAATTATTTATAAAATTAAGAATTAATTTTAAAAAAAGAAGAGGTGATGCTATCTTCAAAAATTTTCAGGCCAGGTTTATTCTGAACAGGTTTATATGCCGACATTCTGATTTGATCTATAAAAGGTAATGGTGTCATTTGCTGGTGAGAATTCTTAGATATCTTAATTGCTGTGTATAAAACTGCTAGCGTTCTGCACAAATAGTCCCCACTTACCAATCCATTCATGTTGCCACTTGATTACCATCTTAAGTCTCAGTCCCTTCCTCTGCATAGAAATGAATCTGTGCAGGACAAATCCTGTCATAGGAGCCTTTTTTAAACAAAAAGTTGGTTAAAGCTAAAAAGTTATCATTGATACTAACAACATACAGGTATTTTAGTGATTCTTTTCTTAAATAGTCAAATACTATGGAATATAACAAGCAGAAAGTATTTTCAAAATTAATGTTCACAAATGTCTAAATTGCCTGATTATAAGTTACCAAAAATAGTACAGTTAGAAAAGATATAGGCCATCGAAAATTAGCATTGTTTAATATCACACTTACCACATATGGATAGTCTAAAACTATTTGTGCTGAAAATAATCACAAGCAAAGGTGGATGTGATTCCATTCCCCCAATGCTAACCCTGCCAAAAATTTTCAAGGCCTAAATCAAATTATTAGTCATTTAGTGGGTCAAATGTGTGTACCTGGAAGAAGAGTTTGCCCTTTCTAAGCGCGTAGTCACATACTTAATCAAGAGAGGAAATTTGAATCACCAAACGAGATTTTGAAGACTATTATGTTGTCCCTATCCCAAATCAATTGTTTCAAGGTAGAAACAAATTAGATAGATTCCAAAAACACCTATTTGGAAAAATCCCTCCAAGTGATTTTATACCCTTCCATACTTAAGACTACTACATGTGGAAGTTAGACCTCTAAGTATTACTTAGCAATACTTGAAACATCCTTACTAACCATTCGTCACTGTGCATTTAGTCAATGTTATGCTGGGCAGACTGAATGAACTGGTGAAATGAATTTGCTCACATGGCCTCAGTGCAATGAGGCATTACTTCTTCCAATATTGAGAACTTCAGAGTAGATGGCCTTTCTCCCCTGATGAGGCCCTTTTGGCTATCTGACTAACTCATCTACTTGTCTTCATCCTGTTCTCTTCTCTGAGCTCTAGCTTCCTTCCTCTCAAATTGTTTTCATCAAATTCCAATTAGAGGATGTATTTCTTTCCTGAAAGCATGAAAAAATATGGATTTCTGTCTGAAAAATATCTTCTCGGCCTAAGGTCTTTCCTTGTCTCTCAAGCCATGCCCCACTTCTATCTCACTGCCAAATCCTGTGAATTCTACCTTCTCAAAATCTCATGTTTGTGATTTCCTTCAGTCTCTGAATGTCACTATCCATATTCAAGCCTCTTTGCCTTTTTTTAAGCTGATATCCATGGGTTTCTTGCTGATCTCCTTGCCTCTGGTTTCTCTCTACTGAAATCTATCATCCCCTTTGCTGCTGGATTAATCTTCCTGAATCCCTTCCCAGATGCCTCTCTCTGTTCAACGTTTTACTGTGCCTTATCTCCTATAGACAAAAGGACCATGTCTGAAGCAAGGTATTCAAATTATTTCAACAAGTAAGTCATGACTCAAACTAACTTCTCAGCATCATTTGTGAGTTGTTTCCAGCCCCTCTGAATAACTCACACACATTAAACTAGGCTTATATTGTCTTACCATCAAGCCTTTGGCTATTACATTCTCTCTTCTGAGAATGTACTTTCTCCCCAGTCAGTGCATTCAAAGCTCACCCATCCTTTAGGAACAAGTTCAGATACTATTTAAGACATGAAGTCTTCTCTGATCCTCCACCTAGAGTAAACTCTACCTAAACTAAAAGCCAATATCTTTTTCCTTCACACATTTTAATAGTAGCAACTGGAATTTATTGGACGATCGCTATGATCCAAGGGTTGTGCTAAATTCTTTGTATGCATGATCCTGTTTAGTCACCAACCATTGTAAAGATAAGACTCGGAAGCTGAAAAAAATGTTAAATAACTTACCTAGAGTCACACAGCTAGTAAGTTGAAGAGTTTGGATTCAAACTCCTGCCTGACGGTCTTGTGAGTTCATTACACTTTCTCTAATAATGTCCGCCGCTATATATAACCACATTATATGTGGAAAGTGGAATAGGCAGAATAGATAGTTCTGCAATAGATTCAAAAGAACAGTATCCAATTTGATAAGCGACCCAAATGAGAAAGGTCTTTGACACTCAAGATTCTGAAGCTACCAGGGAACATTAACAGTTATAAAAAAAAATAGGAAGTAAATATATTTTCTGAAATAGAGTGCACCCAGCTTGGAAAATCAATCAAAACAAAAAGGGCAAAGTAACAGAGTCAGAGATAGTGAGGACAACTATATAAAAAGATGATTCCATGTTTTTGCTACTGTCAATAGCACAATGAGGAATGTATAAGCACATGTGCCCCACTGTATATGAAATAATAGTTGAAATTAAAAAAAATAAAAACATAAAAAGATGAAAGACACCCAGTGGGAGTAAAAATGACCCACCTGTTCATTTAACAAAGCTTTAAACTAACCTGTCAAGCTGATATTCCCCAGGTTTCAAATCTTGGAAGAACATTACAGGTCAAATAGTCTAATTATGTAATGATTTTAGAAATCTCTACAGTATCCCTGATGGGCTCCAGCCAGCCCTGCCTTGAACTTGAACACTCCAAACTTCCCTCATTTTGTTCAGCTCAATTAAAAAATTCTTGATTATCTTAATTAAATTTTTAATTCTCAATGGGTTTCAGTAACTAGGGGTGGCATCTAGGAGGCTGAAAGTTAAAATTCAGATTTTGGGCTCATTTTGAGTTGTGCACAGTGAGCAGAGCAGGAAGCCCCGCCTCTGCATTCCAAGCAGTCAGGGGGAAGGGCAAGAGGCAGGATAAGGCTTTCCCAGAAGATTGGGGGTAGGACAGCTTTGGCCTGAGGCCTTGAATACCTGGCCCTTTGGCTTGGGTTCTTGGTCTATGCCCAGCCTACACAGAAGAAAGTGTCCTATTGGGGTAACCTTCATCCTTTACCCAGCAATCTCCCTCTGAAAGCATTCCTCAGAGCTGTCTGTATAGCCCTATTCCTTAGACTATAAACAATGGGATTAAGGAGGGGGGTCACTACAGTATAGGTCATGGCAATAAGCTGATCTCTCTCAAGAGAGTAGCTGGCTTTGGGCCTCAGGTACACGAAGGAAGCACAGCCATAATGAATAATGACCACTGTAAGGTGCGAGGCACAAGTGGAGAAGGCCTTCTTCTGCCCCTCAGCAGAGGGGATCCTCAGTATTGCTGCCAAGATGTAGGCGTAGGAGATGGTGATGAAGAAGAAGGAGACCAAGAGGACCAAAAGACTGAGGATAAAGATCCTCAGCTCACTCGGGCCTGTATCTCCACAGGCTAGGCTCAGCACAGGTGGCGTGTCACAAAAAAAGTGCTGGATTTCATGGGAGCTGCAGAATGAGAGGTGGAAAATAACTAGTGTCATTCCCAGTCCAAAGAGGTATCCAGTCAGGAAGGAAGTAATGACCAGCTGGGCACAGAGGGTAGGATTCATGTGGCTGGCATAGTGGAGTGGAGCACAGATGGCCACATATCTGTCAAAGCCCATGGCAGCCAGAAGGAAGCAGTTAGTACAGGCCCATGAGGCAGAAAAGAACATCTGGGCAGCACAGCCCACATAGGAGATAGCCTGGTCCCCCCCAGCCAGGCCAGAGAGCATTCTAGGGATGATGCCCAAAGTGTAGCAGGTCTCAGAGAAGGATAGGAAGGAAAGGAAGAGGTACATGGGGGTGTGCAGATGGCTATCCAGCCTGATGGCTATGATAATGAAGACATTGCTGGTCAGAGTGACTAGATACAGAGAGAGGAACAAGGCAAAGAGAAGGAGCTGCAACTCCCCAGAACTGGAGAAGCCCAGGAAGACAAAATCCCTCCAGGAGGTTACGTTGGTCTGCCCCATTCTGAGAGGTATATCCCTGATAGATTTGTTGATTTCTTCCACCTTGCCAGTAGATGCCTAACTTCTTTAAAAGGTGGATGATATGGATTCTTTTTCTCTTGTTCCTGTTGCAACTTAAAAAGGCAGCTCTGATTTAGACTCTACTCAAACTTCAAAAAAGTATTTGTTAAATTAGACACAAATGTATGGGTCCATTCCCATATGACTGTATGTACATATACACATACACAGATGCACAATCACAGACATTCATATGCACATACTTGCACACAAACATATGTATGACTACATACATGCAGGTGTATATATGCTTTATAGCATTCACACATAATTATGCATATCTTACACATTCAAAACTATAAATTATACATTTGCTATTAATGGCCATATCCACAAATATATCAGGCAGGCACATACATTACAAACACATATGTATATAGATAGCATGCAAATTCGTAGATACACACATCACATATAAAGATACACACACCACATATACGTTTATATTGTCTTTATACATACACTATCACATAAGAATACACATATGGACACACCCATATTGCTTGTTAGAACTTTGTGGGGAGGTGGGGAAACTTGATCTTGATGGATTTTGTTTTATAGATCAGGTAACAAAGATCAAGAGAGGTGAAGTGACTTTCTTGAAGTCACACAGAACCAGTATTAGAAAACAAGTATGGTGACTCTTAATCTATCCTTATTTTCCCCATACAATGATGACTCTCTTTAGAGACTATGGAACACACACTAATATGAATATGGAGTAAGAAATAGTTAGTTCAACGATAATCACTTTATCTATACAACCCCTCTTCCAAGCCATTTTACCCTTTCCAAATTCCTTGGGCAGAGTAGGGCAGGCTTCTTTTACCTGTGAATCTATGTTAAGCACGGAAGAAAATGTCAGGGCTCAAGGCAGGTTGTGCAGCATGCATCTCTCAGCCCAAAATCAGGTACTGCTGCCTCCAAAAACTCTACTCTAAACCAAAGCATAAGTCAAGGGAGGATTCTCCACTCACCTGAACAGACTCACGCTGACCTGAAGAGGCTCACAAAGCAAGTCCTGCCTTTTAGCTCCCATGCACTAGACTGCCTCCCAGCAGGATAGACCACAGGAGAAAGACTTGAGATGCATCTTGAAATCTCCTACTCTGAGCAGTGTGATGTCTCCAAATGATACAAAGAAATCTTCTTCCACACCCCTAGTTCCAGGTGGTAAATAATACCTTCTTCCATCCAAACAGCTTCTTTCTCAGAGGATTCTCTAGTCCCAATGGGTGCTGTCTCAGGAAGCACGTCTAATTGTGTTTTTTTGTCATTAGTTGGGAATATCCTTTTGGGGAAAGCAGAAAGGGGAATGTGAACAAGAGATACTAGGATCATGATTTAAATAATAAGTATTGTATCATGTGCTAAGTATTAAACACTAATTTTTTTCACAACATAAATCTCTTTTAAAATTTACAGCAGCCTAGTGAGATAGTGTTAATAGTTACACTTTATAGAAGTGTAACTGAGCCTAATAGACTTTAAATAACTGGTCCAAAATTACAGAACTAAGGACTTATGCTTATAAATTTATACCATAAGATGTATAATTTAAAAATGAAACAAGAATTCAGCTGCTCCCCACTGCTGTCTCAAGAGCTTGATATAACTACTTTGGATATGTGCCTGGTTTCAAAGTCATTCTGAAGAAAATTCTGATCTCTTTCAGGGTCAATTTATTCCTGCATCCTCATTTGTCTATTCCATTTTTTTCTCAGATGCATCATTTTAAAAGCAACTTTACCTTATTTTCATCCTCTTCCTTTGTTTCAACAATGCTGCAATATCTGCATCCAGACAAGTGATATACTTTCCACCTTCAGATTGTTCTGAAACCTTAAAATGTCCCAAAAGTCTACCTACAACTAGGTTAATCTGACTTGTCACTCTTAAAATGCATGTCTCTCTGATATACTTAATGGTGTAAATAGTTGCACCTTCTACATACATCTTCACTCATTGACTGATTTAATAGAAACAACAATGATAATTGGCAACATGTATTCATCAACAGATATTGACTAATTTCATTATATAAATTTAATAAAATATGTGAGTATTATTATTATTCCTATTTTTCCAATAAGAACACTGAGGCATGAAAAATATTAAATAACTTACCCAAGATAACACAGTCAATTGGTGAGGCAGTAGTAAGTAGACTTAAGAAGCCTTTCTTTTGTTTACCATACTATTCCCAGGACCCTGCTTTGGGGTTAGGAAGATGAGTTAGATGTTGGAACAAAATAACAATTGATTTTATAACTATTTTTCTTGCAATGTTGTTTTAGTTGTTGATCTAGCAATTACAGCATGTATTTTTAACATAATCTACTTAAACTTAACATTGAATTATTTCCAGTTAAATGTAGAAAATTTGCAATGTCTTAGTCCCAATTATGTAAATCTACTAACACGTTGTCATAATTTTTGAACAGGCATATGCTATTATAAAGAAATTAAGAGAAAATTATGTTTGTGCAAATCTTTTATATTTAACCAATATTTATCATTTTCAGTGCTCTTCAATCTTTCTTGTATAATCAGATTTTATGTTCCTTCATCCTTAAGGATTTCTCTTAGTATTTCTTATGGTGTAGTTTTGCTAGCAATACATTATCTCCATTTTTATTTATTTGAAAATATCTTCACTTTTTCTTTCTTTGTGAAATGTATTTTTACTGGATATAAAATTACTAGTCATCAGGGTTTTTTTCTTTCATCTTTCTATGCCATTTTCAATGTCTCTGTCTTCAAAAGTTTCTGTTGAGAATGCTACCATTAATTGTATCATTTTTCCACTCATATAATGTGTCATTTTTCTCTAGTTGCTTTAATATTTTCTCTTTACTATAAGAAATTTAACTAAAATGTACTTGAATGTACCTTATGTGTTTCTCTTACTTGTGGCTTCTTGAATATCTTGAACTAGTGAATTAATATTTTCCACCAAATTTGGGAAGTTTTCAGCTGTTATTTCTTCAATATTTTTCTTTATCTTTTTCTTTTTTGTTTGTACAAATGTATAGGGTACATGAGATATTTTGTTATACGTACATAATGCATAGTAATCAAGTCAGGGTATTCAGGGCTTCTGTCACCCTAGTACATACATTTTTGTTAAGTATAGTCACCCTATTCTGATATCAAACATTACTCCATCTCATTGTATATTGGCACTGGGTGATGGTTATTATTGTGTCAGCTTGATTGGATTGAAGGATGCAAAGTATTGTTCCTGGGTGTCTCTGTGAGGGAGTTGCCAAAGGAGATTAACATTTGAGTCAGTAGACTAGAAGAGGCAGACCCAGCCTCAATGTGGGTGGGCACAATCTAACCAGATGCCAGCATAGCTAGGATAAAGGCAGAGGGGTGTGGAATGACTAGACTGACTGTCTTCTGGCCTCCATCTTTCTCCCATGCTGGATGCTTTCTGACCTCAAACATCGGACTCCAAGTTCTCCAGCTTTTGGACTCTTGGGCCTGCACCATTAGTTTGCCAGGGGCTCTCAGGCCTTCAGCCACAGACTGAAAGCTGCACTGTCGGCTTCCCTACTTTTGAGGTTTTGGGACTCGAACTGGCTTCCTTGCTCCTCAGCTTGCAGATGACCTACTGTGGGTCTTCACCTTGTGATTGTGTGAGTCAATACTTCTTAATAAACTCCCTTTCATATATGCATCTATCCTATTAGTGCTGTCCCCCTAGAGAACCCTAACACTATTTAACAGAATTATCTTCATGCAACCGTTCATCCTGACCCTTCCCAGTATTTTTAATTTATCTTTCCACTACCTACTTCCATGGAATCAAATTTTTTAGCTCCCACATGAAAGTGAGAACATGCAATATTTACTTTTTGTGTGTCTGGTTTATTTTACTTAAGATAATCACCTCCAGTTCCATCCATGTTGCTGCACATGGCATGATTTCATCCATTTATGCCTGAATATTATTTCAATGTGTATATCTACCACATTTTTGTTTTTTATGCATTCATCCATCTATGCACACTTAGACTGATTGCATATCTTTGCTGTTGTAAATAGTGCTACAATAAGCATGTGAGTGTAGTAGTTATCCCTTTGATATAGCCATTTCTTTTCCTTTATGTAGATATCTAGTAGTGAGATAGCTGGATAAAATAGCTGAGAACTCTCCATACTGTTTTCATAGTGACTGTACTTGTTTACATTCCTACTAGCAAATGTGTGAAAATTTCTCCACATCCTCACCAACATGTTATTTTTAATGATAGCCATTCTGACTGAAGTAAGATGATATCTCACTGTGGTTTTGATTTGCATTTATCTGATGATTTTTGATGTTGACCATTTTTTCATATACTTGTTAGCCATTTGTATGTCTTCTTTTGAAAAATGTTTATTCATATTCTTTGCCCACTTTTTAATGGGTTTATTTGGGTTTTTTTTCCTGCTGAGTTGTTTGAGTTTCTTGTATATTCTGGATATAATTTCCCTGCAAGACAAATATTTTGCAAATATTTTCTCCCATTCAAAAGATTGCTCTCTGCTTTGTTGATTGTTTCCTTTACTGTGCAGAAGCTTTTTAGTTTAATGTGGTCCCACTTTTTTGTTGTTGTTGTCACCTGTTCTTTTGATGTCCTAGTCATAAATTATTTGCCTAAACCAATGTCCAGGAAATATTTCTCTAGGTTTTGTTCTAATGTTTTATTATTTAAGGTCTTATGTTTAAGTCCTTAATCAATTTTGAGTTTATGGTGAGAAATAGGGGTCTAATTTCATTCTTCTGCATGTGGCTATCCAATTTTTCCAGCACCATAAATTGAAGAACATGTCCTGTCTTCAATGTAAGTTCTCATTGGCTTTGTTGAAGATCAGTTGGCTCTAAGTATGTGACTTTCTTTCTGGAATTTCTATTCTATTCCATGGGATTTTGTGTCTATTTTTCTACAACAGCATGCTGTATTGGGTACTATATCCTTGTAATACATTTTGAAGTCAGGTAATGTGATGCCTCCAGCTTTGTTCTTTTTGCCCTGAATTGCATTAGCTGTTCAGGCTTGTTTGGGGCTTTATATAAATTTTAGTATTTTTTTTCTTGTTCTTTGCTATTATTTCTTCCCATCCATGAGCACTGGATGTTTTTCCATTTGTTTGTGTCATCTTCAATTTCTTTCATCAATGTTTTATAGTTTTCCTTGTGGAGACCTTTTACCTCCTTGGTTATATTTATTCCTCTGTATTTTTTGGAGGAGGGCAGCTATTATAAAGGTTATTGCCTTTTGATTTCGGTATCGGCTAGATAATTATTGATACATAGAAATGCTACTGAATTTTCTACATTGATTTTGTACCCTGCAACTTTACTGAATTCAAATCTAGTAGTTTTTGCTAGAGTCTTAAATTTTGCTATATATAAGATTATATCAACAGCAGAGAGGGACAATTTGACTTCCTCTTTTCCAATTTGGATGCCTTGGTTTCTTTCTCTTTCCTGATTTCTCTGGCTGAAACTTCCAGTATCATGTTGAATAGTTTTGGGGAAAGTGGGCATCCTTGTTTCATATCTTAGAACAAAGGTTTTCACATTTTCTTCATTCATATGGTGTTAGCTGTGGGTTTATCATATATAGCCTTTATTATTTTGAGATATGTTGCTCCTATGCCTACTTTGTTGAAAGTTTTTATCATAAAGCAATGTTGAATTTTAGCAAATGCTTTTTCTACATCTATTGAGATGATCATATGGTTTTTATGCTTCATTCTATTAATGTGAAGTATCATGTTTATTGATTTGCATGTGATGAACCATCCTTGCATGCCCAGTATAAATATGTTGATCATCATATATATATTTCTTATGAGCTCCAAGATTCCATTTGCTAGTATTTTGTTGAGGATTTATGCATTTGTGTTCATCAGGATATTGGCCTGTGGTGTGCGTTGTTGTTGTGTCCTTATCTGGTTGTAATATCAAGGTGATGCTGGCCTCATAGATGAGTTAGAAAAAAATTTCATACTCTTTAATTTTTTTAGAATAGTTTCAGAAGAATTGGTATTATTTCTTTGTACATTTAGTAGAATATACCTGTGAATATATGTGCTCCTGGGCTTATCTTTGTTGTGAGACATTTTATAACCGATTCAACTTCCCTACTTGATATTGGACTGTTCAGGTTTTCTATTTCTTCCTGACTCAACCTTGGGAAGTTCTATATTTCCAGGAATCTATCCATTTCCTTTAGGTTTTCCAGTTTGTCAGCCTATATGTCAGCATAGTGTGTGATGATCTTTTGAATTTCTGTCGTACCAGTTGAAATGTCTTCTTTTTAATGTCCAATTTTGTTAGAGTCTTCTCTCCTTTTCTTCATTATTTGAGCTAGTGGTTTATCAATTTTGTTTGACTCTATAGAAAACTAACTTTTCATTTTGTTGACCCTTGTAATTTTTTAGTCTCTATTTCATTTACTTTTGCTCTGATCTTTATTCCTTCTTTTATTCTGCTAAATTTAAGTTTGCATTGTTCTTGCCTTTCAAGTTTCTTGAGGTGTGTTGTTAGACTGTTAAGTTATCTTTCTATTTTTTTTTTGATGTAGGCATTTATTGCTATAAAATTCCTTCTTAGCACTACTTTTGCTGTATCCCACTGGTTTTGGTGTGTTGTGCTTCCATTTTCATTTGTTTCATGATTTTTTAAAAAATTCTTAAGTTTTTCCTTAAGGCCAGTTTTTTTCTAAGCAGCATATAGTTTGATCATGTTTTTTTTAATCCATTCATTCATTCTATATTTTTAAATAGAAAATTCAATCCATTTACATTCAAGGTTATTAGTAATTGTGAGGCTGTCATATCATTAGTTGTTTTCTGTTTGTTTTCTATATTCTTTATTGCTTTCTTTTTCCTATATTGACTACCTTTGTGATTTGGTGGATTTCTGTAGTGGTATCATTTGAGTCTTTTCTCTTTATCTTATGTGTGATTACTTTACCAGTGAGTTTTATACCTTCATGTGTTTCCATTATGTTCTTTTGCTTCCAGGTTTAGGACTTCCTTGAGCATTTCTTTTAGGGTCAGTTCAATGGCAATGATTTTCCTCAGCATTGGCTTATCTGGGAAAGACTTTATTTCATCTTCATTTATGAAAGATAATTTTGCTTGACATAGTATTATTTGTTGTTAGCTTTTTTTCTCCTTTCCACACTTCGAAAATATCCTATTCTTTACTGGCCTATAAGGTTTCTACTGAGCAATCCACTCTTTATCTAATGGTTTTTCCTTTATAGATTACTAGATGCTTTTCTCTTCCAATTTTTAGAATTCACCTTTCTTCTTTGACTTTAGAAAATATGACTATAATGTGCCATGGGGAAGCACTTTTCCCATTATATCTTGCTAGGGATCACTGAGCCTTTTATATCTGAATGTCTACATATCTTGCTAAAGTAGGAAATATTTTATCTATCATTTGTTAAAATAGGTTTTTGAATTCTTTTATTGCCTCTTTGCCTTAGAAGACACTGATAATTTGAATATTTGATTGCTCTATATTATCTCAAATGTTACAAAGTCTTTGCTCATTTTTTTATTATTTCTTTATTTTTGTCTGGCTGGATTATTTTTAAAAGACCTGTCTTCAAGTTCTGAGGTTCTTTCTTCTGCGTGATCTAGTCTATTGTCAACATTTGCAAATGTATTTTGTATTTCCTTCAATGAATTCTTCAGTTCTGGAGTTTCTAATTGGCTTATTTTTAAACAACCTATTTCTTATTTACATCTTTTATTATTTTTGTAGCTTTTATATTGTTGTTCACAATTTTCTTGGTCTCACTGAGCTTTTTTAAAATAAATATTTTTAATTCTTTTTCCTGAATTTTGAATTTTTAAAAATTTTTAAATTTTTTTTAAAATTTAAGATCTATTGCTGGAGATTTAACATGTTTCTTTAGAAGTGTTATATTTCCTTGATTTTTCATATTTTTTATGTCTTACATTTATATCTGCTCATCTGATATAACCATCACTTCTTTCAATTTTTGAATTTACTTTTGTAGGGGAGGACTTTTTCCTGAAGATGTATCTATGTTGTTGGCTGGGTAGGGTACTTTGGCTTTGAATCTAGGTGTGTGCATTAGTGTAGTCGTTGTATGATTTCTTTGCCTACAAATAGGGTTAGTGGCATCTGTGATTTCCTTGGTGGATTAAGGTGTGATTATTAATGGAGGCTGTGGTAAATGGTGCTGCAGTCTAGGATGCCAGTTGGGCTAGTCATCAGGCCCCAGTGGTGGCAGCTGTGGGCTGAGAGTGCCTATCTTTACGCACCAGGGTGGTATATACTGACACCTGTGTTAGCAGGTACTGGCGAGCCAATTATTTGACCTCCATGTGACTTATTTGGATTCAGTAGTGGCAGTAGTAGACTAGGTGAGTGGTGAGGTTCTCAGGACACAGGGAAGCTGGCATGGTGTGAGTGACGGCAATAGCTGTGGTTTGATGATTCTCTGGGTCTTGTATGGTGTGTGTCGATGTTGGCACTGAATGTGATGGGCTTGGTAGGGCAGTCTTCAGGCCTTCAGGTAGGTGCCATCTGAGGTGGTGATATGGTTTGGCTGGGTCCCCATCAAAATCTCATTTTGAATGGTAGCTCTCATAATCCACATGTGTCATGGGAGGGACCCAGGAGGGGGTAATTGAATCATGGAGACAGTTTATTCTCATGCTGTTTTCATGATAGTGAATAAATCTCATGAGATCTAATGGTTTTTTATACAGGGCAGTTCCCCTGCACATGTTTTCTTGCCTGCTGCCATGTAAGATGTGACTTTGCTCCTCCTTCACCTTCCACCATGATTGTGAGTCCTCCCCAGCCATGTGGAACTGTGAGTTCATTAAACCCTTTTCTTTATGAATTACCCAGACTTGGGTATTTCTTCATAGCAGTATGAAAATGAACTAATACAGGTGGTAACAGCTAGAAGTTTATACCAAAACTTGGGCACCCAGGAGTGCTCAGGTGTCCAACATGGTGGATTGGATTGGTCAATTTCCAGGACTTCAGGAGATGTGCTCTTGAGGTGGGGGGCAAAACCAGGTTTGGTCACCCAGTGCTCCAGCCCCACCAATGATGAGAGCAGGCACTAGCCTGCTGGGAAGGGCAATCATCAGGCCCCAGGTGGAGTGTTCAGTGAGGGGTAGTACCATCCATGTTGAGACTCTGCCAATGGAGAGGGTTGGGCCATCCTCAGTGACCACTGCCAAGGCCAGCAAAGAGTGTCCCTCTCATTCCCCTGTCTCAACAGGGCTTGCTTCCCAGGCTTAGTGGTGATAGCCCATGACTAGCTTACACTCCTGCTGCTGCTACAGGAGCCCCAACCAGCTAGTGACCAAGTTTCAGTGGCAACTTGTGCCCCACTCAGATTCCCATCTCTGTCCTGGTAGCACTTGCTTCCTGGCACTGGCAGCTGTAGCCCACACCTTGTTCACTTCTTGGCTCCAGTGTTGGGAGTACCCCCAGCTCATTATTCCATTCCAGAAGTGATAGTTTGAATTTCTGAAATACCTCAGTCCCAGCATTTCTGGGCCCCAGGAAAGCATGGGAGTCTGCCAAAGATTAGTTTTGAAGCTCACATTTTACTGTAGCCAATAATGTCTCAGACAGCGTGTGGGACTCATCATGAGTTCCCTTTCTGGAGCAGTTCCATCCCACAGTCTCCCAGGAGCTCCCTATGTTCATTTTAGGAGTTGGGAGGATCAAGGAATTCTCTTGTGGCCAGGTTTATATGATTCCATTGTACAAATGTGGGCTGCTAGAAGTCTCTCACTTACCCTTTGCCCATGATGGAAGTCACTCCTGGCTCCCAGTTGAACTTGGCCAGGCACACTACCACTCTCCCTTTTGTTTCTCTGCTTTTGATGTTTCCTGTTGCTTCTCTGTTGAATTCCAGTGTTCCCTCTCGGATAATGCATGTGCAGTGTGACTGTCTACATGCTATTTTGGTTCTTCTAAATGAAGGATACAGGCATGAAATTCTTCTAGTCAGCCATCTTAAAGTCTTCTTTCTTTTTGTCTTTTTCTGAGATTTCAATTACACATATGTTGGATCATTTAATATTGTCTCAAAAGTCTGAAAGAGGCAGGGCATGGTGGCTCACACCTGTAATTCCATCAATTTGGGAAGCTGAGGTAGGAGAATGCTTGATTCCAAAAATCTGAGACCAGCTTTGACAACATAGTGAAACTCTGTCTCTACAAATAATCAAAAAATTAGCAGGGCATGGTGGCACATGTCTGTAGTCCCAGCTACTCAGAAGGCTTAGGCAGGAGGATTGCTTGAGCCCAGAAAGTCAAGGATGCAGTGAGTTATGATCACACTTTGGCCTGGGTAACAGAGTGAGACCCTGTTAAAAAAAAAAAAGTCTTATTTGTTTATTTTATTTATATTTTCTCTTCTGTATTTTTTCAGATCAGATAATTGCTATTGAAATTGCTTCAGATTCACTTATTCTTTTTTCTACTATCTCTAACCTGTTGTTGAGGCCATTTCACACACTTTGCAGTTCAGCTATTGTTGGACTTGTAAGCTCCAGATATCCAATTGGTTTCTTTTTATAATTTCCACTGCTCTACTAATTATCTACATGTTTACTCTTTATTGGCATAATTTCCTTTTATTCTTTGAGCATATTTCTCAAAAACATGAATGTGAATACTGCAAAATGCAAATTGTGAGTTCACTTGAAATCAATTTCTATAGGCTACATTTTTTCTTGTGTATAAGTAGTTTACAAAATTTTTGTATTAGTAAATATTTTTGGTTGAAAACCGAACATTTTAAAAAGAAATTGTAGTAATTCTAAAATCTGATTTTTTGGGGAGTTACTCTTTTTTTGTGTCTAACAGGCAGTTCATTTTTCTGGACCAATGCAAAATATTTATTACCAACTTCTTGCAGCAATTTATGTATTTTTTCATGTTGTTTGGCTTCAAGATGCTGCTTTACTTCTTTTATCTTTCTTTTCTAGTCTGGCCTCCTGATTATCTCCACTGAATGTATAGTTTAGCTATCTGCATATAGTTTAGCTGGCAGCAAATATTTGTACAGAATTTATCCTCAGATCTTAAGACTCTTTCTCTCTGTATTTTCCTAGATGTGTAGTTCCTTTAACACTTCTTAATTCTGCTGTCTAACAACTCAAGCCAATATGGTGTCCACTTGCAGCCTTCAAATCTATATGGTACCAGAGGAATACACTCAGGCAATGCTTATAAACTATCAAACTCACAAATAATACCAAAAGTCGTTCAGTCTTTCAAGAGTATATTCCTTTTTCCTTGTCTATGTATTTTATCTTCCATTGAGCTTCCCGTGATAAGTCAGGGCTTTTGCAGAGATAATAGTCAGATTTGGTATTTTAGCTCTTCTTTAGCTCTCTCATTTACAAAATGGCTCTTCTAAATTTCCAATTCTGTGTCTGCTTTAAACTCTATAATCTGCCATCTTGGGGTTTGCATTGGGTATGCTGGAGACTGTTCTTAAACAATAAAACTTCAAACCCACAGTTCTTACTGATAATATAAAATAGCAATATTTTAATATTAACTGCTCCTCAAGTTCATGACTGCCTTTGTTTTTTCTAATGACTTCAAATCGTTGTTTCTAATGCTTTTGTTCATGTTTCATAATTTTTACCTATGGGAGGAATAACTGGATATTTTCACTCCATTCTTACTATATCTATTTTATTTCATATACAACATCCCTATTCCCCATGTTTATTGCTTAATATCCTTTTCTCTCAATCCATGTCTCAATGTAGGAGGGCCACCTAATATTAACTGGGCCAATCTGAGTACATAAGTCTCTGGATGCATTAATTGGTACAAGTGGTGGGCAAATGAAGAAAGCCAATAACTCTCTCTCTCTCTCTTTTGTTTTTTTATGTAGTTTATAGCCAAAAAGTAACACACAAGTTCAATAAGTAAACATTTCCACCTTGATAATAAAAACAAAAATTGTTTTGTTTATGAAATGCACCTAAAAATTGCTTAAGGGAAAATTTATAGTTAAATTTTATTTTTAATTTCAACTTTTATTTTAGATAGAGGGGGTATATGTGCAAGTTTGTTACATGGGTGTATTGCACCCAGGTAGTGAGTATAGTACCCAATAAGTAGTTTTTCAACCCATGCTGCCATCATTTCCTTCTTCCTCTGATAGTCCACAGTTTTCTATTGTTCCCATGTGTATGTCCATGTGTACTCAATGTTTAGCTCCACTTGTAAGTGAGAACATGCATGATTTGGCTTTCTGTTCTTGCATTAATTCACTTAGGGCTATGGCCTCTAGTTCCATCCATGTTCCTACAAAGGACATAATTTTGTTCTTTTTTATGGCTGCTTGGTATTGCATAGTGTATATGTACCACAGTTTCTTTAGCCAATCCACCATTGATGGGAACCTAGGTTAATTCCATGTCTTTGCTAATGTGAATAGCATGGTGATGAACATATGAGTGCATGTGTCTTTTTGGTATAATGATCTGTTTTCCTTTGGGTATATATCCAGTAATAAGATTGCTGAATTGAATGGTAGCTCTGTTTTAGGTTCTTTGAAAAATCTCTAAACTGCTTTCCACAGTGGCTGAACTAATTTACATTCCAACCAACAGTATATAAACATTACCTATTCTTCTGAGCCTCACCAGCATCTGTTGGTTTTTGAATTTTTAATAATAGCCACTCTGACTTTTGGGAGATGGTATCTCATTATGGTTTTGATTTGCATTTCTTGGATAATTAGCGATGCTGAGCATTTTTTCATATGTTAATTGGCAAATTGTATGTCTTCTTTTGAGAAGTATCAGTTCATGTTCTTTGCTTATTTTTAATATGTTTTCTGCTTATTGACTTGTTTAAGTTCCTTATAGATTTTTAGATAGTAGGCTTTTGTCTGATACATACTTTGTGAATATTTTCTCCCATGCAGTAGGTCTCAGTAGGTTATCTGTGTACTCTATTTATAGTGTTTTTTATTTTATTTTATTTTTTGGCTGTGCAGAAACTCTAGTTTAATTAGGCCCATTTGTCCATTTTTGTTTTCGTTGAAACTGCTTTTGGTGACTTAGCCAAAAATTATTTGCCCAGGCCAGTATCACAAGGGTTATTTCCTAGATTTTTTCTGGGATTTTTATAGTTTGGGTCTCACCTTTAAACCCTTAATTCATCTTTAGTTGATTTTTATATGTGGTGAAAAGTAAGAGTCCAGTTTCAATGTTCTGCATATGGCTAGCTAGTTATCCCAGCACCATTTGTTTAACAGGGAGTCCTTTCCCCGTTGCTTGTTTTTGTTAGTGTTGTCAAAGATCATATGGTTGTAGGTGTGAGGCTTTATTTCTGAGTTTTTTTTTTTTCTGTTCCATTCATCTGTGTGTCTGTTTTTATACCAGCACCATGATTCTTTGGTTACTAGATTCTTATAGTCTTATAGTTTTATAGTATAGTTTGAGGTTTGGTGTTGTAATGCCTCCAGCTTTGTCTTTTTACTTCAAATTCCTTTGACTATTTGTGATCTTGTTTTGGTTCCACATGAATTTTGGAATACTTTTTTACCAATTCTGTGAAGAATGATCTGGTAGTTTGGTAGGAATAGCACTAAAATTGTTTATCCATTCTAGTAGCCTTTTGGTGTAATCTTTAGTGTTTTCTAGATATAGAATCATATTGAGATGGTTTTAAATTCTGATATTAGTAAAGAAGATAGTAATAAAATGATAATCTAAGCTTAAAATTAAGAATGTAAAAGAAAAAGTAAATTTAACCCAAAAATAAGGAGAAGGAAGAAAATAATAAGGATATGAAAAGTAAACAATTAAAAAAGAGCAAAAAGAAAATCAGCAATATCACAGTTTGATTCTTTGCAGTTCTTAGAGAAATTGATAAATCCCTAAGAAGACAGATCAGGAATAAAAAGAAAGAAATTACAAAAGCAGTGATGAAAGAGAGAATATTAATTCCAGTCCTACAAATGTTGGGAACAAGTTACTGTCAATAAATGAGAAAACTTAGATTCTAACAAATCCCCTTAAAACCATAGCCTACCAAAAATAAAAAATATGTTTAAACAATAGATTTTAAACTATAAAACTTCCCAGGATGACAACTCTAGTCCAAGGTTGTTTTATTATTTAAGAAAAAAGATAAAACAAGCTTACACAAATTCTTTCAGGAAATAAAATGTTAGAGAATCATTAATATCTCATTTTATGAAACCAGAATAGCACTAAAACTGAAACCCAAGAAGCACATTATCAGAAAACAAAATTAGAGACCACTATAATATATTAAAATACTTTCAAAAATGTTTCTAACAAAATAATAGAAAACATATTACATCAATGTATATAAAGGATAAGATTCCATGTCAAAGAGGATTTATTCTAAGAGTGCAGGACTGATTTACTTTTTGAAAATACATTAATATAATTCACTACACTAACAGAACAAACAGTGAAACATTAATCCATTCACCTCAATATTTGAGAAAAAATGTATTTGTAAAAATCAATATTTATTCTTGGTAAATACTTTGTTTCTATGAAAAACATAAAGCTAACATCACACTTCATTGCAAAATATTGAACTCCTTCTCCTAAGATGTCCACTCTTGCCAACTGTGTACAATATCTTATTAAAAGCCCAAACCACTGCACTAATGCAAGAAAAAGATATAAAAGGTACAATTATTTGGAGGGAATAATTAAACTTTCTTCATTTGCAGATGATGTGACTGAGTACCTAGAAAATATCACTACATCTACAAAAATAACTATTAGAACTAATAAGTTCATTTAGCAAGATCTCAGGTTATGATAGCTTGATAGGTAAATAGATGACAGATCAAATCAATTTTCTATATTAGTAACAGAAATAAGAAATGAAATTTTAAAATGTCAATTTTAGTAGCATCAAAAATATAAGACAATTAGAATTAAATTTAACAAAAATGATAAAGTATCCTTTAATTAAAACTATAAAATTAATGGGTAAAAATTAAGTTAAACCCAAATAAATGGAGATACATGCAATATTTATTTTAAAACTCGATATTGTAAACATATGAATCCCTCAAACTTATCCATATATTTGATGCCTTCTTAATCAAAATTCCAACAAACTTTGCTATAGAAATTCATAGGCTAATTCTAAACTCATACATATATCCCAATTCAACTTCCACAAATGTGCCTGTGCAATGAAATGAAGAAAAGAAAATCTTTCCAACAGATGGTACTAAAATAACTGCATTTTGGTATAAGAAAAACAAAACCAATCCCCTAATTCCTATTTTGTTTTATATACACAAGTTATACAAAATGGAGCACAGGCCTAAATGAAGAAACAAAAATATAGAGTGGCTACACTACAACATAGGGGAATATCTTCATTATCATAGGGTAGGAAAATATTTTTTAGCCAGAACATAAAACACATAGACTTAGAAAATTAACAAATGAAACTATGAAAATTAAAAACTGCTCATCAAGGAGCAGAAAGGCAGAGGAAATTATATAACTACTTTATAAGAAATACCCATTTCCATTTAGCTAAACATAGATGAGTATATATATTTCCACCGAGTTGTAGAAATAAGTTTTAGTGTTTAATTCATAATAATGAAAAACTAGAAATAGCCCTATGATCATAAGCAAGTAAATAGGTTGTGGAATATTCATACAATGAAATAATACCTAGCAATTAAAATGAATCAATATGCAATGGCATGGATAAATCTGAAAAACATGTTGAGTGAAAGAAGAGAGAAGCAACAGAGTACATATACAGTATGATTCCATGTATGAGTTTACAGAACAAGAAAATGTTATAATGGTTACAGAAATCAGCTCAGTGATTGTCTCTGGCATTTTGATTGGAAAGGAACATGAGGGACCTCTCTGGAGTAATAAAAATGTTCTGGATCTTGCATTCAGATTTGATTTCCTATGCACATGTGTTTGTCAACACTCACTCTACACTCATGATCTGTGCATCCTACTGTATTAAATAATATCTCAGTTTTAAAATATGTTGTCTTCTTGATGTGAATTGCAGATACAAAAGCTTGACAAGGTCTTCTTGGAAAATGATTCTTTTTTTAAAATCTTAATTTAGTTTACTTCAATCATTACATTTTTCATAATTATAAGACAATAACAAAACCAGGAAATTGATGTTGGAATATGTGTATATTTTTATGTTATTTTATGGCACGTGTAGGTTTATTTAACCTTCACCAAAATCAAGATGTATTCCATCTCTCCTGTGCTACTTCTTTATAGCCACATTCACCACCTACCCTCACCATTAATGACCCCTGACAAACACTAATTTGTTCTCATTCTTTATAATTGCTATTTTCAGAATTGTATATAAATAGAGTCATAAAGTATGTGACCTTTTACAATTTTTTCCCTCAACGTAATACACTTGAGACTCATCTAAATCAATATCAATAGTTCATTCACTTTAATGCTGAGAAATATGCCATGATATGGATATACTACAGTTTGTTTTACCATTCATCTATTGAGGGACGTCGTTTAATTTCCAGTTTTGGGCTATTACAAATAAAGCTGTTATTAACATTTGAATACAGGGTTTTGTATAGATATAAATTTTTATCTCCCTGAGAGAAAAGCCCAAAGTAATTATAAAGTGGTATGATAAGTATATGTTTCATTTAAAAAGGAACTGACAAACTATTTTTCCAAAGTAGCGGCACTATTTTGCATTCTCACCAGCAGTTTACGAGAGATTCTATGTATTCACAGCCTTGTCAGCATGTGGTATTGTCGCTAATTTTTTTAGGTTTTTTGCTGTTGTTTGTTCACAGTCCAACTTTTATTTTAGGTTCAAGGGGTATAAGTGCAAGTTTTTTACATGAGTAAATTGCATTTCACAGGGGTTTGATGTACAGATAATTTTGTAACCTAGGTAATCAACATAATACCTGATAATTTTCCAATCCTCACCCTCCTGCCACCTTTCACCCTCAAGTAGGCCCTGGTGTCTATTTTTTCCTTCTTTGTGTCTATGTGTATTCAATGTTTAGCTCCCACTTACAAATGAGAACATTCAGTATTTGGTTTTCTGTTACTATGTTAATTGCTCAGAATAATGGCCTACAGCTTCATCCATGTTGCTGCAAAGGACATGATCTCATTCTTTTTTAAGGCTGTGTAGTATTCCATGGTGTACATGTACCACATTTTCCTTATCCACTCTACCATTGATGAACATCTGGATTGACTCCATGTCTTTCATATTGTGAATAGTACTGTGATGAACATACATATGCTTGTGTCTTAATGGTAGAATTATTTATATTTCTTTGGGTATATGCCCAGTGATGATATTGCTGGGTCAAATTTCTGCCTCTAGGTCTTTGAGAAATCTCCAGGCTACTTCTCACAGTGCCTGAAGTAATTTACATTCCCACCAGCAGTGTATAAGCATTCCCTTCTCTCCACAACTTTGCAAACATCTGTTATTTTTTGACTTTTTAATAGCCAGGAAAACAATTTTCCATTGAAGAGAGAATCAATAAATATTTGCAGTTTAGAGAAAATATACATTGTAAAATTACCTTGGTTTATGATGCTTTTTAAAATGAAATGTGATGTTCACTTTTGGATGAGTCAACTCTGTTTTTATGACTGTCATAAACCTAACTCGTATTTCCATTAAAAGTAAACATGTGAATTGGTGTTTAAGTTAAATAAAATACTATATATGTTAGTTCCTAAAAAAGACATAAGTTCTTTGAGGCAAGTAAACTGCATTATAACTATACCTCAATGTGTCTTACTTATGAGTTTGTATTCTTTTTGATGCTAAAAGCTTGAAATGAGATGATTGTCAGAGTTAGACCGTTTGTATCTGATATTGAGACAATTAAATGATATTAAGCTGGAGCTGTTGGCTAAACTGATAATTTAGTTTTCCATTAAGGGCTCATGCTTTAATGGAATACTGAAAACACATAACACTCATCAACTGCCAAAAGCGTTCACTTCTTTGCTAAACATGTTTTTCCCTGTAGGTAAAATGTCACTTTTTCTGCTAATTGCAAGATACTTTTGTCTTTAGTCTTTTGGAATTTCGACTATGATGTGTCTTCGTATAGAATTATTTGGTTTTATCCTGTTTGGTATTTGCTCAACAACAAAAGAAAAAGTAAATGGAAATTTTCTTGGTTTTTAGCATGATGAGTTATTTTCTGTTGGAACCTGGGTATTTGAGTTATCTTGTTATGACACTTTGGATCTCATTTAAACCTTCTGGTTTTTGTTGTTGTTGTTGTTGTTGTTGTTTTTAGTATTTTTTGGAGACAGTCTCACTCAGTCTCCCAGGCTGGAGTGCAGTGGCACGATCTCAGCTCACTGCAACCTCTGCCTCCCGGGTTCACGCCATCTCCTGCCTCAGCTTCCCAAGTAGCTGGGACTACAGGCACCTGCCACTATTCCTGGCTAATTTTTTTTTTTTTTGTATTTTTAGTAGAGACAGGGTTTCACCGTGTTAGCCAGGATGGTCTCGATCTCCTGACCTCATGATCCGCCTGTCTCAGCCTGCCAAAGTGCTGGGATTACAGGTGTGAGCTACCACGCCCGGCCTAAACCTTCTGTTTTACCTGGCTTCTTCTAACACTGCTGCAACAGGGGAAAGTGGGAGTGCTGACGTTTACTACTAGTTAGGCTGGAAGTCCAGATTCTCCATTCAGCCTCTGTCGACTTCAGGGACAGCAAGAGAATCCTCCTTACTGCTGGGCTGGGTAGGATTTCCAGCTCCCCACTCTCTTTTGCTTACCCTGCCTTGACCATTCTGAAGGGGTGCCCCTTTAGGGCTCCCTTAGCCTCCACTGACATCACTGAGGATTATGTTGGGAATGGGCATTCGGTGTCACAAGAATTGACACTGAGACAAAGGATCTCTCAGCAAGGCTAATTTACTTTCTGCAGAAAGGGTGCCACTTGCTAGCAGCCTTGCCACAAGAGCACACATGAAAAAAGGAGACAGGGTCATTTATAACCTGATGCATCCACCCTACGGTTGTGTCCAGTTTCCATCAGCTGGAACAAGACCTCACATTCTATCCTTGTCCCAACTGACTAGCAACTTAGAACTTTCCAAAAGAGGTGAAAGCAGAGGAGAACAAAGGAATAGAGGAAGTAATTTGTGGAATGCTGAGAAAGGCAAAAACACCTCCAAATAAGGAAGAGGAGCAGGCTATGCCCTAATGCTTACTTGGACCTGTTTAGGCATGCCAGAGCAGATATCTTAGGCTAAAATGTAGGATCTAAAAACACAAAGTATATTGATTTCTTTATTATGGCTAGCAGATATTTAAGAATATTAGCACAGGTATTTGAGTAAATTTTGCTTCTCAGAGAGGTTACTATTTATTCTCAATTTGACTGGGAGAAAAGTCCCTTTGAAGAGGAACCTCTACTTCATTTTTATTACCTCTGGGAAGTGGTGAAAGTCCTGGCTCTGCAGTAAGTGTCTTTGACACCACAGAGTGCCTTGCTTCTTCCAAGTGACGGTGGAAATCCCAGGTTCCTACATGGTCTCCACAAACACCTCTGTGGGAGATGGGGTGAATAGAAGAGTATAAAATAGCTAGAGCATATTGTAGGCTAAAAGGATTTTACCAAAATATCTATGAACCAAGGTGATTGAAATCAACAGTATTTTCATTTCTCCCAAACTTCTGGACATAAAACATTAAACAAAGTGTTCAGAAGAAAGAGCTGAACAATCATACCTAACAATCATTTGATAATAACTGGAAAACTTATGATGAATTACTCAGAAACTGAAAGAAAATTGAATGTTAATGAAAAACAGTGAATACCTTTTTGTACAGGTCAAGTAGAGTCCTTATTATTTTGGGAACATAGAAAAAGGAACTGATAAATTATCCTCTAATTAAATCATTGAATTGAACTTTATGTGATAGATCATTAATCTATGAATGGTATATAACTTGGATGGAATTCAAAGAATCAAGTAGCATTACTATTAAAAAATAAATTCATTAAAGCTCCTTTAATGACTTTCTTCATGTTACCATAAATAAGAATTTCCAGTGTTTCTATTTGTAAAAATAAAACATTTTGCAATGAAATTGATTCTGGTCTGTTTTGTTTTTATAAAAATAAATGCTAGTCATGGATATATGAAGTAATTTTAAAGCAGTGTTTTTATTCAGGGATAATTGTACTTTAAAATTTTAACTATCACATTTAATAACACTTTCTCTTTTATATAATGTATAATAAAAACTTATTTTACAATCAACAAATGAATATTTTGTTATAGAGAAGTATAAGGCAGTCAACCAAAGAGGTATACACATACATATATATATATACATATATATAACGTGTGTGTGTGTGTGTGTATTAGAAATGTTCAAAACTATAAGTAAATGTTGAAAAGTGTAAGTAAAGGTATAAGGCAGTCAACCAAAGATATATACACATTATATATATACGTGTGTGTGTGTGTGTATTAGAAATGTTCAAAAAGAAAAATAAGATATATTTTAATGGAAGATGTAAAACAACAAATTACTGTTGCATTTAAATTGTGTTGAATAAATTTTTTTAAATGAGCTAAGTTAAAACAGTCATATATATAATATATGATAGATAGGTATTTATCTCCATATGTAAATAAATATTTAGCAGTCCCCAATATAAAGGGAACTTCCCAAGCAGATCTGAAATAAATTGAGATATTACTTATTATATTTTTCATTTCTGTAATCCGATTTTGTTATTGCTTTTATACTTTTTATTTTTTTAATGTTTCAAGGAAATTTGTAATTACTTATTGAATCCATCTTATGGAGGCTACTTTAAAATCATTTTCAATTCTACTATCTGGTTCACTTGGTACTGGCATCAAATGGTTGTCTTTTCTCGCTTAATTGAGATTTTATTGGTTCTTGGTATCAGGGATGATTTTCAGTTGAATCTTGGCATATTTAATATTATGGTAAGGTCTCCATATTTAGGCTTAGTGTATAGGTTCTGGAAACCATCCCAGGCCTTGTTGACATAGACTCTGGAGCCAAAGAGCTCACCACCTATCAACACTGGGCCAAGAGACAAGTTGAGCTTCCCAGGTTTTTCTGGCAATGATCATCCTGCTACTGTCAGCTTGTGTGAGGCAGAGGATAGATTGCTCTTCTAGGCACTGCTGGCCATGCAACTATGAGCAGATGAGGTCTAAATAGCTGGTGCAAGATGGAGATTGAATTAGGATTCAAGCTTTCTTGGTATTGCAGCTATGAACAGATTAGAGTTCTCATTGCCATTGGTTATGAGTCTCCCTATGAAGCCTCTGTTGGGCTTCCTTTTTCTTTTCCTTTGACCAAAGACAATGGACTTTACCTTTCCTCTCTTTGTTTTTGTCTATGCCTGTTGCCAGTTCAAGGTTTTGAGCTGTAGGGCTTTCCACATCCCAGTCTGGGATGAAACATAAAATAAATGAGAGATAAAATAAATCCTAGGGAGCTTACTGTGGTGTTCTTCAAGTCCTGAGGTATGTGGTCAGTCCACCTTCTCTTTCTTTTTCACCTTTTAGAGTCATTTTATGATTGTTTATTGAATTCTTTCCAGGTTATTTGGTTGTATTTACAGAAGGACAGAAAAATAGTGAATATACATCATCTTGTCTGGGAACCTGAATAGATTAAACTTTTCAAGAGATTGACAAATTATTTTTCAAAATTCCGGACTATTTTATCACTTACACATCTCTAAGAATAGTGTATGAGTTACAGTTCTTTCAAATCCTCACCAATACTGGTATGGTCAATCTTTTTTTCTTAAGTATTTGAACACTTATGTAGTAGAATCATCTTGTGTTTTTAATTTGTATTGTCTAATAAATGATAAGGCTGAGTATCTTTTCAAGTACTTATTTCCCATCTAATTATATCTTTGTACTGAACTGCTACAAGATAGTACAACCTACAGTACAACGGAAACCGGAATTTCAACTCTATTTTATTTATTATTTTATTTATTTTTAGAGATGGGATCTCGCTATGTTTATCCAGGCTTGTATCAAACTCCTGGTCTAAGGCAATCCTCCCTGTCTTAGCCTCCTGAGTCACTGGGATTACAGGCATGAGCAAACACCACTGACTTGCTGCTTATTTTTAGAAGTCTTTCCTAACACCCCTACTCTATACGTCTTTCTGACAACCTGGTCCAGTTGCTTTTATCTTACCTCATCTAATCATTGTTGTAGTTCTCAGCTTACTACAGTGCTGCTTACTACAATACACTTTTCATGGGCACAACCTTCTTTCCTCCAAAGAAGTATAAACCTCTTGTAAGAAGATATCATTGCTTGTATTTTTCTGAGTTCTCCTGCAATGCTTGGAGCAGTCTTTTACACACTGTAGATCTTTCTTAAGTACCCAGAAAGGGAGTCAGTGATGAAAGGGAAATAGTGAATATATTTGTGGTGAGTGGTGTCAATGAAATCCAGAACTACGCAGTAGTTAAGATAGCAAAATATATTTTATTCAGGAGCTATCGCAATAGAGAAAAACAGACGTCCATTTAATACTGGGCTCAATTTTGAATACACTGTGGAAAACTGGGGATCCATAGCCAAAGGATGGGTAGTGGAGTCAGTGAATAGGACTCCACATCAGGAGTAAGGAGGAATTCTCACTGAACTGATGTAACAGGACAATTGCTGAAGACAGGCCAGGATGATTAGATATTACCCAGAGGATGGTGGAGGATGAGGAATTTTATTAGATGTTGAGGTGACTGAATATCAAGGGTAAGGGATTCTCTCCAAACTGACTTAGCAATGTTCTTGCTACAACTAGGTGGTACAGACTCAACAAGGATGGATAATTTGAAGCCCAGTTGAGAAGAGAGCTTAAAGGAGTGTGACTAAAGTCTGGTCTAGGTGAGCATTTTTGACACTGAAAGAATGAATCGAATAAGCATTAGGGTTGCAAATTTTATTCACCCTCCCTGCCAAAACAAAACTTATAAAGTAGCAGAAAGCATTGTTTATGGGCAGGATATAAACTCTGCAAGTTTAAAATCTCCAGAGACTCCCAAAAGAGTTTAAAAAGTCACATGTTACACAAAGCACTGTAACTAATGAGAGCAAATTACAAAGTTGGGTGGGGAAGTTATCTGCTTTCTCTGATGAAAGAGAGAGGAATCCCTTAGGATCTCCTAACCAAAACCAAACCTCTAGAGCTCAGGAATCTCAAGCACTCATAATAATCAAACTATATCTCTAAATCAGTAGAAAGGAAGGTTCTAAACCATTGTAATTTAGTGGGCTGTGGGGGTTGATCACATCACATATGGCCTAACCTCACAACTCATGTCACAGAACTCTAAAGACATAGAATATTAAAGCTTGCATAAACTCAGGATCTTTTTTCTTACTTCCCATCTGGAGAAATTCAAATCTAGAAGATACAGCAGCTTTCCCAATGTCACTAAGCTAGCACCAGTGTTTTTCATATTAAATCAATCTCAGTCTCTTTTGAGTGGTGAAAAAAAGTATGCTTCCAGCAATATTGTGAAGATTATCTTTTGGAAGAATATAATCGTGACAGTGAATTAATTGGCTTTGGAGCCTGATAAAATAAACAAGGTAGGAAACTATTTTAGACGGTTTTACTCTCTTCTCCTCATAACTAATTGTCACTACAAAAAGAAACGGTCATTGGGATAACATTACATATCTTTTCCATATCACCATTTCTCTTTGGAAAGTGTGTGTGTGTATGTGCGAGTGTGTGTGCGTGTGTATATATATATGTCACGTATATGTCATATATGACATATATATATGTCAGTGGATTCATAACCCAAATTAAATTTGACACAGGTGGATTTAGGGACAACTTCAGAGATAGATGAGGTAGGGTGGGACATAATATCCTCACAACACACACACACACACATACAAAATCACGCACACATTTAGAATATACCAGAAGTGGAGATTCTGACATTTATACTCTACTGCTGATGATTCACCAAGGAAATATTTAGCACACAGTCAAGTAAGGACTAGATAAGAAAAGACCTATCTTGGAATTTGTATTGGTGATTATTTGCATTTTCAAAAAGCTTATGAATTTAATGGTGACTTTAAAAACAGCACCTCCTCCAACCCCCTCGCTGCCCCCTAGTCCCTGCCTCAAATCCCAGGGCTGTGTTGGAAGAGGTAGAACACGTGTAAAATCAGACTGTTTTTTTTCTGGTAGTATGTTAGAAAAAGCTTGGGTTTTGTACCAAGGCCATCAAGTACTAAAATAACTTATTGTTTTGCTAATCTATTTCATATTTACCCTTTGCTATATTTAATCCTTTAGTTGTAGAATCCACATAATTTCCTTTCTTACAGAGTTACTGTGAAGGGTCAAGAGTGCTTGGGAGCATTGGTGTATGAAGTGCTCTACTGATAGGAGGAATTTTTTGCAGTGGCTTAGGAATAAGCAGAAGGAACCTATTGAAGCCTAATACTTCTGGAAGGAAAAAGATGCCTCTGAACAGTTGAAATGTAGCAGAAAGCTGATCATAGAGAAAAGTGGAACAATCATCTGCAAGTAGATTTGGAAACCAAAGATACTCGTACTGAATGTGGTTACTAAAGAGGCTCACACCAAAAGGCCTCAAGAGGAAGCCCCGGGTTATAATAGACATGGTCCTCTATAATATTCCCTTAGGTAAGAGAACAGAAAAATGGTCTTCTTATTGGGAAATGACTGCTCACTAAGAAGAGTAGATACAGTAAGTGAAAGGGAAACAGAATGGAGAAAGAGTTGATAGGAGATAAGAAAAGATTAAGTCATGTGATTCATGTATGACTGTCAGAGAGTAAGAAACTTGTAAGGTCTAAGAAGACAAAGAACCAAAGGGACCTTTAAAGTAGAGTCCAAAGGGTTGTGGATTATTTTAGGAACCACTTATAATTCAGACCTTTTTTCTACTGTGTCTTCTGACTGTCAGTGATAAGTTAGACTCTGCCATGAGAATGCTTAATCTTAGCCTAAACAAAACCTAATTAGAGTGGAAAGTCTGTTAACCTCCATGCTCAAAAATCAAATGCTATACAGTGCTGAATAACAAAGGAAAACAAAAATCATTTATATACTAAGCACTTTTTTGATGATTAACTCATCCATCTAACATTCACCAGGAATTATTACCTTCTTAAAGTGCTCCATATTATTACTCTGAAAAATACAAAAATATAAGACTTATGGTCTCTTTCTTGAAGCACTAAGCATTGATAAATGAAAAGAGTATACAATTCAAGTCAAATCTCTTTGCTTCTAGTCACAAATATGCCACTTCCAAGACATAATTTTATTTCTAAAATAAGTAATCACACTTGTCCTACCCATTTCGCAACCGTCCCATTCACTTTATATTTATGCTGTGAAGAGTAAAATCAATAAACATTTGAAATAATTTGGAAAAATATAAACCCCACAAATGCTAGTTATTAAATATGTTGACATATGGGGCAGGGAAAACAGTAGCTCAATATACTACAGGGCTGAAACAATGTGTTAAATATAGGGACTAACAACATGCTATAGAAATCAGAGGACTATGAGATTAAATCAGATGTAGCATTATTGAAAAATTTATACAATTATTAAATGCCACTTATTTTCTTTGAATGCTGAGCTGGGAATTAACAAAATAGACACAATCTCAATTGCCACCTGCACTATGCTTGTATAGTCTGCTTATCAAAACCATCCACAGATTTAATTAATTACTATTAATCCTAAGAGTCCTAGGCTACCCTATCTTTCTTCTTTCCCTCTTCTCAGAGCAGAAATAATGACACATGTTTTTTTAACTTTCTTTTAAAATTCTAGGACCTAAATATATTCTCCAAGAAGGGTTAATGACTTTGGGCTTCTCCAACAATTGCAAGTGATTGTCCAAGTTTTGTCCTAAAATTACTTGGAAATCAATTCTTGATATTTACGCAGTAAATATTTATAGACCATACATTGTGTGGAAGTTTCTGTGTTGGACCCTGACTCTATTAGCCACTTAAAAGTTTTCTCTGTGTTCAGAAGCTCATCCAAATAAAGCTCACCTAATGCATCTGAACCTCCTTTATCTGAGCATCAACTGGAGTGTTTCCTCCCATATTATACCACATGCTCATAAAATCCTTTTAAAAATAGGCCAGAGCAAGCCTTCTTGTCATATACATAGTGATGTCATATACTAAGTCATCACTAATTAGCTGCTGAATAAAGGAAAAAATGAATGGATGAAAAATGAGAAAAACACATTACCTACATATACATAGTTTTGCTAAACTACAAGAAAAAGCAGTTGGTAATTGTAATTCTGATGATTTATCTTAGTCATCACAATTTTCCTTTGATGGTATCAAAAGATAATGGTGTTGAATGTTTATTGTTGTTTCTTTCAAATTTCAGACATTCAAACGATGAAGATCAACCAGACAATCCTGAAGGAATTCATTCTTGTTGGCTTTTCTGTGTACCCACATGTACAGACATTTCTTTTTGTGGTCTTCTTTTGTCTCTACCTTCTCACCCTTGCAGGTAATCTGATCATCATGGGTCTAACTTGGGTGGACAGGTCCCTCCACACCCCTATGTATCTCTTCCTTAGTGCACTCTCCTTCTCTGAGACCTGCTATACGCTGACCATCGTCCCCAAGATGCTGGAAGATCTACTGGCCAAGGACAGAAGCATTTCAGTCACAGGTTGTAGCTTACAGATGTGCTTCTTCTTGGGACTTGGTGGCACAAACTGTATCATTCTCACTTTGATGGGATATGACCGCTTCCTGGCCATCTGTAACCCTCTAAGATATCCACTGCTTATGACCAACATTGTATGTGGACAACTTGTGGCCTCTGCTTGCACTGCAGGCTTCTTTATCTCTCTTACAGAGACTGCACTGATATTCAGGGACTCTTTCTGCAGACCCAACCTTGTCAAACACTTCTTCTGCCATATGCTGGCAGTTATTAGGCTGTCTTGTATAGACAGTAACCACACAGAATTCATTATAACACTGATCTCAGTGTCTGGTTTGCTGGGTACCCTTCTGCTCATCATCCTGACTGATGTCTTCATTATTTCTACTGTCCTCAGGATCCCTTCAGCTGAGGGCAAGCAGAAGGCCTTCACCACCTGTGCCTCCCACCTCACCGTGGTTATAATCCACTTTGGTTTTGCATCTATTGTTTATTTGAAGCCAGAAGCCTCAGGAGATGACACACTCATAGCAGTCCCTTATACTGTCATTACCCCCTTCCTCAGCCCCATCATATTCAGCCTGAGGAATAAGGACATGAAAAATGCTTTTAGAAGAATGATGGGAAACACAGTTGCCTTGAAAAAATAATCTTGGGTTGTTGCTGCTTGTTTGAAGAAGGGCTCAATGTCCCCAGAATTCAATAGGGGCATTTATCCTGTGACCCCTGGAGAAACTTGTACCATTTGCCTTGTTCCAGAGGTTGGGATGTAAGAAGCAAGTGACACAGACTGGGAACTAAGTAGCCACAGGCATCTACTTAGCTTGTTAGAGAAGCTGTCCAACCCTTCTACTATCCAGTATCAGAAGAAGAATGTCCCTGCAGATAAAAGATTCTGATAATCAACTTCCGGGTGTCCTGCAGTATTCATGAATTGAGTAAAAAGTGTGGAAGGAAAAAACAGCATATAAATCCACTGCACTGAGTGATGTTTTAAATATCTAAAGATGTCAACCATGGCTCAGGCTTGTAATCCCAGCACTTTGGGAGGCCGAGGTGGGCAGATCACTTGAGGCCAGGGGTTTGAGACCGGCCTGGCCAACATGGTAAAACCCCATCTCTACTAAAAATACAAAAATTAGCTGGGCATGGTGGTGGGTGCCTGTAATCCCAGCTACTCGGGAGGCTGAGGCAGGAGAATAGCTTGAACCCAGGAGGCAGAGTGAGCAGAGACCATGCCATTGCACTCCAGCCCAGGTGACAAGAGCAAAACTCCATCTCAAATAATAATAATAATAATAATAATAATAATAATAATAATAATAGACGTAAAAGTTAAGGATTTTTTTTAGGCAAATGTTATGAAGCACTGAAATGCACCTCCCATGAGACAAATCATTTCTGATAAGAGATGTAAGAGTATTGATGTAATTTTGAGTTCTGTTACTTATGGGAATGTTATGAAATAAATGAAATAGTGGATAAATTTATTATGCACATTAACTGATTAAGTTTACCCCTGACCATGACACTCTTTCTTTGGGATTATTTTCATGATACAGGTGCAGACAAAAATCTCTGCTACCTTCAATCTGCAGCCATTCCTTAGTGGCAAGCATTTTCTTTTGCTTTGGTTCCACTCCCGACAATTGGTTATTCAATCTAGGGAAGCTAAAAGTCTCAAAAATAAATACTATTTACTCCCTTATTATGGATGCAGAGGATGTTACGTCAAGTCTAGACTCAAGATCCTGAACCTAAATTTGGACCAATTAGCCTGCTTGTGCCTGATATAGTGACTGTGGCGGGGATTGCTAGTTGCCAGAAATAAGTGAGTAAATGGAAGCTGAAAATACCCAAAGACTCATACCCATATGGGCACTTGCTTTATGACAAGTAAAGCATTTCAGTACAGTGAGAAAATGATAGACTTTCAATATAACTGGTGCTAGGAAAATAGCATATCCATATGAGAAAAACAAAATCTGAAAAAAAAAATCAATTTCTGGAAATCGAAAACTAAATTTGAAAAGTGAAGCAATAAAACTTTAAAAGGTAATGAAGAAGATATCTTCACCAACTTGAGATAGAAAAGACTGTTTAAACTGTATGTAAAATTTTTAACTAAAATGAAAAAGGCTGATTAAATCAAAATTGAGACATTTTATTCATCAAAAAGACGCTATTGAGAGAGTGGAAAAGAAAGCCAAATCATATAGCTATAAAGAAATTTCAGAGACTGATAAGTATGAAATTTAGGATCATAATTACTTTTAGAAGGAGGGTCTGTGAGTGGGCAGGATGAGGGGCACATGAAAAACTCCTGATGGGCAAAGTTCTTTTCCTTGGTCTAGGTAGTAACTGCAAAGGCTTTTGCCCGTGAAAGATTCACTAAGCTATGTATTTGTTTAAATAATTTTCTGTGCTTACATTTTATTTTCTAATGTAAGGATTAAACAAAGCAATGCACAGAAAGATAAAAAAGTCTCTAACATGTAACTGGCAAAGGCCCTCATTTGGTATATGCAGTCATGCGTCACTTAACAATAAGGATGTATTCTGAGAAATGTGTCACTTTGTGATTTTGTCAATGTGTAAACATCACAGAATGTACTTACAAAAACCTACAATGCACATAGACTGTATGATATAGCCTAATGTTCCTAGGCTACAAATGTGTACATTATGTTACTGTACTGAATACTGTAGGCAGTCCTAACACAGTAGTGTTTATGTATCTAAACATATCTAAGCATAGAAAAGGTACAGTAGAAATACCGTTTTATACTCTTGTGAAACCATCATTGTCTTTGTGGTCTGTCATTGACCAAAACATTATTGTGTGGTATATGGCTGTATAAATAATTTCTAAAAGAAATAAAATTCTCAAAAAATAAATTAAAAGACAATAGAAAAATTTCTAAGAGATGCAAATAGATCCTTTATAAAAGAGAATATCCAAATGTTCAATAAATACCTTAAAAGGTGCTTGGTCTCATTAGTAAGCATGAAAATGAACATTAAAACCCCAGTGAGGTACTACCACATACTCACTTGAATGGCTAAAATTAAAAGGCTAGATTAACGAGTGTCAAAAAAGAAACATGAAGCAACAAGAACTCTTCAGTGCTCCTTTTTTTTTTTTTTTTTGTGAGTTGAGTCTTGCTCTGTCACCCAGGCTGGAGTGCAATGGTGCGATCTCGGCTCACTGCAACCTCCACCTCCCAGGTTCAAGCGATTCTCCTGCCTCAGCCTCCCAAGTAACTGGGATTACAGGCACCTGCCACCACGCCTGGCTTATTTTTGTATTTTTAGTAGAGACAGGGTTTCACCATGTTGGCCAGGCTGGTCTCGAACTCCTGACCTCAGGTGATCCACCCACCTCGGCCTCCCAAAGTGCTGGGATTACAGGCGTGAGCCACCACACCTGGCCTTCAGTGCTCTTAATAAGAGTGTATACTTGTTCAGTCATTTTAGAAAACAGTCTAGTATTATAAATTTATTTTGGAGATTCTCATACCCTGTGGTTAAACTTTTCTACTCCTATGTGTATGCCCTAAAGACTAGTCTGCACGTGTGTGTCATAAGACATACATAGATGTCCTTAGACACAATATTTGCAAAATGGCAAGAGCCAAAAATTACTCAGCTAATATACTACAGAATAGATAGAAAAATTATGCCATATTCATGTATGTATCAGCATGAAGTAATAAAAATGAATAAACTATAGCTACATACTTCAGCATACATGTGAAACTCTTTTTCTCCTTTTTATATCATGTCTTTCTTCTATAATCTAAGATATTATTATAATTCAAGACTTTGTCTCTGACCCAATTTCTCATTAGGGTTTTCTAAATTTTTATACCCAAGAAATTTATTTAATGGGAAGAAATGAAAATATTCTCTCCTGTCAATAAGCAATATAGTAAGACATTAATGAAGAATCAAAATAGGAGATAAATTACTTCTGTTCTGCATCTACATGTAGATTGCTTTTTGTGAAAAAAATGTCCATTTGTCTCTTCCATATATATGAATAACTCATTCTGTTCAAGACGCTACACTAACCATGAGGAAAACAAGAACATACAAGATATATTTTTTTCTCTCAAAAAACTTACATTCTGCTAGTGGGGAGGCTAAGAAATTATGATGCAATATGAGTTAAGGTTTATACAGATTTATGGGAGCACTCAGGAGATACAGTACCCACATAAGATCACTATAGAATTTACCTATATTGTTGGCCAACATCCTCAGAATAGACTGTTCCACCTGAATATCATTTAATACATCCTCTAAACAGGAAAAAGAAAGAGCCAGGAGGAACCCTCTTTGGGTAATAACAAATTGCAAACACTGACCTCAGTAATCATTCCTTCAAAGAAGTCTGAATTTTATTGCATTACTCAGTAGAGAAACTTATGTTCTAGGGCATTTTGGAAACAATGGAGCAATCAGCAGGTAATTATTAGATTAAAAGCTGGATGTAGTCAGGAAAAGGGACAACATAAGCTCTGCCAAAATTATTGTCACCCCAAGGTGACTAGGCATATGTGTATCCTCTGAAAAGCAACATCAAAGACTTAACACAGCAGAAGTATAGGGGAGGATAGACTTTACAAAAATAATCCAGCCAGCAACTGAACAAGTAAACGAGCAAATAATGAAAAAAAGACCTAGTGGGGAGAGAAGGGAGAAAGACCAGTAACCAGAGTTTCTACAATATATTATGCAAAATTCCAGTTTCCAATATAAACTATGCAAAGAAAGAGAAAAATGTTACCCATATGAAAAAAAAAGAAAATCAGACAACAAAAACTGCTGGTGAGAGTGTGACTAGATGCCGTATCTAAAAGATGGACTTCAAAGTAACCATTGTAAATATATTTAAAGATGTAAAGAAAATCATGATTAAAGAAGTAAAGGAAGATATATGACAATATCATATCAAATACAGAATACCAACAGAGAGATAGAAATTATAAATGAAAAACAAATTAAAACTGTGGAATTGAAAGTATAACCACTGAAGAGAAAAGTTTACAAGAGCACTCAACAATAAATTAGAACTAACAGGAAAAGAAAATAATGAACTTGAAGTTAGAGTGATAAAGATTATGCAGCTCAAAGGAGAACGAGAAAAAAAAAACATGAAAAAAATAGAGCCTTAGAGAAGTCTGGGGTGCAATTAAACACACCAAAACTGGTGTAATGAGAGTACCAGGAAGAAAGAGCAAAGAGAAAGGAGAAGAAAAAAATATTTGAGGAAATAATGGCAGAATACTTTCCAAATTTATTGAAAAACATAAAGCTACACATCTAGGAAGCTCAACAAATTTCACATAGGATAAATGCAAAGAGGTACACAAAAAGACACATCATAGTAAAAATGCTGAAAGTCAAAGACAATGAGCAAATTTTGAAAGCATCAAATGAAAAATGGCTGATTATTTACTAGTCAGCCCCAATAAATTTAACAGATGGCTTTTTAGCAGAAACAATGAAGACTAAAAAGTGGGATAACATACTCAGTGTTCAAAAAACAAAACAAAACTTGTCAACTAAGAATTCAATCTCAGGGATTTTAAAATTGTCTTCATTTAAAATAATCAAAAACTGGAGGCCAGACGTGGTGGCTCAAGCCTGTAATCCCAGCACTTTGGGAGGCTCAGGGAGGCGGATCACCTGAGGTCTGGCGTTCGAGACCAGCCTGACCAGCATGGTGAAACACTGTCTCTACTAAAAATACAAAATTAGCCAGGCATGGTGGCACACACCTATAATCCCAGCTACTCAGGAGGCTGAGGCAGGAGAATCACTTGAACCCAGAAGGCAGAGGTTGCAGTGATCCAGAATCACACCATTGCACACCAGCCTGGGCAACAAGAGTGAAACTGCATCACACACACATACACACACACACACACACAAACTGGAAACCACCAAAATTTTCTTCAAGAAGAAACTACTTAAACTGTAGTATATCTATATCTTGAAATATTACTCAACAATGAAAAGGGACAAGCTGTTGATAGAAACACACAATCTAAATCAATCTCTAGACAATTATACCAAATGAAAAATATCATTAAAGGTACATACTATAAACACATATAAATAAGAACCAAATGAAAACTCTAGAGTTGAAAGTATAATCACTGAAGAGAAGAATTCACAAGAGCACTAAAAAATATACGTATGTACCTTTATAAATGTATACATGTATATTTATAAATCCATACAGATATGTATATACATATATATTTATAAACACATACTATATTTATAAATATATAAATATTTACATTTCAGTTTAATTTCTGTCTCTGTCACTTACTAGGTTTGTGATTCTGTCATATATATATATACACAGAGATATGTGTGTGTGTGTGTGTGTGTGTATAGCATCCTTCAAATGAAGCAATTATTAAAATTGAAAGTAGATTAGTGGTTGCCAAGCTGCTAACGGTTAAGAATGTGAGTGAGAGAAAAGTTAATGTGCCTATAAAAGAGCAACAGAATGGAATCATGTGGTGATTGACATGTTCTGTACCTTCACTGTAACAATGTCAACATCCTAGCTGTCACAGCATAGTATAGTTTTGTAAGATATTACTCTTGAGGATAATTGGGTAAAGGATACGTGAGATCTTTCTGTATTATTTCTGATAATTGCATATGAATCCACAGTCATCTAAAAATAAACTCAGAATCAATATGATTTGAGTTTAATTTCTGTCTTTGCCATATACTAAGTGTGTGATTCTATGATAATCACTTACTTTTTTTAAGCATCATTTTTACCTCTTTAACAGGATCATAATTTCTTGTATCTGAAACTGCCAGTGATAATATATATTCTCACTACAAGCTCAGTAATAGAACTCTCTGGAATTTTAGCTGAGTACACAGATGGCCAGTTAGTTACTACATTTATTAGCTTTCTTTGTGGCCGGGTTTGACTATTAAGTGACCAAGTTTTTAATCAATGAGATATAAGTGGAAATGATGGGTGAAACTTCTGTATCTCTCTCTCTGAAGATCAGTTTCTCTCTTTCTGCTTTCCTGATGGTGAGGACAGGGAAAAACAGAACAGTGCCTTGGACTTCCAATAGAAGCCTTCTATTGAGTCTGGGAGGACCAACCATCTGCCTGTGCTTTTTACAATCTTGTGAAATCAAGCTGCTCCACAGGCCATGCCAATTATGGACCACTCATCACTGTAGGGCTATATGAAAGAGAAATAAATTCTATCTTATTTAAGCAGTTGTATTTTTGTACCATTCTAAACTTGGCAGTTTGGATTATAGCTACATTGTATTGCTAAGATAATTAAATAAAATATGTATAAAGTTTTTAGCAAAATGTCCAGTATACAGTGATTGTTCAGTAAATGGCAATTGTGTATTTTTTGCACCAATAGGAAAAAGTGTAAAAACAGCTTCCTCTTTTTTATTTTAATACTTTTTTCTTGTTTTATCACCACCCTCACCTTCCTGAAATTGTCTAGCCCCTTAACTTCCAGAAAACACTGTACTCTTACAATTCCTTTCTTGGACAATTTTTGGTCTTTTTCCTTCTTTGGTCTGCATTTCTCAAGCATTTCCTTTCCATCTTTCTCTTTCTTTTTGTTCTCAACTCTGTTCCTCTGGTTACATTTATCAAGTGTGATTTTACATATTTATTAATGCTGACTCCCAAGTTTATAAACTGAAGACAGACTTAAGATCCAAGCCAATATTTCTGATTTATTGCTGCATATACCTGCCTTTCCCTTGAGCTTAATATGTCAAGACTGAACTCATCCCTGGCTTTCTCATGTTGTTCTGCCTTCTGTGTTTTCTGAAAGTCACCATCTCCTTACCATTTGAGCTAAAATCTCTGCAATAACTGCATTTCTCCAACTCCTTATAGCATCATTTAATCTTTTGCAAAGTATTTACTTACAACTCTATTGTTCTGCAGTAACAACAAATTGTCATTATTGCCAAGAGAAGAGAGCCATCATTTTTACTGGAGGCACTTCCTCTCCAATATTGCATCCTAAACAGGTCGTCTGGGCTCTGCTTGAACACTTTCGGTGACAGGCTGCTTAGCACATACCCCACGAGGAACCCTACTCCATTTGCTACAGTTCAGAAGAACAAGAAGCAAAGAAGTAACCTGGGTATGAATGACAGTCAGGAAAACCAGAGTGGTAAGAGAAAGAAAACCCCATTATTTTCAGAAACAGACTCAGATCTGAGGCAGGACTCAGGAATTCACAAGCACTCCTCTACACATCTTCCCACCAATTATCCTGAGATCTTCCCCGTGCACCAAGTTTTATTTACAAAGGGTTGTAAAGAAGGGCAAGCAGCAAACAGGCTTTCCTCACGGAGCTTGTAGACTTATGGAAGAGAGATAAAGCATTTCTCCCTCATACATAAGCACAAACAAGTAATAAGAGGCAACGGTGAACAGAGTTTAACAAATAAACATCTTCTCAAAAAATGTAACAGTCTAAATAAGCTATCAGAATTAACTTGTCCATAACTCTTACTTTATTGTGTTATTTCCTCAACAGAATTTTAGTTTTGAATTATCATTATATCTAGGCGCCTCTTAGGCACTTCTGAAAATAGGGTTTGTGGAAGCACTACATGGATGACACTCAGGCAATGAACCCGAGGACGTTACTCCACTTCAGTGCACACCCGTGTCCCTCTGGACAATGCTTTTTCATTGTATCACCTATGCCCTAGAACAAAGGGTCCCTGAGGCGACTTGGACACAGTCTTCTTGGGGAGAGGTAGGTCACCATGACAATGCATACTAAGGGCTATGTCCCTGATGAGAATATAATAAGGGAAATGTAATAAGGGCTTGCTACTGCTGCCTCTGTTTGCTTCAGGGCCCCATCTGCAAAACCTCAGCCCTACCGTGCCACAAACAACTTAGAGACCAGCATGAAGTATCAACTTTATTGAAGAGTTTCTAGGGCAAACCATACCTGCCCAGAGGCAAAAGTTAATCAGCCTATTGACAAATATCAAAAGGCAGGGTATATGTGTGAATGTGGAAGACAGGCAAGCAAAGAAGTAGGTGAACTTCTGTGACAAATTTTGTTCTTATTCAGGTTAGACACCCTCAAATCCTTCATCCATTCCCTATGATTTTCAATTCCGTATAATCCTGAAAATTGCTTGAATTTCTTGAGATATAAAATGTGCTTAAAATTTGAAAAAGCTTAATCATTCGAACATCTCAGAGTGAGTACCCTGTCATTTTAATCTTTTGTTCATGTGTTTATGATTCTAGAGATAGCACCTGAGAAATGCATCTGAAATGTTCACAAGGGTGAGGGATTTTTTTTAAGTGGCAATGAGGTAAAATGTTAGAGATTTGTGAAGGCATTGGTCAGGGCAGGAAAATATGTGTGGGAAAGGGGAACCCAGAAAGCAGAAAGCCATGATAAGAGAGGCAGAAGCCAATCTTTGTGTGTTTAGGCTGTAGCACTTCCCTTGCCCTAAGGCAAGACCCAAAGAAATACCTATCATATTAAGTCTATATCTACGAATTCGAATGAGATTTAAAAAAAAACAAAAACTATTGAATGAATTTGACTGCCATACACAGAGAAGACAAACAAACAAAAACCCTTTATTGTTATGTAAATGAGTCCACTTGGCTATAACCATGGACATTTACTTATTTCCATGGAAGATGTACAGGATAGAGGTTAAATTTCCCACCATACCTGCATAGCGAGATTATCAAAGTTTATTCCACTTCTGCAATTTTCTAGATGTATGATCTTGAGGAAAAAAATCACTCATCTTTCTGTGTCATTTACAAATAGAAATAATGGTGCTTAAACTCACTGGGCTGTTGTGAGAATTAAGTTAGCATATGAAAAATACTCACTACCCTGCACAGAGTAATGAATTATTATTATATCTTCTTCATATGCCTTATAGATAGAGACGAAGACAGTAATTATAATAATCTCAGACAGTCTTCAGTTGTTAATTCACCAGTTTTTTGGTAGGTGCATTAAGATTCTTCAATTTGTGATGATAAATGAGGAATTCAAGGGAAACAAAGAAAAACAAAACAGGTAGTTTTCTCTGGGAGTGGGATATACCTATGCACAGGGCTCTGCCCAATGTGTCTCCAGATGAAGGCTTGTGTTGCTTCCCATAGAGCACCACTGAACACCAGGCAATCTACTACTAACCTTCACTTATGTAACACCTAAAAGGTAGAGGTTAAACAGGAATCCAGGCAAATGTGCTGGTGTGAATAGCTAATTTGGAAGATCCAAGTGATATCTACATGGTTTCAGGCCCACAGAGCTATGGTATCACCAATGTGCTTTACAATAATAAGTTGTTTCATATTATGGGCAAATAATTCTCAGGTAATCGTCTCTGTTAATGTGATATAATCTAGTGAAGTAGGAATGACAAATATTACCAGCAGTGGCAGCAGAACTATTTCACAAATAATAAAACAGGTTCGACATTCCACCCCTGAAATGACATTCTACCTCTTAAATTTCCAAGTTCTTAAAGTATTACCTTATTTATTTCTTAACTAATTTGATAAATATACGTTGGTTATGTATTATGGCCAAAGCAATGAACTTCACTAGAATAGAGCAATGAGTGAGATCTCTGCTACCAAGGAGGACAAATCCAGGAAGGTACATAGCTACCCCATAGATCTATTAATAGAGTCATGGTCATAATAGCAGCTGTGAGTGTGAAGGACTTTTTGGACAAAGTCCTCACAGAGGCTTTGTTGTTTATTATGTTTATTCATGTGCAAAAGACCAGAGGTAAAATAACAGAGTGGTGTCTTGAAGAACTCTGCTGTGACTGGAGGAATAAATGAGAGGAATGGAAAACAGGAGTAAAGGGGAGGGTAATGTTGAAGGGGAGCATTCAAAGGCAAATAAAAGATAAATTGTACAATAGCATCAATATCATCTAGTCCTGAGAAGACCAACCCATAAAGAGCTGTTCTTGGTTCTGAGGGAAAATACAACAGGAGAATTCTTCAAGGTGTTCCCCATTAATTATTACTTGGAATCTAAGTTGCCAAATGAGAAGGGTATGTTTAAAGAGATCATCACTGTGTGACTGCTAACATTGCAGGCTAATGGTAGAATCCTCCCTTGATATAAAAATTTTGTAGCACTAATAGAGGAGGAAGGGCTCCCAGACTGATGATGGAGAAGACACACCTAGAAGTTAAAGCAAGTAAGAAACAAAAAGAAAGAACAAATACAAGAAGAGTTCAGTGGGCACAGTGCCGTGATATACTCAGAGCTACAGAGGGGATCTGAGTACTATGATTCAGAAGTAGTCTATCGAGGAGGGCCTCTTCAAACAGGGAGGGCAGACTGGGAGCAGGAAAAGAATAAAAGAACAGACAATTTCTGGTGGACAATAGGGGCTGAAGTTGCCTTGGTTGGAGAAGAAATTTCTCTGCAGTAGCAGGCCAGGTTAAATAGCAAAAAGGGTTCAGTTTTCAGCAACTGAGCTTGAAACTCGTGAAGGTGATGTCATAATATGACTGAGGGGTGGGCAGGAGGGAGGGGTATAGGCACCTCTGGGCACAAGGGGACCAACTTGCAGTCTTGTCTTTGAATCAGCAGACAATCTAAGTCACTGTAGGCTACAGAGCAGGATTGGCTTCCAACAAACTTGTGAACAGTCAGTAAATTTCTTTTTTGTGTGTGTGTGGTTTTAGTTTTATTTATTTATTTATTTATTTATTATTATACTTTAAGTTTTAGGGTACATGTGCACATTGTGCAGGTTAGTTACATATGTATACATGTGCCATGCTGGTGCGCTGCACCCACTAACTCGTCATCTAGCATTAGGTGTATCTCCCAATGCTATCCCTCCCCCCTCCCCCAACCCACAACAGTCCCCAGAGTGTGATGTTCCCCTTCCTGTGTCCATGTGTTCTCATTGTTCAATTCCCACCTATGAGTGAGAATATGCGGTGTTTGGTTTTTTGTTCTTGCGATAGTTTACTGAGAATGATGATTTCCAATTTCATCCATGTCCCTACAAAGGACATGAACTCATCATTTTTTATGGCTGCATAGTATTCCATGGTGTATATGTGCCACATTTTCTTAATCCAGTCTATCATTGTTGGACATTTGGGTTGGTTCCAAGTCTTTGCTATTGTGAATAGTGCCGCAATAAACACACGTGTGCATGTGTCTTTATAGCAGCATGATTTATAGTCCTTTGGGTATATACCCAGTAATGGGATGGCTGGGTCAAATGGTATTTCTGGTTCTAGATCCCTGAGGAATCACCACACTGTCTTCCACAATGGTTGAACTAGTTTACAGTCCCACCAACAGTGTAAAAGTGTTCCTATTTCTCCACATCCTCTCCAGCACCTGTTGTTTCCTGACTTTTTAATGATGGCCATTCTAACTGGTGTGAGATGGTATCTCATTGTGGTTTTGATTTGCATTTCTCTGATGGCCAGTGATGGTGAGCATTTTCTCATGTGTCTTTTGGCTGCATAAATGTCTTCTTTTGAGAAGTGTCTCTTCATATCCTTCGCCCACTTTTTGATGGGGTTGTTTGTTTTTTTCTTGTAAATTTGTTTGAGTTATTTGCAGATTCTGGATATTAGCCCTTTGTCAGATGAGTGGATTGCAAAAATTTTCTCCCATTCTGTAGGTTGCCTGTTGACGCTGATGGTGGTTTCTTTTGCTGCTTCCCACCCTTCACTCCGTTTTCCAACAACTTTCCCACATCCCTCAGGACTGACCCTGGTAGGTTGGAATTTCACCAATTTTATGCAGTGCAATAACTGGAAAAGAACCCTAGTTTTCCTTTAGTTCAATTACCTATATTTTCAAAGTATAATATCAATCTGAATGATGTAAATTCAAGACTAAACAAATCAAGACTGAAACTCATTCCACTAATATTTATTGAGTGCCTACTATGATTTGCTACTGCTCTGTTACACTGATAATAGAGGGGTAAGGACAAGTCCCCTTTCAGATGTTCTGTCATTGTTCAGTCTGCCTTAGCATCTCAATTCCCTTACCTTGTCTCTTGAGAATTTCCAGCCATCATTTTCAAGTTTTTCCCATCCTCTGTTATTACCTACTCCTGAGGCATGTTGGGCTTCCTTCCTACCCTGTCCCTAACCTTACCACTCATACCTTCTCTTTAAACTCTCACTCCGAAAAGTATCTGATGCATTAAAGTCACTGTTTCCAAACTGGACTTTTTGGACACTTGAGGGTATAAAAATAAAAATAAAAATCTTCCAATGTCCAGGCAAGAATAGTTCCAAAGGACTGATTCTCTCATCTTCAACTCCTCTAAGAGCTCTTAAAATTGATCTGCTAGAGAAAGTGTCCTTTCCTTTCCCACTTCTCTTTAATTTTTTTTTAACAAGGAAAAGCATAGCAAAATCTTGCCATATGGAAGTGTCCAAGAGTGTAAGTTAATGCCATTGCCAATGTCAGTGTTGAGAAAGTAAATGGCTAATAACTGGGTATCAAATCCTTTTGCAGGTCAGTGGTTTGCAATCTATTTCTTTCAATGCAATTGAAATAGAAGCTAATCAAGTTGTCAGCTAATAGATGAATGAAAATAATTTTGATGATATGTTACTGAATATTTTCTGGCACACAACTAATAAAAAGTTTAAATAATCTAGTGTTATTTCTATAACAAAACTAACTTTCATTCATGGAGCTATGGTACATCAATATCACTTATATGTGAACTAGTTTGCTTAGTGTTTACACCTCCAAAATGAAAATTCAGAATAGAATCGATGCTAAAATGTTTCTCATTGTGGTAATAAGTCTTACAATACACGCAAACATTGGACAAAAGCATAATATACATTATTATGAGATAGTTTTCCAGTAAATTTAAAAATTTTTGTCCAATGTATTTTTAGATGTTTTATATATTTATATTTATATTGCTTTAGGTAAATGTATGCTAATTATATAACAGCTAGAGAAAATCTTTTATAAAGCACTCATAGTCTTAAAAGTACAGGAAACAATAAACATGTAGGTAGATGATACAGAGAAATCAATAAAAGACTTGCAATTATAAATATATTACAATACCATGAATTGTGACTTTGGTGAAATAAATGATTTAAAATTTCCAGTTTTAAAAAGATACGCTCATTTGTGTACTTGTTTAAACAAGTATCAGTGGATATCATTACCATAGCACTGATATTTAGATTTCATTAGATTTCATTGAATACATAAAGAAGTAATCTAATAGTTTCATTTAAAAGTTCAATTCTCATAATGCAGTAAAAAATTAGACTCCCTGTGGCCACATAAATGTCTGATAAAAAGTAGATGTTGTGCCTGTAGTCCTAGCTACACAGGAGGCTGAAGTGAAAGGATTCCTTGAGCCCAGGAGTTTGAGTCCAGCCTGAAGAACACAGCAAGGACTCATCCTTTAAAAATAAAAATAAAAATAAAAAATTTGATGTCAAGTTAAAACTATGCAAATTAGTATATCATTTTTTAAGTTTCTTAGAGGAAAATAATGTTTAAAGACAGGTACTTATATCACACCAAAAGTAAAAATGCTTAATGACATGTCACCCAATCTCAAGTCAGACTTGTAATTTTACCAGGGTCTCCCTGGAGACGTCAGGTCACTGACAATGTTAAAAGAAGACTGGAAAAGCATAGAAGAATGGTTGAGAAAATGACTTCCTCTTTCATTTTCCTGCCTCACCAGTTGCATCAGTTTCCCATGGCTACTGTAACAAACTGCCACAAATATGGTGGGTTTTAACAACAGAGAGTTATTTTCTCACAGTTCTGGAGGCCAGAAATCCAAAATCAGTATCACTTGGCTCAATTCAAGGCACAGGCAGAGCCGCACTCCCTCTGGAGGCTCTTGAGAAATTCTTCTTGCCTCTTTTAGCTTCTGATGGCTGTGGGCATTCATTCAAGATAAAGATCTTGTGGCCAAATCATTGCAGTCTCCAAGGCCAGCATCCTTAAATCTGTCTCTGCTTCATCTTTACATTGCCTTCTCCTCTGTGTGTCCGTTTCAAATTTCACTCTATCTCTGTCTTGTAAAGACCTTTTTCATTGTATTTAAGGCCCACCTAGAAAATCCAGGATAAGCCCTCCATCTCAAAGTCCTTAATTTAATCACATTTGCAAAATATTTGCCGTATGATGTAACATTTATAGATTCCAGGAATTAAGACATGTACAACTTTCAGAAGTTCAATTTTTTAATCTGTTATACCTCCTGGAAATAAGACTGCCTAATTCTAGCACTACAAATGTATTCAAAAATATATGTAAAGTGAACGGAAAAATAACTATTCTCTGGAGCAGAACTTCATTATCTCCTTTGTATTGAATTGTCTCTCTATTTGGAAATGAATATTTTTCAGAGCAATCTTCATACTGCCGTGTTGCCTTGCATTATAGTTCAAGCAATCTCCTTGAGTTATTACTTCCCCTTAGTACAATTTCCCTTGAGAAATAAGCTTGTAGGCTCTAGCTTGCTGTCACACTTTCTTTTATTCCCTCATTCAACAGATACTGAGTAAAGGTGCTGTGGGCTTAGGAGTTTATTGTTGTTTCTAAGGGATGTAAAGGAAGAGCATGTCCTGGACAAGAAAACAAGAATCAAAATGCCAAGCAGTTCTGAAATCACTCAGAAAGTATTTATCAAATACCCACTGTAGTTAAGATTGCTAGGTAATTGAGTACTCAGGTCTGTTAACTTTTCCTATAAGGTGAGAGAAAAAACAGCAAAGTGAAGAGGAAAAATGTTATAATAATTAATATGCCACTAAGCTCTTCAGTGGTTATAACCTGTGAGAGTATGTTGGTGGTTTGTTGCAGCTATCTTTCAAACCTCTTGTTCTTCCTGTGATTTATTTTAGGCACTCAAGTGGACAGAGAGCCATGAGAAATTTGAGTGGAGGCCATGTCGAGGAGTTTGTCTTGGTGGGTTTCCCTACCACGCCTCCCCTCCAGCTGCTCCTCTTTGTCCTTTTTTTTGCAATTTACCTTCTGACATTGTTGGAGAATGCACTTATTGTCTTCACAATATGGCTTGCTCCAAGCCTTCATCGTCCCATGTACTTTTTCCTTGGCCATCTCTCTTTCCTGGAGCTATGGTACATCAATGTCACCATTCCTCGGCTCTTGGCAGCCTTTCTTACCCAGGATGGTAGAGTCTCCTACGTAGGTTGCATGACCCAACTGTACTTCTTTATTGCCTTAGCCTGTACTGAATGTGTGCTGTTGGCAGTTATGGCCTATGATCGCTACCTGGCCATCTGTGGACCCCTCCTTTACCCTAGTCTCATGCCTTCCAGTCTGGCCACTCGCCTTGCTGCTGCCTCTTGGGGCAGTGGCTTCTTCAGCTCCATGATGAAGCTTCTTTTTATTTCCCAATTGTCCTACTGTGGACCCAACATTATCAACCACTTTTTCTGTGATATTTCCCCACTACTCAACCTCACCTGCTCTGACAAGGAGCAAGCAGAGCTAGTAGACTTCCTTCTGGCCCTGGTGATGATTCTACTCCCTCTATTGGCTGTGGTTTCATCATACACTGCCATCATTGCAGCCATCCTGAGGATCCCTACGTCCAGGGGACGCCACAAAGCCTTTTCCACTTGTGCCGCTCATCTGGCAGTGGTTGTTATCTACTACTCCTCCACTCTCTTCACCTATGCACGGCCCCGGGCCATGTACACCTTCAACCACAACAAGATTATCTCTGTGCTCTACACTATCATTGTACCATTCTTCAACCCAGCCATCTACTGCCTGAGGAACAAGGAGGTGAAGGAGGCCTTCAGGAAGACAGTGATGGGCAGATGTCACTATCCTAGGGATGTTCAGGACTGATATACAACAGGTCTTGGGAGAGGTGAAAATAGCAGAATCTTAATAGGGCCTCCTCAAGGAATCAGAATAGGCTTTAAGGGAACATAAATATAATTTGCCAACATTTTCTCTAAATATTGTCTGGGACCTTCTGATACAAATGAAACTTTATGAATCATTTATTTTTTACAGGGGTTTTCAAACTAAGGTTGGACTAGCTACAGAAGAATCACCTGGGAATTTGTTAAAATACAGATTCCCCCAAAAAAATATGTGGAGAGTCTTACTGAGTATGTGTGGAATGTAACCCTGCCGTGAATAATATTCAAAACTTCCTGGGAATTCCTATTTCATAGACAGTTTGGGATTCCCTAGTCTAGACCAAGCCCATTATTTCGTAAGTGAGAAAATATAATATGAGAAAACAAGGGAACTTACTGGTGGACATGCCAAGAAAAAAATTTGGTAGACTTCAGTGTAACAATTTCAAAGATCCAGATTCTCAAATCCCACTTTCATAAGAAACTACACAAGTAGGTTATACCCCAAGACCTAATTTCATATCATCTTATCTACAAAACTCATATTCACTGAAAGTCAAAGCAGAGAGAGATGCAGTGCTGATATTCAGCCATATATTCTTGACTCAATATGGCTAACTATCCTCTCCATCTCCCTTCTTTGAATCTCAGGGGCATGTAAAGCTGGTTGACCTAACAAATATTGACCAGGTAGTAGGTAAAATGTTCTAGAAAGCTTATATACAGATCTTCTCCTTCGCTATGGCCAGCACCTGTTTTAAGTAATTAGTGCCAGGGCTATACCGATAGTGAAATATTTTAAATTGTGTTCCTAGTCAAAGGATTGTAAGAACAGAAAATGCCTTCATAAGAAAGAAGATTGAAGAGCCATAGATAGGATGCAGATATCTCTATGGCAATTGGGATGTCTCAGGTTCATAGCCTGAATCATAGGTATTCTAGCAAGTTCCTTTGATTTTTGGAAAGTTACTTGAATTGTTCAGAGAAATTTTTCTTATCTTGAATCTAGGCTCATTTACACAAATTTCTGCATATTGAACCAAATTCAATGATTATTTAGATGTGGGATATGTGAAACAAAATAAATATGCAATAACAATAAATATGCATATTGGAACAAATTCCAGTAAACACGGATTGTTGGTCAGTGCACATTTGCCTATTCCGAGACAGATTTTGAGGGAGAAAAAGACATGTGTCCATCAATGCAAGCTACTTTATCAACAATCATTTTAGATTTTCCAGTATTAAAAACAAAATAACAATAAAAGATCTGATACTTAAAACAGTTTAAGTTGTTTTGTTTTCATAAAATTTCTAAATAGCCTTAGAAACAGCTCTGAACATAGCTCAATTTACATTACATTCTCCTCTCCTTTCATAGAATTATGAGAGACATGGAGTTCAGAATTCAGACCCTAGAACGAGCAAATTTCAATTTGATCCTGGCTTTACTAATAACAAGTTATGTGATCATAGGCAAGAAACTTTACATCTCTGCTCTTAGTTTCTCTTTGATAATAAAAATAATACCCTTTCCATCATATGGGCTTGTTGTGAATATTAAATAAATAACACATATGCGGGCAAAGGGTTAGCATTTTTTTTCTCTTTCCTTTTGGATAAATTTGATCTTGGATTAATTTCTAGTTCTGGTTCTCTAGAAACCTAATAAACATTACTACACAAAATTACTTATGGCACAAATTATCTCTGAGCAGCAAATGACCTCTGGACTGGGAGGATGATGAATGTATTAAGGATATCTAGTGGGAAATAATAGCTTCAAGCTACTTTTGTAACTTGGCATGTCTTTTGAGGGAATTCTAGAAGCTATGGATGCCCATGAAATTGTTACAAGTGATATAGGCTCTTACAGGGCTTGAAAATTCCAAGTTAAGGTGGACTCTGCACCCCTTGATGAAAATCTTATGTCCACCTACCTGAGCTAAGACTTTAAATGACAGAGTCTATTCCTTCAACTGCTTTCAGGACTTCCTTTCTGTAAGAGAAACTCCTAAAACTGCCCTTCTAGAATGTTGGATTTGCTATCCTGCTTCCCTGAGTTAATTTTATGCCAGGTGAGGTCTTTTATAGTGTGTCAGTTTGTTTGCTGGACCCTAAGAAGACCTTCTGGCATGTAATACCGTTAACTCACAGTAAGCATTTAATAAATGCCAAGCTCCATCATTATTATCATTTTATCATTACAAATATCACGATATGCTTTCTAAAGGATATGCCTGTTCCATTAATCATGTATTAAACTCACTCTTACTCAAACTGAGATTGGAGAATTGGCTTTCTCTAAGACACATATAGAAAGGAAAGCTCCAAGCAACTTTGTAACTATGCGGAGTAGGTAACAAGTTGATCAGAAAGTTTAGCATTCCCAATTATACAATCTAAAATTGGGCCAAGATGTCATCAGATTGAGTCAGTGAAGTTCCTCCTTTAAAAAATGATTAAAACATGCTATTTCTATGACTCTCATGATGTCATTGTCATATTTTTTCCCATTGGAAGATCACAGTGCTTTGGATTTATTATTCCTCCACTGTGAGAGCTTCCCATAGTGCATTAATTGGTGTTGATGGGTTTCTAACTACTTACTTCATAGATTTCTTCAAATATTCTATTTTACTCCAACAACAGTGCTTTTAATATAAAACATGCTTTGCAAATGGTTCTTATTTGCAACTCAGTTTCAGTTAAGAAAATAAGTGGTTGTTTTTTGGTTGCCTGGCCAAAAGTGACCTCATTTTTCATTGCTACGATAACCTAATTTTTTGAAGCTGAAAACATGCCTGACCCAGGCAATAAACCTACATCTCTGCCATACAGTTGATATCTCAGCTTCTCTTGAAACTAAGACTGGCTATGTATCTAATATTTTCCCAATAAAACATAAGTGGAATTCTGCTGGAGAGGTTATCTTTTAGAGAGAAAGAGGTGGCTGGTGCTCATGCTAGCACTGCCCCTTTTCCTTTTCTGAACCTGGATTTGATGGCTGGAATTCCAGCAGCCATCTAGAAGGTAATAAATATGGGAGGAAAGTTCAACACACTAAGGCTAGAGATGCAGAACTATATAAAAATCATGGGTGTTTAGTAGTATGGCTGAAAAATTGAACTAGGTTGGTGCAAAAGGAATTGTGGTTCTGGACTGTGAATTTTAAACCATTACAACTAGGCTCAAACACATCTTTATTAACCAAAATAGGAACCATTACAACCAACACATTTTTGCCAATGAGAAATATATTTGTTTATTCCATGCTTCAGGGTTTGATGAACTCTTGGAAAGCATTTTCTGCATCCTGCTGATTGTGGAAGTGTTTTTCCAGCAAAAAGTTGTCAAGATGCTTGAAGAAGTGATAGTTGTTTGGTGACAGGTCAGGTGAATGTGGTGGATAAGCCAAAGCTTCATAGCCCAATTCATTCAACTTTTGAAGCATTGGTAATGTGACATGCATTTGGACGTTGTGGTGGAGAATTGGGCTTTCTGTTGACCAATGCCAGCTAAAGGTGTTGCAGCTTTTGCTGCATCTCATCGGTTTGCTGAGCATACTTCTCAGATGTAATGGTTTTGCTGGGATTCAGAAAGCTGTGGTGGATCAGACCGGCAGCAAACCACCAAACAGTGACCATGACCTTTTCATGGTGCAAATTTGGCTTTGAGAAATGCTTTGGAGCTTCTTCTCTATCCAACCACTGAGCTGGTTGTGGCCAGTTGTTATATAAAATCCACTTTTCTTCACAAGTCACAATGCATTTGGCCCAGGAACTGCTAACGAATGTACAGTGCAGCAGTGGTTCAAGAAGTTTTGGCCGGGCGCGGTGGCTCACGCCTGTAATCCCAGCACTTTGGGAGGCCGAGACGGGCGGATCACGAGGTCAGGAGATCGAGACCATCCTGGCTAACACGGTGAAACCCCGTCTCTACTAAAAATACAAAAATTAGCCGGGCATGGTGGCGCGTGCCTGTAGTCCCAGCTACACAGGAGGCTGAGGCAGGAGAATGGCGTGAACCCGGGAGGCGGAGCTTGCAGTGAGTCGAGATCGCGCCACTGCACTCCAGCCTGGGCGACAGAGCGAAACTCCGTCTCAAAAAAAAAAAAAAAAAAAAGAAGTTTTGCAAAGGAGACGAGAGCCTTGAAGATGAGGAGCATAGTGGCTGGCCATCAGAAGTTGACAACAACGAAGTGAGAGCAATCATCGAAGCTGATCCTTTACAACTACATGAGAAGTTGCCAAAGAACTTAATGTCGACCATTCTACGGTTGTTCGACATTTGAAGAAACTGGAAAGGTGAAAAAGGTCGATAAGTTAGTTCCCCATAAGATGAGTGAAAATGAAAACAAATAGTCATTTTGAAGTGTTGTCTTCTCTTATTCTACGCAACAACAACGAACCATTTCTATCAGGTGTTATAGTTACTGTCTCCTTAATGTTGCAATTCAAAAGCCTAGCCAGAGAAAAGCAGGTTATTTTTTTCCAGACTTGATATCTGCAATTCCAGTAACTACTACTGAGGCTGTTTTATTTTATTTTGATGCACTTTGCTTTGTTTTATTTTATTTTACTTGATTTTGTTTTGTTATTTTTTTAAGGTTCTTAATTTGTACTCAGTGCAGCCAGCTTTTCACCAGATAAAGGTAACAGAGAGGGAACAGTAAAGTAGCATGCAGTGAAGTTTATCATGATTTATTTATTTATTATTTTTTTGGCCATCTCATTTGTTTTTTAAAAAATTGAGTGCGTAGTAGTTGTATATATTTATGGGACACATGAGCTGTTTTGACACAGGCATGCAATGTGAAATAAACACATTGTGGAAAACGCGGTATCATGATTTTTTGAATGAAATTAATCTTTTTTAAAATAGCAGCACTATTCATCCAATTGACTAAAATGTGCTTGAATTTAAAAAGAAAATAAAAATTTTGTGTTTTTTATTTACAAGACACTTTATAGAAGACACAAGACATGATTATCTGCTTCTAAATTTTTGTGACTTTAGAGAGAATATAGAAACTTTACAATTTTCGGAAAGAATTACCAAATACTAACACAAAAGAAAAATAGGTCCCTAGTAAATTTTAACTTACTCATTTAAAAATTACCCTCTTTCTTCTCATCAAAGATAAATGCATAATCATTCTGAATATTTCCTCAGAGCCAAACTTCTTACAATGTATACGCATGTGCTTTTTGTCACTCTACTCGTAGATGTAGTCTATCTATTGTTTTTTAATATTAACTTTTAAAATGATTTCTTGACAGAAAATAATAACAAACTCAGATTTTTTTTTTCATTTTAAGCACTCATAGTTCTAACTACATATTTTTGTATTGAGAAATGATTATAAACCAAGAAAAGACCATGTTTTCTTTGTATTCATTCCTCAGTTCACAATACTAGTTAGGAAGATTTTTTTAAAAGATCTAAGATAGTAATATTTTTTTCTACAAATCTCCTCACAATAGTACTTAATCAGCCAGGAGCTTCTGCGATTCCTTATTTTCCTCTCCACTAAAGTTACACATTTTTATTCATTTAAATAGAATGGGACTCAGCTCATTTCCTCATTGAGCAGATATTTTAGGTGCCTACTATGTACCAGACATTGCAGTGAAAAGCAATGACTTGGGAGAAGTCTCTCTCCTTGAGAATCCTTAGTTCAGTAATTTTTAAATAATTTTTAAGAGTCTCAGTCATTCTATATTTCATCAAATTTTACAAATTAAGTTAACAGAACTTATTTAAGAAGTAGCATACAGTGGGTTCTGTCTCTACTTTCACATGAAAACTGGAAAAATGAGATGATCTCTTGATGAAGAAGCCAGTTAACTCATGAGTCACTTAGTCAGAAACAGCTTCATTGTTTCTTTCAAATATATTAAAAATTTCACAAATGGCAAAAATTCTTATGTTCATGTGCAAGTAACTTATAAAGGAAATTGGAAATTAAATTAATTTTTCTGAACACCTTCTATTTGCTTGACATAATACAAATACTCACACATAAAAACATGTATTTGCATGGCAAGTGTTATTCTAAACAGCTTACATATATAATCCATACCATCATCACAATAATTCTAAGAGATAAGTACTCTTATTGTTTTATTTTTCCAATTTAAAAAAAAAACTGAGAGACAAAATAATTTGCCCAAGGTCATGTAATAGGACACGGATGAGCCAGGATTTGAACCATGGCACTCTAGCTGCAGAGTCTTTACTCGGAGCTGGTACTCAAGATTAACCTTTGGTTTGATGTATCACCTTTTAAAGATGAAGAATGTAATACTTCCAGAGGTTTGAGAACTTACTTACATCCAAGAGCTGACAAAAAGCAATACAAATCCATGTTTTGCTGACTTGAAACCCATGTCCTCTTTCTTTTACGTTTCGCATCAATTTTTAATTATCTGTATCATGTTTTCCTTATTTCAAGAGAATGGAATTAAAACTGAGTGGTATTAAACCTATGTTTCCTATTTACTGAACTTTAGGTAATAGCAAATAGGACACAGGTTTAATACCACTCAGTTTGAAACTCCTCTGTTATCAGAAGAGGTTCTTGTTCTTGAAGTCTATCATCAAATTCCTAAGGGCTAAATAAAACTATTACAGTAAAACTATTTGAAAAGAGTAGTGACATGTGACCAGAATGGCTCCTGACACTTAGAAGATACTCAATACATATTTATTGAATGAATGGTCAGGTTCCTATAGAATGGTAACACAGAATATCACCACAGAACCAGTAATGAGCTAAGAGACTGCCTGGAAATAAATGAAGTGTTATTCCAGTTTTCTATGGGAAAAATTTTCCTTTTTAAATTTTTTATCAAATTGAAAAACGGTGAGGAGTAAAGAGTGGTTACTCCTAAAAATATGAACTAGGCCTTTTGGAATCTGACGGGTTTTGTTATTTTCCTTAGGGGAATTCTGTTATTTTAAAATAAAGAACTTAATTTTTTATTGGGAGTTGTTATTCTTTTTTGGCTAGTTCTCATCTTTCCCAACTCCAGAAAAGCACAGTCTCCTACAATGATCAATATCCTTCATAGTAGTGCATATCAAAACCCAACAGAGCCTGCTCACTTCCTACTATAGTCCTGGGTCTGTGGTTCTAAAGCTAATTATCCTGGATGTGCAGGTATCCAAACCCAGGAAGCAACATACATACCTAAAGAGATAACTGTCCTTTTTCCATGCCAGTTTATTTTCCATATAATCTTATTGTCATTTGTGTTCTCTGAGTATCTGTATGCTTCTGAATGTGTACTAGTTGTAGATAATAAGAGTAAATACAGGCCGGGAGCAGTGGCTCACACCTGTAATCCTGGCACTTTGGGAGGCCGAGGCAGGAGGATCACAAGGTCAAGAGATCGAGACCCTCCTGGCTAACACAGTGAAACCCTGTCTCTACTAAAAATACAAAAAAAATTAACCAGGTATGGTGGCAGGTGCCTGTAGTCCCAGCTACTCGGGAGGCTGAGGCAGGAGAATGGCATGAATCCGGGAGACAGAGCTTGCAGTAAGCCGAGATCGCGCCACTGCACTCTAGCCTGGGTGACAGAGCGAGATACCGTCTCAAAAAAAAAAAAAGAGTAAATACATAGCATGTTCTACTTTTTAAAAAAATACAGATATCATCTGAATGCAGTGTATTCATCATTCACATCTACTGAGTTACTGATGCATTACAGTTACTTTTGTGTATACTTATAAGCACAATATCTGAGTGTGTTTGGAGTTTGCAAATGTGCATGTGCTCATACACTTGGGTTCCCGAATAAGGAAGTGTACTTATCATTTTTATTTTCTGAATTACTTGGGTTATAGCACTGTCTTTTTCTGGAAGACCTTATTATTTGTGAGATTGTTCCTCAGAAAGAGGACACACACACACGCACACACATTTCCCCTCGCCACCTTCCTCTTCCCAAGTCTCGTTGGGGAGGACAGGCAGAGTACTTCCAGCCAGTCTAAGGTCTCTTTTGTGCCTGGAGACTCCACTTAGCTTGCTAGCTCTTCCTTAATATCCTCCCAGGATCCCCTTGAGCCCTGGAAAGGCCAAATATGTTCCTGAAGGCTGTGCCTCTTGGGAGGTCCCTTGTGAATAGAAGTGAGTTGGTTTGTCTCCTCCAGTAGCTTGAAAGCAGGCAGAAGCACAAATAGCTCCATTCTGTGCCTTCTTCAAGCAGAGACAGAACCAGACTTGCCCAGAAACTCTCTAGGCTTATGTACATTGTTCTTCTCTTGGTCTACATGATTTCTTCTCTTTTCTCAGCGCAAGCTGGCCATCTTTGATAAAGCTAGGTGGGAAAAGGGTTATATTCCTGAGAAAATGGTGAGTTGAAAAAAAGACTCTCAGATATTTCCAAAGGGGAATTTAGCCATCTTTTAATTATTTATTTTTATGAAGGAAAGTAGGGAATAATGGAAGATAAATTGTATGTAAATTACTGATTCATCCAAAATTTTATTTTATTGATTTTTAAAGATAGTTTGTCATCTTTAAGCCTATAATGCGTAGTGATACAACAAGTTATAGATGGAGAGGAATTTAGTATATATATAGATTAGTTCCAGTTCAACAAAGATTTTTTTCAGCATCTATGTATGTCTAGCCATATGAAATATGTTAAGGATTCAGAAATGTAGTGTAATATGGATTCTCATGTCATTTTAAGACTCTACTGTGATAACTTACTCTAGGTGAAATAAGCCTGAGAATGAAAATTTCCCAAAGGTTTGTTCTGAAGATGCCTCAAATTAATGCATCTGCCCAACTCTGCCTTTCAAAGCACAGATTCCAAATCTACTCTGACATAAGGGACAAAAAAAGAGAAAATGGAGTAGAGGATGAAATGAATGGACCAGTGTAGATGAATGAATACATGTATGCGAGAAGTGGTGGGTAGAACATAGGTATGTGAGTAAGCATGTGTGTTTTATGTTAAATAAGAGCAGGGACTGACAAACAAAATGATGTCTGGAGGATCAGATGGCTTATAATATTATTCCTGCTACATTTTTTCTTTTATTTTTAATTAATATGTATATATATATAATTGTACGTATTTGCGGGGTATATAGTGGTATTTTGATCCATATAATGAACCATGATCAGATCAGAGTAATTAGCATATTCATCATCTCAAACATTGACAATTGCTTAGTGTTGGGAACATTCAGTATCCTCCTTCAAATATCTAGCTATTTGAAACTATGTATCATATTATTGTTAACTACAGTCATCCTACAGTGCTATAGAACACTAGAATTTCACTTCTAGTGATAGTGCCATAGAGCAAGAAAAATTCCCATAGAGCAAAAAAATGCATCACATTATGTGACCACATTTATTTTCAACTTGAAATCCTGAAATAAACTGCAAAGATTAATCATACCCAAGTGAGACCCATAGAAATTAAGCCACTTTTCCCAAAGGACCTAGTTGGAAATTAAATTATTTCAAAATACAAGTCATGGTTTTGGAAAGTTATAAAGTATAGAGGATCAGGGATATGAAATAGATATTTTTTCACTAAAGTCTTCAAAGCCAACTCACAGTAGAAACGGAGAGGTGCAGAGGGGCTTACTACATAGCAGCAAGGCATTCTGTCCTACCAGAAACCTAGGGGCTGTTACACATATCACCCTGAAGCATATTCGTTCCTGAAAAGGCCTGGGAAAAAGGAGCTGGATTAGAATTGTATCCCTTTAAAACTGATTTGAAGGAGTAAGAATGTGTTCCTACCCTTTAGAAAATGCCTATTGAGGGTCCAAGACCCTCAATGTCCACCTCTGGCTAACCTACACTTTTTTTTCTCACCTCCCTGCAGGAATTAGTAGAAGACTAGATTGAGCACAAGTGATTGCTTTGTTACTTCTTTCACTACCTATGTTCCATTTTTGAAGACTTCTGAGACCCTCAGTTTGGCCAAACCAATCCCCACAGAGCTTGTATGGCAATTTTTAAAATGCCTCCATTACCAGGAGCAATTTGACCATATACGTTTTCTTCCCTATACCTCATTTTCCCACAAACAACAGAGTAGGTCATTTCCTAGACCCATTATTATCCTGGGCTCATTGCCCACTAGCTGTGGGAAAGGTCATATCCACCCTCCCTGGGAAATCAGAAAGAGAGCCTCTTGGTCCTCTCTGGTGGAAGGCTCAAGGGGAAAAAGAAGATATTCTTATCCTCTGATTCCAGAGTGAAACTAAGCCTTAAATTCCAATTGTATTTTCCATAGCCTGATGATATTTGTCCCCATTAAATGTCCCAGTTAAGCTGGAATCATCCAAAGAGGATGATCACAAACTTTAGGGAACCGATAAACTGGCCATATATATATATATATATATACATATATATATCTCCATACATACATATATGTAAATTGAGTGGCTTAATCTAAAAAAGAAAGACATTATGAGACAGGGGTAATGGGGGTGATGAGGGGGGCAATTGGAGGTTTAATGGACCTTACAGCTATTTTCAAACAGTGAAGTCTATCCTTTGAGAACGAGACGAGACTTACTTTCAGAAACAGAACCAGGACCCCTGAATGTGGGTGCATTGGGTTTCAGAAGAGAAAGTGTTCCATCTCCCAAATCAAAAGTTTCTCTTATTTAAAGTATGGCTAGTTTTATAGATACTGGATTTCCATTCCTGGAAAAAATCAGGCAAAGTCTGGGTGAATACTTGTGTCTATACATTGGTGATTCACAAAATGTGATAGGGAGCTAAATCATATTACCTCTCAGGTTCTTTGCAGTCCTACAATCCTGTGTTTCTAGAGCTGAAGGATCTCATTCTACTTGTTTAGCAATGTGTGTTTGTGTGTGTGTGTGTGTGTGTGTAATCACTACAATGGACAAGCAATTGTGAAAGCTAAAATATATATATTTTTTGAGAAAATCATAGTTGTAAGACTCGCACTAACTTTTATGATTCTATTTAAATCAGGCTAAAACTTGAGATGATTTGTCCTTCTTGAGAATCGGGTCAGATAAGTAAATAATTTGAATGAAGTGTGTAAGATAACAGAAGGAATTAAATTGAATGAATTGTATAAGACAATTGGGGGTTAAAGCTTGATAGGGACTAAAATGTAATCATTAATAAATTGCTACTCTGCCACTATATAGTTGTTTAAACTTAGAGAAAATCACTTAAATCACTCTGGGATTTCCTTATCTGAGGAAAAAAAAGAACTTTGAATTAAAATACCGCTGATTTTAAAATGCTATTATTTCATGAGACAAGTCCACAATGTGTGACTGAGAGTTGGCTACAAGAAAAAGTGAGATGGTTTAACCTGCTGCTAGGTAATATGTTTGAGATTCAGAGTACCGGAACCTTCAACTGACTCTTGGCTCTCAGCCTGGCCCTTTGATTCTCCTTAAATTTTCATTCCTTGCATAGAGTGCCATTAAAACTATTTTTAAAGGTACAATTTAATTCTCAGAAGAAAAAAAAAAAGCCTCACCCAATTCATAGATCATCCTCTACATACTCATACACAAAAATCAGTGGATTATAAAAAATAAATTTGCTGTTTAATTTCAATTCTGCCATTAAGCAATTTAGCTGTGTACCATTAAGCTAGACATTTAATATCTTTGGGTCAAGTCAGCACTGTGACATTGGTGCTAATTCCATGATGGTGAACATCAGATAGAATGATGTGAATGTGCTTTCACATACACAAATGTGAGTTATCATCTGGCAGTAAAGATGATTCCATATATTCAGCATAGCCTCCTCAGAATCCAGTTGCTATAAAACTTCCACTGGAGGGAAGGCTGTTAACTATGTGAACCTTGCTCTCTTCCTCACAAGCCTGCCCAATGGACTGTCTAAACAGTCTGAGAAGGCACTGGGATGTGACTCAGACAATCTAGCCCTAGAAATTAGGAATCTAGACACCTTACTATATCTACAATGCATGTGCCTGTTGATAAAGCACTCTACCTCTTTATACATTAACTTTAACACTTATCAAAATATAATTCTATATATACATATGTGTGAATAATTTTGAAACTTGAATGTCAGCATATTGTGCTTTGAATTGTTTTCCTCTTCTGCTTGACTGCTAGGGACCTCAAAGCTAAATTCCATGCTCAAATGATAAAGCTGCTTAATCAGATGTTCTTTATATATACTGTATACTCACTTTCCTTTTTATTTCCTTGTATTTTTACTTTGTGGAGCTTCATCTGGACTCTGCTGGAATTAGAAGAAGAATGAATGAATGCATAGTTCTGTGAAAATATCCCCACTTTATTTACTTATTCTTATTCTTAAAATTAAATTAGATGTTTTTATTTCCAGCTTCATGTCTGAAGCAGCTACCCAAGAATGACAATATCTATTGCAAAGGAATGGAGAATATGTTACATTAATTAGTAGAATTATTCTAACCATGCTTTTTAGGCTAGGCATCTTCTACAGGACACTGTGGGTGATTCCAAGAAAAGAGGACATTAGGGTATAATGTCTTGCCTGTAGTTTTCCAGAATATTTTTAAAAAATAGACACAAAGATTAAGCCCAAGGACATGGCTCTGGAGACTGGTATCCTATCACTATGGACCAAGAAAGTGCCTCCCAAACAGTAATACTACCCTCAATAGCTAGAAACATGTTCATTTCATCAATTCATTGAAAATGGTGGTGATATAGTAAGAGAGAGCAAGATGGAGACTGGCCTACACTCTTCACAAATAGATTTTAAGTTGGTTTGAATTTTTGGACTCAAAGATATTTTTTTAAATCAGGATGAAGAAAAAGATAAGGAGGATTCATAAACCTTGCCTTGCTTGTAAGTCCCACTCTCACACTGCCTAGTGAATACCAAGCTGCAATGAGCAAGGACAAGTTTTGTGTTGACTGTGTGTGTGTTTGTGTTTGTGCATGTGTTTCTCAGGAACTATATTCCAACAGAAAAGAAAATTATTTGCATTTACACTGTTATATATTCTTTGCCTTTTCTGGGTTATCTGTGTCCATTTCCCTCTCTCAGAAGGAATAATCCTGCCTTTCTATTCTGCCTTTCTTTCAGGAATCTAAAGCTGAAATCTAAGTGGGAAGAGGAAATGGATAGTATGGGCAGTAGTTTTCTGGCTCTGCAACCTCATGATCATTCCTTAAAAAAAAAAAAAAACCATCCCCTAGTTGTCCTACATATTTATGCCATAAAATAGAGCTGTTGAGAAATGGGGATCAAGAGTGACTGTGGCTCTGGAGAAGAGCAGAAAAGAGAATTGAAGCAATAGGACACAGAGCAAGACTTGAAATGGGAAGGTGTTTAGTATCAATGGGTTTGGGAATGATTATCAGCCTAACACAAAAAGAGGTCACACATTTTGCTAAATTAATGAACAGAAATGCAGAAGAGTCACTAATAGAATTCTTGCTTGTTTTCTCTGATATTACTCCCAACAGATTACAGTTTTTAAATTTATTACCCTTGGAAAAGTCCCACGGTCCTCTCCCTTTTTTCATTAACAATGGCTGCTGTTTGCACCAGTTTTTTGCTGTTTTTGGCAGGGGTTGAAGTTGGGGTGGGGGAAACTTTGTGTGGGGTGGAGTGTGTGTTTTTTTAAAAGGAGGAGGAGCTATGTATGTGGGGTAAGTAAAGTAGCCTGGAAAGGTCACAGCAAATATCATAGGAACTGAATTTAAACTCTAAATCCCATTTGATGTTCACAAAATGTGAACCCCATTGTATTATCCCCATTTTAGAAATAAAGTAACTAATATTCTAAAAGATTATGTGGTACTCTCACTTAGCTATACAAAGACAAAAGTTGGATTTGAATGCACTTTTGTCAAACTCCTAAGCAAGCACTTTATACAATGGATTGTATTGAAGAAACTATTACCCTTCATGTTATCCATTCAATTTTGTTCTCTGAAAAGCTGGTGAATAATTGCATCAAACCTGATTTTGCTGTTAATCCTGTGGGTATGCTCAACTATTGCTTCATTCAAGCTTAAGCACATTGTTAGACACAAGCAAGAACGTTCTCTCCATTTTACAGATAAGTGGGGTCATGCAACCACTCCAGAGTCACCCAAATTGCCCCTAGAGAATGGGTAGTTGGGCCTTCTTTCTCTTCTCCATATTCAGCAGATGGGGATGTTTTGCCTGTAGTGAAAGGGTGGTCTGGAGACCATTTATGTGCCCAAAAGTGATATATTGGTAAAGCACAGAACTGGGATTTAGAAAGTTATAAACTCTATTTTGTATGACCTTGGACAAGTTACTGCTCTTGAGAAAATCTGAAAACAAGTTAAAATATAAGCTCCCTAAATTCCATCTTTTCTCAAAAGCTTTGGTTCTCTTCATAATTCAAGAGGCAGTAAGATAAAAAAGCAGAAACCTCCTATTGTGATAAATTTGCTGGTGGTGGGCTCTATCAATACAAATAACCATAGACTAGTGCTTGTGTCATGGAAGGAACTGACTTTGTCTGTGCCCACAGCCAGTCATGACCACCATAATTCTGGAAGTAGATAATCATACAGTGACAACACGTTTCATTCTTCTGGGGTTTCCAACACGACCAGCCTTCCAGCTTCTCTTTTTCTCCATTTTCCTGGCAACCTATCTGCTGACACTGCTGGAGAATCTTCTTATCATCTTAGCTATCCACAGTGATGGGCAGCTGCATAAGCCCATGTACTTCTTCTTGAGCCACCTCTCCTTCCTGGAGATGTGGTATGTCACAGTCATCAGCCCCAAGATGCTTGTTGACTTCCTCAGTCATGACAAGAGTATTTCCTTCAATGGCTGCATGACTCAACTTTACTTTTTTGTGACCTTTGTCTGCACTGAGTACATCCTTCTTGCTATCATGGCCTTTGACCGCTATGTAGCCATTTGTAATCCACTACGCTACCCAGTCATCATGACCAACCAGCTCTGTGGCACACTGGCTGGAGGATGCTGGTTCTGTGGACTCATGACTGCCATGATTAAGATGGTTTTTATAGCACAACTTCACTACTGTGGCATGCCTCAGATCAATCACTACTTTTGTGATATCTCTCCACTCCTTAACGTCTCCTGTGAGGATGCCTCACAGGCTGAGATGGTGGACTTCTTCTTGGCCCTCATGGTCATTGCTATTCCTCTTTGTGTTGTGGTGGCATCCTACGCTGCTATCCTTGCCACCATCCTCAGGATCCCTTCTGCTCAGGGCCGCCAAAAGGCATTCTCCACCTGTGCCTCCCACCTGACCGTCGTAATTCTCTTCTATTCCATGACACTTTTCACCTATGCCCGTCCCAAACTCATGTATGCCTACAATTCCAACAAAGTGGTATCTGTTCTCTACACTGTCATTGTTCCACTCCTCAACCCCATCATTTACTGTCTGAGGAACCATGAAGTAAAGGCAGCCCTCAGAAAGACCATACATTGCAGAGGAAGTGGGCCCCAGGGAAATGGGGCTTTCAGTAGTTAAAAAATGTATAGATTCCTTTCAGGCTTGAACTGAGAGATGATCACTACACACTTTCCCCCTCAGTCTTGTCTTTGGTTATCCCCCAATCTCCAGTACTGTAACACTGCTCTCCTCTGTGTGTGTGTGCATGTGTGTGTGTGTGTATACACAATCATGACTGGAGAAACATGTTCTCAAGAAGTAACCTCTGGTATCAGGCTGAGAGACAAGTTTTAAAATGTTAGAAAAGCTATTTGAAATCAGGAAGAAACACAGAGAGAGAGACAGAGAGAGTGGGTGGTAGGAGGGAGGAAAGGAGGAAGATGAATACTTTTTCCACACAACTTATCAAAATAAATGCCATACAGGACAAACAATTAAATATAAAGAATAAAACCATCGTTCATCTCTCAGATGGTTAGAAAAGGGTTTTTAAACACTCTATATTGTAGAAGTAAAAGAAAAAGTTCAACATAAATTAATGCCTGTTAGGCACAGTGGCACATACCTGTAGTCCCAGCTACTCAAGAGACTGAGGCAGGAGGATCCCCTGAGTCCAGGAACTTGGGCCCAGCCTGGTCAACATAGGGAGTCCCCACCCACTTCCCTCCAAATAACATAAATGACTAATTTGTTAAGGCGTTTAAAAACAAAAGATTAAGTTTATACCAAATAACAAAGTGAAAACTATTACTAATTTTTATTATTAATGTTATAATAACATATACCAACCTTAAATATTAAAAAACACTTTAAAATAAACTTATAAAAATTAAACTCTCAATGGAAAAACAAGTTAAGTATATAAACATAATTTTAAAAATAGGTAGTTGTTATGGGCAAAGTTATGTCCCACTCCTCCCTCCCTCCAAAAAAGTATGTTGTCCTAACCCCAGTCTCTCAGAATGTGACCATATTTGAAAGTAGGGTTTTTATAGTGGTAATCGAGCTAAAATTTGACTGCTAGGGTGGGCCCTAAGACAATATGACTGGTGTCATTATAAAAAGGAAAAATTTGGACACAGACACACACAGAGGAAAGACAATGTGCACACACACAGGGCAGAGAGCAACCATGTTTCTGCAGTAATGCATCTATAAGCTAAGGAAGAAGTATTGCTGGCAAACACCAGAAGCTAGAAGCAGCAAGGAAGGATGTTAGCCTAGAGCTGAAAGAGAGAGAGAGAGTATGGCCCTCCCAAGTACTTTATTTGTGATTCCTAAGATCAAAAATACTGAGACAGTATTTGGTACTTTTTAATGGCAGCCCTAGGAAACTAATACTGGAGCCAATAAACCTCAGCAATTTTTAAAAAGATATTAAAAAACAAAAATTGACAAATGGGATGTAATTAAACTGACAAGCTTCTGCACAGCAAAAGAAATTATCAACAGAGTGAACAAACAACCTACAGAATGAAAACATTTTTGGCAAACCATACAACTGACAAAGGTCTAATATTCAGCATCTATAAGGAACTTAAACATATTTACAAGATGAAAACAAACAACTCCATTTAAAAGTGGGCAAAGGATGTGAACAGACACTTTTCAAAAGAAAACATACATGCAGCCAACAATCATATGAAAAAAAGGCTCACTGATCATTAGAGAAATGAAAATCGAATCCACAATGAGTGGTTTTATTTTATTTTATTTTATTTTATTATTATTATACTTTAAGTTTTAGGGTACATGTGCACAACGTGCAGGTTTGTTACATATGTATACATGTGACATGTTGGTGTGCTGCACCCATTAACTCATCATTTAGCATTAGGTATATCTCCTAATGCTATCCCTCCCCCCTCCCCCCACCCACAACATTCCCCGGAGTGTGATGTTCCTGTGTCCATAATAATAGCCATTCTAACTGGTGTGAAGTAACGTCTAATTTTGTTACCATCTAACACCACTCCAAATGGCTATTACTAAAATGTAAAAAAATAACAGATGCTGGTGAGGTTGTGGAGAAAAAGGAACACGTATTCAATGTTGTTGGGAGTGTATATTAGTTCAATCTATGTAAAAGACAGTGTAACGATTCCTCAAAGACTTAAAAACAGAAATACCATTTGACCCAGCAATCCCATTACTGGGTATATACCTAAAGGAATATAAATCATTCTACTATAAAGACACATGCACATGTATGTTTATTGCAGCACTATTTACAATAGCGAAGACATGGAACCAACCACAATGCCCATCAATAATAGACTGGATAAAGAAAATGTGCTACATATACAACATGAAATACTATGCAGCCATAAAAAAAAATTAGATCATGTCCTTTCCGGGAACATGGATGGGACTGGAGGCCATCACCTTTAGCAAACTAATGCAAGAACAGAAAACCAAATACCACATATTCTCACTTGTAAGTAGGAGCTAAATGATGAGAACTCTTGGACACACAGTAGGGAACACAGTAGGGGCCCATTAGAGGGTGCAGGGTGGGAGGAGGTAGAGGATCAGGAGAAATAACTAATGGGTAATAGGCTTGATACCTGGGTGACAAAATAATCTGTACAACAAACCCCCATAATACAAGATTACCTATATAATAAACCTACACATGTACCCCTGAACTTAAAATAAAAGTTAAATTAAAAAATTAAAATTTAGACAAGATTAAGATACCCAAAAATTTTAATTGGTTATTTATGTGAGATATTACCCATCACATAAGTGACATAAGAAATTGTATAATACTGCCTGTGGTTATATAAGTTATTTCAAACTCTGGAAGTCAATTTAGAAATAGTTCCCTTGTCTCTATAATTTCAAATATAGGAGTGTGTATTAGGGTTATAATTTATGAAGCTATATGCACACACATATTCAATTAAGCATATTTAATTTTAAAAGCATGTACATTTTCCAAATAACTGGAATATTTAAGTAAAGTATGGTTTACCTATGAAAGGGAATACTATACAGATATTGCAAGTCATATTTTGAAAGAAAACAATGGTACAAAATAATTATAATATTAAATTAAAAGGTAGAATATAAAATTGTAGCATAGTTTGATATTATGAACAACTATATTAATAAAGATATAATTAATGATAGAAAGATAAGTGTGTATGTGTGTATGTAAAAAAATTCTAGAGAGATTTTAAGTGATACTTTCAAATTATTTTCTCCAGAGTTATGGCTTACTTTATAATTACCTGTATTTTATAAAAGTTCTATAATGAACATGTATTAACTCTATAATTACTATTCACCAAAAATATTAACCAATGAGGGAAAAGAAAACATGTCCTCTTGTTTTTGTTTTTCTTGAATACATTTCCTTCATTTAAATTACATTGATTATAAAAATTCAGTAATCTGTAGTACCTGATTGTAACTGATACTATGTTGGGGGTTTTATGAAGCCATATATCACTACTCTTATGCCTGACCATGTTCTTAAGCCACTTGAGAAGTAAAACAAATCAGACAACAGAATGAAAATCAAAATCTCATCTTTGGACAGACTTTGTGGCTCATGCCTGTGATCCCAGCACTTTGGGAGGCCAAAGGAGGAGGATCCCTTGAGCCTAGGAATTTGAGTTCAGCCTGGGCAAAGTAGCAAGACCTTATCTCTACAATAATTATAAAATTAGGTGGGTGTGGTGGTGTACGCCTGTGGTCCCAGATACCTGGGAAGCAGAGGTGGGAGAATTGCTTGAGCGAGGATAGTGGGGCTGAGGTGGGAGAATCGCTTGAGCCAGGATGGTAGGGGTGCAGTGAGTTGTGATCTCACCACTGCACTCTAGCCTGGGTGACAGAGTGAAACCCTGTCTCAAAAAAAAAAAAAAAAACTATCTTTATTAGTGTTTATGGCTAAGTTGGAGGAACACTAAACCCTCCAATTAGACAGACTTCTCTGTACCCAATGAACTGGCATAGTCAGACACCTTCAGTTCTCCCCTAATGTTTTAACCTCTTGTGACTTGTCAGTTCCCAAAGAGAAGAAAAAGAGAATGGGGATGTGTAGAGGCCCCTCCTCCCAGATATGACAACACACACGGGGGCCTGACGGTGGAGGGTGGAGACTGGGTGAGGGAAAGCATTAGGAAAAATAGCTAATACATACTGGGCTTAATACCTAGGTGATGAGTTGATAGGTTCAGTAAACCACCAGGCACACATTTATACAACAAACCTGCACATCCTGCACATGTATCCCAGAACTTAAAATAAAATAAAATATTTTTAAAAATAGAATGATGGATTAAGAACCTCTGAAAATTCATTCTTTCATATAAGAAGCAATAACACTGGCAAAAATTGTCAAAATCAACTTTTCAAAATGCAAATAGACTAGAAATTATGGCCTGTGCACAGAAAGATAAAGTAGTAAGTAGAAACTGTCCCTTAGGAAATCCAAACATGAACGTTACTAGATAAATCTTTTAAATGAGCTATTGCAAATAGTTTAAAGAATTAGACATATTATTTCTAAAGAACTAAGGAAAACATAAGAACAATGTCTCACCATGTAGAAAATGTCAATAGAGAGGCTGGGCATGGTGGTTCACGCCTGCAATCCCAACACTTTGGGAGGCCGAGGCAGGTGGATCACTTGAGGTCAGGAGTTTGAGACCAGTCGGGCCAACATAGTGAAACCTCATCCCTACTAAAGATACAAAAATTAGCTGGGTGTGGTGGCGCATGTCTGTAATCCCAGCTACTTGGCAGGCTGAGGCAGAAGAACCACTTGAACCCGGGAGATGAAGTTTGCAGTGAGCTGAGGTCACGCCACTGCATTCCAGCCTGGGCGACAGATTGAGACTGTCTAAAAAAAAAAAAAAAAATATATATATATATATATATATATATATATGTAAAATTATAAATTTTTTTTAAAAAAGAAAATATCAATGGAGAAAAATTATAAAAAAGAATCAAATAGAAATTCCTGATTTAAAATCCAATAACTGAAATAAAAATTTTACTAGAGTCTCAACATTAAATATGAAATGGCAAAAAAAAAATCTGCAAACTTGAGGACAATTGAAATTGTCTAGTCTGGGAAAAAGAGAAAAAAAGAATGAAGAAAAATGAACAGAACCCCAGTGATGTGAATTGGATCTGTGTCCCTGCCCAAATCTCATGTTGAATTGTAATGATGGAAGTGGAGCCTAGTGGGAGGTGATTGGATCATGGGGATGGTTTCTAATAGTCTAGCACCATCCCCCTAGTGCTGTTCTCTTGATAGAGTTCTTATGAGATCTGGTTGTTTAAAAGTGTGTGGCACCTCCTACTTTGATCTCATTTTCTCTGGCTCAGGACATGTAAGTCTTGTCTGCTTCCTCTTTGCCTTCTGCCATGACTGAAAGTTTCCTGAGGCCTCCCCAGAAGCTGCGCAGAAACCTCTATGCTTCCTGTACAGCCTGTAGAACCATGAACCAATTAAACCTTTTTTAAAATAAATTACCCAGGTATTTCTTTATAGCAGTGCAAGAACAGACTACTAATACACCTAGAGACCCACGGGACACCATCAAGCAGACCAATAGATACATAATGACGTTCTAGAAGGAGATGAGAGAGATAAAGAGGAAGAATGAATACCTGGATAAATAAGCAAAAGCTTTCCAGATTTGATAAAAGCACAAATCTGTATACCCAAGTATATGCAAGAAGCTCAACAAACTTTACATAGTATAAACTTAAAGAAATCTATATCTAGAGGCATAATAATCAAAATTTCAAGAGCCTGTGTTGATGGGCTTATCATAAATAAAGACATAACCGATATGATAATAAGAATACAAAGCAAAGAGGAGGAGAGATATATAGAAGCAAATACTTTGAATACAATTGAAATTAAATTGATATCAATCTGAAACAGATTGTTGTGAATTAAGAAACTAATTGCAATCCCCAGGTCAAACACTGTGTATAACTAAAAATATATATAGTAAAAGAAATGACAAAGAAATTCAAGGTATACACAATAAAACATCTATTTATTGCAAAAAATGTAGCAATTGAGGAATGAGAAGACATAAGATATATAGAAAACAAATAGCAAAATGTCAGATATAAATCTGTCTTATAAGTAATATAAATTGATTGATATTTCAATCTAAATATCAATTCGAAACAGAAATTAACAGAACGCACTGAGTGTTGTGTGGTTAGTCATCCTCATAATCCTAGGGTAAAAAGAGCCTCTCAACAATAGAATTAATAAGAATGATTAAAACATCCAGCTACATGCTTTCCACAAGAGATGTATTTCAGACTCAAAGACAAAAGTTAGTTAAAAGTAAAAAGATGGAAAAGCTATACCACTTGAAACAGTAACCAAAAGAGAGCAGTAGTGATTATGTTAATATCAGACTAAATAGACTTTAAGACAAAAATTGTTTTTAGAGATAAAGTAGGATATTTTATAATGACAAAAGATTCAATCTATCAAAAGGACTTAACAAATGTAAGCATACATTCATCAAACAACAGAGTCTTAAAATATATGAATTGAAAACTGGCAATATTGAAGTGGAAAAAGACAATACAACAATAATAGACAAAGGTTTCAATACCCCACTTCAATAACTGATAGAACAAACAAACAATAAAACAGCAAGGATATATAAAAGTGAAACACTATAAACTAAACACACTTAGACATCTGTAGAATACTCCAGCAAAACAAAACATAAATTTTCTCAACTGTACATGGGACGTACTTGAAGACAGACCTAGGACATAAAACAAGACGCAATAAATTAAAAAGCATGGAAATCATATAAAATATGTTCTCTAATTCATAATAGAATAAAGCTAGAAATCAATAACAAAAGAAAAATAGAAAATTGTACAAATATGTGGAAGTTAAACTACATGCTCCCAAATAACTAATGAATCAAAAAAGAAAGCAAATGGGAAATTTAAAAATACTTGAAGATTAATAAAAATGAAACTCAAAATATATGACAAAATATATGACATGCAGCTAATACAGTGCCTGGGGTGAATTTGTAGATGAAAATACCTATATTAAAAATAAGGGATATCTCAAATTAATAACTTGCCATTCTACCTTATAAAATTACAAAGAATAAGAACAAACTAAGTCCAAAGCCAGAGAAAGAAGAAAACTGGGAATAAAAAACAATAGAGAAAATTGACAAGCTCAAAAGTTGGTTCTTTAAGAGCATCAACAAAATTGACAAATCTTTAGCTAGACTGACCAAAAAAGGGGAGAGAGAGAAATGCAAATTACCAAAATCAGAAATAAAAAAGAAGACCTCACTACTGACCTACAAAAATAAAAAGGATTATAAGGGAATATTATGAACAATTTGTATTAACAAACTAGCTAACCTGGATGAAGTAGACAAATTTCTAGAAATACACAAACTACTGAAACTAACTCAGGAATAAATAGAAAATACAAATAGACATATAACCAGAAAATTATTGAATTCATAATTTATAAAAAACTAGGACCAGATGGCTTCATGGCAAATCTTAGCAGCACTCAAAGAATTATTAATTTTAAACTTCCACAAACTTTCAAAAAGGAGAAGCAGAGAGAATACGTTCCACCTCATTCTATGAGACCAATATCACCTGATAATAAAACCAGAAAAATACATTACAACATCACAAGACAATAAAACTATACGGCAATTTGTTTCCTTTTTTTTTCGCATATAGACACAAAAATCTTCAATAAAATACTAATAAACTAAATCTAGCAACAAATAAGAAGCCTTATATACCATGACAAGTGGATGCAAGAATGCTTCAACATATAAAAATCAATCTATGTAATATATGATAATAAGATAAAGGACAAAAATCACATGATAATCTCAGTAGATGCAGAAAATGTATTGGACAAAATCCCACACCACTTCCTAATTAAAACACATACACACACACACACACACACACACACACACACTCAAACTAGAACAGTAAGGGAACTTCTTCAGTCTGACAAAGGGCATTTATGGAGTATCCACAGCTAACATCATGCTTTCTGGTAAAAAACTGGATGTTTTACCCCTAAGGTTAGGAACAAAGATGTCTGCTTTCACTACTTCCATTCAACATTGCATCAGAGGTTCTACACAGGGAGAATTAAAACTACCTGCATTTGCAAGTGACATGATCTTGTGTATAGATAAACCTAAGCAATACATACACACACACAAACACACACACACATACACAAATGTTAGAACTAATAACTGATTTCAGCAATATTGCAGGTTGCAAGGTCAATACACAAAAATCAGTTGTATTTCTCTAACAATGAACAATCCAAAATGAAATTAAGAAAACAATTTCATTTACAATAGCATCAAAAAGAATAAAATACATAAGAATAAATTTAACAAAATAAATACAACTTATACACTAAAAACTGTAAAACACCGGTTAAAGAAATTAAAGAAAACTTAAATTCAAAGATATTTTATATTCATGAATCGGAGAACTGTTAATAGATGGCAGTAGTCCCCAAATTCATATACAGATTCAAGACACTTTTTACAAAAATACCAGCTGGTTTTTTGCAGAAATTGACAAAATGATCGTAAAGTGTGTGTGGAAATGAAAGAGACAGAAAATAGCCAAAAATTGGGGGTAAAGAAGAATAAAGTTGAACAAATTACATTTTTCAGTTTAGCAATTTACTGTGAAGCTATGGTAATCAAGATAGCATGGTACTGACTTCAGGATAGACATATAAATCACTTGAATAGAATTGAGAGTTCAGAAATAAACCTTTACATGTATACTCAATTAATTTTGAACAAATTGAAATCGAAACCACAATAAGATACACTGCACATCCACTAGGGATGTTACAACTAAAGAAAAAAGAAAGAAAGATAGTAACAAGCGTCAGTGAGGATGTGGGGAAATTGGAACTCTCTTGTAATCTTGATGAGAATATAAAATGGTACAGCTGCTTTGGAAAACAGCATGGCAATTCTTCAAAAAATTAGTTTACCCTGTAATTTTCCTGCTAGGTTTACCCAAGGGAATTGAAAACACAAGTACACAAAAATCTTAAACACAAGTGTTTATAACAGCATTATCTATAATAGCTAAAAATGAAAACAAGCCAAGTATCCATGAACAATGAACAAATGAACAAAGTATGATATAACCATAAAATAAATTAAGCACTGACATATGATGCAACATAAATGATCCTTGAAACATTATAGTAAGTAAAATTGGCAAAACACAGAAAACCAAATATTGTATGATTCAATTTTTATGAAATGTTCAGAATAAGCAAATCTTTCGATACCGAAAGTAAATTTGTGATTGCCTAGGGCTGAGTGTAGGGAGAGAGGGCAGTGGGGAGTGGCTGCTTATCAGTATGAGGTTTCTTTAGAGGATGATAAAAATGTTCTGGAATTAAATAATTATGACACTTGCAGAACTTTGCAAACAGTGAAAACTGCTGAAATTGTATGCTTAAAAATAATAAACTAGACAGATGAGAGATGAGAGAGAGAGAAAGGCAGAGAGACAAAATTTGTGACCTAAGATAATGCCTACATTCAGAGCCTGACAACTAACCACCCCACACTTCTCTAGACCTGTCATTTTATCTTAGATTGAAAGCTTAAACTAAATCCTACTCAGCCCTGATACTGTGTCGTTCCATGTCCTCACAAATAGTCCTACTCTATCACTAAAAATCTAGGCCCTAAATGATCAAGGCAGAGATTTTTTTTCATAACCCTGGAAACCATTTCAGAATGCTGACATATAATCTATACCTGTGCGCTCTTGAAAAACATCTTGAATCTTTACCTTCAGAAATCCTTAAAATGCCAATTTGTCTATGTCTGAAAAAAAAATACTGCTTGGTTCAAATTCCCAAGAAGGGAAGACATAGAGGATATTGAACCAGCATTCTTTTGTGTGGTTCTCTCTTCCACATAAAGACAGTTTTTGCTCTCAGGGATTGAGGTCACACATTTCTAGACCCAAATACAGTAACTGCTTACTCTTATAAATTAGAATCCTAGACCCCACCTCTGTTCTTTTGCGATAGTACCACAAAGGGAATCTAACTTCTCAAGCATTATTTGTTGTCAAGTCAACAAATAACCAAACTAAATTTCAATTCAAATTCTCTTTCCCTGTTCAGGTTCTCTCACTCCAACAGGTCTTAAGTTGGAAGAAGTTTTGGTGGCTGCACATCTCTTTCAGGATATTTGACCTCTTTCTCAAATGCACTGTCAAGTTAAGAATGGGAAGAGACTAGCCAGGGTGTCAAGGACATTGGAGCAAGACAAGTAGGCCAGGACCAGATACCCTTTTAATAATATCACTGATCAGGCCAGTTTCTCAGAGCTGAAATTTTCTCATAATTTTCTTTTTTGTTTTTATTTTTAATTTTTGTAGGTACACAGTAGGTGTATAATTTATTGGGTGCATGAGATGTTTTGATATAGGCATGCAATGTGAAGTAAGTGCATCATGGAGAATGGAGTATCCATCTCCTCAAACATTTATCGTTTGTGTTAGAAACAATCCAGTTACACTCTTTAAGTTATTTTAAAATGTACAATTAATTTATTATTGACTATTGTCTCCCTGTTGTGATATCTCATGAAATTTCCACATATCTGAATTTTTGGGAGGAAGGAGGTTATAAGTCTAGCATTCTTTGGAGAGGCTAACCCCGCTGCAGTGGAAAGATCTAAAACAGAATAAGAGTTATGTAATAAATTGCCTTCTTCTGTACCTAAAACTATCAAAGCCTCTCCTGCCTTAGTTTCTTTTCTGTTGCTTCCTTGACCTAGAATACACAAGGATGATTTCCTAACTTCATTAAAATCGCTCATTAAAGAAGGCTTCCTGAACCGCCCTGTCTCTGCTATCAATTTTCTCATTGGTTTATTTATTTTTGTTTTCAGAATACTGTTTTGCCCTCGCATGTATGTATTTGTTCATGTCTATAGTTTTCTCCCACAAAAGTGAAGATTCCAGGAGGAATTTTTGTCTGTTTAGTTTACTAATATTTCATGTGTACATTCAACTATGGCACACATTAGGTGCTCAATAAATTTGTCAAAAGAATAATTGAATAAGTATATGTTCAGACATAGAAATGAAAATGGGAATTTTGAATACATTTTGACTATTTGGTGCTTCCAATTCCTCCTTTATGAATATTTTTCTTCTGACTTTGTTGTCTATTAGTTTTTCATCTCTTCTAGTTGCTTATATTTTTGTTCTATCTTTTCAGTTATAGATTTTTTGATTTCCTTACTCTCTCCCTCCACTTTCTCTGACCCTTTCAATTTTTCTATAAAGACACGGACATTTGTTCATTAAAATAAACTCACCATCTAATTATAATTGACTCATTTGTAGATGAGAAAGTTCAAAGTCAATGAATGGCCCAAGCTTCAGGAAACACCAATAAAAATTAAGAAAGTACATCATTATATTTTCAAGATTTTAAGCATTAAAAGAGAAGCTTTTCTATATTTCCTCATCAGAGCTTTCACTAGAAATTACTTTTCACTTCTTTCTCATTGATATTACAATACCTTTTTAAAAATATGTTTTTAGGGTAATTCCATTCAATGAAATTCACCTTTTTAAGGGTACTGTTCAACGAATTTTGAAAATGGGTATATTCTTCAGCAAAAACAATTAATATGAATGTTTTTGTTCATTAGGACATTTTCATCAACCCATAAAGTGTCTTCATGCCCCTTAACATCAAATCTCCTACCCATCCCCCTACCCTTAGTCACCAGCAATTAATATTCTTTCTGCTCCTTTAGCTTTGCCTTGTATACCAGTTCACATAAATGGAATCATCCAATATGTAGTCTTATGTGTCAGGCTACTTTCCCTTACCATAATGTCTTTGAGACTATCTTCCACTTTGTTTCACGCATCAGTTACATGGAATTACTGAGTGACATTCCATCATATGGATGTAACACAATTGTTTTTCTATTCATCAGTTAATAGAAATCTGGGTGATTTTTAGTTTGGACTGTTGGGGATCAGCCTCACCACCCGTAGGGTATCCGAAGTTTGGTGAGGACGAAGGAATGAGAAGAGACAGGTTGAGAATACAAAAAGAGTGGGGCGCCAGGGGTTCAATGCACTTTTGGAGGCTGCAAAGGCGCCAAGCTCTAGTCTCCACACAATATATTTATTGAGTACAATCACTTAGATCTAAGAAGCAGATGTTTAGGGGTGAAACGGTGAAAGGGAGACGGTGTGTCATACACCTAATCTATAGCAGTGGTGGTTTAGGTAAATTTTTTTTTGTGCTGAAGCAACATAAACTTAACTACTGATTTATTCTTTAACTTACCGGAGAGCAGCTGTGAGGAGTGGGCTTAACTAGGAGCCGGCATATCTGGCCACACTCCAATGCTTCAAAGGAGTGTCTCTCCTTGAGCACAGTGTTTATAGATAAGAGAGCAGGTCACGCTCTGGTCAAGGGAATGTGACGGCAATAAGGAGGCTTTCCTCCTCAGAGGCCTCCTGTGGCTTTCCGCAACTTATTGTCCCATATTTTTATGGCCAGTTTATACAGCCACCCCATAAGCCTTTTTCCCAACATTGGACTATTAGTAATAAAGCTGCTATGAATGTTCAAGTTTTCTTGTGAACACAGACTTTTGTTTCTCTTTAGGAGATGAGGGTTGGGTTGGGGAGATTATAAGTGGAAAATATGAAATTTTATGCTTAAGTTTTGCAAAATTGGAAAACTTTCCTAAGTGGCTGAATGATTTTACATTCCAACAAACAATCTGTGAGAATTTCCATTGATCTATAACTTCACAAATTATTAATAATGTCAGTCTTTTGATGTGATAATTTTAGAGGGCATATAGTGGTATCTTGTTGATTTTAACTTGCATTTCCCTAAGGACTATTGAGGTTTAACATCTTTTTATTTATTTTCAATTTGTAAAACTTCTTTGTTGAGATCTAATCAAATATTTTGCCCATTTTTAAATTGGATTTATTTCTTTTTAAGTATTTGAATTATTCTTGCATTACAATGAAAGTATTTGTCAGTTATATGTTTTGCTAATTTTTTTGACTTAGTAGTCTTTATCTGTTTCCTTAAAAGGCCTTTTGAAGAGCAAATGTTTTTAATTTTCTTAAAGTATAATGTATTGAATTCGTCTTTTAACATCTGTGATTAAAAGATCTTTGTCTAAGGTCACAAAAATTTTCTCCTAAGATTCTTCTAGACTTATACCATCCTTATAGGTTATGTATAAGTTGGTCTTAGTTTTTAATCCAATCTGACAACATCTTCTCTTAAACTATTTTTTTCTTTTTACCGCCTTCTTAAAAGCATTAATTAAGTATTCTTTTAATGTTTCCACTTACCTCACTTTTGGCTTACTAATGTTTGTTTAGGGCAACTTTCTGGGATAATGGAAATATTCCATGTCTGTTCAATCCAATACAATGTCAACAACATGTGACTATTAATTAAACATTAAAATGTAGGTAATATAAACAGGGTACTGAACTTTTACATTTATTGAATCATAATTAATTTGAAAGTAAATACATATAGCTAAAGATTACTTCATTAGCTAACATAGATCTAGATATGATGTATAATATATAACTGTCACCATTCATATATTATATAATTTAATATATAATGAAAATCCTTATTACCTATTATTTATACTATTATTGCTACATATTTTACTTCAACTATTCTAAACATACAATTCTTTATTATTATTTTTGCTTTAAGCCATCAATTATCTTTCAAAGGTTTTTTAAATGAAAGAAAATGAATTTTATATTTACACTTCTATCTAGCATGTTATTTTCTCATCATATTTTTGTGTAGATGCAAATTTTCATCTGATAACTTTTTATATACCTGAAGCTATATATAGTATTTACTGGTGGTAAAAGTATGCTAGTGATACATTTTCCCAGCTTTGGACAGTCTGAACAAGAGTTTATTTCATCTCAATTTTTGAAGATATTTCTCCTGGCTAAAGAACTCCAAATTGATAGTTTTTGATGCAAAACCAATGTAACCAAAGACAGTGTAGTGATTTCCTCAAAGACCTAAAAACAGAAATACCATTTGACCCAGCAATCCCATTACTGGATATATACCCAAAGGAATACAAATCATTCTATTATAAAGACACATGCATGCATATGTTCATTGCAGCATTATTCACAATAGCAAACACATGAAATTAACCTAAATGTCCATCAGTGGTAAACTGGATAAAGAAAATGTGGTACATATACACTGTGGAATTCTATGCAGCTATAAAAAAATGAGATCGTATTCTTTGCAGAAACATTGATGGAGCTGGAGGCCATCACCTTTAGCAAACTAATTCAGGAACAGAAAACCAAATCCCACATGTTCTCACTTACAAGTGGGAGCTAAATGATGAGAACACATGGACACACAGAGGGGACCAACACACACTGGGTCCTATTGAAGGGTGCAGAAGGGGAAGAGGGAGAGGATCAGGAAAAATAACTAATGGGTACTATGCTTAATACCTGGGTGAAAAAATAATCTGTACAACAAATCACCGTGACACAAGTTTACTTATATTACAAGCCTACACCTGCACATGTGCTCCAGAACTTAAAATAAACGGTTTTTTTTAAAAAACTACTCTAATATTCATATGAAACTAAAAAAAAACCTGAGTAGACAAAACAATCCTAAACAAAAATAACAAAGCCAGAAGCCTCACATTACCAGACTTCAATTTATGCAACAAGGCTACAGTAACCAAAACAGCACGATTCTGATACAAAAACACAGCCTCACAGAACATAACAGATAACCCAGAAATAAAGCCACATATCTACAACCATCTCTTTTTTGACAAAGTTGACAAAAATAAACAATAGGGAAAGAACTCCCTATTCAATAAATGGTGCTGGGACAAATGGATAGCCATATGAAGAAGAAAAAAACTGGACCTCGATTTATTACAATAAACACATATTAACTCAAGATGGGTTAAGGACTTACATGTGAGACCTCAAACTATAAAAATCCTAGGAGAAAACCTAGGAAATACCATTCTGGACATTAGCCGTGGCAAAGAATTTATGACTATGTCTCCCAAATTAATTGCAACAAACACAAAAATTGAAAAGTGGGTACTGATTAAACTAAAGAACTTTTGCACAGCAACAGAAATTATCAACAGAGTAAATAAGCAACCTACAGAATGGTAGAAAAGATTTTCAAATTATGCATCTGACAAAGGTCTAATATCCAAAATCTACAACAAACTTAAACAATTAAAGGAGCAAAAAACAACCTCACTAAAAGGTCAAAAAGGACATAAACAGACACTTTTCAAAAGAAGACATACATATGGCCAACAAGCATATGAAAAAATGCTCAATATCTCTAAACATCAGAGAAAGCCAAATCAAAACCACAATGAGATACCATCTCACACCAGTTGAAATGGCTATTATTAAAAAGTTTAAAAAATAATGAATGCCAGCAAGATTGAGAAGAAAAGGGAATGCTTATACACTGCTGGGGGGAATGTCAATTAGTTCAGCCATTGTGGAAACCAGTGTAGAGGTTTCCTTTTTTTTTTTTTTTTTAGAGACGGAGTTTCACTCTTGTTGGCCAGGCTGGAGTGCAATGGCATGATCTTGTCTCACCAAAACCTCCGCCTCCCAGGATCAAGTGATTCTCCTGCCTCAGCCTCCCAAGTAGCTGGGATTACAGACATGTGCCACCAAGCCCAGCTAATTTTGTATTTTTAGTAGAGATGGGGTTTCTCCATGTTGGTTAGGCTGGTCTCGAACTCCCGACCTCAGGTGATCCACCCGTCTCGGCCTCCCAAAGTGCTGGAATTACAGGCGTGAGCCACTGCGCCCGGCCTGAGATTTCTTAAGGAAACTACAACTACCATTCAACCCAGCAGTTCTATCATTGGGTATATCCTCTGAGAAATGTAAATTGTTTTGTAGCCTGAAACTTTATTGACATTTTTAATCAGTTCCAGAGTCTTTAGGCAGAAGCTATAGAGTTTATATCCTAGATATAGAATCATATCCTCTGCAGGATGTTTGACTTACTCTCTCTTTTTTTTTTTTTTTGGATGCCTTTTATTTCTTTCTCTTGCCTAATTAGTATGACCAGGACTTCCAGTACTGTATTGAATACAAGTGGTGAGAGAGGGTATCTTTGTCTTGTTCTGATTTTCAGGGAGTATGCTTTCAGCTTTTGCCCATTCAGTATGATGTTGGCCATGGGATTGTCATAGATGGCTCTTACTATTTTAAGGTATGTTCGTTTGATGCCTAGCTTGTAGAGGGTTTTTATCATGAAGGGACATGGTATAATTTTGTATGCTTTTTCTGCATCAATTGAGATTGTCATATGGTTTTTGTCTTTAATCCTGCTTATGTGGTAAATAACATTTATTAATTTACATATGTTGAACTAAACTTGCATTCCAGGAATAAAACCTATGTGATCATGGTGAATTAAATTTTTGATATGCTGCTGAATTTGCTTTGCTGGTATTTTCTTGAGGATTATTACATTTGTGTTCATCAGGGATATTGGTCTGCAGTTTTCTTATTTTGTTGTGTATTTGCCAGGCTTTGGTATGAGTATGTTGCTTGCTTAATAGAATGAGTCGGAATAAAGTCCCTCCTCCTCAATTTTTTGGAATATTTTCAGTAGCATTGGTACCAGCTTCTCTTTGTATGTCTATTAGAATTCTGCTGTGATTCTATCTGGTCTAGGGCTTTTGTTGGTGGTGGTGGTGATGGTGGTGGTTGCTGGCTTTTCATGAGCAATTCAATTTCAGAACTTGATATTGGTCTGGTCAGGGTTTCAACTTCCTTGTGATTCAATCTTGGGAGGTGGTGTGCTTCCAGTTGTTTATCCATTCCCTCTAGATTTTCCAGTTTGTGTGCATAGAGGTGTTCATAAAAGTCTCTGAGGATCTTTTGTATTTTTGTGGGATTGATTGTAATGTCATCTTTGCCATTTTTGAGCGTGATTATTTGGATCTTCTCTCTTTGCCAATCAAGCTAGTGGTTTATTGATCTCGTTTATTCTCTCAAGTAATCAGCTTTTGGATTTATTGATCCTTTTAATGGATTTTTGAATATCAATTTTGTTCAGTTCTTCTCTGATTTTGGTTATTTTTTTCTGCTAGCTTTAGGTTAGTTTGTTCTTGTTTTTCTAGTTCCTCTTAGTGTGATGATAAATTGATAATTTGGGATCTTTTTAAATCCTTGTTGTAGGAGTTTAACATCATAAACTTTCCTCTTAACATTGCTTACACTGCACCCCAGCGATTTTGGTATGTTGCATCTCTGTTTTCCTTTATTTTAAAGAATTGTTTTATTTCACCCTTAATTTCGTTGTCCATCCAAAAGTCATTCACAAGCAAGTTTTTTAGTTTCCATGTAATTATGTGTTTTTGAGAGATCCTCCTGGCATTAATTTCAATTTTTATTCCCCTATGGTCCAAGAGTATGGTTGGTATGATTGCTATTTGTTTGAATTTATTGAGACTTGCCTTATGGCCTAGCATGTGGTCACTCTTAAAGTACATTCTGTGTGCAGTTGAGAAAAGCATATATTCTGTGGTTGATGAGTAGTCTGTAGAGGGTTTTTTTTTTGTTATTTTTGTTTGTTTGTTTTTTGTTTTTGAGATGGAGTCTCGTTCTGTCACCCAGGCTGGAGTGCAGTGGTGCAATCTCGGCTTACTGCGAGCTCCGCCTCCCGGGTTCACACCATTCTCCTGCCTCAGCCTCCCGAGTAGCTGCGACTACAGGCGCCCTCCACCACGCTTGGCTAATTTTTTGTCTTTTTAGTAGAGACGGGGTTTCACCATGTTAGCCAGGATGGTCTCGATCTCCTGACCTTGTGATCCGCCCACCTCGGCCTCCCAAAGTGCTGGGATTACAGGCATGAGCCACCGTGCCCAGCCCTGTAGAGGTCTTTTAAGTCCAACTGGCCAAGTGTCAAAGTTATGTCCAGAATTCCCTGATAGTTTTCTGCCTCGATGATCTGTCTAATACTGTCAGTGGTGTCGAGTCCCCCACTTTTGTGTGGCTGTTTAGATATTTTTGTAGTCCTAGGTGTACCTGTTTTATGAATCTGAGTGTTCCAGTGTTAGGTGCATATATATTTAGCGTAGTTAAGTCTTCATGTTTAATGGAATCCTTTATCATTACAGAATATACTTCTTTGTCCTTTTTTACTGTTGTTGGTTTAAAGTCTGTTTTATCTGATGTGAGAATAGTGACCCTTGTTCTTTCTTGTTTGTTTATTTTCTCTCTGTGTGATAAGTCTTTCCCCAACCCTTTACTATGAGACTGTGGGTGCCATGACATGAGTGATGGGTCTCTTGAAGACAGCAGATAGATCGGTTTTGTGTTTTCTCTAACTTGTCCCTCTGTACCTTTTAAGTGGGATATTTAGACCATTTAAATTCAAGGTTTTGATCCTGATGGTCATGAAGTTTCCAGTTGGCTGCTTTATAGTCTTAATTGTGTACAATTACTTTATTAGGTCTGTGGGCTACTTACGTGTGTTTTTATGGTAGCCAGTATCATTCTTTTGTTTCCATGTTTGTAACTCCATTAAGGATCTCTTGTAAGCCTGGTCTACTGGTAAGAAATTCCTTTAGTGATTGGTTGTCACTAAAATTTTATTTCTTCTTCACTTATAAAGCTTAGTTCATCAGGATATGAAACATTGGTTGGAATTTCATTTCTTTAAGAATACTGAAAATAGGTCGCCAATCTCTTTTGGTTTTTAAGGTTTCTGCTGAGAAGTCTGCTGTTAGTCTGATGGGAATCCCTTTGTAAGTTATCTGACCATCTTCTTTAATTGCCTTTAAGATTTTTTTCTTTGGTGTTGACCTTGCTTAGTCTGGTAACTCGGTTCCTTGGTGATATATATTGTGTAAAGTCTTTCTCAGGTGTCTACTACTCTGGCAGGATTGGAAAATTTTTCTTGAATTATTCCCTCAAATATGTTTTTCAAGTTTTTCACTTCTACTGCTTCTCTCTCAGGAATGCCAGTAACCCATAGGTTTGGTCACTTTACATAATCGCATATTTTTCAAGGACTTTGTTGATTTTCTTTTCTTTTATTCTCTCTCTCTTTCTCTGTGTGTGGTCTGCCTGAGCTAGTTTAAAAGGCTGAAATTCTTTTTTTTTTTTCTGCCTGGTTTAATCTATTGATAAAACTTTCAATTGTATCTTGAAATTTCTTAAGTGAGTTTTTAATTCCAGGATCTCTGATTAATTTCTTTTTAACATGTTTATGTCTTCTTTCATTTCTTGGACTGCTTTAGTAGTTTCCTTGTGTTGATTTTCAACATTGCCTCGGACTTCATTGAGCCTTCTTGCAATTCATGCTTTGAATTCTTTGCCTGTCATTTCTGAGCTCCCATTTTGGTTATGAGTCCTTGCTGGAGAGCTAGTGTAATTCTTTGGTGATGTCACAAGATTCAGATTTCTTATGGTGCCAGAATCCTTATACTGGTCCCTTTCATCTGGAGAGGATGGCACTTCTAATTTTTGTAATTATTTTTGTGTGGATAGGATTTTTTTTTCTTTCCTTATATATTTTTTTCCTTTCCCCTTCTCTCTAAGTGGTGCAACTGTAGAGTATGTTGAGTAGGGTCTTTTGGCTTTGTTTCTATACCCCTTTTCACTTCTTTTAGCAGTTTTTATATTAGGCAGTGCAATTTGACCTGTGGAGCAGTAGATGGGGCTTAAGGGTAAGAGCCAGCCGTAACATAAGCAGATGGCTATGTATTTGATCTTTGTTTACTCTCAAGTGTTCTCTGTTATTTCAGATGATGGCCTGGATGGGCATTCCAGGTTCCCTAGCTTCCTGTTCCATGGGGATGAGGAGACACATCTGGGCAAAGCTGTAGTGTTTCAATTTTTGTTTATTTCCATGTACATTTGATTTTCCCTTTGATTTTTTCTCTGACCTGTTGGTATCTTATGAGTGTGTTGTTTAATTTCCACCTATTTGTAATTTTCTAAATTTCTTCCTGTTATTGATTTCTATATTTATATCATTGTAGCCAGAAAAGATACTTGAGATGATTTTAGTCCTCTTCAATTTGATAAGATTTGTTTTGTGACCTAACATGATCTATTCTGGAGAATGTTCCATGTGCACTTGAGAAAATTTTGTATTAAACTTCTGTTGGGCGAAATGTTCTGTATATGTTTATTAGTCCATTTGACCAATGGTGTTACTGAAGTCTCCTGTTTCCACATTGATTCACTCTCTGAATGATCTGTCCATTTTTAAAAGTAGGATAGTGAAGTCTCATTATTATATTGCTGTTTATTTCTCCCTACAGTTCTGTTACTACTTGCTTTATATATGTTTAGGTGTTCCCATGTTGAATGCATCTATCTTTACAGTTCTTATATCCTCAAGATGACATCATCCCTTTATCATTGTACAGTGACTTTCTTTGTCTCTTATGACAGATTTTGATTGAAAGTCTATTTTGTCTGATGGAAGTATAACTTTCCCTGATTTTTTTTGGTTTACATTTGCATGAAATATCTTGCTCTATCCCTTCACTTTTAACATGTGTTCCTAAGGCTAAAAAGAGTCTTTTGTAGGCAGCATATTGTTAGATCTTGGCTTTTTTTTTTTTTTTCACTCTTCTGTATTTGTTACAACTTTAAGCAAAATGTGACTCGGGCACTACATTTCCATCCACAAGACTGGCTCTGAGTTATTTTTTGAAAAGCTTTGTGATAGGCTTAGGTAGGCTTATAACTTTGCTCCTCCAAACAATACTTTTCTTTGGAGAACAAGAACTCTCTGTGGAGATTTCCTTCCATCAAGTTGCTTCAGTTTAACCTATTTCTAGAGGACTAGTTCATACAGAACTGGCAACTACAGGGGATGAAAAGTTCAAAAGTAGATGCTACAAAATGTAACAAATACTTTTCTTCTAAACATCAAGATATAGCTCAGGAACACTTGGATAACAAGATTTGGCCTACTAAGGAATATGGATTGATAGCTAAACACTTTAGACCACAAAGTAAACATCATGTTTCACACATCCTGCAACACACATTACTTCGATCTGTTAAAATAAGCCAATGTGAAACTAAGAAAAAAATTACTAGCTCTGCTTTAGTGCTTAAGGTATCACAGCATCACTTAGAAGTAGAAAGAAATCTTATCTTCCCCTTAAAGTAGTTGTTGTCATGCCATACAGACTTTTTAATGTTAACAAAAAATAAAGAAAAATATCCTTGAAAATATATTTCCCTCAGCTGGAGCTTAGTCTGTTTCTTCCATGCATGATGTGTCGTTGTCTCCTTCAAGGGGTGACATTTCTTCAGCAGTATCATCAGCAGTAGGGTCATTTTCATCAATACCCACACCAAGTTTGATCATCCTGTAGATCCTGTTAGCATGTGTCTGGGGATCTTCCAGACCAAAGCCGGAAGACAAAAGAGCAGTTTTGTAAAGCAAGACGACCAGATCCTGCACAGACTTGTACTTATCTGCCTCTGCCTTTTGCCTTAAGGTCTCAATAATGGAATGGTCAGGGTTTATCTCCAGGTGTTTCTTTGCTGCCATGTAACCCATTGTTGAGTTGTCTCTTAGGACTTGAGCTTTCATGATTCTTTCCATGTTTGCTGTCCAGCCATATATGCTCGTGACAATATAGCATGGAGACTTCACCAATCAGTTTGGCACAACCACCTTTTCAACTTTTTTCTCCAATATGTCTTTCATGATTTTGCAGATGTTCTCAAACTTTGTTTTTTTCTCTTCCTGTTTCTTTTTTTCTTCTTCATCCTCTGGAAGTTCCAAGCCCTCTTTGGTGACTGACACTAAAGTCTTCCCCTCAAATTCCTTCAGTGTTGGACACAGTACTCATCAATTGGCTTGATCATATAGTTCACTTCTAAGCCATGTTTCCGAAGACATTCCACAAATTTAGCTACCTGGTCCTTGGTCTCACCTGTGATGTAATAGATATGTTTCTAGTTTTCCTTCATTCTGGTGCAGTAGTCCTTGAGAGAAACCATCTCATCACCAGAAGCAGATGTGTAGTATCTTAACAGCTCTGAAAACTTCTTCCAATGTTGAGAGTCTTCATATATTTCAAGCTTTACGCTTTTAGAGAACTGCTCATAGAATTTCTTGTAGTTCTCTTTATCTTCTGCCAGTTTGGTAAAGAGTTCTAAGCATTTTTTGACCAAATTTTTCCTGATAACTTCCAAAATTTTGCTTTGTCACAACATCTCATGGGAAATATTTAGACGGAGATCCTCTGAGTCCACCACCTTTCCAATGAAGTTCAGATACGCAGGGATTAGCTCCTCACAGTTATCCGTGATGGAAACTCTGTGTACATACAATTTGATGTTCTTTTTCTCTCTCTTTCCAAACAAGTCAAAAGGAGCATGTTGTGGGACAAATAGAAGGGCTCTGAATTCCAAGTGTCCTTCAACTGAAAAATGCTTCACTGCCAATGATCTTCCCAGTCATTGGTCAAGCTCTTGTAGAATTCTTACTCCTCATTAGTAATATCATCAGGATTTCTGGTCCAGATGGGCTTTGTTTTGTTGAGTTTTTCTTGATCGATGTACTTTTCCTTAATCTTCTTATTCTTTTTGTCACCATCCTTCTTTTCTTCTTCTTCTTCATCAGAACCAACATCTTCAATTTCAGGTTTGTCTTCGGACTCTTTCTCTTCTTTTTCATTTTCTTCTTCTTTATCTTCCTTTTCTTCAGCTTCATCATCTCTGACTTCTTTATCATGTTCCTTCTCCACAAAAAGAGTAATGGGATATCCAATAAACTGAGAATGTTTCTTCAAAAATGTTTTTATTCTTCATTCCTCCAAGTACTCATTTGGTCTTCCTTCAGGTGTAGGATAACCTTTGTTCCACGACCCATAGGTTCACTCGTCTGTCCTCACTGTGAATGATCCCCCTGCTGAGGACTCCCAGGTGTACTGCTCATCATTGTTATGTTTGCTGATCACAGTTACTTTCTTGGCAACCAAATAAGCAGAATAAAAACCAACCCCGAAATGGCCAATCATAGAGATATCTGCATCAGCCTGCAAAGCTTCCATGAATGCTTTGGTCCCAGACTTGGTGACAGTACCGAGGTTATTGATCAAGTCAGTCTTGGTCATTCCAATTCTAGTGTCCACAATAGTGAGGGTTTGATTTTGTTTGTTTGGTACAAGGTTAATATGCAGCCCTTTCCCAGAGTCTAATTTACTGGAATCCATCAACCTTTCATATCAGATTTTGTCCAATGCATCTGATGAATTTGAAATTAGTTCTCTCAGAAAGATCTCTTTCTTCGAGTAGAAAGTATTGATGATCAGTGACATCAACTGGGCAATTTCTGCCTGAAAGGTGAATGTCTCAACCTCCTCCTCCTCCATCGATTTGTCTTGGGTCTCGGTTTCCTCAGGCATCTTGGCTAAGGGACCACAAGGGCTCCACAGCACATCAGTACCAGGATGCTGAAGCACCTCGGCTTTTATTTTTTATTTATTTATTTTTCTTAAAATCCATTCAGCCACTCTGTATCTTTTGACTGGAAAATGTAATTCATTTACATTTAAAGTAATTATTGATAGGTAAAGGATTTACTACCGGCATTTTGATTTTTGCTGACTGCTTTGTAGTTCTTTTATTTCTTTTTTCCAATCTTCCTATCTTTCTTTATAATTTGTTGAATTTTGATAGGTGCACACTTTGATTCATGTCTTTGTTTTTTATGTATCAACTAGAGTTGTTTTTCTACTTGGTTATCATGGGGCTTATATAAAACATCTTATAATTATAACATTCTAATTTAAGCTGCTAACAACTGAAATTGCATACAAAAACTCTACACTTTTACTTCACTCTGCCCACATTTTATGTTATTCATGTCACACTTCACATCTTTCTAGATTGTGTATTCATTGCCAAATTAGAATAGATATAGTTATTTTCAATATTTCTGTGTTTTAAGCTTTTATAATAGAATTTAAAATGATTTACACAGTGCCATTACAGTATTAGATTATTCCAGATTTGACTATTTACTTTTACTAGTGGCTTTTTTAACTATTAACTTCTTAAAAATGTTTCATGTTATCTATTTCTTTATTTTAGAGATGTGATGTCGCTATGTTACACAGGCTGGTCTTACACTCCTGAGGTCAAATGATCCTCCCACCTTGGCTTCCCTAAGTGATGGGATTACAGGCATGAGCCACGGCACCTGGCTTTAACATCTTTTTGTTACAACTTGAAGAACTCTAGTATTTTTTTTTTTTTTTTTTTTTTTTTTTACATTTTACTTTAAGTTCCGGGATACAAGTGCAGAATGTGTAGGTTTGTTACATAAGTATATGTGTGCCATGGTGGTTTGCTGCACCTACCAACCCGTCATCTAAATTTTAAGCCCTGCATGCATTAGCTATTTGTCCTAATGCTCTCCCTCCCTCCCCTTGCCCCCCAACCCCACACGGGCCGTGGTGTGTGTTGTTCCCCTCCCTGTGTCCATGTATCCTCATTGTTCAACTCCTACTTATGAGTGAGAACATGCAATGTTTGGTTTTCCATTCCTGTGTTACCTTTGTCTGAGTATGTCTTTATTTCTGCTTCATTTCTGAGAGAGATTTTTTACGTATAGTATTCTTGGGCAGTTTTTATTTTTTTCTTTCTGCTCTTTGGCTATATCATCCCACACCATCCGGGCATATAAAATTTTTTTTTTTAGGTTTTGTTTTGTTTTTGCCAAGTCTGCTGATATCCTTAAAGGGGTTCCCTTTTAGGTGACAAGTTTCTTTTTACTGCTGCTTTCAAAAGTCTCTTTTTGTGTTTGACTTATAATAAGTTGATTATAATGTGCTTCAGAGTGTTACTGTTGGGGTTGATATTGTTTGGACATTTTGATTTCCATGAAACTGTATTGAGTCTATGTCTCTCCCATGATTTTGGAAGTTTTCAGCCAGTATTTCTTTAAATAAGCTTTATGCCTCTTTATTTGCTTCTTTTTCCTTCTGAGACACCGGTAGTTTATTATTGTTTTTCTAATTTCAATTCATTTTCTATGTGCATTTCCTTGCATTTCTTCAAGATCCTTAAGATGGTTATTTTGAATTCTTTCTCAGGCAATTCCTAGATCTCTATTTCTTTGTGATTTACTACTGAAGCTTTACTAGTTTCTTTTGGTGGTGTCACATTTGCCTAATTCTTCATTATCTGTATAGATTGCATTGATGTCTGCGCATTGATGTCTGAATAAACATCTTTTCTGGCATTTAAACACTGCTTTTGGCAGATAAAAGCTTTCTCCTGTTGAGCCTCTATGCTGGTGAGATTGCCCCCAGGATCCTAGTAAAGTGGGTTTCGAGCTAGATCATGTGGCTGCCTCTTCATCTACAATGGGATCTGTGCTTAATAGACCTGTTACCAGGGCCTCCAGTGGGTATGGATTCTGTCTGGTTCCCCCCGGGTGGACTGAATTACCTCCAGTACATTGGGCAGTAGGGTTGGTGCTAGAATGAGGATCCATTTCAGAGTCCACAGATGGTAGGCCTGTTACTAGGTTTGTGGATGGGTATGGTTTCCTCCAGGTCTTTGGGAGAGCTCCCATTAAGTGACTGGGTAGGTCCCTTTGCAGGCAGTACTTGTCCTGGCCTACAGTTGAGAGGAGATGAATATAAGTCACAGGGCTGCAGTAAAGACAAAGATCTGCAGGCCTGCCTCTGAGGTCAAGGTTTGGTGTATCCCCCATTTGGTCCCTGGTCAGGCAAAACTGCCCTCAGACCACACCTGAGAGGGGATGAATCCAAGTTACAAGGCTGTGTCAGGATCCTCTGTGAGACTGATGGCAGCAGGTCTGCCTCTGAGGGTCATAGACAAGCTCGTCCTTCTCTTGGTTCTTGAATGGACAAGCCTACTCTCAGACCACAGCTATTAATGCCTGGAGTTGAGTTTCAGAGCCATTTCAAGTTCCACACCTGGGACCGAGGTCAACAAGCTTGTTTTCTGAAGCACTAGTATATGTGACTCCTCCTGGGCTCCTTGACTGATGGCAAAATAAGGCTGTATCCAAGTCCACAATAAAACAAGGCCATTGCTAAGTCTAGAGCTGAGACCACTGTTGGCAGGTCTGCCCCCTCAAAATGGCTTTCCTACATCTTGATCTTCACTAGGGTTTCACAATCTCCTATCTAAATCTCAAGGCTCCCACAAAGAGGTATTTTCCCATTGATGGCTGTGAACTTATTGCTGCTGTCAAGGAATGTAAGCAGTGGGCTTTCTGTTTCACCATCTTTCTCTCCTTTTGTCTCTCACTATTTTTAAAATTTTCTTTTTATCATTAGTTTTTAATAATTGAATTCTTATATTCTTATATGTTCTAGCATAATTTTGGTTTTTATTCTGCTTGAAATTTCTGACATTTTTGGGTTTGGGGGTTTATAAGGGATCTCAATTACATGAATATTTGACAGCTTGGCACTTTACCGTAGTCATCAAGCCTCTGTTTTTGTTTTGTTGTTGTTGTCGTTATTTGGGGTTTTTGAAGTTTTGCTATAATTACAGGTTGTTTTGTTGGCTATGTGTTTAAGTTAATTGACCTTTTCTTTGGCAGTGTCTGCAGCTAATCCTGCTTAATGTATTTTTAAAATTCAGATAATATTTTTTATTTCTATTAATTATACTTGATGGCTGTTGGGAATATAAACTCTTCTTTGTGTGAACTCTAGGACTTGTTTAGTCTATTGCTTCCAGTAGTTGTTCATCTTCTACAAGAAGTTTACTCTAACAAATGTACGAATTAGCACTCTTCCAAAGATTTGAGGAGATCCCTTTGCAGCTATTAGACCTCCCTATGTGTGTGCTAATCCCTTCTCTTTAGTTATCTGTCTTGAAATGGCCCCTTTGTCTTCTCTATACTCTAATCTTTATCTAATCTAGTCTCCTTAATACTCTATGTAATCTAGTCTTCTCTATAATCTTTATCTAATCTAATCCTTAATTCAGTAAGACTACTTGATATATTTTGGTGTCCTCTGCTGCCTCTCTCTCTTTTTCTCTCTCTTTCTATATATAAACACATAAATATACATACATGTATATACACATATAGAGCTTGTATTATTCCATCAGTTATGTCTCAGTATTATCCAGTATTATCTTGGTGTTATTATATTTTTAAATATAAGAAGCATATAAATTTCTATTTAAAATACTTTAACATATTTTTTCTCACTCCATCATGGTCACACAATGTCCAGTACTAAAGTCCTATGGAATTACTTATGTTCAACTGGATAATACTGAGACATAAGTGTTGGAATAATTCCAGCTGAAGTTAATCATGGGCTGTTTTTTCTCTTTCACTCTCTTAACTCCCATTTCCATCTTCAGTTTTTCTTTAGAACTAAAATTAGGATTGTCTAGAGTCTGTTACAGGATCCACATTTCTTTGCTTTGTACTCTTCAAATACTTTTTAAGTCATAACATGTGGAAATCATTTATTTCTCTTTTCTCAAGAATAACAGTCTTATTCTGTCTCTTGTCTAATGTCTACAAACTGCTATGTCACATATTTTTCTAACTTTTAGCTTTTTAATGTAGAAAGTTAAGTACAATTTATATTAATCCATCTTGATAGGATTCTCTACCTTACTGATGTTCATTAACTTACTCAATGCCTTTTACATATTTTTGAATATTTTAATTGTAAAATAAGTAGAAAAGGAGGCCACAGAAAAAGAAAAAAAGCATTACTTAAAATGTGTACAAATAGAATTTTCAACAGTTTTTACTTAATAAAAGAAACAAGTACACAGTCACAGATTGTGTTAGAAGAATTTCTAGGTCTCCTGATCTCTGCCTAGTGCAACGGTGTTTCCCTTCAGGATGCTTCTCAGGTGAGCTCATCCTCTTTTTTGTTGGAAAAACACTGTTGAACAAATACTGCAGCTTAGAAGGTGCCACTTCAGAGCACATCCAGAAATCCTAGATTGTTTTTCTTTTTAGCCCTATGGGATTCCCACCTATATACTGACCTTATGCCCAAGAGAATGTATTTCGTATATTGTGTTACTACTGGTTCAGTAGGAATAATAATAAGGTATGCAACAAAAAAGAAAGAAGAAAACTACTCTCTTACCTGAGTGAGGATTTGGGGGAAGTAAGTAGTAGATTCAATATTTTGAAAGCAGAAAAAATGGATCTTTCATTGTTGTAACTTCCATCGTCAAACTCAATATATAGTTGATGAAAGAGTAAATAATTGATAGACTCTTAAAGGCAGCTTTATTTATTTATTAAATTGCTATTAGTCAGTCAATTTCTCTCCTTTATTTTCCAATATCTATACTAAGGCTGCTTTTCCTACCTATAAAAGCTTGACAGGGAGGTCGAGGCGGGCAAATCACAAGGTCAGGAGATCCAGACCTTCCTGCCTAACACGGTGAAATCCCGTCTCTACTAAAAACACAAAAAATTAGCTGGTTGTGGTGGCCAACGCCTGTAGTCCCGGCTACTTGGGAGGCTGAGGCAGGAGAATGGCATGAACCCAGGAGGCAGAGCTTGCAGTGAGCCGAGATCGTGCCACTGCACTCCAGCCGGGGCAACAGAGCAAGACTCTGTCTCAAAAAAAAAAAAAAAAAAAAAAGCTTGGCAAATCAAGGCGTAGTAAGAGTGCCTTCCTCTAGGATTAATTGCTTGGCTTCCTTTGAGTTGCTGCAGCTTTCTGTTAGATCTATTACTGAAGGGTGAGTGTGGGTAGATAGAACCAGTCTGAAAGTATCCAACTTGAAAACAATTTATACACATTCATTCTCTGTGTTTATTCACAGAATGTTAGATTCTTAATCCCTGTTTTTCAAGACACGAAAAAAAAAAGCAGAGAAATATCATTCTCTGTATCTTTTCCTATTCATTTTTTTATCATAGTGTATTTTTGTTAAAATGAAGAGAAAAGCAAATCTTGACCAACAAAACATGTAATATAAGCATGAAGAATAGTTGTAACGGCATAACTGTTTTAGAATATCACTGCCACAAAGGAAGGTTATAAGAGATACGTGGTGGGAGACATGAGAGACTTGACAGAAAATAATGCCATGGCATTTTTCTCTGTGGCAATAGAAGAAACTTTTCCAGGTACTTCGGGTAATTTCTTACTTTCACTTCATAAGACCATGTCCCATCCACCCACAGATCCTGCTTCTACCATCCTGATTGTTACAAAGTTGCCTAGGTAATCTGGCAATCCAGGTAATTCTTATGGCATCATGAATTAATCTGTTCTGATTCACCCATGAGATTTATATTATTTCCAAGAATATGGTTTTTGTTGTTGTTGTTGTTGTTGTTGTTTTCAGACCGACTCTCACTCTGTCGCCCAAGCTGGAGTGCAATGGCGCGATTTTGGCTCACTACAACCTCCGCCTCCCAGGTTCAAGCGATTCTCCTGCCTTAGTCTCTTGAGTATTGGGGACTACAGGCGCATGCCTCCACTCCTGGCTAATTTTTTGTATTTTTAGTAGAGACGGGGTCTCACTGTGTTAGCCAGGATGGTCTCGATCTCCTGACCTCGTGATCCGCCCGCCTCAGCCTCCCAAAGTGCTGGGATTACAGGTGTGAGCCACTGTGCCCGGCCCAAGAATATGTTTTTTAAAAGAGTTACCTATTACATTTACATTTATTTACTTTTTAGAACTTGTAAATGTTAAAGAAGAACATATTTTCAGTGCCTCCCATTATGTGATGGAGAGGAAATCAAGCATGAGGGTGTCCAAAATGGAGCTTGTGGAGACTGAGTGATAAGTGATTTCATTTTATTGAGTATCTAAGACAAAGGTATGAACATCTGACCATATAGCCATGAATCACATTCACCTCTTGCCAGGCATCAGTATTCAACCATAGTTCTCTTTGCCATTGAGCACTGGAATCCACACAACCACTATTAATTGTGTTTTCATACAATACAAATACTGTTTACTATTCAAGTCTAGAAGAGATACAAAGAAACAATAAGAGAGCCAGCCAGCAGATTGCATATTATAAATGGGATGTGAAAAGACCTTTGTATTCTGAAACTATATGCTAAAATCAAAAACAGTAATTTAAAAGAACAAATTCCAAATATAATATTGTTTTAAAGAATAAAATTAAACTAAACTAAGCATAATAGGTTTCATAATCATAGGGTTGTAGAAATATAACATTAAACTCATTAGTCTAAGCAACTTAAGGGTCAGAGGGGAGCACATATGTGGTAGAACTGATAGAGAAGTAGTGAACTTTAAGTTGTATTGGCTTAAAATTGACTTCCAGAATAAGGAAAGTGATTATCTTAACTCACCTGCAGTGTTACCTCATTTCCTGGTAAGTCATTTTAAGAACACTATTAACAAAATGGAAAGTATCTAAAGAATCTAGAGAAAGATAACCAAGATTTTGAGGAGCCTGTGAACTCAGATATATCATGCAGTTCAAAAGCATCTTCAGGTAGGTTAAGTGTTTAATGGAGGCATACATTATGCTTCTTCAAATATTTGAATTGTTGCTGTGTAGGTTAAATATTATATACAAGTTATACATCTCTAGAGACAATAGGAGCAAAAGGAGGATGATACATAAAAGTGGAACTTTGTAACACTTAGAAATATTTAACAGTGATATAACTCCCTATTGAGCAGTTAATTGAGGCTAGAATGCTGCAGGTGAGAATCCTACAATGACTGAGAAGTGGACATGATAGCCCTAGGTTCTCTCCGACACTGGTAGCTCATAATTATATAAGAAAATTCCATTACATTGGTTCCATTTTCTTTATAATCTCATTGTAAGGTGCCTTACTAAGATTGTTCTAGACGATAGAGAAGTTGTAATAGTTGAACCTTCTATACTAAATTACCACCCATGATGTTTTACTTATCTGTCACCAAAGAAACTAAAACGATCCTTTAAATATACTGAGAAATCAAAATACTTACTTGTTCAAGTTTGAAAAGTCTTTGAGGCTTGGATCTGATTTTTGATAAACCCAAGTTTCAGATGGCACCCCAAAAAGTTCATTAAAATAATATCATGGGAAGCATGTACTATGAGGCTAGTAAAGTGCTATGTGAATGAAAAACAAGAGTATTATTAACATTATAATTATCACTATGTCCTCTGAAATAATGTTTCTGTAGATGTGAAATAATCTTATTATAGCTTTAGGAGGAAATCCTCCTTGGCAAATCACTTTCCAAATGGCCATCTGAACGTTCTTATTCTTGAAGCTATATACCATGGATTCAACAACGGAGTCACAACTGTGTAAGGTCACTGTCACCAGCCTGTTCTTGCTAGATGGTTATTTGCTGGATGATTATTTGGCTGATGGTCACAGGTTGACAAAGGAGGCACAGCCATAATGGACAACGACCATAATAAGATGGGAGGCACAAGTAGAGATGGCTTTTTGCTTGCTTTCACATATGGGATCCTCAGGATGGTGTGAACAATGAAGCCATAGGAGATGCAAATAAAATCAGAGGAACCGTAAGTGCTAGAATTCCACCAATGAAGATGACTAGCTCCCTGATGTAGGTATCAGTACAGGCAAGCTGAATAAGCAGTGAGATGTCACAGAAGTAGTGGTTGATCTTGTTTGGGCCACAGAAAAGCAGCTGAAAATCTAAGAAGGAGCCTATCAGTGAAAACAAACAAACAAAAAAAAACAATCACAGCACACGTTGCTGCCAGTTGTTTACATATCTGCCAGCTCGTAAGGACAGGGTAGTGAAGTGGATGGCAGATGGCAACATAGGAATCATAAACTGTCATGCCCAGGAACATGAAATTAGTGACAGCAAAACCCAGAAAGAAGAACACTGGAGTGGCAGTTAATAAATGAGATTGTTCTGAGCAAAGACAACAGATCTATGAGCATCTTGGGCAGAATGACAAAGGTATAGCATGTCCCAGAAATGGAGAGGATCCCTAGGAATAAGTATACAGGTATGTGGAGGCTTTGATCCAGGCGGATGACAGTGACAGTGGTGATATTTCCACTCAGAACAATCAGATATAGCCACAAGCAGACAGAAAAAGGATCTGCTGGATTTCTTCAAGGCTGGAGAACTCAAGAAGCAGGAACTCTGACAGAGAAGTTAGCTTGATTGACTTGGTCCCAGAGATTGACCTACAGAGAACAAAAATGAAAGAAGATAGTTTGCCCTAAAAGATGCAGGAGTTACTTACACTATGGATTGAGAAACAATAAATCAGAAAAGGGGGTAGAACCTGTAGTAGTAAATGCCCTAGTGATCATATCTATTCATTGTATTGTTTCAAAATACTCAGATTACGTTTGTTTCCAGTGACATGTTTACATCTCTTATAACGTTTAAGTCTAGGTGATCTTTTCACATTGCCTACTTTAAATAGCAAACAGGAAATTAACATGTGAATTTAACTACTTTATTAAACACACGTTTAATAAATACTTATTGTCTATATTACACAATTTCGTTAGGCTGTATAAGCAAAGTATAATTCTTAGCAGGAATGATGCTAAAGCATCTCTTACTTTCTTCACCAAGTGTTCTCTCCTCTCCCCAACCACTGTCCTTAAATTCTCCAATAAAAAAATGAAGTTTTTTTCATGTTAAGACTATGTTTTCTCATCTTGCAACACCTCACCTCTGTGATTTCCTCATCTCTTTCCCTCTATCTGGAAGATCTTTATCCACTTTGCATTCATTTTTGATGACCCAAATAGAACTATAACCCCTGGCAACTCTGGTCTCTGAATTTAAGGGTGATATAAAATTTCCTTTCTTTTAAATTATTTAGCAACTTTCTATTCTATACTAGAGTGAATCACAGAAGATAGATATGAACTCTAAGTTCACAATGTGCATATCTAAGTTCATAAAATTAGTTGTATAAATTTAATTTTTTTCTTTAGTGCCCAGCACAGTGCTATTCACAGAAATTATTAATATACAATGATTGAATAGTCAATTGCATGATCTTGAAATGCGCTTTTTCTTTTTTTTCTTTTTTAAATTTTTTTATTATTATTATACTTTAAGTTTTAGGGTACATGTGCACAACGTGCAGGTTTGTTACATATGTATACATGTGCCATGTTGGTGTACTGCACCCATTAACTTGTCATTTAGCATTAGGTATATCTCCTAATGCTATCCCTCCCACCTCCCGCCACCCCACAACAGTCTCCATTGTGTGATGTTCCCCTTCCTGTGTCCATGTGTTCTCATTGTTCAATTCCCACCTATGAGTGAGAACATGCGGTGTTTGGTTTATTCTCCTTGCGATAGTTTCCTGCGAATGATGGTTTCCAGCTTCATCCATGTCCCTGCAAAGGACATGAACTCATCATTTTTTATGTCTGCATAGTATTCCATGGTGTATATGTGCCACATTTTCTTAATCCAGTCTATCATTGTTGGACATTTGGGTTGGTTCCAAGTCTTTGCTATTGTGAATAGTGCTGCTATAAACATACGTGGGCATGTGTCTTTACAGCAGCATGATTTATAATCCTCTGGGTATATACCCAGTAATGGGATGGCTAGGTCAAATGGTATTTCCAGTTATAGATCCCTGAGGAATCGCCACACTGACTTCCACAATGGTTGAACTAGTTTACAGTTCCACCAACAGTGTGAAAGTGTTCCTATTTCTCCACATCCTCTCCAGCACCTGTTGTTTCCTGACTTTTTAATGATCGCCATTCTAACTGGTGTGAGATGGTATCTCATTGTGGTTTTGATTTGCATTTCTCTGATGGCCAGTGATGATGAGCATTTTTTCATGTGTTTTTTGGCTGCATAAATGTCTTCTTTTGAGAAGTGTCTGTTCATATCTTTGGCCCACTTTTTGATGGGGTTGTTTGGTTTCTTCTTGTAAATTTGTTGGAGTTCATTGTAGATTCTGGATATTAGCCCTTTGTCAGATGAGTAGGTTGCAAAAATTTTCTCCCATTCTGTAGGTTGCCTGTTCACTCTGATGGTGGTTTCTTTTGCTGTGCAGACGCTCTTTAGTTTAATTAGATCCCATTTGTCAATTTTGGCTTTTGTTGCCATTGTTTTTGGTGTTTTAGACATGAAGTCCTTGCCCATGCCTATGTCCTGAATGGTATTGCCTAGGTTTTCTTCTAGGGTTTTTATGGTTTTAGGACTAACATGTAAGTCTTTAATCCATCTTGAATTAATTTTTGTATAAGGTGTAAGGAAGGGATCCAGTTTCAGCTTTCTACATATGGCTAGCCAGTTTTCCCAGCACCATTTATTAAATAGGGAATCCTTTCCCCATTTCTTGTTTTTGTCAGGTTTGTCAAAGATCAGATGGTTGTAGATATGTGGCATTATTTCTGAGGGCTCTGTTTTGTTCCATTGGTCTATATCTCTGTTAAATGCACTTTTTCATATATCAGAGCATAAAGGCCTTGGAGTAATTTTGTATTCCCCATAATATCTACAAACAAATTGCTATCTAAAAGCTACTTGTTCAATTAGTTGATTATTAAATATTTTATTATATAAAGGGCATCTGTAAAAGGCATTATTTAAGCTCATTAAGGGTGTGATGGAATTTTAAGCCTCAAAAGGAAATTGATGGGAATAAAGATCCAGTTTGCAACCTACTAGATCACATTGCATATTTATGATTGTACTACCCACAATTTGATCTTTCACACGACCAAGAAGTTGTGGAATATGAACTGGATCTAGCTCTCATGAATTTCCCTACTGTGGCATTTATTTTTATTTTTACTTTTTTATCTCTCAGTCTGGCTCTTCACAATACTTTATTTATTAACTGGTGACTAACGAAAAAAATAGTACCAGTATCTTCCCTGAGGAGTGCAATTTATTTACCTCCCCAGTTGCTATCTCTGAGGCTTATGCAGTAGATTTTTTGTCCACAGAATGTTAGGATGGTGAGATTCAAAAACAGCAGAAGGTCTGTAAAGAATGGCAAGTTAATTAGACACTCATTTTTTTACCTCCTCATTGCTTGGACATTTCTAATATACCTTTGTCACCAGATAATACTCTCATGTGACATTTGAGAATGAAAAGTGAGTGAACTGTTGAAAGCTCATTCTTGACGGAAAGTTATGGGTATCTATTTTTTTCCTTTTCAGTTACCCAGAGAAGCCTTGCTTAAGGAATCAGTCTTTCTGAGATGGCTCATAGGGAAGTAATCAGTGCTATGGGCTCAATATAACATATTTCATGGCATTTGCTTGAAGCAATAGCTTATTGTAGCTCATTTGGTGAGGCTCTATTTTATCTCTCCCAAGCCCTATACTATCTTCCATTTTTTCAAGCTATCATATATTATCTCACTATCACTGAGTAACTAGATAAACAAACTAAAACTCACGGGAGAATAAGAGCATTTCTAAAATGAGCATGGTGACTGGTACTTTTCTGTTAGTAAATTCACATACTATCTTCATTCACTTTCCCACATAAAATAATCCAAACAGGGTTATTTTCTGATGTTCCCTAGAACTTAGCTATTGTAATCCAGTGAAATCTTCTAATGAGATGAGACTCAAAACTTAATGTTATCACAACCATTTCTATATTGAAATAACACTATTCTATTCCTTTCTACTATTGACCTCTCAAGGCCCCAAACTCTGTTTACCTACCTGCTCTTCTGATAATTCTGAGAAGCATCGCCCAAAGCATCATTGGAAAACTTTTCATTAGTCTCTTATTAGCTAGGGCCCCAAAATGTTGCTTGGTACTTATACTTTCCAAAACTCCAGGGAGTCATTATTGCAATATTATTTTTGGCACAGTTCCGTACTTCTCTCACTTAGCAAAGAGGATGCAGAGAACACCACAGATCCAAAATCTCACAGGTCTAATAGAAACAAATAATAAAATAAAAAAACAGAAGGTGGGGCACAGCGGCTCATGCGTGTAATCCCAGCACTCTGGGAGGCCGAGGCAGGTGGATCGTCTGAGGTAAGGAGTTTGAGACCAACCTGGCCAACATGGCGAAACCCGATCTCTGCTAAAAACACAAAAATTACCCGGGCATGGTGGCAGGTGCCTGTAATCCTAGTTACTCAGGAGGCTGAGGCAGGAGAATCACTCGAACTCAGGAGACGGAGGTTGCAGTGAGCCAAAATTGTGCCTCTGCACTCCAGCCTGTGTAATAAAATGAGACTCTGTCTCAAAAAAAGAAAAATGGAAAAAAATGGCATTGATAATTAGTTGATCATCTCTTCCAAGTTCCCTGGTGTCTCTTAGAGGCTGAAAGCTATTGTAAATTAAGGAAGTACAAGTATATATGGAAAAACCACATTATAGGAGATAATTTAGGCCTGTCTTTTACAAGGCCTTTTTTAGTGAAGGAGAAGCTCTTTTTTCCCTTAGACTTCATCAGGACAAAGTCTTGCTTTATCATTGTCAAAAAAGAAGCAAAGTTCTCTCTTTTAGTCTGTGTTCATCTGAAGCCTAACAATTGAGTTGCTGCACCAAGGAGAGGAGCATAGGAGCACAGCATGAGGGACGGGGAAAAGAGCAATGTTTTGATGACAGAGCTGAAACCTTGAAGAACAGCAGGAAAGAATATATATTTAGAGACTGAAGACAAATTCTGGAGTGCTTAAGTGCAGGTCACAGAAGTGATACTCTGCTTTTTTCCAGCTTTCTGGAGGTGAAAATAACTTCAATCAAGGGTCCGCCTCAACGTTTGTGAATGGGAGTAAAGTGCTTTGTGGGTAACCTCCTAGAGGGCTTGGGTAGTCCTCCATTATTCTCATTCTTTCCTGCAACTCTCTAATAGTCTGACTCAAGATAGATGAGAGGGACTTGGGGTTGGAGAGAAAACAATTAAGTACCTGTCTACATTTGTGTGCCACTGTTGTGAGACCCTGAATTTGAAATTAGGTTAAAAGTTGAACTTTTTATTTCTGGACTCGGTAACACAGTATCTAGATTTTCAAGTTTCCTGGAAATTGTTATTCTTCCTCCTCTGTGAGATAACAGAGGAAAAATCTGCCCTCTCTATTCTCCCTCAGCTTGTTATGAGTGACTCGCAAGAGGATGGCAGAGAGAATTGAAGGCACTTAGCATCGAGGTCTTCCCCAGCCTGAGTCTATTTGTTGCAGTTTCTGTCAGTGGCTCCCAGCAGACGTTCCTGGCATTGTTCCCAGAAGGTGCTATCAGAGCAGTAGAAACTCCCAAATGAGAGGATTCCTGTCTCAGAGTCTTTTTCTTTCCAATTATACTAACCATTGTCACAGGTTACCCACAGAGATCCCATGGCAGCTACTGCTGCTTCCAGCAATTTTCAAATGTTCACAAAGTTTTTTTTTTCCATTTGCAGCTGAGTTTTGGGGTTTTTTTTGGACTTCTGGTCTGCTTAGTGCATCTTCCTAAATAAACATTTCTCCACAGGATGCTGGCCAAGTCCCCAGACTTGGTACTGCATAACTCTAGAAAGAAAACTGTCCAAAAACCTCTAAAGTATTAGAACAGAAATAGACCTGGAAAAAATACTATAGTTAGTCACACTTACAGAAATACTTCTTGACACAATTTGTGGTGAACTCAGGCAGGACCCCAAACCAGTAGCTGCCTCTGCTCACATTCTCATGTACCTGAGGATAGTTTTCCAGGAAATTAAAGATAGTCATTCCTTTTTGAAACTGGAGTTTAAACCCAGGTTTCCAGCAAACTTAGTATGATACATATTTCATCTCAAATATACCAACACAGTTCAAATATGCAAACAAAGAATATCTTTTATTTCTATATTCAGAGAAAGGGACTTGAATTACTTCATTATGCTCAGTCTTCATTGAGAGGTCAACCTCTGAAAAACATCCCCATTATAATTTACTTTTTATTCTTAACATATGTTAGAATTTCTGTGTAATTATGATTACATGTTTCCTTTACATATTTCTGGTTTTGTGGGGTGATTTTTTAATGTTTTGCTGAATGTTTAGCCCCATCATTTAGGATATTGCCTGATACATAGTAAAAAGGTAACATATATATTTGTTGAATGAATAACTAGTTTTTCTTTCTCTGTTTTACTTGATTAAGTTTCACTGTATGTGCTGTATTTCTTTTTCATTGGCCTGGCTTTATCCAAATTACAGAAAAAAAAATGAAGGTAAAAGCCTTAAATATATGTTCTTAGCAATTCAAAAAGCTGAAACATTCTCAGTCTTATGTCTCCTATATATGGGATGTAATCATGTCTTTTGCAGGGACATGGATGAAGCTGGAGCTATTATCCTTAGCAAACTAACACAGGAGCAGAAAACCAAATACCGTGTGTTCTCACTTACAAGTGACAGCTAAATGATAAGACCACATGGACACATAGAGAGGAACAGCACACACGGGGGTCTATTGGAGGGTGGAGGGTGAGATAAGGGAGAGGATCAGGAAAAATAACTGTTTCAATATTTTTCAGTTAAAAGTTAAAATATTTTAAGTTAAAAGTTAAGTTCAAGTATTTTTAACTTAAAATATTTTCAACTTATAACAGATTTATCTGGATATAACCCCATCATATGTCAAGGAGTATACTAAATATGTGTCACTTTTGCACCATCATAAAGCCAAAAAATCCTAAATTGAAACATTGTACTTAGGGAATCATCTGTATATAGACAGATACAGAATACTGCAATACTGTAATGGTGATGTAGCAATATCACTTTTAATTCTAACAAAAAGTTTAAAAGATTAAACTATTAAGAATAACTGAAACTACATAATTTGTCAAGGTATCCACAACACTACATAAAAAGATGTAAATTGTAATTTCAGTAACATGTATAAGGCGGAAGAGTAAAAGTTTAGAGTTTTGTACGCAATTGAAGTTAAATTGTTATCAGCTTGAAATTAACACCCATAACTTTGAAAAGTCATATATAAGTTTTATGGTAGCCACAAAGAAAATACTATACAATATGCACAAAAGAAAAGTAAAAAAAAAATCAAAGCATATCACTACAAAAAAATTAACAAATCATAAAGGAAAAGAGCAAAAGAGAAAAAGAGGAACAAAAGGACAATAAGACAGTCAGAAAATGGATAACAAGATGGCAACAATAAATCTTTATCAATAATTACATTAAACTTAAATGGATTAAACACCTCAATTAAAAGGCATAGGCTAAATTGATTTAAAAAACAACTTTATGCTATCTACAAAAGACTCACTTTGGATTTAAGAACCCACGTGAACTGAAAGTACAAGGATGGAAAAAGACAATTAAGTAAATGTTAACCAAAAGACAGAAGGGGTGGCTATACTTATATTAAATGAAAAAAACTTTAAGCAAAGAACTATCATAAGAGAAAGAGAGGCTATTTATATAATGACAAAAGTGTCGAGTCATGGGAACAAGATAGTTGATTAGAACCATCCAGCAATTGTCCCCTCATAGGAACACCAAATTGAACAATAATCCATGCAAGAAAGCACCTTCATAAGAACCAAACAATCAGGTGAGCAACTACAGTACCTGTTGTTAACAACATCAAGGAAAGAGGCATTGAAGAGGTTAGGAAAGATAATCTTCCTTTGCCTACATCACCTCTGCCCCAATCCCTGGCAGCACCACATGGAAAAGAATCTGTGTGCTTGGGGAAGGGGTAGTGAAGTGAAAGTGATTAGGAGACTATGCATTGAAACTCAATGCTACTCTGTCACAGCAGTGCTCAACACAGGAGAGAATTCTGCCAGCACCCATGGAGGAAGCAATTAGATCAGCCCTGGCAGGAGGGAACTAAGTTCTGGCTGGTTCTACCACCAGCTCACTAATGTGGTCTGGGACCCAAAATAGATTTCGGAGGTAGTTAGGCCCTAAGGACTGCAGTCTCTGGGAAAGCCCTAGTGCTGTATTGTGCTTGGAGGCAATGCAATTGGGGCACACAAGACACAGTAAGACATAATTGTGGTGGCCAAGGGAGTGCTTGCACAGCTCGGGGAGAGACCCTTTCTGCTTGGGGAAAGGAGAGGGAAGAGTACAAAAAACTTTGTCCTGTACATTGGGTACCAGTTTAGCTGCAATAAAACAAAGCATCAAGCAAATTCCTAAAGACCCCATCCGGGCCTTAGCTCCTAGATAGCATTTCTAGACCCACCTTGGACCAGAAGGGAACCTGCTACCCTGAAGGGAAGGACCTAGTCCTCATGGATTTATCATCTGCTGACTAAAGGGTCCTTGGGCTTTGAATAAATAACATCAGTAGATAGGCAGTAGTTTCCACAGGCCATGGGCAAGACTTAGTACTCTCCTAGCTTCAAGTATCACCCAGCAGAATGCCAGTTGTGTAGCCACAGGAGTGCTTGCATCAACCCTCCCCCAACTCCAGGCAACCCAGTGCAGAGAGACACTCTTTTTGATGAAGGGAAAATGAAGGAAGAGAGTGAGAGCCTTTGCCTGGTAATCCAAATAATTCTCCTTGATTCTACCCAAGCCCACTAAGGCAGTGACTCCAGGAGTCCAAAAGAGTCACAGCATTACTGGACTGGGGTGCCCCCTAGTGCTGATATTGCTGTGGTGACAGTAGGCTTACAACCCAACCCTCAATTCCCTTTGAATACAAGGAAAACCTTTTCAAGAAGGTCGGGTGCAAACAAGCCCCAACTGGTGATATTGAAACAAATACCTAACTCCTCTATGCCCAGGCATTGCTGGACATTCACAGGCTTCAAGAACATCCAAGAAAACATGACCCCTCCAAACAAACTAAATAAGTCTCCAGTGATCAATCCCAGAGTAATGGAGATATGTGATCTTTCAGACAGAGAATTCAAAATTGCTGTCTTGAGGAAGCTCAATGAACCTCAACATAACATAGAGAGGGAATTCAGAATTCTATCATAGCAACTTAATGAAGAAATTGAAATAATAAAAATCAAAAATTTTGGAGCTAAAAAATTCAATCGAGAAGGTGAAAATGCATGAGTCTTTCTACAGAAAAATTGATAAATTAAAAGAATTAGTGAGCTTGAAGTCAGGATATATAAACATACAAAGTCGGGGAGAAAGGAGAAAAAAAATAAAGCACATCTACAAGAGTGAGAAAATAGTCTCAAAAGGGCAAATCTAAGAATTATTGGCCTTAAAAAGGAGGTAGAGAGATTGGAGTAGAAAGTTTATTCAAAGAAATAATAACAGAGAACTTTTCAAATCTAGAGAAAGATATCAATATCCAGATACAGAGTCATAGAACACTAAGAAGACTCACTCAAATAAAACTATCTCAAGCCATTTATTAATCAAAACTGAATGATCAAGGATAAAGAGCAAATCCTAAAAGCACTAAGAGAAAAGAAACAAATAACATATAAAGGAGCTTGAACATGTCTGGCAGAAAACCTCTCAGTGAAAGCCTTACAGGCCAAGAGATAGTGAGATGATATATTTAAGGGGCTAAAGAAAAAGACTATTATCCTAGAGTATTATATCCCGCAAAAATATCCTTCAAACATGAAGGAGAAATAAAGACTTTCCCAGACAGACAAAAGCTGAGAGATTTCATCACTACCAGATTGATCCTACAAAAAAAAATGCTAAAGAGAGTTGTTCAATCTGAAAAAAGGACATTAATGAACCACAAAAAGTCACCTGAAGGTCTAAAATTCACTAGTAATAGTAAATAAACAAGCAAATACAGAATACTCTAGCACTGTAACTGTGGTGTGTAAACCACTCATATCTTGAATAGGGAGAATAAAATACAAACATCAAAAATAATGACTACAACAAGTTTTTAAGAGATAGATAATAGAAAAAGTTATAAATAGAAACAACAAAAACTCAAAAAGCAGGGGGAATAATGTCAAAGTGTAGTTTTTTTGTTTTCTCTTTATTTGTTTTTCTTTTTTAATAGCCAGTTAAGTAGACATCAATTTAAAATATTTGGTTATAAGATGTCATTTACCAGCTCATAGTAACAGCAAATCAAAAATCTACAAGAAATACACAAAAAATAAAAAGTAAGAAATTAATACTTACTATCAGAAGATTACTTTTACACAACAGAAGAAAGGAAGGAAGAAAAGGGTCAATTCATAAGAAGATATACTAATTATAAATCTATATATAAGTGTGTGTGCATCCAGCATCTAAGCACAGAAACATATAAAACAAATATTGACAGATCTGAAGAAAGAAATACACAGTGATAGCAATAAGGATAGGACATTCAGACAGGATATCAATAAAGAAACAGTGGACATGAACAATGTAATAGATCAAATGATCCTAATAGACATATGCAGAATATTGCAGCCAACAGCAGCAGAATACACATTCTTCTCAAAAATACACGAACATTCCTCAGGAAAGATCATATGCTAAGTCTCAACAAATAAAAGAAGATTGAAATCATATGAATATAGTTTGGATCTGTCTCCCTGCCCAAATTTCATGTAAAATTGTAATTCGCAGTATTGAAGGTGAAAACTGATGGGAGGTAATTGGACCATGGGCATGGATTTCTCATAAATGGTTTACCAGCATCCCCTTTGTGCTGTTCTTGTGATAGTGAGTGAGTGAGTTCTCATAAAATCTGGTTGTCTAAAAGTGTATATCACCTCTGTCCTCACTCTGTCTCTTGCTCCTGCTATGGCTGCGTGATATGCCTACTCACCCTTCACCTTCCACCATAATTTTAAGTTTTCTGAGGTCTTCTCAGAAGCCAAACAGATGCCAGCATCATGCTTCCTGTAAAGCCTGCAGAACCATGAGCCAATTAAACCTCTTGTCTTTATAAATTACTCAGTCTCAGGTATTTCTTTGTAGCAATGTGCAAATGGACTGATACACATAAAAATATCTTTTCAACCACAATAGAATGAAGCTTGGAACCAACAGTAGGAAAAAATGAAAAATTTACAAATATGTGGAAATTAAACAACATACTCTTGAACAACCATTGAGTCATAGCAGAAATCAAAGGGAAATTAGAAAGTATCTCAGGGCAAATAAAAAATCTTATGGAATGCAGCAAAAAGAGCAGTAAGAGAGAAGTTTATAGCAAGAAACACCATCATTAAAAAAGAATGATCTCAAATAAACCATCTAACTTTATACCTAAAATAATTATAAAGATTAAAGCAGAAATAAATGAAATAGGGAATATTAAAACAATTGAAAAAAATGTAAAACCAAGAGTTAGTTTTTTGAAAAGATAAAAAAATGATAAAAAGTTATCTAGGCTAAAAAAAAAGTCTCAAATAAATTAAATCAGAAACTAATGAGAAGCCATTAGCATTGATGCCACAGAAATGAAAACCATCTGTCTTAATCAGTTCCAGCTGCTATAACAAATTACCATAGACTGGGTGGCTTAAACAACAAACATTTATTTCTCACAGTTCTGCAGGGAGGGAAGTCCAAGCTGAACTACTCACAGATTCAGCATCTAATAAGGGGGATTGCTTCAGGATTTCAGATAGTTGGGGTCTAATTATATCCTCACATGGTGAAGAACAGAGAAAGAGCAACAAGTTCTTTCTTGCCTAAGATTACTAATCAAATTCAATAATATTCCATTGTAAGTATATACTACATTTTCTTAATCCATTAATCTGTTCATGGACATTTAGTTTATTTTTTTCTTGGCTATTGTGAATAATGTTATAATAAACATGAGATTGTTAACATCACTTTAAAATCCCAATTTTAATTATTTTGAATATATGCCCAGAATAGAAATTGATACAGTATTAGTCAAACTCATAGAAACAGAGAGTAGAACAGTGGTTGCCAGTCTGCAGGGGAGGAGAAAATGTGAGTTCCATTTTGTTGAATATAAGTTTCAGTTATATAAGATAAACAAATTCTAGAAACCAACTGTACAACATTGTGATTTGATATAGTCTGAATATTTGTTTCCACCTAAATCTCATGTTGAATTATAAATCCCCAATGCTGGAAGTGGGACCTGGTGGGAGGTGTTTGGATCATGGGGATGAGTCCCTCATAGCTTGGTACTTTCTTTGTGATAGTGAGGTGAGTTCTCAAAAGATATGGTCAGTTTAAAGTGTTGCACTTTCCCTTCCACTCTGTCTCTCTCTTGCTCCTGCTCTGGCCAAGTGATGTGCCTGCTCCCACTACCTTTTGCCATGATTGAAAGCTCCTTGAGGCTTTACCAGAAGCTAAGCAGTTGCCAGCACCATGCTTTCTGTAAAGTTTGCAGAACCATGGGCCAATTAAACCTCTTTTCTTTATAAATTACCCAGTCTCAGGTATTTCTTTATAGCAAGGCAAGAATGGGATAACACAAGAAATTGGTACAGAGGAGTGGGGTATTACAATAAAGATATCTGAAAGTGTAGAAGCAGCTTTGGAACTGGGTAATGGGCATAGAATGGAAGAGTTTGAGGGCTCAAAAGAAGACGGAAGTTGAGGTTTAGTTTAGAACTTCTTAGAGACTGGTAAAATGGTTGTAACCCAAATGCTGACGTGTGATATAGACAGTGAAGTCCAGACTGAGGAGGCCTCAGATGGAAATGAGGAACATACTGGGAACTGAAGTAAAGGTCACTTTTGATATGCCTTAGCAAAGAACTTGGCTGCCTTCTGTTCATGCCCTAGGGATCTGCGGAAGTTAAAGTTTTGAAATGATAATTTAGGGTATCTGATGAAGGAAATTTCTAAGCAGCCAAGCATTCAAGATGTGGCCTGGCTGCTTCTAACAACCTAACTCAGATGTGGGCACAAAGGAATACCTTAAAGCTGAAACTTATATTTAAAAGGAAAGTAGAGAATAAAAGTTTGAGAAATCTGCAGCCTGGCAATGTGGCAAAGGAAGAAAAAGCTCTTGAGGGGAGAAGAATTCAAGCAGGTTGTGGAACAACCACTTTACTAAAGAAATTTGCATACTTAAGTGGGTCAGGCGTGGTGGCTCACGCCTGTAATCCCAGCACTTTGGGAGGCTGAGGTGGACGGATCACAAGGTCAGTAGATCGAGACTGTCCTGGCTAACATGGTGAAACCCCATCTCTACTAAAAATACAAAAAAAAAATTAGCTGGGTGCGGTGGTGGGCGCCTGTAGTCCCAGCTACTCTGGCTGAGGCGGGAGAATGGCGTGAACCTGGGAGGCATAGCTTGCAGTGAGCCGAGATCATGCCACTGCACTCCAGCCTGGGTGACAGAGCAAGACTCCATCTCAAAAAAAAAAAAAAAAAAAGAAAAAAAAAGAAATTTGCATACCTATGAAGGAGCCAAGTGCTGATAGTCAAGACAATGGGGGAAAAGCCTTGAAGGCATCTCAGAGACCTCTGTGGCAGCCCCTTCCATTAAAGGCCCAGAATCCCTACTGCCACACACACAGCTTCATGACACTGCTCCCTGCATCCTGCTGCTCCAGCTTCAACTGGGGCTCAAAGGGGCCCAGGTACTGCTCAACATGCTACTTTGGAGAGTTCAAGCCACTGTAAGCCTTGGCAATTTGCACATGATTTTAAGCCTGTAGGCACACAGAGTTCAGAGTGAATGAGAATTTGCACCATCTGCCTAGATTTCAGAGGACATATGGAAAAGCCTGAGTGCCCAGACAGAGGCCTGCTGCAGGGGTGGGGAACCCCACAGGGAACCTCTACTATGGCAATGCAGAGGGGAAATGTGGGTTTGCCCCCCGCCCCAGAGTTCCCACTGGGGCACTGCCTAGTGGAGCTGTGAGAAGGGGACCGCCATCCTCCAGACCCCAGAAAGGAAGATCCACTGTCAGCTTGCCCTCTGCACCTGGAAAAGCCAAGAACACTCAACACCAACCCGTGGAAACAGCCATGGGTATTCAACCCTGCAAAGCCATAGGGATACAGCTGCCCTAAGCCTTGAGAGCCATGACTGACACCTCTCTGAGGAGCTTGCAGCAGTGTGACCTGGATGTAGAATATGGAGTCAAAGGATATTATTTTGGAGCTTTAAGATTTAATGACTGCCCTCCTGGCTTTAGGACTTGCTTGGGGCCTATAGCCCCTATTTTTTTGGCCAATTTCTTTCTTTTAGGATAGCAACGTTTACCCAATACCTGTATCCCTATTGTATCTTGGAAGTAAATAACTTGGTTTTGATTTTATAGGTTCATGAATGAAAGGGACTTTCCTTGTCAAAGATGAGACTCTGGACTTCGGACTTGTGAGTTAACACTGGAACAAGTTAAAACTTTGGAGGACTCTTAGGAAGGCATAAATATATTTTGCAATGTGAGAAGGACATAGATTTGGGAGGAGCCGGAGAAATATTGATATAGTTTGGATATTTGTCCCCACACAAATCTTACGTTGAATTGTAATCACCAGTGCTGAAGGTGGGAGGTGTTTCGGTCATGGGGGTGAACTTCGCATGACTTGGTCTATTTTTATGATAGTGAGTAAGTTCTCACAAGATCTTGCCATTTCAAAATTTGCAGCACCTTCCCCCAACTCTCTCTCTCCTGTTCTGGTCATGTGATGTGCCCGCTCCTGCTTCACCTTCCACCATGATTGAAAGTTCCCTGAGCCTTCACCAGAAGCCAAGTGGATGCCAGCACCATGCTTCCTGTAAATTCTGCAAATCATGAGCCAACAAAACCACTTTTCTTTATAAATTACCCAATCTCAGGTATTTCTTTATAGCAATGCAAGAATGGCATAATATATGATTACAGTTACCAATACCTTTTGATCAGGGGGTGGATTCATGTTAAATGTTCTTATCACACACAAAAAAAGTCAGTGTTGACCTAGTTGAAAAACTAGCTTATTTGTGACTCATGCTATATTAAAAAACAACTACTGAATAAATCAAGAGTGCTATTGTTTTTTCTGAGTGAAATTGTAATTGACCTATGTAACCCTTGTTTCAAATGTCCTTGTTAGAATTTTCAGAAAAATTTTAGTGGAGTATATTTTATAAACATCTCCTGACATTAACATAATTCTAGGGCTCATAGGGATGAATAAATCTAAATTCTGTCAAAATTTTAAAAAGAAAGAAAATTAAGAATGTAATTGCCTTTTAGCTCCAAATCTACCTTTACTTGTCCTGATTGTGTTACTGGAATGTTTCTCCTTTACCAGCAGACATGATGTTAAGCTCTTCTGTAGAAGGCGTGAAGGGACACTGAAGTTAAAACGGAGTTCTCTTCCCATTTCTGGCTGCTTTCATCTGCCTGGACATGCTGTGTGTGTGAAGTCTAGTAACAAGTAGGACGCCCAGTAGTGCTACTTCCCAGGCAGTACCATCATCAAAGGTATTTTGCCAGAAGGTTGCAAACAGAAGCATCCTCCCATAGATGCCCCCCACCCACAGAGTACTTCAGAGAGTGGTTTTCCAGCAAGTTCTAAAGTATAGCTCTTCCTTATGGATGGCTTCCCATGAGGACTAAGAGGGCAGAATCCAGAAGGCATTACATTGATTTCAAGAAATGTTTATTAAGCTATACTTTTAGTATTAGTATAAAGATGAACAAATAGATTAATGGAACAAAACAGAACACTCAGAAATAGAAACACATATGTATAATTAATTTTCTACAAAGCCTCAAGGCAATTTAATGGTAGAAGAATACTCTTTCCAATAATAATGCATTTGGATAGAAAAGAATCTTGAAATTTTTTCACACCATTTACAAAAATTAACTAGAGATGAATCACATCCTGCTTGTAAGAACTAATATTATTAAAAAGAACATTAGATAGAACCTTAGTGAGCTTGAATTTTTCAGAAACTTATTAAGTATGACAGAAAACACTTGAACTATAAAAGTCAAAGTCAATAAGTTGGACTTTATCAAAACCAAAGGAAACTTCTGCTCTTCAAAAGACATGGTAGAAAATTAAAAGCAAGTTACAATATAGTGAAAATATTTGCGTAATATACAAGTAACAAAAATATATATACCTGGAAAACATAAAGAACTCTTACATTTCAATTATGAAGACAAAGGAACTAATTAAAATATTGGAAAGAAGAAAATATGCCTCTAACTGAGGAATGGACAAAAGATCTGAAAAGACGCTCAACTAAAAAATATGTAGATGACCAATATACACACAAAAAAATATATTCAGTGTCTTCAGTCATCAAAAAAAACTTTTAATTCTAACCACAATTGGATACTATTATGCATCTACTTAATGTATGAAATTAAGACTAACACATTTTGTTGAGAATGTTAAGCAACTGGTAACTGTCATACGTTTCTGTTGAGAGTGTAAGAAAATAAAACCATTGTGTATATATACACAATGGTACAAAAAGAATGAACTGCGAAGTCACACACATAACGGATAAACCTCAAAAGTATGCTTAGTGATAAGAAGTTAGAAAGCAAATTGTTATTTTATTTTGATAAGATTCTTTATTGTCAAACTAAATTCTGGCAATAGAAAGCAAATCATTGGTTTCCTGCGGCTGATGGTGGTATAGGGGACACAATGGGATGGGGCATGTGAGAAAATTTAGGGGTAATGGAAATGTTCTATATCTTTTTTCATTTTCAATATCATTTTTATAATAAATTGCCTTGAGAGCCTTGTAGAAAATTAACTATACATATGTGTTTCTATTTCTGAATGTTCTGTTTTGTTCCATTAATCTATTTATTCATCTTTATACTAATATAAATGGTATTTTAAAGTGTAGCTTAATAAATATTTCTTGATTTTTTTTAAGTATTTTAAAACAAATACAGGCTGGATATTCTGTTGTACAACTTTTAACGCATTTGAAATCAGCAGAAAAGTTGCTTTGGGTAAGTCTGGGATTAAAGATTTGCCTATATCTGATTTTAATTGAAAAGCATTGCAAGAAGGGATAATATAAAAAATAAATAATTCTCTTTTAACTTGAAATTACTTATCTGTATGAATAAGTAATAAAGTACAATACAAATATAATGCAGAAACACATTGGAGGCTGAGCCTGATGTAGGGTAGAAACTGTCACTGATAACCCTTTGTTTCTGTCTTACATGCAAAGAAATGTTCTATATCTTGATCATGGTGGTGATTACATGTTTCTACATATACGTCAAAACATCAAACTATACACTTAAAATTGGTGTCTTTTATTGTATATAAATTATGTCTCAATATATTTGATTAAGGCATAAAACATAAATGAACCTGCACCACACACATGAGCTAATACTACAAAGCTCTAGGCACAAATATAAGGGAAGATTTCTTCAATCTCAGTTTAGGAAAACATTTATTAGACAAGACACAAGAAGTACTAAATATAAAAGAAAACAATTGTAAATTTAATTAATCAAAATTCAATAAAGCTTGCCCTCATTAAAAGACACTATTTAAATAATAGAAATGCAAGCCACAGACTTGGGGACAATATTCATAGTACATATGTGTTCCAAACAAACTTAATTCAGAATATATAAATAATAGGATTCAATAATTTTAAACTAATCTTATGAGCAGAAGACTAGGGTAATTTACTAAAATGGAATGGTCAATAGGCAAATGATAAAATAATGTTCAACATAATTAGATATCAGGCTAATACAAAATAAAACTAAATGAGGTACTACTTACCCTCACTAGAATTATTAATATATTAAAAATACAGGAACATAAAACAGGCAGTGCCAAAAGTTGGAAAGAATGTGAAGCAGCTGGTAGGAAAGTTATGTGGTGTACCCATACCGGAAAACATTTGGGAATCATATTATGGAGTTAAATGTGTACCTACCTTATGACCCCAGGAGTGCTACTCCTAAACATGTAAGAGACAGGACAAATGTCCACAGAAGATTTGTTCAAAATATGTTCATGGCAGGTTTATTTATAACAGCCAATAATAAGAATGAACCAAATGTCTATCAACAGATAAATGAATAAATATGTTTTTGCATATCCATTCAGGTGAATACATCAATAAAAAGACAAACTATTTTACATGCAGTAAGATAGATGAATCTCATAAGCATTAAGTTTTCTGAAATAAGTTAGACACACAAGAGTACTTACTATAATATTACATATATCTCAAATTCAAGAAGTGCAAACTGAACTATATTGATAAAAATCAATTCTGTGTTGTCTCTGGGTAGGGAGTCACCTGGAAATTCACATGAGATAACTTTTGGATGTGATGAAAATATCATATTTCTTGACTGGTGGGGGTGGTTAAATGGGTGAATGTATTTGTAAAACCTCAAATAACTGATACTTAAAATACTTAAATTTTTAAATATAAACCATTCCTTAATTTAAAAATAAGGAAAAAAGTGAATGTAAAAGGGAAATTTAAAACCCTCATGACCTGTTTTTTAAAAATCTAATTAACAAAATACACACAAGGAACTCTAAGTATAGTATTAGAAATGGTGATAAGAGCAAAAGAACAAATTCTGGAAGTACTAATATCGGGAGAACAACAAGAACAACAAAAAACAACTGCCAATGGTAATAACTTAAAAAGTCAGTTGGCTGATTTGATATTAGCCAAAACAAGGAATGTTTAGAGGCTCCAATTAACAGCTGAATACTTTCTGATGACAACACAAGAGGGAGCTCAACAGCTGCAAAACTAGGAATACTATCCTCCCCTTACAAGAGTACATGAAAACAAATCTCACTAAACATGAATTCAGGAAAAGATCATGCCTATATCTCATATGAAGTTATTATGAGGAAAAAAATCATCAGCAGTACAACATTACTATAGAGAATAACTGTGCACCTACCGAGTGAAAACCAAGATATCCTGCCCAGGTTCTCTTTCAAGTAAAGGACTTGTTGCCCGCCAACTGATGGTAGCTCTGTCAGTAGGCAGACTTTAGCTGTCAACTTAGTCATTGTATCAGCAACACAGACACTTTGTCCAAAGTAACAGGCTTCGTGCAGCAAACTACACCCAAACAAAATTATGCAGATTAATAAAGCCCTGGCCATCATGGCTCAGCTCAGGACGCCTCTGAATGGTCATTCTAGCTACAGAACTCACTGTTGGGTCAGCTGAGGCTGTCACTAGGAGTGCATTCGGCTTGACTTCTCTCTGTACCCGATACTTCCCCCCACATTCCATAGGTGTTAATCCCATACATTTATTAACAAATATTCTATATGCCAAGTTGTCTCAGAATATGCTTCCCAGGGAGCACAACTTGCAATAGCCAGGAAGATATGACTTCAAAATCGATGAAAACTCTAACTAAATATTTCAAAATGAGGTCAAAGAAGTTAAAGAAGTGATAGAAAATACAAAATAACAGCAAAGATCAGAATCATAAACTCAGTCATGACTGAATAGAGGAGAAGTTTTGAAAAGAGGGGATAGATTAGGAAGCAGTTGGAAATGAAAGAAAAATTGTTTCATAAATGAAGGTTAAACTTGGAGGAACATAAGACAATAAACATGATGGATAAGCCTATAACAGCAAAAGATACGGAAAGAGAAACTAGAGTAAAAGAGAATAATAATACTAGGGAATATAACTCTGTAATTATATCGTTATAAAGTGTGAAGGCATGAAAATACTAATGCATGATATTAGAAGCCATGAATATTGTTTCTGTTAGAGAATAGGTAGTGGGTAATGAAGTATTTGGAATATTATATTTTTTGACCTACACATATTCACTTTGTGGTAATTAATTGATGTATTCATCATAATTTGTACACTTTTCTGTATGTGTGTGTTTTGATCAAAAAGTGTACATGGTATACTCTTCTTCTTTCATGGTTCCAATATATTTTATATGAAGATGTCAATTATTTTATTTTTTATTCTATGCATTTTCTGTATATCCCCCTGGGGATTCTCTCTTATCTTTAGGTATCTGTGTTTCATGTTAAAGCCTTCTTCAAATATATGGTAACTCTTGGATGTTCAAATATATTCCAGACCACAGCACTAAAAAGCCTATTTGAAGCTCTCTGCACGTGGGTAGACCTTGTGAACTGGTGGGTTCCAATGCAGAAGTCAGGCAAAGCAATGCTATTCATTTTGTTGAAATTACTCATAACTTCTCATTACCTTCTCCAGAAAGAAACACTCCTACTACCTAAGTGAAAGGTGTAAGACTGGCTGTCAATCTGGGGTCTGAGTGTTGGGAAAGAGGCTGGTGCTGCCTCATAGTATGAAAGCATTCACATTTAATCCTCTGCTTGAAGTATAGCCCCTTACATTTGCCTCTGTTCTACCGAGTGTTTGAAGTCAGAAGTCCTTAGTTTAACTGCTGTAAAACTTAACCTCCAATCTTAAACTGGCATTCAACAGATACAAAGCAATGCTACTCCGTTGGGAGTTGGCAGTCTAGTGATGATCTATGAGCTTTTTGTTATTGGCTTGTAATGAGACAGGTATAGAAACTAAATTATATTTGTGTTACTTACCAGTGGTAAGCAACTATTATAAAATTTGGTATTACTGAAACATACAAGCACATAATCAGACACATTTTTGGAGCAGAATATAGAATAGCTCAGGTGCTTTTCATTTCGTTTTTCTAGTAGTTGATTTTTATCATATTTTACTGAAGTATTGGCCTTCTATGAAATGTAAAAAGAAACTGGTTCTTTACTGCAGATGATTTGAGAAGCACTGATGGAGAAGTCGAGTTCCTTATTCAGATATTAAGCCAATCTTACTCTTTCCAATGTCATCTTGGTGACCCAATTGTGACAAGAATGTCCAGATACAGTTTGGTGTTGTGAACTGGTTGGCTTCCCCGTTTTGCAGGTATGTTTTCAACTTTCTCTCTTTCTCTTACAACCATGTCAATCATCCTTTTTATTTTTGCTTCTATAATTGTTTTGATGTCTGCCCTGTGTTGTTCTCTCCTGTTTACCTTCTTGATGAGGGCTTATATGTATTTTTTAATACACCTACTATTATTTTAGTGCATTTATAGGTAGAAATACATGTTAAATCCCAAGAGGTTTATTTAGTATGTAATAAAAGATTTCACAACAAAATTCAACATCAATGTTGTTAGAAGTGTATAAAACTCTAATAAGCTCTAAAATGCAGTAAAGCATTTTAATTTGGCACTATGAAACCATGACAGGTTATATACACACCAATAACAATATAGTGTGCTAAAATAGTTTAATTAAATTTAATTCATAAAATAAATATAACATCTACACATACCAAAATTTTAATCTAAATGAATGTGCTTCACTGGGCATAATTCATAAGAAACCACTAATAAAACATAATAATTTGTAAAAATAGAACTGTCAATCACATTCTCCCACAAACAAAACTAGAAATAAATAACAGAAGTTATTTAAATATCAGCAAGAATATATCTATAATACATAAACACTCCATTCCTAAATAACATTTGGTCAATAAATGAGAAATATAAACCCATTAGAAAAAAAAAGAACAGAAGAAAACAATGGCAATAACCAATGTTGTACTTGAAATGCCTTAATTATTTAACCATGAAAATGAAATGAAGTAAAATGAAAATAAATAAAAATACCTAGGCCAAAAACTGGAAAAGGGAGATAAAAATTGGAACAGAGGTTATAATTTTTAAATATAAGAAAACATTATTTGTGATTTGACACATTTTAATTTGAAAATCTAAATAAGGTTAACAGGAAAGAATACAGTTATATTATGTCCCAGAAAAAAGAGGCTGCATATGAAATATGAACTTCAGTTTTATTTATTATTATTTTAAAAGAATACTGATAATCTACAGCATAGCTAGAGAACTGCACCCAGGATAGTGAGGCATCTGAAATTCAGGTCACATAAATTATGGAAAATGTTCAGACTGTCATCATAACTGTCTCAAACATCTGTGAATCAGGACTCGACTTACTGTATGACACAAGAGATAGAATGCATGAAAAGCAGAGGCAAACTTCAGCTGAAATGAGAGGGGATAATAGTATGAGCTGAGTGCAACGGGAATATACATTTTATGAGGTCGTTGATGCCCAATCAGTGGAGAAGGGTTTCCCTTAGAGATACTGATGAAGAAATTTCTGTACAGGTGAGAGGTTGGACCAGATGATCACCAAGATACTTCTCTCTCAAATCTTATATATTCCCATGATAAATTTGAAGCCGGGTATCTTCCTCTTCCTAATAAATTCAGTGTGGAAAGCCACGTAGATACCTTTAGCCCAAGATGGGACGGAATGGTTGAATATTGTTTTCCATTCCATTATGAAGCATAACTTCTATGTTACATAGCAAAACTTCTACATTGCATAAGAAGTGGTTCAAAGGAGCAGTCAGAAAAGCCATTCCAAAATACCTGTTTTGAGGACCTTGAAAGAAATAAAATCCTCTCAGTTATGGAAAGCATGTTTGAAATGAGCTCTACATTGTATATGGTTTCACATTTTGCACTGCTTTTACACTTTCTTTTATACTATTTATAAGATACAAATAAAGCCCCCATGAAGTAAAACAGGGAAATTACATTATCCCTACCTTCCATATATTAGAATTTAGATTCAGAGAAGAGTCAACGCTTCAGTCATGACCTAACCAGTGTCCAGTTTTAAATCATCTAATTACCTGTATGGTACAGTTTTCCCTGCCATGTCATACCACTAGATCTAAGCCACCTTCAGGCCTGGACACCTCATTTTAAGCTGGACATAACCTTAAACAGAGTGCAATCAGAGATCTTGGTCAAGCAAGACAAATATAGGGCAAAAAATGATGGTTGCTAAGACCCTTTTGAGGACTTTAAATTCAGAGGAAGAAGAGAAAGAGGAGGAGAGTTATGTTTTATTGCCAGATATTTTGTAATCTATCTTAATTACAATGACTCCAGGAAGAAAATATTGCTATCTCTGCTTTACATAGAACATGTAGGCCCCAAATGTCAAACAATTAATCCAAGGCCTCGCAGTTAGTTAGATAAATAGACTAGATAATCTCATGGTTTAAATAATCGTGACACAATTGTTCTAATGGTGTCCATACTGTTAGAAAGTATTCTGCTCATAGAGTCTTAAGAGAAAACCCAGACTTTCCAATCAGTTTCCGAATAGCCATCTGCACATCGTTGTTCCTGAGGCTGTATACCATGGGGTTCAAGACTGGGGTGATGATGGTATAGGTCACTGTCACCAGCCTATCTTTGCCCGATGTATATTTGGCTGAGGGTCGCAAGTAGACAAAGGAAGCTCAACCATAATGGACAATGACTACAATGAGATGGGAAGCACAGGTGGAGAAGGCTTTTTGTTTGCCTTCAGCTGATGGGATCTTCAGGATGGTGCGGACAATGAAGCCATAGGAAATGCAGATAAATATCAAGGGCACAACAAGCACCAAGACCCCGAAGATGAAGATGACCAGTTCACTGATGTAGCTGTCAGCACAGGCGAGACGGATAACTGGTGAAATATCACAAAAGTAGTGGTTGACCTTGTTGGAGCCACAGAAAGGGAGGCTAAAGACAAAAGTTGTTCCCACCAGAGATATTAGGAAGCCACTAATAATACAAGTTGCTATCAGTTGTCCACATACTCTCCAGCTCATGAGAACAGCGTATTGCAAAGGCTGACAGATGGCAGCATAACGATCATAACCCATCACTCCCAGAAGCAGACAGTTAGTGACAGCAAAACCGAGGAAGAAGAACATTTGGGTGGCACAACTCACAAAGGAGAGTGTCCTGAATACAGAGAATAAGTTGATAAGCATCTTGGGCAGAATAACAGTTGTGTAGAAGATTTCAGAGATAGAAAGAATACCTAGAAAGAAGTACATGGGTGTGTGGAGGCTGTGATCCAAATGAATGACTGAGATGATGATGATGTTTCCACTCAAGATAATCAAATAGAGGCAGAGAAAGACTGCAAAGAGGACAAGCTGCAATTCCCCAAGGCTAGAGAAGCCCAGCACTAAGAACTCAGTGACAGAGGAAGAATTGGCCATGAAGAGTTGATCCCACGGAATAAAGTCAATATGATCAGGTCCAGAGATCTTTGGAACTTAAAATTCAGGGAGACCTACCCTCATAAAGTAGCTATGCCAGTCTTGTTTGGATGAGAAACAACAAGCATGGGAGAGAAAAAAGAATTGTAAATTTAACCAGAAGTTCTTCTAAATTGGTATGCATTCAAACTCCTATTTTTCTGCTGTTGATTTTAGCAGTGAATCTGGGGACAAATGTACACATGAAGTGTACAGTCATTTGCTCAAATAAAGCCTATCTATTAGGTCCCCTACTTGGAGACTTTCTTGCTCCTTCCTGCCCAGGATAAGAATCATCCCTTTGTGCAGTGTATCCAGACTGTATATGCTATTATCCATTAGTCACTCAGAAGCCGTCCAGTTATTAGATCAACTGTCATGGTATCACCAAATTAGTGCTCAAGTAACCTTTATTTTCCTTAATAATGGCTCCAAAGCTCAAGAGTAGTGATGCTGATATAATGTTATTGTTGATCTATTTTATTATTAGTTATTGTTGTTAATATCCTACTATGCCTAATTTATAAATTAAGCTTTATCATGGACATGTATTATAGAAAAAAATCATAGTATATTTAGGGTTCAGTACTGTTCAGTTTCAGACATCCATTGGAGTCTTGGAATATATTCCCTGCAGACTAGAGGGGATTCTTGTAATCTAATGCTATAAAATCCTTTATCTATATTAATTATTATTTTCAACGGTCACACTTTTATCCTGATTACTGATACATATGTCAATAAGCGATAGCATGAATAAGCAATAGCACCAATGTCTGACAATTCACATTTCTACACCTGTTTTTAATACCTTCCCCATCTAGAGAAACATCCATTGATCTTTGTGTTACTTAAAGAGCACAGTTCCCTTTTACAACTAATTATATAACCAATTTTTATGCATTCATTTGTTACAAATAAATTGGTTTTGAACTATTGCTATTGTTTTAGGACTAGCTTTATGATTATTCTACAAACTCTTACAAAATTATAGGCCTGATTTCTCCTTACAGAAAAGACATAGCTAGAATCTTTAGTTTTGCTTCAGCATTCACTTGTTGCCCATTGTTTTATGTCCTATCCTTGATGTACCTGACTTGGAGGCCCAAAAGGCTGTCATTCCAAGGAGCTGTCTCTAAATTTCTGAATAAGTGGGCTCAGATATCTTCCCTAAGGCCTCCAACATATTTATCATTGCTGGTACTGAATTATATACATTTTAATCAAAACATTCTTATTCTGTGCTACCTCTTGCCTAAATGTGTTCTTTTATCTAGATTCTGTATCTCAATAAATAGTTTCAAAATACTCTTAAGCCATCTAAGCTGTAAATTTCTAAGACGTGTTTAAACTCACCATTTTTCTAATCCTCCACATTCAATCTATTTTTTTTCACTTTTAGGATTCATTCTTATCTTTTGCAAGCAATTATCCCTTCCCTGGACTATAGTGTTATAAATGAACTGCCCAGATTCTCTCTTCCACTCTGAGTAATCCTTCATAATAGCAGCAGAATTGTCTTTCTATAGAACAAATCCTATCATATTACCACAACAACTGACTCTGTTACCTATAAAATATTCTAGGTTTTTCACACTTTTCCCAGTTTCACCTTTTCACTCATAACTGCCATTATAGATTCCTTCATATGTACTTTAGCAGTGAGAATTTTTACACAACCAAGTCATTTTTCATACTACTTTCTATATCTGTAAATAGTCTCTGCTTTATACTTATTGTTTTTCTGCTTCTGATTTTGTGGTCTCCTTTTACTTTTCATTTAAAATGACTTTACTCATAGAATCCTTCCTACAGCTTCCTAATCATGCTGCACCATTTTTTCTGGATTTCCTGAGTAATCACTAGAATCTTACCTGCTTTGCCACAAACTATTATTATAAGAATGTCTTTGACTCTACAAATTATAACTTACCAAATAACAGAAACTGCATCTCAAAAACACACAATGATGCCCAATATATACTAAGTGCTTCAAAGCCTGTTAAAAAAATAAATGACCAATGATATCACTTTATTTTCTAAATCATTTCAAAACTCTCAAGTAGATGATATTTGATTCCAGGGATTTTCAAAACTTGTTACCTTAATATCAACCTAGCCTGTAATATTACACTCTGCTTCAACATTTTGGGATGAAAAATCTCTCTGATATTATTCTCTGAATGCAGAGCAAAAAATCCCGTAAAAAATGTTGCTATCTTATTTATCATTTCTGATGATCAAATAGTTTCCTCCGTTATCTCACTAGCTAAACTTTTTATTTTAATTTTAGAAACACTTGATTTAGGGGCTTCAAATCCTTTACAAATAACTAAATTGCTATCAATATTTGCTGTTTTGCTTAGGCAAATGTTTAATAAAATTTTGAAATGGGACTAGAACCAAGAGTTTTATTTTCTATCTCTATACATCTTTGAATGGCCTTATCTCTAAGCTTTATAAATAAAGAATATACACCATGCATTTGACCAAAACAGAGTCCTCACTAACATTCTTCCTGAGACATCTTCTATGCCTTTCCACTTTCCATATATCCTTTCTTGGAGTGTTTTCTCACTTACAGGCTCATCGCCAGTATTAATAGTGACAAAGTAAGCAAATAAAGTTGGTGCACCTGAATGAAAAGTAAGGTCACATTACTCAGTATTTACTCTATAACTCCTACCCCATCAACCATCTGTTCTTTCAAACTCATCCTTGGAACCTATGTGGAACTAATAGTGAAAAATAAAATTTACTATGGAAATCTTTGACTTTACTTAACTCAGTCTAGGATACTGCTTAAAGTAACTGCTAAATAGGAGATAGTGACATGAGTTTGGAAGGCAAGGCATTACAGGTTGAAAGAAAAGCTTAGAAAAATGAGAAAGAGAGAGAAAAAGAAAAGAAGAAAAATAGAGTAACTAGATCACCTTCTTAACAAGTAGAAATTGTGAATTGATATTTTCACATTATACCGCTTAGTAACTCTTCATCATCTACAGGTAAAGTCAGAATTCCTTAAGCTGAATCATAGGACATCTGATTCTCTGTCTCACATACATTTACAATCTAATCCTCTAAGTTTTCATCACACAGGAATTGTACTGAAATACAGTTTCCATTATATGCCCTTGTGTCTCAAGATTCCACTGGAAGAGAGAGAGAGAGAGAGAGAGAGACAGAGAGACAGAGAGAGAGAGCGATCTCAGCCTCCAATATCATTTCCTCTTCATGTATGGCCCACTCATTCCTCACATTTTTTGAGTCATCAATTATTGAACTTTCTCCAATATGTCTAGGGAGGGTGTGCTGTTCCCTTCTTAGTAATCTAAAGCTTGTCTAGTATGTCTTCATCAAAATACTCAACATGTTATATCTAATTTTTTTTTCCTATTGGTCTCTCCAATAGATTTAAGAGTCCCAAGGATAAATGCCTCATCTTATTCCCTTTGTATCCTCAACTTTATCCAATATTTAAATAAATGAGATATGGATACTTGATGAAAAAATAAATGTCTATTAATGAATTAATAATAATTCCAATTAGTTTATTTTGTAGTAACTTGGTTTCCCTAAGAGGCACTACCATGTGCCTCTTAAGTGAGAAACACTTCTGTCTTCCTTATACATTCTATGTTTACTGTAAATTTTTTATTCTTTCTTTCCAAAACTAATACTACCTCCACCCTATGAAATAATCAAGACTTAGCCTGAGTCTCTGCCTTTGTCTTGGCCTTGGTCTCAATTTTTATCCTTATTTTCTTCACTATTCAGCTTTGCTTTCTGTCATTTGGTCACAATTTCTATTTTTCATTACTAATAACTAGGGATAAACAGATCACTAGCTCATGGAAAAACTCAACAATTTTTAAATTTGACATACAAATAAATGACTGTCACTGGTCTTCTTAATAAAAAAATCAAGGTCTCTAAATAAAAATTAAAATTTTACATTTCTTCAAATCAGAGTTCTAGTGCCTTGTAACCTGCCAGTTAATTCATTCTCAGGCATTTCCTAGAAACTTCTGTAAAGGGTTTCTAAGTGAAATTTGCCAAAATTGCCTTCCCTGTCATGATGCCTCAGGGTTCTTCTTCATCTTTCAGGAACTCCCAAGACCAAAATAAGAAAATAGCATTACTCCAGAGAAAAATGTTACCTGTGCCCTGTCTCCATGGGTGCTTTAGGTAGTGCCTCAATGGGTGTCATCAATGGCCTTTCCTTTTTACATTAGCCATGGTCTCAATGCCTTGGTTGGTAAGTGAGCTCGCCATCTCCACAGGGAGCTAATTACCACATTGTGCCCAATACTTGTCCATAATTTTTCTAATTAGCATGTGGAACCATGATAATACACTATGAGAATTCATTGGCCAAAGAAAAAGCCCTATTATTCATGGGGATTAGTTGACTTCCTCTTGGAAATTCTCTAAGGAGTCAGAGATGTGGAGATTCTCCAGGCAACATTTGTTAAAATATACATCAATGAAACTATCTCCTTTGAATTTCCCTACATAGTGCCTCTAGAGTTTCGTTCTGAAGTTGAAGAAAAGTATTCTTTTTTATGCTGCTACACATTCCTATTTCTGAAAGCTAAAAGAGAAGAAGATATAAAGAATAGAGGACAGAATATTAGAATGGCAGAATCTTTCAGATACATTAGAAACAGGTTTGCTTCTGGAATATAATGTGAATTTGGTAAATATTTCCTCAGTATATGAATACAGTTTGGGTTATAGAGAAAAGTGTGACAATGCCTTCATGTAGGTTTTCACAAAGCCCATCAGCTTTCTCCCCATTTCAGCTCACATATCGATTCTTTCTGACAGTGAGTCCATCCACTTGGGCTGGAAATGGGTCAAATGCTAGACATGCATGGACGTCTCTCTAAGGTGCTCACGTGAACTGCTCTCGTATAAGTCATGTCCCGCATGTTCTCACTTATAAGTCAGAGCTGAACAATGAGAATACATGGACACAGGGAGGGAAATAACACATACTGGGGCCTATGGTTGAGGGGCAGGGGAAGGGAGAGCATCAGGATAAATAGCTAATGCAGCTGGGCTTAATACCTAGGCGATGAGTTGATAGGTGCAGCACACCACCATGACACATGTTTACCTATGTAACAAACCTGCACATCCTGCACATGGATCCCAGAACTTTAAATTAAATTAATTTTTTTTAAAAAAAGATGCTGCAGCAATGAGAAAACAAGAGAAAAGCCCAAGTGATTAACCCAGACAGGAACTTTTGGTGGCTTCCTCCTTCCCCTGAATCCAGATAGGAAGAGTGACTACTTTGACAAATAAATTATAGTAAATGTAAGACTGTATCCGTTTATTAACCCTAGTCTCTAAAGTCTTGTAGCTGCTACTTATGGAGTGTTGAATCATCTACTTTTGTACCCTAGTAACCATGTTTTGAGGAAGCCCAAACAGCCCTTGGAGAATCTATATGGTAAAAAACCAAGGCTCCTGGCCAATAGCCCCAGCTGAGCAAACAACCAATAGCTAACACGAATAAAACAGGCACATAAGTGAGCAATCTTGAAAGTAAATCCTTCAGCCCCAATTGAATCATCCAACCTGCTGGGACAAAGAACAAATTCCAGCTGTCCCCACTGAGCCCTGCCAAAATTGCAGACTTGTGTGCAAAATAATTACAGCTCATTTAAGCAACTAAAGTTGTAGAGAGTTGATTATGCAGCAGTAAATAATGAGAACAGAATTTGGTATCTAAAGGCAGGGTGCTGTTATAATCAACATTTAAAACATTTGGCATTAATTTTGCAATTGGTGGTATAAATAATCCATAAGGACTTAAGGAGTCTCTTACTAAAAGGTGAAAGGATCATAAGGCAACTCTTGGTAAAGCTTTGAAGCACAGAGAGAAAAATATTTGAAGGACAGAGAGGAAACTGTTATCATACTTAGGTAAAACATGGATACTTATTATCCATTGCTCTAAAGTTTGGCAGCAGGACCACATGCTACAGCCTGGAAAATAGACTATTTAGTAATCTCATTATCTTCCTGGGTAAATTTCTAGGAAGACTATAGAAAATTCCAACCAATGATAAAATATGAAAAGAGAGTAGACAGCAGGATACTAGAGGAAGGGAATAGTAGAGAAAAGGGAAGGATAGGTGGAGATTTGCTAAAGGATACAAAATTACAGCTAGATAAAGGAATAAGTTACAGTGTTCTTTGCTACTGTAGGATGACTATAGTTAACAGTAATGTATAGATTCAAATTGCCAGAAGGAGGGTGTTGAACATTCCCAACATGAAGAAATGATAAATGTTTGAGATGATGATATGCTAATTACCTTGATCTGATCCCTATAACATTATTTATATCAGAATATTACTATGCACCTAAGGAATATGAACAATGACTATTTGTCAATTTAAAAGTACATAATTTTTTAAAGTTTCTTAAGTTTCTGAGAATTTAGAGGAAACAGAAAGAAACAAAACTTGTTGGGTTTGCAAATAAAGATGTTTCTCATGCACAGTCTCTCTCAACAAAGACTCTCAAGGTACAAAATGGCTTCAAGGAAGAAATCAAATCCAAGGTGCTATCAGGAAACCAATGCCTCAGGGTAAACCTCTTAAGAATGTAGCTGTAATACTTTTTGTTAGAACTCAGAAATATTTTAGGCTATACCCAACAAGATTTATAAATATCCTAAGGGCCTGACTCCTTAAAGTTAAGCAATAAGTCTTTTTAAGAATCTTAAGGGAATTGCCATACAGCAGTTATTAATACTGCTACCTCACAAGTGACCCATAATAAAGAAATGAATATGGATGTGACTTTTATCTAATGGAATTAATTTATAAACTGAAACATAAGAAACTCACCAAGTTTTAAAAAGGCATTCTATCAACATGTGCTAAAGGCTACAGAGCAAACAGAAATGAATAGACCTTTGGACCCTCAACTTCTTCCATGGAGGTATCAGACTAAGAAATGACATGTCTGCAAATTGTAGCTATGTCTTGCAGATAAAAAAGGATGATCAGAAAGTGGGGAAATGGCATCACAGGTTAGATCTAAGAGTCATGGAATTCATTCCCAGAAAATAGGACTGGCAACAGTGTCCAGATGAATTTCAGAATTTCTATGGACCAATGACTGTGATGTGTCTAATTTCCTCCTTTTTCACAAGGGAATGTCCATTGCTATTCCTATGCCCATCACATCATTGTCTTTTTGGGTGTCAGGAGCAGACAACCTGCTGGTATTATGCCTTAAAAGACTAGCAGCTTCCTCTTTCTGTTTCTTGGAATGTTTAGTCTTTGAAACCAGTCATGATGTTGTGAGAAAGTTTATAGAACCCCATGAAAAGGGCCACATGGAGAGATACTGACTCTCACAACCTATAGCCCTGACTCAGCTCCACTACAAATCAGCATCATTTTGCCAGCCGTGTAAATGAGCCAAATGGAAGTGGGTCCCTCAATTCTAGTTGAGCAGCTCAGTTGACATTGTATGGAGTTAAGACAAGCCAATCTTATAAGCCCTCTCCCATTTAAGAGATTAATGAGCAAAATAAATTATCATTGTCATTGTTATTTTTAATTACTGTTATGGGGGACATAAATATTGCTACACTTTCACATGTAGTTTCAGATGTTTTTCTTAGCTAGACCAAGAAGTCATTTATTCAATTAAAGTTAAGAGACATGTATTAGTTATCTCCTGAATGTCAGGGATATAAAAGACATTTAGGAGGAGTTAATGTATCGGTATAATAAATTACTTCCTTTCACGTTGTTGATTGTCCATTAGAGAAAATAAGATATGTACATAATCAGCTCAATATGTCAGAGCTCAGTAAGAAGTATAAGTAAAGCTTACAATGCTATGGTGTTTTGAAGAATGGAAATCAGGTAATACTTCATGAAACAGGTGAAAATAAAAAAAACTTTGATGGTAGACATTGGACAAAGAAGGAGATAATCTTTTCAAATAAGACCTTTTTTGATTCTTAGGCCGGTACAGGACCATTCTCCATAGGATCCCACTTTATAAGCTGTAAGTAAAGAAATGTGGTGCACAGAATGGCAAATTTATGTTTATCTTCTACTGCCTTTTTAATTAATGATGGCTATAGTATGATGATGGCAAACAAGGCCATTTTGTCACTGCAAATTATTTTCCTGTAGAAGTATTATTCTACTGTTTATTATTATAATATCTTTTAAACATAATTTTAACTCTTTCTTGTTTCTACTAATAAAAAAAGGAATTCAAGAGACCTATATGCCAGGATGGTAGGAAACTAGAGCCATATAGTAAGATAGAAAAAAATGTTTTGAATCACATTCATGTCGGCATGCTGCAGAAAATATTCTATACATTAGTGTTGGACACAAAAATCAGCTACTTTTCATGAAAGTTGATCAAGATGTTAAGTGTAGTTTATTTCTGAAACTTCCTGCTTACTTTTCATTTCTTTTCACAGTATAGAATTTAGTTTTCCTAATGTATACATATTCTGTATTTAAAAACCTCAAATGTTAGACTGCACAGTACCTTCTCCTAAATTTTTAACGAATGTGACATAAAATAGCAATACTCTAGTTAATTGAATATGCTATCTTGACCAGGATAGTTTCTCTGCCTACCTTGCGGTAAATTTTTCTGAAATTTGATATTAAAAAGGAAATTAAATCCATTAAAGGGATCTAGAAGATAGCAGCAGGGATGTCTATTAATCTATCCTGCTGTTATAATAAAATTATAAAACATGTAAACTCTGTGACATGATGATATAAATAACCTTTCAATCAGGTAAAAAAAAGTTACAACAAATTGTTAAAAGTAAAAAAGAAAAGGTGAAATGATGAAAGCAAATTTAAATAGATTATATGACTTTGGCCATGAACAAGTACTCCCATGAATTGGATTTAGGGATGGACTTTGTATACTATGTAAACTCCTCAGATTGTAAGCAAGTTTTTTTTTTCCTGTATATGTGCATGAGGAGAGTTTCATGCATTAGATACATAGCTTTCAACAGATTCTCAAAAAACCATGTGCTGCAAAATGTGATCTAGAGTGATTAAGGTGACTATTTACGGCTATACCACTGGTCAGGCCAACTACTTGACTCTGTATACAGATGGTAACTTTATGAACTAAATATTTACCAATAAACACCATCATAACACCTTAAACTATAGGAAAAACATGCAGCAATGTCATAAAAGGCAGTTTTTCTTAGTTTCAGTTGAGGCACAAAAGCTGAGAGAATAAAATATGTGAACTGCTCTTAAAAAATAAAAATTTTGAGAAAAAAGGGGTGGAAATATAATCTTTGGAGGAAGCTCTTGACTTTCTTAATGTTTTATCTCTCCCCAAGAGTAGAAAACTGCTTCAAGATATTGATATATATCTGCTGGAGATAAAGGAACACAGTGGATTGCTATCTGAGCTCACCTGAGAAATCTGAATGTAGAAATCTGCAGTTACTGGCCTGAAATACCAGTACACAGAGAAATATGTCAGCACTTCAACTGACTATGGGTAGCAAGGATTGTCAAAATTTTCTTTTGGATCACATATTGACCATTTAGGAGAAATTGTCATTGTGGAATCACTTAAAAATAACATTTTGTCCAATAAGACCTTTAGAAAACATGGGACCCAGATAAATGTTGAAACCTCAGAATTAGGAGGAAACTTTACAAGCTGTCAGCTAGAGGCAGATTCAACCATATCACAGGAAATGTGGTAGAAGTTCCGAGTAAGGAATTATTTCAGCAGCCATGAAAGCTCCCTGCATAAGAAAGACTCAGTGTGCAACATCTGAAAGCAGTATTGCCAGAGCATGACTGTGGCAATGAAGCAAGATGTTCCCTCCACCTATCCCTCCCTCCCCAGTATAATGCTTGAAGGGTCAGTCACTGAAATAAGTAGAGAGAAAAGTGTTTGCTGAAAGAGCTAATACATAAGTCAACCTTCACTGGTACCAATGAAGGCTTCCCAGTTCAAAATTCAACACCCAGAAAAGGCAGAAATTTTAGCTTTAAATTAAGTTTAAATTTTCAGTTATCCCAGTGGACTAGGCATTTAAATTTGAGGAGTTCCCTGAGATTCCATATGAGGAAATGAAAAACATTAGCTTGTGGATTAAATTTAAAGAGACTGTAAGGAGAAAAACATATTTTATGACATGCCTCTTAAGGACTCCTATTATTTCAATGAATTTGTTACAGTTATAATATGCTTGTGATAAAAAGGCATTATTTATTAAGAAATCTAAAATGTAATAATATTTCAATTATATAGTTTTAGAGAACCTTTCTTGCCCAACACTTTTCTGATAGCAAGTTGGACATCCTTGTTTCTGAGGCTATAAACCATGGGGTTTAGTAATGGAGTGACAATCGTGTATGTCACCGTCACCAGCCTGTCTTTGTTGGACACATAGTTTGCTGTAGGCCTCAGGTAGATGAAGGAAGCACAGCCATAATGAACAATAACAACACTGAGGTGAGAGGCGCAGGTGGAAAACGCTTTCCGTCTGCCCTCAGCTGAGGGAATCTTCAGGATAGTCCTCAGAATGCAGAGATAAGAAACACAGATAAACAGAAAGGGAACCACAAGTACAAGAACTCCACAAATGAATATCACAAATTCGTTAACATCTGTGTTGGTACAAGCCAGAAGAATGACTGCTGAGATGTCACAGAAGTAATGATTGACTTTGTTGGCGCTACAAAAAGGGAGGCTGAAAACTAAATTTACTACTGTAAGAGAGGCCAAGAAGCCACCAATTGCACAGGCAGCTGCCAGTTTTCCACACACCTGCCAGCTCATAAGAGTGGGGTAATGCAGAGGGTGACAAATGGCAGCATAGCGATCATAACCCATCACACCCAATAGCAGGCAGTTGGTAATGGCAAAACCAAGGAAGAAGAACATTTGAAGAGCACAACAGTTGAAGGAGATTGTCCTGGCCACAGAAAGTAGATTGATGAGCATCTTGGGTAGAATGACAAAGGTGTAGAAGGTCTCAGATGTTGAGAGAATGCCAAGGAAGAAGTACATTGGTGTGTGGAGGCTTTTATCCAGGTGGATGACACTGATAATGGTGACATTGCCACTAAGAATGACTAGATACAGAAAAAGAAAAACTACAAAGAGGGCCAGCTGAATTTCACCAAGGCTGGAAAAACCCAGCAACAGGAATTCGGTGACCATGGTGAGGTTTTCTGCCAAGATCTGCAAAGGGGGAAAGAAGTAAAACATATTCAGGTATGTGAATATAAGAATTTGGGGCATGCACTCCTTTGTTCCTTTCAGGTGGTGACAAAGAAGAATCTTGCCTTTTATTCACCTTTTCCGGTTCCTAACTACCTCTCATGTTCATTGGTTCATGGTCCTCTTCTTCCATCTTCAAAGTCAACAAAGTTACATCTCTTTCTCTGACTTTCTGATTCTCTCTCCCAATTTTAAGAACCCTTATGATTACTTTGGGCCCACCAGAATAATACAAGATAATATCTCTATTTTATTGTCAGTTGACTTTCCTTCTGCAGCCTTAATTCCTTGAGCTTGTATAATCTAACATATTCTCAGGTTCTGGTGATTAAAACATAGACATCTTTGGGAGCTCATTATTTGGCCTACTACAACAAGCAACAAAAAATCTAAAAATGATATTAAGAAAACAATTCAATTCACAATATCATAAAAAAGCTTAGTGTCAGATTTAACAAAAAAGTGTGAGACATATACAGAGAAATCTCTCAAACATTGCTGGGTTAAATTATAAAATATATGACTAAATGAAGAACACCCATGTTCATGAGTTTAAAGATGTAATAAAATAAAGAGCAATTCTGACCAAATTGGTCTATGTAGTCAACATAATTCTTAACAAATCCCAGCAGGCTTTTCATCTAAAGGTTGATAAGATGATTATAAAATTTATATGAAAAGAAATCAGAATTGCCCAAATGTGTCTAGTTTAATCACTAAATAGAGGCTTTTGGAGCATTGTGATCCATTTAATTGTCACCATTTTAGTCCTACTCTAGGATCTTTAAGTGTTTCTGGAACACATCACAGCTCTTTGAAGATTGTTGATAGAAACAATTGTAAGTTGATTATTTGCATTCTCAGGCTGATAAAGTTTACCACTCTAGTAATGCCCAGTTATATTTGTAATAATAATTAAAATAACCATAAACACATTTTACAAAAGAAGATATTATATACCTGAACAGAGGGTTGGGAGATAGGTTCTGTTGAGCTCAATATAGATGGATTGAATTAGGTTAATATCACTTATTCCCCACTTTGAACAGCAATAATGTAGACATTCAAGAAAAATGAGCAAACAGATTATGACTAATTATCTGTATTTATATGCAGAATAAGTATTTTCTGAAGTGACTAGAATTATCCTTATCACCTTCCTTCTTTCCTTACCCATCATCTTCATCTATAGACACACATGGAGTCCAGCATGCCTTAAATAAAACATGGTCCATTGTAGAGTCATTGAATTCTGATACATAAACTGCTTTTAGGAAAAACTTTGTGTATGGTTTATGAAAAAATGAAAATTGGGGTTTGAAACTTACAATAGTTTTTTTCTGCAGTAAATAGTCAAAGCAATGTAGTATACCTTTGATTTTCTAGTAACAGTTAATTAAATCTTAGTATAAGAGAAGACAAGAATACTTTTTAGTCAGGTAGAATCCCATTAAATAAAATTAGCTTATATGAAATTTTTTCTAATTACTGCACATAAACCTCCCCTCAGGTTCTAACAGGTAGAAATAAGAATCTCTTCTCTCTGTCAATAGTTTCTTTTGCTGTGCAAAAGCTCTAGTTTAATTAGCTCCCACTTATGAATTTTTGTTTTTGCTACAATTGCTTTTGGGAACTTAACCAAAAATTCTTTGCCAAGGCTGATATTGAGAATAGTATTCCCCAGGTTTTCGTCTAGGATTTTTAGAGTTTGAGGTTTTACATTTAAATTTTTAATCCACTTTGAGTTAATTTTTGTATATGGTGAAAAGTGAGGGTCCAGTTTCCCTCTTCTGCAGATGGCTAGCCAGCTATTCCCACACCATTTATTGAATAGGGCGTCCTTGTTCCATTGTTTGCTCTTGTCAGCCTTGTTGAAGATCAGATGGTTGTAGGTGTGCAGCTTGCTTTCTTAGTTTTTTATTATGTTCCTTTGGTCTATGTGTCTGTATTTGCACCAGAACCATGCTGTTTGGGTTACTGTAACGTTATAGTATAGTTTGAAGTTGGCTAGTATGATGCTTCTCTCTGGCTTTGTTCTTTTTCTTTAGGGTTACTTGGGCTATTTGAGGGCTTTTTTGGTTTCATATGAATTTTATAATAGTTTTGCTAATTCTGATAAAATTACATTGGTAGTTTGATAGGAATAGCATTGAATCTGTAAATTGCTTTTGACAGTACGGCCATTTTAACAATATTGATTATTCCAGTTCATGAGTATGGAATGTTTTTCCATTTATTTGTGTTATCTCTGATTTCTTTGAGCAGTGTTTTTTAGTTCTCCTTGTAGAGACCTTTCTCCTCTTTTATTAGGTGCATTTCTAGATATTTTATTTTCTTTGTGGTTATTCAAATATAATTGTGTTCTTGATTTGACCCTCAGTCTAGACATTATTGATATATAGAAACACTACTGACTTTTTTAGATTGATTTTGTATCCTAAAATTTTGCTAAAGTCATTTATCAGTTCTAGGAGCCTTTTGGCAGAGTCTTTAAATTAGTTTTCTAGATATGGAATAATATCAACAATGGAGACAAATAGTTTGACATTTTCTTCCTATTTGGATGCCTTTAATTTCTTTCTCTTGCCTTGAATAGGAGTGGTAAGAATGGGTATCCTTGTGTTGTTTCAGTTCTCAAGAATAGTTCCAGCTTTTGCTTGTTGAATATGATGTTGGCTGTGGATTTGTCACAGATGGCTCTTATTATTTTGAGATATGTTCCTTAAAGCCTAGTCTGTTGAGGGTTTTTATCATGAAGGGACGTTAGATTTTATTGAAAATTTTCTGCATCTATTGAGATGATCATATGAATTTCATTTCTAATTGTTTATGTCATGAATTACATTTATTGATTTTCAAATATTGAACCAGACAACCTACAGAATGGGAGAAAATATTCAAACTATGCATCAGACAAAGGCCTAATATTCAGAATCTTTAAGAAACTTAAACAAATCAAGCAAAAAACAATAAACCCCATTTTAAAATGTGCAAAGGATATGAACAGACGCCTCTCAAAATAAGACATACAAGCAGCCATGAAACTTATGAAAAATGCTCATCATCAATAATCATCAGAGAAATGCAAATCGAAACCACAATGAGATACCATTTCACACCAGTCAGAATGCTATGAAATAAAAGACTTGTATCTACACATTGAAATGATCCATCACCCTTTCATCTTATTCATATTCATGACTATCCAAGTGCTCACAAACATTGATCAAAAACTGTAAAGACTAAAACGTATCTTACACATTTATCCTATATACTTAAAGAAGCATTAATTAAAACATTAATTTTTTAAGTTTAATTATTTTAATTTTTTTCCTTTTTTTTTTTTTTTTTGAGATGGAGTCTCACTCTGTCGCCCAGGCTGGAGTGCAGTGGCATGATCTCGGCTCACTGCAAGCTCCGCCTCCCGGGTTCAAGCAATTCTCCTGCCTCAGCCTCCTGAGTAGCTGGGACTACAGGCACCTGCCACCACGCCCAGCTAATTTTTTTGTACTTTTAGTAGAGACGGGGTTTCACCGCCTTAGCCAGGATGATCTCGATCTCCTGACCTCGTGATCTGCCCACCTCGGACTCCCAAAGTGCTGGGGTTACAGGCATGAACCACTGCGCCCAGCCTACTTAAATTTTTTTTAAAAAATATAGAAAACCTGTCTGTACATTTGAGCAAAACCATTGATCAGTAACAATAAAATCATACGAAAATCATATTTTTGAAAGCTCTTCCATATGATAATTTGAAAATACTATTAAACAAGTGTTGGGTCAAAGGGAAAATATAATGTAAAATAAAATAAGTTCTAGAAAATAATGTCAGCTATATATATTAGAAAATATGGCTAAATTTAAAGCAGTTATCAGAAGAAAGTTTATACCTTAATTCTTTACCTAAACAAAAATTTAATGATTTTTAAAATATAAAACATCTCAATGCCACCTAAACTGTTTCTGACCTATAATAGTAACTTAATAAATACATCTTTAATACATTTTAAATATCAGTTTAAATTTTCAACGGATACATTCAAAATTTATATGTTAATAAAATACAAAAAAATGTAAAGGATTAGAAAACATTGTATTACTGGACAGAAAATTTGAAAAGCTAAACGTAAACAATAATGAGATATTATCAAAGAGTATTAAGCAACAATTGGTGTAAAATAAAATATTTATTTACAGAAAGGCACAATTAGAAATAATAGAAAGCAAACAACAAATGGAAAACTACCAAAAATATTCTTCAGATGTTAATATTAATAAAAAATGTATTACAAGCCGATGGAGAAAATAACAAACTTTGAAGAAGAAAACAGATAAAAGCATACAGTTTATAAAATAGAAATAGAATGCATCAAACATATAAAAATTTATGTTAAAAATATATTTTAACTTGAAGTGTATTTCAAATAAAGTAAAGTAGAGATATTATTTACACTCATCAAATTAGCTGTGGTGGTGTTATATGACTAGTAACAAAAAATTTACTAATAAGATTATAATTTGGTTTTGTTTATGCCAAGAAATTTAGCAAACTATATCTACATCCTTGAATATATTTATCTAATTTATTCCAATATTCTATTTCTTAAAAGTTGCCTATAGAGATTTATATGTAAAAATGTATTTTTAATAGGGAAAAATTGAAAATTGTAACACAAACTAATAGTACTTGTTTTAAGAAAGGCAGGATTATTGTGTATTGAATGACAGTATGGAATCTAGAGGAAGGTAACTTGGCTTTGGGTACCAGTTCTTCCATTGGGTGACTGTAACCTTAGACAATTTATTTAACCTCGCTATATTGTAGTTGTCTCATCTATGAAACAGGCTGTGATTATTATTAAATGTATTAATTTATATAGAGTGCTGAGAACAACACCTGCTACATAATAAGTGCTCTATCTAGTGGTATTATTTTCTTAACTATTATTAATTTTTTTTTGCTGGTCTCTTTGTCTTATAGGAAAATACGTTTTAAGACAGTGATTTTGAAACTTTATGTTTATTACATCACTGAGGTTATAGAATCAAATTAGGTTTCAACCCCAGCAGTTTTTAAATTTAAATGGAGAGCAGATAAAAGAAGAGAAGATTAAAATAAAGCATACCCAGTCTGAATAGCTCTTATTTAAAGCAAATATTTTATTTCAATTTGTGTATGTGTGCATGCATACTAGGTGTCAATTAAAATATATTTGTACTTTTTCTTGCAGATAGAACTACAAAAATAGAATACACACTCAATGGGCTGACCAACTGATTCATAACATCTTTATTGGAGAATGAACTTTCTTTTTCTCTCCAGGCCCCCTGTAACCCCTGTCTGGTATTTTCTACATGACTGATTCCTCTCTAGAGCCAGAACTATGGAATCTTAAGAGAATCTGTATTTCTTTAAAAAGAATAAATATCTTATGACACTCTTTATTTTTGTTTGCCTTTCCTCTCTTGTATCCAGCCTGAAGGGAGAAATTAGAAGAAACAAATTTATTCAAAGTAGGAAGCTATAGGGTTTTGTTTGTTTCATTCTGTTTTTCATTTTTACCTCCACTCCTGTTGACTTGGGAAGGGCAATTGGAGGAGATTATTTTCCAGAGTGATTTGGGCAGCAGAGATACAGGGGCCTGAGAATAGGAGGCATGGCATTGCGAACACAGAGAACAGCTAGGAGAAGATGGGAGAGGATAGGAGAATAAATGGTAAGGTGGGTGTTGAAACAGTTCAACTCAGAAGTGGCAGTCACAGAGACATTTAAATTTACATTTTACCAAGTACCTTCTTACTCAGAACCCTATAATAATCCCTGCAAACGTTGTAAAATTCCAATTTTCTTAGAAAGAAAGAAAGAAAGAAGAAAGAGAGGAAGAAAGGGAGAAATGAAGAAAGAGAAGAAAAGAAAAAAGAAAGAAAAGAAAAAGAAAGAAAGAAAGAGAGAGGGGGAGGGAGGGAGAGGGAGGGAGGGAAGGAAGGAAGCAGAGAGGGAAAGAGGGAAGGAGGGAGGAAGGAAGCAGAGAGGGAAAGAGGGAAGGAGGGAGGGAGGAAGCAGAGAGGGAAAGAGGGAAGGAGGGAGGAAGGAAGCAGAGAGGGAAAGAGGGAAGGAGGGAGGAAGGAAGGAAGGAAGGATAAAGAAAGGGAGGGAAAGGGAAGGAAAGAAAGGGAAGAAAAAAGGAAGGAAAGACAAGGAAAAAGGCTGTTAGATCTCTCACAACACTGCAAACATTTATTCCAGTTCCCAGATTTTATCCCAATGTTTTAATCTTATGGAACTTCTTAGTTCACTGAACATGCAAAGAGCCATGTCTTATAACAACAATGCCTTTTCCTGTGTTAGGGCAGATCCTCTAATCTTTCAAATCACTTCCCTGTAAGTCAGGTTTCCAAGCACTATTTCAATTTAAAAACTATTTATTGTATACATTACTAAATCTGAGACACATTATTTGGTGTTTGAGATACAACAGTGAACAAACCAAAGATCTTTACCCTTGTGAAACACTCATTCTTGGACTTCTTACATTTTAGATCATTCTATACAATGATCATTCTTACCTGGTACAATTTAAGCTCTTAGAATCAAAGACTATGTTGTTCATTTGACAAAAGTTTCCGTATCATGCACCAAACATTTATATACATCTCTCTAACCACATCAGCATCAGAGTTTCTAGCAAGAACAAATATTCAAAATCTGACAAAATTATAATTAAGCAAATTAATACCTAAATAAATCATTGCAACTAATTTGTAGGTATTTTTCATGTAGTTGGTAAAGATACTTCCAGCAAGCGATCAAGGAAGCTAGATAAAAATTTATGTTATGAAGAAAGCACTCAAGATGGAATTCACATTCTTATTTCAGCATTTTCTTTGAGCAAATAAATTAATCCTCCTGAATCTTAGTTTTCTCTTCTGTAATATGGGATGTTATAAAGATGAATGGACAACATAAGTAAAAAATGTAGCCCAGAATTATAAGAAGCCCTAATTAAATATTTCTTTCCTTTCTTCCTTCATTCCTTCTTAAGACTGGTGCCAGGGATAGCCTTTTTGACCATTCTGCAATATCTCTAATGTTCTTTTTTCTTGACCTTAAGATCTCAACTTGAGCATTATTTTATCTGCCCATCCAGCTACTTTTCCTATTACCACCTTCCAATCCTTTGCTGTCACGTATTTGTAGACTGCAATTTGAAGAAAATCTCAACAATTTCTGAATTAAACATAAGATAAAAGGCATAACTAGCTAACATCTTTAAAATGACATAAATATGTCCTAAGATTTTAGATAATTTAATTTCTGCAAGCCATCTATGGAATAAAGACCAAATCTCCAATATGAAAGAGTTTCACTTTCTTTAAAACACGAATCCTGGGGTACAGAGGAATGCAGTTGCCGTATATCTTAATCATGGCCCAGGCCCTTTAAGGAAAAATCTAAGTAATTCCCCAAAACTAGCATATTCCCAATATATTACACATCTTCCTGCTAGTCTCTTAAAATTTTTCAAGACAGCAACAAATGACTTACTACTTCGCTCCCCAGAACAGTGGTCATTGTGCCTCTTCTGTATGGGCTGGATCAGCTACAGGCCTAATGAGTATAATTAAGGAGCTTTTTTTCTGGTTCACATTAGCATCAATGCCTGCTTGGTAATTTTACTATCTAGCACCCTAGAGAGCCATGACCACATTGCTTCTGACACATTCTGCCCTCCCTCAATTAGCAACTATGATCCAAAGGGAAAATGCTCCTCAAGGCTTTTTTTTCCAAATAGATAAAGGAATAGACTCAGGAAATTAGTTGGTTTCCTATTTTAGATCCTTTGGTGAAGTGACTCATTACAAATCTAGAAGCTACTAGAAATACAATCAGCAGAAAAACCTCCCATGGGCTTCCTCCTATAGTTTCTGATTTTTGCCCTTTTGCTGGAGACAAGAATATTCACTCCTTAACTCAAGCCTCTATTTCAAGGGAAGGAATATATTTTGAGAAATGGCAGAGCAATGGACTGACAGGTGCTTGTAGATCCAGCAGTGACAGCAGCAAGGAGCAAATATGGGAAATGAGGCAGAATGTGGGAGAACTCAGTTATAGTGCCCAGAGAGAGCATTCATGTATTTATCTATTACAAAGTTTAGTTTCAGTCATGAACTGTGTTGTGTTTAGGTGATCTGAGTTCAAATAATTGGTAGTTTTTACCTTAAGAAATTAACCCTCCGGCCAGGTGCAGTAGCTCACGCCTCTAATCCCAGCACTTTGAGAGGCCAAGGCGGGCGGATCACCTGAGGTCAGGAGTTCGAGACCAGCCAGGCCAACATGGTGAAACCCCGTCTCTACTAAAAATACAAAAATTAGCCGGGCATGGTGTCAGCCACCTGTAATCCCAGCTACCCGGGAGGCTGAGGTGGGAGAATCGCTTGAACCTGGGAGGCGGAGGTTGCAGTGAGCAGAGATTGCACCATTGCACTCCAGCCTGGGTGACAGAGTGAGAGTCCATCTCAAAAGAAAAAAAAAAAAAGGAAAAAGAAAAATATTAACCCCCAGAGAAGGAAACATAGAAAGCAGCGACTGCTGCACATTTTGATGGGGGATTATGAGAGATATGCATATGTCACTATAAAGAAATACAGAAAATAAATATGAATTGGATTATGGAGGTCAATAACTACTTAGAGGTGGTTATGCTTGAGTGAAGTTTTGAAATCTGAGTAGTGGGTAGACAAATAATAAGAAATCATAAATTTTCAGGAAATACATGTAAAAGCAAAGGGCATGAAACAATGTATTTTATTGGAACAACAAGTACTTTGGTAGAATTTTTAACAGAGTTAAAATGTACCTTCAAATCTGTTAGAAACTATTGAAAGTTTTATAACCTGGGATATTATTTAATTAGATTTTTATTTTAGAAAGATGATGATGACCATGATAATAAAAATCAACATTAAAATAGTGCTCAGTATATGCCAGACAACTGTTGTAAGTGTTTAACACATATTTTCTAATTAACCATCACAACAACCCTAAGACTTCCCTGGCAGCAGTGTGAAGAATGGATTGGGGACCAAGGGACTTGAAGTTTTTGCAGTAATCCAGAAAAGACAGGATGATCCTGTAAAAACAGAAAAGGAATGTGATTGAGGAACTTTTAGCCAGTGGAATCTATAGGACACAATGGGTGGTATGAGGATTAAAAAAAAAAAAGTAGTGAAGATGACTTCCATGTGCTTGGCATGGTTGCTAGAATGGATGGAGTTAATATTCACCAAGATAAGGCATGAAGATGGCAGAGCAAGATTGGGGGGCACATAAAATTGCAGGACAGTGATGGCCATTCATAAAACAGATATTTCTGTTATGCCAGGCACCATACAAGGAACTGGGTCAACAAAGTTGTGTCTGGTGCAAAAACCCATGCTGTCAGTAAATTCAAATTCATTCCAGAGAGAAAGCAGAAAAAGAATTTATACCCCAAAAGCTCAGGTAATCGAAGCCAGAATAGACAAATGGGATTACATCAAACTAAAAAACTTCTGCACAGAAAAAGTAACAATCAAAAGAATAAAGAGACAGCATATGTAATGAGAGAAAATATTTGCAAACCATATATCTGATAATGGGTTAACATTCACAGCATGTGAAGAACTTTAAAAACTCAATCATAAAATAACAAATAACCCAATTAGAAATGGGCAAAGAATCTGAATAGACATTTCCCAAGACATATAAATGGACAGTAGGTAGCTGAAAAAATGCTCAACCCCACTATTCATCAGAAAATGCATATTAAAACCACAATGAGATATCGCCTCACACCTGTTAGAATGGCTATTATCAAAACGACAAAAGATGTAAAGTGTTAGGGAGGATTTGGAGAAAAGGGAACCCCTACACACTGTTGACAGTTGTAAATTAGTACAGCCATTATGGAACTCAGTAAGGGGTTCCTCAAAAAACTGAAAATATAACTACCATATGATCTTGTAATTCCACTACTTGATGTATATCGATATAAAGTCAGAATGTCAAAGAGATAGCTGCACTCCCATGTTTATGTAGCATTATTCACAATAGTCAAGGTGTGGAATCAACCTAAGTAAGTGTCTATTAACGGACAAATGTATTAGGTTGGTGCAAAAGTTATTGCAGTTTTTGCCATTGAAAGTAATGGCAAAAAAAAATACACAATTACTTTTGCACCAACCTAATATAAGAAAATGTGGTATACATACACAATAAAATATTATTCAGCCATATATAGAAAGAAGTCCTGTTTGCAACAAGATGGATGAACCTGGATGATATTATGCTAAGTGAAATAAGCCAGGAACAGAAAGACAAACACCATGTGATCTCACACATATGTGGAATCTAAAAAAAGTCAAACTCATAAAAGCAGAGAGTAGAATGTTGGTTACCAGAGGCTGAAATTGGTTGAGCAGTTGAGGGGAGAGTTTTGAAAATGTTTATCAAAGGGTACAAAATTTCAGTTAGATAGGAGAAATAATTTTAAAAGCTCTACTGCATATCTTGGTGACTATAGTTAATAATAATGTATTATATACTTGAAAATTGCTAACAGTAGATTGTAAGTGTTCTCACCACAAACAAATAAGTACATGAGCTAAAGGTATATGTTAATTAACTTTAGCCATTCTACAATACATATGTGTATCAAAATATCATGTTTTTTTTGTATTTTTTTAATTTTTTTATTTTATTATTATTATACTTTAAGTTTTAGGGTACATGTGCACAACGTGCAGGTTTGTTACATATGTATACATGTGCCATGTTGGTGTGCTGCACCCATTAACTCGTCATTTAGCATTAGGTATATCTCCTAATGCTATCCCTCCCCCTCCCCCCACCCCACAACAGTCCCCAGTGTATGATGTTCCCCTTTCTGTGTCCATGTGTTCTCATTGTTCAATTCCCACCTATGAGTGAGAACATGCGGTGTTTGGTTTTTTGTCCTTGCGATAGTTTGCTGAGAATGATGGTTTCCAGTTTCATCCATGTCCCTACAAAGGACATGAACTCATTATTTTTATGGCTGCATAGTATTCCATGGTGTATATGTGCCACATTTTCTTAATCTAGTCTATCGTTGTTGGACATTTAGGTTGGTTCCAAGTCTTTGCTATTGTGAATAGTGCTGCTATAAACATACGTGGGCATGTGTCTTTATAGCAGCATGATTTATAATCCTCTGGGTATATACCCAGTAATGGGATGGCTAGGTCAAATGGTATTTCCAGTTATAGATCCCTGAGGAATCGCCACACTGACTTCCACAATGGTTGAACTAGTTTACAGTCCCACCAACAGTGTAAAAGTGTTCCTATTTCTCCACATCTTCTCCCGCACCTGTTGTTTCCTGACTTTTTAATGATCGCCATTCTAACTGGTGTGAGATGGTATCTCATTGTGGTTTTGATTTGCATTTCTCTGATGGCCAGTGATGAGCATTTTTTCATGTGTTTTCTGGCTGCATAAATGTCTTCTTTTGAGAAGTGTCTGTTCATATCCTTTGCCCACTTTTTGATGGGGTTGTTTGTTTTTTTCTTGTAAATTTGTTTGAGTTCATTGTAGATTCTGGATATTAGCCCTTTGTCTGACAAAAACAAGAAATGGGGAAAGGATTCCCTATTTAATAAATGGTGCTGGGAAAACTGGCTAGCCATATGTAGAAAGCTGAAACTGGATCCCTTCCTTACACCTTATACAAAAATTTATTCCAGATGGATAAAAGACTTACATGTTAGACCTAAAACCATAAAAACCCTAGAAGAAAACCTAGGCAGTACCATTCAGGGCATAGGCATGGGCAAGGCCTTCATGTCTAAACACCAAAGGCAATGGCAACAAAAGCCAAAATTGACAAATGGGATCTAATTAAACTAAAGAGCTTCTGCACAGCAAAAGAAAATACCATCAGAGTGAACAGGCAACCTACAGGATGGGAGAAAATATCATGTTTTACACCATAAATATATATAATTTTGTCAATTGAAAAGCATTTTTAAAACAGCATTTATACAGGCCTTCTTTGCTTGTCTCCAACTCATCCAGTTCTTGCTTCAGGGGTTTTGTACACATTGTTTCTTCTGTCCTAAAGGATATCCCCTTTACCTGAAGACTTTTAATTACCCTTCAGGTTACATGCAGGTTAACTCTCAGTTTCTCTGGGAAACCAACCCTATGCCATTCGATCTAAATTAGGTTTATCTTAGTATTCTCTCCTCTATCGCCTGCATGCACTTTTTCTTCAGAGAATCAACTTAAACTGGTAAGGTATTTTCCCTCATTTTTCTGTTTACTGGGACTATCTTGAACCAGGCAATAAGGCCTATGAGGGCAGAGACCACATTTATTTTGTTCATCACATTTATTTGTTTTAAAACAAGCAAATAGTTGGTTAGCTTCAGAGTGTACAAAAGGCATATAGAAAATGGAGAATAACAAAATTAGAAATGATAATACTGAAGAGGTAGGTGGAAACTAGATGATAGATTCATGACAATGAAGGACCCTTGGCATTATCTTGTAGGGCAAAGGGAGTCACTGGAGGGTTTTCCATGAGTTTTCTGGTCATTCTAGGAATCTAGCCTTCTATTAATATTAACTCAAGCCCTTTGCTTGGAATTACTTGAGATATTTCAGCAAGTAGGCAATGCTAGTAGCTTCCTTGAAGAGAGCAAATTAGTATGGTGTCTCAGGAACAAATGTGGGGGCTAAGACACACTAGTATGTGAAGGACATACATGTGCATCAGGAAGAGAACCATAAAGTGGTTCCACCTCAAACAAAGGAAGAACAAAACAACCCCAAGTAAAGGCCAAGATATTTCAATATGTAGGTTAAGGAAATGAATTGGGGACAAAAAGGACCACCAAGATTTGTAGCAGAATGTGTGGGACCAAAGTTTTCTGTTGTCTTTAGGAAAAGAAAAGTACGGATAGATGGATTTCCTGCTGTTTTCCTTTTTTTTTTCTTTTTTCTTTCTTTTTTTTTTTTTGGATACATCTTTTCTTTCCTGATGTATCCAAGCTCTCTACTTCAAGACACAGCTCTCATCAGTTTAGATGCATCTTTGCTCTCATATTAGTTTTTAAATTAGCAATATTTAAAGCAGTAAAATATAATTAAATTTGTTATGGAACTGTGTGCTCTGTTCCCATATCTGATTAGTCTTGTTAAAGTATCATGGAGAGTAGAAAGCCAGACTGTCTTAACTTCTGTGAGCCTCATTCTTCTCATATGTAAAATGTTCTTATGTTACAGTGGAGCTGGACAATTAAATGAAAAAAAATGTATAAAACACACGTTCTGCCTGGCATGTACTAGGCATTAGTAGTTTAAAAAATAGCTCTTTAACTAAGAGGATAGAAAGTTTGGCCGATTGTTCTTCGTAGGGCTGATTTGAATTCCTTATTTCTCAGACTATAAATCATTGGATTGAACAATGGGGTAAGGATGGTGTATGACACAGATATTAGGGTGTCTTGGCTTGAAGTGTAATTAGTCTTGGGCCTTAAGTAGATGAAAGAGGCACAACTGTAGTGAACAGTTACCACAATGAGATGGGAGGCACAGGTGGAGAAGGTCTTGTATCTTCCAACGGAGGAAGGGATTTTTAGAATGGCAGAGATGATGCGGATGTAGGAGACTAGGATAAGTAGCAGAGGAATGACCAAGGCAAATACACCAAGCATGAATATGACCAGCTGACTGAAGCCGGAGTGCTGAGATGCCAGTTTAAGGACAGGGGAGATGTCACAGAAGAAGTGATGGAGCTGGTTGGAGGAGTGGAAGGGCAGATGAAATACTAGGGAGGTGGTGACCAGGGAGACAGTGAAGCCACAGGCACAGGCAGCAGCCATTAGTCCCATACACACCCCATGTCCCATGAGCACTGAGTAGCGCAGTGGGTTACAGATGGCCATATAGCGATCATAGCCCATGGCTGCCAGCAGGAAGGAGTGAGAGGAGCCAAAGAAGAGGAAGGAAAACATTTGGATGGCACAGCCCAGGAAAGAAATGGTCTTCTTCTGGGACAGCAGGTCAACCAGCATCTTGGGTACAATGACAAAGGTATAGCAAATCTCAGAGCAAGAAAGGATGGCAAGGAAGAAGTACATGGGAGTATGAAGGGCTCTGTCCAGCACAATGGTGGAAATGATGATTGCATTGGTGCCCAGAGTGAACAGGTAGAGGAGCAGGAAGATAACAAAGAGCAGCTGCTGCAGCCTGGCCAGGGATGAGAAGCCGAGGACGACGAACTCTCTCACCACAGTCTTATTGACTTGCTCCATGGAGAGCACTTCTATAAAGGAGAGTCAGGGACAGAGGTAGAAACCAGGATCCAGAAAGGAGAGTGGAAATGTACGGGAAATTTCACACAAAGTTTGCAGGTGGCAGGCATTTCCAGATATTTGATGGAATTCTTCATTCCCCCATTAAAATGCCTGCTAAAAGAAGAATTAGGCAAAATATGCAAAAGAATAACTGATAGCCAGTTTGGAGGCCTTCTCTAATGTGAAGAACAGGTTATCTCTCTGACCAAGGATTAGGAAATTTGCTAATAGTTTTCCTTCTTATGTAACAGAGAGATTGTTGTTTTTGTCACTTACTATAAACCCAAGGCAACTCACTCTCCAAAGTGGAAAACGTTAACTTCAGCTACCTGAAGCTGATCAGAATATAGAACGAAAGAATGAATAATATTCAGACATAATCATGTGGACTTCAGTTTATCCAACCATGAAATGAGAAAGGAGATAAAGTATTCCATGGTCTCTAAGTAAAGATGTGAGCACACATCTATTTACTGGGAACTTTTTATATCTCCAAGGGAACAATAAGAAATACTATTGGAAGTTCCACAAGTTGAAACATTGAGTCAACAGTGAAACAAAAAATAACATTAGCCAGATGTGGTGGCTCACACCTGTAATCCCAGCACTTTGAGAAGCCAAGGTGGGTGGATTGCTTGAGGCCAGGGGTTCAAGACCAGCCTCGGCAACATGGCAAAACCTGGTCTTTACTAAAAGTACAAAAATTAGCCAGGTATGGCAGCACACACCTGTAATCCCAGCTACTCGGGAGGCTGAGGCATGAGATTCACTTGAGCCCGGGAGGCGGAGGTTGCAGTGAGCCAAGATTGTGCCTCTGCACTCCAGACTGGGTGACACAGTGAGAATCTGTCTCAAAAATAAATAAATAAAATAAAATAAAAATAAATAACATTAGTGCATTAGTATAAAGAAAAAAATTCTTCTTTCAGGAAGAGAATAGTCACCAGGGTGGTAAAGAGAGATGACTGACTTTGTGGCATTTTGTAACACACTTCACTTTTCCATGCTGAGCTAACTTGGAGAAACTCAGAGAAATAAGAGTTTTGTAGAAATGACAGAGCTTGCTACAGAGTGTGAGAGAGAATGGCACACTTGGGAATTTTGCCAGTTTCCCCTCTCCTGCTGTAAACCATAGGCTTTGTATCTTTTGTATGTTGTTATGTTAATAAGATTTCTTTTGAACATTCTGCCACTAAAAATATTTTGCAAACTGCCATTACAAATTATTTCTAAAATCATCTTAGGCCTAATTTTTTTCACTGGAACATTTTTCAATAACCCAACCTAATAAGTAAAAAAAGCACTATCTGGATACAAAATCATCCAGTATGTCTTGCTGGTATCCAGTCTTCATTTATATACTTCTGAAGTTACTACATCATTTTGTCTTGGGAAATTATTGGCATCTGCTACCAGAATTTTGTTGCTGTTACTTTTCCATTTTTCTATTCAATAGCAACTTTTTTTGTTTCCTGAATCCTAAGTTAATTCATCAGGCATTCTTGAAATTCATTATATCTATTCATAGAATTTGGAGATGATTTTTTTTCTTTCTTACTTACTAGAAACTGGTCCTAAACTTAGTTAATATAATTACTTATTTTAATAACGTTAGTATAACTATAAAGATATTACTATTGTACATAAACATAGAAAAAGTAAACACAATGTATACCTCCATTGATATTTGTGTATGAGTGTGTGTGTATTAGTTATATGTTTTTATATACAGAAAGGTAAAAGTTTCCCTACATAATACCTCCTTCTGGACAAATGATTTCCTGTCTATTCAAAACAATGAGGAAATCTAAACTTATGGTCATTGCTTAGCCTTGCCTCATTGCTTTCCCAAAAGACTTTCATTTGAATCTTCTTTCAACTAATCAACCTTTAACCGCCACTAGGCCCTCACTTGACTGAATATGATGAATAATGTAAACCATGGAAGCTGGAATTCTCTGATTCTGAAGGAGTACCTGTATCTAACTGATACCAAAGAGAATTGTTTGGATTATTTTTTGCTCAGGCACATGAGGACAGCTGATTCTAGTCCAGTGGATTTTTACATAGTATTAATATAAATCCATAGCCTAAATGAATCATGTGATCGATATAATTGCCTTTTTATGATCTATGGATTCAGCTCCATGGTGCATCTGAGAAGGCAGCCCCCATCTGCTCAAGATGCCATTAGGGACCACCATAGTGTGTTGTCATCTGTACTGATAGAAAGACTTAAGACCAGGAAAATAAAAATTCTCATCCTACAAAATACGTTCAAGCTGTAAAATGAAGATGAAAGATCTTTAGGGTGATGTGAAAAGATTTAGGTTTCAGGTCTAGTCTTCTGTGACTTTAGATGAAGTATATACCTTCAATATTTAGTTTTTTTTTTAATTAAAGGGATAGCATAAACAGTAATGGAATAAACTGTTGGGATATGTGGAAGGCACTGAAGCAGAGGATCCCTGAACATTTTACAGAGGAATTTTGACTAAGATAGTATCGGAGTACTATGACCCCTAGGAGCCTTTCTTGCTCAGAGAATCAAAGACTCTCTAGTTAGATGATCTCAAAATCCCCTTAATTGTGATATTTTAGAACGTATGAATAGAATTCAGGCTATGATCCTTGGAGATGCTACTTCAGTGTTTTATTTTTCTAATTCCTCAGATGCTCCACTGGGATTTTATGTAATCTGGATTTAAATAGAAACAAAGTACTTGAGGGTGCTGGGTTCCCCCAAAAGAAGGCAATCTACAGAGTTTTCACGTGTAAAACTTTTAAGAAATATAAATATTTATTTTAAGGAAAACATCAATCAGTTAGCTGAGAGAAATTATGTAAGCAGCTTCAGATAATAAAGGAGTGAAATTTTAACTTCTTAGATACAAATAAAAATCTTTAATTTCTCCAGATTGCCATATTAAAATGGAGTTTAAGTACTAGATTTCAATTATACCTAAAATTATACATCCAGGAGTACACAGCAGAAACAGAAGTAGAAGAGTGAGAGATGAGAGACAAGTGGAGTATCTGTTTCATTTAATCCATGAATCCACCAATGAACAAAAAAGAGAAGTAGAGGAGGAAGGAAGGAAGGAAAGAAGGAAGGGAGGAAGGAAGTAAGGAAGAAAGGAAGGAAGGAAGGAAAAGAAAAAAGAAAATAAAATCTAGCTATGAGTAAGAATGACCCAATATGATCTTCAAGAACAATTCAGATAATTTTTTTTTTTTTTTCAGAAGGAGTCTCACTCTGTTTCCCAGGCTGGAATGCAATGGCACGGTCTCGGCTCACTGCAACTTCTGCCTCCCAGGTTCAAGAAATTCTCCTGCCTCAGCCTCCCAGGTAGCTGGGATTACAGGTGCACGCAACCATGCCTGGCTAATTTTTTTATTTTTAGTAGAGACGGGGTTTCATCATGTTGGCCAGGTTGGTCTCAAACTCCTGACCTCAGGTGATTCACCCATCTTGTCCTCTCAAAGTGTTGGGATTGCAGGGGTGAGCCACTACACCCAGCCAAATTCTGAGAATTATAAAGGCCATTCCCAGTCACTCTTAGTAAGTTCAGTGAAAGGTAGCCTCTGATTCTCCTTTTTAACTCTGCTACTTACCAGAAATGCCATCACTGATCTCCATGGGAGGCACAGAAAGAGGCTTTCTCAAACACTACCCATCATTCAAGTCCAGTCCCCACAAATCCCCAAGCTAGGTCAATGTTCCCACTGCTCGGTAAGTACTTACATTGCTCTCTCCCTTCTAATTTAGAGAGAAGCAGCTATTCAGTATTTGGCAGTCTCCTGACAAGTAGCACCACTGCCACAAATCAGAGCCTGAGGAAATAACAGCAAATGAGAGGGAAGCTGCCTTGAGATAGAAACTCTCATCTGAATCAACAGAGCTAGCCTCCTCCATCTATCAGGACTCCCAGCTTCTCCAGATAAGTCACCATCTTCAGAAGTTCTGATGACCAACGTGGGATGTGGTTATTAGAAGCATGTACTGTAAACACTGGACTCCTGAGGTTAGATCTACTGCACTGGAGCTGTTGTCTTGGGGTTAATTAGGAGTCAAGTTCATTTTGGAAAAAATAATGTCACCAGTTTCTCAAAGGTGGCCTCAGTTGAGGAGCCTGGGGAGTTGAAGTCATGAGCATAATTAGCCCATGTATGCTTTGAAAGTTGAGTCCATTTGAAAGTTGTGATGGATTCTGAAGGAGAGCCCACCACAATTAAGACTGTAATGCAACAGACCAAGTGGAAAATTTTTACTGAATTTTAATCAGAAGACTGATGTATTTGTCCAATGACACTCAACTTCAGTGTTTCTAAGAATCAAAAGAGGGTTGAATGATGTTTTCCAGGGCGCTGCCCCTAGAAACTCTAATTAAGAACATTGAGATGTTTTGCAAAAACCTAAAATTTTAGTAAGTATACTAAATCTAGTTGAGCTCTGTCATCAAACAGTGTGTTATCTTATTAATGCATTTTACCAGAATGACAAAATAATATAGAGTTGTGAATTTTGTTCAAGCTAATCTATAAAGCCAATATAATTCCAACCCAAATCCATGCATAAATTTTGAAGTCACCCTGACAATCAGATTTCCAAAATTTTCATGAAATTATAAAACAATTTTGTAAAGGGCAAGTAATATAGGCCCTCACTCTTCCTAGTAAAAAAAAACTATGCTTTAGTAATAAAAAAGAGCATGCTATTGGTGCAAGAAGAAATAAGTAGTATAGAGACAGAAAGGAGAGCTCAGAAATTAATGTATGTGTATTTGAGAACTTGGTCTTTGGCAGAAGTGACCTCACAAGTCAGTGAGAGAATTATAATTATGTACTAAATAATACTGGGAAGCCTCTGTGTATTCCACCGCTCAGAAGGAGGTGACCTGGTGGAATATGAAACGGTTTACTTGAGGCTCAGTTACTGCACTGGCTCTGTGCCAATACCTAGTACAGCCCCATGTGTCTGCCCAAAGCAGAATATACTCTGAACCAGCAGCCAAAGGATTGTGTTCATTCTCTACTAACAAGAATGTATAAGTCTGAGAACCGACGTTTAAGGGGAGATGAAATGAATCCTTCTGTTATTACTCCTAATGACTTATATGCATAAGTTTGAGCTTTGTGGATTAGAAGTGTTATTTCACAAAGGAGTGTTACTTCCACCAGAAAACACAAAAATGGTGATTGAGATGGCCCCTTGGCCACTTCAGTCTACTTTGTCCTTCTGTACCAGTAATCTACAGACAGAAATGAATCCTGTTTTTTAACGAAAAATAGGGTGTTGCCGCTACACTACCAAGGCAGAAAATAGTATGTCTAGAATCTAGATGTTCTAGGGCATTTTTTATTACTTCATATATAAAGGCAAAATTTAATAGAAGACTAAAACAACCTAATTTAGGCAGTCACTAATAGTTCAAGCCCTTCAGAAATGTTGGGGTATTAGGTGAGTTCAAAAGAATATAAACAGGTGACATTTTAAAAAGTCATAAGCATCAGTGATAGTCATGTTTACTTACAGAAACAAGGATTGCAGTAGCTGTTTTATTTTACTGCTTGCTTTATTATGTATATATGTGTATGTTGATCATTTTCCCATCTTGTCTTAACCTACCAGTATATATAAGGTGTGTTGATGTTACAAAACATTATAATTCCATCTACAAAGAAAAGGCTATCAAATAATTTATTGTTTCATTTTTAGAGATAAATGTGGGTACCTCTTTATGTGAGATGTATTTTCGTTATATTCGTTATTACTGTTTGGAAATTTAAACATCAACAGAAGGATGTGTATGGATGGTGAATATCTAAAAGGGAAACCTGTGCTGACTATATTTTACTGATATTTAGTATCATACTTACACTTCTAAGTTCTCTGTACCACAATGTAGGAATAAAAATTCTGGAAATCCTGATGTCTGTTTTCCATATCACCTTGCCAAAAGGGTTTTACAAAAAAGGAGCATTCATGAAATATGTGGATGCAGAAGGGGGAAGCCAGTTGTTTGGGGCAGGGTGATATGCCAGCACTTATCAGATGATAGATGTGGACTTTAGCCCTTCACGTTCAGATTTTCTGAGAATCATCCATCAGTACTGAAGCAGCCAAGATCATCTGTGAGGGCTTCCTGTGATCCTTGCAATTCGGAAAATCAAGAGCAGCTTTCCTGACATTTATTCTCCTAATCTTCCAATACATACATAAGCCTCTATTTTCTCTATCAAACCTATTATTTTAAATTCATAGACTCTCAAAAAGTAACAATATGTAAACCTACCTCAATCTTTGCAATAGATGCTAGAGTTGTGATTTTTCTTGTCCATAGTTGGAATAACTTTATAAATGCCATTTTATTAATTTTTATAAATTTCTCAGAGTTTGGATAAATGAAATAGTTTTTTGAAAAATTGTGCATTACCCACAAAATGAAATTGCTGATTGAAAATCTATTCTTATTTCAAATTTTAATATGCATTGTGTTGGCATATAATCTCCACAAAGGTTATAAAACTTATACTTTCATTAACAATATGTGAAGATGCCAATTTCTCCATAATGTATATGATGTTACTTTTAATCTTTTAAATTCTAGCCAAGATGAAATATAAAAATCATACCGTGCTCCCATTTACATTTCTTTGATTAATAGTAGAGGTAAGCACTTTAAAAAAAATTATCAGACACTGTTATCCAACTTTTGAAAATTATCTATTTATTTTCCTATTACATTTTTTCTTTATAGATTTGAGAGACTACTTGGTTCAATAATTGTGTTTGACCTTTGAATTAAAAGTGTTCCACCTTGTCTTTTATTTTTATTAGAAAACTTTTAATACTAACAATTAACCTTATAGAGGATTAACTTACATCATATAAAATGTTCCCAACTTAAATGTACAGTTTGGTACATTTAAGCAATACTAAGCAACAACACCCCAATCAAATTACAAAGAATTTCTACAATGCCAGAAATCTCCCCCTCCAGCCCTGTGGTCAATTCTACCCAGATTTGGTCCCAGAAACACTCCAATCAAATTACAGAGCATTCCTACAATGCCAGAACTCTCCCCCTCCCCACTTGTGGTCAGTTCTACTCAGTCTTGGTCCCAGAAAAACAGTAATCTGTTTTCTGTTAATATGGTTTGGCCTTTTCCAGAATTTCATGTAAATTGAATCATACAGTATGATAACTTTTGTGTCTAGTTTCTTTCTCTTAGCATATTTCTGAGATTCACTCATGTTGTGTCATTTGTCAGTTCATTCTTTTTATTGCTTAATAGTATTCCATTTTATGAATACACTGCAATTTATTCAGTGAAGGATAAATCGAACTGTTGAAAGATACTTGGATTCTTTCTCGTTGGAGGCTAATAGGAATAAAACTGTTATGAACATAAGTTTCCCAGTCATTGTATAGACATATATGTTCATTTATCTTTGGTACATACCTAGGAGTGGAGTGACTCTGCCACATCATAGGTATAAATTTAGCTATTTATAAACCTCCAAGCTGTTTTTCAAAGAAGTTGTATCATAATTCAATCCTACCAACAATGTTGTAAAAATTCCAGTGGTTTCTTATCTTATCCACCTCTAGGCATTGTCAGTTTTTTAATTTATCACATGTGTAGATATCTATCCTTTTAGTTTTATTAGGCATTCTTTTGAAGAATAATTATATTGAGCATTTGTATGGGCTCTGTGGCTATTTGTATATCTTGTTTTTTGAAGTGTGTGTTCAAACCTTTGACCATCTTTTAATTATGTGTCTTCCCTTTTTATATAAGAGATATATATTTATTCTGGATACAAGCTCTTTATTAGGTATATATTTTGTAAATATGTTAGCCTAGCATGTGAATCACCTTTCCATTTCATTAATCATTCCTTTTTATATAAATTTTTGAGCTATAATTTTATATCATAAAATCTGTACTTTTTATTTATATAGTCCAGTGATTTTTAGTATTTTCACAGAGTTCTACACCCATCAAATTGCCTAACTTTTTAAAAGCAGAAGTTTTTAATTTTGACATAGTTCAATTTATCATTTTTTTCTTTTTATGATTCATGTTTTCTGTCTCCTGTCTAATAAGTCTTTGTCTACTCCAAGTTGAAGAAATTTTCCCCTGTGCTTTCTTTAAAATGTGTACAGTTTTGACATTTTTAAGTTGCAATGTCTATATGAGGTGAAATTATGTATGTGGTGGTGTAAGGATCAACTTTAATTTTTTTTGGATGGGTATCCAATATTTCCAGAACAGTATGTTGAGAAACTATTCTCTCCTTATCAAACTACCTTGACAACTTTATTGAAAATCAATTAAGCATATATGCATAAGACTATTTCTATAATATACATTCTGTTCCATTGATTTGTATGTCTATTTTTATGATAATATCACTTAGTCAATGTCATTCTATAATATGTCTTGAAATTGTGTGCTAATATATTTTAAATGTTTTTCTATATTTCTAAATTGCTTTATTTTACATGCTTTGCATTTTCATATACATTTTATAATCAATGTGTCAATTTCTAGAGAAAATCACACCAGGATTTATATTGTGATTGTGTTTAACTATAGATCAAACTGGGGGGTAATTGCCATCCTGACTATTTTGGGTTTTTCAATCCATGAAAATTGTATACCTCTACATTTATTCAGGTCTCCTTTAATTTTTCTCAACAACTTTTATTTTGGTTTTCAGTTCACTTAACTATTTCATGGTTTTGAGAGCATTTTATAGAGCTTTTCTAATTTTGATTTTTACTTTTTGGTGCTATTCTAAACAAATACAATTGAGTTTTGTACTGTTGTAAACTTATGACCTTTTATTCTTGTATTTGTTTTATTTTATTGCAGTTTCAAGGTGTACATATGCAGGATTGTTGCATGGATAGATTGTGTACTGATGTGATTTGGACTTCCAGTGTAACCATTACCCAAATAGTGAACATTGTACCCAATAGATAACTTTTCAAACTTCATGTCCTTTCCACCCTCCCTTTTTTTGGAGTCTCTGATGTCTATCATTTCCATCTTTATGTCCGTGTGTACCCAATGTTTAGCTCTCACTTATAAGTGAAAATATGTGAGATGTGGTTTTCTGTTTCTGAGTTATTTTACTTAGGATAGTGGCCTCCAGCTCCCTCCATGCTGCTAAATAGGACACAATTTTATTCTTGTTATGGCTGCGTAGTATTCCATGGTGTATATATACATTTTTGTGTGTGTGTGTGTGTGGAAAACCAGCTCACGTTTAACTGTGACATTTTAAAATTGTACAAGTATTTTGACAACTGCCCCCCACATTTAGTCTCTTAAAATGACAGGAAAACATTAATCAATCACATGTTTAATACATTTACCCCTTCGGTTCCTATTTTCAACATCCAATATTCCTTTGAAATATGAAACAGACCTGGCAGTGGCCAACAGCACATTTCTGCTCACCGCCTCCCACCCCCAACGGAGTTGAAAAGTTCAGGTTTAGTGTTGTAGCAGTGGCACTTGTCCAGAATTGGTACCTCTCCATGGTTGGAGGACTTTAAATGTACCAGTGAAAATAGCTTTTCCCCCTTCAAGGGGAAGAAAAAATATCACTCCTCAAAACGCAGCAGATCTGGCTGTGAGATCTTTCCTCCTATCTCATCTCTTCAGGCTTTTTTTTTTTTTTTCCAGTGGAGCAGGACAGACCAAAACCTAATCTGAGTTACAAGAAACAAGAGAGTAATGGCTATAAAGGGAGTGACCAGAAGCAACTGGGACACTCCTTTACCTCCCATACCCAATGTATGTGCCTGGCAGAAAAACAACAAAAATAACAAATCCACAAAATACAAGTTGGAATTACAAAATCCTTTTATCTAAGGGTGGTAGAAGGCAGGATGGAAAGGTGGGAGGGTAGATGGCACAGAGAGAAAAACAAAGTATTCAAATCAGTCCAGGCACAGGGACTGGCAAATGCTAGAAAATAGCTGCAGTAAAACCTGTGGTCCTTTTTAGACTCATGGTGATGTTAAAAATCCACACACTGGTGTCAGGGAACATTATGCCTCACGTGCACCAGAGACAAAAATTCCAATTCCTCAGAGAGAAGGGAACACGCAGAGGGCCCTTGGCAGAGTGGGTCCTGTCTTCCTTGGCAGGGAGAGGTGAACAGGAAAAAGAGCTGCCACAGCCTCCTTCCAACCCCGCCTATCCCCTTTGGATGGCAGGCAACTCAGTGGCCTGCAGTAGCCTTCAGTTTGGCAAGAGACGGATGAGGTGAAGGGAACTTCTCTGCAGAAGTGGAGCTGCTCAGGACAGACTGCAGGTAGACTGTCTTGTGGAAGAGTCTGTTGCTTAAGAAGACCACCAAGGAGAACAGGCACAACTGGAAGAGATACGCTTTTCCAGGGGTCTTTGCTTCATTGGCGCTGATAATGAATAAAGGAAAGAGGATAGAGAAAAGGCAGCTGCTGATAGTATATGAGGACTGCATTGCTATGAGAAAAGCCAAGGGCAAACCAAACCCAAAGTAGTAAGGCCAATTGCTCTCTATGTTAGACAACTGCTGGTGTATTTCAGTTCCTTTACTGAACCAACGATATTCAAAGCAGTACAGTGACTAGAGAAGGGACATATGCAGGAGACTAACCAGCTGACCTACAAGATGGATGAGAAAGAGAATCACAAACATTCCCTGAATGGGGAAAAGAGCCTGCAGCAAAAGGTTGAAGAGCATGTCAGCAATTATTTTGCTGACACTAGGGAATGGGTGAGGCTTCCTCCCTGATACCTCAATTGTCAGGTCAGCTATATCCTGGAACCAAATGGCATTCACTACTTTGCTAAGCACAAACAAGGGGAGCACCCAAAGAGCATTGAAAATTGACCTGAGGAAGAATTCCAGCCACTACCAAACATCTCCATGTAGTGATGGATCACCAATAATTTGGGCTGTTACTGACTGAAGCACAGGAATAAATACTCGATAAAACAAAAGGAGACTGAACAACAACACTCCACCATTCCAAGCACAACGCTGGAAAATTCTACTAACAACGCATGGCTCACTCTCTTGCCTCCACTCTATATGCTGGGCTCTTCTTTGGGCCAAGACACTACTTGCCCTTCTTCAAGGCTGCTCCTCTCTCTTTTCCTGGATTTGAGCATCTAGCTTTGAGATGGTACAAACAGCCCAGGTGGAGTCTTTGATTCCTCTGGCAAGGTCCTGAAGAAAGGTTTTGACACTGTCAGCCATCTCTTCACCAGCAAACTATCAACTACACAGAGGAGAGAGAAATGTCTCCAAATCTCTCATGAAGGACCCGCAGCTCCGCCATGAAGGCTCCGGCCCAGCCCCTCACCAACCACAGGCTCGCTCCACCAGGGCGCTCACATTTTCTTAATTCAATCCACCAGTGATGGACACTTTGGTTAATTCCATGACTTTCCTATTGTGAATAGTGTTGTGATAAACATTCAAATGGAGGTGTCTTTTCTTTTTTATAAAATAGCTTTTTTCCCCCCTTGGGTAGATTCCTGGAAGTGGGATTGCTGGGTTAAATGATGGTTCTATTTTTAGTTCTTTGAGAAATCTCCATACTCTCTACCACACAGGTTGAACTAATTTACATTCCCACCAGTAGTGTAGAAGCATTTCCTTTTCGCATTCATGCCAATATCTGTTGTTTTCTGACTTTTTAATAATAATCATTTTGACTGGTGCAAGATGATATCTCATTGAGGTTTTAATTTGTATTCCTCTGATGATTAGTACTGTTGATTTTTTTTTATGTTTGTCATATATTTGCATGTCTTCTCTTGGGAGATGTCAGTTCGTGTCTTTTGCCCAGTTTTTATTGGGGTTGTTTTTTGTTTCATTGTTGAATTGTTTGAGTTTCTTGTAGATTCTGCATATTAGTCTTTTAAAAATATTTTATTTCATTCTGTAGGTTTTTTGTTTACTCTGTTGATTATTTATTTTGCTGTGCAGAAGCTTTTTAGTTAAATTAAGTCCTATATGTCTATTTTTGGTTTAGTCATATTTGCTTTTGGGATCTTAGTCATAAATTTTTGGTTTGGGGGTTTTTCTGTGTTTTTGTTGTTGTTTGTTTGTTTGTTTTTAGGTAGAGAAGAGATTTCACCATGTTGCCTGGACTAGTCTTGAACTCCTGGACTCAAGTCATCTGCCTGCCTCCGCCTCTCCAAGTGCCCAGATTATAGGCATGAGCCACCCTCTCCAGCGTAGTCATACATTATTTCCCTAGGCCAATGTCTAGAAGAGTTTTTCTGGGTTTTCTTCTAGGATTTTTATACTTTCAGGTTTTACATTTAAGTCTTTAATTTATCTTCATTTAATTTTTTATATGTTGAAAGCTAGGAATCTACTTTCATTATTCTGTATATGACTGGCTAATCTTCCCAGCACCATTTATTGAATAGAATGTACTTTCTCCATTGTTTATGTTTGTTGACTTTGTTGGACATCAGTTGGTTGTATGTATTTGGCTTTATTTCTGGGTTCTCTATTCTGTTCCATTGTTTGATGTGTCTATTTTCGTACCAGTATTGTGTCATTTTATTTACTATGGCCTAGTAGGGTAATTTGAAGTCAGATAATGTGATGCCTCTGTATTTGTTCTTTTTTAAAAAATTTCTAAAAACGGAACAAATACAGAGGCATCACATTATTTGTTCTTTTTGTAGGATTGCTTTGGCTGTTCAGGCTCTTTATGGTTTCACATGAACTTCAGAATGTTTTTCTAATTCTTGGAAAGAAGACCTTGGTAATTTAATAGGAATTGCATTGAATCTATAGATTGCTTTTAGCATGATGATTATTTTAACAATATTGATTATTTTAATCCATAACCTTGGGATTTTTTAAATTAGTTTGTATCATCTATAATTACTTTTATCAGTGTTTCATACTTTTTGTGGATATTTTTACCTCCTTTTTAAAATGTATTACCAGCTATTTTATTTTTGTAGCTTTTATAATGAATTTGAGTTGTTGATTTGCTTATCAGCTTGCATGCAAAAATCAGAAATGCCACTGATTTTTGTACATTGATTTTGTATCCTGAAACTTTACTGAAGTCATTTAACAAATCTAGGTGTCTTTAGGGTTTTCTAGGTTACAATATTTCAACTTCACTAGCTTTATTTTTTCCTATTCAGTATGACTTCAGCAGTGGGTTTGTCATATATGGCTCTTACTATTTTGAAATATGTTACTTCAGTGCCTAGTTTGTTGAGAGTTTTTATCATAAAGGAATGTCAGATTTTATCAAATGCTTTATCTGGATTTATTAAGATGATCATGTTTTTTTCTTAATTCTGCTTAAGTGGTGAATTACATTTATTGATGTGCATATGTTCAGCCATCCTTGCATTCCTGGAATAAAACTCAATTCATTGTGATGAATTATCATTCCTTGTGATGTTGGATTTTGTTTGCTAGTATTCTGTTAAGAATTTTTGCATCTATATTCATCAGGGATATTTGCTTGTAGTTATCTTCTTTGTTTTTCTGTCCTTGACTGATTTTGGCATCAAGGTAATATTGTTTTCATAGAATGAATTAGGAAGGAATACCTTCTCCTTGATTTTTTGGAATAGTTTCTGACTGTTAATCCATCTGGTCCTGGGCTTTTTTCTGTTGGAAGATTTTTTTTTTATTACTGATCTATTTCATTGCTCGTTATTAGTCTGTTCAGGATTTCTGTTTCTTCTTGGTTCAGTCTTGGGAGTTTGTATGTTTTCAGGAATTCTAGTTTGTGCACAAAGAGATAGTCATAGTGGTCTCTGATGATCTTTTGTATTTCTGTAATATCAGATGTAATGTCACCAATACCATTTTTATTGTGTTTATTTTAATCTTCTTTTTTCCTGGTTAATCTACCTATTGGTCTATCAATTTTATTTATTCTTTCAAAAAAATCAACTTTTCATGTTGTCGATACTAAGTATTATTTTTGTTTTGTTGTTGCTGTTGTCCTTTTTGTCTAAATCTCATTTTGTTCTCCTCTGATCTTTGTTATTTCTTTTCTTCTGCTAGATTTGGGCTTCATGTGTTCTCATTTTTCTACTTCCTTGAGGTGCAACATTGGGTTGCCAATTTGAGATATTTCTGTCTTTTTGATGTAGGTGTTTAATGCTTTAAATTTGTCTCAGCACTGTTTTTGCTGCCTCTCAGAGTTTTTGGTTTGTTGGGTCCCTATTTTTATTCCCTGAAATTTTTTTGACTTCTGCCTTAATTTAATTATTTACCAAAAAGTCATTCAGGAGCAAATTGTTTAGTTTGCATGTACTTGTGTACTTTTGAGAGTTCCTTTTGGCATTGACATTTGATTTTATTCCACTGAGGTCCAAGAAAATACGTGACATTATTTTGATATTTTTGAATTTATTAAAACTTTCTTTATGGTCAAGCATATGGTCAATTTTGGAGAATGATCCATGCACACGAGAAAAATGTATATTCTGCAGTTGTCGGATAGAATGCTCTGTAAATATCTGTTAGGTCCATATGGTCTAGAGTCAAGTTTAAATCCAGAGTTTCTTTATTGATATTCTGCCTCAATGATCTGTCTAATATTGTCAGTAAAATGTTGAAGTCCCTCATTATAATTGTATTGCTGTCAAACTGTTTTCTTAGGTCTAGTACTACTTGTATTATTTTTATATTGCTGGACCTGCTAAATTCTTTTACTAGTCTTTATAATACTTTTCTTTGTTTATTTAGGATTTTGTATGTAAACATTCACATTTTCTGTGAATAAATACAAATTTACATCTTTTTAATATAAATTATTCTTTCTTTTTTTGCTTATTACATTGGCTAGGAATTCTCATACAGTATTGGATTGAAGTAATGAAACCAGATGTTCTTGTTTTGCTCTGGGTATAGAAATTACTTAACCTATACATTTGATTACCCAGGAAGTGCTATACCTTTATAAACAGCCTATGTGCACTTGATAAAAAATAATTTTCTGCTATTTTTGTGTGTATCTTTTTATAAATAGTAATTATGTCAAGCCTGTTATTGTTTGCATCTTATAATTCTTATGAATTTTTTTCTACTTATTTTATCAATTACGTAAGAAGGTATGTAGAAATATTTATAGTTTGGATTTGGCTTCTTCCTTTTCTGTCTTGTCACTTTGGGCTTCCTTTTTTTTAACTTTTTATGAAATGCATATTTATATTTGACAATTAGAATTTTGTATTAATTTTTTATTATTAGCAAATGTCCATCTTTAGTTCTGTTAATATTTATTGTGCTGACGTCCACTTGTCTCATGTTAATATATTCCTTCTGCCTTTCTAATAGTTAGAGTTTTGTGCTTTTTTTCTAGGACATTACTGTTATCTGAGACTTAAGATTTATAGTGGGTTTTTTTGCAGAAAATATGTAATTGCTTTGTTTATACAAATCAGGCAATCTCTTTTTATTGAAGTGTAAATAATTTACAATCAATGTAAGTTTCATTTTGAGTGTGTTTAAGTCTACCATTGTTCTATGTGATGTCTCTTTGTTTCATTTATTTCTTGTTACTGTTTTCCTATTTTCTTGACTTCCATTGGATTAATTGAGTAATTATTAATATTCTGTTGTATCGCCTCTATTGGTTTATTAGCAATACATTTCTTTAATTTTTGTGTTTTGTGAGATATAAAATGTGCGTTTTTAACTCATCACAGTCAACCTTCAAATAATATTGTAGCACTTTATTTATATTGTGATTTTTTATAGTATGCTTTCATTTCTCCCTACTGAGTTTTGTCCTAGTTTTGTCATGTATTCTACTTATAAACTTATAAAATAAATATTGTTGGATTGAAAAGGTATAAGAGGAGTTTGAGACCCACTTATTTTGGTACTAAATGTGAGAACTGTACTTCCTCTCAGTAATGCTGTCGTGCCCTGTGCTTGTACCTAGCTTAACCCTCTTTGCTTGTTGTAATTATTCACTTATTTCTTTATCTCATCTTCTAAACATCAAGCTTTTATCAGAATGAAGTCAGTAGCTCTAAACTTTCTGAAAATCAAATAAATTACATAAACAGATTGCAAACTATTCCAAGCTCCACCTAAAATATTTCTTATTTAGGAGATCCTAGGGTAAAGCCCCAAAATATGCATCTTCACGTGCACCTCAGGAGGCTCAAATGTATATGGGTCCATATGTCACCACTGGCACAGACTAAGCCATCATCGTGCCACCTTCCCCACTAAAACACTCACCAGAGTGCTTGGAGCATTATAGGTACTCGATGCATATTGATTAAATTAATGAACTAATGAATGTCCTGACAAAAGTCTACATTGATTAATGTATTTGAAGAGACAAATTGAGCAGGTAGAGGAATGTAGAAAAGGTTAGACTGTGTGCCCTCTTATGATGCCAGTATAACTTATTCATAAATCAAGAGAGTTATAGAAAAAAATAATCTCATAATTCAACTAGCAACTTTAAGAAGGAAGAAAAAATTTGTCAAGAATGTCATTTATTTTATCCCTTAAAACAGTCCATCTATGTTTAGCATCCAAAAAGCTAATGACTAAGTAAGTAACAGTCATCACTTTATTCAGCAAATGTAACCTTTCTCCAAAATGAATGATCACTGTAAAAAATTATAGTATTTAAAGCTATTCGTCTTTTACGCAGATCAAGTAAACCACATAATTTATCTACCCTTTTTTTTTCTTTCTTTAAGGTTGAATATTACATTTTTAATGCCTAGAGTCCAAGGAAGAACCTCCCTCCAAAGCCTCAATCCCCTGAGGCACCCCAAATGTATAAGACCCAGGGATTTTGCTGGAGTATGTGCTGTCAAGGCCACAGAGCTGCTAAGATTGGGGCTGTACAGTTACTTTCAGCTCAGACACCAGGCAGAGCTGTCTTTCATCTTTAAAAGCGAATGGCCCCTGGACTTTCCCTGGTAAGATCTGGGAGAAATATGCTACATGATTTTTTTTAATGTTTGTTTATTTCTCTCTCCTTTTTAGACTTTGATGGGATATGAGAAAAAAAGGAACATGAGATTGTGCTAAAACTGCCTGTGGATGTAAGTTTTTCCTTTGTACTAGAGTTGTAGGACTACTCTTTCTTATGAGTAATATCTGTCAATTTTCTCTAAAAATATTCTGAATACCAAAGAAAGATTCAGAGGCAGAAGAACTCATGGAAACCATGCACTGGTGAAGTGTGGGCCATAGCATCAGAATCTAGAGTGAGAGACAGGACAGAGACCATATGGAGAGGGCAAAGATGCAGCTGAACAAAACCTGACCATGTGAGCATGGGAGATATAGTAAATGAAGAGAATAACTAAGAGTGTAAACAGCAAAATATTCCTAAAATAGACCTAAACTAGGAAATAGGGAGAAACTGCCTAATGTGTACCTATATATGATGGGTTAAGGTGGAAGAATAAGAGATAGGAGTGAATGAAAGAGTGGAACAGAAAGCCTTGTGGGGATCATACAGAGTAAAGAAGACATTGATCTATTTCCTAAGTCACTGGTGTATAAGCACGCAGTGCAAAGGAAATATTAAAACTAGAACCCAGGTAATTCAAAAGACAAAACCCTAGATGGGAGACTTAAGGTATTTGGGATACAGTTCCTGCCTCATAGCTTATGCAACCTACATCTTGATATTTTACTTCTCTGGGCCTCTGTTTCTTCATTTATAACATGAGGGGGCTTGGCTAGATATTTAACAGCCTGCCTGTATTGACCACTTATGCATCAGGAAATTCATTGTGGGCATTTGGTGCTCACACAAACTTTTTGGCTTATGCTATTATTATTGCCATTTTAGAGATTAAATCATGAGACCCAAAGTGATTTCCCCAACATTGTACATTGGCAGAGCCATGGTCTCAACCTAGGCAGTCTGACTCCAGAGCCTCAGTCCATCCAGCCTCACTATGCTGCCATTCTAACAAATGATCTCAGAGCAAACTGACAGGGAAGTGAATTCAAACAGGATTCAGTCATTGAGAGCTACATAGGGAAGCCTCTCAGGAGATGAATAATGAGTTGAGGTTTTGTAGGAAAGACAAATATTAATTCTGAGGGATAACAAAAGTAGGAAAGAAAATGTAATGTTATGTGTAGAAGCAGAGAGACAAAGTTAGTTATGTTTGATGCTGCAGCCAACCAGCTTGTCTACAGCTGAGGGGCAGATGCGTGACCTAATGTTGAGGACAAACACACCTAAGATGGTGATGAGGACAGAGAAAATTCCAGAAACATTGCCATAAGCTATGTATTAAATAATTCGTTAGAAGGAAAATAAGACCCATAAAGATATATGATCATTTTATTTCAATAACTAAAGGCTAGCTGTCATTCATACAAATAATTTAACATTATTGTGAGTATCTGCAGAGGACAAATCAAGAACAATGGGTGACTATTTCAAGGAGGCATAGTTCAGCTCAGAAGTAGCCAAATAAACTATCTAGCAAGGGAACAACAGCCTGTTTTGGAAGTGAGTGACTTCTTAAAATTTGTCCTTGACTGTGGACGTTGGACAATACTTCCTACATTGCTATAAAGAGGTTCACAGAATTGTATGCAGGTTGAGTTAGAAGATTTCTGATCTTTTTTCCAAAATGAAAATAATCTGATTGTCTAAGTCTGATATGAAGGTTTTAGCATTTATTTGATCTCCAAATCAAACCACAGATCTTCTTACAGATAATGATGAAAGTTCTTCTTAGAACATTATGGAGGCAATGGAGATTGAGGCATAGGCCAGAAGAGTGGAGATCTCAGCCCAAGCCTCATAATGCTCTGAGGTTAATTTGAGCTTTATTAGGTTCTTAATCTCAGATTCCCATGCACTGATGACAAGGGAAACCCCAATATGTGAGCCATCCCAAAGTCTTCACAATTGATCATGGGTAAATAGAATCTGAATACTTTTAAGTAGATTAAAATAGTTCCCTACATCTGAACAAGCATTATTTGAGTTATGTATATGAGAGACTGGGTACATCACTTTTTACTTGTTTTGTTTGTTTTTCTGAATCAGATTTTTATAAGGTATTAGCAAAGATAGGTGATTTTTAAGGACTGTTACTGTCATGTGGGTAAGCAAATGGTTTAATCTTATTGAGCCTCATTTTCTTCTTCCATAAAATGAGAGTACTTAATGAGATGAGGTCTAAATCACATTTTGATTTTACAGTATGAACTTTCTAGGCACATAGGAATACAGAGAATGGAAATAACTTACAAAAATAAAAATAAATAATTTCAGATATCTTTGAATTGGGATATGTCACTATTCATGTCCCTTGACCCTTCCCTATACTCTGATCTATGTACTTAATGTGTGTTATGTATTTTTTCAGACCAGTATTATCAGCTTTTTACAGAAACGCGAAATGAGTATCTCTAGGGTCATTTCACTTTTATCAAATTCTCTCCTTCTCAATTTCAGGTTACCTAAGTCTAATTACACTGACCAATGAAAAGACAGAACCAGAGCATGATCACCGAGTTCATCCTTATAGGCTTCTCAAACCTGGGGGATCTGCAGATCCTTCTCTTCTTTATCTTCCTATTAGTCTACCTGACCACTCTGATGGCCAACACCACCATCATGACAGTCATTCACCTGGACAGGGCTTTGCACACTCCTATGTACTTCTTCCTCTTTGTCCTTTCATGTTCTGAAACCTGCTACACCTTGGTCATTGTACCCAAAATGCTTACCAACCTGCTATCCGCAATTCCAACTATTTCTTTCTCTGGATGTGTGGTCCAGCTCTATTTATTTGTGGGCTTGGCTTGTACCAACTGTTTTCTCATTGCTGTGATGGGCTACGATCGCTATGTTGCCATCTGCAACCCCCTTAACTACACACTCATTGTCAGCTGAGCCACCTGCATGCAGCTGGTTCTAGCCTCCAGCTTTTGTGGCTTCCTGACTTCTGTGATTGTCAATATCCTGGTGTTCAGTGTGCTCCTCTGTGCCTCCAATCGGATCAACCACTTTTTCTGTGACATTTCCCCTGTCATAAAACTGGGCTGCACAGACACCAACCTGAAGGAGATGGTCATCTTTTTCCTCAGCATTCTGGTATTGCTGGTTCCCCTTGTGTTGATATTCATCTCCTACATCTTCATAGTTTCCACCATCCTCAAGATCTCCTCAGTGGAAGGACAGTGCAAAGCCTTCGCCACCTGTGCTTCCCACCTCACAGTGGTCGTCGTCCACTATGGCTGTGCTTCCTTTATCTACTTGAGGCCCACATCCCTGTACTCTTCAGATAAGGACCGGCTCGTGGCAGTGACTTATACTGTGATTACTCCACTACTCAACCCCCTTGTCTATACACTGAGAAATAAAGAAGTAAAGATGGCTCTGAGAAAGGTTCTGGGTAGATGCTTAAATTCCAAAACTGTATGAGTGGGCTGATAAGGCAGTAAATTACATTCATGAAAGTTTCCTAGGTAGCACTTCAGATCTATAAACAGATTCGTCCTTTTCTTAAGACTCCTTGACAAAAAAAAAAAAAAAAAAGAGAGAGAGAGAGAAAAGAAAAGAAATAAGGACTTTAGGTGACCTTGATTGTTTATATCAAAAAATTTTTTTCATGTTAGCCTGTATCCACTGCAAAAGTTATACCAATTGGTCTCCAGAAAATTATGTGAACATTGAAACTTTCAATAACACAAGCTACATTGTTTTTATGCATTACAAGTGTTTGCTTTGTCAGATCAAAACTACAAATGCTGCATTATCTTTTTGAGAATTCCCAGATTGTTGATACTCCTTTTACAGTGAAAGAAACAACATATTCTAGAAATAATTTACTGCAGTTATTTCTTTATTAAACTTATATATACATACACATACCTACATATGTGTGTATATATATATGAATGTATATATATATACATGTGTGTGTATATTTATATAAAGTTTAACCCACTTCCCATTTAGGAAAAAAAAAAGTGCAGTTCTGTGCCATTATGGAATTCTCAGGGCAAACGGGAAATGGGTTAAAGCAAATGGTTTAATCTTTTTGAGCCTCATTTTGTTCTTCCATAAAATGACAATATTCAATGAGATGAGCTCACATCATAGTTTGACTTTACTGTACAAACCTTCTTTGCACATAGTAATACAAAGAATATAAATAACTTGCAAAAATAAAGATAAATTACTTCAGTTATCTTTAAATTGGGGTATGTCACTATTCATGTCTCCTGATTCTTCTCTATCCCCTGATCTACATATGCATATATATACACACATATATTATATATATATATATGTTTAAAAAGAAATATATGCAGTAAATTGTTTCTAAATAATGAACATAAATTTGCTTCTGGAAAAATGAGGGGGGTGGTGGTAAAGTTCTAAGAGGTCGATGATAGAATAGAAAACACAGACTTTGGAGTCACAAAGACCTGGATTTTAATCTTTATTTGGATCATTTTCCAGCTAAGCCCCTTGTGCCAGGTTTAACTTCTTTTATTTTTAGTTATTTATTATGTAACAAAGGACCTTTAATACCTCCTCAGTGGGCCACTGCAAAATCTAGTTAAATTAATAGATGTAAAACAATTCCATGCTTGCCTGAGAGAAGGTATTGAAAAATTGCTTCTGTTTTTACTTCTCTTTCATTTTCCTTTCTTTATTCTATAATCTAGGGTTAGACTCTATGTCAGATAAAGTGTAAAAGTAAGTTGACCATTCAAGAGCCCTGCACTGTTTATGCACCTGCTACCATATGCAAGGCATTGAAACAAGCACTGTAGTGAGTACAATGAAGAGTAAAGCACAGTCCCTTCTTTTCCTCATGCCTCACTGAAAGAAAGGGTCAAATTTTAGTCACCCAATATAGGTGCATCATATACATTTGAATGAGTTTACTGTGGCTTTTGCTAAAGCTGTGTTTCAATAAAACAATGGAATTATGTTAATATCAAAAAAATTTCATTTCTTAGCTTTTCACTTGAGCAACATGCAGTTTAATAACTCTTGCTTGGGAAATAGATTATGTGGATTTAGAAGGAGGTTTCTTCACATACTTGTAAGTATGAAACAATAACTTAAACACCATACATTGAAAGTGATCAAAATAGGGTTGCTGTAAGAATTAAATGGGGAAATTCCTTAATTAACACACAGTTTGAAACGTATGTATTTGATATATTTTAATTATTATTTGTATGCTATATGTAATGTTGAGAGATAAAGAAAGACATTAGAATGCAGAATATAAGGAGAAGGAAGAAGAAAAAAAGCTAGGATTGAAAGAAGGGAGAAAAAGAAAACAAATAAATAAAAGAGTGATAGAAGCCTTAGTTGAATTTACTAAATGCTAACATGATTTTTTTTTACTACCTGGAAAAAAATGCTACCTTTAGCATTTTTTACGTGCCACACCCAATAGTTTGGCAATGAGTGTCCCAAGGATAAAACTGAGTTGCTAATGTATTCTTAGTTTATCGGAATATGATTATTAAAACCTCCTTAGGACATTTCTTTGATTAAGACAGCTAAATTAGGACACGATCATTTATTTTAGATTTTTTTTAATTCAAGGATTTGAGCTTTGTTTGTTGACACCACCCATTGATGAGAGTAGTTTGGGGTTTCTGTGATTGTTTCTACTATAGGAAAGGTTAAGCTGAAGAGAGTGAGAGGCAACTTTCATCTTCATTCCCTGTCACCTCAGAATTCCCAGAACACCACTTTTCCTCAAGTCCACCTACTCAACACACACCCAGACAAACACACATCTGTAAAATGTACTTCCCTCTGATTTGCATATGATATATATACTTCTTTGTTTGCTACAGATGTGAGAGTGTTCATAAATTTGTTTTAAACCCTGAATGCTTAGATGGCTTGCCATTTTTTTCAGAGAATAACACAACTGGTACTGAATTTGCATTTGAGGATGACCATGATGGTGATGGTGATATTAATGATAGCTACACCTGGCGTATACTAGGCTTTCAAAATCATTTTTAAATTAATAAATGAAAATAAATGTTGGGTAATCCAAGGTTCTCTAATTTATCTGTAGATAAAAATTATCACAAAACTGAATGGACTTTTTTCTGCATCTTTAATGGTTCTTTTAATACTGATTTAATTTAATAGTGATTGAAGACTTATTCTAAAGCAGGTAGGGTGTCCTGTGCCTGTTCTCCCAGTTACTCCAGAGGCTCAAACAGGAAAGGTTGCTTGAGCCCAGAAGTTCAAGGCCAGCCTGGGCAACACATTACGATCCATCTCTAAAAAAGGAAGACAGAAAATACTTATTCTATGTTCTAATATAGTCTATGTTCTTCTTCATTTATTTATCTAACAATTACCTACTTGGCATGTATCACTCACTAGACACGGTGAGAGTAAATAAGACAAAGAAAGGAAAAATATTGCAGACAAATAGAGACAATTACATTGCGGTGTAATAAATAATTAACTGTGATTCAGAGGCTGAATATAGTATAAGGACCTAACTGAATTGTGGAGAATCGAGAAAGACTTCTCAGAGTAAGTGACACTTAAATTTAAACTTGAAAAACAAGTAAAAACTAAGAAGTTAAAGAGTGTTTCAGGCACTTTGCATTGTGTACACAGATGCAAAGAAAGAACTCATCGCCTAGATGAGTAAATTTAAGTGTCTCATGTGCCTGAAAATAGACCTCTGGAGTGACAGAAGTTAATAAAGTTAAGGCAGAAAATGTAAACCTATTGGGAAGAGCTTTTGTAGGTTAAGTTAAAGAGGTCAGATTGGGCCAGGTGCCATGGCTCACGCCTGAAATCTCAGCATGTCGGAAGGCGGAGGTGGGTGGATCACTTGAGCCCAGGAGTTTGAGACCAGGTTGGGCAACATGGAGAAACCCTGTCTGTAGAAAGAATGTGGTGGCACATGCATGTAATCCCAGCTACTGGGTGGCAATGAGGAGGAAGGATCACGTGGTTCCAGGAGGTCGAGGCGGCAGTGAGCTGAGAAGGCACCACTGCATTCCAGCCTGGGTGATAGAGACGCTGTCTCAAAAACAAAACAAAACAAAACAGGTCAGATTGAATTCATTGATGTGAAAAAGTAGGTTTTATCCAACTGTGGCTTGGCTTAATATATTTTACATGTTAAAGTTACCATATATATAAAACAAAAAAAAGAAAAATAGATTGACTTTTTGATGATTGCTAGATGCATCAACAGATAGATGGATGATAGGCCATACAGTGGATAGGTACAGATTATAAATTCTATATAGAATATTATTGTATCAATACATGCAGAAAAATATCTCTAATTTAAACATGCAAATATAACTGAGAAAACATAAAACTGAAAATAGTAGAAACTGTCTTAATTTGAGAGTATCTTTGAAAATCTATAATAAATAAACTTACTGATGAAATAGAGGAAATTTTTTCATTAATATCAGCAATGAGACAATAGTGCCCATTATCTCTGCTTCTATTCAATATTTTATTAGAGTTATTTCTTAATATAAGGAAAACACACAAAAGAGTAGTAGTTTGTTTGTAACATAGAAATTACCTAATAATATTCTGATTGTTTTCTTCTTCTTCTTTTTTTTTTTTTTTTTTTTGTTTGAAGACAGAGTTTCACTCTTGATGCCCAGACTGGAGTGCAATGGCGCAATCTCAGTTCACAGCAACTTCCCCCTCCCAGGTTCAAGTGATTCTCCTGCCTCAGCCTCCCAAGTAACTGGGATTACAGGTGCCTGACACCACACCAAGCTTATTTTTGTATTTTTAGTAGAGACCAGGTTTCACCATGTTGGCCTGGATGGTCTCAAACTCCTGACCTCAGGTGATCCACCCACCTTGGCCTCCCAAAGTGCTGGGATTACTGGTGTGAGCCACCACACCCCACCGCTGATTGTTTTCTTTGCTGTTCAGAAACCATTTAGTTCCATGTAGTCCCAGTTTCTTATTTTTGCTTTCATTGTCTTTACTTTTGGTATCGTATCCAAAATACCACTGCCATAGCCAATGTCATGGAACTTTTCCCTATCTTTTCTTCTAGAAGTTTTACAGTTTATGCCCTTAATTAAGTCTGACATTTAAGCCTTTAATCAATTTTGAGTTGATTTTTTGTGTATAGTATAAAAGTCAGTTTTCATTATTTTGCATGTGGAGATCTCATATTCCTAGCACCATTTTTTGAAGAGACTGCCCTTTCCCCATTGTGTATTCTTCACACCCTTGACAAAGATCAATTAACCACAGATGTCTGGATTTATTTCTGGGCTTTCTATTGTGTTTCAGTGATGAATGTGTCTGCTTTTATGAGAGTACCACACAGTTTTGACTACTATAGCTTTATAATATAAATGGAAATCAGGAAGAGTGATTCTTCCAGCTTTGTTCTTTTTGCTCAAGATTTCTTTAGCTATTTAGAATCTTTTTCTGGTTCCATATAAATTTTAGAATTCTTTTTCTATTTCTGTGAAAAATGCCATTGGAATTTTGATAACAGTTTCATTGAATCTGTAGATCACTTTGGGTAATATGGACATTTTGACAATATTAATTCTTCCAGTCCATAAGCATAGGATGTCTTTCCATTTGTTTTTTCTTCCTCAATTTTTTCCATCAATGTTTTATACATTTCAGTTTATAGATTTTTAATCTCCTTAAATTTATTTTTAAATATTGCATTCTTCTTATGGCATTTTTAATTTTTTTCTCAGATAGTTTGCTGTTAATATACAGAAATGCAACTGATTTTTAACATTTCTTTTTTCTTAATTTTAGATAAATGTAGTACATGTGCAGGTTTGTTACATGAGTATACTGTGTGATGCTGAGCTTTGGAGTACAGATCCCATCACCCAGCTAGTGAGCATAGTAATCAATAGGAAGTTTTTAAACTCATGACCCCCCTTTTCACTTCCTCCTCTAGTAGTTTACAGTGAATATTGATCCCATGTTTGGATATGTAGCTCTCAGTGAATATTGTTCCATGTTATGTCCATGTGTGTTCAATATTTTAGCTCCCACTTATAAGAGAGAACATGCAGTATTTGGTTTTCTGTTCCTAAATTAATTTGCTTAGGATTATGACTTCTAGCTGCATCTATGTTGTTGCAAAGGACATCTATCATGCAAAGGATATTATTTCCTTCTATTTGTGGCTGCATAGCATTCTATGGTGTATATGTACCACATTTTCTTTATCCAGTTCAACACTGATAGACATTTAGGTTTAGTCCATGTCTTTGCTATTGTGAATAGCATGGCAATGAACATGCAAGTTCATGTGTCTTTTTGGTAGAATGACTTACATATGTCGATTTTGTACCTTGCAACTTTACTGAATTCATTTTTTGATATTAATAGTTTTCTGGTGAAGTTTTTATTTTCTAGATATAATACTATGTAATTTTCAAACAGAAATAATTTTACTTCTTTATTTCTGATTTGGATGACTTTTATTGCTTTTCCTTCCGTAATTGCTCTGGCTAAGACTTTCAGCACTAGGTTGAGTAGAACTGACGAGAGTGGACATCCTTGTCTTGTTCCAGATTTAGAAGAAAAGGTTTTATTATGCAGTATAATGTTAGCTGTGAGCTTGCCATATATGACCTATATTGTACTAAGGTACATTTCTTCTATCCTTAATTTGTTAAGGACACAGAAAAAGAAATACTCAACAAGATGAAAAGGCAAACTACAGAAGGAGAAAACATATTTGTAATCCATAAATCTGATACAGGGTTAATATCCAAAATACATAAGGAACTCATATCGCTCTACAGAAATACAAATAAACAATGTCATTTTAAAATGGCTAAAGGATCTGAGTAGACATATTTTTCCAAAGAAGACAAACAAATGGCCAAAAGGTATATGAAATGGTGTTCAACATGACTAATCAGGGAAATGCAGATGACCACAATGATATGTTACCTCACGCCTGTTAGAATGGCTATTGTCAAAAAATCAAAAGATAACAAGTGTTGGAAAGAATGCAAAAAAAAGGGAACCCCTGTATATTGTTAGTGGCAAAGTAAATTGGTATAGCCATTAAAGAAAACAGTATAGAATGTCCTCAAAAAATTAAAAATAAAACCACCATATGATGTAGCAGTACCACTTCTGAGTATATATCCAATGAAAATAAAATCACTATCTCAAAGAGAGATCGGAATTCCCATGTTCATTGCAACATTATTTACAATAGTTAAGATATGAAACAATGAAATGTCCTTCAATAGACAAAGGGCTAAAGTAGATGTGGTATATACTTTTATACAATAGAATACCATTCAGCCTTTAAAAAGAAGGAAATTCTGCCATTTACAACAACGTGGATGAACCTAGAGGACATTTTGCTAAGTACAATAAATCAAGCAAAGAAAGATAAATACTGCATGATCTAACTTATATGTGGAATCTAAAATATTCAAACTTATAAGAGCAGAGTAGAAGGGTGGTTGCTAGAGGCAAGGAGGTGGGGGAAATGAGAACATTTTGGTCAAAAGTTACGAACTTTCAGTTATAAGATACATAAGCTTTAGATATTTTAATGTACAGAATGTTGACTACGGTCAATAATGTATTTTATACTTGAAAAGTTGTTGACAGTAAGTATTCTCACCACACACACATGAAAAAAAGGTAACTATGTGAGGTGACAGGTATATTGATTAGTTTGATTGTACCAATTATTGAAAAATGTATTTGTATATCAAAACTTCACATTGGATATGAAATATATATATATATAATTTCTGTCAATTGTACCTTAATAAATACATAAACAGTACAGAGATACAAAAACAAAATTACATGAGAATAGGCAGATAAATATAAGAATTAAAAATGAAATGTATTTACATGATTGCCTTATACAAAGCTGGTAATACAAAAATAAATTCTATTTCTGTATGTCAGCAGAAAGAATTACTATGCCTAGGAATACGAAATATGAAAATACAAGAAGTCAAAGAGTACAGAAGTAATCTTTTGTTTAAAAAGTCAAAGAGAACAAAAGTCTAAGTCAAATACCACATGTTCTTACTTATAAGTGACAGCTAAACAATAGGTAAACATGTTCATCAAAAGACATCTTCAACTGAGTGAAAATGAAATTTACAAAGTCACACAAAATATTTGAAGTACATGTAATCAATAAAGTATTGATATCATATAAAATATTTTGGATCAATAATAAAAATGAATATCCCTATAGTGCACAAAATATCAAACAAGACTTTCAAGAAAGAGGAAATTCAGGTGGCTGGTAAACATGAAAATGTGCTCAATGTCACTAATATCATGAAAAGGAAAGTCTAATTACACATACTCATCAGAATTTCTCAAATAAAAATGAGTTGCAATAGCAAATGTTACAGATGAGAAGCAACTGGAATTTCCATACAATGCTGGCATGAGTGTAAATTTATACAGCCACTTTGAAAAACTATTTGGCAGAGAATAGTATACTAGAACATGTATATACTTTTATTTACCTTTTGCTGTGTAACACACCACTTCCAAACACAAGTTAAAGTCCTTGCTTGCCTTTTTGTGGCTGTTCTATTTCACTTAGGAAAAGAGAAGTTGTTTAATAGGTGCAGAGTTTCTGATTTGCAAGATGAACAAGTTCTGGAGATCTATTTTACAGTAATAGGAATATACTTGACACTACTGAACTTTACACTTAAAATGGTTGAGTTGGTGAATTTTACGTTATTTGGTTTTTAACCACATTTTTAAATTTTTTTTATTTGCTTTTGTGTCTGCAAGTCAATTTAGAGATCTAAGCTGGGCTTAGAATAGCGGCTCTCCTTCAAGCTTCATGTCACTTGGGTTTGACTCCTTTTGGTAGATTGGGGTTAGATTTGCATCAGATATATTCATCCTAGAGCTCAGGTTAAAAGAACAGAAGCTACTTGGGAAAAAACTCTTTTCATGGTGATGGCAGAAAACTTGCAATGTTTCTTTTGGCCAAGGTTTGAAACTGGCTATGACTTCTGCCCACATTTCATTGGTTAATATAAATCCCATAAAAGCCCAAAGTTTAGGGTTAGGAAGTTACATTCTGCCTCTCATAAGAGAAACTGCAAAGTCATATAGCAAATGACATAGAAAGGAATAAAGAATTGTGGCTAAAAATTTAATCTACAGCAATATGCTGTGACTCAGTGGTTTCACTGTTAGTGGATACCAAATAAATTGAGTGATATGTTACTTAAAGCGTACAAGTATGTTCCCAGCACTGCTTTCCACTATAGCCCAAACCTGGAAATAACCTAAATATCCATCAATGGTAGAACAAATAAATTGAAGTACACTCATATAATTTATTTTTGTGCAACAGTGAAATTTTACTATTATATTTACTAATATGGGTAAATCTCACAAACATTATTTAAGTGAAAGAAAACTAAACAAAAATCTTATATACTCTGTAATTCCACCCTGATAAATTTCAAAAACTGGAAAAACAAACATATGACCATAGAAGTTCAGAATAATGGTTTCTCAGGCAAGAAAGTGGGTAATGTTCTACTTCTAAATTTCATTGTGGATTGGTGTGTGTCACTTTGTGAATCCAGGTACAGACTTTGATTTGTGTACTTTTGTGTATGTTACACTATAATAAAAGTTTCTTAAAATTTAGGAAAGAATCAGATTGAAAGGCTAAATTGAAAATACAAAGGCAAAGGAATAATGGACAATTTCTAGTTTATGGATATAAATTGTTAGTTTAATATACAAAACACTATTGTTTTCTAATTGTTTCTTACTCCATAAATATATTAAAACTCCATGAGGACAAGAACTGTATCTCATTTATCTTTACAACCCCAGAACTATCAGAATAGTCTAAGTCATAGAGTAGTTATTCAGTAAATACATACTTAATAAAATGTTTAACCTTCTGTTTATAGCAAAAGTATCTAACAAATAAATGAATAAATACATTTCTACAATGATTTTGATTATTTTTATAATCGATTATCATGTGTCAGTTACTTCCTATTTTGAAAAATGAACTTATACCAATATCCATTTGTATGCTGGCATTAGGCATTTCTCTCTGTTATTTTTCACAACCTGCCCTCAACCTAAAAACACACTGGGGGCCTGGCTATGAGCCATCTGGTCCACAGCCCAGAGACAAAATTGAACTTCAGAGATCTGACACTTAGAATGGATTACTTATTTCCTCCTCTCCTCTCCTTTTCAACTATTCCCATTTCAGGCTGAGACTTATCCTGACTGTGCAGGAGGACGAATATAGAGGATGTGGAAGGAGAAAAACTGAGCAAAAGAGGGATATTTGGCTTTCATCCTTTTAGTTCTTCTTGGAGAGATGCCTGTAGAGCAAGGAAGTGAGATAGGTCTCTGAAATTCAGACCACGAAAAAGAAGAACAAACAAAGATGTGAAGGAATGCCAGGCATAATTTTAAAAGAAGGAACTATTGAGAAGAGAAGAGAAAAATAAGGTGGGTGGTATGGAAATGTCAGGTGATTTTGAAATGCTCTTTGGAGCAAAATAACAGAAGTTGAAGTTATTCAGTTCAAGGGCTGCAGAACCACACTCTTGTGTCTGTTTTACGGAAGGGAGAGGAAATATGGGTAAATGGGCTGGGATGTTTGGAAATAAGTCACAGTAAGTCCTCATGTCTTGTCCTTTGTCATCTCGAACTCCTGAGGCCCTGAAGAGGTTGGAGAGTGGGAATTGTACTAGGGAAGGTCTGGACAATCTTCATCCAGAGTAATGATTCACATAAACCAGACATCTGGGTGGGCTGAGGCAAGATAAATAAACCTATGCTTTTCACTTAGGCTATAAATCTGATATTTAAGGTGTGGTACAGCCACATTATTTCATAGTACTTCTTCCGTTCTACTCAGATATCCAATAACTACTTAGGGTTTCATTAATATGGCCAACACTTCCCTATTAGAAATCACATTCCTCGCATGTTTTATACCTGTGAACAACATGACTTTTACATATTTATATTGTCTATTGAATTAGCTAGTGTGAAATTTGCTGTTTAATTTTTGGTCTAAAATTTAGTAAATAAATTGGGCCTCATGGAATATATTTCTATGTCATGAGTCCTCCAAAATTCACCTTATTAGTACATCATTACTTTACCTTTGCCCTAATTTGTTAACATATCTATGTAATATGTTTATTCTTGCCTTAATAGTACCTATTTTAAATCATCTCAAATCCTTTCTGAAATGAGATATGTTCTTATTATTTAGGAATTTTTGGGTTGTAAATAACAGATAATCCAATTCAAACTGGCACTAGCAAGCAATAAATCTATTGTCCCACATAAGCTAAGAAATCTGGTGGTATAATGGTTTCAGGTACAGCTTGATTCAAAGTTCAAACTATTATCTGGATGCATCTCATAGAGCTGCTTCTTGTGACTTGGTTCTATTTTTAGGCTAAACACAGTAGTCTCGATACTTTCAGCTTATAAAATCTAGTCAAGAGGAAGAGAGAATTTGTTTCATCAGATGTTAAAATAAGCATCATTAGATGGAATTTTTTTGCTCCTGATTGTCCAGAATTGGAGCATATGCCCATCCTTAACCTGATATTTTAGCAAAGAAACTCCAATGTCCTGACCACCTGAGTTAGTGCATGGCACCTATTGCTCTCTGAAACTTTAGGATGAAGCAATTAGATGAGACTGGAGACAAAACAAACCAAAATAAAGTTGGGCCACTATTAGGATAAGTAGTGGGAGTGAACCACAAAAACCAAATGTCCAGCATTTTGGTATGTTAAATGCCACTCTTCTTGCTTCTTACTTCTCTGGGCATCATTTGTTGCTCTCAGTAACATTTTTGTTTTTGGTATCATTATTTCTTCATCAACCAGATTATTGGTGAGCTCTTACTAATCACCGAAGTATTGTTAGAAGTCCTTAATACCCACTGACATAGGGATGGAAAGTGATGTTGAAATTATATTAATTAGGTGGCTGGCAAGATGGCTGAATAGGAACAGCTACAGTCTACAGCTCCCAGTGAGATCAGCACAGAAGGTGGATGATTTCTGCATTTCCAACTGAGGTACCTGGCTCATCTCACTGGGACTTGTTAGACAGTGAGTGCAGCCCACAGAGGGTGAGCCAAAGCAGGGTGGGGCATTGCCTCACCTGGGAAGGGTAAGGGGTTGGGGAGCTCCCTCCCCTAGGCAAGGGAAGCCCTGAGGGACCATGCCATGAGGGACAGTGCATTCCCACCCAGATACTATGCTTTTCCCACAGTCTTCACAACCCACAGACCAGGAGATTCCCTCAGGTGCCTCCACCACCAGGGCCCTGGGTTTCAAGCACAAAACTGGGTAGCTGTTTGGGCAGACAGCTAGCTAGCGGCAGTTTTTTTGTTTTTTTGTTTTTTTTCATACCCCAGTGGTTCCAGGAACACCAGTGAGACAGAACTGTTCACTCCCGTGGAAAGAGAGCTGAAGTCAGCGAGCCAAGTGGACTAGCTCAGGGGATTCCACCTCCACGGAGTCCAGCAAGCTAAGATCCACTGGCTTGAAATTCTCGCTGCCAGCACAGCAGTCTGTAGTCGATCTGGGACACTCGAGCTTGGTGGGGGGAGGGTTGTCCACCATTACTGAGGTTTGAGTAGGTGGTTTTCCCCTCACAGTGTAAACAAAGCCACTGGTAAGTTCGAACTGGGTGGAGCCCACTACAGCTCGGCAAAGCCACTGTAGCCAGGCTGCCTCTCTAGATTCCTCCTCTCTGGGCAGGGCATCTCTGAAAGAAAGTCAGCAGCCCCAGTCAAGGGTTATAGATAAAACTCCCATCTCCCTGGGACAGAGCACCTGGGAGAAGGAGCAGCTGTGAGTGCAGTTTCAGCAGACAGAAACCTTCCTGCCTGCCAGCTCTGAAGAGAGCAGCAGATCTCCCAACAGAGCCCTTGAGCTCTGCTAAGGGTCAGACTGCCTCCTCAAGTGGGTCCCTGACCCCCATAGCTCCTGACTAGGAGACACCTCCCAGCAGGGGTTGACAGACACCTCATACAGGACAGCTCTGGCTGGTATTTGGTGTCCCTCTGGGATGAAGCTTCCAGAGGAAGGAACAAGCAACAATCTTTGCTGTTTTGCAGACTCTGCTGGTGATACCCAGGCAAACAGGATCTGGAGTGAACCTCCAGCAAACTCCAGCAGACCTGCAACAGAGGGGCCTGACTGTTAGAAGGAAAACTAACAAACAGAAAGGAATAGCATCAACATCAACAAAAAGGACATCCACACAGAAACCCCATCCAAAGGACACCAACATCAAAGACCAAAGGTAGGTAAACCCACAAAGATGTGGAAAAACCAGTGCAAAAAGGCTGAAAATTCCAGAAACCCGAATGCTTCTTCTCCTCTAAAGGATCACAACTCCCTGCCAGCAAGGGAAAAAAACTGGACAGAGAATGAGTGTGACAAATTGACAGAAGAAGGCTTTAGAAGGTGGGTAACAACAAACTCCTCCGAGCTAAAGGAGCATGTTCTAACCCAATGCAAGGAAGCTAAGAATCTCAAAAGAAGGTTAGAGTTATTGCTAACTAGTATAACCAGTTTTGAGAAGAACATAAATGACCTGATGGAGATGAAAAACACAGCAGGAGAACTTTGTGAAGCATACACAAATATCAATAGCTGAATCGATCCAGCCGAAGAAAGAAATTCAATCAGAGATTGAAGATCAACTTAATGAAATAAAGCATGAAGACAAGATTAGAGAAAAAAGAATGAAAAGGAATGAACAAAGTCTCCAAAAAATCTGGGACTATGTGAAAAGACCAAATCTACATTTGACTGGTGTACCTGAAAGTGACAGGGCAAAGGGAACCAAGTTGGAAAACATTCTTGAGGGTATTATCCAGGAGAACTTCCCCAAAATAGCAAGACAGGCCAACATCCAAATTCAGGAAATACAGAGAACACCACAAAGATACTCCTCGAGAAGAGCAACCCCAAGACACATAATTGTCAGATTCACTAAGGTTGAAATGAAGGAAAAAATGTAAAGGGCAGCCAGAGAGAAAGGTCGGGTTACCCACAAAAGGAGGCCCATCAGAAAAACAGCAGATCTCTCAGCAGAAACCCTACAAGCCAGAAGAGAGTGGGGGCCAATATTCAACATTCTTAAAGAAAAGAATTTTCAACCCAGAATTTTATATCCAACCAAACTAAGCTTCATAAGCAAAGTAGAAGTAAAAGCCTTTACAGACAAGCAAATGCTGAGAGATATTGTCACCACCAGGCCTGCCTTACAAGAGCATGTGAAGGAAGCAATATATATGCAAAGCAAAAACTGGTACCAGCCACTGCAAAAACATACCAAATTGTAAAGTCCATCAGCACTATGAAGAAACTGCATCAAATAAGGAGCAAAAAAAAAAAAAAAAAAAAAAAAAACAGCTAGCATCATAATGACAGAATCAAATTGACACAAAACAATATTAACCTTAAATGTAAACTGGCTAAGCACCCTCAATTAAAAGACACAGACTGGCAAATTGAATAAAGAGTCAAGAATCATCGGTGTAGTGTATTCAGGAGACCCATTGCATGTGCAAAGACACACATAGGCTCAAAATAAAAGGATGGAAGAATATTTACCAAGCAAATGGAAAGCAAAAAAAGCAGAGATTGCAATTGTAGTCTCTGATAAAACAGACTTTAAACCAACAAAGAACAAAAAAGACAAAGAAGGGCATTACATAATGATAAAGGGATCAATGCAACAACAAGAGCTAACTATCCTAAATATATATGCACCCGATACAGGAGCACCCAGATTCATAAAGCAAGTTCTTAGAGACCTACAAAAAGACTTAGACTCTAACACAATAATACTGGGAGACTTTAACACCCCACGGTCAATATTAGACAGATCAATGAGACAGAAAATAAACAAGGATATTCAGGACTCGAACTCAGCTCTAGACCAAGCAGACCTAATAGACATCTACAGAACTCTCCATCCCAAATCAACAGAATATACATTCTTTTCAGCACCATGTTGCCCTTATTCTAAAATTAACCACATAACTGGAAGTAAAATATTCCTCAGCAAATGCAAGAGAACAGATTTCATAACAAACAGTCTCTCAGACCACAGGCAATCAAAAGAGAACTCAGGATTAAGAAACTCGTGCAAAACCACACAACTACAAGGAAACTAAACGACCTGTTCCTGAATGACTACTGGGTAAACAGTGAAATTAAGGCAAAAAAAAATATGTTCTTTGTAACCAATGAGAACAAAGACACAATGTACCAGAATCTCTGGGACACAGCTAAAGCAGTGTTTAAAGGAAAAATTTATGCACTAAATGTCTACAGGAGAAAGTGGGAAAGATCTAAAATCAACACCCTAACATCACAATTAAAAGAACTAGAGAAGCAAGAGCAAACAAATTCAAAAGCTAGCAGACGGCAAGAAATAACTAAGATCAGAGCAGAACTGAAGGAGATAGATACATGAAAAATCCTTCAAAACTTCAATGAATCAAGGAAGTGGATTTTTGAAAAGATCAACAAAATTGATAGACCACTAGCAAAACTAATAAAGAAGAAAAGAGAGAAGAATCAAATAGATGCAATAAAAATGATGAAGGGAGTATCACCACTAATCCCACAGAAATTCAAACTACCATCAGAGAATACTATAAACACTTCTATGCAAATAAAATAGAAAATCTAGAAAAAAATGGATAAATTCCTGGAAACATACACCCTCCCAAGACTAAACCAGGAAGAAGTTGAATCCCTGAATAGACCAATAACAAGTTCTGAAATTGAGGCAGTCATTAATAGCCCACCAACCAAAAAAAGCCCAGGACCAGACAGACTCATAGCAAAATTCTACCAGAGGTACAAAGAGGAGCTAGTACCGTTCCTTCTGACACTATTCCAAACAACAGAAAAAAAGAGGGACTCTCCCTAACTCATTTTATGAGGCCAGCATCATTCTGATACCAAAACCTGGCAGAGACACAACAAAAAAAGAAAATTTCAGACCAATATCCCTGATGAACATCGATGCAAAAATCCTCAATAAAATATTGGAAAACAAAATCCAGCAACGCATCGAAAAGCTTATCCACCACAGTCAAGTCAGCTTCATCCCTGGTATAAAAGGCTAGTTCAACATATGCAAATCAATAAATGTAATTCATCACATAAACAGAACCAATGACAAAAACCATATGATTATCTCAATAGATGCAGAAAAGGCCTTTGATAAAATTCAACACCACTTCATGCTAAAAACTCTCAATAAACTAGGTATTGATGGAACGTATCTCAAAATAATAAGAGCTATTTATGACAAACCCACAGACAATATCATACTGAATAGGCAAAACTGGAAGCATTCCCTTTGAAAACTGGCACAAGACAAGGATGCCCTCTCTCACCACTGCTATTCAACATAGTATTGGAAGTTCTGGCCAGGGCAATCAGGCAAGAGAAAGAAATAAAGGATATTCAAATAGGAAGAGAGGGAATGTCTCTGTTTACAGGTGACATGATTGTATATTTAGAAAACCCAATTGTCTCAGCCCAAAATCTCCTTAAACTGATGGGAAACTTCAGCAGTCTCAGGATACAAAATCAGTGTGCAAAAATCACAAGCATTTCTATACACCAATAATAGACAAACAGAGAGTCAAATCATAAATAAGCTCCCATTCACAATTGCTGCAAAGAGAATAAAATATCTAGGAATACAACTTACAAGGGATGTGAAGGACCTCTTCAAGGAGAACTACAAACCACTGCTCAAGGAAATAAGAGAGGACACAAACAAATGAAAAAGTATTCCATGTTCATGAATAGGAAGAATCAATATGGTGAATATGGCCATACTGCCCAAAGTAATTTATAGATTCAATGCTATCCCCATCAAGCTACCAGTGACTTTCTTCACAGAATTAGAAAAAACTACTTGATCTTTCATATGGAACTGAAAAAGAGCCCATATAGCCAAGACAATCCTAAGCAAAAAGAACAAAGCTAGAGGAATCACACTATCTGACTTCAAACTATATTACAAGGCTACAGTAACCAAAACAGCATGGTACTGGTACCAAAACAGATATATAGACCAATGGAACAGAACAGTGGCCTCAGAAATAACGCCACCTACCTACAACCATCTGATCTTTAACAAAACTGACAAGAACAAGCAATGGGGAAAGATTCCCTATTTAATAAATGGCACTGGGAAAACTGGCCAGCCATATGCAGAAAACTGAAACTGGACCCCTTCCTTACACCTTATACAAAAATTAACTCAAGGTGGATTAAAGACTTAAATGTAAGACCTAAAACCATTAAAACCTAGAAGAAAACCTAGGCAATACCATTCAGGACACAGGCACATGCAAAGACTTCATGACTAAAACACCAAATGCAATGGAAACAAGAGCCAAAATTGACAAATGGGATCTAATTAAACTAAAGAGCTTCTGCACAGCAAATGAAACTATCATCAGAGTGAACAGGCAACCTACAGAATGGGAGAAAATTTTTGCAATCTATCCATCTGACAAAGGGCTAATATCCAGAATCTGCAAAGAACTTAAATAGATTTACAAGAAAAAAACAAACAATCCCATCAAAAAGTGGCCAAAGTTTATAAACAGACACTTCTTAAATGAAGGCATTTATACGGCCAACAAACATATGAAAAAAAGCCCATCATCACTGGTCATTAGAGAAATGCAAATCAAAACCACAATGAGATACCATCTCATGCCAGTTAGAATGGTGATCATTAAAAAGTCAGGGAACAACATATGCTGGAGATGATGTGGAGAAATAGGAACACTTTTACATTGCTGGTGGGAATGTAAATTAGTTCAACCATTGTGGAAGACTGTGTGGCAATTCCTCAAAGATCTAGAACCAGAAATACCGTTTAACCCAGCAATCCCATTGCTGGGTATATGTCCAAAGGATTACGAATCATTCTACTATAAAGACACATGCACATGTATGTTTATTGCAGCACTATTCACAATAGAAAAGACTTGGAACCAACCCAAATGCTAATCAATGATAGACTGGATAAAGAAAATGTGGCATATATACACCATGGAATACTATGCAGCCATAAAAAAGATGTGTTTATGTCCTTTGTAGGGACATGGATGAAACTGGGAACCACCATTCTCAGTAAACCAACACAGGAACAGAAAACCAAACGCTGCATGTTCTCACTCGTAAGTGGGAGTTGAACGATGAGAACACATGGACACAGGGAATGGAACATCACACATTGGGTCCTGTCAGGGGTTGGGGGCTAGGGGAGGGATAGCATTATAAGAAATACCTAATGTAGATGATGGGTTGATGGGTAAAGCAAACCACCATGGCACACATATACCTATATATCAAACCTGCACGTTCTGCACATGTATCCCGGAACTCAAAGTATAATAAAAAAGAAATTATATTAATTGCCAGTTGAACCATGAGGAAAGTGGAAATCAGAAATATTGGAATTCAGAAAATGAATGATGGTATTTTTATTTAGCTGAGATATTTATGTAGTTGGGGTATTGTTGAATACGACCATTTATTCACTCAATATTCAGCATAAGTTTATTTAGTGTCTCATACATATAACAGCACACTATATTCATTTATGGATGATGGAGTAGAAAGGTAGAAAAAATCAACTCGGGGTTAAGACGGTGAACTGAATCTCCTCCAGCTTATTCTGAGCACAGTCTTCACTCTAAAAAGCCATTGCCCAGTTTACCTTCTCAGCCTAACAAAGAACTATCTTTCAATTATGAGTACAAAATCAGATTTTCAGTTAAACCAACATGTTTTACAATGCATCTATTATAAAATGTCTGCATAAAAATTCTCTTTTGTCTCTTCAATAACATAACAAAATGAGAAATAAGCTTAAAATTAGTCACATTTTCTAAAATTGCTGCATCTGAGGATGGCTTAGAGCCTTCTGCTCCCTAAGCCCTAATGTCTGGGCCCCGTTTTGAGCAATTGGGCATTTAGTGACTTGCCTCTATTTTCCACAATCAACTCAGTAGTTAATTAAACCCAGTGCAATGTCCCCATGGCAATGGCTTTGGCATCAGGAGACCCACAGAAGAACCACCTGCTGCCAACAAACATAATGAAAATTCCTACTGCTTTATGGTCACTGTGAGCTGTGGCTTGTGATCTTTAGTCAATTGACATAAAATGGCAGGAGACTGGTTACATTTGACTTTGGTCTGGGTCTAAGACCATAGACCATCATCACATCTCTACCTCTGAGTAAATATCAGTAGCCTGTGACCCATTTTGACCTTTTTCCATTCTACACGTCAACTTGAATTCTGTCTCTTGTAGCCTCTATGTCCCTGGCTTCTCTTAGGGAGAGGCAGAGAAAAATGGAAGCACTCCATGAATAACAGACATCCATCTTGCTTGGACTAAGCATCTACAACCTTGAGAAACTGGGCAATGGACAGGAAATGAAAATAAACATCTATCCTCTGGCAGGACTTATGTTTTCACATTTCAGGTAAGAGAAGAAGGGTGATGAGCCCATGCAAGTGTACTACCAATAACAGAAAGAGAGACTCACAATTAAAAGTACATCAAATAATGTTAATCAGGATTATTTAAGTTTTAAAGTGTTTTTCTGCAAAATTGTGCATATAAATTTTATATATTCTTAAATTAACTGATTCATTTTTCTTTCTAAATTTTTATATGCACTCTGTTGGTTCTGATTTAATTTGACAGGGCACTCAACAATATTTTAATTAAAAATTTTAAATAATGACGTTTTTGTAGAAAGGACTGTATCAGATAGGATCTACACAAAGATATAATACCTAATATGTGCTGAGAACTTAATAAATGCTCTGAAAATAGTTATAATTGACAGATATAAAGACTAAGAAACCCTGCCCTCTGGGAACCCAAAAACAGAAACAGGCAAAAACACTAGCACAAGGACATAGACTTAGGAAAAGAACACCGTAAGTAACTGCTGCCAAAAAAGAGAAAGTAATTATGGATGAAACAAATATCTTCAGAAGGCAGGATAATACTGTGGAAATCACATTCTTCTGAAAGAGAAAAGACCTCTGTTCCATTGCTAACACATCCACTCAGTTGCTTTCTAGTCTTAGAAACTTCATAGCACTCTCTGAAGCTCAATTTCTTCATCTGTCTGATGAAACTACTAAGCTAGATCTTTAAGATCATATACAGCTGTAACTGTGACTCTGGCTTTCTGGAGACCTCTTGAGTAAGAGACAAGAACTACTGCAACATACCTTTCCCAGTCCTGAAAAATGAAATGATCTTTATTTTATTAAATCCCTCCCAAAACCAACAAAGGTACAGGAAGCAATGTGAAAGGTATGTTCTTCTCAAAACTAGCAGTGCTCTCTGCCCCTTTTCAATTCCAAGTTAAACTTACATAAATAATGTCTGTGAAACCACTCAACTGTTACAAAAGCATTGTCTCATCCATTTTAAAGAAATCTTAAAAGTTAGGTTAGCTGACATCAGAATGAATGAACCGCATTACAAAGATGAGAAAATTGATTCAGACTCATCAAAGTCCTGTAGCTAATACATAGCAAAGTTGAAAACTGAGGCCATAACAAAATTGTAGCAGAAGTCTTTTCCTTGAAATAGCTTTATCTGGAAGGAGAGTGTTGAATACTGCTTTCCCTTTCTCACCACACACACACACACACACAGATTGTACTGTAGTCTAGTGTTGGTTCCACCAGCTGTGTGAACTTAAGAGGAGTCCCCAAACTCTGATTCTCAAATTTCTTATCTTTATAATAAAGATATTAAAAGTAATAAAAACTTCATAAGGTTGCTGTGAGGACCAAATGAGAGAATATATGTAACAGTATTTTCACCAAATCTAGAACAAACAGAGCATGTGATAAATGTCAACTTGCCTTACATTATTACAAGATAATTCTAAATTTTGATTAATAAACTGATACCAAAATTGTGTTCTATTTTTTCTTCCTGGAAACATCAAAAGCAATATTGATAGACACAATGGAATAATGCTCCCAAAAAACATAACTGAGTTTATTTTTTCTTTGTTTTTGTCTACTTGTTTGCTAGTTTTTTGAGTGTGTGACCTCAACATGAAACATGAAGTTTATTGTAAGGAAACAGAAGAAGAGAAAAGGGAGAATAATTAGTGTGTCTTGTTTCATGGGCCTTTGTAAACTTACATTTTAATTCTGAAAGGCCAGTCAACATTAAAGAAAAGATTAGTTAGTTCAATCAAAATATCTAGATAAGTAATGGCATTTAGACTCAGCCAGTACTTTTATTAAAATTCTTACAGGTGAAATTCAAATACTACTTGTTCTTCAAAGCCTTCTCTAAAATTATTGGGTTTTTCCTCCAGATTTTCAGGACATTTTGTTTATACTTATTTTATAATGTTTATAGGCTATTTTATAATATGAATAGGTGTTTGATTCTTCTCTGAGAAAAGGGCAATGATTTTATTCATAATTATATCTATAGTGCTTAGATAGTAACAGAAATCATGAAATCGTAAAACATGAGAATTGTTAGACAATCTGCCCCAGTCTTTAGGAACTCAATAAATTGTTGAGATTGATGCCTAAATATGTATGGCCTCCCTTCAAGAGCAAAACAGAACTCCGTGGAAAACCAAGTTACTTTCAGTCAGGCTTGGAGAGCCTCAAGGGAAGAATAATTTCTCTTAAATTTTCTCTTCCTGAGAAAATACAGAAAAATCAGTTTCAATAACTTCCCATGAGTTAAATGCTTATTGCCTCACTGATGAAAATATTTCTGATACCAATACCTATAGAACAACAATAAAGTAATAAAACAGAAGTACTTACTAAGCACTCCTTATTTATGGGACAAATCTCTTTCATATATATTGCCTGAATTAATTCTCATGATAGCCCAGGAGGCAGGAATTATTCTTATCATACAAATGAGAAAATAGGCCTTAGAGAATTTATTAAGGTTTTACCACTAGAACTTGCCAGAGTCAGGATTAAAGCCTACATCTGTCAAAATGTAAAGCCTATTTTATTCCTACATTACTCAACTTTACATGTGCTTGTGAGAGGAAAATTTCAGATTCTACATGTAGAAATTTATTAGTAGTACTAAAAACTAGAGAATATAGAATTTGAAAGTTAATAGTATGATAGTAATAAATATGCCAACCACCTAGGCAAAAAAAAAAAAAAATATTGGGCGAAGAACCAGAGGAATAAGATAGAGGAGGAGGAGGGTGATTGCCCCTTTCATGGGGTTGAGGAAGGGAGTGATATAAAGTAGAACATGCAAGCAGAAAACATCCTTGCACTCTTCCAGGAGCAAGGAGAAGCAAATGTACTTACTTGCCCTATTTATATATTTAGATTAAAAGTTTTAGAAACTAAATAGTGCCTGTGTTATGATATTTCTCCAAGTATACTTAGTTCAGCCTTTTCATAACATATATAAAGAAACCTAGAAATAAATAAAAAATACATATCATTTTTCAAGGATGTATACAAGATATGTCTCCTGAGTGCTCCTATAATTTCAAATGCATATCCATCATCTCAATCACCACATTTTTAATAATATCTTCTGAATGGGTCTCACCCTTGAAACATGAACTAGAGGCTCGGGACTGGGTCTTATTTAAATGTGTATCTTCATTGCAGACCTAGTAGCTGACACATTGTTATAATCACACTGCTTAATACATGTGTACTATCTGATATTCTTGATTTGGTGGTTCTTAGGTAACATAAAAATGCATTGTCATTAATTTTGTTATTAATATTAGTTAAGGTGATTTTAATAATATACTTTTAATGGGATAATTGTAAGGTTATCTTTATGATTTTTCTCTCACTTATTTGAATTCTAATTTGCTCTACAGAGCAGCAAATGTACTAGGAATTGGGAATCACCTTAGGTACACAGAATTCTGATGACCAGATGCTCTCTTCAGTGCCAGTTTTCTATTGTAAACAGAGATTTCTCTTTCAGATTTAAATGGGCCAGACTTAGTTTTATGTGGTGCAGACATTCTTAGCATTCTTGACACTGAGCAATTCTTGTGCCTAGAAAGAAATAACACTGAGAATTCTCTTACTCTGTGAGTTCTAAGAAGTCTGTGCTGCCCATGAATAAAATAGATAATGTGGCAAGTTAACTCTCTTATTTATATAACAATTATTTATTGAGAAGGTGTTAAGTACTTAATATGGTTCTAGATGCAGAGGAGAACTCAGGCAAAGATACATAAAATTCACATATTTTCCTCAAAGGTACAAAATCTGGTAGAGAAAATAGATATAAGAACAATTCATTAGAATATTTCAAAATTAAGTAAATATCACATAATTTTGGCAATCAATGTCTTATGTGAGTTCTGAGGAAGAAACAACTCCTTTCACCAGAAGGTAGCAAGAAAGCTTTCAAAAAGGTAGATTTTAATGGAGGCTTCAGAAGAACCATAAAATATCTGTAAATAAAAGTGAATAACAAACTAATATGAGCAAGGAATAGAGGCAAGGAAGTCCAGAACATATTTGGGCAATAGTGATACATCCCATTAAGGTCTGAAAATGAGCACAGAAAGATAGTTTATTTCCCCAAAGGAAAGACTTTTGGAAACAATGAAGAGTTTGAACTCTATACTATAGCCATAAGTAAAATTTTTGAAGAGTGAAGCAATATAATACAATTTATATTTTAAAAGATTAGGCTGTCATCACGGGAAAGATGGGTTGCAGAGATGTAAGAGTGGCCATGGGAAAGGAGCCATAATGTGACTTCAGAAGGATTTAAGGGAAGTGATGAAAATGGACAGAATCCTGAAGAAAGATTGTGGTCCTCCCTGCCAGAGGAAAGACTCTGATATAGGTATTAGAGAAAGTGTAGACATATTCCACCTTGAAATTAATGAATAGAAAGAAGAAGATAATTTTTTTCCACTTTGGGACCAGGATAAAGCTACAGAAACAAGAGCCAGCATAATAAAAGTATAACTGACAATTCCTGCCAGGAGGTAAGGAAAACAGTGTTGAAGAGAATTTGAATCTAAGTTATGGAGAGACTAAAACTAAGAGTGGGGGTTTAGGTGTAACGAGAATGACAATTAAGAACCATTGAGTTATAGACAACTATGGTATATTCAGATGGTTTACTTTGCAACTGTAGGAAAGATTTTTTTTTTGAGAGAATACAGATACAAGAAAGCCAAAAAGACAAGCTTTGCAAGATAATCTAAGAGTGAAAGGCTAAGAATCTGAGCAACAGCCTCATGATGGGAATGGAGGTGAAGGGTTGTTTGAATCTGAAAAGTATCAAGAACTTTTTGGCTATGGTGTTAGAACTACTATGGAGACTCAAAGTTTGATGAACGCTTGCCTGATTTTAGCAACATCATGTCTTGGAAAAACAAGAGGGAGGAGAAAAGATGAGTTCAGAATTCAAAATCTGAGAACGCATGCTGATGATCAATTTTCTGTGAATCTACTTATTTTCAGGGATTTCTTTTGGTGCTGACTCCTCTTCTCTCCCTAATTGTCTCCTGATGATGTATGCTCCATGGAGCGGGTCAATGAGACTGTGGTGAGAGAGGTCATCTTCCTCGGCTTCTCATCCCTGGCCAGGCTGCAGCAGCTGCTCTTTGTTATCTTCCTGCTCCTCTACCTGTTCACTCTGGGCACCAATGCAATCATCATTTCCACCATTGTCCTGGACAGGGCCCTTCATATCCCCATGTACTTCTTCCTTGCCATCCTCTCTTGCTCTGAGATTTGCTACACCTTCATCATTGTACCCAAGATGCTGGTTGACCTGCTGTCCCAGAAGAAGACCATTTCTTTCCTGGGCTGTGCCATCCAAATGTTTTCCTTCCTCTTCCTTGGCTGCTCTCACTCCTTTCTGCTGGCAGTCATGGGTTATGATCGTTACATAGCCATCTGTAACCCACTGCGCTACTCAGTGCTAATGGGACATGGGGTGTGTATGGGACTAGTGGCTGCTGCCTGTGCCTGTGGCTTCACTGTTGCACAGATCATCACATCCTTGGTATTTCACCTGCCTTTTTATTCCTCCAATCAACTACATCACTTCTTCTGTGACATTGCTCCTGTCCTCAAGCTGGCATCTCACCATAACCACTTTAGTCAGATTGTCATCTTCATGCTCTGTACATTGGTCCTGGCTATCCCCTTATTGTTGATCTTGGTGTCCTATGTTCACATCCTCTCTGCCATACTTCAGTTTCCTTCCACACTGGGTAGGTGCAAAGCTTTTTCTACCTGTGTATCTCACCTCATTATTGTCACTGTCCACTATGGCTGTGCCTCCTTTATCTACTTAAGGCCTCAGTCCAACTACTCCTCAAGCCAGGATGCTCTAATATCAGTATCCTACACTATTATAACTCCATTGTTCAACCCAATGATTTATAGCTTGAGAAATAAAGAGTTCAAATCAGCTCTTTGTAAAATTGTGAGAAGAACAATTTCCCTGTTGTAAAATTAATCTTGATTCTGGCCAGGTGCAGTTTCTCACGACTGTAATCCCAGCATTTTGGAAGGCTGAGACAGGTGGATCACCTGAGGTCAGGACTTCAAGACCAGCCTGGCCAACATAGTGAAATCCTATCTCTACCAAAAAATATACAAATTAACCGGATGCTGTGGTGGGCTCCTGTAATCTCAGCTACTCAGGAGCCTGAGACAGGAGAATCACTTGAACCCAGGAGGCAGAAGGTTGCAGTGAGATTGTGTCACTGCACTCCAGCCTGGGCGACAGAGTAAGACTCTGTCTCAAAAAAAAAAAAAAAAAAAAATCTTGATTCTGCTCTTTCCAAACCGTAAACCACAAGTTATACAGGAAAAAATTCCCAGAACACAAATGATCAAGCAATTGAGCATTATGTTCAGGAACATAGATCATTTCCCGTCATCTCCAAATATAAAATTTAGAAAAACACAACTGCTTGCCACACTCACATGAATTATTGCCTATTGAAGGTTTTTTTTCAATTGATTAAAAAATAACAGATGGCTATTATGGGGAAGCATATGTATGTTCAGAATTTTAGGCTGTAGTAAATACTGTCACCCAATCTCAGCCAGGCTGAAAACTAACCCTGCAAAATGTGGCACAACCCTAACTCTCTGTTCTAGGGACTCAGGAAGCTTCTATCTCTAGGATTTTTCTAGATGTTTTCTGGACCTCAGTCTTCCAAAATCATCAGATCACAATTGTTAAATGAGATACTTGTTAAGCGTCATTACAATGTTTGATGCATAAGATATATCCAAATAATGTTCAAGTTAGAAAATTATGAAAAGTTATCCATTTCCATGCTTCTAGTGTATTAATGAAATACGATCATTTCTAATTTTGTATGCAGAGGCATACATCTAAATTTGGTCAGCATACCCTGAAGATATTCACAGGGGAATGGATTAATGACAAGACCTAAAATCACCCTAAATGACCAGGCAAGGCAAGCTAAAGATTAAGTCAATTTCACTAAATATTCACCAAGTGGAAAGCTTTGCATATGGAACAATCAATCTGTTCTCCATGCAACTCAAGAGTTTGCATGTACATTTGAGACCAGAACTTGAATTTGATGTTTTCATTCTCTGTCCTTTCTGCAGGAGTGATAGCAAAAAGGAAGTTTCACAATAGTGATGATTTCTCACATTATAACTCTTTTCAAGATCCACCTGTCAATAAAAGTCTCCTGATTGATTAATTTTGTTTCTAAGTTTTTTCCTTTTCTTCCACCAGTCTGTTCATCAATGACATATACCTTTTAGGGGTTGAAGCGGGAGGGAAGGAAGTGGAATGTTTTGTTCACAGGCCCTGTTTATTGTAGGACATCTGCCAAGAATGTAAGTCAATTGCATTTCTTCCATTTCTTTGAAGCTTGAAACTTGCTGCTGATGGGGGTTGAAAATCAGAGATTGATGCAAAATTAATTTCAGTGGCCCCCAAGTTGTCTTTTCCTTGGCCATATTGCCCACCCCAGGCCTCTAGCATATCAAGTTGATTCATGAAAAGTAAATGAGCTAAGTTTAATGTGTTAATTATTTATAGCTGCATTGTGTGCTACAGTTTAACAATGTTACTTCATCTAAACTTTAGAGCACACTGGGAAGTATATATTATAATCGACATTTTGTAGATGAGAAAAATGACACTCAGACAAATAAAATGACTTGCCTACTAATGAGTAAAAGAATTAATACTGAGTCCACACGATATATTTTCTTTATTAATGCTTTTATAATGCTCTCACATGACCTCTTGAAAAGACTGTGATTTTTTTAATTAATGGAGTAGAATGTGTAAGTATTCACCTTTAACAATAGAAGATTAAGCCATGGGTCATCTGTGGGAAGATATACTCTTGATGTTAAATAGTCTTTTAAACCTTGTTTCTTTCCAAGAGCTGTGGATACTATTATTTTGGTGTCTGACACCACAACACTGACAAGTGGGCAGGACCACTTTGTGTTAAAAGGTCATGAATATAAAAAATGACTCTCCTGGCATTTTATCCTTCCTCTTATTTTTTCCATGTGAATGAAAAATTAAGTTGACATTGGCCTGCACTCCCATGTGTTAAAACTGAACATCTTGCTCTCTCTGTTCCTCTTTTCACACATGTGCATACACACATATCTCTATTGTCCAGTCATATGTAATTTGCAGGAGAGGGGTAAGATTTTTAGATTTGTAGTTGGCCTTAGCAAGAGAGTAAAGTCCCTTAGGCCTTCTAACTAGGCCACATATGCCTGTTTAGCTTACAGAGAAATCTGCACTTGAATTTTAAGCATAAACTCAACCAATAATAATAAATTGATGTTTTGAATTCCCATTCATCATAGTCTATTATGTATATATGTTTTTGAATACATTATAGGGAAAAGAAAAGGTTATACCAAGTTAGGATTATGGAATTTCTGTTACCTTGGCCACAAAAAATTATAATAGCACTAAAACTAGATTTGTAGCCTATGAGGCTGGCTTTGGACTGATTTTCTAAGACATCCTTTAACATTGAACAGATCGATGACAATTGAAATCATAAGACAGCTCTCACCAAGTGCCAGGACAAGTACACATTTACACTAACAGAAGGCAACCCACATAATAGCTGTTTTCAGTGCCCCATATAAACCAATATCCAACCCCTCAGGTAAATTTTTATTTTCAAAAAAACATTTAGCGAAGAATCACATTCCACTCCAACTATCACCTTTAGATATCTCTTCCCAAATCTCTCCCCTAGATTGCCAGCCTCCTACTCCTTCAATTGATCCTACTTTCTCTTCCTCAAACCAAAAGCTTTTTTTAAAATAGATTCAACAGGCACATGTGCAGGTTTGTTATATAGATATATTGTGTGATGCTGAGGTTTGGGCTTCTAGTGTACTCATCACCCAAACAGTGAACATTGTACCCGATAGATAATTTTTCAGCACTAACCTCCCTCTCACCCTCCCTCATTTGGGGTCCTCAGTGTCTGCCATTTCCATCTTTATGTCCATGCGTACCCACTGTTTAGCTCCCACTTGTGAGAACATGTGCCAATCCTGAATCTCTACCAGAGTACCACTTCCGTTACTCACTCCATCTTATGCTGAGCATTCCGTTTCTCCCACATATCATGGAAGTCTAAAGTGCTTACCCACACTCAATATTCAATGTTATATTCTGTTATGTCCGAGGCTCTAACTCTCAAGGGTAAGCCAATAAAACAAAAGTAATGGCAATTATTTCAAACAGAACTGGTTTAATATAGGGAATTGCTTACACGAATGTGAAAATTTGTAAAAGCAAAAAGGGATGCTAGGGCAACACATTTGTATAATTAAGGAAAATGGCTACTCTGCTTAGACTTGCAATGGATGGAGAAAATGTGGTGTTAATAGAAACCAGGAGTTCAGAGAAGAAACCTTGGAGGTCCAATGCTAGAACCTTCCAGGAGTGGGAGTGGCCTGACAGTTGATTAAGTGATCTATTGGGTATACCCAGTGGGTGTGGGAGCATGCAGTAGTATCATGATTACCCAGAGGATTGGCATGGATGTGGCTGGTACCTCTGAGGGAACACAGCAAGTTTGGCACTAAGAGTGTTAAAGGAAACTGGAGGCTGGATCCACAGCTATCTACTGCTACTAGGAAATGCCAACAGGAGCTGGAAGCAGAAGGGAAGCACCTTCTCTTACATCCTTTTCTTCAGTGCTTAACAAGTATCAAAAGCCAGAAGGCAAGAGAGTTAAAGAAAAGGCAATTTGCAAAATATAGAAGAATGGGGTATTGCTGAGGGGCAACAGGTAAATAACTGTCATAGAGGCATTTATACCGAGGAAGATGAGTAGGTTTGTGTTTAGCAATAAAGAGTCTTCCACATCAAGGCTATATCTTCCACACAAGTTAGTGAGAGGTTATTTAAAAATACAGTTTGTTTTCCTATGCATTAATATATAACAGTCTTAACGGTTACAAAGATCAAGAGTTAATTAGGTTGATTGGGTAGTAATACTCAAAGAAAAAAATCCAACTCATAATTATTCTAAATCAGTTTATTTCCTGCTGATTTTAGTGAGATATTAATAGTTTCACACATTTTTAGAAAGTCAGCCATTGTAAAATAAAACATTTTGTTTTACATAGGCTAGCTGAGTCCTGGACACTTTTCTAGGACAGTAGGGGTCTTTCATTTGAAAAGGCAACTCCTCACAAAAGTGCCCATGCACATTTAAAAATGTGTGGAGCTATCCTCTTCTTATAATCCTTCATGATTAAATTGTGTCTGTGGCTGGGCATGGTGGCTCACACCTGTAATCCCAGCTACTGGAGAAGCTGAGGCAGGAGGATAACTTGAGGCCAGGAGTTTAAGACCAGCCTGGACAACAAAATGACTCCCCACTCATCTCTAAAGTAAATAAATACATAAATTAGCTCGGCATGGTGGCACATCTGTAGTCCCAGCTACTCGGGAGGCTGAGGTAGGAGAATTGCTTGAGTTCAGGAGTTTGAGGCTGCAGTGAGCTATGATTGTCTCACTGCACTCCAGCCTGAAAAAATAAAAATAAAATAAAATGTGTCTGTAGCACAAGTGTACCTGTTTTTAATAGGATGTTGACTCTAACAACCAGAAAATATAGTATGACTACATGTAATGGGAAGAGAGTAATTAAATCATGGCAAAATAAGATTTTAGAAACAGTCATTCTCTAGCAAATTATCTGACACTAACTGACTCAACTTCCGTGCATTGATTTCATCCTCTCTCAATGCTCACTGAGGTGACTTCCTATGTCCTTCCGCCAAAACTTCTGTGATTCCTGAGATGATTTTCCCAACCATTCCACTCTACTTTTAACTTTCCATCATGAAAACCTTTTGGAATTTGATTCCACTTTTTTTGCTTCTTCACTTTCATGTCTTAGGAAAGTTGTTCATTTCCCTTGATTAATCTTTATTAGCAAGGTCGAAAGAACTGGTGTTAAAACATAATGCAGTAATCATTCCCAAAGGATATGATAACACCGCTACAAAGCAGATGTTGTATCTGTGGTTGGCAAGAGACCAAAGGGGACATCACTGGTCATCAGTGGGGAAACAGCTCAGAAGGATCCTGTAGAAGAGACAAACTCCACAGAGCAGTGATTCAACAAAGTAGGGGGATGTGCTAGAGACCACAGAACTCTGATAGTTTAAGAGTAAATCCCTGAACAGCCTACAAATGAGGAAAGCAAGAGGACAGTGTAAGGTGTGAGATATATGAGATCCTTTAGGGAGCTCAACACACCTGTGTGAGGTAGATGGAAAGTGGTTGAAAAATAGGAAATTTAAATTAGTCAGCTCACAAAACTTCCAGAAACACATTTAACAATTTCTAGTGAAGGCCTATTAAAGTAAAGCCATTAAAAACTTTTCACGGGGATACAGAATGAAAAATGAATGAATACAGGCACGCATTATACAAGGATAGGATTTCTCAATTTTAGAGATGCCAATTAATCCTTATTTCACTTCAAAGTTTAAATAAATTCCAATCAAATACCTATTTTTGATAATATGATAAATATCCTTGAATTTCAAGTGCAAGATTGGTCATGAATTAATATTCAAAGAGCTTCTAAAGAATAGTGATAAGATTTGCTCTGTCAGAAAGTAAAATGTACTATAAAATAACTACTCAACCAGTGTGATATTAGAGCAAACTAGACACACAAATCAAAGCACAGAATGGAATATTCAAAAGTAATATTCAATTAGTGAGGAAAGGTTATTTTTTAAAGAAATAGAAGTATGCACATTGTTTAATACTAAAGGATGCCAATTAGATTATGTTCAAAATATAATCTAAAATAAAATAGATCAGATATTACCATATTTTCAAAATTATAGTGAGTTAAAAAGCAAATTTAGGTAAATGCATCTAATGTTGGAGAGTTCTCTAAATATAGACGAGCTCTACAAACATGAAAATAGAAGTTGTAAGCATGAAGGAAAAGATTTGAATGTGTAAATTATTTATATAACAATATGAAGTGGCTATTAAATAAAATTTAAAAATGAGTAAAAAATATTTTAAACACTTATGAAAGATAATTACTTCTTTAATTGTAGAAATGTAAATATCATAAAAGTAAAGCCAAATAATTTTTAAATGAAAAATATAAATAAATAAGCATTTCTAAAAGAAGAAATCATAGTCAATTTTTAGAAGAATTTTGAAAAATGTCCAATTGTGTAAACAATTGAAGTAATGCAATTTAAAACAAAGAATTATCACTCTGCTGCATCAATCAAATTTTTTTAAATTAATGATTTTATCATTCTGGAAATGGGAAATGAGACTTTTGATTACACATTATCTTTATGTGGACACTGGCTCATGCTTTCTAAAGGCCAGTTTACAATATGTATCAAAAATCATAAAAATGTATGTAGACCCAGAATTACTATTTTTTAAATTTCCTCATAAGTAATAATGAATGAGGATTAAGTGTTGCTATATCTCAAGGTTTTTTTTTAAGTCACAGTGTGGTAAAATGTGCAAAACTTAAAAGTCCAAGACTAACTATAATGCTATGCAATAATTTATAATATTATTATAGGTCTATATTTATTGATGTAGAAACATATTTTCTATGTATTCTATATAAAAAGGTAGAAAAAGGTGCAGATAATACGATCTCTTCTTTTAAAAATATTACATGTGTTTGTTTTGTTGGGGAGTTCCCAAGACCAACCCCACATTCAAATCTTTACTACCAGGACTCAAGACTCACAATAGGGTTGTCTTCACAGCTAACATTGATTACAGGAGCTTAATGAGAATTCACCACACAGTCAAATCATAAGACACAGGCAGTGTCTGCAGGAATCTATGTGCAGACTTCTCATGCTACCTCTCCCCATAAGAGTCATAGTGCATCCTTCCCCATCAACAAAAATGCAGCAACCTCTAGGTTATGTTTCTACCCAGGAAAACCCACTAGAAACGCAGTGTCCGAGGACTTCATTCAGAATTGGCCACATTGGCAACCTCTGCCTAGCATGTACCAAAATTCTGCATTCTTTGTACAAACAGAGAGGGACAGTGAGCCACCTTATCAATTAGGGAAAGATTTGTGTAAGGAACTGTTTGCCAGCCAAGTTTTCAGATGCTAGCCAAAGGCCAATCTTGCAAGCAGGCTTTCCTAAGAATAGCAGCAGTTCAGGCCTGCCATAAAACACTTTTCTCCACATTGTGCACATAGAAAAGTCAGAAACATATGTGAACATGTTAATAGAAGTGATTGATATCTGGGTGGTAAGAGTACAGATAAAAGTTTATTGTCTTCTTAATATATTTATTTATTTTAAATGTTTTATTTTTGTAGTCATTAATGGGGACGGCATTATGCACCCTAAGAGTAAAGTGAATGGATTTCGGAGTCTGTCACCAGCTGGGAAACCTGATGCTTTTCTTGATAACACAGTTTAAACTGCGTAGTGCTGTTTATGGCCATGTTGTTCCCAGGCACACTTCACTTGGTACTGACTGGGCACTGACTCCTCCTCCTACATGAGTGCTTGATCTTCTGTCTCCCATTTTATAGTTTCCGAAGCTAAATCTGCAGTGAATGAATGCCAATGCCCTTTTCCTACAGCAAAGGACTTTTTCTTGTCTCATTTATTTGGTTCTTATATTAAGTATAACACAAATGTTAAAGTTATATTCTTACCCATTTCACTTCATTCTGCATAACAAAATGATGCATTTGCCTCTGGCTTGGCTGTTTCTTTGTTTTGATACCTGTGTCAGGATTTACTGCATTTTTTATTTACTTGTTTGGACCTTGGTCCAGATTGTTAAACTTTTCTCTGTCCCTGTTTCATGCTGACCTTGAGTCAGTTCTTTCTCCCTATTGGCTCAGGGTGTTTTGCTTACAGAACATCTCTAACCTGCAGTAATATATCCTAACCCTTACTAGAAACCAATGCTAATACTTCCTAATTGCTATGATGCATTGAACTTGAAGGAACTGAAAGAGAAAAACCAAAAACGTTACTTTCTCAGCAATCTTCACTATCTTGAATATTCCCAAAAGTTAAGAATATGCCCACATATAAAATAAAGAAATTGAAAAGCCAATAATATTAGTGCTGATCAAATATAGGACACTAGTTCCGCATAACCAGTTAGCCACTCTATTTCTATTTTCCCTGTGTTCTCCTGTGCAGAAATTGGCAGATTCTGATGAACAAACCTCTAAAGGCTAGCAAAAGTAGCATCAGATGGTTATAAGGCTTTTTACAGCCCAGAAGGTCTCAGGGTCTGTCGTATGGAAATTGGTCGTATGCTAGTGCCCAGATCCAGGCAAAGTATGCAGGAGGCAGGATAATTTTGTATCATCTCTCAACTCCCTAGCTAGGTAAATCCACTTGGTCTTTCCCTGTAGCCATTCCTTGGAGTCAACCTTTTCTTCTATTTCTCCCCAAGCATAGACTAGCTAGTCAGATATCTTATCCAGGAGTGTTTTAGAATCTCAAAGATGTCAAATGTCTTTATGTAATCTCTATTTCACAGAGAAGAAAACCAAGGCTAGAGAGGTAATATAGCTTGTCCAATGTCCCACACAGCTGCTTGGTGGCAGGCAAGATTAGTACTTAGGCCACTTGGTTCTATGCCCAGACAAAACTTATAAACTTCCCTGATATATCATTCAACCCATGATCTGGGCAAGTATTGCAAACCCTGCCCAGCGGGAAGTCTTGTAGGTCCTCATGTGAGGGCTGTCTAGATCAAGAATTCCATTGCTCCCATTGACACTGTAAGGGGGAACCCAGGACTTCTATCCTGACTTTCACACATACCATTTATTACCTCACAATTGACATAAGATTTTTCTTTTATTTTCTGATCATGAAGATTGAATAAGACAATTTGTGTAAAGTTTTAAGTAATTTCCTTACACATATTAGGTCAACAAGTGATGGCCAGGGTTATTCACAATGCCTCCCCAACCCTAGAGTGTCCATGGGGGGCTTGCTACTTAACAGCAAAAGAAAGATAGCTAAAGTGGAAGAGGGAGTAAAAAAGACAGAACAGGATAATGGTGAAATTAATGAACCCTCCCAAATCACCTTTGTACAGTAAGTCCTCACTTACTATAATAATAATATTACAATAAATATTGTAATAAATTTAAGCTATCCATACATTTGCAAAAGATTAATAAAACCATGATTATTATTTACCCAATTTTAGGTGAATCAGTAAGTAATGGTGATCATAGTAGTGGAGGTTAAATTAAGGAATAAATGCTTGCCAAGAGAACATTGTAAAGAGCACCTCCTACCACAAGGCAGTTCAAAACAATCACAAATATGGCAGGCTTGCTGAACACTTTCAGATCACATCATTTATTGTCATGCATTTGTATCATTATTGTATATTTACAAATTTTTATGTTGAAATAATTTGTATTTTTCATTCATTTTCCAACTCGTTTATTTCAGTTCAGGGTTCTGGAAGGCCGAAGCACAAAGCAGGAGCCAAGCCTGAGCAGAACACCATTCCATCACAAGGTGCACTCACACACACCCACACTTACTCAGACTGAGACAATTTAGATATGCCATATGTGTGTGTGTGTGTATTTTGTATGTACTTATGAATGAATATTGGTATGAAATTTTTATCTCTCTTAACAATTCCCATTAAGGTTTAAAATCAAGGTTTTCTGGCCTCATAAAACGACTTGGGATTTTTCTTGTATATTCTCTGAAATATTTCTGAATCACTGAAATTTTATAATCTTTGTTGAAGCCATTGGGGACTGGATATTTCTTTATTGAAAAGTTTACAAATAATTCAGTTGTTAAATGTTTGTATAAGTCCCCAATTTCTTCCAGAATAAATCATGCTATTGTTTATTTTATTAACATTTCATTTATTTTCATCTAAATTATACATAGCTATATATAATAACCTTTACAGTATGTCCTTATTACCTTGTTATTCTCTGCAGCATCGGTAGTTATAGCTCTTTTATCATTTCTGATAATGTATATTGGGCTTTTGTTTCACTAATCAGTCTCACTAGAGATTTGTCAATTTTATCAGTTTTTTAAAAAGAACAAATTTTTGGTTTTGTTGGTATCTGTATGGTAAATTTGTTTCCTATTTTAACTATTCAAGTCCTATATAACTTTAAGGCTCTACATGCAGCTTTTGGTCTTTCTTCCTTTCTATGTTGAAAAGGAAGTACTTAGAAATATGTAGCTATAAATATATTTATGGGGATATTTATTCATTTTGCTCACTGATGCATGTCTAGAGCTGGAAGGGTGCCTGGTACATAACAGGCAATAAATATTTATTGCATACAAAATGAGTAGAATATATTACTAGAAAATCCCCATATGTTTGTATAAACCATGGAATACTATGCAACCATAAGAAAGGATGAGTTCATGTCCTTTGCAGGGACATGGATGAAGCTGGAAACCATCATTCTCAGCAAACTAACACAAGAACAGGAAACCAAACACCGCATGTTCTCATTCATAAGTGGGAGTTGAACAATGAGAACACATGAACACAGGGAGGAGAACATCACACACTGGGGCCTGTTTGGGGGTGAGGGGCTAGGAGAGGGATAGCATTAGGAGAAATACCTAATGTAGGTTACGGGTTGATGGGTGCAGCAAACCACCATGGCACGTGTATAGCTATGTAAAAAAACTGCATGTTCTGCACATGTACCCCAGAACTTAAAGTATAATAAAAAAAGAAAAAAAGAAAATCCCCATATGTTTAAAACTTAGAAAGCACACTTGTAAATAATAGCTTAAAAAGAAATCATATTTTCACAAGAAAATATTTTTAAATATTGTACATGAAAACTTGTGATATTTAACTAAAATAGTACTTAGAAGGAAATATACAGCCATAAATATATTATGTATGTATAGATAATGGTATTATTTTAAAAGATTTGTTAAACCTCCCAAATGATTCTAGATTTTTGCATTTCTTTCTTTAGTTCTGAGTGTGTGTGTATATATATACTGGTGGCTTCCTAAAGAATTAAAATTCATGCATTATAAACCGAACCCCTCTATCATTGGTAATTTTATTATAAAACCTAGTATATCGCATTTTAATACATCTATACCACATTCCTTGGGGTTTTGTAAGCCTTTAGTTATTTAATTTTTACATCTCTATTAGTCAGCCTTTGTTAGGTTATTCTCCAATAGCAAATAATGCTAAACCCTAAATGGCTTAGAACCACAAAGCTCTGTTTCTTAAACAAGTTGTGTGTGGGTATCAACCCTCAAACAGTTCTTCTTTTTTTTTATTCTGTGATTAAGACTGAAGAAACAGCCCTTAAGAGAATAGCATGCTGTTCTCACTAAGGGAGAAAAAACAGGATGGTAGAGCTGTGCCATAGTTCTTAAAGCTTCTGCTTAATTTTCACAGCACCCATGGTCAAGAGATTGGCTTGAAATTTTCTTTTGTTGTACTACTTTTGTCAGAATTTTTAGTCAATATTATGCTAATGTTCAGTATGTACACATTCACTCCAGATCTACTCTCTACCATTCTTCACCCAGCTTTCTTTCTCAGAAGACTGATCTATATGGATCACAGTAACAGGGTATAAAATAGAAGACACAAAAACTGGGATGCTGCTAATCCCAGATTATTCCATTGTCTATGGTATTTTCCTATCTCTTGAATTTCCTTTATTTTGATGTGCTATTTATTTTCTAGTGGACCTTGGCTGAAACAGTGATTAGGAGCAAGAGTAACTTAAGAAAAAAATTCCTGAAAATGGGATTCTTGGATTGGGTTGCTTGTATATCTAATGAGTACACAAATAACTTCAGTGTTGGGGTAAAAAAGGATGAATTCATCCCAGCATTTAATACTTTTTTTTTTTTTTTTTTTTTGAGACGGAGTCTTGCTCTGTCACCCAGGCTGGAGTGCAGTGGCATGATCTCCCCTCACTGCAACTTCCGTCTCCCAGGTTCAAGCGATTCTCCTGCCTCAGCCTCCCGAGTAGCTCGGACCACAAGCACACACCACCACGCCCAGCTAATTTTTTTGTGTTTTTAGTAGAGATGAGGTTTCGTCATGTTGGCCAGGTTGGTCTCAAACTCCTGACCTAATACCATTTTAATTAACAAATAAACACCAGTAATAGCATAGGATGAATTACAGAGGGAGGGCAAGACATTGGGTGATCATGTGGTTGTTGGCAATAACAGAGATTTCAGAGATTTATTAAGCTTCTGGCTTTTCTTTACTATCATAGAGAGTAAGCATAGACGAAAGGGAAATTATAAGTAATAAGCATTTTAAAAGATGTATGAAAAAATCAAAATGTTTTTATGACAGATGTGAAGGATCATCCAGGGGTTTAGGGCAGCCATGGCTAAGGATGAAGCACACAAACTGATTATACATTTAGCTGTCAAATATCAGCCTGACCAGCGCTCTTCTGCTCAATAAGAAGTAAGACTTTGAGACATGAAATGGACATTTTTCAGCAGATCCATGTGAGGCTGAGATCTTGATGACCCATTTCCTTTAAATTACCCTTACCGCCCCCGTCCCCCGACACACACACAGGCGCACACACCACATCTAAGGTAATCAACCATACTCAACATAAAAGACTCAGGGATTGCACCTGAAATAATTGCCCCATCACTTAACTTTGTTTCTAGGCCTACAACAGGAACTGGATCACAGTATAATCAGATAAAGAGGTACAAGGTTGGCTCTGAGAACAGATAAACTGCAAAAATAATAATAATTAATAATAATAATAAAATGCCTTCCAATTTGTATCTGTGGGAGTTAGGAGGGTATATTTAGGAAAGAATTGTAAAGACTTTAGCCAAGGGAGAGGAAACATAAATTGGAATTCAGTCAAACTCATTGCTATGGGAGTATTCCCTTGGGCTTCAGAATTTAATATATTGGCTCATGCATGCAAAAGTGGCATTAATATTTTGCTAGCTAATAGACTAAACAAAACCTAAACTAAACATTGATCTATGGTTAATAAGTTGGAAATGTCACATCTTTTAACTCATTGTAAAGGAATTAATTCAAAGATTCAGAGAAATAGATGTGTTGGAATGAATTATTTGGACAGCCTCCTTGGCTAATCCCTAACCACTGTTACACAGAGGACCTGGAAAATAACCACCTACCAATGCATTAATAAATGCATCAATAAATGCATTGGTGATGAGAATATAAACATCTTTGAAGTGTTCTAAAGAAATTGTCATTAGTAAACTAGAGATGACGGTGATGATGCTACAGAGAAATTGAGCTCACTGCTATCAATAAGAATAATAGTATTCCAGAGGATGGAAGGCAGGAAGTTACATGAAACTGTCAGGGAGAAGATATGGAAAATAACCAATATAAACCTGAAGTTCAGAGTAATGAGAGGAGTTTTGTCCTGCAGAGATCTGTAGAAATGGCTAATGGATAAGGGATTTCTAGCAATGAAGCAGATGAGCAGACAACTAAAGTGATGTTTGACATTTATTTCATGTCTGACAAACAGATAAAAGTAAGTTATAGTGTTTTAATTCATGTCTTTGCACCCAATTGCCAATTCAACACCAATTCCCAAACCCAAAACCCCTTGATTGTGAGGGTAGATGGGGAATTTTGAGGAAAGACACAACAGCATGGCCACAATTATATCCTGAGAATCTTGTTCCAATATTTCCCTAGAGAACTTTGCCATCTACTAAGGTATCTGTGTACTGGATAAAGAAAAATACCCAGGCCTTCTAGGGATCATAAGATATACTGTCTATTAACCTGTTCAGATCCCAAGAGACCCAAAATGCTGCTATGATCTACTTTTCAGAGTAGGGACTTATGGAGCTAGAGTATTAAATGGAGTCTTGGCTCAAGTTTACCAGGGTTTAAGGCTGTTTGAAACTGAATTTGGCTCCTGTGAAAGTTGATTTTTTTCTTGTTTAATCTTGTTCCTATTATATTCCCTTTTAAATGTCAATTCAAAGTTCAGGAAGTTCACCAGCCCCATCACTCCTCAGTGGTTCATGATCTATATATTTGCTCTTTACCTCGGTGTGTCTCAACTTCTTGACTTTTTGGTAATATCTTCCGGAATTGTCAGATTCTCCTTGGGAGCTAATTACTCCCAAATACCAGGACAACATCACAGGTTAGTTGCTTTTCCTGAATACTAATTCTTTGTTAAAGTCTGATGCCTTCGATCTGATTTTTTTCCAATATTTTTGTAGTTTTTCTAGTGATTACTAGTCTGTGGGCTGACTAAAAATTTCTAGCTCACTATTCCCCAAAGAGAAACTCTAATTAGTATACTTTAACTAAAGTAAATATCTTAAAACATAATATATACACTAAATGGGACGTAAATCATAAGGGTTTAGCTTGATGAAAGTGTTACAAATTGAACATATCTAATAAATAAATTAAATATTATGAGAACACTGTAGGGTTCCATTGTACTGCCTCTCAGGTATTGCATTTATAAATATAACTTCTATCCTGACTTCCACCACCATCATTGTGACCTTTCCTTGATCATTATATAAATTGAATCATACTGTGCTTGGCCTGTATCTCTACATATCATGTCTATGAGAATCTTATTTTCTTTTTGTTTTTCTTCAGTAGACTTTATTTTTAGAGCATATTTAGGTTCACAGAAAAAATACACAGAAAATATCAAATTCCGTTGTGGCCTCCCTCTCCTGCACAGTTTTTCTTATTATTAACATTCTGAATTATTGCTGTACATTTTTTATTTATTAAACCAATGTTGACACATTATTATTAACCTAAGTCCATATATTTTACATTTGGGTTCATGCTACATATTTTCAGAACTGCAAAATGTCATAGTCACAATTAGAGTATTATACAGAATAGTTTCACTGTCCTAAAAATGCCTTGGGCCCCATTTATTTTTCCCTCCCCTCCTTCTCTGAATCCTTGGAAAACACCAGTGGTCATTTTATTATTTCAATAGTGTTGCTTTTTCCAGAATGTCATGTAGTTGGGACCACATAGTATATAGGCTTTTCAGACAGCTCTTTTCCACTTAGCAATACACATTTAAGGTTCCTCAATGACTTTTCATGGCTTGATAGCCCATTTATTTTTCTATTTATCTGTTCTTTCACCAATACCACACTGTCTTGATTACTGTAGCTTTGCAGTAAGTCTTGAGGTCAGATAGTGTCAGTTCTTCAACTTTGTTCCTCTCCTTCAATATGTTTTAAAATGTTGACTTTATTTTTATTCAGATAGGGTAAGACCAGCAGATAGAGAGATGACTGCCATTGAAAGATAGTTGATTACTTAGAGTTCCTGAGTGCCTGAGTGGGAAGGTGGCATATCACGCCACACATGAAGTGCCATGGGGAGAACACCAGAGCACAAAGTTCAGTTGTAGGCAGAAAGCAAAGGGAAGTTTTGGAGAGTCTTCAGAGTGGTTTTGAGGCAAAGCAGGGTAAGTGGTTTTGAGCAGGTTTAGAATTGGATAGTTTAAACAGTTTCACTGGGTTCCAGGACTATCCTTAGTTGTCTGACACCTGGCCCCAGGGGGATTAGGAAAAGGAAGTAGTGTCCCTCAGTCCAAGAGCATGCAAAAATAGGCAATTGTGGGTATGACTTCTGGATGTGTTTGACTGCACATGAAATTAAATTCATTTTCTATCTCTATGAATCTGCTAACCCTAGGAGGGCTGCTTTTTTCCTGGTCAGGAAGGTCCAGATGTCAAAGCATCAAATATGGGAACTAGAAAATCTCTTTAATATCTAATTTTTGACTCCCCCATTTGTTAGATTCTGGTCTTTAATTTCTGTCAGCCTCATCCTGTGATTCTCTCAAATCAACAGCTTGAGTTTGTAATTTCATACAGGTAAATAAATGTCCTCAGAATAGAAGCAATTTCCAGTGTTCCTCTGTGGATTTTATTTTCTTCAGATTTTGGCCTAAAAATTCCTACTATACCTTCAACTTGTCAATAGGTTTCTAAAATTTTTTAAAATTTTTCCCAGCAATTTTGTTTTCAGAAAGTTTTCTCATGTGACCAGCCAAGCCACTACAAGAAATAGTTCTCAGTCTTCCTCCTCACTCCTTTTTCCTTTGAGTGTCCTAGGCACAAAACATTCAGTATTGACTTTTTATTCCTAATTCTTATATTTCTACTTGGCTTATTATTCCAGAATGTTTTTATTCATGAAGTCATTTGCTGAATCTCGGCCCTGGCTGTGGTCAAGGCAATCCCTGCTGGGGGTGCTCATCCTTGTAGCTGCCCTGTTGTTAATGTCACAATAACACTGAACATCATTTTACCTCTTATTACACATAGCTCTGCTTACATCTGTCTTCTCTACTAGAGCAGATCAATTCATACATTTTATCTTTGTATCACTATAATGTCTCATATCCTGCTCTCTAAATCATGGTACTCAATGAATGGTTCCTCGATGAAAGTCATTTCCTTACAATAATTCCTAGGACAGAATTAAGAAATCCAGTTATTTGAATTTTTTCCAGGTTTTGATTTAGGAGAACAGAGACTACTTAGGTAATTCCCAAAAGTGCCAAGCAACCAGCACTCACCAACCCCTGCCTTCATCTCTTAGGCCTTATCAAGGCAGTTTTATTGTATATCTCCTGGTTGGAGAATTTGGCTTCTCCTGGCATTTCAACATTTTGTAGTCTTGATGTCAGAAAATCACTAGAATACTTATCTACACTTGTAGTTCTTTGCAGAGATGGAATGTTTTATTGCCATTTGAATTTTTTTCTTCTGGTATTAAATAATATGTCCTTGTTCAAGGTTAGTCATTTATTTCCTCTCTTGTTTTAGCTCTTACTAAGTCTCAGAAGGCCTTACTCCTTAGAATCCCAGAAGGCTATAAATACTCTCAAATACAATTATATAGAATCTGAATTGACATATTAATATAAACCAGACTATTTTCAGCTCTTATTTAAGACTTAAAAAGGTTTGGACAACTAAGTCTCCATATAAGCCCTTTATGAAATGCTTCAGTGCATTTTCTTCCAATTATTTAATCTTCTGGGACAGATGTCATTGATTTTACAACTGACTTTCTGCTGCCTCTTTCAATATTTAAAAGACCTACCAGAGTATAAGTCAACAAAGTCATATGGCAGCTTCCTTGATCTTTTGAACATAAGTAGGTAAGTCTATTTTCTTTGTCAGTTACTATCTAAAGAAAGAAATATTTTCTACCAAAAATTCAGGTGTGAATTCATTAGCAGTTTTTATTGTTATAAAAAGGATTCTGAGCCAAAGTAAAACTTTATTTGCTCTTTTCTTGAAATGAAAAAGCTTCCACTCTGCTAGAGTGCACACACACAGATACAGACACATATACACACACACACATATACACCCACCCCATCTTAATATATCAAATTTAAATGCTGAGATGTCAAGCAACAGAAGTAACTAGAAAGGCAGGAAAACTCAGCAGTGTAGATTTCTCCTTTTAAAGTAAAAGATGATTTTGAAAAAAAATAAAAATTTAAAAATAATACGGATTATAGTAGAACAAAGAATATATTCCAGAAAAAAATAGCAGATGAGAAAACTCATAAACAAAAGAAGAATGAAATAAACCATGCCATAATTTATTAAGTATTTAATTAGTGTCTGTTGTGTGCCCAGTATTGTTTGCAGCTGCTGCGGATTGTTTAGAATACGTTGCTATGCCCCCTGCCTCAAAGAAAGAATGTAAGTAAGGTTATGAGGCATCCACATAGGCAAATTGGTTATAAAGTAATACAAGATATTACCTAACCTGTTCCCATACATGCATGATTTTAAAGTCCCTAAGGGCTATGAAGAGAATGAGCATCTGTATGGACTCTAGTAGGCAGGGAAGGTTTATTGGAGAACATGGGACATGACAGGGATTTGAATATGAAAAACAATGGGCAAAACAAGTATATGAAGCAACCTGAAAAAAGATATAGAAGCAGTACTAGTGTTGAGGACAAGATTAGAGGATATTTTTTATTTAACAAAATTCTCATGAAAGTCACAGAAAAAGAAGCTAATGATTTAGGGAGACATTGCAATTTGTTTGGTTCATAAAACTGTGATTGAAATTAAGCAACATCCTCTTGACCTTCCTTGCCTTTGAGTGTTTTCATCAATCATATCGTTGATTTGCCTACTTTCCTACCCCTTTTTCCTTTTTTTCTTATCTCCCTAATATTAAGATTAAAGAGAATAAAGCTCATATTGTAAAATTTGATAATTCAAAAACTTGGATAATTAAAATTGGATTATTCCAGAAAAGTCAGAAATGTTCAAATAAGTTTTACTTGAACAAGCAGTGTGGAACTATGCTTTCATCCCTTGGAAAAAGTATATGAGCAGATCATCTTCTCACAAGGTAAAGAATGGGTGCCATAAAATTTGGTAAGTAGAAAGTGGATTTGAAGTTAGAAGACTTGAATTCTGATACTGGATCTACCACTTGAGCATATTATTTAATTTTTGACATTCTAATCAAGTCAAAATATTTGAGCACATGATAAATCACAAACTATGCTATATTCTAGGGACTCATTTTTTAATTAAAAAAAGTTATTCCTGCATGTGAGAAGCTTATAATCTATAAAGAGTGCCAAATATATAAAGAGGTATGTTCAATGCAACATGTTAAATGCAAGGATGAGGATGTTCATGGGTTACTCTGCCCAGGAGAGGGCACTTAGTACACTTGCCTTACCCGTGAGATAGCGACAGACACTTTTGCTATCTACCAGGATGTTAGAGTCAAAATGAAGTAGCTTACATGAAAGCATCTTATTTTCCGCAAGGTCTGAAACAAAGGAAAAAGCTGTTGTAGCAGGTGTGTGGAACTACCTAAGCAAATAAACCACAACAGAGATGATGAACAATGAACAAACTCAAGTGTGTCATGTCAAACAACTCCTAACATCTTATAGCCATTAAAGTAGCCAACAAGTTGGGAGATGTTGAGTTGTGCAAATATTACATCTGGTTTCTCCTGAATCTCTGAAGCTGATTCTGAAAGTAAAAATGATTAGGGCTCTGGGAGGAGGAATAACCTAGACTATAAAATAATGGGAAGTTCCTGAGATAGGCTCTTCTCTTTCCATTTAGCACTTTCTGGCTATTTTATTTGCAAGAGATTCAAGGTGTGTTCACGTTATTTCCTCTCCTTTCTTCAATAGAGAGAAGACTTAACCTAAGTCTTCCTGCTCCACCCCTATCCCTAGTGATCATCAATCTATTTTGTTTCATAGACAGATACATCATAACCTTGTGACCCAGGTTTTACACTTGGGTCCCTTCACAGTTCCAGAAACATACAGAACAAATGTCATAGAATCATGAAAGAGAATTCAAAGGCTATAGACTCCTTAGATAAAAAAGGGCAGATTTATTAAAGAACCCTGATTTAATCATCCCACAATGTATACATGTATCCAAACATCACATAATACCCCATAAATAGGTATAATTATTAGTTGCTAATAAAAAATAAATTAAAAAGAAAATAATTTTTAATGTAAAAGTAACAGTTCTTTCTTTAACTGTGCATATTTAAATTTTTGCTCAATTTTAAAAAAAGAATCTCAAGGATAAGAACACTTGAGTCAAATGCAGGGAAACTCTGTCCTGATTTAAGGATCCAGGCTCTTCTAGTGTTCAAATATCAAACCAGGATATTTGCCTCTCAACTCCTTAACTGCATAAGCAGCTGACACATAGATTGGAGTTACTATGTGTTAAGTGCTGTTTCAAGTACTTTACTGATACCATCTAAGTTCTTACAACAATCCTATATAATATGTTCTATTATTATTTATGTCTTACAAATGACAAAAATTGTCACACTGAAGTTCATAGCTCTAAGTGGCAAAGGCAAGTTTCAAACTCTAGCATTCTTGTTCCTGAGTTCATGCTCTGAGGCACAGTGTTTTAATGCCTTTACAATAATGCTAATTAAATGGATTGTGATATTAGGAAAAGAAACCAAATTACTAGGATAGAATATACATCCAAGGACCAAATACATACAGTACAAGAAAAATAATTTAAATTTTCTATTCCATATTAAAGGTAATGTTCTTCTTAAACTGAGAGAATTTTTTCACTTTGTCAAATAGTTGGATCCTTTTAACTTTGGGGTATTTATATACTGTAGATAATCATTTCTCTGTTACTTCAGATTAATAATTTTTTGGAAAAATCATTAAAGAGGCATCTATATCTAGATAGACTAAGAGAAAGAGATGTTAACATTATGAATCTGACAATATACTTAAAGTGAAGGCGTTGGGAAAATGTTCGTATTACAAAGATAGTTATCATTTTGTCTCTTTCAAACACATTCACAGAAAGAAGTTCTTCAGATGCGAGGTTTCAACAAAACCACTGTGGTTACACAGTTCATCCTGGTGGGTTTCTCCAGCCTGGGGGAGCTCCAGCTGCTGCTTTTTGTCATCTTTCTTCTCCTATACTTGACAATCCTGGTGGCCAATGTGACCATCATGGCCGTTATTCGCTTCAGCTGGACTCTCCACACTCCCATGTATGGCTTTCTATTCATCCTTTCATTTTCTGAGTCCTGCTACACTTTTGTCATCATCCCTCAGCTGCTGGTCCACCTGCTCTCAGACACCAAGACCATCTCCTTCATGGCCTGTGCCACCCAGCTGTTCTTTTTCCTTGGCTTTGCTTGCACCAACTGCCTCCTCATTGCTGTGATGGGATATGATCGCTATGTAGCAATTTGTCACCCTCTGAGGTACACACTCATCATAAACAAAAGGCTGGGGTTGGAGTTGATTTCTCTCTCAGGAGCCACAGGTTTCTTTATTGCTTTGGTGGCCACCAACCTCATTTGTGACATGCGTTTTTGTGGCCCCAACAGGGTTAACCACTATTTCTGTGACATGGCACCTGTTATCAAGTTAGCCTGCACTGACACCCATGTGAAAGAGCTGGCTTTATTTAGCCTCAGCATCCTGGTAATTATGGTGCCTTTTCTGTTAATTCTCATATCCTATGGCTTCATAGTTAACACCATCCTGAAGATCCCCTCAGCTGAGGGCAAGAAGGCCTTTGTCACCTGTGCCTCACATCTCACTGTGGTCTTTGTCCACTATGGCTGTGCCTCTATCATCTATCTGCGGCCCAAGTCCAAGTCTGCCTCAGACAAGGATCAGTTGGTGGCAGTGACCTACACAGTGGTTACTCCCTTACTTAATCCTCTTGTCTACAGTCTGAGGAACAAAGAGGTAAAAACTGCATTGAAAAGAGTTCTTGGAATGCCTGTGGCAACCAAGATGAGCTAACAAAAAATAATAATAAAATTAACTAGGATAGTCACAGAAGAAATCAAAGGCATAAAATTTTCTGACCTTTAATGCATGTCTCAGACAGTGTTTCCAAGGATTAAGACTACTCTTGCCTTTTTATTTTCTCCTATTCCAAAAAGAAAAAAAATGCAAGTCAATCTACACTCTATATTGTCCGATGTCTAGTTAAAAAAAAAGAATTCACACTTGGCAAAAAGAGAAAAGCATGAGAGTTTTTCAAGGAAAGACACAACCAAAACAAATATAAGGACAAGAATTGCTTTTCCAGTTGGAGAGACAGAACAGAGTCTGAAGTGGCTGGAAGCATTTTTATCCGGGACACAGGCATTCATCTAGTAATACATTCATCTGTGTACCAAGTCCCATTCAAAGAGGAAAAATTAAAATGAACAAATGTATAGTTTATGGTGGTTGGGACTGGTTAGGTGAAAAGATGAACACTGAAAAAAATATGATAATGCAAGATAATCAGATCAGTTAAAAGAATATAAATAAAAGTTATGAGAATCAAAGGAATGAGTATTTATTCCATCTGAAAGAGAAAAAGATTTAGAATAAGTGGGATGAAAAGAAGGGAGAGAAAATTTAAACTGGGCCTTAAATGGAGAACAAGATATTAATACTAAGAAACTGGGTTTTACAGTGACAAAAATGTTAGTCGATATTATCAGAATTGTTGATAATTCTAGATTTTTATTATGTTAATCATAAGTTAAACATTATTTTTATTTATAGTTCTTGTTTTGTTTTCACTTAGCTATATGTTTAAGTCTTTCAGATCATGTAATTTTATTTAATAATAGACTAAAAATAAACAATAATGACATCCTCATGCTTGATGATCAAATAGAACACAGTGCTCTGAAGAGGCAAAAATGGCCATAATCTCTATGATGATCATAGTGTAATATTTATAAGAACCTAACATTTTATTGATTACAATAATATAATTTGAATTATAAACACTGATCAGGATTGATTTTAAATCTAAACTATCATTTTCAAGCTACATAGTTTAAGAAATGTTATTTAAAATATTAAAACCGATAAGCCTTGAATTTTTTCATCTGGACAACTAAGATTTCTTTTTGAGTAAATATGTGAACTATCTCATTCTCACAGTGCTTGGATTCTAGTTGAGGAAGTCAATTACTGTTAATGAGATCCTTGTTCTGCCCAGAGACTAATCCATACTAGAATTAAAATGTGCTGATTTGTTAAAATTATGTTACATCTCACAAATGAAAAGCTGAAATATCATTATTTGTATGACTGTAAAAATTACATGTAAATTTCTTTTGAGACAGGGTTTCACTCCCGTCACCCAGGCTGGAGTGCAGTGGCTCCATCTTGGCTCACTGCAGCCTCCACCTCCCGGATTCAAGCTATTCTCGAGCTTCAGCCTCCCGAGTAGCTGGGACCACAGGCGCCCACCACCATGCCCGGCTAATTTTTGTATTTTTTGTAGAGACGGGGTTTCACCATGTTGGCTAGGCTGGTTTCAAACTCCTGTCCTCAAGAGATCTGCCTGCCTCACCCTCTCCAAGCGCTGGAATTACAGGAGTGAGCCACCGCCCCTGGCCAAAATATTTTTATATAACAAACTAAACAGCATGCTCTCTTCCCTCTGTAAAGCACCCTGACTGATTTTCATGGCACAATGAACACTTAATGTTTAACAGATTACTTTCCATTGTGCCTGCATATTTCTGCCCCTACAAGTTGGGGTGGGGGTTGGGGGTTGTGCTCAAAACCACTTCTAACAGTTGTATTTATTATTCTATTTATTCTACTTGGAAAATGTAATTTTGTACTATGTAAACTAATAAAGTATGATTGCAAAAAAATCATCTGTTTTTAATACAGCCAGGTGAGTATTTTGGAAAGACTAAATATGAGGAAGAAAATAAAATCAAAAATTCTAGAAGTCTTATTCATTTGGATTTGCAAGTGTCTCTAAGTTGCTGCTTATATTTAAATTCACCAAAATGAATGTAATGCATTATGAGTGGGCTTATGCTAGAGGTACTCTGAAGAACTCTGATCAAGTAGTCTAACACTCAAAGTAAAAGCTTTATCCTTACATGAATATACTCACAAATATATGCATTTTAAGTGGTTCGAGTTAAAATAAAACATTTTAGTATATGAGTCATCTTTTTTATTTTCAACTCTGTCGGACTTTGGATTAATCAACCAATTACCTGGTCCTGTTGGGCAGATGTGAGGATTCTATTGTTTATTTTTAACTATGTAAAAAAGTATCTTTCTATAGATGAGAATAGAAATGTAACATGCAAAAGGAAGTGTGCTGATATTGTGGGTGTATGGTTTATTAGTTTTCATTTAAAACTAAGTCCATATGATTTTATAAACTGTTCTACAATTTAAGAAAGATGTGTATGCAGTTACAACTCTTGTTTGTCCAAGTTATTCCTCAACCCCCCAGATGCCTTGTTAGCAAGAAATTCACTATTTCCTTCTCGAGGCGTTCTATCCTGAATTTTTTGGAAACCCTGTGGATTTACACATTTAAAAGGGGAATCAGAGTGGTTTCCATACCAAAGACAAGAGACAGCTGGTTCACTATGTGCTGCTGTCCCCCCTGCCATCCACAGTATCATCAGTAGGATTGTTCCTACATGGCTGACAGGCAGTGCTGGTTTTCTCACTCATCACAATGGGCTTCCCAACAGGCATGGTTCTTTGAGGGATATTAATTTCTCCCAGGTAAATTAAGACTCTCTCACACTTGTTCTCTCCAGGTTTCAACTATGCCCCCCTTTAATTCCCATTCACAATTCTGTATGAACCACCAGCTTTCCTCAGGAACACTGAGTCAGAATTTGTTCTGTTGTGTAAGCACTTCAGACCCCAAGTTTCCATCACTCTTTTCTCCATGGGGATAAGTGTCTACTACACAAGAGCTGCTCCTTTCAAACACTCAGAAGACAATCTGATCATAACATTATGTGTACATGTATCAAAACATTACACTGTATCCACTAAATATGTACAAGAAAAAAGTTGAAAGATCTAATTACCCTTTTTCTTCCCCAAAACAATGGGACAAATCACTTGTAAGGCAAATATACACTTGCAACTTTAGGGTCTCCCCTATATACCTTTTCAAGTGTGTCTACCTACCTGTGAAAATTGCTTCTGGTGATTTGAAGGTGGTTTTCTCACTAGAAAAATGGAAAAATTAAAGAAAAAAAATTTGAAATTAGGACTGACAGTATACTTCCTCTAGCAGGGTATTCCATAGCAGCTGTTATCTTTTCAGTAATAAACAATGAAAATGTAAGCTTGAAAAGGAAGATTACTTGAAGTGTTCCATAAAATGTTACATTTAACTAGAGCGTTTATATATGTGTGTGTGTATATATATATATATATATATATATTTTTTTTTTTTTTTTTTTGACGGAGTCTCTCTCTGTCACCCAGGCTGGAGTGCAGTGGCACGATCTCCGCTCACTGCAAGCTCCGCCTCCCGGGTTCACTCCATTCTCCTGCCTCAGCCTCCCGAGTAGCTGGGACTACAGGTGCCCACCACCACACCTGGCTAATTTTTTGTATTTTTAGTAGAGACGGGGTTTCACTGTGTGAGCCAGGATGGTCTCAATAGAGTGTTAATTTTAAGGAAAACAATTTATGTTTGCTGTCTCCATTAAGTAACCTAGGAAAGTACCTATTTCATGTCTCAAAAGAGGAAGTCATAGTTTTCTTTCACTTTTAATGATGTGAATATCACATTTTTATCGTGGAGAAAGAAAAGCTCTCTTGAAAGAAGAGATTGTAAGATTTTTTATTTTTTTGCCCATTGTTTTTCTAAAATCATACATTAATATAAATGTTAAATAATTAATATTTTATTATAAATATAGGTGTTTTAACAAAAAGTTCAAAATGTAAATGGTTCTTTTGAGTTTTTTATTATTTAAAAACTAAATTTGCTTATTTTTTTAAAATTATTCCCTTTGTATTATATAGTTAATTATTTTTGCAACTAATAAAGAACTAAAAGAAACTGAATAATAAAGAAAAATATTTTTCATACTACAATACTGATGTCAGATTAAAATTCTGGCTCTTTTAGCAAGTATTTATTTTTATTTAAGAAAAAGCTTCTGATACTACTTAGCCATAAAAAGAAAGAAAATAATGGTATTTGCAGCAACCTGGATGGAGTTGGAGACCATTATTCTAAGTAAAGTAACTCAGGAATGGAAAACCAAACATCACATGTTCTCACATACCAGTGGGAGTTAAGCTATGAGGATGCAAAGGCATAATGATACAATGGACTTTTGGGACTGGAAGGGAAGGTTGGGAGGGGGTGAGGTATGAAAGACTACACACTGGGTACAGTGTACGCTGCTCCTGTGATGGGTGCACCAAAATCTCAGAAATCACCACTGAAGAACTTAATCATGTAACCAAACACCACCTGTTCCCCAAAAACTACTGAAATAAAAATTTTAAAAATGTTTTTAAAAAGTTTCTGGCTTACTACTTACTGGTCCTGGGTAGAAACTAAGTGACCAGACAACATTATCAGATATTTGACATGTATAACGACAAAACTGGGTATAATCAGCAACTTTTAATGAATTGGAAGAAGTATATATGTGACTGAGGTAAAAAAAAAAAAATACCCAAATACACAAGTATATGATATGTACATATAGTTTCCAATCCCAGAACGCATATTTTTTAAAAATCATACTCCTACTCTTCTTTCAGTCTGAAACTATGGCATTTAAGGGAGTTTTTCCATGAACGTATGACTCGGCACGAAAACTCCGAAGCCTGGTTTCCAGCTAGTTCTGCTTGATATAGCAATACCAAGAAGAAGTAGACTCTGTGGTCAGTCAGAGATGGACCTGAACCATCAGGGGGCAGCCCTCCAGGCAGAACATGTGTTTTCTCACTTTATCTGTGTGAAGAGACATCCAAGGATGAGGTTTACAACAAATCCTGGAAAGTTGCTTTAGTCTTGCCATATTCTGACAAACCTAGGACAAAAGTCAGACCAATGGAAAAAGGATATTTGGGGGAAGAAATAGATAGAAAAACCTCTAAGGATAATCCTTGAATATGATTGTATCTATATAAATGTTCATCAGTAAGACCCCAAAACACAAACAATCTTAATAATCCAGTAGATGCGGTAACCTACTTTCAGATCATCAGTCATCATTCTTCGCAGACTACCTAGTGTGGATTAATGGGACGATGGACAAAGGCTATGTTGGCAGTGGGGAAAGCTATCTATATACTCGGCAAGATTTATTTGCCTCATAAAAGCTCACCTGGCTACTGCTCACTGCTAGATGACAACAATACTTATTAACCCTGATATTTTGTATTTTCTTCAGTTTGGTGCAACTCTGTCTTACATTTGCTGAAATGACCTATTGAGAACTCAGTATGTTGTTAACTTCAATAAAACATCTCGAAACCGAAGTATGCCATCAATTGTGGAAGAAACATTTAATATGAAACAGTAATTGATATATGGTGGGCTTCTGGGAACCCTAGGAGTGAGGTAGAGGGTTCAACTCTCAACCATCAATGTCTAATTTTACTCAAAATATTTTCTTCTCAACCATTTCTCTCTGCCCTAACCCAATTCTTTATTGGCCTACAGAATTTGGAGCCCAAAGAAAGAGCACTTCCTCAAAAGCAGTCATTGGATCAATGAGACCACTGGTCATTTCAGGTTTCCGAAGCTATTGAACAACCAAGAAAATAAAGGAATATGGTGTCACTTAGGGTGGCTTATCTGAGCATCAGATAGAAATTAGGTTACAATTATATTATTAAGATGAGAAGAAGACATAGAATGTTGAGAATCTTTTTGTAGGCCTTACTGCACTACCCTGCCTAGAGATAAAAGAAGACACCCACAATCTCATCAAGGCAGTTTCTCCAAGAAGTCTGAGTTGTCTGGAATAAATATTTACACCAAATGCCAATCAACTACTAAGCTAAATGAAGTTAAAAAAATGGCAAGAGCAAATGAGTAGATTAAGCGTAAGTAAACAGCAATTATATCACCATAATCCATGGAAGAACTGAGGATTATAACCCCTAATGGTATTTCCAGTTTTTAAAATTTTTCTCTTTAAATTTCTTCAAAAATTCATGTTATTTAACAGTATGATGGTGGTACTTAAATTTTCCACCTAGTCCAAAGACTGTGTAATTCTGAGATGGTACTATGACAGGACTAAAGCACATGAACATCAGCCAGAGGTCCTTCCTATGGCTAATTTGTGACTTTAGGTAGTCTCCTTTTAGGAGCAGTGAATACATTTCATTTTATTTTATGATGCTTAATCCAAGAGTCATTCTCTATTCACATCTTTTTCCTAACTTTGGAGTATCATAGATTACTGCAACTGCCTCCTAGCTGGTCACTCTGCTGCCACCTTTATCCCCACAGATAACTCTCTGAATCCATCTGCTCCTCCTCTCTCCCTCCATCTCTCCATTAGAACCACAGTCTCCTCGGACTCCCTAAAACCCCAGGCATGCTCTAGGCTTCAAGCCTTTGAACTGAGTATTCTTTCCCAGTTATGTGTGCAACTGCTAACTTGCTCACCTCTTTCATGTCTTGGCTTAAATGTCCCCTTCTTAATGAAGCCTTCCTGAATACCCTATTTAAAATCATCACTCCTAACACCTCTACTCTTTTACCTCAATCCACTTTTTTTCTATAGTACATATTACCTCTAATATATGACATAATTTACTGATTTGTCCTGTTTAATTTTTTCTTTCTGTGCACTAGAATATAAACTCCTTAAAGGCAGGATTCTGTGCCTTTGTTCACTAATGTATCCCTTGACTAGAAAAGTGGCTAACACACAGTAGGTGTTTATTTAATAATATTTTATTAGATTAAGAATGGACATTTTGGGAACTATATAAAGGAAGAGATATGTCTGTGTATTCAAACACGTGGACATTGCTGTAAAGCCCAGCAGTACAATTTAATGGAGATCTACTATTTTCATTATGTCAGTATCCCTCTTTCAGGGAACATTCTTTTCCTGACTCCATGAAAACCAACTGGGGAAACAAATTACAGGAAATCATTATTTTGACCACAAGTTTGGACTTGTGACCCCAGCAGAGCAAATCCTTTTCTCTTACCCAGGATTTAAAATCTTGAGTAGAGACACAGAGGGCTGGAAATCATCCAGTGATAATTCCCTAAGTAGATGACTAACAAGATGCTACAGCTAAGATACTCTGGAGTTGTTGAGTTGTTCTGTTTCCCTCACAAGGCCTGGCTACTGAGTTCTTTCTTCATGTACATGAACTGCCCACAAAACTTTCAAAAATCTTCACTTTTACTTACACAATCAAATTTGAAGAACTTTAAAGAGTCTGAGATTTTGCACTTGTTGCAAGCCTACAAAGTTAGGTCTGCTTCAATTTCATGGATGCCAGTAGAAGACTCCTGGGTTCAAGACAGACGACAGCTTATTACTCACAGTAATAGTGGTAGCCAGACTATCAAAATTTGTGCTGAGCATCAGTTCCCAGAGAAAAATGTGAAGAGGGCTGGAACATCTGCACATATAGTGATGTATATTACAGGACAGGAACCCAGAGCTTAGTGACTACAACAGCCTTAATGTTTCCTTAGGCTTGACTGAACTTTAGACAGGCTTTTTCCTGACTCCAGGCACCTGCCCTCCTTTTTCTTAAAAGGTTTACTTTAGAAAACTTGTAATTGTAAATTATTTCTCTGCCCCCCCGTGATATAAATCTTTTTAAAAGCCTTTGTTAATTTTAGAATCCAGAAATATTTTTCTTAAGGACCTGAGAGCCATCTCTTTGAAATGTAATCTTCAAACAAGACAGTACCCTTATCTCCCACTTTCTATGGGAGAGTAGAAGCCTAACTTCAGTGGATGCCTCACTAAAGTCACAAAACTTCTACTTCCTGTCACAAAGATATCAAAGCCTTATTTTCCCTTTTGATATTACTTCTCTGTGATATACTTCTCTACTAGCTTACCTCAACCTTTAAAAACCATCTTGCCCCTTGTTTAGATGAAGTTGCCTAGTTCATACCAAGTTTTGGTCTTGCTTCTCTATTGAAATGCACTTAAATACAATTTTGCTTGGCCATTTAACATTGTCTAGCACAAATCTGCTTTGACATAGGGAAGTTGAAACTTTTATATGGACAATAAGCACACCTCAAAGAAAAAGACAATTATCTCTCTCTGTCACCACAGAAACACTAAGGAAAAAATATTCTGAAACAAAGGTTCCAGAGTGCTCCCACAATGAGCAGAAAAGTGAGACACATGGACAATTATCTCCCAACAGCTAATTATGTACCTTGAAACTAAGGGACTCTAACATCCTTTATTACATATTTTTCTGTTACAGACATCCCTCTGTATCCATAGGGATTGGTTCCAGAACTCTTACAGATACCAACATTTGTGAATGCTCAGGTACCTAATATAAAATGGCATGGTAGTTGCATAAAACCTATGCACATACTCCTGTATACTTTAAATTATCTCTAGATTACTTATAATATTTAATACTATGTCAATAGTTGTTATACCTAATTGTTTAAAGAATGATGACAAGAAAAAGTCTGTACATATTTATTACACATGCAATTTTTTCAAATTTTTTTGTAGTAAAAATTATTAATTTTATTACCTCTTGATTCTTAAGTATACCTCTTTTTAATGATTTTTGTGCCCAAATAGTAAGTGTTCATAAGACACTTCTGTTACATACTGAAATACAGCGGTTGTGGAAAAACACTTGGGTGATTGAGTGGTGTGCTGAACTAGTTTATTTTTATCTTTCATAAATCACCATTTTTATTTGAAAGAGTGACTGACAAACTATATTTCTCAAAAATGAATAAAGTGAGCCTGTCTATTCAAGGCTAATAACTAATAGTATTCGTTGCCAATGATAAAATTGGCAATGGATCAAGTGAAAATTAGATTTTTAGAGAACCTGTATCTAGTACTGTGAGCTTGATAGCGTCTCAATATTTAAAGGCTTTTCTGGGAAAATTGGTGATATTAACTAATGTGATTTTTATACTGTATAAAGAAATATATCAACATTTGGAAGATCTACATAACACAGTGAACCAATATTTTCCAAATGACCAATTAATAATGTTTACAAAATTATACATAGGAGAAAGATCCATTCAGTGTGCAAGATAGACCGATGGATTTTAATGTAGCAGTACAGAAAGTTCACTGACAAGTTTTCAGAATGCTCATGGAAAATATCCTTTGAAAAACTTTATCATTTTTCAGATCATGGTGTAGTATCAAAGAAAAATATCCACAACTATATAAAAAGACTATTAAAATTCTCCTCCCCTTTCAAATTACCCATCTGTGGAAGTCTGGATTTTCTTTACTTCAACTAAAACAGCATATTTCAAAAATTGAATGCAGAAGCAAATAGGGAATCCAACTTTCTTCTGTTCAGCCAGATATTATAACAGATTCAAAAAAGTGTAAAATAATGCATCTCTTCTCAATATTTTCTGTTTTTAGAAAATAGATTTTTAATAAAAATACTTATTTTAATATGAAATTTGATTATTTGCAATGATTCCAATATATAAATATTAGAACACTTGTCAGTTTTAATATTTGATATGGTGGGTGTTTTTTGTTTCTTTGTTTTTCATTTGAAAATTCTTATTTATTTTTACTTTTTTTAAAATTACACTTTAAGTTTTAGGGTACATGTGCACAACGTGCAGGTTAGTTACATATGTATACATGTGCCATGTTGGTGTGCTGCACCCATTAACTCCTCATTTAACATTAGTTATATCTCCTAATGCTATCCCTTCCCTGCCCCCTACCCCACAACAGGCCCCAGTGTGTGATGTTCCCCTTCCTGTGTCCATGTGTTCTCAATGTTCAATTCCCACCTATGAGTGAGAACATGCAGTGTTTGGTTTTCTGTCCTTGCAATAGTTTCCTGAGAATGATGGTTTCCAGCTTCATCCATGTCCCTACAAGGGACATGAACTCATCATTTTTTATGGCTGCATAGTATTCCATGGTGCATATATGCCACATTTTCTTAATCCAGTCTATCATTTTTTGGACATTTGGCTTGGTTCCAAGTCTTTGCTATTGTGAATAGTGCCGCAATAAACACACGTGTGCATGTGTCTTTATAGCAGCATGACTTATAATCCTTTGGGTATATACCCAGTAATGGGATGGCTGGGTCAAATGGTATTTCTAGTTCTAGATCCCTGAGGAATCACCACACTGACTTCCACAAGTTTACAGTCCCACCAACAGTGTAAAAGTGTTCCTATTTCTCCACATCCTCTCCAGCACCTGTTGTTTCCTGACTTTTTAATGATTGCCATTCTAACTGGTGTGAGATGGTATCTCATTGTGGTTTTGATTGGCATTTCTCTGATGGCCAGTGACCATGAGCATTTTTTCATGTGTCTTTTGGCTGCATAAACGTCTTCTTTTGAGAAGTGTCTGTTCATATCCTTTGCCCACTTGTTGATGGGGTTGTTTGTTTTTTTGTTGTAAATTTGTTTGAGTTCATTGTCGATTCTGGATATTAGCCCTTTGTCAGATGAGTAGATTGCGAAAATTTTCTCCCATTCTGTAGGTTCCCTGTTCACTCTGATGATAGTTTCTTTTGCTGTGCAGAAGCTCTTTTGTTTAATTAGATCCCATTTGTCAATTTTGGCTTTTGTTGCCATTGCTTTTGGTGTTTTAGACATGAAGTCCTTGCCGATGCCTGTGTCCTGAATGGTATTACCTAGGTTTTCTTCTAGGGTTTTTATGGTTTCAGGTCTAACATTTAAGTCTTTAATCCATCTTGAATTAATTTTTGTATAAGGTGTAAGGAAGGGATCCAGTTTCAGCTTTCTGAAACTGGCCATATGGCTAGCCATTTTCCCGGCACCATTTATTAAATAGGGAATCGTTTCCCCATTTCTTGTTTTTGTCAGGTTTGTCAAAGATCAGATGGTTGTAGATATGCGGCATTATTTCTGAGGGCTCTGTTCTGTTCCATTGGTCTATATCTCTGTTTTGGTACCAGTACCATGCTGTTTTGGTTACTGTAGCCTTGTAGTATAGTTTGAAGTCAGGTAGTGTGATGCCTCCAGCTTTGTTCTTTTGGCTTACGATTGACTTGGTGTTGTGGGCTCTTTTTTGGTTCCATATGAACTTTAAAGTAGTTTTTTCCAATTCTGTGAAGAAAGTCATTGGTAGTTTGGTGGGGATGGCATTGAATCTATAAATTACCTTGGGCAATATGGCCATTTTCATGATATTCGTTCTTCCCACCCATGAGCATGGAATGTTCTTCCTTTTGTTTGTATCCTCTTTTATTGCGTTGAGCAGTGGTTTGTAGTTCTCCTTGAAGAGGTCCTTCACATCCCTTATAAGTTGGATTCCTAGGTATTTTATTCTCTTTGAAGCAATTGTGAATGGGAGTTCACTCATGATTTGGCTCTCTGTTTGTCTGTTATTGGTGTATAAGAATGCTTGTGATTTTTGCACATTGATTTTGTATCCTGAGACTTTGCTGAAGTTGCCTATCAGCTTAAGGAGATTTTGGGCTGAGACAATGGGGTTTCTAGATATACAATCATGTCATCTGCAAACAGGGACAATTTGACTTCCTCTTTTCCTAATTGAATACCATTTATTTCCTTCTCCTGCCTGATTGCCCTGGCCAGAACTTCCAACACTATGTTGAATAGGAGTGGTGAGAGAGGGCATCCCCGTCTTGTGCCAGTTTTCAAAGGGAATGGGCTTCCAGTTTTTCCCATTCAGTATGATATTGGCTGTGGGTTTGTCATAGATAGCTCTTATTATTTTGAGATACTCCCATCAATACCTAATTTATTGAGAGTTTTTAGCATGAAGCATTGTTGAATTTTATCAAAGGCCTTTTCTGCATCTATTGAGATAATCATGTGGTTTTTGTCATTGGTTCTGTTTATATGCTGGATTACGTTTATTGGTTTGCATATGTTGAACAAGCCTTGCATCCCAGGGATGGACTTCATGTCTAAAACACCAAAAGCAATGGCAACAAAAGCCAAAATTGACAAATGGGATCTAATTAAACTGAAGAGCTTCTGCACAGCAAAAGAAACTACTGTCAGACTGAACATGCAACATACAGAATGGGAGAAAATTTTTGTAATCTACTCATCTGACAAAGGGCTAATATCCAGAATCGACAATGAACTCAAACAAATTTACAACAAAAAAAACCCCATCAACAAGTGGGTGAAGTATATGAACAGACACTTCTCAAAAGAAGACGTTTATGCAGCCAAAAGACACATGAAAAAATGCTCATGATCACTGGCCATCAGAGAAATGCCAATCCAAACCACAGTGAGATACCATCTCACACCAGTTAGAATGGTAATCATTAAAAAGTCAGGAAACAACAGGTGCTGGAGAGGATGTGGAGAAATAGGAACATTTTACACTGTTGGTGGGACTGTAAACTTGTGGAAGTCAGTGTGGCGATTCCTCAGGGATCTAGAACTAGAAATGCCATTTGACCCAGCCATCCCATTACTGGGTATATATCCAAAGGATTATAAATCATGCTGCTATAAAGACACATGCACACGTGTGTTTATTGTGGCACTATTCAGAATAGCAAAGACTTGGAACCAAGCCAAATGTCCAACAATGATAGACTGGATTAAGAAAATGTGGCACATATACACCATGGAATACCATGCAGCCATAAAAAATGATGAGTTCATGTCCCTTGTAGGGACATGGATGAAGCTGGAAACCATCATTCTCAGGAAACTATTGCAAGAACAGAAAACCAAACACTGCACGTTCTCACTCATAGGTGGGAATTGAACAATGAGAACACATGGACACAGTAAGGGGAACATCACACACTGGGGCCTGTTGTGGGGTGGGGGGCAGGGGGAGGATAGCATTAGGACATATACCTAATGTTAAATGACGAGTTAATGGAGTTAATGGGTGCAGCACACCAACATGGCATATGTATACATATGTAACTAACCTGCACGTTATGCATATGTACCCTAAAACTTAAAGTATAATAAAAAAAAAAGAAAAAAAATTTGCTATTTTACCCACAAATTCAACTCCAAAATTATCTCAGGTTTTTTCTTCTGAAAGTTCAGTATTTCCTTTAGAATATTTTTCTATGAATAAAGTTAAATTTTAGGAATTTAGGTAGCACTATATTTCCCCTGGCCACGCCAGAATGGGATGTCATTGAATACTATAAAGCACAGATTCCTGATGCTCTTCACTGCTTGACGTTCCATTTTTTATATTGCCATTTCTTTGCAGTATCCTTTGTACCTTACAGAGTAACTTTGCTCACTATGTCTTCTTTTTCAAATTAGGCTTAACATTTTCAAGTAGCACCTACACACAAGCACACACATACACTGGTCACCTGAAATTTAGGGAAGTCAGTCTTTTTATAACATTAAATTCAGTCATCCAAAAATGTGAACCATTTTTTCCATTTAAGATATTTTTATATGACAATAATTATTTAATAGTGATTAAAAAATATTTATTAAATTAATCTCTAGATAATTTATAGTTTGTATTGCTACTTTTTGTAATATCCATATTGGATTTTACTTTCTATTAATAGTTAATTACATAAAGAAATGCACTTCACTTTTGTTTGTTCATTTAGTGTCCAACAAATTTACTGAATTATTTTAGTGCCAATAGTTTATCCACTACTTGTATTTGACAACTTTCAAATGACGATACTGTCCTATAATAATGAACATTTTAATTTCTCTTCAAATCTTTATATTTCACTTGTTTTTCTTGTCTCCAAATATTTCATAGGATTTTCAATGGTATATTAGAGTTAATAGTAAAATAATAACCATTCTTGTCTAGTTCTTAATATTGAATGATAGGTATATAAAGAATCTTTAATAAATATGGCCTTTTCTATAAGTTTTTGTTTATAACATTTACCAATGATAAGAAAATTCGATTCTAATTTGCATTTGTTTAAAGTTCTTTTTTAAAATAACTCTGTGTTATAATGTATCAGGGCTTAGATTTCTAGTTGGTCCTAAAATGTCCCATTTATTATCTTTCTTAGTAAAGGAAATCCTCAATTTTTAATGGGCAAATGATTAACCTAAATAAAGATACTCCCCAGCTCCTTTGCAGCTAGAATGTAACTAAGATGTCTTGTAAGTGTGGAATGTAAGTGAAAATGTCATATGCCCCAGAAAATGTCTTTAAAGTGGTGGCGGTGGGGGAATAATATTTATCTTCTCTACCTCCCTAACTAAAATGTGGATGTGATGGCCAAAACACCAGTGGTCTCTTTTAAACCATGAGAAGGAATTCACATGTTAAGTCTCTCAGAAAATAAAATATCATAAACCTGAGCCCTAAAAATGTCATAAAGCTGTCCTACAAGTTATAAACTGCCCCTCTCTGAATGTATCTTTTTCATGGAAGGAAATGGACACATATTTTGTTTAAGTCAATATATGTAAATTTTCTATTATGTTCTCTGTTTAAAGGGTTCTCTCCAGGCAGATATGACAATATAGTATCCTTGATAGTCAGTCAAACTCTGGTCAGGTTAGAAGACAGAGCCTGTTATATAGTAAAATATGGAACTAAAATAATCCTAAGCCTTGGGCAGTATTCTGAAGGATGTTAGGTTCCTGGGCTTCTCTAATTCTCCTACAGCATCCCACAAGTATGAGTAGATATCTTTAGACTTCAGACTTTGATATACCTGTGATTTCACATATTAAAAATTATTTCAAGCATCTTTGATGCAGAACAATGTATTATCTAGTATAGATTTAGGTAGCAATATTTAAAGTTCTTGCCATTTCCTAATCTTCCTCTTGAATGGGAGCTCCTCAATAGGGTGTTTAAAAATGCTAACTAACAGCTGCTGGAAGTATTCCTTAATAGAATGATTGACTTGGTGAACAGCTGTCTCTATGTTGTAAATTCAAGATTAATTTACAAATACGATGTGCTACGTAAAATATTTTAAAGTAAATTTCAAACAATACTACACTAAATATAACAACAGGATATATTTTAAATAAATTATATGACAATAAAGTAGAATATCATACACTCACTAAACACAAAGGAGAAGAAAAATTCTTCAAAATATTGCACAGGTAATACCTTTTAATTTTCTTCAGATACATTTTTATTGTAAATCAATCTTAATTTGCACCTACCCAAATATTGAATAATCACATCTGCTTATTAAGTAGACGGGCGGAATTCACCCAGAAGAAAGGGATCTTTGTCTAACTTTGAGAGTCCAACTACTCTTTTGAATTGCTAGCAATAATACATAAAATTCAAATTCATTCATTTTAAATGTAAAGATCAAATTTTCACAAGTGGATACAGTCATGTAACCAACACCACATTCAAGATATTTCAATTTCATCACTCCAAAAGTTTCCATGCACACTTAGCACTCAAACCTTTCCCCCATCCATGACCCCAGGCAAGCACTAATCTTCTGTCACTATAACATGTCTTTTTTTATAATTTCATATAAATAAAAATATGCATTGCAGTATAGAAATACATTATGCAGTCTTGTGTCTGAGTTATTTCACTTAGCATAATGCTCTTGTTAGTCATCCATTTTGTTGAGTATATTAATAGCGTTTTTTCCCCCATCTTTTTATGGCTGAGAAGTACTCTATTGTATGATTATGACACAATTTATTTCTGAATTCACCAGTCAAAGGACATTTGGATTGCTCCCAGTTTGGGGCTCTTATAAATAAGGCTGCTGAGAATATTCACATACAAGTCTTTGTGAAGAAAATTGTCTTTATTTCTCTTAAGTAAATAACTAGGAATGAGATTACTAGGTTACATGTATTCACATTTACAATAAATCAATCAATAACGTACTAGGTATGTTTAACTTTGTAAAATACTACCAAACTGTTTTCAAAACTGTTTCAAAAATAGCTGTACCGTTTTGCAATTTTATCAGTGATGTACAAAAGCTCCTTTTGTTCCACATCCTCTTCAACACTTGGTGCTTCAATAGACTGAATTTTTGTCTCTTCCCAAAGTTTGTATTTTGAAATCCTAACCTTCAATGTGATGGTGTTAGGAGCTGGGGCCTTTGGGAGGGAATTAGGTCGTAAGAGTGGAGCCCTCATTAACAAGATTAGTGTCCTTATAAAGGGGACCACCAGAGCCCCTCTCACGTAGTATTACACTATGTGAAGATACTACAAGAAGATGGCAGTCTGCAGCAAAGAAGAGGACCCTCACCAGAACCTGACTAGGCTGCTACTCGGATCTGGAAATTCCAGTCTCTAGAACTCTGGGAGATAAATTTCTATATTTTGTAAGCCACCCAGTATTTGATTATTTGTTGTAGCAGCCTGCACTAAGACAGTACTTTCAGGGTTTTTTTATTATTATTATTTTAAGCATTCTAGCGGTTGTGTAGTAATGCCTCATTGTGGTTTCAATTAGCATTTGACTAATGATGATGAGCATCTTTTCATGAACTTATGAGCCACTTACATATCTTCTTTGATAAAAAGTGTATTCAAATATTTTGCTCTGTTTTTGTTATTGAATTGTTTTTCCTGTTATCGAGATATAGGAGTTTTTTAAAGAATATTCCTCGGCCACTAATCCTTTATGAGATATATATGTTTTACAAATATTTTCTCCCCATCCCTGCTCTGCATTTTCTGCTTCTCAATAGTGTTTTCTGAAGATCAAATTTTAATGGCTCTTATTTTTTTGTGTACTATCTAAAAAAATCTTTGCTTAACTCAGTCACTCGAATTTTTCTATGTTTTCCTTTAGAAAGTTTATAATTTCATCTATTACCCTTAAGTCTATGACTCATCTTAATTTTCTTTACGCTTCTATCGTTTTGGAAAACATTGTGATGAATTAGCATTATTTCTTCTTATACATTTAGTAGAATTCAACAATAAAGCCATCTGGACATATAGTTTCATTGTGTTAGGTATTTCAATTATAAATTCACGTTTTTCAAAGATATATAAGGTTATGTAGATTATCTATATATTTTTGAGTGACTCTAGGTTGTTTCTTTTAATAAATTTCTTTAATCTAAGTTGCTGAACTTACCAGCATAAAGTTGTTTTATTACTTTTATCATATTTATGAAATCTGCATGAATAGTACAATCTCCTCCCTTTCATTCCTGATATTAGTAACTTGTGTCTTCTCTTTTTTGCCTGGATAGAGATGTAACTGTATTAATGATTTTTCAAAAGAGTTATCTTTTGATTTAAATAATTCTTTTCTAATTTTTTACATCTTTAACTCATTTATTTCCCCTGTTGTTATTTTTTTCTTTCCACTTGTTTTGGATTTAATATGTTCTTCTTTTTTCCAGTTATTTAAGGTAGAAGCTTAGCTTATTAATTTTACACATTGCTTTTTAAAATTTTAATTATTTAAAGCTATAATTTGTGCTCTGTGCATTGCATTAACTGCATCTCACAAATTGTATATGTTGTATTTTCAATTTCTTCTAACTCAAAATACTTTCCAGTTTTTATTTTAATTTTCTTTGACTCAGCGGTTATTTGCATTTCCAAATATATGGAGTTTTCCAGAACATTTCCTATTTTTGTGTTCTTGCTTAATTGTATTATGGTGACAGAACATTCTTCATATGATTTCAATCCTTTTAAATATATTAAGGTTTGTTTAATGACTCGGAATATAGACTTTCTTGGTGATGTTCCTTGTGCTATTGAAAAGATTATGCTTTCTGCTGTTGTTAGATTGAAGGTTTATGTCAACTAGGTCAAGTTGGTTGGTAATGTGGTTCAGGTCTCTAGATCTCAGAGATTTCTTATCTCCTTTCTGTAATCCCTCTACAATTTCTAACAAAACATTTGGCACCCAATCAGAAGCAACAACTGGATTATTAGAGATTAACCCAGTATCTTGACAGTAAAAACATTGCATGGCTTTTTTACCGCAGCATAAATACCACATGTTCATAGGGCCTGTATTTCTACTCTCAGAAAAATGAAAGGGTTTTTTTTTTTGTTTGTATTTGTTTGTAAGATAAAGATAATGTACCAGGTGGCCTTATTTTATGAATAAGCAAATAAAGACCTACAGAGAGTTATACTATTTCTTAAAACAAGACCAAGGTGAGGACCAAATAAACAGTTTTCTTTTATTCCAAATGATCACCTTTTAAATGGAAAGTTGAGAATCCCTACCCCTAATTCAAAATTAAGCAGCCCTCAACAATGTTTTCAAAGAAGAACACATATATAAGTCTACATTTCTGGCACGGTTCACTTCAAACATTTACTAATTTCAGGCAAATTTAGATAGAGAAATTAAGAGAGAAAGCTGTTATGTTTTCCGAATCAAGATGATAGGCAACTTTCTATGAGATAAAAATTATTTTAGAATAAAGTTCCATGTAGCTAAGAGATTAATCCAGACACGAAAAGTTTATTTCCTGGGTGAGGGATACACTGATTGGGCGATGATTATTTTAGAATTGTAAATCTAGCCACCATATTTTTTGTTTCTACATATGTATGAGGTACATGTGAAATTTTGTTACATGTATAGAATGCATAGTAATCAAGTCCATTGATGGATGTTTAGGTTGATTCCATATCTTAGCTATTGTGAATAATGCTGCAATAAACATGCAAGTTCAGGTATCCCTTTGACATATTAGTTTCTATTCCTCTGAGTAGATACCCAGTAGTGGGATTTCTAGGTCAAACAGTAATTTTATTTTTATTTTTTGAGAAATCTTCATATTGTTTTCATAGTGTGCGTGCTAGTTTACATTCCCACCAGCAGTATATGAGAGTTCCTTTTTTTCCATATCTTTGTCAACATCTGTTTTTGTTTATTTGTTTGTTTTACTTTTTAATAATAGCCATTCTGAATGGGATAAGATTGTGTCCATTACGGTTTTGATTTGCATTTATCTGGTGATTAGTGACATTGAGCATTTTTTTCAAATCATATTAGCCATTTGTATGGTCTTCTGTATTTTGGGCAGCCTCTATTTGATTTTATTTTGCTTTAATCTCTATTATTTTTGTTCTGCTAATTTAGGGTTTAATTAGATCTCTTTTGGTTCTTTGTGTTGTGTTGCTTGATTAATTTGTAATATTTCTACTCTTTTGATTTAGACATTTCTTGCTATAAACTTCTCTCAACACTACTTTTGCTGTCCCCCACAGGTTTTGTATTTAGGGTGTTGATCACCTGAATATAAAACATTTTTATAGCATTTTTGTTACAAAAATGTTAAGTATAAGCACTCTACCCTGCCATCAAACATTGAATTTGTTTCTTCTATCTTACTGTTATGTTTGCACCCTTTAGAACTCCTCCCTTTATCCTGCTTCTTCCTCCAGCTCACCCTTCCTAGTCTCTCATCAATCTTTCCCCTCTCCATCTCAATGTGATCAAATTTTTTAGTGATATAAGTGATATAAGTGATAACATGTGATATTTGTCTTTTTGTGCCTGAATTATTTCACTTAGGATGATCTCCAGTTCCATCCATCTTGCTGCAAATGACATAATATCATTCTTTTTCAGGGCCAAACAGTATTCCATTTTGTGTATACATATCACATTTTCTTTATCCATTCATCCATTGATGGATGTTTAGGTTGATTCCATATCTTAGCTATTGTGAATAATGCTGCAAGAAACATGCAAGTTCATGTATCCCTTTGATATATTGGTTTCTATTCCTCTGGGTAGATACCCATAGTGGGATTTCTAGATCGAACAGTAATTCTATTGTTATTTTTTGAGAAATCTTCATATTGTTTTCATAGCTCGAGTGCTAGTTTACATTCCCACCAGCAGTATATGAGAGTTCCTTTTTCTCCATATCTTTGTCAACATCTGTTTTTTATTTGTTTGTTTTACTTCTTAATAATAGCAATTCTGAATGGGATAAGATTGTGTCCACTGCGGTTTTGATTTGCATTTTTCTGGTGATTGGTGATGTTAAACTTTTTTTTCAAATCCTGTTACCCATTTGTATGTCTTCTTTTGAAAAATGTCTATTCATGTTCTTTGCCCACTTTTTCATGAGATTATTTTCTTTTGCCTGTTGAGTTGTTTGAGTTCCTTGTATATTCTGGATATTAGTCCCCTGCCAGATGAGTAGATTGCAAATATTTTCTCCCATTTAACAGATTGTCTCTACACTTTGTTATTTCTTTTTCTATGCAGAATCTCTTTAGTTTAATATAGTCCCATGTGTCTATTTTTATTTTTGTCACCTGTGCATTTAAGGTCTTAGTGATAAATTATTTGCCTAAACCAATGTACAGGAGAGTTTTCTCTAGTATTTTTATAGTTTTGGGGTTTATGTTTAAGTCTTTAATCCCCATCTTGAGTTGTTTTAATAAGATGAGAGACAGTGATCCAGTTTTATTTTTCCACATGTGGCTATCCAATTTTCTCAGCACCATTTATTGAATAGGGTGTCTTTTCCCCAATGTAAGTTCTTGTCAGGTTTGTAGAAGATTAGTTTGCTATTAACATATGCCTTTAGTTCTGAGTTTTTTTATTAGCTCCACTGGTCTGTGTTTATATATTTATAAAAATTTCATGCTGTTTTTCATTATGATAGCCTTGTGATACATTTTGAAGTCACATAATGTGATGCCTCCAGTCAGGCTTGCTTCAGCAATTTAGGCTCTTTTTTGGATCCATATGAATGTTAGGATTGTTTTCTCTGATACTATAAAGAATGACATTTGTATTTTCACAAAGATTGCATTGAATCTGTAGATTATTTGGGGCAATATGGTTATTTTAAGGATATTAATCCTTCTGATATGTGAAAATAGGATATTTTTCAATTTGTTTGTGTCACCTACAATTTCTTTCATTAGCGTTTTAGAGTTTTCACTGTAGAGATCTTTCACCTTCTTGGCTAAAGTTATTTGTTAAGTATTTCATTGTTTTTCTAGCTATTGTAAATGGGGTGGCTTTCTTGATTTCTTTCTTGGTTAAATCATTATTGGTGCATAGAAATGCTACTAATTTCATATCTTCATTTTGTATCCTGCGTTATTACTGAATGTATTTACCAAACTAATGAGTTTCTTGGTGGAGTCTTTAAGTTTTTCCAGATATAAGATCATATTAAGAGCAAAGAGAAACAATTTGACTTCCTCTTTTCCATTTTGAATACCTTTTACTTCTTTTCCTTGCCTGATTTTCTCTGGCTAGGGCCTCTAGTACTACGTTGAATAGGAGTTGTGAAAATGGGCATCATTGTCTTGTTCAAGTTCTTGGAATGTTTTCAACTTTTCTTCATTCAATATGATGTTACCTGTGAGTTTGTCATATACGGCTTTTATTATTTTGGGGTAGTTCCTTCTATGCTTGGTTTGTAGAGAGTTTCTATCATAAAAGAGTGTTGAATTTTATCATATGATTTCTCTGTATCTACTGGGATGATTGTATGGTTTTCAGTTTGTTGATATGTTGTATCATGTTTATTCAGTTGTGTATGTTGAACTAACTTTGCATCTCTGATATAAATCCCACTTGATAGCAGTGGAATTTATTACCCACTTTTGATTACCTTTTGGATGTGCTATTGAGTTTTGTTTGCTAGTTTTGTTCTTGAGAATTTTTATGACTATGTTCATTAGAGATATTGGTCTATAGTTTTGTTTTTTGTTGTATCCTTTTCTAGTTTGGGTATCAGGGAGATGCTGGCCTCATTGAATGACTAGGGAGAATTCTCTCCTCTTCAATTTTTTGGAATAATGGCAGAAATTGGTTTTAGTTCTTCTTTTTACATTTGGCACAATTCAGCTGCGAATCCATGCAATTCAGTTTTTCTTTGTTGGAAGATCTTTTATTCCTGATTCAATCTACTACTCATTATTGATCTACTCTGGTTTACTATTTCTTCCTGATTCAATCTCAGTTGCCTGTGTATTTCCAGGAATTCTCTATTTCCTCTAGGTTTTCCTGTTTGTCAGCATATAGATGTTCATAATAATCTCTGATGATCTTTTGTATTTTTGTGATATTCATTTTAATGTCTCCATTTTCATTTTTGATTTTGTTTCTTTGAATCTTCTCTCTTCTTTTCCTGGTTAGTCTATCTAGTGGTTTACCCATTTTGCTTATCTTTTCAAAGAAGCAATTTTTCATTTCATTGGTCTTCTGTATTTTGGGCAGCCTCTATTTGATTTTATTTTGCTTTAATCTCTATTATTTTTGTTCTGCTAATTTGGGGTTTAATTAGATCTTTTTTAGTTCTCTGTGTTGTGTTGCTTGATTAATTTGTAATATTTCTACTCTTTTGATTTGGACATTTCTTGCTATAAACTTCCCTCAATACTACTTTTGCTGTGCCCCACAGGTTTTGGTATGTTCTGTTTCCATTTTCAGTTATTTCAAGAAATTTTTTTATTTCCATGTTAATTTATTCATTGACCCAGTGGTCATTCAGGAGCATGTTCTTTAATTTTCGTGTATTTGTATAGTTTCCAAAGCTTATCTTAGTATTGATTTCTGGTTTCATTCCAACGTGGCATGAGAAGATGCTTGATATAATTTTGATTATTTTTAATTTGTTGAGACTTGTTTTGTGGTCTAATATATGGTCTACCATGGAGAATATTCCATGTGCTAATGAAAAGAACCTGTATTCTGCAGCAGTCAGGTGACCTGTTCTGTAAACATCTCTTAGGCCCATTGGCCTAAAGTCTGATGTAAAGCTATTGTTTCTTTGTTGATTTTCTTGCTATATGATATATTTAATGCTGAGAGTCAGGGGTTGAAGTTTTCACTATTATTGTATTGCACTAAATCTCTCCCTTCTGATTTAGTAATATTGGCTTTATGGATCTGGGTGATCCAATGTTGCATGCACATATTTTCAAAATTGTTATATCTTCTTGCTGGATTGATTATCATTATATTATTTGTCTTTTTCTAGTGTTCTTGACTAAAAGTTTGTTTTACTGGATATAAGAATACCTTCTCCTACTAGTATTTGGTTTCCATTTGTGTGGCTTATCTTTTTACATTCTTTTAGTTTCTATCTTTATGTGTATTTACCAGTAAGGTGAGATTTTTGTAAGCAGCATATAATTGGATTATGTAATTTTATCCATTTAGCCATTCTATATCTCATAAGTGTAGAATTTAATCTATTTAAATTCAAAATTATCATTGACATGTGAGGCTTTATTCCTGTCACATTATAAATTATTTTCTGGTGGTTTGTATATTCTTCATTCCTTTATTTTTTCCTTGTTTGTCATTGTGGTTTGGTGGATTTCTAGATTGGTACCGTTTGAGTCCTTTCTCTTCCTCTTTTGTATGATTGCTTTACCAGTGTATTTTATACTTTTGTGTGTTTTCATGATGGTAAATGTGCTCCTTTCACTTCCAGGTTTAGTACTCAGTTGAGCATTTTTTTTTTTTGTTAACTTGTTATAGGCTTTAATCCCTGGAGCATTTCTTATAGGACATGCCTAGTGTTAACAAATTTTCCTCAATATTTGCTTTTCTAGGAAAGAGTATTTCTCCTTCATTTATGCAGAATAATTTTGCTTGGTATAGTTTCCCTGGCTGGCATGGTTTTTCTTTTTTTCTTTCACACTTTGTATTCTCTTCTGACCTGTGAGATTTCTGCTCATAAATCTACTGTTAACCTGACAGTGAGAGGTGACAGCGTGCTGGCAGTCCTTACAGCACTCGCTCGCTCTTGGCGCCTCCTCTGCCTGGGCTCCCAATTTGGCAGCACTTGAGGAGCCCTTCAGCCCACCACTGCACTGTGGAGCCCTTCAGCCCACCACTGCACTGTGGGAGCCCCTTTCTGGGCTGGCCAAGGCCAGAGCCAGCTCCCTCAGCTTGCAGGGAGGTGTGGAGGGAGAGGCGCGAGCGGGAACCGGGCGCCGCACACGCTTGCAGGCCAGCTGGGGTTCGGGGTGGGCGTGGACTTGGTGGCCCCCCCTCCCCTGCAATGAGGGGCTTAGCACCCGGGCCAGCGGCTGCGGAGGGTGTACTGGGTCCCCCAGCAGTGCCGGCTCACTGCGCTGCGCTGGATTTCTCACCCGACCTTAGCTGCCTTCCCGAGGGGCAAGGCTCGGGACCTGCAGCCAGCCATGCCTGAGCCTCCCACCCCCTCCATGGGCTCCTGTGCGGCCCGAGCCTCCCTGACGAGCACCACCTCCTGCTCCACTGCGCACAGTCCCATCGACCACCCAAGGGCTGAGGAGTGTGGGCACAGGGTGCGGGCTAGCAGGCAGCTGCACCTGCAGCCCAGGTGCGGTATCCACTGGGTGAAGCCAGCTGGGCTCCTGAGTCTGGTGGGGACGTGGAGAATCTTTATGTCTAGCTCAGGGATTGTAAATACACCAATCGGTACTCTGTATCTAGCTCAAGGTTTGTAAACACACCAATCAGCACCCTGTGTCTAGCTCAGGGTTTGTGAATGCACCAATGGACATTCTGTATCTAGCTACTCTGGTGGGGCCTTGGAGAACCTTTATGTCTAGCTCAGGGATTGTAAATACACCAATCAGCACTCTGTATCTAGCTCAAGGTTTGTAAACACACCAATTAGCACCCTGTGTCTAGCTCAGGGTTTGTGAATGCACCAATTGACACACTGTATCTAGCTACTCTGGTGGGGACTTGGAGAACCTTTGTGTCCACACTCTGTATCTAGCTAATCTGGTGGGGAGGTGGAGAACCTTTGTGTCTAGCTCAGGGATTGTAAACGCACCAATCAGCACCCTGTCAAAAGAGACCACTTGGCTCTACCATCAGCAGCATGTGGGTGGGGCCAGATAAGAGAATAAAAGCAGGCTGCCTGGAGCCAGCAGTGGCAACCCACTCGGGTCCCCTTCCATATTGTGGAAGCTTTGTTCTTTCGCTCTTTGCAATCAATCTTAATACTGCTCACTCTTTGGGTCCACACTGCCTTTACGAGCTGTAACACTCACCAGGAAGGTCTGCAGCTTCACTCCTGAAGCCAGCGAGACCACGAGCCCACCGGGAGGAACGAACAACTCTAGACGCGCTGCCCTAAGAGCTGTAACACTCATTGCGAAGGTCTGAAGCTTCACTCCTGAGCCAGCGAGACCACGAACCCACCAGAAGGAAGAAACTCCGAACACATCTGAACATCAGAAGGAACAAACTCCAGACACGCCGCCTTTAAGAACTGTAACACTCACCGCGAGGGTCCGCGGCTTCATTCTTGAAGTCAGTGAGACCAAGAACCTACCAGTTCCGGACACAATACAGTTTCCTTTATGAGTGACTAGAGACTTCTGCTGTTTGGGGGATTTGCTCTTTATCATTTCCCTTAGATGGTCTGATTGTAATGTGCCATGAAGAAGACCTTTTTGTCGTGTACCTGGCTGGGGATAATTGAACCCTATACTTGAATGTTTAAATTTCTTTCTATACTTCAGAGATTTTCACCTATTATTTTACAAAAATAAATAGGTTTTCTAATTTTATACCAGTCATAAATAATAATTTATACTATTTATAAATAATAAATAGATTTTCTAATTCTTTCATTTTCTTTTCACTCTCAGTGATATGGTTTGGTAGTGTCCCCACCCAAATCTCATCTTGAATTGTAGTTCCCATAATCCCCATGTGTTGAGGGAGGGACCCAGTGGGAGGTAATTGAATCATGGGAGCAGGTTTTTCCTGTGCTGGTCTCATGATAGTGAATAAGCCTCACAAGATCTGATGGTTTTATAAACAGCAGTTCCCCTGCACAAGCTCTCTTGCCTGTCACCATGTAAGACATGCCTTTGTTTCTCCTTTGCCTTCTGTCATGTTTGCGAGGCCTCCCCCACATGTGGAACTATGAATCCATTAAACCTCTTTTTCTTTATAGATTACCCAGTTTCAGGCAAGTCTTTATTAACAGTGTGAGAACTGACTAATATACTTGGGGATAGTGATAAGCCATATATTTGGTCACTTTATTTACTCCCAAATGTAATAAACGCTTTGCTCATCTTTTTAACTCTTTTTCTTTAACTTTGTCTGAGTTGTTTCAAAGACTTTTCTTAAAGTTCTGATATTTTTTTCTGCCTCATCTCATTTATTCCTGAAGATTTCAAATGTATTTTGCATTTTCTTCAATGAATTTTTTAGTTCCAAGATTTTTGTTTGGTTCTTTTTAAAAATATCTATGTATTTGGCAAATTTCCCATCGATAAACTATTTTTTTGACTTCTCAGTAATATTTTTCAGAATTTTCTTTTATCTCAGTGATCCTCTTTAAAATCAATGTTTAAATTATTTATCTGAGATTTCTGAGATGTTTTTATTAATACTTATTGCTAGAGAATGATTGCATTCCCTTGAAGGTGTCGTATTTTCTTGCTTTTTCATGTTTATTGTGTCCTTACATTGATATCTGCACATCTGATGTAACAGTTGCTTTCTTTTATTTTTTGAATTTACTTTTGTAGAGACAACTTTTTCCTGAAGACATATCTATCGATTGGTCTGGGCAGTTTGGATTTGACTCTGGGTGTATGCAGTAGTATAGTCTCTGCATATCTTTGGCTCTAAACAATGCTAGGGGTATCTGTGGTTTCCTATCAGGGTTAGGTTTTAGTTATTAGTGGAGGTTGTGGTGACGTTGTGCTGGGGACTAGGAAGCCAGGAGGGTCAGTCTTCAGGCTTCAGTAGTAGCAGCAGCGGGCTGTGCATGCCTATCTTTGTGCCCCAGGGTGGTGTACCCTGGCACCTGTGTTGGCGGTTACCAGTGGGCTGATTCTTGAGCCCCCAAGTGGCTTGCTTGGATGACTATAGTGGTAGCAGTGAGCCAGGTAGGTGAGCAGGTTCTCAGGTTTCTGGGCAGCCAGCATGGTAAGGGCCATGGCAATAGCAGTAGTGGAATGACTCTTTAGGTCCCAAATAATGTGGGCTAGTGTTGGTGGTGTCTGTGGTATGGGGTAGTCCCCAACACCCCGAGACACACTGCTTTCAATCTCTCTTGCTCCCTGTAGCAGCAGCACTACAGCACCATGAAGAGGGGAAAATCCCAGCTGTGGAGCCTGTGCTGCTAGTGGAGTCGTAGCTGTGACTCATTCCCCCAGACAGGTAGCCTCCTGGCTCATTTGTTCCAGTCTCTGGTAACAGAAAGAGAGGATGTGTGGAGGGGCAGAAGGGCTTCATTCTCTGTTCATGAAGCCAAGCACAGAGGTCACTCTGCCAGTGAGAGGGGATTTTGTTCTTCCCTTGCAATGCTAAGGACAGAGTTTGTGCTGCTGCTAAGGTCAGGATCACTTCTCAAAGCTCTAGACAGGGAGCTTTCGGGCTCTGAAAAGCATGTGCTATACCAAGCCCCTTTGGGCTCCTGGCCCAACTCAGTGAAGCTGGCTACTCACTTTCTTCTCCTTCTGTACCTCAGATCTTTCCCATCAATTCTCTGCTGGACTCTAGTGTTCTCCTCTAGATGTTCTCTTTAATGTATGATTATCAATTTATAATTTTTCTTCTTCTTTCCAAAGATGTCTTAAGTTATTGAACTGGAATCTTTCAATAGCCTCTTTCTTAGGGAAAAAACTAAAATTTTCTCATATTCTTGACAAACATAGAAATTTACAGTAATGCTAATTACAGTAACCAGTTCTTTTCTGACATCTTGTATTCCCTTAATTTCTATCTGAAAATTTAAAAATATACTTCAGTTCTTTCTCTATTTTCCCATGACGTATGTATTTTGACAGCCTATTTATTAAATATTATCAGCTTTTTTGATGAAACTGTACCTCTCTTTAAAATAGGGACCATCATCTTTATCATAGGCAGTACTTAAACTGAAAAACTGGAAAATTACTTTTAATAATTACCAACTTTCTATTTGCCTCTTTATTTGACAAGAGCAAAATCCCAATAATGTTTAACTTTCTGTTTCTTTTATTAATACTCTCAGACTTCTTATCTTGGGGGCCCATAAGACAAACCTTTTCCATGGTAGTGCTATTCCCATACAGATGGTCCTGATGTAAGATGTACTAAGGGCCCCAGTACAGGCTCAGAGCCTTTCCCTAATTCCATCACAGTGACTGCTGAGACCATTTTGTAACTCTTTATATTATTTTGGTAATGTTTCAAGAATGAATTAATGTAGAGCTCATAGAGAATAATTCTTCTTGATTTTAATACAGGTTGGCATTTTTTCCATAATGTATTGTTTAACTTCTAGTTTAGGTTAAATTGTATAGCAACATTTACCACTGTTATTTTTAGTTCAATCCTTTCTTAATTTGCACCCTGATTACTACAGAAATCTGTTTTTTGTCCTTTTTTCCTTTTTGTGGAGAATAGTCTCACCATGTTGCCCCGTCAGGTCTGGAATGCCTGGGCTCAAGCTATCTTTTCAGCTACCTCCCTAAATGCTGGAATTACTGGCATGAGCCACAACACCCAGCCCAGACGTCTCTTTGTTGACACCCTTCAAATCAACCTCTATGTTGCAGACTCAGTTATGTTTCTAAGATGCAAACATTGTAGCTACTCTCAAAAACTCTTCCATGTGTCAAAAAAAAAAAAAAGTAAAATAGTCCTAAAGTAAGAAATGAGTGAACTGTGTCATCAGCATTTTTGTTTATAGCTCAGAGTAGAAGAAATCCCCTGGCAATGGCATCTTTGAAATCAGAAATTGTTTTTTCAGATCTCTGTTAAATACATTTTTATATCTTATGCTAGTTTTGAGAGTGAAAACACGTCATTTCAATTTTAGATACCTTGTATCTCTCATTTGCTTCTTTTATTTTTTTCTTCTGACTTTATGGCTGCACATCTGGCATCTCAGATAATTTTGCTACAGATGCTCTGTGTAAATAAATTACTTGGCTATTATGCCTTTATGAACCTTTCAAATAAAACTATAATCACTATTATTCTTTAAGTGTTATTTTTTAAATTTGTCACCGCTCCAAATTTATAACATCTCTGAAACTTGCACTTCTTAAATATTTTTTTATCACTTTGCTGATTTCCTTGATAACATGTTAATAAACTTGGACACATTCTCAAGATCAATTTTTCTAAGAAGTTCTTAAAAATAGTTTATAAACACATGTTTTTTTCCCTTCTTATGAGATCACATCCAAATACTGTAGCATGACACACAAAGGCCTGTACATTCTACCCATGTACTCTTTACACCTGACCATGTCCCCCTTCTCACATTCTATGTCTGTGCTTCTCAACCTACCTAAGGTGAAAGACCAGTGTTTTCTCCCAGATTTACTGTAGACTTTGTAAAACACAGTGAAACATATTATTTTAAAAATGAAATGAAACAGGACATACAAGACCTTTCTTTCTTACTATTAAATTAACAGATGTAAAATGACTTTGTTGAATTTCCATAAAAGTTTCTAAACATTTACTCTCAATTTCTATACTTATCTTTTCAACAATGAGTAACAAATATTTCTTAGTCTGACTCTATTCCTTGGACCATACTTTGAATAGCATTATTTGGATATGAAGATTTAAGTTGCAAAGTTAGTTCTGCTTTTTACACTTGGCTAATTTAAATATTAGAACATACCATTGACTTTACTTTGTGTTTGTTTATTACATGTACTTGTTTTGGGAAGGGCAGTCTCATTCAGTTGGTCTTTTGATCCACAATAGGCTATAAAACAATGGTCACTGGGCCTGGAACACTTCCTTACCAAGAGACAAACAACCCACACAGCCTGTACCAGGCTTACCATCTTTGTGTGGGATTATCTTTCCCTGTTGCAGACTTATTGAGGCCTGAGGGAGCTTATCTCTTTCTTCTACCATGTGAAAACATAGCAAAAGGCACAATCTTTGAAGGAAAAAACATGCCCTCGTCAAATCTGCTGGTGCCTTGATCTTGGACTTCCCAGCCTTCAGAACTGTGAGCAATAAATTTCTGTTGTTTATAAATCACCTAGTCGAAGGCATTTTGTTACAGTAGATTGAACATACTGAGACAGAAATTGATACTGAGAAGTGGAGTGCTGCTTTAATAAATACATAAAGTTGTGGAAGCAGCTTTGGAATTGAGTAGTAAGTAGAAACTGGAAGAGTTTGGATGTTAATGCAAAAAAACGCCTATATTGCTGTGAACAGGGTATTAAGGGTGATTCCCGTGAGGGCTCAGAAGAAGAGAAGAGATGTAGAGAAAGCCTTTGTCTTCTTAGAGATTACCTAAGTGATTGTGATCAGAAAAATATTGGCAGAAATATTTACAGTAAAGGCTGTTCTGATAAGATCTCAGACCAAAATTAGGAAAATATTATTGGAACCTGAAGGAAAAAAAAGCCCTGTTATAAAATGGCAAAGAACTTCATTAAATTCTATTTATGCCCTAGTGTTCTGTGGAAGGCAGAACTTACAAACAATGAAAAAAGATATTTGGTGGAATAAATCTCTAAGCAAGGTGTTGGGATGTAGTCGGGCTACTCTTGGCTGCTTACAGTAAAATGTGAAAAGAAAGGGAAAAAAAGATAGAATGTATAATCAAAAGAGAAGCAGACATTAAAGATTGGGAAAATTCTCAACCTGGCTATGCTGTAAAAAATAAAAAAGATAGTTAAGGAGAGGACACCAAGGATGTGGCCAAGAAACCTTCTAATAAGAAGACTAGTATGAATGGGCAGAAGCCTGGCGATATTAAGACAATGGAAGAATGATCCCAAAGGCATTTCTGAGATCTTCAGGGCTGCTCCAACCATCACATGCCCAGAATGCCAGGACCCTGGGGACAGAAAGATTTCAAAGCTCTCTGCACTCCACAGCAGAGTTCCTTGGCAATCCAGCTGTGGCTCAAGTGGGTCCAGGTATGGCTCAGACCACTACTCCAAAGTGCACAAGTGATAAATCTTGGCAGCATCCTGTGGTGCTAACTTTTCAGGTGAACATAATTCAAGAGCTGCAGGGACTTAGCTACCTCCAGCTATATTTCGAAGGATGTTCCATAGGCTCTTGAATCCCAAGCAGAGAACTGCCTAGCTTCCTGACCAGGAGAAGGTCAGCTAAATGACTGAACTATTAAAGGATTGCCTGTGTGTGGACAGGAACTATGGCAGCATCTTGCTGCCTGTGAGGAACAAAAATGCTACTCATATAACAAATGATCTTTTAAAACAAAATATAAATTAACTCTCCTGCTGATGAAGCTTGTGGCCAATAGGCAGCCTACTACCTATATGGACTTAAAATGGACATTCATCTTACATATAAAAATTGGATAAGATCCAAGAGATGATCCTAGAAAATGCCAAGATTAAGGACATGGTGGCTCTTGCTAATGGACCCACATCATCCAAAGAGAAAAATAAGGACAAATTAACCAAAGACTAGGACCTGCCTGAATTTGACAGATTGACCACATCAAACCCATGGCCCCTAGCCACAAGCACTGGTGGTGCCTTGCCACTATTGACACCTATTCAGGATGTGGTATTGCTATTACAGCCCAAAATGTGGATGCTAGAATCACCATAGCCCCCTTTGAAAAAAACTGTGTCATGTTTATAGATAATATATGAGGCTTTACTCTGACCAAGGAACATCTTTCACTGCCCAAGCAAAACAACAGTGGATGCACTCTCATAAAATGCAGAGGGCTTATTATGTGCACTCTTACTTGCAAGTCAATGGAACCATCAAACAATGAAACAATTAAAAATAGGACAATTCATCAAACAATGAAACAATTAAAAATAGACTGTAACAATTAAAAATAGGACAACAAATAAGGCTTGCTAGTGGGGTGGTACCCACATCTGGCTAGGACAGAATGGACACTAAACACTGCACTTGATTGTAGGGGGAAGAGGATACTGCAATGCATGTTGGGAAACACTGAGCTTGGTGTTTGATATGGTGGATGTCACGGTAGATCAGGCAGCCATTTGATTAGACTGTGTATTAGTCTATTTTCATGCTGCTGATAAAGAGATACTCGAGACTGGGTAATTTGTAAAGAAAAAGAGGTTTAATGGATTCACAGTTCCACGTGGCTGGGGAGGCCTCATAATCATGGTGGAAGATGAAGGAAGAGCAAAAAGACTTCTTACATCATGGCAGGCAAGAGAGGACTTGTGCAGGGGAACTCCTCTTTATACATCCATCAGATCTCATGAGACTTATTCACCATCATGAGAACAGCATGGGAAAGATCCACCCCCGTGATCCAGTTACCTCCCACCAGGTCCCTCCCACAACATATGGGGATTAGGGGAGCTACAATTCAAGATGAGATTTGTGTGGGGACACAGCCAAGCCGTATCAGGCTGGGACTTCAAAATCTCAAACTCAGTATTCCCAACCATTTTTTTTCCTTTTTCTTTCCCCTTAGAGTGTAAGTCTTAGAGATGGCTTGCAGTTCAGGTTGCCATTGTACCCTAAATACCACCTCTCTGACTCTAATCTGAAGGCAATACTTACTCCTGGAGTCCTCCTTTTTATGGGATTGTACTGGGGTGGGCGATTCAACCCGGGACTGTCAGGGTGCTAAGATCACTCTAGAGGCACTGGGAAATCCAATTCTTCCATTCTCATAGGTGACATTAACCGACACGTCAAGTTTGTGCAGGGTGTGACCTTCCTTTCTGGACTGGATATTCAAGTCCAAAAGATCTGGATCAAGTAACAAGAATAATGAGTACCCACAGAGGTAGTAGCCTCAGGACTGGGACAGACAGCCTGGGTTGCAATACTCAGACTTCTAGCACCCCAACTAATAGACAGGAATGCCTCCAGCCACTGGAAGTACCAGAAGCAGGTAGTCAGTAGGGATACTAATCTCTCTCCCTTTTGTTCCTTAATAATACCCTGTGTGTTATGGGTATAATAATGTAGTTGGAGTGCCTGGATTGACAACATATTGGTGAAGATCAGCCCAGCAGTAGCAGCAGGTGGAGATTTGAAGGGCTATTGGATCTGCCACCCACATATTCAGAAGGTTTCCTCTGAATTTCCTCAAATAGTCCATGTGTGGCCCATCAGCAGCCTGATAGGATTTCTAATGGTCACCAGAGGTTCCAGTCAAAGAGTGACACCCTCAGTGCAGTTCAAATATGCAGGGCACCCAATACTCCATGAGTGAAGCTTACCTCTTCCACAGACATAAAATCAGAGGTAAAAAAAAAAAAAAATCAAAGGCAAATTAAACATCACAGATAGTATGGGAAGGTCCATACATTGGACAACTTTACCCTGCCACCTAACTCATGGTTAAATCAAACAAAGCTTTGTACAGCTGGACTACAGACTCTTAACACAACTGCTCCCTGACCAGCGTTACATGTGCTCCCCTGGATTATATGTTCCTCTGTGGGGCATACTAGACTTCCGAGTGCCTGTCACCCTCACATGGGCATGCTGCTTGGGAATGTGAGGGTCTCACATGCTTTTTCAAAATGACACTAAATTGGAAGTATCCACATTTCTGACACATCACAGGGTTGCCTGAGACACCCTGCCAGGTGAACAAACTGACAGCTGGCTCTATTCTACTGTCTGTGTCCTCAAATCCAACATAGGCATACATATCCTGGAAAAACAATACACAATTTGCCATTGACGGTAGTGGAGTTAGTTAACATTACTGCCTGAGCCACCTAAGAAAAAGAGCCACTAAATTCACTAGCCAAGGGGGTGATGGATAACTGAATAGCCCTCAGTTATCTGCTGGCAGAACAGGGTGTTAGTTGTGTTATGGCCAACACCACTTGCTATGTGTATATCATTAATTCAGGGAGGGTAGAAACCAAGCTGAATATCCACACTCAGTGAGGTCCTTGTCAGCTATGTATCCACAGTCCACCCAGACTCATTTTTTACCTCTTTGTTTACCTTAATCCAAGCACTTGGGATTTCTGATGAGAACCATTCTCCTGCTTTTAGTTCCCCTATTGACTCTGGTAAAGTGCTCTTTCAAAATAAAAGAGGCTGTTTGAGCAAACTGCATCTGCACAAGTTGTTCAGGGGCTCCATGGGACCCAACTACACCTCCAAATCAAGGTGGGTGATTTGATATGTTTTATCTGCTGTTTCAGTGGCCAGACAAGAGTCGGGATGGGCTGTAAGGAAAGGTGGTCTTATGCATGTGGTCTTTCAACTCCACGACTTGGCCACATAAGAATGGGCCTTAGGCCAGGAACATTTTCTTACCAGGAGACAAAGAGCCCCCACAGCTTTTGCCAGGGTTATTTTCCTATGTGGGAAAGTCTTTCCCTATTTCAGACTCAACGTGTGCTCCTCCTTTTGCTTCAGTGTGTGCATAAATGGCCCAATTTTGTAGCACACTCCCAGCTTTCATTATTTCAGGCTCCAAGGGGAAAAGGAAAGGTTCCTTCTGCTGCAGCACAAGAGAGATGTATGCAGGCCAACTGTGTGGGCTGCCAGGAGGGACCCACAGGCCAAGGGGGACTGACACACACTATTGAAAGTGATTTTGCTCTATCTCTTCTCTATGTAAGTAAAGTGTCGTCCTATCCAGGACCTGACTGTGTTGTGTTTTTCTTGGAAACTCTGATATCAAGATGCATTGAGCAGAAGTGTTTGGACTTCTATTCCTGGTGGTTGGCATGGTGATGATCTTTGCTACTCTCCATGTAGTTGGAGTCCTCCTCCAACAATGGTAACTGGTGCATAGTGTTCTGTTCAACAATGACCATCTATGATTAATTGTAGGACCACTTTTTCACTTGATAATTATATAGATAATTATTGCTGGTAAACAATCTCCTTGTATTGGTTTCAATATATACATTTTTATGATTACTGTGCTTATTATTTCCTCTCTTTAGTCTTGCCTGCTTATGCAAACAAATATGCATATAAATAACCCATAATCAATAGAATGGCATCTATATATAAAAAACACTACTATTTATTAAAATGATAAAAATTAAACATACTATAACATTCAAACAAATTTGCTTGGAAACTCAATATTTTTATTTCGTATTTTAGAATGATTGTTCTTTATTTGAAGAATGTTTGTAATCTAAATTTTTTCTTGATACAAGAAATGGAACCCACTACCTCCCTTGATGGAATTTCTCTTTTCTTTAAATGTATAATCTGGGCACTGGGGTGCATACATATGATATACAGTGGTAAGCAAGGCACTTACATTAAGAGTGACAGAAATTGAGAATATTTTTTAGGTATTTTAACAAATTGAGTTTATGTTAATCCTTTGCAACCTGTGTAATTACTGCTATGACTCAACTAGCTGATTTGGCCAGTCAACCAAAACTGAAGGGAAAGTTGCTAAGAGATTCTTCACTGAAACCCAAGAGTTGGATGAGAGTCAGAATCTGATGTTATTGTACATAGAGGCTTTAAGAAGACAACACAAGCCAAGCAACTTCCAGAACTGGGTATCAAAGGAGTCAAAGAAAGGAAGCATAGCCCTTACCCCGTGTCTCTGTATGGAGCATCCCTACATAAAGCCATCTGAGGACTGGACAGAAGCTTTGGAGAAATAGGTGGTAGCTACCTTGGAATCAATATCATCTTCTTGCCATGGGCACCAGCAGTTATGAAGCTGTTCCAAGCAACCCTGAGAACAGCAGACAGCTGGCAAAGGGAAGCATGAACTGGAGAGGAATAAACAAAGCAGGTGTTACTTGGTAATTGATTCAGAAAGACTGGGTTGTAAGCACAGGTGAGGCATACTTTTAGTGGGGACAAGTTTGTACTCGTGAAGATAAGCAGATTGGGATCACTGTAATTTGAGTGTAGATATGATCATGTCCCATTTTGTAGTCACAGATGGCAAACCCAGGTGACACTTGTGTTTAAGAACTCATCTCCTTTTGTTAACCACAGTATTAAGGTAGAATTGACATGTAAAAAGCTGTTAATATTTAATGTATATAACTCAATGAGTATAAAGGTAAGTATACACCCATAATAACATCACCACTATCAAAGCCCTAAGTCTCTTCGCGCCCCCTTTATTAGTAATAGTAATGTTTTGTGTATGTTGTAAGAACACTTAACACAAGATCTCTCTTAGCAAATGTTAAGAATGCAACACAGCATTGTTAGCCATAGGTATTGTGCTGCATAGTAGATCTCCAGAACTTATTTATCTTACATACTTTGTGCCCATTGACCACAATCTCTCCATTGACTCCTCCCCTTAGGCCCTGACAACCACTATTCTACTCTCTGCTTCTTGGAACTCATCTCCTTTTACCTAACAACCATTATACATTTATTTAAAACCTCAAAAATTAATTCAAGATGGATTAAAGACTTACATGTTAGACCTAAAACCATAACAACCCTAGAAGAAAACCTAGGCAATACCATTCAGACACAGGCATGGGCAAGGACTTCATGTCTAAAACACCAAAAGCAATGGCAACAAAAGCCAAAATTGACAAATGGGATCTAATTAAACTAAAGAGCTTCTGCACAGCAAAAGAAACTACCATCAAAGTGAACAGGCAACCTACAAAATGGGAGAAAATTTTTGCAACCTACTCATCTGACAAAGGGCTAATATCCAGAATCTACAATGAACTCAAACAAATTTACAAGAAAAAAACAACCCCATCAACAAGTGGGCTAAGGATATGAACAGACACTTCTCAAAAGAAGACATTTATGCAGCCAAAAAACACATGAGAAAATGCTCATCGTCACTGGCCATCAGAGAAATGCAAATCAAAACCACAATGAGATACCATCTCACAGCAGTTAGAATGGCCATCATTAAAAAGTCAGGAAACAACAGGTGCTGGAGAGGATGTGGAGAAACAGGAACACTTTTACACTGTTGGTGGGACTGTAAACTAGTTCAACCATTGTGGAAGTCAGTGTGGCAATTCCTCAGGGATCTAGAACTAGAAATACCATTTGACCCAGCCATCCCATTACTGGGTATATACCCAAAGGATTATAAATCATGCTGCTATAAAGACACATGCACACATATGTTTATTGAGGCACTATTCACAATAGCAAAGACTTGGAACCAACCCAAATGTCCAACAATGTTAGACTGGATTAAGAAAATGTGGCACATATACACCATGGAATACTATGCAGCCATAAAAAATGATGAGTTCATGTCCTTTGTAGGGACATGGATGAAACTGGAAACCATCATTCTCAGCAAACTATCGCAAGGACAAAAAACCAAACACCGCATGTTCTCACTCATAGGTGGGAATTGAACAATGAGATCACATGGACACAGGAAGGGGAACATCACACGCTGGGGACTGTTGTGAGGTGGGGGGAGGGGGGAGGGATAGCATTAGGAGATATACCTAATGTTAAATGACGAGTTAATGGGTGCAGCACACCAACATAGCACATGTATACGTACGTAACAAACCTGCACATTGTGTACATGTACCCTAAAACTTGAAGTATAATAATAATAAAATTTAAAGAAAGATGTTCTATAAAAAAAAAACTGAAGCAATCTTTTTAACTTTGCTTAAAACACTACTAATCCTTTGTTTTGTTTTTCAGAGTCAAGGAAACTTTTAAGCTATTTACAGCTTATAACAATTGAGTAAAGTATATTACTGTGAACAACAACAACAACAAAACCCTGCAATGGCTTTTAATCACTGTACAATAGCCTATAAGTCCCCTTTGTGATCTGACTTGAACTCACTGGCCTCATTTCCTATGTTCCCTATCACTTACTCCAATCCATCTAAACTGGAATTCTCACAGGTTTTAGAAAACAGCCATTACAATGCTGCTTTTCTTTGTAGTTCCTTTGCCGGAAATGTTCTTACCCCAGATACTGCATGACTTGTGTTTGTTCTTGCTTTCGTTCCCTTCTCAAAGGCCATATTCTCGGAGTGGCCCATTCTGTCCACAAATTTTGAAATAATAAATAATTTCTCTCTGATTCCTTTCCCCTGATTCAGTTATCAATCTTAATATGTCATCACCTTAATACAACATCTTTGTTTACTTATTGTCTGTCTTTCCAGCTCCCCCACTGCCAACGTAAGTTCTGTGAAGACAGGGTAATTCATTCTTGTGTCTTTAATGCATTTCATTACCATAATAGCATTTATCACATAACAAGCTTCCAATAGTTATTTAGTGAATGTGCAGTATAGTAGTTAAAGCAGGAATTTTGGAGCAAAATTGCCTACATACTTACTAATTATGTGACTTTTGTCTCCTCATATATAAAATGGGAATAATATTATATGCTCAGGATTGATAAGAAGATTGCATGAGTTAATATGTATAAAGTATGGAGAAGAGTGCCTGGCCTACAGCAGGCCCCATTCAAATGATTTTTATTATTCAATCAGCTTTAACTATAAAACAAATACTTCTCTTATTTGCTGTAATAAGATCTCATGCTCAATAAGTGATCATTATGGCGTTGTTGATAATGGGTTTAGTAATTTGCATTACATTTTTGGCAGTGGTGTTCACACGTGGGGCAGGATCAAGGAAGAGGGAATGGAACATAAGAAAACTTATAAAGAAGGCTTTGGTAACTTGCTATTCAGGAAGAATAATGAAGCAAACAGAAGAAAGTTTGGATCTTGAGAAACTAGTAAGATAATGGAACCATTTACATAAGGAAGTGAGAGTGAGAAAATGGTTAATGAGGAAAGATTATGAACTAGTTCTAATTCCTTAAGAGTAAAGTCTAAGTTTCAAAAATCTATAGGTACCTTCTATGCATAACCTGAAGAAGGAGTCATGTGCCCTTAACTATACCTACTCATCTGAACACAAGCTCCAGAGCAGGTGCTGCATCTTTCTTTGTTTGTAGGTGATACACTTGGAGGCCTGGACCCCTGTTTCAGTTTATGTTGCTCCACTTATCAAGTCTCCCATATCCTCAGCTTATCTCATTCATTAGATAGAAGATAGCAGACAGGTTAGGTCATGGTTTATCCGGGGCATGTGGCTACTGCACTCTTCTGAGCTTTGGCCCCAGCATATTCTGATTCCACCAGTCCCAATGCATTCTCCCTCAAACAATGAATGCTATTTCTAGAGAAATTTAGCAATCATCAAGAATACCCCCTCCATCTCTTTTTCCAAAACTACCTACTTTCATTCTTACTGTATTTGTATTTACAACAGAATGCAGAAAGCTCCAGATGTGTACTGTCAGTAAAGCAGATTACCTTCTTTGTTTTATACCTGGTGGGAATGGAAATTGGTATACTTAGCTATTGAAAAAAACTACACTGGTCTTCTAGAATAAGTCCCATGTCCCAGAGTTTCAGCCAGAATGAAGTTGTTAATAGTATTAGGTAACATCTCTGTCTTGGGGGCAATTTAGCAACATATTTTGCTCCTAAGTACACCATCATCCAGGAGTTATAATGAAAATACCCAGCCCAAAGGTTTACCACAGTACAGGGAAGACCTAGAGCTTTTCTGACACTATTATGGACTGATATTTAAACTTCCTCAAGTCCTGTTGAGCTGATACTTCTTATAACATGATTATTTGTCCTCTGGCTCTTTTTTTAATCCTTCTATGTCATTTTATGGGGAAGAAGGATGTATATGTGCAGGCAGCCCAGATCTATTGTCTCCAGAGGTATAGCTTGTGCCTTTCGCACACCTTGTGCCAAAAACGGAAAGGTTCCTACTTGAACCTCTTCATTCTAATAGAGGTCCTCCCCTGTAGAGTTATACCACGTGATGGAACCCTGACCCCTTTCATCATTTGTTGCTCCAAACAACCCTTTAAGATTCTACCTTCCTCTCCCGATTCTAGTGGCCTGACTCTAGATAGACTGATTGGATGTGCCATATGGAAGGTGATGGACTCTCAACAGTGAAAAGGCTGGCCTCATACCTTGTTCATGAGTAAGAGTGCAGCCTGGATGTGTGATCATGGGACCCTTGCTGATTACTTGAAAATGCCCAGCATGAAGTTTATAACTTCCACTAAAAAATCTGCACAACCGGCTGGGCGCGGTGGCTCACGCCTGTAATCCCAGCACTTTGGGAGGCCAAGGGGGGTGGATCACGAGGTCAGGAGATCAAGACCATCCTGGCTAACATGGCGAAACCCCGTCTCTACTAAAAATTAAAAAAAAAATAGCCGGGAGTGGTGACAGGCGCCTGTAGTCCCAGCTACTGGGGAGGCTGAGGCAGGAGAACGGCATGAACCCCGGAGGTGGAGCTTGCAGTGATCTGACACCAGCCACTGCACTCCAGCCTGGCCAACAGATCGAGACTCCATCTCAAAAAAAAAGAAAAGAAATATGCACAATCTGCTCAATTATTCCATCCAAGGGAGGGGTTGACTGGACATGTATATAAACACTGCACTTCTACCAGATTCCTGCTCTCCAGTAGGCTCAACCAAATGTATCTCAAATGAAGTAAATTATGTAAATGTAAGAATCCATATAAAAACTAAAGAAAAACAAACTGTAAATAATAATAACAATAATAAGCCACACTAATAAATAAAAACAAGCATGTAGCTTAACTGGCATCCAATCACTCTTTTGCTTCATTGCCTTAGCTCTGGCTCAAACCCTATGTCCTCCTTCTAATTGCTCAAAATATGAATTTCTCCCATGAATATGCACATCCACAAAGACACACATAGATACACATGGCTCAGGGAAGTAGGAATGCCAGTTCAAACCTCTCCTCACTTTGACAGGAGATAGCCCTTATGTTATTATTTTCCTAAATATCCCTGAAGATTCATTAACATTCCAATCACTGTGGAGTCTGAGGCATTCATCTGCCTCCTTCACCTCTGGTGAGAGACAAAGGGAGAGAGGAAGAGTTTTAGCAAGAGCACAGTCAAATGACGCAGAGATATCAGAGAGGGAATGGAGTAAAACAACATCACTTGATCTAACAACAAATTTATTTCAGTCAGCATTTATTGAGAAATATTACATTCACACTGAATCAGCTATATAATTTGTGGGGTCAGTGAAAAATGAAAATACAATATCTCTTGTTTGAAAATGACTAAGGATTCCAAGATGACAACAGCAGAGCATTAAATCTAGCATGGGTTCTTGCAGAGCATACGATTCCATGTGTCTGCACAGGTCACATGCTTATGAAGCTGGCCCTGAATTCAGATAAGATTTTTGGTCATGAATACAGACACAAATACCTAAATCCTACTTTCAAGCAACTGAGATTAAAAAAAAAAAAAGAGCAAAAACCTAAATAACTACTGTTCAGAGTAGGAAGAGATGAATGTGCTTGTGAAGATCAGTTCAATTTGGGGAGTACAGAAGAGCTATCAATTGGGTGATCTCGGGAATCCATGAAAAAGAAGTATCTGGATTATAGTTTCAAAAATAAACAATGATGGATATGTAGCCAAAGCAGGAAAAAAAAAATCTCTGGAAGATGGGGAAAAAGTATTCCTAAAGGGGTCAGTATCTTTGCTAGTATAAACTGTTTAAATAAAAGCATGCTTCCCTTATGGGACATGGACGGTGTTTAAGAAGATGCAGACAAGGATTTTATGTATAAGGTAAAGCAAATGTCACCAGAGTTGGTTTAGGCGTGTCTTCCACTTCTTCAATACTCTGTTTTTGATCCACGATACTTGTGCCAAGCAGAACTGATGTCTTGAATTCTTGGTGTCCTGAGTGTTGGCTCCCATGAGAAAGACAGGGCTGGGTGTGTGGGGAGAAAGAATGTTCTTATTTGAACTGTGGGAAAAGAGGAGGATATTAATCTCAAAGAAAGGAAATAAAGGGGAAAGGCAGAGAAAAAAAAAAAGAAGATAGAGGAAAAAGGAATGAATTGATTACAGGCTGAAGAAACAAAGAACAAGAAAAAGCTCACCTCTGTTTTTTTAACCGTGAGTCAACTACAACCAATATGACCAGGGTAACTATCACAGTCAAACAGATCAGGATGAGAAAGATGGAATATCCACCTGGTTGGGGATAGAATAAGAATACCAACCCTAAAATACTCTATTCCACCAAGCTGAGATTTCCCATTTCACAAGGGTGGGACCTTCCTAGAATTTTCATCTGGGTTTTCCAAAGCCCTCATTTCAATTCCTCCTGATCCTTTGTCTGTGATCTCCTCCCAACCCTCTCCCACTAAATCACTAGTTCCTCCTCCTTTTTCTGTTAGTATGTCTAATTCTCTACTTCCATTTTCTTAAAATTTAACTACTGTCATACTCTATCCTTCTTTATTTTGATTGTCCCAGTTTTACCCTTCTTGTACCTAGCATTCCTACCCATTTCCTCAGCCCCACACTCAAAAGCCCCAGGGCTATTTTCATTATTTCCCAGCAGAGCCTCAGCTGTTTCTCACCCCAATGGATGATTAGATCATGGCCCCCTAGACTGCTGTGTTTCACCCGACAGGACAGGCCAGCTGCCTCCCCAGCCGCCACATCCAGGGTTGCTCGGAGATACCATGTCTCGTCAGCATTAGGCAGGACGTCCCCTCGCTGAGTGCCCCGCTGCTCCTGCTCACCCCGCATCCACATCACCCACACGGGCTTTGGGTAGAATCCTGAGACATGGCACACAAGCTGCAGACGGCCAGGGCCAGGACTGGGGCCACAGGACAGCCAGGCCTCTGGCTTCACTAGGAAGAAGAAGATAGAAAAAAAATGGAATTTTGAAGGGCACCCCAGGCCAGAGCTCAGAGACTCAGGTGCCTTTGTAATAATACTAAGAGTGATTTAGTAATCACTTCTTTCTCTTGTCTAAGAAACAGTCCTGAACCCACACATCTCATTCTCTAGTCTCTCACTATGTCTTTCAAAATGATGATGAGAGGCAAATTCAAATATGAGAGTTATAGTACTAGGAACAAGAGGGGAGAGAGAGAGTTGGGCTCACCTTTCCGTTTCAGTTCTGACTCCCCTGCTTCCATGAGCCCCGCTAGAAATCGAGGGCAGGTGTGACCAAGAAGGCTTTGCAGTATTTCCTTAATATCTAGGTAGCGATTGAGCACTTTACAGATGTTCTGGGCCCGGATCCCTGCTCCTGGAGATGGCTCCCAGGAAATTCCTTGGAAACTCAGGAAATCTGACCCTTGATATGCCATATTTAAGAAGATTTGTGGGGCATTCATTCTACAGCCAGCTAATATCTGGATCTCGAAGGGGTCTGAGAGTGGACAGGGAAGAGAGATCATTATGGAAAGAATGACAAGGAAGAAAAACAAACAATTTAGACAGTAAAGAGATTCAAGGGAAGAAAAATTTGCTGGGAAATCATATGGAGACTAGAGTTTACTGGCAAAGGGGAAGAAAATTTGTGGGAAGAAAATTTGAAGATAATAAAGATACTTTGAAATAACTAATGGGAAAGTGGTAGATGGGAAGGCTATCAGGAAGATAGGAGATTGGTCATAAATAATTCACGTGAAAGTGGTTAGGTACAGGCCAGTCCATGTCAACACTCAGGCAAAGGATAAAGAAGGGCAGAAAGAGGGTTGAGAAAGGCTGAGTCTGAGGGCAGGAATGAGGGGCAGAAGATCCAGAGGAGACAATCATTCCAAAGAGCCAGACATGAAGCTATATTCATGTTGAGATATGTACATGCAGGCCCTTTTGTGTATATGGTGGAGTGTGGGTGGTGGTGAAGGGTGAAGCAGAGGAGGGAGTGGGAGTCAGAGAGTGGGGAACAAGGTTAGTAAGGTTAAATGATGGTCAGAGTCTATATACTATCTTCCACTTTGGAAAATAGTTGGTGTTCCCAGGCAAATTATCAGCTTAGAGCAACGAACTTACATTCAAGCTGAAATTGACCAGCAGAAGCTTGCACTATCTGGATAAAACTATGGAAGTATAACTGGAACAGTGACTGTAAGTTTTTCAGCTCCTGCTTGCTGAAGTTTCCATGGGACCAGGGCTTCAGAAAGCGGATGGTGCCCAAGACAGTGTCCCAGCCATGAGTCTGCAGGTCACCCAGCCATCCTGAGCCCTCACTGTGTGCCCAGCTGTGGTTGGCAAAGGAGGAAGTTTGGAGCATGCGGAAGGACAGCTGCTCCTCTGCTGCTAGATGATAGGATTGTAGAGCCTGGGGAGCTGAGAGAGAGGGAAATGACAAGTAGAGAGAATGTAAAGGGATGGGAAAAGTGATGCCAAAGGGAAAAAAGGAACCCAGAGATGAGAGACAGTTAGGTAGCTTGTACATACTCCAATACCCTTTTCCTGTGGGGCCAGCTTCCTTTCTCCAAAATCAGAGACAAAAACTGAGACTGAGAGCAAGAATTCTCTGCCTGGAACTAGCCTGAAAGGCATATTCCAAGGGCATCCTAGAAGAGTACTGCTCCCTTCCCCCAGGACCTCCCCAGAGCTTCCTCTCAGCCCTCTGGTGCCCTACCATAGGTATCTTTCCACCTGCACTCTTCTTACCTGCTGTATTTTCCCCAGGACAGCAGAGACCCTCGAAGAGGAGGAACAGGAGCAGCATTGAAGCTCTGTTAAAGGAGGGATTCCTTGGCAGGACACCTGCCCTAATAATTCAGATATCAGTACCCCTCTCCACACCCTCTTGCACTCTCGTCTGACTTCCCTTGCTGTACAGACAGACAAACCTCTCCCTCTGCTGACTTCCCTGTCAGAGAAGCCACACTGCCTCGCTTTGCTGCAGCCTCCCACGGGGTTTTTCATTTCCCCTCTGCCTCTCTCACTGTCTGGCTCCAGATTTTCTCCCTGCTCTTGTGTACATCCTCCCAACCTCCCTAATTGCACTAACTGCTGGAAAACGAGTCCTGGCTTAAAACAAAGTCTGTGGTCTGGCTAGAAGATGGAGTAGCTTTTGGCCTTGTAGAAATCAAATCCATACTTGGCTTGTCAATAATCTAATCTGTGAGAAGTGATGGTAGTCACTCAGTGGTGCCTAGTGACCTATCCACCAGTCTCCCACTTCTACCTCTCTGTGATCCTCTCCTCCGCCTGTATCTCTTCACTCTGCTCTTGATCATGATCAGAAGACACTCAGCATCCTGGATGTAGCTGCATAATAAGCAGGCAACCCTCCATAATCCAACTCTCTGTGCTGCTGAAAAAGGAGCAGCAATGGCAATGCAGATTATCAGAAAATCTAAAGAAAGCTCCTTTTTTTCAGTTTCCCCAGTCAAGCCAACTGTCACTGTTAAAGTGGTCCATGAGTGGGCTTGACCTGGAAGTGGTGAGCTAGAGGGCAGGTAGATTTCACCCATGTTTTACAGGTGGCTCTGGAGGAAATACATAGGGGACTTGGATCCCCATCTCTACCCAAACGAAGAAAGCATGTCTGGAAGTCTGTGGGCCAGCTTTGCCCTGGGTATGAAGAAAGACTGAGGGCAGGCATGAAGCTCCTCATTAGTTCATGGCCTGAGAGCATTGGAGTCCCCTTGCTTGCGTTCGGTTAGAGAGCAGTTTGGGTGGACACAGGGAAGTACCTTTAGAGGACTGAAGTGTTCACTGGAGAATTAATTGAGTCTTTATTTTTGTTTCTTTTTCATTGATATTTGTTGTGACACTCTGAAGGCAGTTGAAATAACATTCCTTTGTTTGGTTTTTATATATTTGTTCAACTGACATTTATTCAGAGCCCACCTATGACCAAAAACAATTGCCAGGCCCTAAGATATCAGAGATAGACATCTTTGGGAAAAAATAAAACAAAATTCAACCCCAAACCTCTACTTTTCTTATACAGTAAATTTACTGAACGGTGGTCAGAATTATTGAAAAAGGTCCAAACCTAGTTTCATCTTATTATCATTTCTAAATTCTAAGTTAAAAGAAAGATAAAAAGTTTCCTTGTTTCCTGAGTAGAATATCTACATTTATTTTCAATACTCTTTCTGTGCTGGAGAGGTGCTGGAGAGGATGTGGAGAAATAGGAACACTTTTACACTGTTGGTGGGACTGTAAACTAGTTCAACCATTGTGGAAGTCAGGGTGGCGATTCCTCAGGGATCTAGAACTAGAAATACCATTTGACCCAGCCATCCCATTACTGGGTATATACACAAAGGATTATAAATCATGTTGCTATAAAGACACATGCACACGTATGTTTATTGTGGCACTATTCACAATAACAAAGACTTGGAACCAACCCAAATGTCCAACAATGATAGACTGGATTAAGAAAATGTGGCACATATACACCATGAAATACTATGCAGCCATAAAAAATGATGAGTTCATGTCCTTTGTAGGGACATGGATGAAGCTGGAAACCATCATTCTCAGCAAACTATCACAAGGACAAAAAACCAAACACCGCATGTTCTCACTCATAGGTGGGAATTGAACAATGAGAACACATGGACACAGGAAGAGGAACATCACACACCGGGGCCTGTTGTGGGGTGGGGGGAGGGGGGAGGGATAGCATTAAGAGATATACCTAATGTAAATGACGAGTTAATGGGTGCAGCACACCAACACGACACATGTATACATATGTAACAAACCTTCACGTTGTGCACATGTACCCTAGAACTTAAAGTATAATAATAAAAAATAAATAAATAAATAAAAATAATTAAAAAAAGAAAAAAAAACTGCAAACAAAAAAACAAAAGAAAAAGGTCCAAACCTAGTTTCATCTTATTATCATTTCTAAATTCTAAGGTTAAAGAAAGATTAAAAAAAGTTTCCTTGTTTCCTGAGTAGAATGTCTACATTTATTTTCAATACTCTTTCTTTTCTACAAATACATTCAAAGCTATAAGTTGCTATGTAAATCTATCTATAAATCGCTATGTAAATCCAAAATTGGTTTCATAATAAAATTATGAACAGTAAACAAAGATAAATATTCAAGAGAATATATAATAACCTACAAAAACAATAATACATAATAAAAAGATTGGAATGACCTATGCCAAACATCAATACTACAAGTAACTGTATTCCTTAGAATTTTTGTTTTGTTTTGTTTTTTCCTGAGACGGAGTCTTGCTGTCTTGCTCTGTTGCCCAGGCTGCAGTGCAGCCACAGGATCTCGGCTCATTGCAACCCCCGAATCCCTGGTTCAAACGACTCTCCTGCCTCAGCCTCCTGAGCAGCTGGGATTACAGGCAAGAGCCACCATGACCATCTATTTTTTGTATTTTTAGTAGAGACAGGGTTTCTTCATGTTGACCAAGACGGTCTCGATCTCCTGACCTCGTGATCCACCCGCCTCGGCCTCCCAAAGTGCTGAGATTACAGGCGTGAGCAACCGTGCCCCGGCCATTAGAATTTTTGAATCAGGCCAGGCACGGTGGCTCACACCCGTAATCCCAGCACTTTGGGAAGCCAAGGCAGGCGAATTCGAGACCAGCCTTGCCAACATGGCGAAACCCTGTCTCTACCAAAAAAAGTAAAAATTAGCCAGGTGCCATGATGTGTGCCTGTAATTCCAGCTACTCAGGAGGCTGAGGCAGGAGAATTGCTTGAGCCTAGGAGGTGGAGATTGCAGGGAACTGAGATTGTGCCACTGTACTACATCCTGGGCAGGAGAGTGTGACTCTGTTTCAAAAAAAAAAAAAAGAGGGAGAATTTTAAAATCATTTGCAAAGTAAAATAAAGCAAAGTATATTTAGAGAATAAAACAATGTTGTTATTCCACAAAAAATTGCACTTTTATGTAAGTAAAGATAACCACACCCTAGTTTTTAATTTTGAGGCTACAGAACTCACAGATAACTGCAAATTACTGAGCAAAGTAGAAATAATGTCTGACAGCAACCCCATAATCATTAACAAAATAATGAAATTCCTTCTAAATTAAAATTATCCAGAAGATAAATTCCAAAGAAAAAATATATATTAATTTTAATTTTTGTAACATTATATGGTACAATTATTTCCTTCCTGCTTTACAAAATTCCATCAGTGGGCCAGGCACAGTGGCTCACTCCTGTAATCCCAGCACTTTGGGAGGCCGAGGCAGGCAGATCAGGAGGTCAGGAGATCGAGACCATCCTGGCTAACACGGTGAAACCCCTCTCTACTAAAAATACAAAAAAATTAGCAGGGCGTGGTGGCACGTGCCTATGGTCCCAGCTATTCGAGAAGCTGAGGCAAGAGAATCGCTTGAACCTGGGAGGCAGAGGTTGCAGTGAGCCAAGATTGTGCCACTGCACTCCAGCCTGGGCAACAGAGAAAGACTCCGTCTCAAAAAAAAAAAAAAAAAAAATATTCCATCAGTGCCTAACCACATTTTTTACTAAAAATACTTAGTGTCTGTGGCCAGAGGTCTCTTTTAAAAAGAAATTCCCCCTCTTATGTTTTCCTGAGGCTGCCCCAGTCACATTCGCAGATCCCCTTTTGCCAAAACCAGAAAATTCTCTCAAAACATATTATAAGATGTGCCTTTGGACAACTTAATCTTTCTATGTAAGAAATTTATGGGAGATAACTCATTAAAATTGATTTAAAATAAAATTTTTGAGTACATTTGTACAAATGTAAGAAAATGTTCCATCTGCTAATTTTTTTTCAAAGAATTTAAATACGAGTTTTATTCTTTTGGCTTATTTTCAGGAAAGATTGCAATTTCTACATACTTATTTTCTTGTTTGTGTATACTTACATTTCTTTAACATTTATTCAAATATATTTTTCAGCTTTAGTGAGGTACAACCAACAAATAAAAATTGAGTATAAAAAAGTATTTATTGCCACTGAGCTGTACATTTTAAAATGGTGAAGATGATAAATTATATATTTATATTCTACCTTAATTTTTTTTAAATTGGGTATACTTAAGGTGCACAACATGATGTTATGATATATGTATATACTGTGAAGTAATCGCCACAGTCAAGTTATTACCATATCCATCACTTCACATAGTTACATTTTTTCTTTTTTTTTTCTTTTTGAGACGGATTCTCACTCTGTCACCCAGGCTGGAGTGCAGTGGCATTGAGAGGTGACAGCGTGCTGGCAGTCCTCACAGACCTTGCTTGCTCTCGGTGCCTCCTCTGCCTGGGCTCCCACTTTGGCAGCACTTGAGAAGCCTTTCAGCCCGCCGCTGCACTGTAGGAGCCCCTTTCTGGGCTGGCCAAGGCCGGAGCCGGCTCCCTCAGCTTGCAGGGAGGTGTGGAGGGAGAGGCGCGAGCGGGAACCTGGGCTGCGGGCGGTTCCAGCTGGAGTGCAGGGTGGGCGTGGGCTTGGCGGGCCTGCACTCGGAGCAGCCAGCCGGCCCTGCCGGCCCCGAGCAATGAGAGACTTAGCACCCGGGCCAGCGGCTGCGGAGGGTGTACTGGATCCCCCAGCAGTGCCAGCCCACCAGCGCTGTGCTTGATTTCTCACCAGGCCTTAGCTGCCTCCCCGTGGGGCAGGGCTCGGGACCTGCAGCCCGCCATGCCTGAGACTCCCACCCCCTCCATGGGCTCCTGTGCGGCCGGAGCCTCCCCGATGAGCGCAGCCCCCTGCTCCACGGCGCCCAGTCCCATCAACCACCCAAGGGCTGAGGAGTGCGGGTTCACGGCGGGGGACTGGCAGGCAGCTCCATCTGCAGCCCCAGTGCAGGATCCACTAGGTGAAGCCAGCTGGGATCCTGAGTCTGGTGGGAACGTGGAGAATCTTTATGTCTAGCTCAGGGATTGTAAATACACCAATTGGCATTCTGTCTCTAGCTCAAGGTTTGTAAACACACCAATCAGCACCCTGTGTCTAGCTCAGGGTTTGTGAATGCACCAATGAACACTCTGTATCTAGCTACTCTGGTGGGGCCTTGGAGAACCTTTGTGTCCACACTCTGTATCTAGCTAATCTGGTGGGGACGTGGAGAACATTTGTGTCTAGCTCAGGGATTGTAAACTCGCCAATCAGCACCCTGTCAAAACAGACTACTTGGCTCTACCAATCAGCAGGATGTGGGTGGGGCCAGATAAAAGAATAAAAGCAGGCTGCCCCCAGCTAGCAGTGGCAACCCGCTGGGGTCCCCTTCCACACTGTGGAAGCTTTGTTCTTTCGCTCTTTGCAATAAATCTTGCTACTGCTCACTCTTTGGGTCCACACTGCCTTTATGAGCTGTAACACTCACCTCGAAGGTCTGCAGCTTCACTCCTGAAGCCAGCGAGACCACGAGCCCACCGGGAGGAACGAGCAACTCCAGACGTGCTGCCTTAAGAGCTGTAACACTCATTGCGAAGGTCTGCAGCTTCACTCCTGAGCCAGCGAGACCACGAACCCACCAGAAGGAAGAAACTCCCAGCACATCTGAACATCAGAAGGAACAAACTCCGGACACACCGCCTTTAAGAACTGTAACACTCACCGTGAGGGTCCGCGGCTTCATTCTTGAAGTCAGTGAGACCAAGAACCCACCAATTCCGGACACAGCATGATCTTGGCTCACTGCAAGCTCCGCCTCCCAGGTTCACACCATTCTCCTGCCTCAGCCTCCCGAGTAGATGGGAGTACAGGCACCAGCCAGTATGCCCGGCTAATTTTTTTATTTTTTATTTTTATTTTTTGTATTTTTAGTAGAGATGGAGTTTCACTGTGTTAGCCAGGATGGTCTCGATCTCCTGACCTCGTGATCCGCTCGCCTCAGCCTCCCAAAGTGCTGGGATTACAGGCATGAGCCACCGCGCCTGGCCATTTTTTCTTATTTTTTATAGTGAGAACATCTAAGATCCTCCCTCTTAGCAATTCAAATACTACACAATAGAGTATTGTTCACTATAGTCACATTGCCGTGCATTAGACCTCCAGAACTTATCTTGCATAACTGGAACTATCTACCTTTTACCAACATCTCCTCACTTCTCCCTTACTGCAATCCCTGGAAATCCCCATTCTATTCTGTTTCCATGAGTTTGACTACTTTCGAATCCTCACACAAGATTATGCAGCATTTTTCTTTCTGTTTCTGGCTTATTTCACTTCACATAATGTCCTCCAGTTTCACCTGTGTTGTTACAAATGGCAGGATTTTCTTTTTAAAGATTGAATAACATCCATTATATATATCAAATTTTATTTATCCATTCATATGTCAATGAACACTCAGTTTTTTTTTCACATTTTTGCTATTGTGAATAGTGCTGCAATGAACATGAGAGTGCAGATAGCTCTTTGAGATAGTGATTCTATTTCCTTTGGACATATTTACAAAAGTGGGATTGCTGGAACATATGGTAATTCTATTTTTAATTTTTTGAGGCACCTGCGTACTGTTTGCCATAATGGATATACCAATTTACATGGCTACCAAAAGAATACAAGGGTTCTTTTTTCTCCACATCCTCATCAACACTTCTTTTCTTTTGTATTTTTAACAATAGCCATCCTAACAGGTAGGAGGGGATATCTAACTATGGTTTTGATTTGCATGTCTCTGATGATTAGTGATATTGCGCACCTTTTAATATATCTATTGGCTATTTGTATGCTTTTTTTTTAAGAAAAGTGTCTATTCAGATTCTTTGTTCATTTTTAATTAGGGTTTTGTTTTGTTTTGTTTTGTTTTGCTATTGTGTTGCATGAGTTCTTTATGTATTTTGACTATTAAACCCTTTTCAGACATATGGTTTGCAAATACTATCTTTTTTTTTTTTTTGATGGAGTTTCACTCTTGTTGCCCAGGTTGGTGTGCAGTGGCACAATCTCAGTTCACTGCAACCTCTGCCTCCCAGGTTCAAGCGATTCTTCTGTCCCAGCCTCCTGAGTAGCTGGGATTACAGGCGCCTGCCACCACACCCAACTAATTTTTTGTATTTTTAGTAGAAATGGGGTTTCATCATGTTGGCCAGGCTGGTCTCAAACTCCTGACCTCAGGTGATCTGCCCACGTTGGCCTCCCAAAGTGCTGGGATTACAGGCGTGAGACACGGCACCCAGCAGTTTACACGTATTTTCTCCCCTTCTGTAGGTTGCCTCTTCACTCTATTGTCTCCTTTGCTGCACAGAAGCTTTTTAGTTTGAAACAATCCTGTTTGTCTATTTTTGCTTTTGTTGCTGGTGCTTTTGGTGTCATATCCAAAAAAAAATCCCATAATAAAGGGCATATATGAAAATCCCACAGCTAACATCATAATCAATCTTTTCTCTAAGATCCAGGACAAGGCGTGAATGTCCACTCTTGCTACTTCTATTCAACACAGTGTTAGAAGCCCTAGACAGAGCAAGTAGATAAGAAAAAGAAATAAAAGGCATCAAAATCTAAAGTAAAAGGTAAAATTATCTGTCTGCAGCAATAATCTACAAAATCGATATGATTTATAAAATCTACATGATGATGTACACAGAAAACCCTTAATACTCAACAAGAAAAATGATTAGAATTAATAAATTCAGTAAAGATGTAGAACACAAAAATCAACACACACATATCAATGGTGTTTCTATACACAATAAACTATCATGAAAGGAAATTAAGAAAACAATCTCATTTATAGTAGCATAAAAAGAATAAAATACTCAGGAATAAGCTTAATCAAAGAGGTGCGCAGTGGCTCATGCTTGTAATCCCAGCACTTTGGAAGGCCGAGGCAGGTGGATCACGAGGTCAAGGGATCCAGACCATCCTGGCCAAGATGGTGAAACTCCGTCTCTACTAAAAATACTAAAATTAGCTGGGTGTGGTGCCACGCACCTGTAATCCCAGCTACTCAGGAGGCTGAGGCAGGAGAATCGCTTGAACCTGGGAGGCAGAGGTTGCAGTAAGCCGAGATCGTGCCACTGCACTCCAGCCTGGTGACAGAGTGAGACTCCATCTCAAAAAAAAAAAAAGACTAATGCACTGAAAATTACAAAATATTAATGAAAGATATTAAAGTAGACACAGAAAAATGACAAAGAAAAAGTGGACAAAGCACCAGTAATCGAAGGTGATGTTACCCAAACCTGGGAATGGACTTGTAGAGGGAGCCATATATTGACCCCCATCTCCTCTTCCCAGAGCATTGCTACAAACACGCTGAAAAACAAAACAAGTGTACAGCTGACTAAGAGACTGTCAGCCCTGCTGTTAAGCACCATCTACTTGACTGCAGCCTGAAGTACATCACCAAACAAAAGTGCATTTCACCAACACTCATTGCCTGTGAAACCCACTGCAGGAAACTATCTACAACCTAGGAACCTGTACAGAGCCTTGGCTCTCTGAAAGAACTCATTCTCATATGTGTGTGTGTGTGTGTGTGTGTGTGTGTGTACATATATATATATATATATATATATATATATATATATATAAAAATAATATATGTATATATAAACCTCATCCAAATGGCAACAAATTCAAAAAGAAAAAGAAGTGCCAGCTCCCTCACGAGAAGGAATCAACACAATAACTCCAGCAATTCAAAAAGTCCGAGGTGTTTTGTTACCTTGAAAATGAACCTTAGCAATGAACCTAACCAGACTGAAATGTATGAAATGACAGATATAGGACTCAGAATCTGGATGATAAGGAAGCTCAACAAGATCTAATAAAGTTTAAATCCAGCACTTATAAGGAACTTAAATAAATTTACAAGAAAAAGAGTCCCATCAAAAAGTGGGAAAAGGACATGAACAGACACTTCTCGAAAGAAGACATACATGTGGCCAACAATCATATAAGAGAAAGCTCAACATCACTTATCATTAGAGAAATGCAAATCAAAACCACAATGAGATACCATCTCACATCAGTCAGAATGGCTATTATTAAAAAGTCCAAAAATAACAGATGCTGGTGAAGTAGTGGAGAAAAAGGAACACTTATACACTGTTGGTGGGAGTATAAATTAGTTCAACCATTGTGGAAGAAAGTGGGGCAATTCCTCAAAGAGCTAAAAACAGAAATACCACTCAACCCAACAATCCCATTACTGGGTATATACCCAGGGAAATATAAATTGTTCTATTATAAAGACACATGCACGTGAATGTTTATTGCAGCATTATTCACAATAGTGAAGACATGGAGTCAACCTAAATGTCCATTAATGATAGACTGGATAAAGAAAACGTGGTACATATACACCATGGAATACTATGCAGCCACAAAAAGGAATGAGATAATGCCCTTTATAGGACATGGATGGAGCTAAATAAAGGCCATTATCCTTAGCAAACTACACAGGAACAGAAATCAAAATACCACATGTTCTCATAAGTGGGAGCAAAATGATGAGAATACATGGACACATAGAGGGGAACAACACACACTGGGGCCTATTGGAGGTTACAGGGTAGGAGGAGGGAGAGGATCAGGAAAAAAAACTAGTGGGTACTAAGCTGAATACCTGGGTGATTAAATAATCTGTACCACAAACCTTCATGACAGAAGTTTATCTATGTAACAAGCCTGTGCAAGTACCCCTAAACTTAAGATAAAAGTGTTAAAAAAAAAGAAAGAGACATGATCCAAATAAGCATAAGCAGAAATGGAAAAGGTGACATTACAACTGATCCCACAGAAATACAAAAGATCCCCCAGAAACTACTATAAATACCTCTATGCACACAAACTATAAAATCTAGAGGAAATGGGTAAATTCCTGCAAACACATAATCTCTCAAGATAGAACCAGGAAGAATTTGAAACGCTAAACAGAGCAATAACGAGTTCCATAACTGAATCAGCAATAAAAACTTACCAACCAAAAAAGTCCCTGGACCGTCAACAAACCAGGCATCAAAGGAACTTACTTCAAAATAATAAAAGCCATATACAACAAACCCATAGCCAACATCATACTGAATGACCAAAAGCATTCCTCTTAAGAACTGGAACAAGACAAGGATGCCCACTCTCACCACTCTTATTCAACATAGTGCTGGAAGACCAAGCCAAAGCAATTAGTCAAGAGAACAAAATGCAAAGCATCCAAATAACTAAATAGGAAGTCAAATTACCTCTCTTCACTGATGATATAGTTTTATCTGTAGAAAACTCTAAAGATTCCACCAAAAGTCTCCTGGAGTGGACAAACAATTTCAATAAAACTTCAGATACAAAGTCAATGTACTAAACCTAGTAGCATTACTATACACCAATAACATTCAAGCTGAGAGCCAAATAAAGAATGCAACCCCATTTGCAGTATCCACCAAAAAAAGTAAAATATCTATGAATACCTTTAACGAAAGGGGCAAAAGATCTCTCCAAAGAGAATTACAAAACACTGCTGAAAGAAATCATACGGGACACAAACAAATGGAAAAACATTTCATGCTCATGGATTTGAAGAATCAATATTATTAAAATGTTCATACTGCCCAAAGCAATCTACAGATTTGATGTTATTTGTATCAAATCACCAACATCATTTTTCACAGACTTAGAAAAAAACTATCCCAAAATTCATATGGAACCAAAAATAAGCCCAGATAGCCAAAGCAATCCAAAGGGAAAAGAACAAAGCCAGAGGAATCACACTACCTGACTTCAAACTTTACTATTAGGCTACAATAACCAAAACAGCATGGTACTGATACAAAAATTAACAAGATAGACCAATGGAACTTAATAGAGAAATCAAAAATAAAGCATCATATTTTCAACCAACTGTTCTTTAACAAAGTGAACAAAAATGAGTAATTGATAAATAACTCAATATCCAATAAATGGTTCTGGGAAAACAGATAACCATATGCAGAAGAATAAAACTGCATTTCTGCCTTTCACCATTTACAAAAATTAACTCACGGTGGATTAACAATTAAAATGTAAGACCTGGCCAGGCACAGTGGCTGACACCTGTAACCCCAGCATTTTGGGAGGCCAAGGCGGGTGGATCACTTGAGCTCAGGAGTTCAAGACCAGGCTGGACAACATGGTGAAACCCTATCTCTACAAAAAAAAAAAACACAAAAATTAGCCAGGCGTGGTGGTGGGCACCTGTAGTCCCAGCTACTGGAGAGGCTGGGGCAGAAGCATCGCTTGAACCTGGGAGGCGGAGTTTGCAGTGAGCTGCGATTGCTCCGCTGCACTCCAGCCTGAACGACAGAGCAAGACTCCATTTCAAAAAAAAAAAAAAATTAAATGAATAAATAAGTACATAATAAAATAAAATAATATAAGCACCTATATAAACAGTTCTCCATAATAATAATAAAAAAACTTTAAACTAATTTAGAAGAGAATATTCTTAATCTGGTAAGAAAAGTTTACACAAAACACTCCCAGAAAATAAGACACTTGTTAACCTCTTAAATTTTTTTGATTGTATACTTGGAAAATCCAAAGGAATCTTTTTTTTTTTAATTTTTTTCCTCCTCATCTTCATTTTCTTTTTTTTTATTATTATACATTAAGTTCTAGGGTACACATGTACAATATGCAGGCTTGTTACATAGGTTTTCATGTGCCATGTTAGTGTGCTGCATCCATTAACTCGTCATTTAACATTAGGTATATCTCCTAATGCTATCCCTCCCCCCTTCCCCCACCCCACGACAGGCCCCCGGTGTGTGATGTTCCCCTTACTGTGTCCATGTGTTCTCATTGTTCAATTCCCACCTATGAGTGAGAACATGCGGTCTTTGGTTTTTTGTCTTTCCGATAGTTTGCTGGGAATGATGATTTTCAGTTTCATCCATATCTCTACAAAGGACATGAACTCATCATTTTTTATGGCTGCATAGTATTCCATGGTGTATATGTGCCACGTTTTCTTAATCCAGTCTATCACTGATGGACATTTGGGTTGGTTCCAAGTCTTTGCTATTGTGAATAGTGCCACAATAAACATATGTGTGCATGTGTCTTTATAGCAGCACGATTTATAATCCTTTGGGTATATAGCAAGTAATGGGATGGCTTGGTGAAATGGTATTTCTAGTTCTAGATCCTTGAGGAATCGCCACACTGACTTCCACAATGGTTGAACTAGTTTATGGTCCCACCAACCATGTAAAAGTATTCCTATTTCTCCACATCCTCTGCAGCACCTGTACTTTCTTGACATTTTGATGATTGCCATTCTAACTGGTGTGAGATGGTATCTCTTTGTGGTTTTGATTTGCATTTCTCTGATGGCCAATGATGATGAGCATTTTTTCATGTGTCTGTTGGCTACATAAAGATCTTCTTTTGAGAAGTGTCTGTTCATATCCTTCGCCCACTTTTTGATGGGGTTGTTTGTTTTTTTCTTGTAAATTTGTTTGAGTTCATTGTCGATTCTGGATATTAGCCCTTTGTCAGATGAGTAGATTGCAAAAATTTTCTCCCATTCTGTAGGTTGCCTGTTCACTCTGATGGTAGTTTCTTTTGCTGTGCAGAAGCTCTTTAGTTTAATTAGATCCCATTTGTCAATTTTGGCTTTTGTTGCCATTGCTTTTGGTGTTTTAGACATGAAGTCCTTGCCCATGCCTATGTCCTGAATGGTATTGCCTAGGTTTTCTTCTAGGGTTTTTATGGTTTTAGGTCTAACATGTAAGTCTTTAGTCCATCTTGAATTGATTTTTGTATAAGGTGTAAGGAAGGGATCCAGTTTCAGCTTTCTACATATGGCTAGACAGTTTTCCCAGAGCCATTTATTAAATAGAGAATCCTTTCCCCATTTCTTGTTTTTGTCAGCTTTGTCAAAGGTCAGATGGTTGTAGATGTGTGGTATTATTTCTGAGGGCTCTGTTCTGTTCCATTGGTCTATGTCTTTGTTTTGGTGCCAGTACCATGCTGTTTTGGTTATTGTAGCCTTGTAGCATACTTTGAAGTAAGGTAGCATGATGCCTCCAGCTTTTTTCTATTGGCTTAGGATTGTCTTGGCAATGCGGGCTCTTCTTTAGTTCCATATGAACTTTAAAGTAGTTCTTTCCAATTCTGTGAAGAAAGTCACTCGTAGTTTGATGAGGATGGCATTGAATCTATAAATTACCTTGGGCAGTATGGCCATTTTCATGATATTGATTCTTCCTACCCATGAGCATGAAATGTTCTTCCATTTGTTTGTGTCCTCTTTTATTTCATTGAGCAGTGTTTTGAAGTTCTTCTTGAAGAGGTCCTTCACATCCTTTGTAAGTTGAATTCCTAGGTATTTTATTCTCTTTGAAGCAATTGTGAATGGGAGTTCACTCATGAATTGACTCTCTGTTTGTCTGTTATTGGTGTATAGGAATGCTTGTGATTTTTGCACATTGATTTTGTATCCTGAGACTTTGCTGAATGTCCTTATCAGCTTAAGGATATTTTGGGCTGAGAAGATGGGGTTTTCTAAATATACGATCATGTCATCTGCAAACAGGAACAATTTGACTTCCTCTTTTCCTAATGGAATACCCTTTGTTTCTTTCTCCTGCCTGATTGCCCTGGCCAGAACTTCCAATACTATGTTGAATAGGAGTGGTGAAAGAGGGCATCCCTGTCTTGTGACAGTTTTCAAAGGGAATGCTTCCAATTTTTGCCCATTCAATATGATGTTGGCTGTGGGTTTGTCATAAATAGCTTTTATTATTTTGAGATACATCCCATAAATACCTAGTTTATTGAGAGTTTTTAGCATGAAGGGCTGTTGAATTTTGTCAAAGGCCTTTTCTGCATCTATTGAGATAATCATGTGGTTTTTTTCTTTAGTTCTGTTTATATGCTGGATTACAATTATTAATTTGCATATGTTGAACCAGCCTTGCACCCCGGGGAAGAAGCCCACTTGATCGTGGTGGATAAACTTTTTGGTGTGCTGCTGGATTTGGTTTGCCAGTATTTTATTGAGGATTTTTGCATCGATGTTCATCAAAGGTATTGGTCTAAAATTCTCTTTTTTGGTTGTGTCTCTGCCAGGTTTTGGTATCTGGATGATGCTGGCCTCATAAAATGAGTTAGAGAGGATTCCCTCTTTTTCTATTGATTGGAATAGTTTCAGAAGGAATGGTAGCAGCTCCGCTTTGTACCTCTGGTACAACTCGGCTGTGAATCCGTCAGGTCCTGGACTTTCTTTGGTCAGTAAGCTATTAATTATTGCCTCAATTTCAGAGCCTGTTATTGGTAGGTTCAGAGATTCAACTTCTTCCTGATTTAGTCTTGGGAGGTTGTATGTGTCCAGGAATTTATCCATTTCTTCTAGATTTTCTAGTTTATTTGCGTAGAGGTGTTTATAGTATTCTCTGATGGCAGTTTATATTTCTGTGGGATTGGTGGTGATATCCCCTTTTTCATTTTTTATTGCATCTATTTGATTCTTCTCTATTTTCCTCTTTATTAGTCTTGCTAGCGTTCTATCAATTTTGTTGATCTTTTCCAAAAACAAGCTCCTGGATTCATTGATTTTTTGAAGGTTTTTTTGTGTCTCCATCTCCTTCAGTTCTGCTCCGATCTTAGTTATTTCTTGCCTTCTGCTAGCTTTTGAATGTGTTTGCTCTTGCTTCTCTAGTTCTTTTAATTGTGAAATTAGGATGTCAATTTTAGATCTTTCTTGCTTTCTCTTGTGGGCATTTAGTGCTATAAATTTCCCTCTACAGGCTGCTTTAAATGTTTCCCAGAGATTCTGGTATGTTGTGTGTTTGTTCTCATTGGTTTCAAAGAACATCTTTATTTCTGCCTTCATTTCATTAGGTACCCAGTAGTCACTCAGGAGCCAGTTGTTCAATTTCCATGTAGTTGAGTGGTTTTGAGTGAGTTTCTTAACACTGAGTTCTAGTTTGATTGCACTGTGATCTGAGAGACAGTTTGTAACAATTTCTGTTCTTTTACATTTGCTGAGGAGACCTTTACTTCCAACTATGTGGTCAATTTTGGAATAAGTGTGATGTGGTGCTGAGAAGAATGTATATTCTGTTGGTTTGGGGCAGATAGTTCTGTAGATGCCGATTAGGTCCACTTGGTGCAGAGCTGAGTTCAATTCCTGGATATCTTTGTTAACTTTCTCTCTTGTTAATCTGTCTAATGTCTACAGTGGGGTGTTAAAGTCTCCCATTATTATTGTGTGGGAGTCTAAGTCTCTTTGTAGGTCTCTAAGGACTTGCTTTATGAATCTGGGTGCTCCTGTATTGGGTGCATATATATTTAGGATAATTAGCTGTTCTTGTTAAATTGACCCCTTTACCATTATGTAATGGCCTTCTTTGTCTCTTTTGATCTTTCTTGGCTTAAAGTCTGTTTTATCCGAGACTAGGATTGCAACCCCTGCCTTTTTTTTGTTTTCCATTTGCTTGGTAGATCTTCCCCCATCCCTTTATTTTGAGCCCATGTGTGTCTCTGTATGTGAGATGGGTCTCCTGAATACAGCACACTGATGGGTCTTGACTCTTTATCCAATTTCCAGTCTGTGTCTTTTAATTGGAGCATTTAGCCCATTTACATTTAAGGTTAATATTGTTATGTGTGAATTTGATCCTGTCATTATGATGTTAGCTGGTTATTTTACTCGTTAGTTGATGCAGTTTCTTCCTAGCATCGATGGTCTTTACAATTTGGCATGTTTTTGCGTGGCTGGTACCAGTTGTTCCTTTCCATGTTTAGTGCTTCCTTCAGGAGCTCATGTAGGGCAGGCCTGGTGGTGACAAAATCTCTCAGCATTTGCTTGTCTATAAAGGATTTTATTTCTCCTTCACTTATGAACCTTAGTTTGGCTGGATATGAAATTCTGGGTTGAAAATTATTTTCTTTAAGAATGTTGAATATTGGCCCCCACTCTCTTCTGGCTTGCAGAGTTTCTGCCAACAGATCAGCTGTTAGTCTGATGGGCTTCCCTTTGTGGGTAACCTGACCTTTCTCTCTGGCTGCCCTTAACATTTTTTCCTTCATTTCAACTTTGGTGAATCTGAAAATTATGTGTCTTGGGGTTGCTCTTCTCAAGGAGTATCTTTGTGGCATTATCTGTATTTCCTGAATGTGAATGTTGGCCTGCCTTGCTAGGTTGGGGAAGTTCTCCTGGATAATATCTTGCAGATTGTTTTCCAACTTGGTTCCACTGTCCCCATCACTTTCAGGTACACCAGTTAGACATAGATTTGGTCTTTTCACATCATCCCATATTTCTTGGAGGCTTCATTCATTTCTTTTTATTCTTTTTTCTCTAAATTTCTCTTCTTGCTTTGTTTCATTCATTGGATCTTCCATCACTGATATCCTTTCTTCCAGTTGATCAAATCAGCTACTGAAGCTTGTGCATTCGTCATGTAGTTCTCGTGCCATGGTTTTCAGCTCCATCAGGTCATTTAAGGGCTTCTCTAAACTGGTTATTCTAGTTAGCCATTCATCTAATCTTTTTTCAAGGATTTTAGCTTCTTTGTGATGGGTTCCAACTTCCTCCTTTAGCTCTGAGAAGTTTGATCATCTGAAGCCTTCTTCTCTCAACTTGTCAAAGTCATTCTCTGTCCAGCTTTGTTCCATTGCTGTTGAGGAGCTGTGTTCCTTTGGAGGGAGAGAGGTGCTCTGAATTTTAGAGTTTCCAGTTTTTCTGCTCTGTTTTTTCCCCATCTTTGTGGTTTTATCTACCTTTGATCTTTGATGATGGTGATGTACAGATGGGGCTTTTATGTGGATGTCCTTTCTTTTGTTAGTTTTCATTCTAACAGTCAGGACCCTCAGCTGCAGGTTGATTGGAGTTTGCTGGAGGTCCACTCCAGACCCTGTTTGCCTGGATATCAGCAGCAGAGGCTGGAGAACAGCAGATATTGCTGAACAGCAAATGTTGCTGCCTGATCGTTCCTCTGGAAGCTTCATCTCAGAGGAATACCCAGCCGTGTGAGGTGTCAGTCTGCCCCTGCTGGGGGGTGCCTCCCAGTTAGGCTACTCGGGGGTCAGAGACCCACTTGAGGAGGCAGTCTGACCATTCTCAGATCTCAAACTCCGTGCTGGGAGAACCACTACTCTCTTCAAAGCTGTCAGACAGGGACATTTAAGTCTGCAGAGGTTTCTGCTGCCTTTTGTTCAGCTATGCCCCGCCCCCAGAGGTGGAGTCTCTAGAGGCAGGCAGGCCTCCTTGAGCTGCGGTGGGCCACACCCAGTTCGAGCTTCCTGGCCACTTTGTTTACCTACCCAAGCCTCAGCAATGGCAGGTGCCTCTCCCCCATCCTTGCTTCAGCCTTGCAGTTCGATCTCAGACTGCTGTGCTAGCAATGAGTGAGGCTCCATGGGCATGGGACCCTCTGAGCCAGGCGCAGGATGTAATCTCCTGGTGTGCCGTTTGCTAAGTATTGGAAAAGCTCAGTATTAGGGCGGGAGTGACCCGATTTTCCAGGTGCCATCTGTCACAGCTTCCCTTGGCTTGAAAAGGGAATTCCCTGACCCCTTGCACTTCCCTGGTGAGGTGATGCCTCACCCTGTTTCGTCTCATGCTTGGTGGGCTACACCCACTGTCCTGCACCCACTGTCTGACAAGCCCCAGTGAGATGAACCGGGTACCACAGTTGGAAACGCAGAAATCACCCTCTTCTGCGTCACTCACGCTGGGAGCTATAGACTGGAGCTGTTCCTCTTCAGCCATCTTGGAACCACCTAACCTCTTAAAAAATCTTATCTGGGCCAGGTGCGGTGGCTCACGCCTGTAATCCCAGCACTTTGGGAGGCCAACACAGGTGGATCACCTGAGGTCAGGAGTTTGAGACCAGCTTATCCAACATAGTGAAACCCCGTCTCTACTAAAAATACAAAAAAAATAGCCACACATGGTAGCAGATGCCTGTAATGTCAGCTACTTGGGAGGCTGAGGCAGGAGACTTGCTTGAACCCAGGAGGTGGAGGTCGCAGTGAGCTGACATCGCACCATTGCACTCCAGCCTGAGTGACAGAGCAAGACTCTGTTTAAAAAAAAAAAGTAGCTATCAATAATTCTATTTATCATTTTACTGGAGGTCATAGGCCAGGGAAAATGGGCAAAAAATATAATAAAAGGTATAACAATTGAAAAAAATCTAATGAAACTTTCATATTTAGAGATATCATTAGAAAATCCAAAAGGATCTATAGATAAAATATTAAATGTAATAAGTTAATTTAACATGGATACTGGTAGCAAGGTCAAAATATTTTTTTATTTATAATATACAGTAGACCCCTCCTTAATTCATGGTTTTGTTTTCCACAGTTTTAGTTACCCATGGTCAATGGCAGTCTGAAAATATTAAATGGGCAATTCCAGAAATAAATAATCTATAAGTTTTCAATTGTGCACCATTCTAAGTAGTATGATGAAATTTCAGGCCAGCCTACTTCATCTGGACAAGGATGCAAATCACCCCTTAATTATCATATCTCCACTGTATATGCTACCCAACCCTTAGTCACTTAGTAGCTGGCTCAGTTATCAGATCAGCTGTCCTGGTCTCCAGTGCTTGTGTTCAAGTAACCCTTATTTTACTTAATAACAGCCCCAAAGCACAGAAGTAGTGATGCTTGTAATTCAAATATGCCAAAGAGAAGCCATTAAGTGCTTCCTTTAAATGAAAAGGTGTTAAGTTTTTGACTTAATAAGGAAAGAAACAAAATATGCTGATGTTGCTATGTTCTACAGTAAAAAGGAATCTTCTTTCCATAAAATTGTGATGGGGAAAAGGGAATTGTACAAATTTTACCATCACACCTCAAATTGCAAAGGTTATGATCAGAGTGTGTGGTAAGTGCTTAGTTAAGATCTTAAAAAGCCATCAAATTTGTGGGTGGAGGACATGAACAGAAAGGGGCTCCAATTGGCAGCAATCAGGTTCAGCACTATTTGTGGTTTTGGGCATCCACCAGAAGTCTTGGAATGTATCCTCTGCAATTCAGAAGGGACTACTCATCGGCTACTTTGTATTCTTTGACCTACATCTCCTCATTTCCTCCCACCACCACCTGCTTCCTGCCCCTGGTAATCACTGTTTTATTCTCTATTTCTGTGTACTCAACTCTTTTAAGATTCCACATATAAGTGAGATTATGCAATCAATATCTGAGAAAACCTGTGTCTTGATGAGCTTATCAGAAGTGTACATGGTCTTTAGGCCCATAGGAGAGTATGAGTTAGAAGCATCAATTAAAGCTTCGATTTAGAAGTGTGCACATGTTGATTTTTTAATTTGAAACAAATATTGGGACTAGGGATAATCTTTCCCTAGAAGACAGGTTTCATATGTCAAGCAACAATGGTACTAATGCAGAGTGGAAATACAAACCATGCCATAGAGCTGGACAAGCATAGTCACAGTGTAGTATGGAAATGTGTGACATTGCTATGTGGACACTGTGGACACTGCCATGTCCATTTCTGTACTTTTGAAACAGAAAGGAAATATGAAATACTGGATATGATATGTGAGAAAGAATGTAACTTGAAAACCTGGTTAATTTCTAGACCTTTCAAACTATCTCAATTGCTCCACTTTTCAGGGAAAAGACAGTGTATAAAGTAAATTTTTCCCTCAAATATGACATTTGAAGAATTACAAAATTTTCATTTTGTCTGGCGATTTTCCTAACTAAATTTAAATTTACAGTCATCTTCTTGCAAATGTTGCCAGAAACAAAACGGAGTCACTAAGGAAAAAAAAAAAAAACTGGCAGAGCTAGGGAAGACTATGCAGAGAGGGTTCTCACACTTGTATACCTAATAAGAACAACTACCACGAAAGACTCTGCAAAAACCACAACCTTGAAAAGGCCATCACAACCTTACATGAAAAATGCCTCAAAGACATCTGCCCTGCCAGCAACTGTCTGTTTAACCTCTGACTGGTGTCACCGTTGTTATTGATATTTGTAGGCAAGGATAATTATTTCAAAACAAATATGTAATTCTCTTAATTTTTTTTCTTTAAAAAATTTGCCTTCCTTTACCTCCCTGAGTATGCACATCGTTTACTATTGCATATATATTCCCATTGCAATGCTCTATTCTCAAATAAATATCTTTTTCTTTTAGAGAGCCTCTTTTTCTGTTTGTTATTTAGGTAGACATTCTGCACATATTTGGCAAAAACTTACACGCTGTTGAAACTGAAACCAAGACCTCTTCCTCTATCTTCCATCTCTCAGGCACAACTCAATTTCTAACTCAGTCTTTGGCAATACTAATATTCCTTTCTGGTAACATAATTTTGACTGGATTACTGTTCTCATGTTTTAGGCCTAACTTGTTTAAAAATTTGATGAGTGGCCGGGCGTGGTGGATCATGCCTGTAATCCTGGCACTTTGGGAGGCTGAGGTGGGCAGATCACAAGGTCAGGAGATCAAGACCATCCTGGCCAACATGGTGAAACACAGTCTCTACTAAAAATACAAACATTAGCTGGGCATAGTGGCACATGCCTACAGTTCCAGCTACTTAGGAGGCTGAGGCAGGAGAATCACTTGAACCCAAGAGGCAGAGGCTGCAGTGAGCCGAGATCATGCCACTGCACTCCAGCCTGGGCAACAGAGCAAGACTCTGTCTCAAGAAAAAAAAAAGTTTGATGAGTGTGGGGCTAGTGTTGTGATAGTCTCCTGTGCCCTGCCAACTCTTTTGGATTATTTTTTAAAATGAGGAACATTTCAGATTTAGTTTGTAGCAATTCAACTTTGGGAGTCTTGCAAGAACTCACTTATTTTAATGGAAAATAGCCCAGGTTGTCTACCAGCTTTTCCTGAGCTCTGTTTTGGGTGTTCTACCCAAAATAAAAAACGTATAAACACAAAAATAGTAATGTTCATGTCTGTGACAGCCAATGTTAAGTCTCTGCTGTTGTCTATGGCTGTTATCCAAAAAGTAGATTCAATTCTGTCATGTATTGGAGTCTGGGAATGTTGTTAAGAGATACATACATTGAAATTTGGAGAGCTGCTCTGTATTTATCAATTAGGCAGTAATAATCTTGGATGAAGGCTAGTCTTATTAATGTTGTGAACCAGTCTTATTAATGTTGTGAACCAGTAGTGTCCCCAGGAATAGAGAACACTACACTACTCACTTTGCATTTTCTTATCCACATAATAGAATTAGTTAGTGATAACCCTCTTTACTCGGAATCGATTGCTGCCACATTTCTGCATGATACATAGATCTCTGCAAATATGTGATTTTTTTCCTAAATGGAGAAAATCCAAAAATTCTTCTTAAAATTTTTCATGGGCATACAAGAAGATAGGAGGTGACATCTTAAAACAAGTATCTCTGAACTTTTTGTATAAAAAAAAGCAACCTCTTTGCTCTATTATTAATACCACATGTGGTGATATGAATGCCCAAATGTAGACAGCAGTTATGAGATATTACAAGAGAAGAAAAAAGCTCTGCCGCTTATGGCAACTTACCCAAAAAGTTATCTTTGACTTAGGCTGGAGGTGCACATAGCATAGCTCCTAGAGTTCTGTTTATGTCATGAATATTTGTTACTCAAAACTCCATAGGCCAAGAGCTCCTGAAGAGAAGGTCACATGCTAGCAGCAATTGTCATTTTTTCCCTCAAATATTGCTATAGTATAATTTTGTTTGAATTATAAACTTCAGTCTTTATTATATTTGATTCTGGCATTTTGGTTTGTAGTGCTATAGTACAGGAAATGTTTTAAATGCTTTGCCTTTATGTAAGTGAATATCGGTACACACACATACACATACACACACAGACACAGACACACACACACACACACTCACAGCCAGTTTAGAATGTGGGGTAAGGAACACCAGACAAAGAGGGCAATATAAGAAAGAGAAGACATTGAAAACATTGGGAAGAGGCAGTAACAGAGTGCCAGAGAAGATAAGGCAGCTGGGAGGGGGAGAAACTAAGTGAGGTGGATAAACTAAAAGCATCCTTCTGGGTTAAAGCAGACTAAAAGCTTAGCAATTGCTTAATATCACCATCTTATCCTATAGATGTGGGAATAAAGGCTAAGGAAGGAGAAATGAAAATGCAGAATCATATGGGGGCTTTTCCAAGGAGGTATGAAGGAAGGTGAGGACAGGGAGAGCGGCTGGAAGTCAGGGGGTAAGAGAAACTCTAAAAATCAGGGCTTGAGGGAAATAAAAGGTGAGGTAAGAGGCTCAGGGCTGTGGGAGGCACATTTTTCTCTGAAAAGCAGTTTGGATGAGGAAGAGATTTGGCAGTTGGAAGAGAGAAGAAGTCACTACAGGGTACTGAGGAAAAGCTTTGCTGAAATTGGAGATCAAATACCAGCTCTGCCAGTAAGAAGTTGCATCTCCCAGTGAAATGCTGCTGCTGCCATTTCAACTGTTAGCTGTTCTCTTTCCTGGTGGTAACAGTGAACATGGTAAGAGTCACTCTGGCAGCTCCCAGCACTGGTGCAGGGGTTTGGATTTTAAAAAGCAAGCAGGGCTTTCCTAGGTGCAATTGGACACTAAGGGTCTGGGTCTTTCTGTCTCCCGCCCTCTTCAACCATTCTGGTGGTTGGGACTAGAACCTGAAGCCTTAAGGCAGTCAAATGTGTCAGACTTCCTGTGTTCTTTAGACTCTAGGTTCTTGTTTTCTAAATCATTTTCATTCCCATTCTTCCTAATTGTCTCCTGCTTCTCTCTTTATCTTCACCATCTTGCTTTTCCACTCTTCACAGCCTTCCAGGGGCCGACCTCCTTTCATGTTATCCAGACCTCGTCCTTTACCAATAGTACCTGGGCACAAACTCAAGGCTCAGGCTGGTTGGATGATTTGCAGATTCATGGCTGGGATAGCGACTCAGGCACTGCCATATTCCTGAAGCCTTGGTCTAAAGGTAACTTTAGTGATAAGGAGGTTGCTGAGTTAGAGGAGATATTCCGAGTCTACATCTTTGGATTCGCTCGAGAAGTACAAGACTTTGCCGGTGATTTCCAGATGAAATGTGAGTCTAGTCCACCGAACTGGGAAGAGTCTCAAGGACTCTCTTTTCTCTCTTTTTTGCAAAGTGTTGCTCTCTCTGATGCTTCTCCCTTCCTTTCTATTTTACCCAAATGCACGCACATGCTTTTCTTGAGTAGTCTCTCACTCCAGCTTCACACCATCACACCTCATATTTCAGATTCTTGCTGCCTCTGCACTCTTCTCTTACTCTCAGACTGTCTTCCACTTTGTAACCAGCTGCTGGTTTGTCTTATGTGAAACTTCTCCTCAAGGGCCCTTACTTCTCCTACCCTGTGCCTGAGTGATCTAACGTGTGGCTTTCTCCCCTAATCCATCTTTTCAATCATCTCCTCCCCGCACCCTCCTCTTGCTGGGAACCTCCACTCACTCTGGAATGCTGCACTCCTGACTGCACCACGCTCTGCCTCACCTCTCCTTTCATACTCACTGTACTCCTTTATCACATACCTTTGTCTTCATGGCATGCACATTTTTCTCAATGCTCTTGTTTCTGAAAATGTCTAAATGTTATCATTAGTTTTTAGCTCATCATCATTTTACACCAAATAACTTTATCCCCACCAAAATCTAAAATCCTAGGTTCTTTTCTCATGCCTTTTTTTCTTATTTGTGTTTAATAACTTGCTCTCTTTTCCCTCTACATAGACCCCTTTGAGATCCAGGGCATAGCAGGCTGTGAGCTACATTCTGGAGGTGCCATAGTAAGCTTCCTGAGGGGAGCTCTAGGAGGATTGGATTTCCTGAGTGTCAAGAATGCTTCATGTGTGCCTTCCCCAGAAGGTGGCAGCAGGGCACAGAAATTCTGTGCACTAATCATACAATATCAAGGTATCATGGAAACTGTGAGAATTCTCCTCTATGAAACCTGCCCCCGATATCTCTTGGGCGTCCTCAATGCAGGAAAAGCAGATCTGCAAAGACAAGGTTAGTCCTGCTGTTATTTCACTTCCCACCACCTCCTCTAAGATCAAGAGTAGGAAGATATCAAAGGATAGGAGCTTAAATAACAAGTTATTTGGTTCCCAAAGGAGTGAATGGGGTCGCTGTCCAAGCTTGTAGGTTTCTGAGTTCATAACCTCTGAACTCGAGTTATAACATGACACTTTTTTTTCTCCTTCCTGCCTTAGTGAAGCCTGAGGCCTGGCTGTCCAGTGGCCCCAGTCCTGGACCTGGCCGTCTGCAGCTTGTGTGCCATGTCTCAGGATTCTACCCAAAGCCCGTGTGGGTGATGTGGATGCGGGGTGAGCAGGAGCAGCAGGGCACTCAGCTAGGGGACATCCTGCCCAATGCTAACTGGACATGGTATCTCCGAGCAACCCTGGATGTGGCAGATGGGGAGGCGGCTGGCCTGTCCTGTCGGGTGAAGCACAGCAGTTTAGAGGGCCAGGACATCATCCTCTACTGGAGTAAGAAATAGCAGGGACCCAGGCTGGAAATGCCAGGAAGTGATCTTCAGGCATAGAGGGAGGCACTGGGGAAGGATAGAGCTTGAGAGATGAAAGAGGGAGAGATTGATTGATTGATTTCCCTGACCCCAATCCCAACAGGAGTAAAAATAGATAATCCAAGTTATCAAAAATGTAGGAATTAAGGACCTGTAAACTGGGTAGAGGGGATCAAAGGATGGATATATGGTGGCCAGGAATATGAGAGAGGAAGTTGGAAATGACCATACATTGGAAGTAGGTGGGCAAAGGAAGGCCAAGGAATTCTGTGTATAGTATCTGAAGTGACATCCTTTTGTCCTCTCTCAATTGCCAGGAAACCCCACCTCCATTGGCTCAATTGTTTTGGCAATAATAGTGCCTTCCTTGCTCCTTTTGCTATGCCTTGCATTATGGTATATGAGGCGCCGGTGAGTTGTGGGTGGTGTTGTTTTTTTTTTTAATATGTCTTTTCTGTTCACCCTTCCACTGTTTTTTACCATTTTATCTATTTAAAAATTGTTTATCCTCAATCCTTTCACCATATCCTTTCCCCAAACTCCCATTCGTTTTATGTGGACTTAAAAAAAATTCTGTTAAAATACACATAACATAAGGTTTACCATCTTTACCATTTTTAAGTGTACAGTTCAGTGGTGTTAAGTGTGTTCACATTGTTGTGCAAGCAATCTTCAAAACTCTTCTGTCTTGCAAGACTGAAACTCTATTCCTATTACGCTGCAAGTTCCCATTTCCCCTCTTCTCCAGGCCCTGGTTAGGACAGCTCTACATTCTGTCTCTATGAATTCTACTATTCTAGGTACCTTATATAAGTGGAATTGTAAATATTTGTCTTTTTGTGACTTATTTCATTTAGCGTAATATCCTCATTGTAGCATATGAAAGGGCTTCCTTCCTTTTTTGAAACTGAACAATATTCCACCATATGCGTATAACACATTTTGTTCATCCATTCGTCTATCTATGGACACTTGGGTTGCTTTCACTTTTAACTATCATGAATAATATTACTATGAGCATGGGTGTACAAACATCTTTTATGTGGAGCTCTTTTGTTCTTCTGTTTTTAACAGGTCATATCAGAATATCCCATGAGCCATCATCATGTCTCCTCTCCCATTCGCAATAAGTACCAAGAAGCCCAAGATATCAGCCCAAAAGTCAATCTTATCATATTTCAAATGATTTTCAAATTTGATGAAATCAGAGTTTTCATGTATTTTAAAATAAATTATTATTTAAACATCAGCAAAAAAGTACTTAAAACTGTAAATTTATTATGAGACTGTACTAACAGTGTGATTCACCCTGATTTTACACACATTAAAATGTTAGAAAAAATGTGTCTCAAAATAAATGAAATATAATACATATGACTTAATGGTGACTCCCTTTGGCTTCCTAATTTAAAACTTTTCTTTTTCTGCTTCTGGTTAAATATCATTTGTCAAAGAAAACCAAATATAATTATGCCAGAATCACTGTATTTGCAGAGATGCAGAGCCTTTTGGATGTAATTTCTTCTCTGTCTCTGCCTGGATGAATTTCTAGCCCTGAAGGCTCAGCTGAGATGTTTCTTCCTCAGGAAGACTTTCCTAGTGCTATAATAAAAGGAACTATGCAGAGATCCACTTTACACTTTACTCACAGCATTGGAGTTATTTTTGTTTTTCCTCCCCTTCTCTTTGTAAGTTCCTTGAGGACAGTGTTCCCTATTTGTAGATCTCTGGCAAGATCTCTTAGCTGCAAATTCATTTTCTCAGTAAAAACTATCTGAGTTGCTGTAACTGCCAAGTTAAGTGTTTTCTTTCAGAGTCATCTACTTTCTTCCATTTTTTTTTCTTTTTAGTTGATATTGTAGATTCTCCTCATCTTGCTAAAATAGTTTCCACTTAGCCAAAAAATATTATGTTTTCTTTATTTCTGTTCCAAACTCCTTTGGAGAAAACCACCCTTGGCTTACTACAGCTATAGTCTAGCTTTTAAAGGGTCATAGTGAGAGGTGAAGCCAGCTGCACTCCCTGGGTTGAGTGGGGACTCCTATAACTTTTCTGTAGCTAGCAAGAGTTTTGTAAAATGCACCAATCAATGCTCTGTAAAAACACACCAATCAGTGCTCTGTAGCTAGCAAGAGGTTTGTAAAATGCACCAATCAGTGCTCTGTAAAATAGACCAATCTGCACTCTGTAAAATGGACCAGCCAGCGCTGGTCCATTAATTAATAATTTTATAGGGGCCAAGCGTGGTGGCTCACGCCTGTAATCCCAGCACTTTGGGAGGCCGAGGCAGGTGGATCACCTGAGGTCAGGAGTTTGAGACCAGGCTGACCAACATGGCAAAAATCTGTCTCTACTAAAAATACAAAAATTAGCCGGGCATGGTGGTGCATGGCTGTAGTCCCAGCTACTTGGAAGGCTGAGGCAGGAGAATCACTTGAACCCAGCAAGTGGAGGTTGCAGTGAGCCAAGATTGTGCCACTGCACTCCAGCCTGGGTGACAGAGCAAGACCCTGTCTCCAAAAATAATAATAATAATAATAATAATTTTATATGTGCAAACATAAAGCAGTATAAAAACTATCCTTTGCTCATTAGACAGTTTTGAAAAAATTATCAACTCATGATTAAAATAAATTTTAGATATTGTATCATTTCATCCTTAACTATTTCAACATGTCTTTCTGTAACATATAGACTTTTTTAACATATAGCCGAAATTACATTATGACATCCCCAAATAAAAGATTTCTTAATATCATTAAATATATAGTTGTTCAGCATTCAAATTTTTTCCAATTGTCTCATGAATTGTTTTTACAGTTTATTCATTAAATTGGAATAAAAATAAGATTCATGCATTAAAATTAGTTGATGTTTCATAAACCGTTTTTAATCTGTAGGATTCTTCTCTCATTTTTATCCTAGAATTTGTTTTTTAAGAAATTTCATCATTCTTCTTGTAAAATCATCCACAGTTTGGATTTTGCTGATTACATAGCTATAATGTCATTTAACATGCCCCTTTGTTCTCTTTATTTACTATATATAAATAGATTTGTGGGCCGGGCATGGTGGCTCACGCCTGTAATCCCAGCACTTTGGGAGGCCGAGGCGGGCGGATCACGAGGTCAGTTGATTGAGACCATCCTGGCTAACACGGTGAAACCCCATCTCTACTAAAACTACAAAAAAAATTAGCCGGGCATGATGGTGGGCACCTGTAGTCCCAGCTACTCAGGGAGGCTGAGGCAGGAGAATGGCATGAACCCGGGAGGCGGAGCTTGCAGTGAGCCGAGATCGCGCCACTGCACTCCAGCTTGGGCAACAGAGCAAGACTCCGTCTCAAGAAAAAATAAAAAATAAATAAATAGATTTGTGATGTGCTCAGATTCAGGTTTTATTATACTATGTATATCTCACAAGAGGCATATAATGCTTAATGGTCTTCATTCATTACTAGATTAATAGGTCTCAACTCTTACACATTTTACATATGTACAAGTTATATTGAAGGTGGCACAACAGTGTGAATGTACTTAATAACACAGAATTGTACACTTAAAAATGGCAAAATGGTAAATCTTATATATGTGTATTTTACCACAATAAAAAAAGATTGAGATCACCAGAAAAGCTTTTCTCTGTGTGATGGAAATTGTGTGTGTGCGTGTGTGTGTGTGTGTGTGTGTGTATAAAATGTATGTCCAGACAGATAGCTAGATATATCTTAGAAGTAAAAACTAATAAACTAATAATTAAAATATTTATAAACTTCTCTACAATTAAACATGGATTACATATCAACAAAAATTACATCTTTATTTTTAAATGTTTTTCAAAAATGTAGTGAGAAGCGTGGCTTTACAGCTGCATCTATTTATTTATTTATTTAGTATTTTGGCAATTCTCTTTAATGTCTGGCTTAATAAGAAAACAGCTACATTTTCATATCTGCTTTGGCATCCAATCTGATGCAATATCATATTCCATGTAGTCTCTGGAGAACAACATAAAATCATGAGAAGAATAGAATTAAAAATTTAACCTGGTAGTATTGTTAGGATTTATTGGGAACTATGGACCCTCAGAAAAGGAGTCAGGGACCTCAAAGTGCCCTGGGTCATATCTTATGAATGAATGGCCTAGGGGTGAAAGAAAAATATATTAAACATTCTTCACTTATTACTTAGAATATTCCTAAAGAGACATTATCTTCAGTAACTATCTTATTACCTTGATGGAATCAAGGTAATAAGATAGTTATTCTTTCTATTTATTTGCCCGTTCTCAAGAGAATGAATGCTTTATATGGCATTCTCCACAAGTGATCAATATTTTTTTGCATAATTGTATACTCATGAATTTCAGCTTATTTGAAATGCTTGTATCTATCATAGTAGTTGTTTTATTGAAGCTCAAATTGTCCTATCTGTGACAATGAGATTCTTTTCAAGTCAATTCTTCCTGAGCTCCATCAATACACCTCTGTCATCAAGACTGTATTACTTCCTGATGTGGCAAAGTTGCTCAAGGTTCTTGCCGAAACTTCTTGCCCTACACTAGAAATTAGCAAGGATCTCTGGTCCTTGTTAGTTGGAAAAAATGTGATACGGAAATTACTGGGTTAATCCTAGTTTCTAGGCCTTCTAAGGGGGAAAACCTAAAAAAAAATTAGCCTGTGGAAATTTTTTTGAGGATAAATATCATCACAAGCTCATATTTACACTTTCACTTCAAATTCAAAACTATGTGTTTAACTCATCAGTCTCACTTCTACTTCTCTTTTCTCCCACACGGAAAATCTTGGTTTCCGATGAATCAATGTAATTATGTATTCATCTAATCCCACTATATATGTTATAGTCAGAATAGAAATACAAACACTATGTCAGAAAGATGGTGGAATAGGAGGTAACCCACTCATATCCCCCAACTCCAAGAATTATCTACTCATCCACAGACAAAAGTCTCTCTGTAGAAGCCTCAGGAATCAGGGAGTAATCTGTGAAAATTCAGTGGAATCAAGGCCCTAGGTAGGCAGCTTTGGGATTGCAGACCAGCACCTGGATAGCAGACCCACCAATGATACTGCAGGTTTCAAACTTGGAGACATCCTTGTTAACAAAAGGCTTGGCTACACTCCAATTTTGTCTTGAGTCTTGAACCAAAAACATCTACCAATGTGTCTAGGAGGAATCATGCACACTAATAACTTGGCAGAAAATCTCTTCTGTCCGTTAAATGTTGGCAGTGAATCTGAAACTTACCCTGTAATTTGGCTCCAGACCCACTCAGCTGTGATCTGAGTTTATTACTGCTCACACAAGGATACCTAGAGAAAGACTTACCCTTATCTCATAGCCAGGCAATCACCCATTTTTCTGAAACTCCTTGGTGGGACCACCAGCCTTTGTCCCAAAGCAGATCCTGAGGGGACCCAGTCTCAGCTCCAGCTCCTCCCACATCTGAGCCAATGAGACAGGCTCCTGGACTTAGGTCCCTGGCCAGCTTCCTCACACAGCTTGGGCACCCTCCTTGGGTCTTCACCACGTCCTTCTACATAAGGGCTCCATGCCAACCTGACAGCCCTCATGAGACTCACAGTGAACCTAGGCTTAGAGTTTCCTCTAGTGCTGAAATGGCTGCAGCAGTCATGCGATCTAACATTAGGTTTGCTTAAATTCTGGAGAGGCCCAGTGAAGAAAAACAGGCACAAACAAAGCCAGACTGTGAAGACTGAAATAAATACCTTTTTTCAGAGCAAATACATCAATGTACATACACAAGCATCAAGAACAACCAGGGAATTTTGACCTCACCAAACAGACAAAACACGATGCCAGTGACAAACCCTAAAGTGATGCAGAAGTATTATCTCTCAAGGAATTCAGAATAGCTTGTTAAGGAAGCTTAGTGAATTTCAGTAAAACACAGAGAAAAGCAGTTCAGAAATTTATCAGAGAAGTTTAACAGGGACTAAAGTAATGAAAAATCTAACAGAAATCCTAGAGCTAAAAGATACAATTAATGAAATAAGAAATGCAATACGAGCATTAACAGCAGAATTAATCAAGCAGAAGAAAAAAAAATCAGTGAAATCTAAGATAGACTATTTGAAATATGGCCAAAGTGGGAAAAAGAATAAAAAAAAAGAAACAAGTGAAGTTCATGGAGTCTATGGGATACTATTGAAAGAGCAAATACTTGGGTCATTGGAGTTCAAGAGGGTACAGAAAAAGACAAGGAAATAGACGGCTTATTCACAGAAATCATAAAAGAAAATTTTACAATCCTGGAAAAAGATGTAAATGCTCAAGTAAAGGAAGGTCAAAGGCCATCAATCATATTCAACACAAATGGAACTACCTCAAGACATACCCTTTGACTCTCGAAATAAAAACAGAGCATTCTAAAAGCAGTAATAGAAAAGAAGCAAATAACATGTAAGGGAATGTTGATATGCCTGGCAGCAGACTTTTCAGCAGAAACCTTGCAGGCCAAAAAGTGTAGGGCAATATATTCAGAATGCTGAAAGAAAAAGAATGCCAACCAAGAATAAAGTAACTGGCAAATATGTCCTTCAGAAATGAAGGAGAGATAAAGGCTCTTCCAGACAAACAAAAGCCAAGTAAATGCAACACCACCAGATCTGTCTTACAAGAAATAACAAAGGAAGTTCTTCAACTTGAAAGAAAAAAAATGCTAATGTGTAACAAGAAAATATCAAAAGGTATAAAACTCACTGGTAAAGGTAAGTATACAGGCCAGGCATGGTAGCTCATGGCTGTAACCCCACCACTTTAGAAAGCTGAGGCAAGTGGATTGACTAAAAAACCCAAGGATTTGAGTTCAGCCTGGGCAACATGGCAAAACCGCATCTTACGAGAAAACACACACACACAAAAAAAAAAAAACAGAAAAAAAATAAATAGCCAGCCATGGTGGCTTGTGTCTGTAGTCCCAGCTATTCAAGAGGCTGAAATAGGATAATTCCTTGAGCCTAGGAGGCAGAGGTTGCAGTGAGCCAAGATTGAGTCACAGCACTCCAGCCTGGGTGATAGAGTAAGACCCTGCCTTTAAATAAATGAATAAATGTAGGAATACAGATAAATTTGGGATATCTAACATTGTAATTATGGTATGTAAACCACTTATAACTTTAGTATGAATACAAAAATACAAAGCTCTTAAAAATGATAACTAAAATACTTTATTAAAAGATAAACCATACAAAAGATGTAAATTGGGACATGAAAATTCAAAATACTTGAGAAGAAAGGAGTTAGAGTGTACAATATTTTTGTTTCCTTTCTTTTCTGATTAAAATTAAGTTCCTATTAGCTTAAAATAACTTGTTATACATGGACACATGGTGGGGAGCAACACACACTGGGGCCTGAGTGTGGTGGATGAGAGGAGGGAGAAGATCAGGAAGAATAGCTAATGGATGCTGGGGTTAATACCTGGGTAATGGGATGATCTGTGCAGTAAACCACCATGGCACACGTTTTCCTATGTAATAAGCCTATACATCCTGCACATGTACCCCTGGACTTAAAATAAAAGTAGGAAATTTAAAATAAAATAAAACAACTTGATGTAAACAAAATATGTATTTCAAAGCCTCATGATAACCACAAAGTAAAAACCTATAATAGATACACTAAAGATAAACAGCAGTGAATCAAAGCATAATGTTGGAGAATATCACTTAACCACAAAAGGATATAGCAAGAGTGGTAGAAAAGAAGGAAGGATCTACAAAATAACTAGGAAAGAAGTAACAAAATGTCAGTAGTACCTCCTTACCTATTGGTAGTTACCTTGAATGTAAATGGATTAAATTTTCCTATTAAACAACATAAAGTAGCTAAATTGATTTTTTTAAAGACTCAACTATATGCTGCCTATAAGAGCCTCACTTTACGCAGAAGAACACAAATAGACTGAAAGTGAAGGGATAGAAAAAGATATTCCATGCAAATGGAGAGCAAAATGGAGCAGAAGTAGCTATACTTATATCAGACATAATAGACTTTAAGCCAAAAAAACTGTAAAAAAAGACAAATATGCTAATTAAAAACTGATACAGGGGTAAATACAGAAAGAGAATATAACAATTATAAATATGCATGTACCCAACAATTGAACATACAAATATATAAAGCAAATGCTAATAGGCCTACAGGGAGATATAGCGTACAATACAACAATAGTATAACACTTGAACATCTTATCTTCAGTGATAAACAGATAATCCAGACAGAATATCAACAAAAAATGAGAGTTAAACTGAACTCCTGACCAAATGAACCTAACAGATGCTTAAAGAACATTCTATCCAGTAGTTGCAGAATATACATTCTTCTCCACAGTACATGGAACATTCTCCAGGATATATCTTATGTTAAGCTGCAATAAAAGTCTTAACATATTAAAAAATTAAAAATCAAAAAATGTTTTTTTCAACAATAATGGTATAGAACTAGAAATCAATAAGAGGAGGAACTTTGGAAACTACAAATACATGGAAATTAGACAACATACAGCTGAACAACCAGTGGTTCAGTGAAAAAAATCAAAAAGAAAATTTCAATATTTCTTGAAAAAATGGAAATGGGAACACAACACACAAAAACCTATGGAGGGGGAGGAGCCAAGATGGCCAAATAGGAAGAGCTCCGGTCTACAGCTCCCAGCCTGAGTGACGCAGAAGATGGGTGATTTCTGCATTTCCATCTGAGGTACCGGGTTCGTCTCACTAGGGAGTGCCAGACAGTGGGTGCAGGTCAGTGGGTGCGCACACCGTGTGCCAGCTGAAGCGGGGTGAGGCATTGCCTCACTCGGGAAGTGCAAGGGGTCAGGGAGTTCCCTTTCCTAGTCAAAGAAAGGGGTGACGGACGGCACCTGGAAAATCGGGTCACTCCCACCCGAATACTGCGCTTTTCCAACGGACTTAAAAAACGGCACACCATGAGATTATATCCCACACCTGCTTCGGAGGGTCCTACGCCCACAGAGTCTAGCTGATTGCTAGCACCGCAGTCTGAGATCAAACTGCAAGGCGGCAGTGAGGCTGAGGCAGGGGCGCCCACCATTGCCCAGGCTTGCTTAGGTAAACAAAGCAGCCAGGAAGCTCGAACTGGGTGGAGCCCACCACAGCTCAAGGAGGCCTGCCTGCCTCTGTAGGCTCCACCTCTGGGGGCAGGGCACAGACAAACAAAAAGCTGTAACCTCTGCAGACTTAAATGTCCCTGTCTGACAGCTTTGAAGAGAGCAGTGGTTCTCCCAGTACGCAGCTGGAGATCTGAGAACGGGCAGACTGCCTCCTCAAGCGGGTCCCTGACCCCTGACTCCCGAGCAGCCTAACTGGGAGGCACCCCCCAGCAGGGGCACACTGACACCTCACACGGCAGGGTACTCCAACAGACCTGCAGCTGAGGGTCCTGTCTGTTAGAAGGAAAACTAACAAACAGAAAGGACATCCACATCAAAAACTCATCTGTACATCACCATCATCAAAGACCAAAATAGATAAAACCACAAAGATGGGGAAAAAACAGAACAGAAAAACTGGAAACTCTAAAAAGCAGAGCGCCTCTCCTCCTCCAAAGGAACGCAGTTCCTCACCAGCAATGGAACAAAGCTGGACAGAGAACGACTTTGACGAGCTGAGAGAAGAAGGCTTCAGACGATCAAATTACTCTGAGCTACAGGAGGACATTCAAACCAAAGGCAAAGAAGTTGAAAACTTGGAAAAAAATTTAGAAGAATGTATAACTAGAATAACCAACACAGAGAAGTGCTTAAAGGAGTGATGGAGCTGACAACCAAGGCTCAAGAACTACGTGAAGAATGCAGAAGCCTCAGGAGCTGATGCGATCAACTGGAAGAAAGGGTATCATTGATGGAAGATGAAATGAATGAAATGAAGTGAGAAGGGAAGTTTAGAGAAAAAAGAATAAAAAGAAATCAACAAAGCCTCCAAGAAATATGGGACTATGTGAAAAGACCAAATCTACGTCTGATTGGTGTACCTGAAAGTGACGGGGAGAATGGAACCAAGTTGGAAAACACTCTGCAGGATATTATCCAGGAGAACTTCCCCAATCTAGCAAGGCAGGCCAACGTTCAGATTCAGGAAATACAGAGAACACCACAAAGATACTCCTCGAGAAGAGCAACTCCAAGACACATAATTGTCAGATTCACCAAAGTTGAAATGAAGGAAAAAATGTTAAGGGCAGCCAGAGAGAAAGGTCGGGTTACCCTCAAAGGGAAGCCCATCAGACTAACAGCGGATCTCTTGGCAGAAACCCTACAAGCCAGAAGAGAGTGGGGGCCAATATTCAACATTCTTAAAGAAAAGAATTTTCAACCCAGAATTAAATATCCAGCCAAACTAAGCTTCATAAGTGAAGGAGAAATAAAATACCTTACAGACAAGCAAATGCTGAAAGATTTTGTCACCAACAGGCCTGCCCTAAAAGAGCTCCTGAAGGAAGCGCTAAACATGGAAAGGAACAACCGGTACAAGCTGCTGCAAAATCATGCCAAAATGTAAAGACCATCAAGACTAGGAAGAAACTGCATCAACTAATGAACAAAATAACCACCTAACATCATAATGACAGGATCAAATTCACACATAACAATATTAACTTTAAATGTAAATGGACTAAATGCTCCAATTAGAAGACACAGACTGGCAAATTGGATAAAGAGTCAAGACCCATCAGTGTGCTGTATTCAGGAAACCCATCTCACGTGCAGAGACACACACAGGCTAAAAATAAAAGGATGGAGGAAGATCTACCAAGCAAATGGAAAACAAAAAAAGGCAGGGATTGCAATCCTAGTCTCTGATAAAACCGACTTTAAACTAATAAAGATCAAAAGAGACAAAGAAGACCATTACAGAATGGTAAAGGGATCAATTCAACAAGAAGAGTTAACTATCCTAAATATATATGCACCCAATACAGGAGCACCCAGATCCATAAAGCAAGTCCTGAGTGACCTACAAAGAGACTTAGACTCCCACACATTAATAATGGGAGACTTTAACACCCCACTGTCAAGATTAGACAGATCAACAAGACAGAAAGTCAACAAGGATACCCAGGAATTGAACTCAGCTCTGCCCCAAGCGGACCTAATAGACATCTACAGAACTCTCCACCCCAAATCAACAGAATATACATTTTTTTCAGCACCACACCACACCTATTCCAAAATTGATCACATAGTTGGCAGTAAAGCTCTCCTCAGCAAATGTAAAGGAACAGAAATTATAACAAACTATCTCTCAGACCACAGTGCAATCAAATTAGAACTCAGAATTAAGAATCTCACTCAAAACCGCACAACTACATGGAAACTGAACAACCTGCTTCTGAATGACTACTGGGTACATAATGAAATGAAGGCAGAAATAAAGATGTTCTTTGAAATGAACAAGAACAAACACACAACATACCAGAATCTCTGGGACGCATTCAAAGCAGTGTGTAGAGGGAAATTTATAGCACTAAATGCCCACAAGAGAAAGCAGGAAACATCCAAAATTGACATCCTAACATCACAGTTAAAAGAACTAGAAAAGCAAGAGCAAACACATTCAAAAGCTAGCAGAAGGCAAGAGATAACTAAAATCAGAGCAGAACTGAAGGAAATAGAGACACAAAAACCCTTCAAAAAATTAATGAATCCAGGAGCTGGTTTTTTGAAAGGATCAACAAAATAGATAGACCACTAGCAAGACTAATAAAGAAAAAAAGAGAGAAGAATCAAATAGACACAATAAAAAAATGATAAAGGGGATATCACCACCGATCCCACGGAAATACAAACTACCATCAGAGAATACTACAAACACCTCTACGCAAATAAACTAGAAAATCAAGAAGAAATGGATAAATTCCTCGACACATACACTCTCCCAAGACTAAACCAGGAAGAAGTTGAATCTCTGAATAGACCAATAACAGGATATGAAATTGTGGCAATAATCAATACCTTACCAACAAAAAAGAGTCCAGGACCAGATGGATTCACAGCCGAATTCTACCAGAGGTACAAGGAGGAACTGGTACCATTCCTTCTGAAACTATTCCAATCAATAGAAAAAGAGGGAATCCTCCCTAACTCATTTTATGAGGCCAGCATCATTCTGATACCAAAGCCGGGCAGAGACACAACCAAAAAAGAGAATTTTAGACCAATCAATATCCTTGATGAACATTGATGCAAAAATCCTCAATAAAATACTGCCAAACCAAATCCAGCAGCACATCAAAAAGCTTATCCACCATGATCAAGTGGGCTTCATCCCTGGGATGCAAGGCTGGTTCAATATACGCAAATCAATAAATGTAATCCAGCATATAAACAGAGCCAAAGACAAAAACCACATGATTATCTCAATAGATGCAGAAAAGACCTTTGACAAAATTCAACAACCCTTCATGCTCAAAACTCTCAATAAATTAGGTATTGATGGGACGTATTTCAAAATAATAAGAGCTATCTATGACAAACCCACAGCCAATATCATACTGAATGGGCAAAAACTGGAAGTATTCACTTTGAAAACTGGCACAAGACAAGGATGCCCTCTCTCACCACTCCTATTCAACATAGTGTTGGAAGTTCTGGCCAGGGCAATTAGGCAGGAGAAGGAAATAAAGGGTATTCAATTAGGAAAAGAGGAAGTCAAATTGTCCCTGTTTGCAGACGACATGATTGTATATCTAGAAAACCCCATTGTCTCAGCCCAAAATCTCCTTAAGCAGATAAGCAACTTCAGCAAAATCTCAGGATACAAAATCAATGTACAAAAATCACAAGCATTCTTATACACCAACAACAGACAAACAGAGAGCCAAATCATGAGTGAAATCCCATTCACAATTGCTTTAAAGAGAATAAAATACCTAGGAATCCAACTTACAAGGGATGTGAAGGACCTCTTCAAGGAGAACTACAAACCACTGCTCAATGAAATAAAAGAGGATAAAAACAAATGGAAGAACATTCCATGCTCATGGGTAGGAAGAATCAATATCATGAAAATGGCCATACTGCCCAAGGTAATTTACAGATTCAATGCCATCCCCATCAAGCTACCAATGCCTTTCTTCACAGAATTGGAAAAAACTATTTTTAGTTCATATGGAACCAAAAAAGAGCCCGCATTGCCAAGTCAATCGTAAGCCAAAAGAACAAAGCTGGAGGCATCACACTACCTGACTTCAAACTATACTACAAGGCTACAGTAACCAAAACAGCATGGTACTGGAACCAAAACAGAGATATAGATCAATGGAACAGAACAGAGCCCTCAAAATTAATGCCACATATCTACAACTATCTGATCTTTGACAAACCTGAGAAAAACCAGCAATGGGGAAAGGATTCCCCATTTAATAAATGGTGCTGGGATAATTGGCTAGCCATATGTAGAAAGCTGAAACTGGATCCCTTCCTTACACCTCATACAAAAATTAATTCAAGATGGATTAAAGACTTAAACGTTAGAGCTAAAACCATAAAAACCCTACAAGAAAACCTAGGCAATACCATTCAGGACATAGGCATGGGCAAGGACTTCATGTCTAAAACACCAAAAGCAATGGCAACAAAAGCCAAAATTGACAAATGGGATCTAATTAAACTAAAGAGCTTCTGCACAGCAAAAGAAACTACCATCAGAGTGAACAGGCAACCTACAAAATGGGAGAAAATTTTTGCAACCTACTCATCTGACAAAGGGCTAATATCGAGAATCTACAATGAACTCAAACAAATTTACAAGAAAAAAACAAACAACCCCATCAAAAAGTGGGCAAAGGACATGAACAGACACTTCTCAAAAGAAGACCTTTATGCAGCCAAAAAACACATTAAAAAATGCTCATCATCACTGGCCATCAGAGAAATGCAAATCAAAACCACAATGAGATACCATCTCACACCAGTTAGAATGGCAATCATTAAAAAGTCAGGAAACAACAGGTGCTGGGGAGGATGTGGAGAAATAGGAACACTTTTACACTGTTGATGGGACTGTAAACTAGTTCAGCCATTGTGGAAGTCAGTGTGGCGATTCCTCAGGGATCTAGAACTAGAAATACCATTTGACCCAGCCATCCCATTACTGAGTATATACCCAAAGGATTATAAATCATGCTGCTATAAAGACACATGCACACGTGTGTTTATTGCGGCATTATTCACAATAGCAAAGACTTGGAACCAACCCAAATGTCCAACAATGATAGACTGGATTAAGAAAATGTGGCATATATACACCATGGAATACTATGCAGCCATAAAAAATGATGAGTTCATGTCCTTTGTAGGGACATGGATGAAATTGGAAATCATCATTCTCAGTAAACTATCGCAAGAACAAAAAACCAAACACCGCATATTCTCACTCATAGGTGGGAATTGAACAAAGAGATCACATGGACACAGGAAGGGGAACATCACACTCTGGGGACTGTTGTGGGGTGGGGGGAGGGGGTAGGGATAGCATTGGGAGATATACCTAATGCTAGATGACGAGTTAGTGGGTGCCGCGCACCAGCATGGCACATGTATACATACGTAACTAACATGCACAATGTGCACATTACCCTAAAACTTAAAGTATAATAATAAAAAAATAAAAAAATAAAAAAAACAAAACAAAACCTATGGAATACAGCAAAAGCATTTCTAAGAGGGAAGTCTACAGCAATAAAGGCTTACATTTAAAAAGTAGAAAGATTTCAGATAACCTCATGTTGCTCAAGGAACTAGAAAAACAAGAACAACATCAAGCCAAAACTAGTAGAAGAGAAGCAACGATAAATGTAAAAACAGAAATAAATTAAATAGAGCCTTAAAAAACAACACAAAAGAATAACAAAGAAGACTTCGTTTTTTCAAAATATAAAACACTTGGCCAGGCACGGTGGCTCACCACTTAATCCCAGCACTTTGGGAGGCCGAGGAGGGTGGATCACTTGTTAAGAGTTCAACACCAGCCTGAGCAACATGGTGAAACCCCATCTCTACTAAAAATACAAAAATTAGCTGATTGTGGTGGCAGGCCCCTGTAATTCCAGCCACTAGGGAGGCTGAATCAGGAGAATCACTTGAACCTGGGAGGCAGAGGTTGCAGTGAGCAGAGATCGTGCCACTGCACTCCAGCCTGGGCAATGGAGCTAGACTCTGTCTCAAAAATCAAAAACAAAACCTGACAAACTTTTAACTAGACAAATTAAGAAAAAAAGAGGAGTCAAAAAAATAAAATCATAGATATAAAAGGAGACTTTACAAATAATATAATATAAATACAAAGGACCATAAGAGACCATTATGAACAACTATATGAAAACAAATTGTAAAACTTAGAAGAAATAGGTAAATGCCTGGACTCATACAACCACAAGATTGAATCATGAAGAAACAGAAAATTCAAACAGGCCAATAATGAGTAACAAGATTGAAACAATAGTTTAAAGTCTCCCATTAAAGAAAGCACAGGAGCTGATGACCTCACTGCTGAATTCTACCAAATATTTTAAAAATAACTAATGCCTGTTCTTCTCAAACTGCCCCCAAAAAAACTGAATGAGAGTAAATTTGTCCAGACTTATTATTTGAGACTAGCATTCATTAGCCCGATATAAAAACTAGATGACACAACAAAAACAAAAAAGAAAATTACAGGACAGAAGTGGTTGCTCATGCCTGTAATCCTAGCACTTTGGGAAGCCAAGGAGGGTGGATCACTTGAGCCCAGGAGTTCAAGACCAGCCTGTCAACATGATGAAACCTTGTCTCTAAAAAAAGTACAAATATTAGCCAAAAATGGTGGTGGGCGCCTGTAGTCCTAGCTACTCAGGAGGCTGAGGTTGGAGGATCACCCAAGCCCAGGAGGTTGAGGCTGTGGTGAGATGTGATTGTGCCACTGCACTCCAGCTTGGGTGACAGAGTGAGACACTTTCTCAAAAAAATAAAATAAAATAGGAAAAACTACAGGCCAATATCCCTAATGAAACGCATGCAAAAATCCTCAAGAAAATGCTAGCAAACTAAATTTAACAGAATACTTAAAAGACCAGCCTTTAAAATCAAGTGGCATTCATTCCAGGGATGCAAGGATGATTCAAAGTATTCAGATTAATAAATGTACTGCATCACATTAATAGAATAAAGGACAAAAGCACGTAATCATTTCAATAGAAACAGAGAAAGCATTTGATAGAATTCAACATCCCACTATGATAAAAGTTATCAATAAATTAGGTATATAAGGAACGTACCTAAACACAATAAAAGCCACATATGAGAAACCCACAGCTAATATAAAACAAAATGGGGAAAAGATGAAAGAAATTTCTCTAAAATCTGGAACTAAGCAAAGATGTCCACTTTCACTACTTCTAGTCAACATTGTACTGGAACTCCTAGCCAGGGTAATTAGGCAAGAGAAAGAAATACGGGGCATACAATTAAAAAGAAGGAAGTCAAATTATCCCTGTTTGTGGAGATCACAACTTTATATACAGAAAATACTAATTACTTCATCAAAAAGCCATGAGCACTAATAAATTCAGTAAAATTTCAGGATATTAAATGCATATACAAAAAGCAGTAATATTTCCTTCACCAACATCAAAATATCTGAAAAATAAATCAAGAAAACAATTCCATGTACAATAGCTACAAAATATAAGATACTTAAGAATAAATGTAACAAAGGAGGTAAAAACTCTACAAAAAAATCTATAAAACACTGATGAAAGAAATTGAAAAGGACAAAAATTATTGGAAAGGTATTTTGTACTAGTTCATTTTCGTCCTGCTAATAAAGACATATCTGAGACTAGATAATTTACAAAAGAAAGAGGTTTATTTGGACTCACAGTTCCACGTAGCTGGGGTGGCCTCACAGTCATGGCAGAAGGTAAAAGGCACTTCTTTCACAGCAGCAGCAAGAGAGAAGAGAGTTTGTGCATGGAAACTACTGTTTTTAAAACTATCATATCTCATGAGACTCATTCACTAACATGAGAACAGCACAGGAAAGACTTGTCCCCATGATTCAATTATCTCCCACTAGGTCCCTCCCACAACATATGGGAATTATGGTGGCTACAAGATGAGATTTGGGTGGGGACACAGGGCCAAATCATATCGTATTTTATGTTCACAGATTGAAATAATTGGCATTGTTAAAATGCCCATACTACCCAAAGCAATCTACAGATTCAATGTAATCTCTATCAAAATACCAATGACATACTTCATAGAAATAGAAAAGATGATTCTAAATTAATATTGAACCATCAAAGACCCCAAAAGCCAAAGTAATCTTGAGCAAAAAGGGCAAATCTGTAGAAATCACACTACCTGATTTCAAAATATACTACAAAACTATAGTAACCAAAACAGCATGGTACTGGTATAAAAACAGATACATAGATCAGCGGAACAGAATATATAACCCAGAAATAAATCCATGCCTTTACAGCCAACCTATTTTTAACAAAAGTGCCAAGACACACATTGGGGACAGAACAGTCTCTTCAATAAATAGTGCTGGGAAAACTGAATATCCATATGCAGAAGAACAAAACTAGAGCCCTATATCTCACCATATACAAAATCAAATGAAGATGGGTTAAAGACTTAAATGTAAGACCCAAAATTGTGAAACTACAAGAAGAAAATATAGGGGAATGCTTCATGTTGGTCTGGGAAAAGATTTTCGATAAGACCTCAAAAGCACTGGTAATACAAAACAAAATAGACAAATGAAATTTTATCTAACTAACAAGCTCTGCACAGCAAAGGAAATAAGCTACAGAATGGTAGAAAATATCTGCAAACTACGTATCCAAAGGGATTAAGATCCAGAATATATAAGGAACTCAAAGAGCTCAATGGCAAAAAAGTAAGTTATTTAAATTTTAAAGGGCAAAAGACCTGATTAGACAACTCTGAAAAGAAGACATACGAATGACCAATAGGTAAATATAATATGCTCAACATGACTAATCAGTAGGGAAATGCAAATCAAAACCACAATGAGATATCACTTCACCCCAGTTTGAATTAGTCTAAGCAGGTAACTAAACAAAAGCAAACAAACAAAAAACACATTAAAAACAAAACAAACAAAAATAGATTTTATTTAAAAAGTCTCAAACTAAAAATATACTACATACCCATTAAAGACCAGATAGATTTTTAAAAATTATTTTTTTCCACCTCTTATTTTAGGTTCGGCAGCTACATTTGAAGGTTTGTTACATGGGTAAATTGCATGTTGTGGGGGCTTGGTGTACAGAATGTTTCGTCACACAGGTAATGAGCATAGTACCCATAGGTAGTTTTTAAGTTCTGTTTTAAGTTCTTTGAGAAATCACCAAACTGCCCTTCACAGTGGCTGAACTAATTTACATTCCCACCAGCAGAGTGTAAGTATTCTCTTTTCTCTGCAACCTTGCTAGAATCTGTTACTTTTTTGACATTTTAATAATAGCCATTCTGACTGGTGTGAGATGGTATCTCATTGTGGTTTTGATTTGCATTTCTCTGATGATTAGTGATGTTGAGAATTTTTAAATATGCTTGTTGGCTATGTATATGTCTTCTTTTGAGAAGTGTCTGTTGATATTCTTTGCCTATTTTTTAAGGAGGTTGTGGTTTTTTGCTTGTTAATTTAAGTTCCTTATAGATGCTGGGTATTAGATCTTTGTCATACACATAGTTTGCAAGTATTTTCTTCCATTCTGTAAGTTGTCTGTTTATTCTGTTGACAATTTTGTTTGCTGTGCAGAAACTCTTTAGTTTAATTAAGTTCCATTTAATTTTTGTTTACATTGCAGTTTCTTTTGAAGTCTTCATCATGAAATCCTTGCCAGGGCCTATGTCCAGAATGGAATTTCACAGGTTTTCTTCCAAGATTTCTGTAGTTTTAGGTTTTACATTTAAGTCTTTAATCCATCTTGAATTAACTTTTGTATGTGGTGAAAGGAAGATGTAAATTTTCAATATTCTGCATATGGCTAGCCAGTTAGCACAACACCATTTATTGAATAGGAAGTCTTCACCCCATTGCTTCTTACTGTTGACATTGTCAAAGATCAGATGGTTGTAAGGTGTGCAGATTTATTTCTGGGTTCTCTAACCTGTTCATTTATCTATGTGTTTGTTTTTCTACTAGTACCATGCTGTTTTGGTTACTGTAGCCTTGTACTATAGTTTGAAGTCAGATAGTGTGGTGCTTCCAGCTTTGTTCTTTTTGCTTAAGATTGCTTTGGGTGTTCAGACTCTTTTTTTTTTATTATTATACGTTAAGTTTTAGGGTATATGTGCACAATGTGCAGGTTAGTTACATATGTATACATGTGCCATGTTGTTGTGCTGCAGCCATTGACTCGTTATTTAATATTAGGTATATCTCCTAATGCTATCCCTCCCCCTTCCCCCCACCCCACAACAGGCCCCGGTATGTGATATTCCCCTTCCTGTGTCCATGTGTTCTCATTGTTCAATTCCCACCGGTGAGTGAGAACATGCAGTGTTTTGTTTTTTGTCCTTGCAATAGTTTGCTGAGAAAGGTGGTTTCCAGTTTCATCCATGTCCCTACAAAGGACATGAACTCATCATTTTTTATGGCTGCATAGTATTCCATGGTGTATATGTGCCACATTTTCTTAATCCAGTCTATCATTGTTAGACATTTGGGTTGGTTCCAAGTCTTTGCTATTGTGAATAGTGCCTCAATAAACATATGTGTGCATGTGTCTTTATAGCAGCATGATTTATAATCCTTTGGGTATATAACCAGTAATGGGATGGCTGGGTCAAATGGTATTTCTAGTTCTAGATCCCTGAGGAATCGCCACACTGACCTCCACAATGGCTGAACTAGTTTACAGTCCCACCAACAGTGTAAAAGTGTTCCTATTTCTCCACATCCTCTCCACACCTCTTGTTTCCTGACCTTTTAATGATCGCCATTCTAAAGGCTGTGAGATGGTATCTCATTGTGGTTTTGATTTGCATTTCTCTGATGGCCAGTGATGATGACCGTTTTTTCATGTGTCCTTTGGCTGCATAAAGGTCTTCTTTTGAGAAGTGTCTGTTCATATCCTTTGCCCACTTTTTGATGGGGTTGTTTGTTTTTTTCTTGTAAATTTGTTTGAGTTCATAGTAGATTCTGGATATTAGCCCTTTGTCAGATGAGTAGGTTGCAAAAGTTTTCTCCCATTCTGTAGGTTGCCTGTTCACTCTGATGGTAGTTTCTTTTGCTGTGCAGAAGCTCTTTAGTTTAATTAGATCCCATTTGTCAATTTTGGCTTTTGTTGCCATTGCTTTTGGTGTTTTAGACATGAAGTCCTTGCCCATGCCTATGTCCTGAATGGTATTGCCTAGGTTTTCTTCTAGGGTTTTTACGGTTTCAGGTCTAACATGTAAGTCTTTAATCCATCTTGAATTGATTTTTGTATAAGGTGTAAGGAAGGGATCCAGTTTCAGCTTTCTACATATGGCTAACCAGTTTTCCCAGCACCATTTATTAAATAGGGAATCCTTTCCCCATTGCTGGTTTTTGTCAGCTTTGTCAAAGATCAGATGGTTATAGATATGTGGCGTTATTTCTGAGGGCTCTGTTCTGTTCCATTGTTCTATATCTCTGTTTTGGTACCAGTACCATGCTGTTTTGGTTACTGTAGCCTTGTAGTATAGTTTGAAGTCAGGTAGTGTGATGCCTCCAGCTTTATTCTTTTGGCTTAGGATTGACTTGGCAATGCGGGCTCTTTTTGGTTCCATATGAACTTTAAAGTAGTTTTTTCCAATTCTGTGAAGAAAGTCATTGGTAACTTGATGGAGATGGCATTGAATCTACAAATTACCTTGGGCAGTATGGCCATTTTCATGATATTGATTCTTCCTACCCATGAGCATGGAATGTTCTTCCATTTGTTTGTATCTTCTTTTATTTCACTGAGCAGTGGTTTGTAGTTCTCCTTGAAGAGGTCCTTCACATCCCTTGTAAGTTGGATTCCTAGGTATTTTATTCTTTTTGAAGCAATTGTGAATGGGAGTTCACTCATGGTTTGGCTCTCTGTCTGTTACTGGTGTGTAAGAATGCTTGTGATTTTTGCACATTGACTTTGTATCCTGAGACTTTGCTGAAGTTGCCTATCAGCTTAAGGAGATTTGGGGCTGAGACGATGGGGTTTTCTAGATATACAATCATGTCATCTGCAAACAGGGACAATTTGACTTCCTCTTTTCCTAATTCAATACCCTTTATTTCCTTCTCCTGCCTAATTGCCCTGGCCAGAACTTCCAACACTATGTTGAATAGGAGTGGTGAGAGAGGGCATCCCTGTCTTGTGCCAGTTTTCCAAGGGAATGCTTCCAGGTTTTGCCCATTCAGTATGATATTGCCTGTGGGTTTGTCATAAATAGCTCTTATTATTTTGAGATACATCCCATCAATACCTAATTTATTGAGAGTTTTTAGCATGAAGGGTTGTTGAATTTTGTCAAAGGACTTTTCAAGATGAAGCCCACTTTATCAGGGTGGATAAGGTTTTTGATATGCTGCTGAATTCGGTTTGCCAGTATTTTATTGAGAATTTCTGCATCGATGTTCGTCAGGGATATTGGTCTAAAATTGTCTTTTTTTGTTATGTCTCTGCCAGGTTTTGGTATCAGGATAATGCTGGCCTCATAAAATGAGTTAGGTAGGATTCCCTCTTTTTCTATTGATTGGAATAATTTCAGAAGGAATGGTACCAGCTCCTCCTTGTACTTCTGGTAGAATTTGGCAGTGAATCCATTGGGTCCTGGACTTTTTTTGATTGGTAAGCTATTAATTATTGCCTCAATTTCAGAGCCTGTTATTGGTCTATTCAGGGATTCAAATTCTTCCTGATTTAGTCTTGGGGGGGTGTACGTGTCGAGGAATTTATCCATTTCTTCTAGACTTTCTAGTTTATTTGCGTAGAGGTATTTATAGTATTATTCTCTGATGGTAGTCTGTATTTCTGTGGGATCAGTGGTGATATCCCCTTTATCATCTTTTATTGCGTCTATTTGATTCTGCTCTCTTTTCTTCTGTATTAGTCTTGCTAGCAGTCTGTCAATTTTGTTGATCTTTTCAAAAAAGCAGCTCCTGGATTCATTGATTTTTTGAAGGGTTTTTGTGTCTCTTATTTCCTTCAGTTCAGCTCTGATCTTAGTTATTTCTTGCCTTCTGCTAGCTTTTGAATGTGTTTGCTCTTGCTTCTCTAGTTCTTTTAATTGTGATGTTATGGTGTCAATTTTAGATCTTTCCTGCTTTCTCTAGTGGGCATTTAGTGCTATAAATTTCCCTCTACACACTGCCTTGAATGTGTCCCAGAGATTCTGGTATGTTGTGTCTTTGTTCTCGTTGGTTTCAAAGAACATCTTTATTTCTGCCTTCATTTCATTATGTACCCAGTAGTCATTCAGGAGCAGGTTGCTCGGTTTCCATGTAGTTGAGCGGCTTTGAGTGAATTTCTTTATGCTGAATCCTAGTTTCATTGCACTGTGGTCTGAGAGACAGTTTGTTATAATTTCTGTTCTTTTACATTTGCTAAGGAGACCTTTACTTCCAACTATGTGGTCAATTTTGGAATAAGTGCGGTGTGGTGCTGAGAAGAATGTCTATTCTGTTGATTTGGGGTGGAGAGTTCTGTAGATGTCTATTAGGTCCACTTGGTGCAGAGCTGAGTTCAGTTCCTGGATATCCTTGTTAACTTTCTGTCTCGTTGACCTGTCTAATGTTGACAGTGGGGTGTTAAAATCTCCCATTATTATTGTGTGGGAGTCTAAGTCTCTTTCTAGGCCTCTAATCACTTGCTTTATGAATCTGGGTGCTCCTGTATTGGGTGGATAAATATTTAGGATAGTTAGCTCTTCTTGCTGAATTGATCCCTTTACCATTATGTAATGGCTTTCTTTGTCTCTTTTGATCTTTGTTGGTTTAAAGTCTGTTTTATCAGAGACTAGGTTTGCAACCACTGCCTTTTTTTGTTTTCCATTTGCTTATTAGGTCTTCCTCCATCCCTTTATTTTGAGCCTATGTGTGTCTCTGCACTTGCTATGGGTTTCCTGAATACAGCACACTGATGGGTCTTGACTCTATCCAATTTGCCAGTATGTGTCTTTTAATTGGAGCATTTAGCCCATTTACATTTAAAGTTAATATTGTTATGTGTGAATTTGATCCTGTCATTATGATGTTAGGTGGTTATTTTGCTCATTAGTTGATGCAGTTTCTTCCTAGCCTCGACAGTCTTTACAATTTGGCATGTTTTTGCAGTGGCTGGTACCACTTGTTCCTTTTCATGTTTAGTGCTTCCTTCGGGAGCTCTTGTAGGGCAGGCCTGGTGATGACAAAATCTCTCAGCATTTGCTTGTCTGTAAACTATTTTATTTCTCCTTCACTTATGAAGCTTAGTTTGGCTACATATGAAATTCTGGTTTGAAAATTCTTTTCTTTAAGAATGTTGAATATTGGCCCCCACTCTCTTCTGGCTTGTAGAGTTTCTGCTGAGAGATCAGCTGTTAGTCTGATGGGCTTCCCTTTGTGGGTAACCCCACCTTTCTCTCTGGCTGCCCTTAACATTTTTTCCTTCATTTCAACTTTGGTGAATCTGACAATTATGTGTCTTGGAGTTGCTCTTCTTGAGGAGTATCTTTGTGGCATTCTCTGTATTTCCTGAGTTTGAATGTTGGCCTGCCTTGCTAGATTGGGGAAGTTCTCCTGGATAATATCCTGCAGAGTGTTTTCCAACTTGGTTCCATTCTCCCTGTCACTTTCAGGTACACCAATCAGACATAGATTTGGTCTTTTCACATAGTCCCATATTTCTTGGAGGCTTTGTTAATTTCTTTTTATTCTTTTTCGTCTAAACTTCTCACTTCGTTTCATTCATTTGATCTTCCATCACTGATACCCTTTCTTCCACTTGATCCCATCGGCTACTGAGGCTTGTTATTCATCATGTAGTTCTCTTGCCTTTGTTTTCAGCTCCATCCGGTCCTTTAAAGACTTCTCTGCATTGCTTATTCTAGTTAGCCATTCATCTAATTTTTTTTCAAGATTTTTAACTTCTTTGCGATGAGTTCGAACTTCCTCTTTTAGCTCGGAGTAGTTTGATCGTCTGATGCCTTCTTCTCTCAACTCGTCAAGGTCATTCTCCATCCTGCTTTGTTCCACTGCTGGTGAGGAGCTGCGTTCCCTTGGAGGAGGAGAGGCACTCTGATTTTTAGAGTTTCCAGTTTTTCTGCTCTGTTTTTTCCCCATCTTTGTGGTTTTATCTACCTTTGGTCTTTGATGATGGTGACATACAGATGGGGTTTTGGTGTGGATGTCCTTACTGTTTGTTAGTTTTCCTTCTAACAGTCAGGACCCTCAGCAGCAGGTCTGTTGGAGTTTGCTGGAGGTCTACTCCAGACCCTGTTTTCCTGGGTATCAGCAGCAGAGGCTGCAGAACAGCAGATATTGGTGAACAGCAAATGTTGCTGCCGATTATTCCTCTGGAAGTTTTGTCTCAGAGGAGTACCCTGCCGTGTGAGGTGTCAGTCTGCCCCTACTGGGAGGTGCCTCCCAGTTAGGCTACTTGGGCATCAGTGACCCACTTGAGGAGTCACTCTGTCCATTCTCAGATCTCCAGCTGCATGCTGGGAGAACCACTACTCTCTTCCAAGCTGTCAGACAGGAACATTTAAGTCTGCAGAGGATTCTGCTGCCTTTGGTTTGGCTGTGCCCTGCCCCCAGACATGGAGTCTACAGAGGCAGGCAGGCCTCCTTGAGCTGCGGTGGGCTACACCCCATTCGAGCTTCCTGGCCTTTGTTTACCTACTCAAGCCTAGGCAATGGTGGGCGCCCCTCCCCCAGCCTCTCTGCTGCCTTGCAGTTTGATCTCAGACTGCTGTGCTAGCAATGAGTGAGGCTCCGTGGGCATAGGACCCTCCAGGCCTGGCATGGGATATAATCTCCTTGTGTGCCCTTTGCTAAGACCATTGGAAAAGCACAGTATTAGGGTGGGAATGACCCGATTTTCCTGGTGCTATCTGTCACCCCTTTCTTTGATTAGGAAAAGGAATTCCCTGACCCCTTGTGCTTCCCAGGTGAGGCGATGCCTCATCCTGCTTTGGCTCTCGCTGGGTGAACTGCACCCACTGTCCTGCACCCACTTTCTGACACTCCTCAGTGAGATGAGCCGGGTACCTCAGTTGGAAATGCAGAAATCACCCGTCTTCTGTGTCGCTCATGCTGGGAGCTCTAGACTAGAGCTGTTCCTATTCGGCCATCTTGGTTGCACCCCCCAGACTCTTTTTTGATTCTGTATGAATTTTAGAATAGTTTTTTCAAATTCTATGAAAAAATGTCATTGGTACTTTGATAGGAGTAGCACTGAGTCTCTGAATTGCTTTCAGCAATATGATAATTTTAACAACATTAATTCTTTCAATCCATGAGCATGAAATATTTTTACATTCAGTTGTATAATCTCTGATTTTTTAGCAGTGCTTTATAATTCTTGTTGTAGAGATCTTTCACTTTCTTGGTTAGCTATATTCCTAAGCATTTTATTCTTTTTGTGATTATAGTGAATGTGATTGTGTTCTTGATTTAGCTCTCGGTCTGGACTTTATTGATATATAGAGAAGCTACTGATTCTTGTACATTGATTTTATACCTTGAAGATTAACTAAAATTGTTTATCAGATTTAGAACCCTTTGCACAGAGACTATGGGGTTTTCTAGGTATAGATTCATATTGTCTGAAGAAAGAGATAATTTAACTTCCTCTCTTTTTATTTGAATGCCTTTCTCTTCCCTGATTGCTCTGGCTAGGACTTCCAGTATTATGTTGAATAGCAGTGGTAAGAGTGGACATCATTGCCTTGTTCTAGTTTTCAAAGGGAATGCTTCAAGCTTTTGTTTATTCAGTACGTTGTTGGCTGTGGGTTTGTCATAGATGCCTCTAATTGTTTTGAGGTGTGTTCCTTTAATGCCTAGTTTCTTAAGGGTTTTTAACCTGAAGAGATGTGGAATTTTATCAAAAGACTGTTCTGCATCTGTTGAGATAATCATGTGTTTTTTGTTTTTAGTTCTGCTTATGTGATGAATCATTTACTGATTTCTGTATGTTGAACCAACCTTGAGTCCCAGGGATGAAGCCCATTTGATAATAGCAGATTAGCTTTTTGATATGATCCTGGATTTGCTTTGCTAATATTTTGTTGAGGATTTTTGCATATATATTCTTCAGGAAAATTAGCTAATGTTTTCTTTTTTTATTGTGTCTCTACCAGGTTTTGGTATCACAATGATACTTATCTCATAGAATTAGTTAGGGAATAATCACTCCCCCTCAATTTTTGGAATAGTTTTCAAAGAATTGATACCAGCTTTTCTTTATATACCTGTTAGAATTCAGCCATGGATCTCTCTGTTCCAAGGCTTTTTCTGATTGGCAACCTTTTTATTACTGATTCAACTCTGGAACTCATTATTGATCTGTTCAGGGTTTCAATTTCTTCCTGGTTCAATTTTGGGAATGTATATTTTCAAGAATTTTTCCATTTCTTCTAGGTTTCATAGTTTACGTGCATAGAGGTGTTCATAACAGTATCTGAGTGGTTTTTGTATTTCTATGAGGTTGGTGGCAATGCCCCCTTTGTCATTTCTGATTGGGTTTATGTGGATTTTCTCATCTTTTTCTCCTTTATTATTCTAGTCTGTGGTCTACCAATTTTATTTATTCCTTCAAATTACCAATTTTTTTGTTTATCTTCTATATAGTTTTCAGTTCTCAGTTTTATTTAGTTCAGCTCTGATTTTGGTTATTTCTTGTCTTCTGCTAGCTTTAGGTTTTTTTTCCTTATTTTTCTAGTTCCTTTAGATGTGAGATTATGTTACTAATTTGAGATCTTTCTAACTTTTTGATGTGGGCATTTAGTGCTATAAACTTTCCTCTTAACTCTGTTTTAGCTGTGTCTCAGAGACTCTGGCATGTAGTATCTTTGTTTTCATTTGTTAGAACAATTTCCTGATTTCTGACTTCGTTGTTTACCCAAAAGTCTTTCAGGACCAGAAATTGTTTAATTGCTATTTAATTGTATAGTTTTTCAGAGCTCTTCTTGATCTTGATTTCTATTTTTGTTGTGCTGTGGTGCAAGAGTGTGGTTGGTATGATTTTGGTTTTTTTGAATGTGTTGAAAATTGCGACTTCCCCCAAGATGGCTGAATAGGAAGAGCTCCGGTCTGCAACTACCAGCTTGATTGATGCAGAAGACAGGTGTATTCTGCATATATGGTACTATGTGAAAAGAAAAAAATCTATGTTTGATTTGTGTACCTGAAAGTGACAGGGAGAATGGAACCAAGCTGGAAAACACTGCTCATGATGTTATCCAGGAGAACATCCCCAACCTAGCAAGGCAGGCCAACATTCAAATTCAGGAAATACAGAGAACACCACAAAGATACTCCATGAGAAGAGCAACCCCAAGACACATAATTATCAGACTCACGAAGGTTGAAATGAAGGAAAAACGTTAAGGGCAGCCAGAAAGAAAAGTCGGGTTCCACAAAGGGAAGCCCATGAGACTAACAGCTGATTTCTCTGCAGAAACACTACCAGCCAGAAGAGAGTGGGGGCCAATATTCAACATTCTTAAAGAAAAGAATTTTCAACCGAGAATTTCATATCCACCCAAACTAAGCATCATAAGTGAAGGAGAAATAAAATCCTTTACAGACAAGCAAATGCTAAGAGATTTTGTCACCACCAGACCTGCCTTACAAGAGCTCCTGAAGGAAGCACTAAACATGGAAAGAAACAACCAGTACCAGACACTCCAAAAACATGCCAAATTGTAAAGACCATTGATGCTATGAAGAAACTGCATAAACTAATGAGCAAAATAACCAGCTAACATCATAAAGACAGAATCAAATTCACACTTAATATTAACCTTAAATATAAATGAGCTAAATATGACAATTAAAAGACACAGACTGACAAATTGGATAAAGAGTCAAGACCCATCAGTGTGCTGTATTCAGGAGACCCATCTCAAGTGCAGAGACACACATAGGCTCAAAATAAAGGGATGGAGGACACTCTACCAAGCAAATGGAAAGCAAAAAAAAAGCAGGGGTTGCAATCCCAGTCTCTGATAAAACAGACTTTAACCAATAAAGATCAAAAGAGACAAAGGCACGGTGGCTCACACCTGTAATTCCAGCAATTTGGGAGGCTGAGGTGGGCAGATCATGAAGTCAGGCAATTGAGACCATCCTGGCTAATATGGTGAAACCCCATCTATATTAAAAATACAAAAAATTAGCTGGGCATGGTGGTGGGCACCTGTAGTCCCAGCTACTCAGGAGGCTCAAGCAGGAGAATGGTATGAACACAGGAGGAAGAGCTTGCAGTGAGCTGAGATCGCACCACTGTACTCCAGCCTGGGTGACAGAGTGAGACTCTGTCTCAAAAAAAAAAAAAAAAGAGAGAGAGAGAGACAAAGAAGGCCATTACATAATGGTAAAGGAATCAATTCAAAAAGAAGAGCTAACTATCCTAAATATATATGCACCCAAAACAGGAGCACCCAGATTCATATAATGAGTCCTTACAGACCTACGAAGAGACTTATACTCCCACACAATAATAATGGGAGACTTTAACATTCCATTGTCAATATTAGGCAGATCAACAAGACAGAAGGTTAACAAGGATATCCAGGACTTGAACTCAGCTCTGCACCAAGCAGACCTAATAGACATCTACGGTACTCTCTACCCCAAATCAACAGAGTATATATTCTTCTCAGCACCACATCATACTTATTCTAAAATTGACCACAAAATTGGAAGTAAAGCACTCCTCAGCAAATGTAAAAAGAAAAGAAATCACAACAAACTGTCTCTCGGACCACAGTGCAATCAAATTAGAACTCAGGATTAAGAAACTCACTCAAAACCACACAACTACATGGAAACTGTAGTCCTGAATGACTACTTGGTAAATAACAAAATGAAGGCAGAAATAAAGATGCTCTAGGAAACCAATGAGAACAAAGACACAATGTACCAGAATCTCTGGGACACATGTAAAGCAGTGTGTAGAGGGAAATTTATAGCACTAAATGCCCACAAGATAAAGCAGGAAAGATCTAAAATTGACACCTAACATCACATTAAAAGAACTAGAGAAGCAAGAGCAAACATATTCAAAAGCTAGCCGAAGACAAGAAATAACTAAGATCAGAGCAGACCTGAATGAGATAAAGACACAAAAAAAATCTTCAAAAGATCAATGAATCCAGGACCTGGCTTTTTGAAAAGATCAGCAAAATTGATAGACCACTAGCAAGACTAATAAAGAAGAAAAGAGAGAAGAATCATATAGACACAATAAAAAATGATAAAGGGGATATCACCACTGATCCCACAAAAATACAAACTACCATCAGAGGATAATATAAACATCTCTGTGCAAATAAACTAGAAAATCTAGAAGAAATGGATAAATTCCTCGACACACACACCCTCCCAAGAGTAAACCAGGAAGAAGTTGAATCTCTGAATAGACCAATAACAGGCTCTGAAATTGAGGCAATAATTAATAGCCTGCCAACCAAAAAAAGTCCAGGACCAGATGGATTCACAGACAAATTCTACTAAAGGTACAAAGAGGAGCTGGTACCATTCCTTCTGAAACTATTCCAATCAATAGAAAAAGAGGGAATCCTCCCTTACTCATTTTTTGAGGCCAGCATAATCCTGATGCTGAGAGTTTTAGACCAATGTCCCCGATGAACACTGATGCAAAATCCTCAGTAAAATACTGGCAAACAAAATCCAGCAGCACATCAAAAAGCTTATCCACCATGATCAAATCAGCTTCATCCCTGGGATGCAAGGCTGGTTCAACATATGCAAATCAATAAATGTAATCCATCACATAAACAGAACTAAAGAAAAAAACCACATCATTATCTCAATAGATGCAGAAAAGGCCTTTGACAAAATTCAACAGCTGTTCATGCTAAAAAACTCCCAATACACTAGATATTGATGGAACATATCTCAAAATACTAAGACCTATTTATGACAAACCCACAGCCAATATCATACTGAATGGGCAAAACTGGAAGCATTCCCTTTGAAAACTGGCACAAGACAAGGATGCCCTCTCTCACCACTCCTATTCAACATAGTATTGGAAGTCTGGCCAGGGCAATCAGGCAAGAGAAAGAAATAAAGGGTATTTAATTAGGAACAGAGGAAGTCAAATTGTCCCTGTTTGCAGATGACATGATTGTATATTTAGAAAACCCCATCACCTCAGCCCAAAATCTCTTTAAACTGATAAGCAACTTCAGCAAAGTCTCAGGATACAAAATCAACGTGCAAAAATCGCAAGCTTTCCTACACACCAATAACAGACAAACAGAGAGCCAAATCATGAGTGAACTCCCATTCACAATCGCTTCAAAGAGAATAAAATACCTAGGAATCCAACTTACAAGGGATGTGAAGGACCTCTTCAAGGAGAACTACAAACCACTGCTCAATGAAATAAAAGAGGACACAAACAAATGGAAGAACATTCCATGCTCATCGATAGGAAGAATCAATATCGTGAAAATGGCCATACTGCCCAAAGTAATTTATAAATTCAATGCCATCCCTATCAAGCTACCAATGACTTTCTTCACAGAATTGGAAAAACTACCTGATCTTTCATATGAAATCAAAAAGAGCCCACATTGCCAAGACAATCCTAAGCAAAAGGAACAAAGCTGGAGGCATGGGAAGAATGTATATTCTTTTGGTTTTGGGTGGAGCGTTCTGTCAATGTTTATTAGGTCCATTTGGTCAAGTGTCGAGTTTAAGTTCCAAATACCTTTATCAGTGTTCTCTCTTGATGATCTATCTAATGCTGTCAGTTGGGTGTTGAAGTCTACCACCATTATTGTATGATAACATAAGCTTCTTTGTGGGTCTCTAAGTACTTGTTTTATGAACCTGTGTGCTCCTGTGTTGGGTGCATATATATTGAGGATAGCTAAGTCTTCTTATTAAATTCAACCCTCTATCATTAAATAATGTTTTTCTATGTCCTTTTTGACAGTTGTTGGTTTAAAGTTTATTTTGTCTGAAATAAAAATAGCAACCCCTGCTCTTTTTTCTTTCCTGTATGCTTGACAGATTTTTTGCCATCCTTTAGTTTTGGCCTATGGGTGTCCTTGCATGTGAGATGGGTCTCTTGAAGATAACTTACAGGTGGGTCTTGTTTATTTTTTTTTTTTTTGTCTTTTTTAACGTGAGACAGGGTCTCACTCTGTTACTTAGGCCGAAGTGCAGTGGCATGATCACAACTTACTGCAGCCTCCACCTCCCCAGGCTTGGGTGATCCTCCTACCTCAGCCTCCTCAGTAGCTGGGACTACAGGCATGTGCCACCATTCTTAGCTAATTTTCTTGGTTTTTTTGTAGAAATGGGGTTTTTCCATGTTGCCTAGGTTGGTCTCAAACTCATAGGATCAAGCAATCGGCCTGCCTTAGCCTCAAAGTGTTAGGATTACAGGCATGAGCCAGGGTCTTGTTTCTTTATTCAACTTGCCACTCTGTGTCTTGGGGTGTTTAGCTCATTTACCTTCAAGGTAAATATTGATAAGTGAGAAGTTGATTTTGTCATTATTGTTAGCTGGTTGTTATGTAGACTTAATTGTGTAGTTCCTTTATAGTGTCACTGGTCTGTTTACTTAAGTGCATTTATGTGGTGGCTGGTAAGAGTCTTTTATTTCCATGTTTAGCACTCCCTTAATGACTTCTTATAAGGCAGGTCTGGTGGTAATAAATTTCCTTAGCATTTGCTTTGCTGAATTTCTCTTTAACATATAAATCTTACTTGGGCTGGATATGAAATTTTGGGTCAGAATTTCTTTTCTTTAACAATGCTGAATATAGGCCCTCAATGTCTTCTGGCTTCTAAGGTTTCTGCTGAAAGGTATGCTGTTAGCTTGATTGGGGTCCCTTTGTAGGTGACCTGCTCCTCCTCTCTGGTTGCCTTTAGTATTTTTTTCTTTCACATTGACCTTGGATAATCTTATTATTGTGTATCTTGAGGATGGTTTTCTAGTGTAGTATCTCTCAGGAGTTCTCTGAATTTCTTGAATTTGAATGTTGACCTCTATAGTGAAGTTGAGAAAATTGTCATGGACAATATCCTCATATATGTTTTCAATTGTTTGCACACTCTCTCTCTCTCTCTTTCAGGGACATCAGTGAGTACAGGTTTGGTCTCTTTACATAACCTCATATTTCTCAGAGATTTTGTTCATCCTTCTGTATTATTTTTTCTTTATTTTGTGTGACTGAGTTAATTAGAAGAACTGGTCTTTGAGCTCTGAGATTCTTCCCTCAGTGTGGTCTATTCTGCCTTTAATACTTCCAATTGTATTATAAAATTCTTTAGTGAATTTTTTAGCTCTGTCAAATCAGCTTAGTTCTTTCTTAAAATGGCTATTTTGTCTTTCAGTTATTGTATTATTTTACTGGATTCCTTAAATTCTTTGGATTCCATTTCAACTTTCTCCTGAATCTCATGATTTTCATTGCCATCCAGATTCTAAAATCTATGTCTATTATCTCAGCCATTTTAGTCTGGTTAGGAAAGATTGTTGGGGAGCTAGTGTGTTCATTTGGAAGTAAGAAGACACTCTGACTTTTAGAGCTGCCTGAGTTCTTCCACGGGTTCTTTCTCATCTATGTGGGCTGATGTTCCTTAAACGTTTAAAGTTGCTGTCCTTTTGATGGGGCCTTTTGCTTTTATATTCTTTGATGCCCTTGAGGCTTTGACTATGGTATAGGTTTGGGTCAGTGAGCTAGCTTTATTTCTTGATGATTTCAGGGGGCCATGGCTCAGCTCAGCACTCCTGGGCTATATGCTCTAAGACTGAGGGCCTGGGACCAGGCCCAGAACCTTGTTCTTTGGCCCCTTGAGACTGAGCACCTGCTTCACTGGAGGGGGCCAAGGTGCTCCCAGTCCACTAGCAACAACACTCCTATGGTGGGCAGGGTGGGGGGGTCCCAGAAAAGCATTTCATAAGGGCAGTGGCGGTGGGGGTCTGCTCTCACATGCATGTACTGGCAGCAGTGGGGCAGTGGCATGGTGGGGTCCACACTCACTCACATGCTGGTGGTGGTGGGGCAGCAGGGTAGAAGGTCCATGCACATGTACACCAGGGATGGTAGTGTGGCAGGGTACATGCACGCATGTAGGCTAGTGGGGACAGTGCAGCAGTGGTGAGGTCTCCATGCATATGTGCACAGAAGTGGTAGCAAGGCAGTGATGTCTGTGTATGTATGCCAGCAAAGCAGTTGTGGGTGCTGAAGGCAGGTGCATGCTGATGTGAGGCCAGTGACAGAAGCTATTTGGTGGTTTGGTGGGGTCAGCCAGTGAAAGACCTATGGCAGTGGTCTCTGAGAACTGCCTCAGTTGAACATCTGAGGCTGTGCTGCAAGCAGGTACAGACAGGCAGGGATCCTGGGAGAGGCCAGCAGACATGGGGTGGGGGGCTCAGATCAGTCTAGCCCCATCCAAATATCATGGTAGCCCTATTCTGTCCAGGTCTGATAGTCAACAAAGGGGTCAAAGCCACCTAGAGGAGCATGCCAATCCTCGGGTAATGGACATCCCTAACCATGCTCCACTGTAGCTGTTCTCACACCAAACCCTCTGGGTTCCATAGAAGCTGGAGTCCTGTCCCTGCCAACTCTGCAAGTAGCTTTCCCTGCCAACTCAAATGTCTGTGTGGGTCGTGGGGGTCTCCTGCAGCTAGGATTCCAGAGGTTCATGGATAGAGTGGGCCACTTCATGCCTATTTAACCAACCCCTTCCCTAGAAGCCACTGAGGACCAAGAATAAGTCCTAGTGTTTGGCAACCCTGTGTAGGGTTCGCAGCTTCTTCCCCCCTTCAGCCCAGGGTCTGCATTCTCCCTCCATCCACTCTCAATGCCTTCTTTCCAATGATCTTCTCAGAGTATACTGCTCTTCTTGATGGTCTTGTCTCTTGGTGGGAGAAGCTCTTCCTGGCTGCATCTAGTCAGCCATCTTGTCTCTTCTCCCAAAAATAAGTTTAATTTTATATATTTTTGGCTTTATTTCCCAGTTTCCTGGGTGTCCTAGAATCCTCTCTATTGATCTCTCTGTATCTGCAGGTCACAGGGTGACTAAGGGTGCAGGAGAGTCACCTAGGGCCTCCTGGTGCCAAGGAAATGAGCAATGGAAGCAGGACCCAAGCTGGGTGAGTGGGCACAAGGAGACAAAGGCCCTGCCAGATCTGGGAAGCCACCTCCTCCTCCAAAAAAAGTTATATTCATACATGGAATTCTATTCAGCAATGAAAAGGAATGGTTACTAATACACTGAGCAGCATGGATTACTTACAACCATATGCTAAACTGAAGAAAAATAAAAGGCAATACCAAGTAGATATGTTTATTTCCATCTTAATAAAATCATAGAAAATACAAGTTTAAGCTTAAGTGACATAAAGTATATCAGTAGTTGCAAGAATGCCAGGTTGTTGGTGTGCTTGACTACAAACAGGTATGAGGGGTTATGACATTTAATATCTTGATTGTGATTTTGTTTACATGGGCTTATATAATTATCAAAATAAATAGAACTGTACACTTAAAGATTCAAATTTTACTATAAATTATACATCAATAAAATCTATTTAAAATTTTTTGAAATAAATAAAAACATGAAAACAATAGAAAAGAAACATGGACAGATTGAGGAAGCAAACATTGCAACTTCAGGAGAGTGGACACAATCTCATTTGTTTTATCCACCACCAGTTTAGAAGCTGTATGTGCCTGTCTCAACTCAGTACCCAAAAAATATTAGTTGAATTAGTGAATGAAACCTAAAGGGACTAAAGTTTAGCCAAGGCTATCTCAGATAACACAGTCCTTTAGGAAATTTGTCTTCCATATACAGCACAACGGTTGCCTTGATCCCACTCCAACCCTGAGGACCAAATCTCTTGTTCCTTTTCTTAAGTATTCTGTGACATATCTGCACCACTGATCATCACATGTAACTTGCACACTCTCTGTCTATTTGCATTTGTAATTCTCTGTGTTTAGAAAATAAGTGTATCAAGGCACAAGGCTGCACTTTTCCTTAAATGTTTAAGGAGAAAATGAGGGAGCTAAAGGAGAGTGGAATTTATCTGCTAGGTATGAAGCATTTAAACAAAAAGAGAAGCATGAATATTTCCAATGCTACAACAACATTGGGAAGGAATATAATGAGAAAAATTGTCAACATGACAGTTAATCCAACTTAGATATGATGTTTTGTTTTGTGTTTCACTGAGCCTATCATATGCAGGAAAGGCACATTTATCATGATCCTTGCCTCCTAAAAGCTTAAAAATGTGAAATGAAAGACTCAAGTAGCTGCAACACAGGGTAGGAAGTGTTGCATGCACATAACAGTTGAGGGGCTCTCTGGGTTCAGTATGGGTCAAGGAAGATCGTTGGAGGAAATGACATCAGAAATGGGCTTTGAAGGTTGAGTGCTATATAAAAAGTGGAGATTCCAAGAAAAACATTCCAAATTAGAATTTGGTTTTTATTAACAAATGTTTATTATGCAGAAAGAGAAACAATTTAAATGGAGAGTCGACGGGATGGCATCACTATATTGTACTAGGCTCCTGGGTTGCTGGGTTCTTAACACAATGGGGGAGTCAGGGGGAAGAGTCTCACAGGATGTCCTGATATGAGCTGTGAAGGAACAGGAATGGGAGAAACCCTGAATAAGTTGGAGGTGGTAACTGAGGATAAGGTGGAGTAGTCAATAGAGAAAAGCTAAGAGAGTGAAAAATGGAATGTGAAATAAGAAACTGGGAGGAGAGGAGGAAATACAAAAAACTCACCAGTGCTTCTTAAACCATAACACAAGGACTATTAGAATCACCAAGGGCACTATCACTACCAAGGCAATCCAATTCATGGAAAAGTGGTGTCCTGCACATATTGGAAAGATACATGGATGCCATTTTAAACTCACTGCTGATTCTATTCCATCTATTGATTTCCTTACTTAACATATGCATTGGATGAGTTGCATCAGTTATCCTATTTCAGTCACTCTATTCCAAAACTTACTCAAGGAAGGATTCCTCATTTCCCCTTAAATCTCTAGTATCCATGTATCCCTTAGGTCTTACTCCACTATTCTTTAAATTACCCTATACATTTCTTCCTACAATCCCTCACCTAGGTCTGCTATCCTCAAAATTTCCTCTCCCCTAACCTCTAGGCTCAAGAACCACCTACCTACACTTCCAACCTCCAGTCTTACCCCAGTAGAGGATGATGTCCTGGCCTCCTAGACTGCTGTGTCTCACTCGACAAGACAGGCCAGCAGGCTCCTCAGATGCCACCTCCAGGATCACCTGAAGATACCATGTCCCATCAGCATTAGGAAGAATATCACCATGTTTAGTGCCCAGTTGCTCCTGTTCATTCCGCATCCATGTCACCCAAACAGGCTTTGGGTAGAAGCCGGAGGCATGACAAACCAGCAACAGCTGGCCAGACCCAAGGCTGGGGCGACTGGACAGCCAGGCTTCTGGCCTCACTGCAGAGAGCAGAAAAAGTGTTCTGATGAAGAAACTTACACACAACTTACATCCACATACACACATCCACATGAATATGCACAGTTATCTTTTTCCTGCCTCTAAGAAACTATTACCCAGCAACCCCCCTGCTTCTTGTCCTCTTTCTTGTCCTGAGTTTGAAGGGTGGGAACAGAAGGGGCAGTACTTGAATAGAAAAATCTTAGAGGAAGGGGCTGAAACTACTGACCTTGCCTGTGTACATACATCTTCCCTGCATCCAGGAGACCCAAGAGAAATCGGGGGCAAGTGCTTCTTATGAGATTATACACTGTTTCTGTGACGCCTTCATACTGATGATTGAGTAGATGACAGACACTTTGGGCCAAACTTCCACAGCCTGGAGATGGCACCCATGTTGTATTCTGGAAACTCAGTAAATCTAATCCGTTGAAAGCTACCTGAAAGAAGCCTTCTGGGCTCTTTCCAGAATGCAGCTCACAGCCCGCTTTCACCTGTACTTCAAAGGGATCTGGAGGAAGGGAGGAATGAGAAAAAGAGTTCAAACAAAAAAGTGAAAACAACAGTATAAAAACCTAGGGCTGTATCAGGAAGTGAAGCAAGAAAGTTTTACATGGATGTGAGAGTGAGCCAAAGACATATTTGATCAGAAACAAGAGAGAAAAATTGCTGGGGATAGGGAAGGGGACAATAAGAGATAAATGCCTTGAATTAACAAGAAAAAGTGGCCAAGGAAGATGTGGAAAAATGATAGGTGAGCCACATAATATAGGATAGAGGGTGAAGGGGGAGCCTTTGTGAGGGAGGTAGGAGGATAGCATTCCATGACGCATGAAATTGGTCATAATGGTCATTGAACTGTGGACATAGATCTTTGAAGAAATTGAATGGGGGAATAGATTTTATTTTAAGGGAGTCAAGCACAGAGTGGGACAGCTGTGTATCTCTGGATTGTAGGATACAGAGGGAGACCACAGGTGGAAGATAACAAAGCACAAGAAAAAAAATTCCAAAAATAGCAAGAGCCTAGGAAATTTGAGGGAGTCAACATCAGGAATATCCCTTAAAAGGTTCATCTATGCAGAATTTTATGGTGGGATGGGATAATGGGAAATGGCCCAAAAATTAGTAGAGAATATTTCCCTGAAATAGAACATTCTAAAGAACTCCCATAATTTAGATGATTGAACTTACATTTCGAGTAATCTTGACTTGCATGGTCTTGAATCTCCCGAGTTAATCCAAAGAGGTAGAAACGAAATAACAACTCTAGGTCTGACAACTCTTCATTGCTGAAGTTGCCCTTGGACCAGTTATGCAGGAAAATTATTGTGCCTGATTCACTGTCCCAGCCATGAGTCTGCAACTCGTCCAGCCATCCTGAGCCCTGACCTCGTGCCCAGGATTGGTTGACAAATGAGAAGATCTGGATGACATGGAAGGAGACGTGTTCCTGGGATGCTTTTGGTGGAAGAAGGGCAAGTAGTGTAAGGAAAAAAAAAAAAAGAGAGGCAAGGAAAATGGAGAGAAAATGGAAGGTGAACCAGTTACCACAGAGAAACATTAATGACTACTTTAGCTATACCATTTTCCTTACACAGAGCCCCATGCTCTGCCACCATCCTCTAAAAGAGTAAACTGGACCTGGAGAGAGGTATGCTCAAATGGCAACCATTCTGGCTTCTTCATTGATCCATCTTGGGAAAGCCCATCATGCTCAACCCAGATACATGTAACCTTGCAGCTGACAGAGATGTTCATACTATCTGCATTGTCACCACCGGGGAGGAGAAGAACTAGCAGCGGAAACTACAGAAACAGCATGTCATTTGCAGTTGTTTCCTTCTCTCAGAAAAGCCATTTGCTGATCTCTGTTCTTAGCAAACTTATCCCTCTACATCTATATTCTGACTTCCTTCTACCAACAGACAATCTTCCCCATCAGCCACTGACAGCAACTAAGACAATCTGCTTCCCTTAACCTTAGGCCTCCTACTCAATCTCTCATTTCCCCATCTGCTCTGAACTAAAGTTACTCTCTTCCCTTAGGATTTTAGCTGCTCTCCCACTAAGCTCCATCTTATCTACTTCCCTTCCTCAACTGCCTTAGACAAAGTGGTGCGTGGCATTGAAAGGTTGCTTCATCCCTCTGGACCTTGCGTGTCATTTGTAACATAAAAAGGAGAAACCACATCATTTTCCTGGGCCCTGATTGTTTTAACGGAAAATGGAGAGGAAATGGAAATTGAACCAGTTACCACAGAGAAACATTAATGACTACTTTAGCTATAACATTTTCCTTACACAGAGCCCATGCTCTGCCACCATCCTCCAAAAGAGTAAACTGGACCTGGAGACAGGTATGCTCAGATGGCAAGCATTCTGGCATCTCTATTGATCCATCTCGGGAAAGCCCAGCACACTCTACCCAGATACATGTAACCTTGCAGCTGACAGCGATGTTCTTACCGTCTGCATTGTCACCACCTGGGAGAAGAAGAGCTAGCAGCAGAAACTGCAGAAACAGCATGTCATTTGCAGATGTTTCTTTCTCTCAGAAAAGCTGTTTGCTGATCTCTGTTCTTAGCAAACTTATCCCTCTGTACCTATATTCTGACTTCCTTCTACCAACAATCTTCCCCATCAGCCGCTGACAGCAACTAAGAAGATCTGCTTCCCTCAACCTTGGTCCTCCTACTCAATCTCTCATTTCCCCACCTGCTCTGAACTAAAGTTATTCTCTTCTCTCAGGATTCCAGCTGCTCTGCCACTAAGCTCCATTATATCTACTTCCCTTCCTCAACTGCCTTAGACAAAGTGGTGTATGGCATTGAAAGAAAGGTCATTTTGTCCCTCTGGATTTTGCATGTCATTTGTAAGATAAAAAGGAGAAACCATGTCATTTTTTCAGTTCCTGCTTGTTTTAATAGATCACAGTTCTTCCAGTTTCTCCACTTAACTTTGCCTCCACTCTCCATAGTGTCCCCTCTTCTCATCACTCCATTCTTTCTTTCCCCCTTTTGAATGTCCTCAAAGTTTTCTCTTTCCAATTTCACCTCTTTTCACCCATCTTTCTTATTTCCTCATTCTCACTGATTCTTTTATAAATTGGAGACGTTGCTTTTTACATCTTCCAAGATTTCCCTGCACAATTATATAAACTACAGTCCACTCTACATTATCCTTAGAGATTAAATTGCAGCCATTCAGAATGCATAGGACCATAACAAATATAAAGAAGCCCTTCTACTGCATTTAATCTGTATAGTCATTCACTAAAAAATTACATAGTACATGGTTGATACCAGTGTCTTACTAGGCATATAAACACACAGAGGTTAACAATGTAATCTCTTCTATCAAAGAGTTTTAAACTGCAGATGTTTAAACAAAAAATTAAAATGCATTGTGATTTTAATTTCAATGTATAGAATCCCAGATACAAATCTACTTAGAACTATATTCTCTAGAGCAGCATTTTGACTGACTAACCCCCTGGGAAGTTCATAATTTGAAGTCCTGGAAGAACAGCATGCATCTCAACTAAATACTGAAAATTCTGTACAGTGTGGAATGGTATACGATTGTGATAGTCAGAACATGCAGCTTTTCAAGAGGACTCATACATGGGGAGACCACAAAAATCCAAATTTAAGTTGTTTTGTGATCTGACCAAAACACATTGTATAAAAAGGGCAGCATTTGTCAATGTTTGATTTAAGTAGTTTATATGAAGTATTCAGTGACTTATCAGTGACCCTGGCTGGTTAATATGTGTAAATACATGAACACAGTTTTTTTGAGATCCAGGAAATACATTTATTATTATAGTGTTTCTTAAATCATATTAATTATTCACTGAATGCATTGGAGCAGTCACTTAAAATCTGGGCATGAATTTGTGCTAGGCACAATGACTCATGCCTGTAATCCCAGCACTTTGGGAGACCAAGGTGGGAAGATCACTTGAGCCCAGGAGTTTGAGACCAGCCTGGGCAACAAAGTTAGACCTCATCTCGATAAAAAAATTAAAAAGTTGGCCAAATGTGGTGGCACATGCCTGTAGTCCCAGCTAAATGGGAGGCAGAGGCAGGAAGATCTTTTGAGCCCTGAAAGTCAGGGCTGTAGTGAGCCATGTTCATGTCACTGTACTCCAGCCTGGGTAACAGAGCAAGACCGTGCCTTAAAAAGGAAAATCCCATTTGTAACATTGTTTCTGTTTTAAATTTATATTTATTCTATGTATTTACTGTGTACAACATGATACTTTGATATATACACTATTTCTTAGGTTTGTCAACGTTAATAGTGAGGCCAGAAGTCATTCTCAATGAGCTCTTCCTATCATGGCCACAGATATGTGGCAATTTCTATGAACTATAATATCTTTAAGAGCAATACCCAGTTCAAATCCTACCCAAATCATTCATAAGCACTAGGTGTTATCTTTGCTCATCTTGTGCTGTTAATGGCAAATACTTGGTTTGTGGTTTTAGAAAACAATAGTAGATACCACATTATGTGTTTATTCACATTTTTTTCCATGTTCCTACAGGAAAGATGCAACTGTCCTATTTCCTAATAGTTGGGTTAAGGTCATGGACTGAGTTCTGGGCAATGGAATGTGTGGTGTTGGAAGCATTAGCCAGCTCCAGTCCTGACCACTGAAAATATCACATCTGATCATCTTACCCTGTGGTACCAACTTGGCAGTCAAATTTCTAAATGGCAAGACTATGAGATGGAGAAGAGCAGCCTGATCTACATGCAGTTTAACTGCATGAGAAATAAACTTCATTGTGTTAAGCCTCCAAGTTCTAAAGTTTATTTATAACTGCAACATAACCTAGCTATATTGGATAATATTATAAAACCCAGTAAGTATCATCCTTTTTGCCCTCTTGAATTCAGAAGCAAACAAGTTGAAAATAACATGAGATAGATGGATCTAATGGTCAATCTTGACTTCTGATAGTGCCACTAGATAATTTGCTTTAAGTGTGTAATCCAAGTGATCTTGCTCATACTGGACCCTAAATGGAGTGGCCTTCTCATTGTTATGGACTGAAAGTTTGTGTACCCTCCCAAAGAAAAAAAAAATCACATGTTGAATCCCTAACTCTCAGTGTGATTATATTTGGAAATGGGGCCTCTAAGAAGTAATGTCAATCTCATGTCTAAACGGTAAGACCCTGATCCAATAGGCTTAGTGTCCTTATAAGAAGAGACACTGGAGTGCCCTTCCACTTTCCTTCTCTGTCTCTCTGTCTCTCCCTGTCGCTCTCTGTCTCTGTGTGTGTGTGTGTGTGTGCACCCACCATGGAAAGGCCATATGAGCTCATAGTGAGAAGGCAGTTGTCTGTATAAACCAGGAAGAGAACCTTCACTAGAAACTGAGTCTTCCAGATGGAGACTTTGAACTTCTAGCCTCTAGAGCTGTGAGAGAATAACTTCCTGTTGTTTAAGCCACCCAGCTGATTGCCTTGTGTTAGCACAGCCCAAGAAGACTAATACACTCACTTATTTCAGGCAATGCTGATAAAACCCTAAGTTCCCCACCTGAGCAGCTGTTCCTGTGAGAGCCAGGGCCTGGAGGAGGAGAGCAAGACTGAGCCTTTGGGGAGCAACTTGCCCAGAGAGGTAAAGGGCAGTAGGAGGTGCTGATATATACTTGCCCAGTTTCCCTCCTGAATTTATCAGTGAGATAAATCAGTCTGTTTTCAGAGGAAAGATTAAGGGGTGAGGAAAAAAAAACAAAAAGTATTTATGGGAAATTCCCCCTCAGGGTGCCTAGAAGAGTAAGTAACACCCTCACCCCCATCATGGCAATACGCATTCAAATAGATACCTAGAAATGTGTGTTCTCCGAAAACTTCCCTCTCCTTTGCTCCACACAGTCACCATGTCATTTCTCTCCCTCCACCTGGTTTTTCCTCTCTGATCTGACTGATATGTAGTCCTGCTTTCATCCTGTGGGACAGAGATCACAGCCACAGTCCCTGCCGGTGTGTCACAGTCCATATCCCTCCATGTCCATGCAGTGCTCTGCCCCAGAGCTGCCATGGAAAACGTGATCCTTAGAATGTCTATCAGCCTAAAATATTCAAATTGCTTTCATGAAAAATAACCCAGACTCCTAAGTATGACAATTTTATACACAAGAGTTTATGTACATCTATCCCTAAAAAGGAAGGGTGGAGGTAGTGTAAGAAGGGAAACTGGCAGACTCTTTACACTGGTGAATACTTATAAATATAGATGCAAGAATCTGAAATTGATATAAAATGCAATGGGGAGAGGAGTAAGTGGTTATTAAGCTCTCTGAACACACAAAATCCTAAGAGAATAATCTGAAGTGGGTAGGACACCCTATGATTAGAACCCAGCCTGAACAGAGGGGCTGGGTTGTCCCGAGGGAGCCCAGTGCTCTTCCTGTCCTTCCCCAACTTCCCTTTTCTTGTCCTTTTGCTCAGACCACAGACGTTGTTGTGTTTGCCTTCGCCTGGGCTCTTCTTGCCTGTCACTTCCCTAAGACCACTCTAGTGGGTGACTTTTGCACCCCGAGAGAGAGAGAGATTTCCTCAGAACTCCAGTGTCATGTTCCCACCCCACACAGCTCTGTCATCCCTTCCTCCCAGCAGAAACCTTGCCCTCTGCCTACTTCCCCATTACGGAAACCCCACAAGCCTCCCACAGCCACGTGACTCTTACATGGCCTTTCATTTCCTCCTCAACTCTTATTGAAGTGATTCACTCCTTCTTTCTGGCCTCCAAGCATAGTTCCTGTGGCTAGCGTATATCCTCCACCCTCTGCCCTCTGCAACAGCCAAAAAGGTCCCAGTCTGAGAGCTATGAAAACTCCTAGATTTACCACTTACTAGAAGCACTAATTCCCCACTGTAAAATGACAAAATTGGAGGAACTTGATATTTTCTAGTTCCATTTCAACTTTAATATTATTTGACTTGTCCTGTGCTTCTGTTCATTTCTGTTTATACAGTATTTTCTGTCTCTTCTGGGCTTCTTTGTCTTAATGTTTAACTTTTCTATGATCTCATATTGCTTTCTACTTATCCTTTGTTTGAATCCCTTGGGTCTCCTCTCTATCTTATCACCAATTCTACCTAAACTCCCTACCCATTCATTCTAAGCACCACCCTGGCTAAATTTTGAAGCCTAAAATATTGCTTTTCACTTAGTCCTTAGATTTCTGTGTTTATGGAGGCTCATGCCTGTAATCCCAGCACTTTGGGAGGCTGAGGCAGGTGGATCATGAGGTCAGGAGTTCGAGACTAGCCTTACCAACATGGTGAAACCCCATCTCTACTAAAAATACAAAAATTAGCCAGGTGTGATGGTGTGTGACTGTAATCCCAGCTACTCAGGAGACTGAGGCAGGAGAATCGCTTGAACCCAAGAGGTGGGGGTTGCAGTGAGCCGAGATTGCACCACTGCACTCCAGCCTGGGTTACAGAGTGAGACTCCATCTCAAAAAAAGAGAAGAAACAAACAAACTACAAAACACATAGATATACTGGGTAAGCTATAATTTTAAAAATTATTTATACATGTATGCATTGAACTCACAAGATAAGAAAGTCTGCAAAAAACAAAACAAATAAGAAATTAAGAACTAGATAGGGAAATAGAAGCTAACACTTGAGCTTCCCAAGACATTGACAAGAGTGGGTTCCTGAGGGCTTTGACCACAGTATCCACATAGGTCATAAGATCATGTTGAGACCACCAAATAAAAGTGCAAGAAATCTTCTACTGTATCCTCAATAAAATTGGTCAGGAAAAAAAAAAATCCAACTGAACCAAAAGACAAGAAGGAATCTTGTGGTCGCCTTAAGCTCTGGCTAGATTTCCTTTTTTTTTTTTTCTTACAAAAAGTTTTAATCACAGGTTTGCTCTCACAGGAGTTTAGAGATTAAATGTATTCTATTTGTCTTAAAATGTCTGATCCAAGAAATCAACAATACAAAATAGTTCCAAGCTTGTAGAAGTACTATATCACTCAGAAGCAAACACAAAACTTATTTCTAGTAGTATATAATTTCAAAGCAAACACAAAAATATTCAACAAAATCAACACAGTCTTCTTCATTTTTCTGATATAGGCTGTCTTTGTTTTGCCCAGTTTCAAAATGCACAAATTTCAGTCAGCAAAGTTTTAGTTAAATAACACAAATTCCCCAACAACAAGTTTGAAATGTGTGCCACAAATTTCAGTTGCCACAGTATAGTAACTCTTAGTAACTGCACGAAGTATAAACTACCACTAGGTCTTCAGTCCATGAGTCACCATAGAAGTAACAAATCCACATCATAATCAGTGACCAATTGCTTTACATATGTCAAAGTTTGTCAGTTTGACTATTATTCTGTGCTGTGCAAAACAGCAAAGCATGTAGGTGTGTAGTCCTGTGGTCTCATTGTGTCTCAGTAATAAACCCATACCCATCTGACATGAGTGAATAATAGAAAGAGGAAATTGGGCAACAAAGATGAATGTGCAAAGAAGAAAAGGGACAATGCTAGAAGTGAGATTTGAATTAAATATAAAAGAAGCTATAGAGGAAATAGCTGACCGTGGGAATGCTGAGAATGCTACTGTTTGAGAGACTTTAGAGGTGAAGCTAGAGGAACCTGGAGGAGGGAAGTGATTGTTGTGAAAAGAATGAAGGTGTCTTAAATGAAGTGACACTGGCAGAAAACTTCCCATTAAAGGAACTCTCAGAGATATTCCCCAAGAGGGAAAGCACAAAGTATAAAATATCAGAAGCTGATCCAAACATTAAAAGGAGTATGAAAATTCACCAAGGAATACAAAGATACTCTGTATCTTTAAGTAACAGAAGATGAAGGCAAACATTGCTCAAAACATTCTTGGTAAGTTAATACAAGGGAAAAAGACTTTAATTCCAAATGTTTTAATGTTTTAAAGTATAGTGTGCTAAGTAAATTATATTGTACTGTTTTTCACTTCCCTATATATTTATAACCAATAGTAAGTGGGTTTTGAATATTTTGACAAAGATGTTTCAAGTCACAGGGTGATCATAATTCTCTCTCTTGATTATTGAGATCCTTTCACATGATTTTAGCTTGCATGATCAATTTTTACAGTCCTGCATTAACATGCAAAGCAAAGACTGACTTTATATTACAGGATTTGGAGTCAAAATTTTTAAAAACTGCAGGTTGTTAAGTATCAGTGATATCTTCTTATGAATCTTATCACCTCATTTTTCATTTAAAAATGTCATAATCCTTTGAAGTTTGCAAGGAATTATTGGGATTTTAATATCATTCTGTTTATGGTATTAATTTTACTTACATATCATGCCAAACCAGTATTAAACACATCAATTTCAAAGTATTTTTGGAAGTACTTATACTTTTGGCTTGTTTTCTAGAATCCAGGATTTTATTAATATCTTCAAAATTTCTAAAGAAGTATTGCAGACCATCACTAATTGAATCCCTAGGAATACAATGGTGTCAGCTCAACTTCCCCATCATATAATCAACCATGGTTATAATTTTATATTAATTTCTATTAGCAATGCAATCCAATGTTTTGTCAAGACTGAAAGATAATACTACTCTTGTATGATATTTTTAAACTATTTAGAGATAAATTTTACTATATCTTTTACTACAAAAGTTTTAAAAAGACTGTGAATGAGCCTATCTAGATTCCTCCTCTCTGGGAAGGGCATCTCTGAAAGAAAGGCAGCAGCCCCAGTCAGGGGCTTATAAGTAAAACTCCCATCTCCCTGGGACAGAGTACCTGGGGAAATGGCAGCTGTGGGCACAACTTCAGCAGACTTAAATGTTCCTGCCTGCCAGCTCTGAAGAGAGCACCAGATCTCCCAGCACAGTGCTCAAGCTCTGCTAAGGGACAGGCTGCCTTCTCAAGTGGGTCCCTGACCACCATGCCTCCTGCCTAGGAGACACCTCCCAGCAGGGGTCGACAGACACTTCATACAGCAGAGCTCCTGCTGGCATCTGGCAGGTGCCCCTCTGTGACAAAGCTTCCAGAGGAAGTAACAGGCAGCAATCTTTGCTGTTCTGCAGCCTCCGCTGGTGACACCCAGGCAAACAGGGTCTGGAGTGGACCTCCAGCAAACTCCAACAGACTTGCAGCAGAGGGGCCTAACTGTTAGAAGGAAAACTAACAAACAGAAAGGAAAAAGCATCAACATCAACAAAAAGTATGTCCACACAAAAACCCCATCCGAAGGTCACCAAAACGAAAGACCAAAGGTAGATAAATCTACGAAGATAAGGAAAAACAAGAACAAAAAGGCTGAAAATTCTAAAAAAGAGTATGCCTCTTCTCCTCTGAAGGAACACAACTCCTTGCCAGCAAGGAAACAAAACTGGATGGAGAATGAGTTTAACAATTTGACAAAAGTAGGCTTCAGAAAGTGGGTAATAGCAAACTCCTCCAAGCTAAAAAAGCATATTCTAACCCAAAGCAAGGAAGCTAAGAGCCTTGAAAAAAGGTTACAGGAATTGCTAACTAAAATAACCAGTTTAGAGAAGAACATAAATGGCATGATGGAGCTGAAAAACACTGCAAGAGAACCTTGTGAAGCATACACAAGTATCAATAGCTGAATCGATCAAGTGAAAGAAAGGATATCAGAGATTGAAGATCAACTTAATGAAATAAATCGTTAAGAAAAGATTGAGAAAAAAGAATGAAAAGGAACTAACAAAGCCTACAAGAAATGTTGGTCTATGTGAAAAGACCAAACCTACATTTGATTGGTGTATTTGAAAGTGATGGGGAAAATGAAACCAAGTTTGAAAACACTCTTCAGTATATTATCCAGGAGAACTTCCCCAGCCTAGCAAGACTGGCCAACATTCAAATTCGGGAAATACAGAGAACACCACAAAGATGATGATCATTAAAAAGTCAGGAAACAACAGATGCCGGAGAGGATGTGGAGAAATAAGAATGCTTTTACACTGTTGGTGGGAGTGTAAATTAGTTCAACCATTGTGGAAGACAGTGTGGTGATTCCTCAAGGATCTAGAACTAGAAATACCATTTGATCCTGCAATCTCATTGTTGGATATATACCCAAAGGATTATAAATCATTCTACTGTAAAGACACATGCACATGTATGTTTATTGTGGCACTAATCACAATAACAAAGACTTGGAACCAACCCAAATGCCCATCAATGATAGACTGGATCAAGAAAATGTGGCACATATACACCATGGAATATTATGCAGCCATAAAAAAGGATGATTTCATGTCCTTTGCAGGGACATGGATGAAGCTGGAAACCATCATTCTCAGCAAACTAACACAGGAACAGAAAACCAAACATACATGTTCTCACTCATAAGTGGGAGTTGAACAATGAGAACACATTGACACAGGGCAGGGAACATCACACACTGGGGCCTGTCAGAGGATGAGGGGTTAAGGCAGGGATAGCATTAGGAGAAATACCTAATCTGGATGATGGGTTAGTGGGTGCAGCAAACCACCATGGCACGTGTATATCTATTTAACAAACCTGCACATTCTGCACAAGTATTCGAGAGCTTAAAATATAATTAAAAAAAGAAAAAAGAAAGTACTTAATGTTTACAGCAGGCGAATAAAGACCATATGAAGGTCTTGGGGCTTTTTGCTTAATTTTTCCTGCCTTTTAACATACTGCAAACATGTCATTTGTTTAGGAGAGAAAAAAAAGACTGTTAATGGATCAAAGAATATAGAATGACATTGAATTTTTTCACACACTTTTAGATGTTGCCAATTATATTTACCATGCATGGTGGCATTGTCATATCCTGAATCTTCAAATTATTTTGTTTATATTTAACTTTTGTAACTTGTCTATTAATGTTGTATATAACTTTTGTAACTTGTCTATTAATGTTGTATATAATTTTTCTAGTAATTCCATACACTGGGAAATTTATTCAACACACAAAAAGTGTTTTAAATGGAATTATATGCACTTGGAAATACATAAATTAATAATAATAATCTGCTATACCTAGCTTATATTTGAGGATATGTCGTCAAACCTTAGTGGACAATATATAGAATTTCTTACTTTAATTAAATTTACTTGATTCATCATATCTACCATAATCCTAATTGTTTAGTTTTGTATTTTATACCCTAAGTAATATGCTATATTATTTGATGGTAATATTAGTCATCTATACAAATGTTCCACCATAATTTGCTGTGATATTTGCAAGTGAAGACAATAGTAATACATTTTCTTGGATGATGCTCTGGATTCCTGACTTTGTCCTGCCAAAAACTGAACCACTCATATCACATGTCATTCACATATGTCAATAATTTCATATAGTTCATTTACTTTAAAAATGTAGAAATAGGGGTGGTTCCAAGATGGCCAAATAGGAACAGCTCCAGTCTATAGCTCCCAGCATGAGTGACGCAGAAAATGGGTGATTTCTGCATTTCCAACTGAGATACTGGGTTCATCTCACCGGAGATTGTCGGACAGTGGGTGCAGGACACTGGGTGCAGTGCACCGAGTGTGAGCTGAAGCAGAGCGAGGCATTGCCTCACCTGGGAAGTGCAAGGGGTCAGGGAATTCCCTTTCCTAGCCAAGGGAAGGGGGGACAAGCAGCACCTGGAAAATCGGGTCACTCCCACCCTAATACTGCACTTTTCCAATGGTCTTAGCAAATGGCACACAAGGAGATTATATCCCGCACCTGGCTCGGAGGGTCCTAAGCCCACGGAGCCTCACTCATTGCTAGCACAGCAGTCTGAGATCTAACCGCAATGCAGCAGTGAGGCTGGGGGAGAGGCACCCCCCATTGCTGAGGCTTGAGTAGGTAAACAAAGTGGCCAGGAAGCTCAAACTGGGTGGAGCCCACCATAGCTCAAGGAGGCCTGCCTGCCTCTGTAGACTCCACCTCTTGGGGCAGGGCATAGCTGAACAAAAGGCAGCAGAATCCTCTGCAGACTTAAATGTCCCTGTCTGACAGCTTGGAAGAGAGTAGTGGTTCTCCCAGCATGCAGCTTCAGATCTGAGAAGGGAAAGACTGCCTCCTCAAGTGGGTCCCTGACCCCCAAGTAGCCTAACTGGGAGGCTTCCCAGTAGGGGCAGACTGACACCTCAGACAGCCGGGTACCCCTCTGAGACAAAACTTCCAGAGGAATGATCAGGCAGTAACATTTGCTGTTCACCAATATTCGCCGTTCTACAGCCTCCACTGCTGACACGGGCAAACAGGGTCTGGAGTGGACCTCCAGCAAACTACAACAGACCTGCTGCTGAGGGTCCTGACTGTTAGAAGGAAAACTAACAAATAGAAAGGACATCCTCACCAAAACCCCATCTGTACGTCACCATCATCAAAGACCAAAGGTAGATAAACCACAAAGATGGGGAAAAAACAGAGCAGAAAAACTGAAAATTCTAAAAATCAGAGCACCTCTCCTCCTCCAAAGGAATGCAGCACCTCACCAGCAATGGAGCAAAGATGGATGGAGAATGACTTTGATGAATTGAGAGAAGAAGGCTACAGATGATCAAATTTCTCGGAGCTAAAGAGGGAAGTTCGAACCCATGGCAAAGAAGTTGAAAATCTTGAAAAGAAATTAGACAATGGCTAACTAGAATAACCAATGCAGAGAAGTCCTTAAAGGACCTGATGGAGCTGAAAACCATGGCACGAGAACTATGTGATGAATGCACAAGCTTCAGTAGCCAATTTGATCAACTGGAAGAAAGGGTATCAGTGATGGAAGATCAAATGAATGAAATGAAGTGAGAAGGGAAGTTTAGAGAAAAAAGAATAAAAAGAAACAAACAAAGCCTCCAAGAAATATGGGACTATGTGAAAAGACCAAATCTACATCTGATTGGTGTACCTGAAAGTGACAGGGAGAATGCAACTAAGTTGCAAAACACTCTGCAGGATATTATCCAGGAGAACTTCCCCAACCTAGAAAGGCAGGCCAACATTCAAATTCAGGAAATACAGAGAACACCACAAAGATACTCCTCGAGAAGAGCAACTCCAAGACACATAATTGTCAGATTCACCAAAGTTGAAATGAAGGAAAAAATGTTAAGGGCAGCCAGAGAGAAAGGTCGGGTTACCCTCAAAGGGAAGCCCATCAGACTAACAGCTGATCTCTCGGCAGAAATTCTACAAGCCAAAAGAGAGTGGGGACCAATATTCAACATTCTTAAAGAAAAGAATTTTCAACCCAGAATTTCATATCCAGCCAAAATAAGCTTCATAAGTGAAGGAGAAATAAAATCCTTTACAGACAAGCAAATGCTGAGAGATTTTGTCAGCACCAGGCCTGCCCTACAAGAGCTCCTGAAGGAAGCACTAAACATGGAAAGGAACAACTGGTACCAGCCACTGCAAAAACATGCCAAATTGTAAAGACCATCAATGCTAGGAAGAAACTGCATCAACTAATGAGCAAAATAACCAGCTAACATCAAAATGACAGGATCAAATTCACACATAACAATATTAATCTTAAATGTAAATGGGCTAAATGCTCCAATTAAAAGACACAGACTGACAAATTGGATAAAGTGTCAAGACCCATTAGTGTGCTGTATTCAGGAAACCCATCTCACATGCAGAGACACACATAGGCTCAAAATAAAGGGATGGAGGAAGATCTACCACACAAATGGAAAAGAAAACAAGGCAGGGGTTGCAATCCTAGTCTCTGATAAAACAGACTTTAAACCAACAAGATCAAAAGAAAAAGAAGGCCATTACATAATGGTAAAGGGATCAATTTAACAAGGAACACTTTTACACTGCTGGTGGGACTGTAAACTGGTTCAACCATTGTGGAAGACAGTGTGGCGATTCCTCACGGATCTAGAACTAGAAATACCATTTGACCCAGCCATCCCATTACTGGGTATATACCCAGAGGATTATAAATCATGCTGCTATAAAGACACATGCACACGTATGTTTATTGTGGCACTATTCACAATAGCAAAGACCTGGAACCAACCCAAATGTCCAACAATGATAGACTGGATTAAGAAAATGTGGCACATATACAACATGGAATACTATGCAGCCATAAAAAATGATGAGGTCATGTCCTTTGTAGCGACATGGATGAAGCTGGAAACCATCATTCTCAGCAAACTATCGCAAGGACAAAAAACCAAACACTGCATGTTCTCACAGGTGGGAATTGAACAATGAGGACACATGGACACAGGAAGAGGGACATCACACACCGGGGCCTGTTGGGGGGTAGGGGGAGGGGGGAGGGATAGCATTAGGAGATATACCTAATGTAAATGACGAGTTAATGGGTGCAGCACACCAACATGGCACATGTATACATATATAACAAACCTGCATGCTGTGCACATGTACCCTAGAACTTAAAGTATAATAATAAAAAAATAAATAAATTAAAATTAAAATTTAAAAAATGTAGAAATAATTTGGGACCCAGGATGCTGTTATCTTGCTCTATATTTATTTAAGGGCATTGGATCAAAATTGCTTTATTAATTTCAGAGATTAAGATAATTTGGAACTGTGTTGTAATCCCTGCACAGGTTATTCTCCTTCTGTTTTATACTTACTGCTGGAATTAACCCCTTAAGTTCCCAATTTAAAATGTGGGCTTCAATTATATCTTTGAAGATTTACAAGTCTGTTAAAAGCTTAGCTTTTCAGTCTCATTAGTGCCTCTCATGGAATCAGTAGATGCCTCTGGGGAGAAAAGCAGCCCCAAATACAGGGTTCATCACTATGAGTTTCTCTCTTCTCCCAGATATTAACCCAATAATCCATCTCCCTTTTGTGGGTTCTTTGATGCCTTGAGGCAGGTTTTATTTTATATTTTTATTGTTTTTTCTAGACATCCTTGATAAGAGAGTTGGTCCAAATTATGTAGTATAACATTTCTAGAAACAGAAGTACTTCTGTTTCCCATCATTCTGAGCAAACTATCGCAAGGACAGAAAACCAAACACCGCATGTTCTCACTCATAGGTGGGAATTGAACAATGAGAACACTTGGACATGGGGCGGGGAACATCACACACTGGGGCCTGTTGTGGGGTGGGTGGATGGGGGAAGGATAGCATTAACAGAAATACCTAATGTAAATGATGAGTTAATGGGTGCAGCAAACCAACATGGCACGTGTATACATACATAACAAACCTGCATGTTGTGCACATGTACCCTAGAACTTAAAGTATAATTTAAAAAAAAGAAGTCTTTCTATTTCCTTTTTAGTTATTTATTAATAGAATTTACCATCCTTATATGTGTGAAGCCACAACTTGTGTCTCAAAGATCTAAGCAATAACAGGTGTAGGCAAATTGAACCTATGTAGTGGGAGATGATTCCTGGGCCTCCGTACAAGCCACATAAAGTCAAGGTGAGTTCATTCCTGGGACTCCTTCTTGACCCTGAAACCAGTTTAAAATAATGTAGGAGACAAACCAAATTTGAGGTATCTCATCTAGACTGCAGACCTTTCAGTCTGGACTGAAAATCAAGGCAAAAACTGGCAATAATTATTTTGCTGCCTGGTGTTTTAGAAGATCCGATGTCAGCTCGGCACGGTGGCTCACACCTGTAATCCCAGCACTTTGGGAGGGTGAGGAGGGCAGATCACAAGGTCAGGATATCAAGACCATCGTGATCAACGTGGTGAAACTCCGTCTCTACAAAATACAAAAAATTAGCCAGGCATGATGGTGCTTGCCTGTAGTCCCAGCTACTCGAGATGCTGAGGCAGGGGAATCGCTTGAACCCGGGAGGCGGAGATTGCAGTGAGCCGAGGTTGCACCACTGCATTCCAGCCTGGGCGACAGAGAGAGACTCCATCAAAAAAAAAAAAGAAAGAAGAAGGAGAAGGAGAAGGAGAAGAAGAAGAAGAACTGATATCTAAGAGGTCTCTGGTTCCATTAATAGAATTTTTGCTTTAGCCATCATGCTGAGGCAGCCTAGTTAAGGTTACTGCTTGTAGAATCCCATGCATATTTCCTAAGATTTGCTCTGGCCTTGGCCTGTGTCTACAATATTGACACCGTTTATGAGGCATTTATTTAAGGTCCAGCAAGTAAATCCATACTTCCATAAGGACATACCCTTGCTCTAGTGGGTGCTGTGGTCAGCCAGCAATACAGCCTCTTCAGGAAGAAGATGCTTATTCCTCAGCTTCAGGGAGTGTTGGCTGCTGACTACTCACAGATGTGTCCTTCTAAAAACTGCCTTATGTAGAAGGGAGCCACTTTGCCTAAGGGGACATTCTTTCCCTAGGGAAAGCCCACATCGAATATAGAAGTACAAAGGTATGAGCCCATTACTTCATTTCAGAAAACCTCTGAAGGGCCATCTTAGCTCCAGAACTCTCTATGAGGTTGTTAGATCCTCTGTTACAACTGCATCACAGTTCCTTGTCTCACTGCTCAGTCCTGCTTCCCTCTTTCTTTTGGTAGTGCTGTTTCATAGAACACTCCCCAGTAAGCATTCTGCAGGCCGAGGCTCATCTGAGTGTTTCCTCGGCAACTGACCTGAGACACTCATCTACATAGAGCCACTTAACACTCATCTTAAGCAAACCCATCTTAAACAGCCACAACTTACCACAATAAAAACCTCAAATGGCCACTAGAAACAAAGTCCTACAGCTGCCTGTTCAGACCACAGTGGTAAGGAGGCAGTCGCACAGCATATAAAAGCCAGTCGTATTCAACGACATAGGCCACTGCACACCAACAAGGTCAAAGACTCATGGCCACAGCCTGTTTTCTAAAGGTTGGCTCCACCAAAAGATTCCTCCCAAATTATTTTATTCTCCATTTCCATAATACTTTATTCCCTATAGTCGTCTTCTAACAAAGGTCCTAGTAGCTTTGTTTACGCTCTCCTGAATTGAACTTTTTCTATTAAAACTGTAGATATCAACCTTTCATCATACTCAAAATCAGAAAAATGTGTGCTAAAAATTTATACCAACTTTTATTATAACTTTCTTTTCAATAATCAGCATCCTTTTATTTGCTGATGTTGTTACAGAAACCAATTACATTAGCCACAAAAAAAGTGTTTTCCTGAGTTGAAGAGCAAGGCAATTACTCTCCAAAATGTTAAGTAAAACAGTGTACAACATCGGTATTAAAATGTTAAATTTTACATTGTTTTTACCACTTTGATTTTCTGAACAATTTTGTTGAACAAAATAAGATAAAAGATTACATGTTTATTTTATCTTCAGGAATGTAAAGGTCTAATTATTCAAACAGTTTTTTATGATAAAACTGAACTCTGAAGGTGTCTACAGAGTTGGCATTTTTTTCTCTCTTCCTCTCTTTAAATCAGAAAGACAAAACTCTATTCAGTGTTTCTGGCAAAGTAGAAAGGGTGAAAACATAAAAAATAGAAACTCCTTGGCTTTTGTTGTAAGTTATAGCTCTTTACTAGATTCAGTATAGATGAAGTTTCTTTCTCTACTTGGGATTTACCTAAGTGAAATGGGTTATGAAATATTTCACTCTATCATTTTCCCAGAAGTTCCCTCTGATTTCTAACAAGTTTGTTTTCATATAAATTTTGGAACGGCTAGTTGCATTTTCTCCCTTGCTTTAGAAAATATAAAGACAAAAGTGAAAGTGAACTTAAATACAAATAACTTGGGTGCTATTATCAAAATTTGGTTTTGTCTTAGCAAAAATTAAGTAACCCACACAGGTCATCATAATGAGAAAAATAAAGAGCCTCAAATAAGCATTTCATAGACCAATGCTATTGATGATTAATTGATACTCAGCTGACATCCTGAATTAGTTAAATTTGGTTGTGAGTGACAGAAAATTCAAACTGACAGTATCTTTTAAAAGATGGAGCCAGGCACAGTAGCTCATGCCTGTAATCTCAGCACTTTGGGAGGCCGAAGTGGGTGGATTACTTGAGCTCACGAGTTGGAGACCAGCCTGGCCAATATGAGGAAACCCCATCTCCACTAAAAATACAAAAATTAGCTGGGCATGGTGGCATGTGCCTGTAGTCCCAGCTACTCAGGAGGCTGAGGCAGGAGACTTGCTTGAACCCGGGAGGTGGAGGTTGCAGTGAGCCGAGATCACGCTATTGCACTCCAGCCTGGGCTACAGAGCAAGACTCCATCTCAAAATAATTAAATAAATAAATAAAAATGCAACCACATTTCTCTCTCTTATAAAAAGACAGGAGTAGGCAATGCAGGGTTGATGTGGCATTCCATGGTGTCAGGAACTCAGTTTCCAATTTCCTTCTTTTGCGGGGGAGAGTTTTTATTTTTTTGTTTTGTTTTGGTCTTTACCACAGTTAGTCCTCATTCCAGTGGTCTTCCCATACCCTGAGGTGACTGCCAGAGTTCTTTCCATCAAATCCACCTTTCATCCAGCCAATAAGAGGAAGGGAAGAAGTGAGCACATCGACTTCCCATGATTTCAGAGCTGCTTTCTGCAGAAGTTATACATCACATTTGGCAGGTTGTAATCACATGACCACAATCAGCTCAAAGGGTGCCAAGAAACATAGCTTTTATTCTGCCCAGCTAATAATCAGCAGGTTTCAGTTATTCTAGAGGAAGTGACAAACATATACTGGGAGAAAACCAGTGTTCTCTGCCATATAGCCCATTTGGCAAGTCATTTATTTATTTAGCTATGCAGGTGTATAGTTAATAACCAGTTTTACTTGAATGGGCAATCTGGAAATAGCTCAAGGACCCATGGCTGCTTTTCTTACTTCATACTCATAGTATTCTTTTTTCTCACTTTAAACTCATATTAAGATTCATATCTGTTTCAAATAGTTTCCTGTCTAAAGCCATATCTGGCATTCTCTATGAAGTACAGTTGGTTGTGCATTGGGATGAGGGGGGTTGTAGTTATGTCAACTAGTGCCTTTGTATTTGGAAAAAAAAAACAAAATTATATTACAAGAAGAATCTTGGTGCTCTCTATGGGTGCTATCAGCCTTCCGGGAGCAAGCCTCAGATTCAAGCAGAAGTCCTTGAGTAGATATTTGCAGAAGCCACAAGAAATTTCCAATTCCAATTCCACTTGTAAGTCAACCTATTGTCAAAGTTACTGTTCTGTATTTAACAGATGATAGAAAATAGTTTTACATCCGGTATATGTTAGAATACATAATCTAAATGTTGCTGCTGCTTCAAAAATAATTTAAATCAGTTCAATATAAACAGTATCTTTGAAAGATGTGGAATCTATTCATTTCTACAGATAACAAAATCTACCCTTGGGTTTGCTAGAACATCAGAAAGCTGCATGTCTGGACTAGATCCTGTTATGCTGTGTAGAATTACTTTTCCCAGTCTTTGTCATAGGCTGACATAATGATCTTACTTTAAGAGACTTAATCACAAAAAGACCTATGGACCTCATAAAATTTACTGAAAGGACTTTCCTGAGAACATTGTTCACTGCGTTAAGCAGTTTCTCCTCTGATGGAAGAAATGTCCTTGTGGCCTCAGGACCAGGAATAGCTATAATTCTCCTAAACAGCCCATTGTCTATCTTCTAGACACTGCAAGTATGTAACTGATCCTGTCTTGATTATCATGGACCTCCAACAATGTGTGACCCACATCTAACCAGAGTATAGGGTATCGTGGCACTTCTTTAAAAATTTACACTGTTCTTGGCTTCATCTTATTTTATTGGCCATATATTACCCTGGATTCTATTCCTGGATTGTTATCAATATATTTTTAATATTTTAGAGCCAAAAAGTTATTGTGAATTTAAGGATAGGTTTCTGAGCTGCTGCGTGATTTGGGGGAAGCCATAAGACAAAATTTTTAATAACAAGCATATGCAGAAATGGCATTTTAATCTCTAATGTCATCTACTGGTAGAATACAAAAATTTGTTTTTTGTTTGTTTTCCATTAGTTCTTGGGATGCAGGTGGTTTTTTGTTACATGGATAAGTTATTTAGTGGTGATTTCTGAGATTTTAGTGCACCCGTCACACAGCAGTGTACACGGTATCCAATATGTAGTCTTTTATCCCTCACCCCCTCCCAATCTCCCCCCTGCTAAGTATCCAAAGTCCATTATATCACTCTTAATGCCTTTGTGTCCTCATAGTTTAGCTCCCACTTATAAGTGAGACATACAATATTTGATTTTTCATTCCTGAATCACTTCATTTAGAAAAATGGCCTCCAGCTCCATCCAAGTTGCTGCAAAAGACATTATTTTGTTCTGTTTTATGGCTTAGTAGTATTCCATGGTAAATATCTACCACATTTTCTTTATCCACTCATTGGTCAATGGGCACTTAGGTTGGTTCCATATCTTTGCAATTGTGAATTGCGCTGCTATAAACATGCATGTGCATGTGTCTTTTTCATATAATGGTCTCATTTCCTTTGGGTAGATACCCAGTAGTGGGATTGCTGGATCGAATGGTAGTTCTACTTTGAGTTCTTTAAGGAATCTCCATACTGTTTTCCATAGTGGTTGTACTAATTTACATCCCCAACCACAGTGTATAAGTGTTCCCTTCTTACCACATCCAGGCCAACATCTTTTGTTTTTTTACTTTTTAATTATGGCCATACTTGTAGGAGTAAGGTGGTATCTCTTTGTGGTTTTAATTTTCATTTCCCTGATGATTAGTGATGTTCAGCATTTTTTTAATGTTTGTTAGCTGTTTGTATATCTTCTTTTGAGAATTGTCTATTCACATTCTTTGCCCATTTTTTGGTGGAATTTTTGTCATTTTCTTGCTCATTTATTTGAGTCCCATGTAGATTCTGGATACTAGTCCTGTGTCAGATGCATAGTCTATGAGTATTTTCTCCCACTCAGTGGGTTGTCTGTGTACTCCACTGATTATTTCTTTTTCTGTGCAGAAGCTTTTTAGTTTAATTAGGTTCCATATATTTATTTTTGTTATTGTTGCATTTGCTTTTGGGGCCTTAGTCATAAATTATTTTCCTGAGCCAATGTGCAGAAGAGTTTTTCTGATGTTATCTTACAGAGTTTTCATGGTTTGGGATATTATATTTAAGTCCTTGATCCATCTTCAGTTCATTTTTGCATAAGCTGAGAGATGGGAATCCAGTTCCATTCTTCTACATGTGGCTTGTCAGTTATCCAAGCACCTTTTCTTCAATAGGGTGTCATTTCTCCTACTTTATGTTTCTGTATGCTTTGTCAAAGATCAGTTGGTTGTTAAATATATGGCTTTATTTCTGGGTTTTCTATGCTCTCCATTGGTCTGCGTGTCTATTTTTATGCCAGTACCATGCTGTTTTGGTAAATATAGCCTTGTAGTGTACTTTAAAGTTGAATGAAGTGATGCCTCCAGATTTGTTCTTTTGCATAGTATTGTTTTGGCTATGTGGGCTCTTTTTTGGATCCATATGGATTTTAGGATTCTTTTTTCTAGTTCTGTGAAAAATTATAAAGATATTTTGATGGGAATTGCATTGAATCTGTAGATTGCTTTGGGCAGCAAGGTCATTTTCACAATATTAATTCTACCCATCCCCAAGCATGGGATGTGTTACCATTTGTTTGTGTCATCTATGATTTCTTTCAGCAGTGTTTTGTAGTTTTTCTTGTAGAGATCTTTCAAGATCCTTTATTAAGAATGTTCCTAAGTATTTTATTTTATTTTTTGCAGCTGTTGTGAAAGGGATTGAGTTTTTTTATTTGATTCTCGGCTTGGTCACTGTTGGTGAATAGCAGTGCTACTGATTTGTGTACATTGGTTTTGTATCCTGAGACTTTACTGAATTTGTTTGTCAGATCTAGGAGCTTTTTGGATGCGTATTTAGGTTTTTCTAAGTATGTGATCAACTCGTGGGCGAACAGTGACAGTTTGATCTCTTTTCCAATTTGGATGTCCTTTATTTGTTCTCTTGTCTGATTGCTCTGGCTAGGACTTTCAGTACTATATTGAATAGAAGTGGTGAAAGTGGGCATCCTTGTCTTGTTCCACTTATCAAGGGGAATGCTTTCAAATTTTCCCCATTCAGTATGATGTTGGCGGTGGGTTTGTCATATATGGCTCTTATTACTTTGAGGTAAGTCCTTTCTATGCCTATTTTTTGGAGGGTTTTATCATAAAGGAATGCTAGATTTTATCAAATGCTTTTTCTGCATCTATTGAGATGATCATATGTTTGTTTTTAATTCTGTTTACGTGATGTATCATATTTATTGACTTGCATATGTTAAACCATCCCTGCATCCCTGATACAAAACCCAGTTGATCATGATATATTAACTTTTTGATATGCTGTTGGATTCGGTTAGCTAGTATTTTGTTGAGAATTTCTGCACCTACGTTCATTAGGGATATTGGTCTGCAGTTTTTTTTAAATCATTATTATTATTGTCTTTTCCTGGTTTTGGTATCAGGGTGAAAAACCCTGACATTTTCAACCCGAGTTTTAATGTTGCAGATATTTTGATTCTGTACTTAGACACAGAAGTATTTTACACAATATCATGCATTTTTATTATTTTTCCCTGGGAAGTTACCCATGGTGCGACCCTTTTATCCCAATTCAGTTTCTTCATTCTATGCATCATAATTTTCCAATTTTTGATTTGTTGTATTGTGTTCTGTCTTCTCTGGAATCTTTTTTTTTTTTTTTTTTTTAACAGTAGTAAGAAATTATTTTTATTTTTATTTTTTTTTTCTTTTTTTTTTTTTTATTATACTCTAAGTTTTAGGGTACATGTGCACATTGTGCAGGTTAGTTACATATGTATACATGTGCCATGCTGGTGCGCTGCACCCACTAATGTGTCATCTAGCATTAGGTATATCTCCCAATGCTATCCCTCCCCCCTCCCCCGACCCCACCACAGTCCCCAGAGTGTGATATTCCCCTTCCTGTGTCCATGTGATCTCATTGTTCAATTCCCACCTATGAGTGAGAATATGCGGTGTTTGGTTTTTTGTTCTTGCGATAGTTTACTGAGAATGATGGTTTCCAATTTCATCCATGTCCCTACAAAGGATATGAACTCATCATTTTTTATGGCTGCATAGTATTCCATGGTGTATATGTGCCACATTTTCTTAATCCAGTCTATCATTGTTGGACATTTGGGTTGGTTCCAAGTCTTTGCTATTGTGAATAGTGCCGCAATAAACATACGTGTGCATGTGTCTAAATGGTGCTGGGAAAACTGGCTAGCCACATGTAGAAAGCTGAAACTGGATCCCTTCCTTACACCTTATACAAAAATCAATTCAAGATGGATTAAAGATTTAAACGTTAAACCTAAAACCATAAAAACCTTAGAAGAAAACCTAGGCATTACCATTCAGGACATAGGCATGGGCAAGGACTTCATGTCCAAAACACCAAAAGCAATGGCAACAAAAGACAAAATTGACAAATGGGATCTAATTAAACTAAAGAGCTTCTGCACAGCAAAAGAAACTACCGTCAGAGTGAACAGGCAACCTACAACATGGGAGAAAATTTTCGCAACCTACTCATCTGACAAAGGGCTAATATCCAGAATCTACAATGAACTCAAACAAATTTACAAGAAAAAAACAAACAACCCCATCAAAAAGTGGGCGAAGGACATGAACAGACACTTCTCAAAAGAAGACATCTATGCAGCCAAAAAACACATGAAGAAATGCTCATCATCACTGGCCATCAGAGAAATGCAAATCAAAACCACTATGAAATATCATCTCACACCAGTTAGAATGGCAATCATTAAAAAGTCAGGAAACAACAGGTGCTGGAGAGGATGCGGAGAAATAGGAACACTTTTACACTGTTGGTGGGACTGTAAACTAGTTCAACCATTGTGGAAGTCAGTGTGGCGATTCCTCAGGGATCTAGAACTAGAAATACCATTTGACCCAGCCATCCCATTACTGGGTATATACCCAAATGAGTATAAATCATGCTTCTCTGGAATCTTAAGTATAGATTGTTGAGTTCATTCTCTTCTATTCATGGCGTGGATATCATTTGGCCTGAGCGGGCTTCCTCTGTATATTATTTTATTTACTTATTATCCCCACTTCCTTCCCTTCCCCACATTTTAATGTATTAATGTGTCATCCTTCTGTGCCTATGTGTTCTTTTAACACATGGTGTCGGGGTCTCAGCAGCTCAGGCGGGAGGAGCGGCAGTGGCCAGGCAGCCTAGCTTCACCAGGGCTCTTACGTGCAGCGGCCGCAGGCACCTGGCACACACGTTCTGCACCACCGGGATGAAGGAGCCATGAAGGAAGAGCCCAAGAGGAGATCAGTGCCGTTGGCAGCTAAAGCTTCTCCTGCAAAAGTGGAAATGAAGCCGGAAAAGGCAGCAGGAGGTCAGGCGTGGTGGTTCAGGCCTATAATCCCAGCACTTTGGGAGGCCGAGGTGGGCAAATCACCTGAGGTCAGGAGTTTGAGACCAAACTGGCCAACATGGTGAAACCCCGTGCCTACTAAAAATACAAAAATTAGCCAGGTGTGGTGGTGGGCGCCTGTAATCCCAGCTACTCCAGAGGCGAAGGCAGAAGAATCGCTTGAACCCGGGAGGCGGAGGTTGCAGTGAGGCGAGATCGCACTACTGCACTCCAGCCTGGGTGACAGCGAGACGCAAGACTTCGTCAAAAAAAAGAAAAAGAAAAGGACAAATCTTCAGACAAAAAATTGCAAACAAAAGGGGAAAGAGGAGCAAAGGGAAAACAGGCCGACGTGGGTAATCAAGAAACTAAAGATTTACTTCAGAAAACGGAAAAACTAAAATCGAGGAGAGTCCAGCCTCTGAAGCTGCAGAGAAAGAAGCCAAGTCTGATTAGTATTACATTCCATGTCTTATCGGTCTTCCCTGTCTCCCTTCTTGTACAACCTGGGGGAATATTTTTATGAACTATTTTGTAAACAAAAGTTTTTCAGTAGCTCTAGAAACATTTTTAAGAAAGAGTGAATCCCATCTCACCTCATTTTTTAAGTGCAAGTGCTTTTTTTTTAAAGGTGAAATCATTCTCTGGTTGTTTATTTTTGGTACCAGAAAATAGTATGGAATATCGAATTATGGGAGGCTTTGTCTTGGGTGTCAGCTTAACATTCCATGGATGGGGGGTTAGCTTTTATATCCTATAATACAAAGCGTACTAAATGGCAATGTGGAGTCACAGTCCTGCCTTTAATGTCTTGAACATTTTAAATTACTTCTAGTCCCATGTTTTTTGTCAGTAGAATTGTTTCCTAAAGGAAACCACTCCTTCATAATGGCTCTCCCTGTCAGAATTGTGTGCACTCTGTAACATCTTTGGTGGTGGTAGTCCTGTTTTTCTAATAACTTTGTTACCATGCTGTGAAATACTAAAAATTTGAGTGTGTAGTGTATATGCTATTCAATTGTGAGTTGGTGGGACATCTGTTAACAGCTTATCAACATGTGAAGATACTGGTACTTGGTAGCCTCTTAAGGAAAATTTGCCTCCAAATTTTAAGCAGGAAAGTTACTGGAACAACTTTAAAAAATAATTACAATACATGGCTTTTTAGATTTTCAGTACATATATTAAGAATTGAAATATCTGTGTACTGACCCTCAACACAACCAATAAAATCTCAATTATAAAAGAAAAAAAGTGGTACTATTTGATGTGTACAACTCTAATTGCAATACAGGTATTGTACTGTATGCTTCGTGTATTGATGCATTGCATTCAGCACTTTCTTGAAGACCTTCGCAACAGTCTGGTCTGTTGTTTCTACACATGTATACTTAATCAACAAACATCTCCAAATTCATATATGGGTGTATATCTCATATATGTTATATATACCCATTTTATTGTTAGAATTCCAAATAGTTTTCTTAATTGTCTACGCATTAATTTTTCTCAGTGTGTAGTTTGTTGAAGAGAAATTCTTAATTTTACAAAGTAAAATTCAACTATTTTTTTTTGGGACAGAGTCTCACTTCTGTCACCCAGGCTGGAGTGCAGTGGTGCAATCTTGGCTCACCACAACCTCCATCTCCTGGGTTCAAGCTATTCTCCTGCCTCAGCCTCCTGAGTAGCTGGGATTACTGTAATCCCACCCCCAGCTAATTTTTGTATTTTTAGAAGAGACAGGGTTTTGCCATGTTGTCCAGTCTGGACTGGAACTCCTGACCTCAGGTGATCCAGCCACCTTGGCCTCCCAAAGTGCTGGGATTACAGGCATGAGCCACTGCACCCAGCCCCAGTCCAAATTTTAAATGGCTGCTGTCCTCTGCCAATTTTTGGAAGCTTGACAAAGACAGCTTAGGAATTTTAGATAAATAGAGCAAATGATAAGCCTTTGGAAATGCATAGGAAACAAAATGACTATTCATAGAACCAAATACAAGCCTTACAGTAGAAACTAAAAAACACCAATTGTTTTATATGTATGTAAATATAAGTAAAACCCAAAGGAGAACAAACAGCAAATAAATGAAAATTAAAAGCAAAACCAACAGGAAAATAACTCCCAAATTTTCTCTTACTTAGTTTACCTTGGAGTCTACAGTGTTATCCAGGGCCTAAAAAAATATGATATTCTGTTTCTGATATACTAATTAATGTGTTTAAGTCCACCAGTACCACTCTACATTTTGTGCAATTAAGAAATTCACTTTAGGCATGTAACCAATAAGTACCTTAGTGCTAGTACTTTCTATGTAGAATAACAAATACAGTGTGAAACAAAGCAATGCAAGCATTTATGTAAAATTTGACTCCATGTTAAATCTGGCTTCAGGCTTAACTATATTTAAAAAGAATTATCAAACTGCCAATGTATTTATTTATAATAATTCTTATTGTACCTTCATCAAGACTAAGAGCTTTAACGGTGAACAATGTTAATTAGTCAAATGTCTCCAATTTTCTATCAGTTTTTAAAGGATATTTACTATATAAACTTTTCAACTTTTTATTTTCTGTTTATGTACATGAAGATAAACACACAGAGAAACAGAAAGAAAACAACATATGACTTCAACAAGGCATCTGTGTCATGCTTGAACTTTCTGTTTTGTCCTAAATTTTTTTTAAAAAATTCATTTATTTTTAGGAAAAAAAAAATGCTGTCAGATTGTTTTCTCAGGGGACACACATACACTGTTGGTGGGAGTGTAAATTAGTTCAACCATTGTGGAAAGAAGTATGGTGATTCCTCCAACAGCTGAAAACAGAAATATCCATTCAACCCAGCAATCCATTACTAGGTATATACCCAGAGAAATATAAATCATTCTACCGTAAAGACACATGCACACAAATGTTCACTGAAGCACTATTCACAATAGCAAACATGGATTCAACCTAAATGCCCATCAACGACAGATTAGATAAAGGAAATGTAGTACCTATGCACCATGTAATACTATGCAGCCATAAAAAAGAATGAGATCATATCTTTTGTGGGAACATGGAAGGAGCTGGAGGCCGTTATCTTTAGCAAACTGATGCAAGAACAGAAAACAAAATACCACATATTCTTACTTTTAAGTGGGAACTAAATGATTAGAGTTCATGAGCACCAAGAAGAAAACAACACGCAACACGCACTGGGGCCTCCTTGAGGATGGAGGATGAGAGGAGGGAGAGGAGCAGAAAAAAATAACTATTGGGTACTAAGCTTAGTACCTGGGTGATGACATAATCTGTACAACAAACTTCCACAACATGAGTTTACTATATAAAAAACCTGCACACGTACCCCAAACCTAAAATAAAAGTCTAAAAGAAAAGATACTTGTATAAAATTATCCTCTTTTCTTTTTAACCTTTCTTGCCAAAAATACATCTTTATGTTCTTAACTTTCTTCACATCTCTCTTCCCTACTTGCTGGTTCCTTTCTACCTTATTTCATAAATAAGTTTTTCGAGTCCATAATTGGGATCAAACTTTAGAAAACATTTGAATTAGACAAAATTATTCCATTTCTCAATAAGAAAACACCTTCTTTGGCAGGTTTTATATACTAAATTATATATTAACTACAATTCTTATTCTTAGTAACCTTAAATTTTAGTGAAAACTAGGAAGCAAGAAATCTTTAACTGTCTATCAAATATTTGCATTTTATAGATGAAAACATTCCACAATTTATAAAAACATGTTTCTCCATATCATAACCCTTTCTTAACTGGAAATGAGCCAGACATCCAAGAAGCATCAAAAATAATTTTAAGATTTTAAATTACACAAAAAGCTCACCTACAAGCATGTATCCCATTTACATGTATTCAATTCTTTCATCTTTTTAAACAATTTATAGGTCAGGCGCAGTGGCTCACGCCTGTAATCCCAGCACTTTGGGAGACCGAGGCAGGCGGATCACGAGGTCAGGAGATCAAGACCATCCTGGCTAACACGGTGAAACCCCGTCCCTACTAAAAATACAAAAAATTAGCCGGGCCTGGTGGCGGGCGCCTGTAGTCCCAGCTACTCGGGAGGCTGAGGCAGGAGAATGGCGCGAACCCGGGAGGCAGAGCTTGCAGTGAGCCGAGATCGCGCCACTGGACTCCAACCTGGGCGACAGAGCGAGACTCCGTCTCAAAAAAAGAAAAAAAAAAATTTATATAAGTGGGTTCTGAAAACTGAGATATTAGACAAAGGTAGTCGTCATTTCAGGTTATTGCTCTGTTGACCATTATTTGTAGCCTATGAATATTAGGTGCTCACCTAAGTAAGCAACTTAAATACATAGGTATTTTTGCCAATAACTTAGAAGATTCAACTGTTTTTATTAAACTAACAACATTTACTTAGTCTTATTTGCCAAAGAAGGCACACAAACAAAGATCATTTTGTTTTGGCTGGGTTTATACTTTTATAACCCTCTGTGCCAAACACTGACACCTCAAAGTATCTAGCAAAGACAATTATAAAACCCAGACGAAAATGTATTCTAACACTGTTAAGACATTCTTATTTTTTTATTACTAATGACTTTAAAGCCAGCTTTTTAAATAAACATTTACTTAAGTCACATAAAATTGAAAATTCCTTAGATTTATTTATTTAGTGTATAAGATGCTCTTTTATTTATAAGCCAATTTGGTAGACACAACATACAACATAATAAATGTACATACACATAAACACATATAAACATGTATACACATACACACACAAAGATCCAATAGCTTTTACCTTGGAACTCTAGCCATGAGATAGCAATACCAAACCACTGGTTTAGGAACATGTTCACATGGCTCAAGTTTGTTTGCCCCAATATGTAATCCAATGAAAGCTTTGAACCAAAATTTGGGTAAAGCAGTTTCCATGGCCGTTTGATTATTAAAGGCTAAATTTCCCCAGGCTCCAAAGACCACTAGGGCCAAACAGCACTATAGAAGAACATCATGTACTAACCAGGTCCAACCCTGCTTAGAACAGCAGCCTAAAAGCTTAGATACATGTAACACCATAACACCGTTCCACTGTCTCACTCAACAGCATGACCCATGGAGAAGCCAAACTTCTCCAGATTCCAAAGAACACTGAAGCCAAACAGTGCTACAAAATATTATCAGTTTATCAAATTCTGATTTCCTGTGACTATATTAACACACACAAATAAACAAGCAATCACTAAAACACTGTCCAATTGCTGCAGCAACCAACGAGTTCCAATATCAATCAGTTGGGCTTGTTCAACCTGCAAATGGAAATTCCTCCAGAATTCCCCAAATTGAGAGGAGAAGATCCCACTGTCTGGTACCCACAAAAGACATTCACCCATCCAGACTCAGATGACACATTTCAAAGGCTGCTCTTCCTAGGCAATCAGAAACACAGCTGGGGCTGGCAGAGGTAGGGCCAGAGAAAGAAAAACCAACACCCACCTGTAGCCAAAAAAGTGTTGGGCAGCTGCTTAGGAGGACTTTTGAGACTCTCCCTGCCCACAGCAGCCAAGTTACTAGCAATACATTCCCAGCCAGGGAACTAAACCTTGTCAAAAACAACTAAAACCTACCAATCTACCGCATCTGGACAACGAGATGCCAGACTCCTCACCCATCATGATTGCTTAAGCAACCACCTGCTTGCTGTTGACCAATTCTTCTTCCTTACCTCTCCCTAATTCCTATTTTGCCACACAGGGTTCTGTTTCTTCCCTGCCCTATAAATCCCTAATTTTAGTCAATCAAGGAAATGGATTTGAGATTGATTTCCTATCTCCTCGGCTGCAGCAGTCAATTAAAGGCAATACTCATTGCCTCGGTAACTGGTTTTTATGTGGCAAGCAGCAGGCCGTAGACCAAACTCCTGGCATTTTAATAACACTAGGTTGCCTTTGCATTCCTATGAAAATCCTAAGAGTATATATTTTTGCCTCCATTTAACCAAAGAAAAGAAGGAAGATCAGGGAACCTTTCCAAAGTCACTCACTTAGCAGCAGATGCAGCACTTTTATTCCTGGTCAGAAATATATGAAAAGTTCAAGAGAGTAATTAATTCAGGCAGCATAGTTAAAAACAGGACAGTGTAAGAGTTTAAAAAGATAAGCACACATATAAGAAAAAAACTACAGGTCAGGTATTCCTAATGTGAAAATCTGAAATGCAAAATGCTCCAGAATTTAAAACATTTTGAGCACTGACACGATGCTGAAAGAAAATGCTCGTTGGAGCATTTCAAGTTTCAGATTTCCAGATTAGGGATGCTCGGCTGGTGGGTGTATGGAAATGTTCTAAAGCCCCCCCAAAAATCTGAAATCTGAAACACCTGTGATTCCAAGCATTTCAGATAAAGAATACTCAACCTGCGAAAGAAAAGAAATCAATTTTAAAGTATAGCCAATCCCAAGAAGGGAGGAGGAGGAAGATGGAAATAAAGAGGAATACTTCAACCAAGAGTAAAATCAGCTAAGTGTCCCCTAGGGTCCATGTACATCAGATAGGATGCTTTCAAGCACAAACAGGAGAAAACCCAACTTGATAGGCTGAAACAGTAAAGGAAATGTATCATCTAACATCACTGAGAAGTCCAGGGTTCATTCAGGCTTTGGATACAGTTTAATCTGGACTCTTCTGAGAGTCCGTTGCCTCTACTTTCTTGCCTGTGTGATTTCTCTGGTGCTGAAAAAAAAATGACTTGAGCTGTTTCAAGCTCTATACCTCACACCATACCATCCAGGACAAGAGAGAGCCTCTCTTTTCCCTATTGTCAAACACAAGAATCAGGCGTCATGTAAACAGTGTCATTTTAGAACAAGTACATAGCCCTGAACCACCACTCTGAGCAAGGGTAAGTGGGATCTATATGATGATTGGCTTAAATCTCAGGTTACCTTCCATCCTTTAGCCTATCACATTGTAAAGAATGAGTTATCATGATTGCCTTAGGCTGACCACTAGAGCTGAAGGTGGTATCAACCAACCAAAAGCCAGATGACTACTATGCAAATGTGGCAAGGTGGATTCAAACCCAAATGGGTTGGAACCAATCATGTCAAACACAGGTAAAAAGACTGCAGCTGTCCCATTCTTTGCTCTCCTCTATCCCATATTTTTCTTTTCCCCTTCACCCATTACAAGTTCAGTTTCCAAAAATTTCCATATACGCAGCCACTGCCAACTGCACCTGGTCTGCCTGGATGTTTCCCTTGCCTTGGGCCCCTCTTCTCAGTATCCTAAACAAATTAGAGCTAAGTCCTTTTCCCCAAGTTCAACTCTAATAAGTTACTATACTAGAAAACTGAGAAATAAACAACAAGAAATGAAAGTGGCAACCTGCAGAATCATAAGAAATATTTGTTGAATTCATGAATCCTAAAGTAATTGAAGTCTAGCTATGGATATCTTGACAAATACTACCATCTACCATCTGGGGTCAATAGTCAATCCTCATCATTCAAAAATGTTATATTTGCTAATTTGTCTACTTGCCAAATTTTATTTGTAACCCCTAGATATATATTCATAGCATATTCACAATCATTCATGAATATATGCAGTGAGGTACAAAATTTGAGTCCCCCAAAGAACATGTTCCTAACTAAGGTCGAAAAAGGTGGTGCTTTGTCTTCATGTTCCAGCTCTCACACAGTAAACAAGTGTCCTTTTTGTAGTCTATATAGTGCCAACTTCTGCACATTTTTGGGTTTTTGGTTGGTGATTTCACAATCTTAAATGGTCCCAAGTGTAGTGCTTAAGTGCTGTCGCATTTTCCTAAGCATAAGAAAGCTGTGACATGCCTTACAGAGATAAATAAATAAATAAATAAAAATAATAAATAAATAAATAAATAAAATAAATAAATAAATAAAAATAAATCAACAGTGCAGTACATGCAGGAAAAGGGGGAGGAAATTCACCCATCTGTAGGTGAGGCTGCTTGGGAAAGTAACATCTATAATGCTATGCTGAAGCTATGGGAAAATAGCTACATTTGTGGATTCATGAAATGACAACCATTTTTTTTAAGTGTAGTGGACAGCAATGTTGTGAAGCTGAAAACCAAAGAAATTTGTGATCATGTTAACCAAGGTCAGGAATATATTAAACACTTCGTAGATAGTGTTTTATTATAAAGAAATACTGCATATAATGAATTAATTATATATACATATATAAAATAAGATGTTTTTAAACAGAAACACACATAAAACCAGCTTATGTATTCACCAGTTGACAAAAATGTTGTGAAAAATCTCACAAGAGCCTAACACCTGTATTTCCCCTGGGAACAATGGCTCATTGCTCACAAATTCAGTATTTGCAGCAACTGCACACAACATAACTGCCATGAATAATGAGAAGGTGCAGTAGGTACATTACTTGCCTTGATCTCACTTCAATCTTCAGGAGTAACACTCTTGTTCCCTTTTTTGATCATTTTCAATTCAGTGACACACTTGTACTACATCTCAGGCATCACCAGCATCAGTGCCTCACAAATTTTAATGGACATGTGAGTATCCTGCTGATTTTCCAAAACACAAATTATAATTCAGTAAACCTAAGGTGAGGCCCACATTCTACCTTTCTAACAAGCTCCAATGTGAGAACTCTGCTGCTTTTCCCTGAACCACTGAATAGTAAAGATATACATCCTGCCTTGCATACCTGGAACAATAATTTAACTCGAAGAGCTCTCTATAGTTGAATGATAGGAGTAGTAAGAGGCAAAATTGTGTTTCTCCTCTGGAGCTCAGAGAACAAACTATAGAACTAGGAATGTGTAAAATTTCCTCCAAGTGAGAAGACTTTTAAGCAGAAGAGTATCAAATGTCTCAACTACTTCAAAAGCACCAGGAAGGAAAAGAATAAGAAAACACTACAAATTTGGCATAAATTCAACACAGAGTTTTATTGAGAACATGTTTCATGCAGGCAAGATCCTTCACCAGGGATGCATATATTAAAAATACATGTACTTTGCATTGAAGGAGCTGAAAAATTAGAAGGAAAGGGGGGATCTAAATAACTGCAATGAAGAAGAGGAAGTGAGGAGCACAGTTAGCAAAGTACGGCTAAAATGTGGCGGGAGTTCAGACCAGGAAGAGACTGCTTCCCACTTGTAAGTCAGGGAAGGCCCTCTGGAGTAAGGGATATCTAAAACAGGCCTGATGATCCATTAATAGTTGAACATGTGGAGGTTGCTAGGACCCCATTCCATCTGGAGATAAAATTTGAATTTAAAAGTCCCAGAACCCAGGTCAGAACAACAAATCCTGCAAAATTAAATTGAGCTTATATTGACAAACAATCATTAATCAGAAACAAGCAAAAATAACAAAATTTTTACAAAGAGAGTTGAGAGGACGTCATCATCACGATGTGTTCAGGTGTGTCTGGAGCCCTTGGGCTGCTGGTCTCTCACCCCAAAAGGAGAAGGGTGACGAGGAGGCTCATGGTGTGTCTTAACAGAAACTGGATGAGAACAGAGATAGAAGTCACTCTGAATAAGGTGGAGCTGAGAATTGAGGAGCAAGAGGGAAGGGGACTGGGGAGAGAAGAACTGAGGAGAGAAAAACAAAAAACATGGGAAGAAAAGTGGGGTAGAGGCTAAGAGTAGGAAAGACACATGCAAAGAACTCACCAGCGTTTCCTGAACCAAAGCGCAAGACCTATCAGAAGAAGTAAAGGCACTATCACCGCCAAGATGATGAAGCCCACGGAACTGTGATGCTCTGTGAATTTGGGGAGACACCAAGGATGTTATAATCCATCCCATTTTACCTCATCCACTCCCTATTTCACTGCATTCCCTGGGCTTCTTTTTTTCATTTGAGTATCCAACTTACCAATCTCCTTTTTTTCTATGTTTTTCTCTCATCCCTGCTCAGAGATGGATTCTTCAGTTAACCCTCAGCATCCTCCTGCATCTACAGGGCCCTCATTTTCAACATTTCCATTTCTTAGATTATCTATTTTTATTCATGTTTGGGCTATAATCCCTAAAATCCTAAAATTTTCAGCTTGCCCTCCCTCTATGCCTGAGGTCCACTTCCTGGCATTTCCAGCCTGGGCCTTAGCTTTTTCTCACCCCAGTAGAGGACGATGTCCTGGCCCTCTAGACTGCTGTGCTTCACCCGACAGGACAGGTCAGCTGCCTCCCCAGCGGCCACCTCCAGGGTTGCGCGGAGATACCATGTCCCATCAGCACTGGGCAAGATGTCCCCTCGCTGAGTGCCCTGCTGCTCCTGCTCACCCCGCATCCACATCACCCACACGGGCTTTGGGTAGAATCCTGAGACATGGCACACAAGCTGCAGATGGCCAGGGCCAGGACTGGGGCCATGGGACAGCCAGGCCTCGGGCTTCACTGCAAAGGACAGAAAAGATATTCAAATACAGACTTGGAGTTTCATATCTCCACAACAGTTTAGAAGTTTAGATAGACACATTGTTCCCATTTCTCTTTTTTTTTTTTTTGAGACAGGGTCTCACTCTGTCACTATGCTGCAATGCAGTGGCATAATTATAAATTATAGCTCACTGTAACCTCAAACTGTTAGGCTCAAGCGATCCTCCTGCCTCAGCCTCTTAAGTAACTGGGACTACAGGTGTGTACCACCATGACTGGCTAACTTATTTTTATTTTTTAGAGACACTGGTCTCACTCTGTTGCTCAGGCTGGTCTGGGACTCCTGCCCTTAAGAAGTCCTCCAGCCTCAGCTTCCCAAAGTACTGGGATTACAGATGTGAGGCACTGCACCCAGCCTTTCCCACTTCTGGGTGGCTCTTCCTTATTCTAAATTGGAAGGAGGTGGTGGAAGGGTATGATTTTCAAATCAAAACTTCTTGGAGGGAGAGTGCAGGACTGACCTTGCCGCTGGAGATGTGCCTTTCCTGCATCAAGAAGACCCAAGATGAAACGTGGGCAGGTGTCACTGAGAAGATTGTGTGTTATGTCATTTTCATGCTGATTCTGATTGAGCACTTTGCAGAAATGCTTGGCCATATTCCCAGCCACTGGATATGGCAACCATGAATTGTTCTGGAAGCTCACAAAGTCTGATCCTTGATAAGCTAACTGCAAGAAGCTTCCTGAGACCTTTCCAGAGTGCAGCTCACAGCCTCCTGTCACCTGTATCTCAAAAGGATCTGGGGTTATGAAATAGAGGAAAGAGGGAGAAAAAAATATAAAATGAAATGAGTAGAAGCAAAGATTATAGAAGCAGAAGGGGGAAGTGTGCAGGGTTTGACATAATGGAATAAAATTTGGTTTGGTCAGGGATTCAGAGAAAGAGGAATTGGTGGGAGCTGTAGGTGGAGGAAAAGATTAATAACATGAGGAAGAGGGCAAACTGGTCAAAGAAGGTGATGTGAATGCTGTGGGTGAGCAAGGACCTGGTGTAAGAGAACTGGGATTATAACAACTTAGGTTGAATTAAATGCAATGGGTTACAATTGAGTATATATAGAGAGACTGCTGAAGAGAATGAATGAGAAAGTGAGAAAGCTGAAGGTATCTGGTTGTAGGGCAGGCAGAAGGGTGGTCCTGGGATACCTGTAAGAAAAGATAATAATGCACAACCCTGCAATCAATGAGAGAGGAGTTCATAAGTAGCAGAAGTGTTTGGAGAATTAAGGTCTGGATGATAGCCCTTGCCCAAAAGTATGCAATTGCAGTTTTATGGTGGAAAGAATAGAATAAGATACAGAAGAGAGTCAGGCTGTTTCCTAAAGGAATAAGAAACATTGAGACAACCCCTCTCTCCCACCTCACCACTCTCCATGGAGAAAACTGAACTCACATTCAAACTGCAATTCATGGGCGTATCTACGAATTCCCTCAAATGACCGAATGGTGCGTATACGGAATAATGTTTCCAGTTCCTTCCACTCCTCATTGCTGAAGTTTCCCCTGGACCAGGGGCACAGGAAAACGATGGTGCTGGAATTGCTGTCCCAGGTATGAGTCTGCAAATCACTCAGCCAACCTGAGACCAGATTTTGTTTCCAGGAATGGTTGTAAAAGGATGCGATCCAGGTGACATGGAAGGAGAGAGGCTCCTTGAGCCCTGCGACAAAAGAACAGATAGAATGGGGAGAAAGACATTGAGAAAGAGGATGGAGAGAGAAAGGTGCCAGAGTGCGGGAACTCAGAATCTGGAGAAAAGGGGATCCATCATGATCTTAGCAGACATTCACTTGCCACACAGTCCCATGCCTTATCAACCACCTTCATAAGAGCTCAGGGACCTGGAGTCATGGATAGTCAGAATGGAACCAGCCTGGCACTCTCACTTTCCAGGTATATGCTAGGGAAACCACACACACACACACACACACACACACACACACACACACACACACACAGAGAGAGAGAGAGAGACCTTCACCCACCACCCAACTGGGCAGTTGTCAGAGTTCTTACCGTCTGCATTGCCATCACCTGGGAGAACAGCTAACAATGGAAGTAGCAAAAACAGCATATCATTTGCAGATGTTATTTCCTTCTCTCAGAAAAATTGGTCTTTGATTTCTGTTCCAAACAAACCTACCCCACGATATCTCTATTCTGACTTCTTTCTGCAGCCAACAGACAAACCTCCCCTGACTGCAACAAAGAAAATCCACTCCTTCAAAAACCCTGAGATGCCTACTCAGTCTCTCATTTCCCTCTGGTTCTGACTCTCCTCTCTGTTCCAGCTTCTCTCCTTGTCACCAACCTCCAACTTATTCACCTTCCCCTAATTCAACTGCTATGGAACAAGTCTGATGTGGCATTGAAAAGCCACTTAACCACTAAGGACATTTTTTTCTCAATCATACAATAAGAGCATAAAGTGAAATGGCTCCCAGTGTGCTGCCCAATGCTCCCATGTCCCTGCTCTTTTTGATCACTCTGTCCTTTTCAATATTTTCCCATGTATTCTCTTCCCCTGTCTCTTCAGCCCCTTACTACATTCACATTTCTGATTTAACATTGATTTATTTGCTTTTTCAGAGTCTCCTACGACTGCCCTGTGCGACAGTACAAACTAACACCTTTTCTCCATTATTCTTAGAGAAGAGCCAGTAACCATCACAAAAAAAAAAAAAAAAAAAAAAAAAAAAAAAAAAAAAAAAACCACAGGAACACTAAAACATATAAAGAAAATTTCCTCTGTTTGATTTTCATTGATATACATTCACTCACCCAACAGTCTCTCTTAGCACCTGCCTGGAGTCAAGCATCTTGGTACACTTAAGAATATGCAGTGGTTGACAACACAATCACTTTACTGAAGGAGCTTTTTCTCTACTTAGGGAGAAAAACACGCCATGAAATATAAATCTTGGTGTACTGAGTTTTATTATACTGTATACACTCTCTGGATAAAAACAAGGCCTGCTTGAAATAATATTTTCTAAAATGGGGGCTCCTAACTAATGTACGCCAGCCCAGAATTTTGACTTCAATGTTTGACTTGGAGTGTTAGTTCCATACAGTTATCATACTGTATCCCCACCTAACAGAGTATCTCACAAGTGGTAGGTGCTTAGTGAATATTTGTCAAATGAATGAATGAATTCAGTCTATGCATCCATTTTTTAATTATGGAGGTGATATTCAACATGAAACTTTTTAAAGATATCATAAAAGTTACTTGTAACCCTATGTAGTGAGATGAGAATCTCATACAGTTTTATTTAGGATAAAAGTACAAGTTACTGGCATGAGATTTACATAAAAGATCCTGCTATAAATGTCCTATTACTTATAAGAAACTAGTCAGAACTTGTGAGCAGTGAAGTTAATGGAGTATTCCAAAGTCTTTATCCCAGGATCCCTTTTTATTAGTCCTATTTGGATGTTTCAGGGTTGTTTTGTTATAAATGAGTCTTTGCCGGACACATTTACATTCCTCTTTTACGCTGCTTGTAACTGTTGAAGGGCTTCTAAATATATGTTTGTGCTTTGTAGATATCATCCATATAAATGTGTCTGGGCTATTTACTATTTTTTGGTTTTCAAAAAAAAAGTATCTGAAGCTAATTTAGGGGGAAAAAATTTTTTTTCTTGAGACAGGGTTTCACTCTGTTACTCAGGCTGGAGTGCAGTGGAATAATCATAGCTCACTGTAACCTCCAACTCCCGGCCTCAAGCAATCCTCCTGTGTCAGCCTCCCAAAGTGCTGGGATTGTTGGCATGAGCCACCAGGCATGGCCTGCAAATAATTTTTTTATTTGTTTTTTGTTTTGTTTTGTTTTGTTTTGTTTTGAGACAGAGTCTCACTCTGTCACCCAGGCTGGAGTTCAGTGGCATGATCTCAGCTCACTGCAACCTCTGCCTCCCAGGTTAAAGCAATTGTCCTGCCTCGGTTTTGCAAGTAACTGGGATTACAGGTATGCACCACCATGCCTGGCTAACTTTGATATTATTAATAGAGATGGGGTTTCACCATGTTGGTCTCAAACTCCTGACCTCAGATGATCCACCTGCCTCAGCCTCCCAAAGTGCTGGGATTACAGATAATTTTTTTAAAGTTAAGATTAGCATGCAAAAAGCTGGAAAGAGCTTCATTTTCATACTTATAATTTTTTGAAGCCAGATTATCAAAATCATAACTTGAATTTATCAAAGAACTGAAATATCAAGGCAACCAGTTAACCCAAAATATAAAGAAAGACAGACTCCTCAAAGGACAGATGGAATGCAAACCCTTGTTTACTTGGGACAGATGCCAGATATTATACAAGCCAGTAAGAATAAGAATTCAGCTAAAATTTTAGACAAATTAGTAAAGGCTAGCATGAGTATATAGAAGCCCTGGGAGTCACAAAAACAGGGAAATTCGCATCAGTCTCTAAGCCTTTTTCTATGAACCTCACCAGGGTCTTCTGAAACATTAGGGTCAGAGATGTAGACCAGATAAATCCTCTCTCATGATGCGGGCCTGAGGTATGAGAACAGCTACTGCATGGGAAGGGTAGTAAGTCCCAACCAGACCCATCTCCTCTATTGCAACATAGAAAAAAAAAAAAACCGTGGCCGGGTGCGGTGGCTCACACCTGTAATCTCAGCACTTTGGGAGGCCAACGTGGGCGGATCACAAGGTCAGGAGTTCGAGACCAACCTGGCCAACATGGTGCAACCCCATCTGTAGTAATAATACAAAAATTAGCCAGTTGTGGTGGTGCACACCTGTAGTCTCAGCTACTTGAACCCGGGAGGCGGAGGTTGCAGTGAGCCGAGATCGCGCCACTGCACTCCAGCCTGGGTGACAGAGCAATATTCCATCTAAAAGAAAAAAAAAAGCCCTAACCTGGTGGGGAAAGGGCAGAAAGCCCTGCTGCCCTCAGGGCATATGTGAAAACCCACTGCAGCTGAGGAGAAGAAAAACAATGGGAAAGAACGAGAAAACATCCTGGTTCCAGACTATTAGAGGTCCCAAACTGCTGGAAGAAAGGCAGGAACACTTACATGACAAAACTTCAAAAAATTCAAAAACAACTGACCTGCCTAAGAATGAGACTGCACCAGAACAAAAGACAGTGCTCTTACTCCTTCTCCCAAGCAGTATCATAAATATCAATTACAAGACGAGTCTGCAGCTAGAAGAATGGAAAGCATGGAGGTAGGTCCTCTAGAGATATTTCACAAAGGAAACACCAAAACCTGAGAGTGGAGACATTAACAAAACCTTCTGGCAAACCAGCCCCACCCTAGGAACAGAGCAATGTAGAGGAACTTGAAGACTATTGCAGCAACAGCAAAACAGCAAACCCAGTTAGCTCCAGACTAGATTGACTCAAACCCTCACACTGCAGTTCACTCTTGAATAACATGGGTTTCAACTGTGTGCATTTACTCACACGTGGATTTTCTTCTGACTCTGCCACCACTAAGACAAGGCAACTCCTCTTCCTCCTCCTCTTCTGCCTACTGTACATGAAGACAATGAAGACGAACATGTGATGATCCACTTAATAAATAGCAGATATATTTTCTCTCCCTTCTGATTTTCTTTAAAATATTTTCTTTTCTCTTGCTTACTTTAAGAATATCATATATAATACATATAACATACAAAATATATGTTCATCAACTGTTTATGTTAGCAGTAAGGCTTCCAGCCAATAGTAGGCTATTCATAGTTAAGATTTGGAAAAGTCAAAAGTTATACATGGATTTTTGACTGCACGGGGCCGTCATCACTCCTAACCCCCATGTTATTCAAGGGTCAGCTGTACAAGTTTAGCAAGCTTATCCTGATTTCTCATGTGGAATGGGTCCTGGGAAAACCTTAGAGATATAGGGACTGTAATCCTTAAAAAGCTCTTTTAAAACTTTATGAGGCTTCTCCCTCATTCAAATGAAATAGAGCTGCAGGGACGGCAGACTTCACGCCAAGGTAACAAAATGAGGGCACTAAAGCTAGCATACACACACAAATGTTTCCCAAGTTAATGCAAAGAGCAGGGAATGAAAAGGTGAGAGAGATAGGAAGAGAGGACCAACATTGGTCTGATCAGGCACAAGACATCCGCATGACTGAGACCAAGGTGGAAGATGGCAGAAATGGTTGGGGAAGACTGAGCTAACCAGAGTTGTAGGATGGAAAGTCTGAAAGAGGCAAAATTTTCCGAAGGTTGTAAAGAGACAAAGTCAGGATCATCCCCCAAATAGTGAGTTAATCGGTGTATTGTATATCCCGGGCTTGCTTCATGGGGCACGCAACCAATGCAGCATCATAGTTGATGCCCTATGATCATCATCCTTAAATTCTTCATAATTTTATCTTAATGTGTGTTTTATAAATGAAGTCAAATGAGCCAAAAAAAACTTGTGTGAGGGCTTCTTTGCTGACATGTGGTCTTGGCTCCCATCACTTCACCTCCCCAGCACTGATTCTCTGCCATCTGCTCCCCAATGTCTGGGGCCACAGGCAATTCTTGCCCTCCTGTCCACCACTACCCTGCCACTGTCTGCCCATACAGCCGTCTGATCTCATCAGCAGAGGTGGCCCCTTCTGCCATCACCTTTCACAATTCCCTTGCTTTTGCCAGGGACACAGGGAGAATAAGATTTGGGGGCATGCATCCCACAGTGTCTGCACAGAGGTTGGCTTTAGCCATCCCCACCCAGGCTGCACCACAGAGTGTTTTGAGACAGATCAGGACGACATGCTTTCCCACCCTTGATCCAAGAATCAAGTGCATCTCCATACAGTGGTTGCAATTTCATGGTGGTCACCCATCTGTGGAGGGTTGGAGTGGCCACTGTGGGAAGGAGAGACTGACTTCCTCTTCCCAGCAAGGGGAACCCAGCAGCCAGTGGGCAGCTTGCATGCGCCGGAGTCATGGAGTGCGGCCCCCAGGCACCTAAGAGCCTCTGTGCTCACACTGTGAGTATCCCTGTGCCCAAGGGGTACAACATTAGCAAATTAAACAAACAAGAATAACAAAACAAAACACCATAACAGGTTGAGACAGAAAGAGAGAGAAACTTCAGAAGGAATGAAAAAGTTTTATATTTTAATACCTTTAAAAGCACTCTTCTCCTGCCTATTTGAATACAGACCTGCTATGTTCTGAATCTTTGTGTCTTCCCAAAATTCATATGTTGAAATTCTAACCCCCAATGTTATGTTATTAGGAAGTGGGGCCTTTGGGAGGTGATTAGATTATGAGATTGGAGCCCTCATGAATGTGATCAGTTCCCTTATAAGAGACCCAAGAGAGACCCCTGACCCCTTCCACCATGTAAGGACACATCCAGAAAGTGTACTCTATGTACCAGAAAGCAGGCCTCCACTAGACACTGAATCTTCCTTGATCTTGGACTTCCCAGCCTCCGAAACTGTGAGAAATAAATTTCTGTTGTTTATAAGCCACCCAGTCTGTGGTATTCTGTTGTAGCAGCCTGAATGGAGAAAGACAGGGCCCCAGATTTCTATTCTGCACAACGCCACAAATTATGTGGCCTACACCGTTGAATATGGGGTCAGAAAAGCAAAGAGGAGTCAGCTTAGGTTTGATAAGGAAAAGAAAGAGAATTAACTAATTGAGAAATGGAGTTCTGGGACCAAAGTTTTATGAGCTGATCAGAAACACCAGGGAAATAAAAGATGCTAAAGAAGGAAGAAGCGGGAGAAGAGGAAGTTGGGCACAGATTGGAAAGAGAAGTGGAGCCAAGCCACAAGTATCTCCACCCCAGCTTTCTGTGGGCAGAGCTGATCTTTATCAGAGACGCAGGCAGCAGCTGGTGAGAGCTGTAGTCCTACTGTGGGTCTGCAATTTTCCCAGCCAACTCCACTCCTGAGTGTTCACTCAGCTATGATGGGTACAGGGCAGGATCTGAAGGAGGGAACAGAAGGGAACAGGGCTTCTTGGGAGCTGGCTGGGGGTGCTGAGAAATTGGGGGTGGGGGCTGAGAAAGAGCAGAATGCTAGGGAAAAATCAAGAGATAAAATAGGTAAGGAAGGTGACCAGAACTGGAGAAAAGGAAAATAATTAAGAGAGAAGGGGATGGCTATCACTAATCACTGATAATTTTGTACTCCCTGGACACAGGAAACCCCAGAGAAGCAAACTAGTGTGAATAACATATACCCTGATTAGAACTCAATCAGACAGGTGTCCCAGCTATCCTAGGCAAGTCCATATTCTTCCCTTTGCCACCAAACCTTTCCCCAGGATCCACTTTCTTGAACCATTGGTGTTCAGGCCAAAAGCATGTTCCTGTTCACTGTAGCAGCACTTACCTGTTGCTCCTCCAAACGCAAACATGGCTCCTAAATTCTTCCTTCCCCATTGAAGCTCTCCTCAGAACCCAGATATGAAAGCTCCCCTCCCCACATGGTCTCATCTCATCTGACTTCCTCCTCTTCACTAACAGAAACCTCAATTTCCTGGCCACAGAAACCACTGCCTCTCATAACCACATGCCTTTTCTGGGCTTCTCATTTTCCCTCTCACTCTGCTTCAAGTTTTTCCTTGCCATTCTGGCTTCTGGAAGGACTCGCTTTATCTGCCTGTGTGCTGCTGGCCTCTCACGCACATCTCTTACAGTAAAAGGAGCTGTAGACTGAGTCAAGATGAACCCCCACATGGGACACCTGTTGGAGGTGTTGAATTGGAGAGATCCTTAACACTTTGGCCTCAGTTTCTTTATCTGTAAAATAACTAGATTGAAAGAACTGAATAGTCTCTAATATCACTATGGCTTATTCTTTGTGTCTTACTGTGCTCCTGTTCCTTCCCATACATGTGTTCTTCCTCCACCTTTCTCTCTCTTCTCTGTCTTCACTGTCATCCTCCCTTAGCCTTTATCTCAGCTCCCAGAGCCTCCTCTTCAATTTCTCATACTTCCTATCCATTCAATCTAACCTCAGTCCCTCCTCCTGGACTCACTTTCCTAACCTGAAGCATTGCCTTGTCACATGACCCTTGGATTTCTGTGCGTAACACATAAAACAGCCAGGGATTCTGCTTCTGGAAAGACAGCACACTACATGACCTGCAAAGACATACTAACACAAAACACCCAGAAATGCAAGATTTTTAAAAATTATTTTTAAATGCATAGCTGCATTTACAATGAAATAAAGAAAGCTCTCTAGGGGGCAAAGAAATGGAAACCCAGAAAGGCAAACAGGATCCACACCTGGACATATTAAGCATTGTCTTGTATAGATCCCTAGGAGTTTGGCTACTGTTAGTCACTTGGATCAGGAAACAAGGCCTTAGGATTTAAAAAAAAAAAAATAGGTAATAAGACTTGCAACTGAGGCTTCTGCTATATCCTCACTTCAGTGATAGAATGGACAAATAGAGTAGAAAAAAAATCCATCCAATTATATGGATTGGATTGTTTTTTGGTTTTTCTCCTTCTGAGAATTGCTAATCACAGGTCTGAGTTTGAAGTTCAAAAGTATCTACTTGCATGAGCCTGAAATTCACAAACTAAGAAATTAATTTTAAAAGTAATTCCATGCTGTGCACAGTGGCTCACACCTATAATCCCAGCATTTTGAGAGGCCTAGGCGGGCGGATCACCTGAGTTCAGGAGTTTCAGACCAGCCTGGCCAACATGGCGAAACTTTGTCACTACTAAAAAGACAAAAATTAGCCAGGCGTGGTTGCGCACAACTGTAATCTCAGCTACTCAGGAGGCCTAGGCACGAGAATCTCTTGGGCCCAGGAGGCGGAGGTTGCTGTGAGCCAAGATCGCGCCTCTGCACTCCAGTCTGGGCGACAGAGCAAGTCTCTGTCTCAAAACAAAACAAAACAAAACAAAACAAATGTAATTCCAGGTGTGCCACCTGGTGGAATTTAAAGCAAAGTTATCTCAAGAGAACCACCCTCAATACAAGCTGCAAAGGATATTTCACAAAAAGCCTTTCCTAAGATGAGGTCACCATCCAAACTTAGCACAGGGAGAAAGATTCCATGATGAAGGAAAGTTGGCAGACAGAATAAATAGTTTCATTTCCCTAAGATATCACATATAGAGGAATTTATATTTTAAAACCTTAAAGTCAAAAGGTTTGAAAAGACATTATCAAAAAATATCAAACATATTTTAAAGCAAATTAAACTTCTAGAAATATAAACGCTAATTACTATAAAAACTCAATGAGTAGATTAAACAACAAAGACAGAAAGCAATTTAAAAAGACTTCTAAATTGGGAGAGCTGAAGAATTTCCTCTAATGCAATATAGAGATAAAGAAGTGTTGAATACGAAAGAAGTTAAGATATATGAAAATTAGTATGAAATCCAATATGAGCCCAATAGGAATTTCATTAAAAGACAAAACACACAATTGGAAGAGGAAATATTTAAAGAAAGCATGGCTGAAAATTTTCCAGAAATAATGAAAGACATGAATGTTTAGATTCAGAAAAGGCAAAAGCACCAAAGCAGAATTAATGAGTTTTTAAAATAATCTTTATTTTTCATAGTGAAGAAAAAAACTTAAAGATGTAGGTAACTCAGAATATAAGACAATAGAAAGCAAAGTTCCTTTTTATTATATTTCAGTTATTATATTTCAGTTATAAACAATCATCTACAAATATCAAATGTTATGCTAAACACTTAGATTACAAAGAGTAGACAGATAAAAGCTCAAACTCTACAGAAAGAAACCTGTAAATCAGTCATAGAGTGTGATAATTCTCTCATGAGAGAAAGTATAGGGAAATGAATGAACCTGATTAAATCTTTCTTCTCCATATTTTCACTGTTTGCAGGGCTTTGCTCACTCTGAGCACAAGACTTTTGTCTGCAATAATCAGGCAGGACCTAGACAGTGAGACCATATATTCGTGAGAATATCTCAAGTGATTTTTTAATTCAGGAATGTATGAAGGTATAAAAAAGGATTAAAACTGCCTGGACATAATGAGCACCACATATGACACCTCATTCAGGTATCAACTTCTCCTAACTCCTCAGTGAGAAGCTGATGAGAATTCTTGGGCAATCAGACAACATCTTTTTAGCCATGCTTAGTAGTTCTCACCAGTTCTAGCAATAACTAAAGGATAACAGGTAACACACTTGGGAGATGCCAGGGGTACTCTTGTATCAGTTGTAATTAATGTTGCTTTTTTGTTTGTCAGGGCCCTTATTATCATACAGAAAGTAGGTGAAGACACGCTTTGCTATGTGATTGCTCAACGTTCTCCTTAAGAGGATTCTTTACAAATATTATGCTAGGAAGACTTTTATTTTCCCAATATGTTCTGAAAATGCTGCGTAAATGTTTACTTATCTTGCAATGCCTGTTATATGCGTGTTTGCTCTCTTGCTTAACGACTAATCCTCTCCTAGACGAAAAATTTGCCAACAGTGGATGTATTCCTTTACAGGACCGTCATTTAAAAAATCACAGACTGGGTATGTTAAACAACAGAAATTGGTTTCTTGTGAGGCCTGCCTCCTTTGCTTGCAGGTGGCCCTCTTCTTGCTCCACCCTCACATGGTCTTCCCTCTGTCTATGAGACTATATCTGGTCTTTATCTCTTTAAAGATTCTGTTTCCAAATGTAGTCACATTCGGAGGAACTGGGAGTTAGGGCTCCAACAATGGAATCATCATGGGACACAATTCAGCCTATAACATGGGACATGCTCCCTTTCCAAATTCTTCTCCATTTTTGGAAGCTAGGCTTGCAAAATTTTTTTTAAAACAGAAGTGTCTTACAGACATCTAGACTTCAAAGGATCTTGCTAAGGCCCATGAAAATAACCTTTAGCTTTCAAAAATGTTTGTAATTCCATACCGTTTTCTTTTTAATAATTGTTGCCATAATATTTATGTTTAACATCTCTGTTTTCTAATATATATAATCAATTCTGATTTTTTTCTTTAAGCCCAAAAGGAATATTATATTTTTCCCCTTTTTCACGATTGCAGAAACAATAACTAAAACCCTTGATACTGCTAGATTACTTATTTAAGCAAAGAATTTGAAGATCTATCGCCTAAAATAATACTACCCTATTACTACAATTATGCAATTTTTTCCTTTTTTTCTGTGTTTTGTTATATAGTAGGTATACATGTTTATGGGGCACATGAGGTATTTTAATACAGGCATACAATGTGTAATAATCACCTGAGAGTAAATGGAGTATCCAATACCTCAAGCATTTATGCTTTCTTTGTGTTACAAACGATCCAGTTATACTCTTTTATTTTTAAATGTGCAATAAATTATTGTTGGCTGTAGTCACCCTGTTGTGCTATCAAATACTAGTTCTTATTCAGTCTATCTATTTTTGTACCCACGTTAGTGGGTACAAAACCATCTCTACTTTCCCCCAACCCCACTACCATTTCCAGCCTCTAGTAACCATCAATCTACTGTCCACCTCCATAAGCTTAATTGTTTTACCTTTTTAGCTCCCAAAATAAGTAAGAACATACAATGTTTGTCTTTTTGTGCCTGGCTAATTTCACTTAACATAATGCCCTCCAGTTCCATCCATGTTGTTGCAAGTGACAAGATCTCATTTGTTATGGCTGAATGGTACTCCATTATGTATATGTACCACATTTTTTTATCCATTCATCTGTTGATGGACACTTAGACTGCTTCCAAATCTTGGCTATTGTGAATAGTGCTACAATAAAAATGGGAGTGCAGATATCTCTTCAATATACTGATTTCCTTTCTTTTGGGTATATACCTAGCAATGAGATTGCTGAATCATATGGTAGTTCTGTTTTTGGTTATTTGAGGAGCCTCCAAACTGTTCTCCATAGTGGTTGTACTAATTTACATTCCCTCCAACAGTGTATGAAGGTCCCCTTTTCTCTACATTCTTGCCAGCATTTGTTATTGCCTGTCTCTTATATAAAAGCCTCTCTAGCTGGGGTAAGATGATATCTTATTGCAGTTTTGATTTGCATTTCTCTGAAGATCAATGATGATGAGAACTTTTTCATATACCTGTTTGCCATGTGTATGCCTTCTTTTGAGAAATGTGTATTCAGATATTTTACCCATTTTTAATGGGATTATTATATTTTTTCCTGTTGAGTAGTTCGAGTTCCTTATATATTCTGGTTATTAATCCCTTGTCAGGTAGATAGTTTGCAAATATTTTCTCTTATTCTCTGGGTTGTCTCTTCACTTTGTTGTTTCTTTGCTTTGCAGCTTTTTAACTTGGCATGATCCCACTTGTCCATTTTTGCTTTGGTTGCCTATGTTTTGGAGGTATTTTTCTCAAGAAATCTTTACCCAGTCCAATGTCCTAGGGAGTTTCCCCAGTGTTTTCCTGTAGTAGTTCCATAGTTTGAGGTCTTACATTTAATTCTTCAATCCATTTTCATTTAATCCATGTGTATGGTGAGAGATACAGGTCTAGTTTCATTATTTTGTATGTGGATATCCAGTTTTCCCAGCACCATTTACTAAAAGGACTGTGCTTTCCTCAATGTATGTTTTTGGTACCTTTGTCAAAAATGCATTCACTGTAGATCTATGAATTTACATCTGGGTTCTCCATTCTGTTCCATTGATCTATGTGTCTGTTTTTAGGCCATTACCATGCTATTTTGTTTACTATAGCTCTGTAGCATAATTTGAAGTCAGGTAATGTGATTCCTCTAGTTTTGTGCTTTTTGCTAAAGATAGCTTTGGCTTTTCTGCATCTTCTATGGTATCATATAAATTTTAGTACTATTTTTTCTATTTCTGTGAAGAATGTCATTGGTATTTTGATAGAGATGGCTTTGAATCTGTAGGTTACTTTGGGTAGTATAGATGTCTTAATGGTATTGATTCTTCCATTCCTGAACACGGAATATCTTCTTTGTGTGTGTGTCTACTTCAATTTCTTCCATCAATATTTTATAGTTTTCATTGTAGAGATCTTTCACTTGTTTGGTTAATTTAATTCCTAGCTATTTTTAGGAATTTTTTAGCTATTGTAAATGAGATCACCTTCTTGGTTTATATTTCCAATTGTTTTCTTTTGGCATATAAAATGCTACTGATTTTTTTATTATTATTATACTTTAAGTTTTAGGGTACATGTGCACAATGTGCAGGTTAGTTACATATGTATACATGTGCCATGCTGGTGTGCTGCACCCATTAACTAGTCATTTAGCATTAGGTATATCTCCTAATGCTATCCCTCCCCCCTCCCCCCACCCCACAACAGTCCCCAGTGTGTGATGTTCCCCTTCCTGTGTCCATGTGTTCTCATTGTTCAATTCCCACCTGTGAGTGAGAACATGCAGTGTTTGGCTTTTTTGTCCTTGAGATAATTTACTGAGAATGATGATTTCCAATTTCATCCATGTCCCTACAAAGGACAAGAACTCATCATTTTTTATGGCTGCATAGTATTCCATGGTGTATATGTGCCACATTTTCTTAATCCAGTCTATCATTGTTGGACATTTGGGTTGGTTCCAAGTCTTTGCTCTTGTGAATAGTGCCGCAATAAACATACGTGTGCATGTGTCTTTATAGCAGCATGATTTATAGTCCTTTGGTTATATACCCAGTAATGGGATGGCTGGGTCAAATGGTATTTCTAGTTCCAGATCCCTGAGGAATCGCCACGCTGACTTCCACTATGGTTGAACTACTTTACAGTCCCACCAACAGTGTAAAAGTGTTCCTATTTCTCCACATCCTCTCCAGCACCTGTTGTTTCCTGACTTTTTAATGATCGCCATTCTAACTGGTGTGAGATGATATCTCATTGTGGTTTGGATTTGCATTTCTCTGATGGCCAGTGATAGTGAGTATTTTCTCATGTGTTTTTTGGCTGCATAAATGTCTTCTTTTGAGAAGTGTCTGCTCATGTCCTTTGCCCACTTTTTGATGGGGTTGTTTGTTTTTTTCTTGTAAATTTGTTTGAGTTCATTGTAGATTCTGGATATTAGCCCTTCGTCAGGTGAGTAGGTTGCGAAAATTTTCTCCCATTTTGTAGGTTGCCTGTTCACTCTGATGGTAGTTTCTTTTGCTGTGCAGAAGTTCTTTAGTTTAATTAGATCCCATTTGTCAATTTTGGCTTTTGTTGCCATTGCTTTTGGTGTTTTAGACATGAAGTCCTTGCCCATGCCTATGTCCTGAATAGTAATGCCTAGGTTTTCTTCTAGGGTTTTTATGGTTTTAGGTCTAATATTTAAGTCTTTAATCCATCTTGAATTGATTTTTGTATAAGGTGTAAGGAAGGCATCCAGTTTCGGCTTTCTACATATGCCTAGCCAGTTTTCCCAGCACCATTTATTAAATAGGGAATCCTTTCCCCATTGCTTGTTTTTCTCAGGTTTGTCAAAGATCAGATAGTTGTAGATATGCAGCATTATTTCTGAGGGCTCTGTTCTGTTCCATTGGTCTATATCTCTGTTTTGGTACCAGTACCATGCTGTTTGGGTTACTGTAGCCTTGTAGTATAGTTTGAAGTCAGGTAGTGTGATGCCTCCAGCTTTGTTCTTTTGGCTTACGATTGACTTGGCGTTGTGGGCTCTTTTTTGGTTCCATATGAACTTTAAAGTAGTTTTTTCCAATTCTGTGAAGAAAGTCATTGGTAGCTTCATGGGGATGGCATTGAATCTGTAAATTACCCTGGGCAGTATGGCCATTTTTACAATATTGATTCTTCCTACCCATGAGCATGGAATGTTCTTCCATTTGTTTGTATCCTCTTTTATTTCCTTGAGCAGTGGTTTGTAGTTCTCCTTGAAGAGGTCCTTCACATCCCTTGTAAGTTGGATTCCTAGGTATTTTATTCTCTTTGAAGCAATTGTGAATGGGAGTTCACTCATGATTTGGCTCTCTGTTTGTCTGTTATTGGTGTATAAGAATGCTTGTGATTTTTGTACATTGATTTTGTATCCTGAGACTTTGCTGAAGTTGCTTATCAGCTTAAGGAGATTTTGGGCTGAGACAATGGGGTTTTCTAGATATACAATCATGTCATCTGCAAACAGGGACAATTTGACTTCCTCTTTTCCTAATTGAATACCGTTTATTTCCTTCTCCTGCCTTATTGCCCTGGCCAGCACTTCCAACACTATGTTGAATAGGAGTGGTGAGAGAGGGCATCCCTGTCTTGTGCCAGTTTTCAAAGGGAATGCTTCCAGTTTTTGCCCATTCAGTATGATATTGGTTGTGGGTTTGTCATAGATAGCTCTTATTATTTTGAAATACGTCCCATCAATACCTAATTTATTGAGAGTTTTTAGCATGAAGGGTTGTTGAATTTTGTCAAAGGCCTTTTCGGCATTATTGAGATAATCATGTGGTTTTTGTCTTTGGTTCTGTTTATATGCTGGATTACATTTATTGATTTGCATATATTGAACCAGACTTCCATCCAGGGATGAAGCCCACTTGATCACGGTGGATAAGCTTTGTGATGTGCTGCTGGATTCGGTTTGCCTGTATTTTATTGACAATTTTTGCATCAATGTTCATCACGGATATTGGTCTAAAATTCTCTTTTTTGGTTGTGTCTCTGCCCGACTTTGGTATCAGGATGATGCTGGCCTCATAAAATGAGTTAGGGAGGATTCTCTCTTTTTCTATTGATTGGAATAGTTTCAGAAGGAATGGTACCAGTTCCTCCTTGTACCTCTGGTAGAATTTGGCTGTGCATCCATCTGGTCCTGGACTCTTTTTGTTGGTAAGCTATTGATTATTGCCACAACTTCAGATCCTGTTATTGGTGATTCAGAGATTCAACTGCTTCCTGGTTTAGTCTTGGGAGGGTGTATCTGTAGAGGAATTTATCCATTTGTTCTAGACTTTCTAGTTTATTTGTGTAGAGGTGTTTGTAGTATTCTCTGATGGTAGTTTGTATTTCTGTGGGATTGGTGGTGATATCCCCTTTATCATTTTTTATTGCATCTATTTGATTCTTCTCTCTTTTTTTCTTTATTAGTCTTGCTAGTGGTCTATCAATTTTGTTGATCCTTTCAAAAAACCAGCTCCTGGATTCATTAATTTTTTGAAGCATTTTTTGTGTCTCTATTTCCTTCAGTTCTGCTCTGATTTTAGTTATTTCTTGCCTTCTGCTAGCTTTTGAATGTTTTGCTCTTGCTTTTCTAGTTCTTTTAATTGTGATGTTAGGGTGCCAATTTTGGATCTTTCCTGCTTTCTCTTGTGGGCATTTAGTGCTATAAATTTCCCTCTACACACTGCTTTGAATGTGTCCCAGAGATTCTGGTATGTTGTGTCTTTGTTCTCATTCATTTCAAAGAACATCTTTATTTCTGCCTTCATTTCGTTATGTCCCCAGTAGTCATTCAGGAGCAGGTTGTTCAGTTTCCATGTAGTTGTGCAGTTTTGAGTGAGTTTCTTAATCCAGAGTTCTAGTTTGATTGCACTGTGGTCTGAGAGACAGTTTGTTATAATTTCTGTTCTTTTACATTTGCTGAGGAGAGCTTTATTTCCAACCATGTGGTCAATTTTGGAATAGGTGTGGTGTGGTGCTGAAAAAAATGTATATTCTGTTGATTTGGGGTGGAGAGTTCTGTAGATGTCTATTAGGTCCGCTTGGTGCAGAGCTCAGTTCAATTCCTGGGTATCGTTGTTAACTTTCTGTCTCGTTGATCTGTCTAATGTTGACAGTGGTGTGTTAAAGTCTCCCATTATTAATGTGTGTGAGTCTAAGTGTCTTTGTAAGTCACTCAGGACTTGCTTTATGAATCAGGGTGCTCCTGTATTGGGTGCATATATATTTAGGATAGTTACCTCTTCTTGTTGAATTGATCCCTTTACCATTATGTAATGGCCTTCTTTGTCGCTTTTGATCTTTGTTGGTTTAAAATCTGTTTTATCAGAGACTAGGATTGCAACCCCTGCCTTTTTTTGTTTTCCATTAGCTTGGTAGTTCTTCCTCCATCCTTTTATTTTGAGCCTATGTGTGTCTCTTCACGTGAGATGGGTTTCCTGAATACAACACACTGATGGGACTTGACTCTTTATCCAATTTGCCAGTCTGTGTCTTTTAACTGGAGCATTTAGTCCATTTACATTTAAAGTTAATATTATTATGTGTGAAGTTGATCCTGTCATTATGATGTTAGCTGGTGATTTTGCTCATTATTTGATGCAGTTTCTTCCTACTCTCGATGGTCTTTACATTTTGGCATGATTTTGCAGCTGCTGGTACCGGTTGTTCCTTTCCTTGTTTAGTGCTTCCTTCAGGAGCTCTTTTAGGGCAGGCCTGGTGGTGACAAAATCTCTCAGCATTTGCTTGTCTGTAAAGTTTTTTATTTCTCCTTCACTTACGAAGCTTAGTTTGGCTGGATATGAAATTCTGGGTTGAAAATTCTTTTCTTTAAGAATGTTGAATATTGGCCCCCACTCCCTTCTGGCTTGTAGAGTTTCTGCCAACAGATCTGCTGTTAGTCTGATGGGCTTCCCTTTGAGGGTAACCCGACCTTTCTCTCTGACTGCCCTTAACATTTTTTCCTTCATTTCAACTTTGGTGAATCTGACAATTATGTGTCTTGGAGTTGCTCTTCTCGAGGAGTATCTTTGTGGTGTTCTTTGTATTTCCTGAATCTGAATGTTGGCCTGCCTTGCTAGATTGGGGAAGTTCTCCTGATAATATCCTGCAGAGTGTTTTCCAACTTGGTTCCATTCCCACCGTCACTTTCAGGTACACCAATCAGATGTAGATTTGGTCTTTTCACATAGTCCCATATTTCTTGGAGGCTTTGCTCATTTCTTTTTATTCTTTTTTCGCTAAACTTCCCTTCTCACTTCATTTCATTCATTTCATCTTCCATCACTGATACCCTTTCTTCCAGTTGATTGCATCAACTCCTGAGGCTTCTGCATTCTTCACGTAGTTCTAGAGCCTTGGTTTTCAGCTCCATCAGCTCCTTTAAGCACTTCTCTGTATTGGTTATTCTAGTTATACATTCTTCTAAATTTTTTTCAAAGTTTTCAACTTCTTTGCCTTTGGTTTGAATGTCCTCCCGTAGCTCGGAGTAATTTGATCATCTGAAGCCTTCTTCTCTCAGCTCGTCAAAGTCATTCTCCATCCAGCTTTGTTCCGTTGCTGGTGAGGAACTGTGTTCCTTTGGAGGAGGAGAGGCACTCTGCTTTTTAGAGTTTCCAGTTTTTCTGCTCTGTTTTTTCCCCATCTTTGTGGTTTTATCTACTTTTGGTCTTTGATGATGGTGATGTACAGATAGGTTTTTGGTGTGGATGTTCTTCCTGTTTGTTAGTTTTCCTTCTAACAGACAGGACCCTCAGCTGCAGGTCTGTTGGAGTACCCTGCCGTGTGAGGTGTCAGTCTGCCCCTGCTGGGGGGTGCCTCCCAGTTAGGCTGCTCAGGGGTCAGGGGTCAGGGACCCACTTGAGGAGGCAGTCTACCCATTCTCAGAAATCCAGCTGCGTGCTGGGAGAACTACTTCAGTGAGCATTTTTTAATGTGTTTTTTGGCTGCATAAATGTCTTCTTTTGAGAAGTGTCTGTTCATGTCCTTCACCCACTTTTTGATGGGGTTGTTTGTTTTTCTCTTGTAAATTTGTCTGAGTTCATTGTAGATTCTGGATATTAGCCCTTTGTCCGATGAGTAGGTTGCGAAAATTTTCTCCCATTTTGTAGGTTGCCTGTTCACTCTGATGGTAGTTTCTTTTGCTGTGCAGAAGCTCTTTAGTTTAATTAGATCCCATTTGTCAATTTTGGCTTTTGTTGCCATTTCTTTTGGTATTTTAGACATGAAGTCCTTGCCCATGCCTATGTCCTGAATAGTAATGCCTAGGTTTTCTTCTAGGGTTTTTATGGTTTTAGGTCTAACATGTAAGTCTTTAATCCATCTTGAATTAATTTTTATATAAGGTGTAAGGAAGGGATCCAGTTTCAGCTTTCTACATATGGCTAGCCAGTTTTCCCAGCACCATTTATTAAATAGGGAATCCGTTCCCCATTGCTTGTTTTTGTCAGGTTTGTCAAAGATCAGATAGTTGTAGATATGCAGCATTATTTCTGAGGGCTCTGTTCTGTTCCATTGGTCTATATCTCTGTTTTGGTACCAGTACCATGCTGTTTTGATTACTGTAGCCTTGTAGTATAGTTTGAAATCAGGTAGCGTGATGACACCAGCTTTGTTCTTTTGGCTTACGATTGACTTGGAGATGCAGGCTCTTTTTTGGTTCCATATGAACTTTAAAGTACTTTTTTTCCAATTCTGTGAAGAAAGTCATTGGTGGCTTGATGGGGATGGCATTGAATCTATAAATTTCCTTGGGTAGTATGGCCATTTTAACTATATTGATTCTTCCTACCCATGAGCATGGAATGTTCTTCCATTTGTTTGTATCCTCTTTTATTTCCTTGAGCAGTGGTTTATAGTTCTCCTTGAAGAGGTCCTTCACATCCCTTGTAAGTTGGATTCCTAGGTATTTTATTCCCTTTGAAGCAATTGTGAATGGGAGTTCACTCATGATTTGGCTCTCTGTTTGTCTGTTATTGGTGTATAAGAATGCTTGTGATTTTTGTACATTGATTTTGTATCCTGAGACTTTGCTGAAGTTGCTTATCAGCTTAAGGAGATTTTGGGCTGAGACAATGGGGTTTCTAGATATACAATCATGTCATCTGCAAACAGGGACAATTTGACTTCCTCTTTTCCTAATTGAAAGCCCTTTATTTCCTTCTCCTGCCTGATTGCCCTGGCCAGAACTTCCAACACTATGTTGAATAGGAGTGGTGAGAGAGGGCATCCCTGTCTTGTGTCAGTTTTCAAAGGGAATGCTTCCAGTTTTTGCCCATTCAGTATGATATTAGCTGTGGGTTTGTCATATATAGCTCTTATTATTTTGAGATATGTCCCATCAATACCTAACTTATTGAGAGTTTTTAGCATGAAGGGTTGCTGAACTTTGTCAAAGGTCTTTTCTGCATCTATTGAGATAATCATATGGATTTTGTATTTGGTTCTGTTTATATGCTGGATTACATTTATTGATTTGCATATATTGAACCAGCCTTCCATCCAGGGATGAAGCCCACTTGATCTCGGTGGATAAGCTTTGTGATGTGCTGCTGGATTCCGTTTGCCAGTATTTTTTTTTTTTTTTTTTTTTGAGACGGAGTCTCGCTCTGTCGCCCAGGCTGGAGTGCAGTGGCGCGATCTCGGCTCACTGCAAGCTCCGCCTCCTGGGTTCACGCCATTCTCCTGCCTCAGCCTCCCGAGTAGCTGGGACTACAGGCGCCCGCTACCACGCCCGACTAATTTTTTGTGTTTTTAGTAGAGACCGGGTTTCACCATATTAGCCAGGATGGTCTCGATCTCCTGACCTCGTGATCCGCCTGCCTCGGCCTCCCAAAGTGCTGGGATTACAGGCGTTAGCCACCGCGCCCAGCCGGTTTGCCAGTATTTTACTGATAATTTTTGCATCAATGTTCATCACGGATATTGGTCTAAAATTCTCTTTTTTGGTTATGTCTCTGCCCGACTTTGGTATCAGGATGATGCTGGCCTCATAAAATGAGTTAGGGAGGATTCTCTCTTTTTCTATTGATTGGAATAGTTTCAGAAGGAATGGTACCAGTTCCTCCTTGTACCTCTGGTAGAATTTGGCCGTGAATCCATCTGGTCCTTGACTCTTTCTGGTTGTTGATCCTTTCAAAAAACCAGCTCCTGGATTCATTAATTTTTTGAAGCATCTTTTGTGTCTCTATTTCCTTCAGTTCTGCTCTGATTTTAGTTATTTCTTGCCTTCTGCTAGCTTTTGAGTGTGTTTGCTCTTGCTTTTCTAGTTCTTTTAATTGTGATGTTAGGGTGTCAATTTTGGATCTTTCCTGCTTTCTCTTGTGGGCATTTAGTGCTATAAATTTCCCTCTACACACTGCTTTGAATGTGTCCCAGAGATTCTGGTATGTTGTGTCTTTGTTCTTGTTCATTTCAAAGAACATCTTTATTTCTGCCTTCATTTCGTTATGTCCCCAGTAGTCATTCAGGAGCAGGTTGTTCAGTTTCCATGTAGTTGAGTGGTTTTGAATGAGTTTGTTAATCCTGAGTCCTAGTTTGATTGCACTGTGGTCTGAGAGACAGTTTGCTATAATTTCTGTTCTTTTACATTTGCTGAGGAGAGCTTTACTTCCACGTATGTGGTCAATTTTGGAATAGGTGTGGTGTGGTGCTGAAAAAAATGTATATTCTGTTGATTTGGGGTGGAGAGCTCTGTAGATGTCTATTAGGTCTGCTTGGTGCAGAGCTCAGTTCAATTCCTGGGTATCGTTGTTAACTTTCTGTCTCGTTGATCTGTCTAATGTTGACAGTGGGGTGTTAAAGTCTCCCATTATTATTGTGTGGGAGTCTAAGTGTCTTTGTAGGTCACTCAGGACTTGCTTTATGAATCTGGGTGCTCCTGTATTGGGTGCATATATATTTAGGATAGTTAGCTCTTCTTGTTGAATTGATCCCTTTACCATTATGTAATGGCCTTGTCTCTTTTGATCTTTGTTGGTTTAAAGTACGTTTTATCAGAGAAGTGCTTTAAGGAGGTGATGGATCTGAAAGCCAAGGCTCGAGAACTACGTGAAGAATGCAGAAGCCTCAGGAGTTGATGCAATCAACTGGAAGAAAGGGTATCAGTGATGGAAGATGAAATGAATGAAATGAAGTGAGAAGGGAAGTTTAGCGAAAAAAGAGTAAAAAGAAATGAACAAAGCCTCCAAGAAATATGGGACTATGTGAAAAGACCAAATCTACATCTGATTGGTGTACCTGAAAGTGACGGGGAGAATTGAACCAAGTTGGAAAACACTCTGCAGGATATTATCCAGGAGAACTTCCCCAATCTAGCAAGGCAGGCCAACATTCAAACTCAGGAAATACAGAGAACACCACAAAGATACTCCTCGAGAAGAGCAACTCCAAGACACATAATTGTCAGATTCACCAAAGTTGAAATGAAGGAAAAAATGTTAAGGGCAGCCAGAGAGAAAGGTCGGGTTACCCACAAAGGGAAGCCCATCAGACTAACAGCGGATCTGTTGGCAGAAACTCTACAAGCCAGAAGAGAATGGGGGCCAATATTCAACATTCTTAAAGAAAAGAATTTTCAACTCAGAATTTCATATCCAGCCAAACTAAGCTTCATAAGTGAAGGAGAAATAAAATCCTTTACAGACAAGCAAATGCTGAGAGATATTGTCACCACCAGGCCTGCCCTAAAAGAGCTCCTGAAGGAAGCGCTAAACATGGAAAGGAACAACCGGTATCAGCCGCTGCAAAGTCATGCCAAAATGTAAAGACCATCGAGACTAGGAAGAAACTGCATCAACTAATGTGCAAAATAACCAGCTAACATCATAATGACAGGAACAAATTCACACATAACAATATTAACTTTAAATGTAAATGGACTAAATGCTCCAATTAAAAGACACAGACCAGCAAATTGCAAATTGCATAAAGAGTCAAGACCCATCAGTTTGCTGTATTCAGGAAACCCATCTCACGTGTAGAGACACACATAGGCTCAAAATAAAAGGATGGAGGAAGATCTACCAAGCAAATGGAAAACAAAAAAAGGCAGGGGTTGCTACTGATTTTTGTTGGTTGGTTTTGTATCCTACAACTTTACTGAATTTGTTTATCACTTCTAATAGTTTTTTGGCAAAATTTCTGGGTTTTTCCAAATATAAAATCGTAGCATTTGCATAGAAAGATAATTAGATTTCTTCCTTTAGAATTTGGATGCTCCTTATTTCCTTCTTTTTTCTGATTGCTTTAGCTAGGACTTTCAGTACTATGTTGAATAACAGTGATGAAAATGGGCACTCTTCTCTTGCTCCAGATCTTAGAGGAAAGGATTTCAGCTTTTTCTCCATTCAGTATGATGCTAGCTGTGGGTCTGTTATATATGGCTTTTATTGTGTTGAGGTTTGTTGCTTCCATACACAGTTTTTTGAGAGTTTTTATCATTAAGGAATGTTGCATTTTATCAGTGACTTTTTCAGCATCAACTGAAATGATTATATGATGTTTGCCCTTCATTCTATTGATGATTAATGGATCAAATCAATTTATTTGCATATGTTGAATCATCCTTATATCCCTGGGATAAATCTCACTTGGTAATGTTGAATGATCTTTTAACGAGTTGTTGAATTTGGTTTGCTGGTATTTTGTTGAGGATTTTTGCCTCCATATTCATCAGGGATATTGACTTGTATTTTGTTTGTTTGTTTGTTTGTTTGTTTGTTTTTTATGTGTCTTGTCTGGTTTTGATATCAGGATAATACTGGCCTCATACAATGAGATTGGAAGTATTCCCTCCTCCTCTACTTTTTGAATAGTTTAAGTAGGATTGGTATTAGTTCTTCTTTAAATATTTGGTCAAGCCCAGCAGTGAAGCCATTGTGTCCCAGCCTTTTCTGTGCTGGGAGACTATTTATAATGGCTTCAATCTCATTACTTGTTATTGGTCTGTTCAGGTTTTGGATTTCTTCATGGCTCAGTCTTTTTAGGTTGCATGTGTCCAGGAATTTATCCATTTCTTCTAGGTTTTCCAATTTATTGGCATACAGTTGCTCATAGTGGCCACTAATGATCCTTTGAATTTCTGTATTGTAAGTTTTAATGTCTTCTTTTTCATTCCTGATTTTATTTATTTGGGCCTTCTCTCTTTTATCTTAGTTAGGCCACAGCTTTGTTGGTTTTGTTTATCTTCCCAAAGTCAACTTTTCATTTCATCGATCTTTTGTATTTTTTATTTCAATTTCATTTATTTCTGCTCTGATCTTTATTATCTCTTTTCTTCTACTAATTGTGAGTTTGAGCTTGCTTTTTTAGTTCTTTAAGATGCAACATTAGGTTGTTTATTTGAAGTTTTTCTACTTTTTTGATGTAAGGACTTACAGCTATAAACTTTCCTCTTACTACTGCTTTTGCTGTAACCCATAGAATTCAGTATGTGGTATTTCCATATTCGTTTGTTTCAATAAATTTTTTAATTCCCTTCTTAATTTCTTCATTGACCCACTACTCATTCAGAAGCATGTTGTTTAATTTCCATGTTTTTGTATTGTTTTCAAAATTCCTCTTGTTATTGATTTCTAGTATTATTCCATTGTGGTCAAAAAAGATACTTGATATGATTTCAATCTTTTTAAGACTTGTCTTGTGGCCTAACGTATGGTCGATCCTTAAAAATGATCCATGTGCCAAGGAGAAGAATGCGTATTCTGCAGCCAGCAGATGAAATGTCTTTAAATATCTATTACATCCATTTGGTGTATGGAGCAGATTAAGTCCAATGTTTCTTTATTGATTTTCCGTCCAGATGATTTCTCCAGTGCTGAAAGTGGGCAGTTGAAGTCTTCAGCTATTACTGTATTGGGAACTATCTCTCTTTAGCTCTAATAATATTTGCTTTATATCTGGGTGTTGCAGTGTTGGGTGCATATATATTCATTTATTATACCCCATTGCTGTATTTGATCCCTTTATGATTATATAATGACTTTCTTTGTCTCTTTTTATAGTTTTCTTTCCTTGAAATATATTTTGTCTGATATAAATATAGCTACTCCTGCTGTTTTCTGGTATCCATTGGCATGGAATATCTTTTTCATCTCATAATTTTCAGCCTACGTGTGTCTTTATAGGTGACGTGTGTTTCTTCCAAGGAACAGATGTGTTGGGTCTTTGTTCTTTCATCCATTCAGCCACTCTGTGCCTTTGATTGGAGAATTTAGTCCATTTACAGTCAATGTTATTATTTGTAATAAAGACTTACTCCTGCCATTTTATTATTTGTTTTCTGGTTATTTTGTAGTCTTCTCTTCCTTCTTTCCTTCCTTTCTGTCTTCTTTTTACTGAAGATGAATTTCTCATGGTATGTTTTAATTTCTTGCTTTTTATATTTTGTGTATATTTTGTATGTTTTTTATTTGAGGTTACCATGAGGCTTGCAAATACTATCTTGTAACCCATTATTTTAAACTGATGACAGGTTAACACTGATTACATAAACCAACTAATAAACAAGCAAAAAGAAAACTAATAAAAACCCTATACTTTAACTTAATCTTCCCACTTTTTAGCTTTTTGTCATTTCTATTTGTAACTTATTATACTGTCTATGTCTTGAAAAGTTGTTTTCATTATTATTTTTGATAGGTTCATTGCTTAGTCTTTCTAATCGAAATATGAGTAGTTTACACATCATAACTACAGTATTATAATGGTCTGTGTTTTTCTGTTCACTTGCTATTACCAGTGAATTTTGTACCTTCAGATGATTTCTTATTGCTCATTAACATCCTTTTCTTTAAGATTGAATATCTCCCTTTAGCATTCCTTGTAGAATAGGTCTGGTGTGATAAAATCCCTGCTTTTCTTTCTCTGGGAAAATCTTTATTTCTCCTCCATGTTTGAAGGATATTTTTGCTGAATATACTACTCTAGGATAAAAGTTATTTTCCTTCAGCACTTTATGTATGTCATGGCACTCTATCCGGTCCTGTTTTCAGGTTTCCACTAAGAAGTCGGCAGTCAGACATATTGGAGCTTCTTTCTGTTGTTTCTTTTCTCTTGCTGCTTTTAAGATCCTTTCTTTATCCTTGACCTTTGGGAGTTTGATTATTAAGTGTCTTCAGTTAGTCTTGTTTGGGTTATATCTACTTGGGATTCCATAACCTTCTTGTACTTAAATATTAATATCTTTTTCTAGGTTTGAGAAGTTCTCTGTTACACCCTCTACCTCCTCTTTAAGGCCAATAGCACTTAGATTTGCCCTTTTGAGGGCTATTTTCTAGATCCTGTAGACATTGTTTATTCTTTTTCTATTTCTTTTTCTTTTGTCTTCTATGACTGTGTATTTCAAATAGCCTGTCTTAAAGCTCACTAATTTTTTCTTCTGCTTGATCTAGTCTGCTGTTAAGAGACTCTGATGTGGACCAGGCACAATGGCTCATGCTTGTAATCTCAGCACTTTGGGAGGCCATGGTGGGAGGATCACTTGAGCCCAGGAGTTTGAGACCAGCCTGGACAACTTGAGGAGACCACCATCACTACAAAAAATATTTAAAAATTAGCTTGGCATGGTGGCATGTGCCTGTGTTCCCAGCTACTTGGAAGGCTGAGGTGGGAGGATTGCTTGATCCCAGGAGGTCGAGGCTGGAATGAGCTATGATTGTGCCACTGCATTCCAGCCTGAGTGACAGAGTAAGACCCATCTCCAATAAGGGAGAGAGAGACAGAGAGACTCTGGTGAATTCTTCAGTATATGAATTGCATTTTTCAACTCCAGAATTTCTGCTTGATTCTTTATAATTATTTCAATCCCTTTGTTAAATTTATCTGATAGGATTCTAAATTCCTTATCTGCATTATATTGGATTTTGTTAAGCTTCCTTAAAACAGTTATTTTGAATTATCTGCCTGAAAGGTCACATATCTCTGTCTCTCCAAGGTTGGTCACTAGTGCCTTATTTAGTTCATTTAGTCAGGTCATGTTATTCTGGATGATCCTGATGCTTATGGACATTCATGAGTGTCTGGGCATTGAAGAGTTAGGTATTTATTATACTCTTCTCAGTCAGGGCTTATTTCTACCCATCCTTCTTGGGAAACCTTTTCAGATATTTCAAGGAACTTGGGTATTATGATCTAAATATTTGGTTATTGCAGCTATATTTGCTTTGGGGGACACCCCAAACCCAGTAATGCTGTGGCTCTTGCAGACTCATAGAGGTACCACCTTGGTGGTCTTGGGTAATATTCAGGAGAATTCCCTGGATTGCTAGGCAGGGACTCAAGTTCTCTTCCCTTACTTTCCCACAAAAGAAAAGATTTTCTATCTCTGCCTTGAGCTGCCTGCAGCTGGGGGAGGGATGACACAAGCACTCCTGTGGCCACCACCACTGGGACTGTGCTCTGTCAGACCTGAGGCCATAACAGCACTTGGTCTTTCCCAAGACCCACAGTGACCACTGCCTGGCTACCGTCTGTATTCAGTCAAGACCTTAGGGCTCTCAAATCAGCAAGTGGCAAATCTAACCAGGTTTGTCCTTACCTTCAGAGTGGCAAGTTGCCTCCAGCCCTGGGCAGGTCTGGAGATGCTTCCTGAGAGCCAGGATTTAGAGTGGAGAACCTTTGGAATCTACCTACTGCTGTATTCTACTGCAGCTGAACTGGGCACTAAAACCACAAGACAAAATCCTTCCTATTCTTCCCTCCCCTTTCCTCAAGCACAGAGGTCTCTCCCCAGGGCCACAACTGCCCCGGGCCTACAGCAAGTACTGCTTGGCTACTGCTGATGTTTACTCAAAGAACAAGGGCTCTTCAGTCTGTTTGTGGTGAATGCTGCCAGACCTGAGTGTCTCTCTTCATGGCAGGGGACTTCCCTCTAGCCCAGGGCAGGTCCACAAATGCCATCCAGGAGCCAAGGTCTAGAATCGGGGACCCCCAAGTGACCACTTAGTGCTCTGCCCCACTGGCCAAGCTGGTACCCAAGTTGCAAGACAAAGTCCCCTTTACTTGTCCCTCTCTTTTCCTTAAACAGAAAGGTCTCTCTCCATGGCTACCACAGCTGGGAATGTGCTAAGTCACACCTGAAGCCAGCACAGCTCTGAATCTCTCACAAGGCCTGCAAAATGTACTGCATAGCTACCACTATTGATTATTCAGGGTCCAAGGGCTCTTTAGTCAGCAGGTGAAGAATCCTGCCAAAAACAGGTCCTTCCCTTCAAGGCAGTAGGTCTCCTTCTAGCCCAGGATGTGTCTAGAAATGTCTTCTAGGAGCTAAGGCCTGAGATGGAGGCCTCAGCGCTCTTCCTGGTGCTCTATTTATTGTGGCTGTGTTGTGGGATTTATGAGGATGAGAGAGACCTTGGGTTAAAACAGGGGAATCTTTTATTGAGTGCACTCGGGCCCAGCAGACTCACCTCCAAAGACCAGGCCCAGAACAAAGACAGCACTTGACTTTTATATGCACTTCACAAAACGGGGTGGGATAACTTGAAGCAAGCTTACAGTGGCATGAAAGCAGGAATACAGAGTCAGGACAAAGACAGTTAATCAAATTGTAACAGGTTCATAACTCAGGATTGCATACCACCATTGCTATGCAACCCAGATGTCCATTATCTAGGTTTGCCTAGGCACGGGCTTATCCCATAACCTTCACTATGGTGCCTAGACAGCTGGAGTTCAGGCCCGCTTAGGCTTCTCATGACCTTCGCTGTACTTCTTAGATAAAACAGAATACTTGAAGTTACTAGTTACAGAGAACAAGGATCTATAAACTCATACCATAAAACAAAGGAAAATTTGTTTTTCTTCTCCCTATGTTGAGGGAGTGCTGGGAGAGTCTCCAGAGCACATTAGATAATATTATCAAGACTTTTCCTGGGTCTGGGCTGTGCCTGTTGCTGCCTCTGGGACAAGTGAGCCTAATACAGGAAAGTTTATTTTTCTTTCTTTTTAATTTTATTTTTCTTTAATTTCCCACCTCAGCTGAGCTCATATCCAAGTTGCAAGAAAAAGTCCTCTTTGCTTTCCCCCATGCTCTCCTCAAGCAGAGAGAAGCAGTCTCTCCTGGAGCTGTAAGCTTCACTGCCTGGAGTTGGGGAGGGGTGATGCAAGCACTCCCTCAACCACTCTGGCTGGTGTCTCATTAGGTTGCATGTACCCAAAGTCCACTGGCTCTGAGCCCCACATAACACCAGGACCTGCTCTGCAATTGCAGTCTTTGTGGCCTCGACTACCTTTCAAGTTTACTTAAGACCTCATAGCACTTTAGTCCAGGGCTTTAGCAGGGCTTACCAGAATGATCTGCTTCTGATTTGGGCTAATCTAAATATGCTCCCTCTGCGGGTTCTGCCCCATGTTTTCCAGTAAAAAAGCAACATGGGTCAGCACCAAGTTCCAATGTGAAGTCCCACAATCACTGCACTCTCCCTTTCCTAAGCACATAGATTCTCTCTCCATGCCAAGCAGCTACTGCTGTGGAATCAGGGAGGGGTGGTGTAGGTGATTCAAGACTGTTTTTCCTACCCACTTTAGTGCCTCTTTCCTTAATAGGATATTAAAGCCAAGTGATGTGAACCACTCACCTGATTTTTGGTTCTTAGGAAGGTGCTTTTTGTGTGGATAGTTGTTCAGTTTGATTTTTCTGCAGGGAAAATGAATGCTAGAGGCTTCTCTTTGGCCATCTTGCTGCACCTTCTATCAAGTTGTATAATTTTTAAAGTTACAGCTGGGCAGAGCGGCTCATGTCTGCAATTCCAGCACTTTAGGAGGCCAAGGCAAGCTGAGTGCAGCAGTTTAAGACCAGCCTGGGCAACATGGAGAAACCCATATTGACTAAAACAAAAGTTAGCCAGGTGTGGTGGTGTGTGCCTACAGGCTCAGCCATTTGGGTGTCTGAGGTGGAAGGCTCTGAGGTGGGGTTTCAAAAGAAAACATAACAAAATTAATCAGCTAATCCAAAAGAAGGCAAGAAAGAGGAATAGATGAATAACAAAAAAAGAAAGAACAAACAGAAAACAAATAGTAAAACAATAGATCTAAATCCAATTTATCAATAATTATAATAAATGTTAAAGGACTAAACACCAATTAAAAAGTACACGTTGTCAGAATGGATATAAGTGCAAGACACAACTATATGTTATCTACCAAAAAAACCCACATTAAACTTAAAGGCACATAATGTGAGAGCAGATGGATGGATTGATTGAAAAAGAAAAATGATACAAATATTAAGCATTAAAAACTCGACTGGTTTTACTAATATCATGTAAAATAGACTTTAAAACAAAGAATATTATCAGAGATAGAAAAAGGACAGTTTATGATGATAAATGGATCAACTCATTTGAAAACCTAACAACCATTAATGTGTGAATTGGAAACTTTAAAGAATAATGGATATGTTCATTATTTAGATGTGGTGATAGTTTCATGAGTGTGTACATATGTCAAACATCAAATTGTACACATTAAATATGAGCAGCTTAATATATGTTAGTTAAGAGCTGAAAATGTTAAATATAAGTGAAAAGAAAAGTTATGGCTATTTGTAAAGGTCTCTTTAATCAATCAACCTTCAATTAAGACAAAACAACCCCATTCTACAGAATTTAGATTATACATATTTCTGATATGGATGATTTATGACCTGAGAAAGGTGTGTGTGATTCTATTCTGGGGGGTTCTGAATCAAATATATTGTAGAGTGGGGAGGCTATTGAGATGGCACATAATATCTTCTCCTATTTCCAAAAAATTCATTGCTCCTGGGAATCCCTTAAGAACAAGCAAACAGATCACCAGTGAGAAATACTTTTTAAAAGTGGAGTTTCTTTGTGATCCAGACAACAAACTCATGCTTATACTAATCTGCCACAAAGCCCAATCTCTGTGATGAAGACTGTTAATACCTTCTTCCCAGCACACAAATGATTCATGTACTCATTCTATAATTCTTAGTATCCTCAACATCCTAGAAAATGTTCACTATCAGAAAATCTTGAGGTCTTTCACATAGCATTCTAAGAATGTGCTTTTGCAAACCCCACCCACAAAAGAATTTCAAACAACAGCATAACCGTACTACATACTTTTAAGCCAACATCTAAAATTTTCCTCATAAATTTAAGTAGTTCCAAACAATACAATTTCTAGTATGTTGTAGATATTGACACTTTAAAATGAACCTGTTATATCACCATTTTCAGTATATCTATGGGAATCTAAATATGAGAATTTAATATTTAGCATCATCCATTTAAAAAATACATAAGCAAACATTTTTAGACAAAAAAATACATAATTCATTTTTCATCTTGTATTAGTCCATTTTCAAGTGGCTGATAAGACATACCTGAGACTGGGCAACTTACAAAAAAAAGGAAGTTTATTGGACAGTTCCACATGGCTGGGGAGGCTTCACAATCATGGCAGAAGGCAAGGAGGAGCAAGTCACATCTTACGTGGATGGTAGCAGGCAAAGAGAGAAAGCTTGTGAAGGGAAACTCCCATTTTTAAAACCATCAAATATCATGAGACTCATTAAGACCCACCACCATAATTCAATTGCCTCCCACCAGGTTCCTCCCATGACAGGTGGGAATTGTGGGAGTTACAATTCAAGATGAGATTTGGGTGGCGACACAGCCAAACAATGCCATTCCAACTCTGGCCCCTCCCAAATCTCATGTCCTCACATTTCAAAACCAATCATGTCTTTCCAACAGTCCCCAAGAGTCTTAACTCATTTCAGTGTTAACCCAAAAGTCCACAGTCCAACATCTCATCTGAGACAAAGCAAGTCCCTTCTGCCTATGAGCCTGTAAAAGCAAAAGCAAGTTAGTTGCTTCCTAGAAACAATGGGGGTACAGAAATTGGGTAAATACAGCCATTCCAAATGGGAGAAATTGACCAAAATAAAGGGGCTACAGGCCCCATGCAAGTCCAAAATGTAGCATGGCAGTCATCTTAAAGCTCCAAAATAATCTCCTTTGATTCCATGTCCTGCATCCAGGTCACACTGATGCAAGAGGTGGATTCACATGGTCTTGGGCAGCCTCCCTTCTGGCTGCTTTCATGGGATGGTGTTGAGTGTCTGCAGTTTTTCCAGATACACAGTGCAAGCTGTCTGTGGATCTACCATTCTGGGGCCTGGAGAACAGTGGCCCTCTTCTCACATTTCCACTAGGTGGAAGTGCCCCAGAAGAGACTCTGTGGGGGGGCTCCAACCCCATATTTCCCTTCCACACTGCTCTAGCAGAGGTTCTTCATGAGAGCCCTATCCCTGCAGCAAACTTCTGCCTGGACATCCAGGCATTTCCATACATCCTCTGAAATCTAGGCAGAGGTTTCCAAACCTCAATTCTTGACTTCTGTGCACCCTCAGGCTTAATACTATGTGGAAGCTGCCAAGGCTTGGGGCTTGCATTCTCCACAACCATGGCTCAAACTGTACCTTGGTCCCTTTTAGAAATGGCTGGAGTGGCTGGAATGCAGGGCATCAAGTCCCTAGACTGCACACAGCATGGGGACCTTGTCCCAGCCCACAAAACCATTTTTTCCTCCTAGACCTCTGGGCCTGTGATGGAAGGGGCTGCTGCAAAATTCTTGGACATGCCCTGGAGACATTTTCCCCACTGTCTTGGTGATTAACATTCAGCTCCTCATTGCTTATGCAAATATCTGCAGCCAGTTTGAATTTCTCCTCAGAAAATGGGATTTTCTTTTCTATCACATTGTCAGACTACACATTTTCTGAACTTTTATGCTTTATTTCCCTTTTAAAACTGAATGCCTTTAACAGCACTCAAGTCACCTCTTGAATGCTTTGCTGCTTAAAAATTTCTTACACCAAATACCTAAGCCATCTCTCTCAAGTTCAAAGTTCCACAGATCTCTAGAGCAGGGGCAAAATGCCACCAGTCTCTTTGCTAAAACATAACAAGAGTCACCTTTGCTCCAGTTCCCAACAAGTTCCTTCTCACCATCTGAGACCACCTCAGCCTGGACCTTATTGTTCATAGCACTATTGGCAATTCTGTCAAAATGATTCAACAAGTCTCTAGGAAGTTCCAAACTTTTCCACATCTTCTTGTCTTCTTCTGAGCCCTCCAAACTGTTCCAATCTCTGCCTGTTACCCAGTTCCAAAGTCATTCCCACACTTTCAGGATTAATTAATTTTTTTAATTTTTATGGAAGAAAGCAGAGAGATAACATGCTCACATAAGTTAACATACAACAATGAAAGAATTTTAAATACAATGTTACATAATTTCTTGTATTCCAGCTAAGTCTTACCTCAAAATTCATATAATGATGTATCACCAAAAACTTTCAGCAACGCCCCACTCTAGTGGTACCAATTTACTGCATTAGTTTGTTTTCATGCTGCTCATAAAGACATACCCGAGACTGGGAAACTTACAAAACAAAGAGGTTCATTGGACTTACAGTTCCACATGGCTGAGGAGGCCTCAAAATCATGGCAGAATGCAAGGAGGAGCAAGTCACATCTTATGTGGATGGCAGCAGGCGCAGAGAGAGCAAGAGAGAGAGAGCTTATGCAGGGAAACCCCCATTTTTAAAACCATCACATCTCGTGAGACTCACTCACTATCCTGAGAACCATGCAGAAAAGACCCACCCCTATAATTCAATCACCTCCCAACAAGTTCCTCCTATGAGGAACTGTGGGAGTTAAAATTCAAGATGAGATTTGGGTGGGGACACAGCCAAATCATATCACACCTTAAACTCATATTTTCACCTCACTTTCTTTACATAATTTTATGGTAATTTATTATGTTTTATGCTTGAAAATCTTTTATTAATCACCCTCTCACACATACTTTGCTCCAATAAAAAATTTATACCAATTGAAATTTTAAAAAACTTAATTTTCTGTGACTCTAACCTCCATATGTTAAAAGCTCTCCTCTAGATGAAGTTATTATTATTATTATAAATTCAAGATTGATAAAAACAGCCAAAATATATCACAAATTTTAATGTTATTATTGTGTATAAAATAGAATTGCATTGAAAATACATCTCTTAATGAGATGAATGAAATTGAAATTATCTTCAATTAGTCATATATTTATGGATGAATATTACTTATTGCTAGAATAAGACAGGGTTTGACACCAACTTTTTTCTAATTTTTTAATTTTTATGGATGAAAACAGAGAGATATCATGTTCACATAAGTTAACATATAGTAATGAAAGAATTTTAAGACAGGAGGTGGAGCCAAGATGGCTGAATAGGAACAGCTCCAGTCTACAGCTCCCAGCATGAGTGATGCATAAGACAGGTGATTTCTGCATTTCCAACTGAGGTACCGGGTTCATCTCATTGGGGAGTGCCAGAGAGTGGGTGCAGGACAGTGGGTACAGTGCACTGTGTGTGAGCCAAAGCAGGGTGAGGCATCACCTCACCAGGGAAGCGCAAGGGGTCAGGGAATTCCCTTTCCTAGTCAAAGAAAGGGGTGACAGATGGCACCTGGAAAATTGGGTCACTCCCACCCTAATACTGTGCTTTTCCAACGGGCTTAACAAATGGCACACCAGGAGATTATATCCCGCACATGGCTTCGAGGGTCCTATGCCCACAGAGCCTCGCTCATTGCTAGCACAGCAGTCTGAGATCAAACTGCAAGGTGGCAGCGAGGCTGGGGAAGGGGCACCCACCATTGCTGAGGCTTGAGTAGCTAAACAAAGCGGCCTGGAAGCTCAAACTGGGAGGAGACCACCACAGCTCAAGGAGGCCTGCCTGCCTCTGTAGGCTCCACCTCTTGGGGCAGGGCACAGACAAACAAAAAGACAGCAGTAACCTCTGCAGACTTAAATGTCCCTCTCTGACAGCTTTGAAGAGAGTAGTGGTTCTCCCAGCACGCAGCTTGAGATCTCAGAACGGGCAGACTGCCTCCTCAAGTGGGTCCCTGACCCCTGAGTAGCCTAACTGGGAGGCATCTCCCAGTAGGGGCAGACTGACAATTCACATGGCCAGATACTCCTCTGAGACAAAACTTCCAGAGGAACAATCAGGCAGCAGCATTTGCAGTTCAACAATATCCACTGTTCTGCAGCTAACCGCTGCTGATACCTAGGGAAAAAGGGTCTGGAGTGGACCTCCAGCAAACTCCAACAGACCTCCAACTGAGGGTCCTGACTGTTAGAAGGAAAACTAACAAACAGAAAGGACATCCACACCAAAAACCAATCTGTACGTCACCATCATCAAAGGTCAAAGGTAGATAAAACCACAAAGATGGGGAAAAAACAGAGCAGAAAAACCGGAAACTCTAAAAATCAGAGAGCCTCCCCTCCTCCAAAGGAACGCAGCTCCTCATCAGCAATGGAACAAAGCTGGACGGAGAATGACTTTGATGAGTTGAGAGAAGAAGGCTTCAGAAGATCAAACTACTCCGAGCTAAAGGAGGAAGTCTGAACCAATGGCAAAGAAGTTAAAAACCTTGAAAAAAAATTGGATGAGTGGCTAACTAGAATAAACAATGCAGAGAAGTCCTTAAAGGACCTGATGGAGCTGAAAAACATGGCACGAGAACTAAGTGATGAATCCAAAAGCTTCAGTAGCTGATACGATCAACTGGAAGACAGGGTATCAACAATGGAAGACGAAATGAATGAAATGAAGTGAGAAGAGAAGTTTAGAGAAAAAAGAATAAAAAGAAATGAACAAAACCTCCAAGAAATATGGGACTATGTGAAAAGACCACATCTACGTCTGATTCGTGTACCTGAAAGTGACAGGGAGAATGGAACCAAGTTGGAAAACACTCTACAGGATATTATCCAGGAGAACTTCCCCAATCTAGCAAGGTAGGCCAGTATTCAAATTCAGGAAATACAGAGAATGCCACAAAGATACTCCTCGAGAAGAGCAACTCCAAGAATTGTCAGATTCACCAAAGTTGAAATGAAGGAAAAAATGTTAAGGGCAGCCACAGAGAAAGCTCGGGTTACCCACAAAGGGAAGGCCATCAGACTAACAGTTGATCTCTCAGCAGAAACTCTACAAGCCAGAAGAGAGTGGGGGCCAATATTCAACATTCTTAAAGAAAAGAATTTTCAACCCATAATTTCATATCTAGCCAAACTAAGCTTTGTAAGTGAAGGAGAAATAAAATACTTTACAGACAAGCTAATGCTGAGAGATTTTGTCACCACCAGGCCTGCCCTAAAAGAGCTCCTGAAGGAAGTGCTAAACATGGAAAGGAACAACCAGTACCAGCCACTGCAAAAACATGCCAAATTGTAAAGACCATCAAGGCTAGGAAGAAACTGCATCAACTAATGAGCAAAATAATCAGCTAACATCATAATGACAGGATCAAATTCACACATAACAATACTAACATTAAATGTAAATGGGCTAAATGCTCCAATTAAAAGACACAGACGGGCAAATTGGATAAAGAGTCAAGACCCATCAGGGTGCTGTATTCGGGAAACCCATCTCACGTGCAGAGACACACATAGGCTCAAAATAAAGGGATGGAGGAAGATCTACCAAGCAAATGGAAAACAAAAAAAGGCAGCGGTTGCAATCCTAGTCTCTGATAAAGCAGACTTTAAACCAACAAAGATCAAAAGAGACACAGAAGGCCATTACATAATGGTAAAGGGATCAATTCAACAAGAAGAGCTAACTATCCTAAATATATAAGCACCCAATGCAGGAGCACCCAGATTCATAAAGCAAGTCCTTAGTGACCTACAAAGAGACTTAGACTCCCACACAATAATAATGGGAGACTTTAACACCCCACCATCAACAGACAGATCAACGAGACAGAAAGTTAACAAGGATATCCAGGAATTGAACTCAGCTCTGCACCAAGCGGAACTAATAGACATCTACAGAACTCTCCACCCCAAATCAACAGAATATACATTATTTTCAGCACCACATCGCACCTATTCCAAAACTGACCACAAAGTTGGAAGTACAGCACTCCTCAGCAAATGTAAAAGAACAGAAATTATAAAAAACTGTCTCTCAGACCACAGTGCAATCAAACTAGAACTCAGGATTAAGAAACTCACTCAAAACCGCTCAACTGCATGGAAACTGAACAACCTGCTCCTGAATGACTACTGGGTACATAATGAAATGAAGTCAGAAATAAAGATGGTCTTTGAAACCAATGAGAACAAAGACACAACATACCAGAATCTCTGGGATACATTCAAAGCAGTGTGTAGAGGGAAATTTATAGCACTAAATGCCCACAAGAGGAAGCAGGAAAGATCTAAAATTGACACCCTAACATCACAATTAAAAGAACTAGAGAAGCAAGAGCAAACACATTCAAAAGCTGGCAGAAGGCAAGAAATAACTAAGATCAGAGCAGAACTGAAGGAGATAGAGACACAAAAAACCCTTCAAAAAATCAATGAATCCAGGAGCTGGTTTTTTGAAAAGATCAACAAAATTGATAGACCACTAGCAAGACTAATAAAGAAGAAAAGAGAGAAGAATCAAATAGACCCAATAAAAAATGACACAGGGTATATCACCACCGATCCCACAGAAATACAAACTACCATCAGAGAATACTACAAACACCTCTATGCAAATAAACTAGAAAATCTAGAAGAAATGGATAAATTCCTCGACATATACACCCTCCCAAAACTAAACCAGGGAGAAGTTGAATCTCTCAGTAGACCAATAACAGGCACTGAAATTTAGGCAATAAATAATAGCTTACCAACCAAAAAAAGTCCAGGACCAGATGGATTCACAGCCGAATTCTACCAGAGGTACAAGGAGGAGCTGGTACCATTCCTTCTGAAACTATTCCAATCAATAGAAAAGAGGGAATCCTCCCTAACTCATTTTATGAGGCCAGCATCATCCTGATACCAAAGTCGGGCAGAGACACAAGCAAAAAAGAGAATTTTAGACCAATATCCTTAATGAATATCGATGCAAAAATCCTCAATAAAATACTGGCAAACCGAATCCAGCAGCATATCAAAAAGCTTATCCACCGTAATCAAGTGGGCTTCATCCCTGGGATGCAAGGCTGGTTCAACATGTGAAAATCAATAAATGTAATCCAGCATATAAACAGAACCAAAGACAAAAACCACATGATTATCTCAATAGATGCAGAAAAGGCCTTTGACAAAATTCAACAACCCTTCATGCTAAAAACTCTCAATAAATTAGGTATTCACGGGACATATCTCAAAATAATAAGAGCTATCTATGACAAACCCATAGCCAATATCATACTGAATGGGCAAAAACTGGAAGCATTCCCTTTGAAAACTGACACAAGACAGGGATGCCCTCTATCACCACTCCTATTCAACATAGTGTTGGAAGTGCTAGCCAGGGCAATTAGGCAGGAGAAGGAAATAAAGGGCATTCAATTAGGAAAAGAGGAAGTAAAATTGTCACTGTTTGCAGAAGACATGATTGTATATCCAGAAAACCCCATCTTCTCAGCCCAAAATCTCCTTAAGCTGATAAGCAACTTCAGCAGTCTCAGGATACAAAATCAATGTGCAAAAATCTCAAGCATTCTTATACACCAATAACAGACAAACAAAGACCCAAATCATGAGTGAACTCCCATTCACAATTGCTTCAAAGAGAATAAAATACCTAGGAATCGAACTTACAAGTGGATGTGAAGGACCTCTTTAAGGAGAACTACAAACCACTGCTCAAGGAAATAAAAGAGGATACAAACAAATGGAAGAACATTCCATGCTCATGGGTAGGAAGAATCAATATCGTGAAAATGGCCATACTGCACAAGGTAATTTATAGATTCAATGCCATCCCCATTAAGCTACCAATGACTTTCTTCACAGAATTGGAAAAAAACTACTTTAAAGTTCATATGGAACCAAAAAAGAGCCTGCATTGCCAAGTCAATCCTAAGCCAAAAGAACAACACTGGAGGCATCACACTACCTGACTTCAAACTATGCTACAAGGCTACAGTAACCAAAACAGCGTGGTACTGGTACCAAAACAGAGATATAGACCAATGGAACAGAACAGAGCCCTCAGAAATAATGCCACATATCTACAACTATCTGATCTTTGACAAGCCTGACAAAAACAAGCAATGGGGAAAGGATTCCCTATTCAATAAATGGTGCTGGGAAAACTGGCTAGCCATATGTAGAAAGCTGAAACTGGATCCCTTCCTTACACCTTATACAAAAATTAATTCAAGATGGATTAAAGACTTAAATGTTAGACCTAAAACCATAAAAACCCTAGAAGAAAACCTAGGCAATACCATTCAGGACATAGTCATGGGCAAGGACTTCATGTCTAAAACACCAAAAGCAATGGCAACAAAAGCCAAAATTGACAATTGGGATCTAATTAAACTAAAGAGCTTCTGCACAGCAAAAGAAACTACCATCAGAGTGAAAAGACAACCTACAGAATGGGAGAAATTTTTTGCAACCTACTCATCTGACAAAGGGCTAATATCCAGAATCTACAATGAACTCAAACAAATTTACAAGAAAAAAACAAACAGCCCCGTCAAAAGGTGGGCAAAGGACATGAGCAGACACTTCTCAAAAGAAGACATTCATGCAGCCAAAAAACACATGAAAAAATGTTCATCATCACTGGCCATCAGAGAAATGCAAATCAAAACCACAATGAGATACCATCTCATACCAGTTAGAATGGCGATCATTAAAAAGTCAGGAAACAACAGGTGCTGGAGAGGATGTGGAGAAATAGGAACACTTTTACACTGTTGATGGGACTGTAAACTAGTTCAACCATTGTGGAAGTCAGTGTAGCGATTCCTCAGGGATCTGGAACTAGAAATACCATTTGACCCAGCCATCCCATTACTGGGTATATAACCAAAGGATTATAAATCATGCTGCTATAAAGACACATGCACATGTATGTTTATTGTTGCACTTTTCACAATAGCAAAGACTTGGAACCAACCCAAATGTCCATCAATGATAGACTGGATCAAGAAAATGTGGCACATATACACCATGGAATACTATGCAGCCATAAAAAATGATGAGTTCATGTCCTTTGTAGGGACATGGATGAAGCTGGAAACCATCATTCTCAGCAAACTATCGCAAGGACAGAAAAACAAACACCGCATGTTCTCACTCACAGGTGGGAATTGAACAATGAGAAACATGGACACAGGAAGGGGAACATCACACACCAGGGACTGTTGTGGGGTGGCAGGAGCGGGGAGGGATAGCATTAGGAGATATACCTAATGCTAAATGACAAGTTAATGGGTGCAGCACACCAACATGGCACATGTATACATATGTAACAAACCTGTACGTTGTGCACATGTACCCTAAAACTTAAAGTATAATAATAAAATTTAAAAAAATAAAAATAAAAATAAAATAAAATCAACTCACTTTTGTAAGAAAAAGTTTTATTTTTAATATTTATAAACTACAAATGTTATTCCACACTCAAAGAATATTTCTAATGTATTCAGTCACAGTTTACTAAAATAGCTAAGTTTTCTGATTCATAAAATGAATAATAACACTTAATTTTAAGACTTATTTTGAAGATTAAATGAGGTAATACATTCAAATAAAACCTTTTAAACTGAAAGTACTTTCATTCTTGTGTAAGGAAACCATGAAAGTAAGAAACACAACATTCTATTTTGCCACTGTATCTTAAATTAACTAGCTTTTATTGTCAGTTTAGTGTTCAGCGCACCAAGGGTACATTTCATACTAAGATTGTGCAAGTGACAGTAAATGCCTCCTTAAATTTTCCATCTTAGGCACCTCCACTGCTTTTAGACCTGGCTATGTTTTATATTACTTATATGCATTTTTTTTTCTTTTGGAAAAAAGATAAGCTTAAAAACGTTTTTGTTGATGACATGCTATTGCTGAAATAAAAACCCAGAACATAGTGGTGTGTAGGAAAAAAAAAAAAGAATTTTAAATACAATGTTACATAATTTCTTGAATTCCAGCTAAGTTGTACCTCAAAATTCATATAATGATATATCACCAAAAATTATTTTTAATAATTACACAGATGAAAACTCACTTAGATCTTATTTCAGTTTTTTAAATTAAAAAAAGTAACTCCAATTAATTTGAAAAGGGATTTCTTATCTAGCCAACAGAAGAACTTACTTTCTCAACCACATCAGCAATGTTTCAAATTGTTCTTTTGTTTAGAACCCCTGAAGTTTAGCATCATTCCTTGACAATACACCAAAATAAGCTTTTGAGGGATGAGCTATATGCTTTTCCTCATGGGAAACCAATTATGAAAAGGGTCATGGGAAGTTAGAAGCATCAAGAAAATTACCTAAGCATGTGAATTTTGGTGAAGAGTATGTATAAAATTTGGAAATTTATCCCCTTAATACTGTCCATCCCTATACCCCCTTTGAAAGTTTTTATGTACCTACTAGGTATATATAAAGTCTTTATGTACCTACTAGAATATACTTTGGCAGAGCAATGATTTGTAGGCCTATGAAGATCCACAGAGGGACATCACACAAAAGGGAGAATTCGTCTCTTTCTTGTCCATGTACATTTATGGTATCTCCTTGTTCTAGACACTGAAAGAATCTACCTGTATATTTCTAAGTGATGGAGATTATGAGTCCTGCTATGGTCTTTGTGCTTGAGTTGACTCCTTCCATGAAACTTCAATCTGCCTTCTACCACCTCATGCTCTTAAGAGATTCACAAGAATCCACAAACCAGCCTAGACCCAGTGGGCTTCTGTCATTTGGGATTGGCTTCCAAATATTCTATATAAAATATTTTAGACTTCTATCAATAACATAAATGACTAGAATACTTAGTTTATACACAAGAACTAAGAAATACTTTTTGAGAAAATGATAAAGGGGATGTTCCCAACCAGAAATCTAGATTATCCTTATCCATTTAAGGGGTGAAAGTGTTACGGGATCTTTGGGGTGTCAATTTTCTGGCTGGAATCTTCTGCGGCCAGTGGCACCTTTATCCAACTTTTGCTCAGAGACTGCTGGGTTCATTCCACCCACTTGGTCTGGCAGGCTGCACTTGGTTCACACTACCAGTCTGGATCCCACACCTGCCAAGGGTGAGCCAGGTGCACAGTGACAAGAGGTGTGTGAGAGAGTGTGGGATCCAGCCACTGTACACAGTCAGACACACCAGCTGCTGCCACGGGGTGGGCAGTTCCAGGTACTGGCATGGATGCTGGCTCTCTGCAAGGCTGTGGCTGGATCAGGTGCACTGCAAGAAGCTTCCCTGGCTAGCACCAGGGAATGCAGTGGCACCCAGAAGGTTTGAGACACCAGGAACTGCAGGACCCCAAAAAGGAAGCCACAGCCCTGGCATGGGGGGCTCTTAGGTCTGGGCTCCCGAAGAGCCACAGCTCTTCTCTTCTTCTCCTCACCCACAATGTTTCAAGTAAGGGGCATGTCTCAGCCCCATTTGTGTTACAGCTCTTTTAGCCTTGCCATCTGGTGGCTCCTGAGTTTTTGTCCTGCAACCAGGAAGAATGAGGTATGCAGACAAGTGGAGGATGAACAAGATGAAGATGAGCTTTATTGAGCAATAGAACAGCTCAAAGGAAGGCAGCTCCTCTCCATAGCCAGTGTGTGCCAATGGTGTTTTCACCTCCCAGCAGAGAGGGTAGCTCTTCTCTGCTGGGTAGGTCATCCCCACAAGTGTCCACCTCTCAGCAGAGAAGGTAGTTTCCCTCTGCAGCTGGTCATCTCATCATCTCCTCAGCTCTCAGCAGAGAGGAGACCCTGGGGTGGGCAGATCCTTTCTGCAGCTCATCGTCCTGTCCTGCCATCTCCCTATCATCTCTACATCCTCTCCTGGAGTCTGGCTGAGTCCAGGGTTTTTACGGGCCTCAAAGGGAAGGAAGTGCATGCTGATTGGTCCACGGGTGGCCATCAGCGGGCCCAGGATAAAGCACCATGGGTTCCCCCTGTGGTCTGTAGAACTGGCAGACCATCCCCCAAGCTTCAGGCCTTCCGTGGCTTGAAGGTGGGGCTTCAATGGGGACGCACCCCCTTCTGCCTCCTACTGCCATTCATGGCACCCAGGCTGTTTATGCCAAGAGGCACCTGAAGGCCAGCACCAGTCTGTCCTCAGCTCTCCCTCGGCCTCCCTCCCATGCTTGTCAGAGCCCAAAGTCCAGAGGAGGATGAGGCAGCAGGCGGCTGGTGTGTCAGGGCTGCCTGAGCATGTACACCATTGGCCAGGCTGTGACAGTGCCTCGGCTCAGCGCCACACTGCTCTTAGATCAGAGCAGGCACTGACAGCAGGGAAAACGCAGGCAGGAGGAGCAGGCACTTCTGAGCCTGCAAGGGCTGGGGGACCTTCCCAGGCCTCCAAGAGTGCAGAGATGCCTGGGTCCACAGCTGCAGTTTGGGAAGCTGCAGCCAGGCCCAGGAGGGCAGGGCTGTTGCCTGCTCCTGGCTTCTGCTGGCTCTGTGGAGTGCTACATCACTCCAGATCCAGCTCCACCTCGGGGCTCCTCTCTGCCTGCTCCTCTGTAGCCAATCAAGTTGCTCCCCCGCTGGTGGGTAACCCAGCCCAGTCCCATGGCAGCGGCTCCCAGGGCAGAGGGCTCCATGGGAGGATCCTAGGGGCGGGCCCCAGGGACTGTCTGCCTCCTCCCCATGCCCTCCCCGCAGCAGTGGTGGGCGAGAACAGTGAGGCGGAGCCAGGATCCAGAGCGGCAGAGGCTCCGGGCCTGGGAGCAGGTCCCACCTGGCTGCACAAGGATGGGGGTGGCACAGTTGGCTATCACGGGGATACAGGCACAGAGAACCCACCACCACCATTGCTGCTCCTGCAGCCCCTCTTGCTGCCACCAATCATGCCTTCCCACTGCAGCTGGCATGATGGCAGTGGCCACTCCAGGCAGCCCTCCACTGCCATCAAAAGGATATCAAAATGACTTTCCATAAGTAACATATTGCTAGCCACTCAGAGGCACAGCCAAAATCAGCTCATCAAAAATTTGAGGATAAATGTGATATATCACATAAACAAAATTAAAAACAAAAATCATATGATCACCTCAACAGACGCAGAAAAGGCATTTGACAAAATCCAGTATGCCTTTATGATTAAAAACCTTTGACAAAACTGGCATGTAAGGGACATAAAGTAATAAAAGCCATCTATGACAAGCCCACAGCCAACATCATACTGAATGGGGAAAAGTTGAAAGCATTCCCCTTGAGAACTGGAACAAGACAAGGATGCCCACTTTCACCACTTCTATTCTACATAGCACTCAAAGTCCTAGCCAGAGCAATCACATGAGAGAAAGAAATAAAGGGCATCCAAAACAGAAAGAGAAAGTCAAGCTGTCACTATTTGCCAATTATATGATCATAGACCTAGAAAATACTAAAGACTCATCAAAAAACTTCTAGATCTGATAAATGAATACACTATTGTCTCAGAATACAAAATCAATGTACACAAATCAGTAGCACTGTTATATACCAACAATGACCAAGCTGAGAATCAACTAAAAAATTCAATCCCTTTTACGACAGCTACAAAAAATAAAATAAAATACTTAGAAATATGTTTAGCCAAGGAGGTGAAAGATCTCTGCAAGGAAGACTACAAAATGCTGCTGAAAGAAATCACAAATGACACAGACAAATGGTAACACATCCCAGGCTCATGAATGGGTAGAATCAATATTGTGAAAATGACCAAACTGCCAAAAGCAATCTACAGATTCAATGTAATTCCCATCAAAGTACCATCACCCCTCTTCACAGAACTAGAAAAAAAAATCCTAAAATTCATATGGAACTAAAAATAAGCCTGCATAGCCAAAGCAATACTAAGCAAAAAGAACAAATTTGGGGCCATAACATTACCTGACTTCAAATTACACTACAATACTATAACTATAGTTACCAAAAAAGCATGGTATCAGTATAAAAATAGGCATGTAGACCAATGGCGCAGAATAGAGAACCCAGAAATAAAGCCAAATACTTACTACCAACTGATCTTTGACAAAGCATACAAAATCACAAAGTAGGGAAAGGACATCCTATTGAAGAAATGGTGCTAAGATAACTGGCAAGCCACATGTAGAAGAATAAAATTGGATCCTCATCTCTCACCTTATACAAAAATCAACTCAAGACGGATCAAAGACTTAAATAGAAGACCTGAAAACATAAAAACTCTATAAGATAAAATCAGAAAAACTCTAAAAGATAAAATCAGACATCGGCTTAAGCAAAGAATTCATGACTAAGAAGCTAAAATCAAATGCAACAAAAACAATAATAAATAGAAGGGATATAATTAAGCCAAAAAGCTTCTGCACAACAAAAGAAATAATCAGCAGAGTAAACAGACAACCCACAAAGTGGGAGAAAATATTCATAGATTATGCAGCTGACAAAGGACTAATACCCAGAATCTACAAGGAATGCAAACAAATCAGCAAGAAAGAAAACAAATAATCCCATCAAAAAGTGGGCAATGGACATGAATAGACAATTATCAGAAGAAGATATAAAAACAGCCAATAAACATATGAAAAAATACTCAACATCACCAATGATCAGGGAAATGCAAATTAAAACCATAATAAGATACCACCTTACTCCTGCAAGAATGGCCATAATTTTAAAATAAAAAAAAATTAGATGTCAGCATGGATGTGTTGAAAACGGTACACTTTTACACTGCTGGTGGAAATGTAAATTAGTACAACCACTATTGGAAAACAGTATGGAGATTTCTTAAAGAACTAAAAGTAGAAACACCATTCAATCCAGCAATCCCACTACTGGGTATCTGCCCAAAGGAAAAGAAGTCATTATAGAAAAAAGACACGTACATGAACAGGTTTATAGCAGCACAATTCTCAATTGAAAAAACATGGAATCAACCTAAATACCCATCAACCAACAAGTAGATAAAGAAAATGTGGTATATATGCACCATGGAGTACTACTCAGCCATAAAATGAAATGATATAATGGCCTTTGCACGAACCTTGATGGAGTTGGAGACCATTATTCTAAGTGAAGTAACTCAGGAATGAAAAACCAAACATTGTGTGTTCTCACTTATAAGTGGGAGCTAAGCTATGAGGATGCAAAGGCATAAGAATGATATGATGGACTTTGGGAACTTGAGGGGAAGGGTGGGAACAGGCTGAGAGATAAAAGACTACATAATGAGTACAGTGTACACTGTTCAGGTGACAAGTGCACCAAAATCTCAGAAATCACCATTAAAGAATTTATTCATGTAACCAAAAACCACCTATTACCCAAAAACTATTGAAATAAAATAAGATAAAATTTGAGGATATTTGATGAGAGTTACAGAAAAACTAGAAAGGAAAAACAAAATGAAAATATATGAGAATATAAAGATGTATGAATTTACAAGGACCAAAACTCTATTCTTAATGGAATATATGTCTTAGCTAGTACAGCAGATTTCTCTTTCTTTTCTTTGCCTCCACTCTACTGACAAATTCCCATATGAAAGGTCAAGAACCAAAGTTCAATATGTTTGGTCACACAAATTCCGAATTCTTCCACTAAACCATCTCTCTCCCTCTCCCTCTCACTTTCTACCTTCTTCATTCGCTTTCCTTTTCACATATGAATTCCAGTTTTCATCCACAATGAAGCAGCAGGTACCTGTATATAAATACCCATCATTGGATAGGGATGAGAAATTCACGTTTCTTTGGATGCATGAGCACAACAATCACTGAAGCCATCATAAAGCCCAATGTCATATTTCCCCTTAATTGAGAGGACAAAATATATATCTCTTTAAAGACTCAAACCACAAGAGTTTAGTATCACATGGCTAAGAAAAAGGAGAATTTAAAAGCTACAGAAAAGATAAAAATAGTTGCTTTTAAAACTAAAGGATTTTTTGGCCACCAATTACTCCTATAAAGTTTATGCAGAATTCTGCTTACAGCCATGATGAACTAATTAGACCTGGACTTAACTTCCCACTATAAACAACTAGGAAATGGCAAAAAATATGAAACAACTGGTTTCAGATATTAACCATGATCCATTAGCGAATAGAAACAAACAAAATCAGCCATGTGACAGCTGTAGTTCAATGCACAGATGCACTTTCCAGACTACTATGTTGGAGGACAAAGAGTCTCAAAGAGAGCATGACATGCATGCTGAGTTAAGGAGATAGAGAGGGAGTTTGGGGAGGCTGTGGTGGCTGTCATTTGTAAAACAATGTACTAGAAAAGGGGCACTTAGGTACACAAAGACTGCATAGGACTTCCCTTGAGTCTGTTGACAAATACAAAGCTGTCCACACATACTACAAAATTTCACAAGGCATGGCAAAGAATGACTAAGGTTTCATGAGCTGTAAAATCAAAATCCCCTGAACTCACACAGAGTAGGAAAATTTTTGAATTCTGAATAATTAGAATGGGGAGTCTTAGTGGAATAGCCAGGGCATTCAATAATAACTCCAAGATCATAATGACTTGTAATATGATGACATAGCCTCAAAATAGACTATTTTACACCTACCCTAATAAAGCTTCAAAACAAGCCTTGTAAAGCTCAATCTGATCCTTAAATAATTTAACAGCATGCCATAACAAAGTCCAACACTTTAAAATAAGAAAACAAAATCTTGAGCTTAACAACACAAAATTCATAATGTTTAGCATCAAATCTCAAATTGCTAGACATTACAACCAACCAGAAAACCATTAACAAAATGGCAGCAATAAGTCTTAACCTACCAATAATAACTTTGAATGTAAGTAGATCCAATTTCCCATTTAAAACATATAGACTGGCTTAGTGGATTAAAAAAAAAAAAAACTACCCAACAATATGTTTCCTAGAAGGGATTTGCTTCACCTTAAAGGACACTTATAGACTGAAAGTAAAGGGATGAAAAAAGATATTCCATGCAAATGGAAATCACAGGACAGCATAAGTAGCTATACTTATTTTGGCCAAAATAGACCTTAGGTAACAAAAAAACTATGAAGAGAGACAAAGAAGGTCATTATAGAGTGATAAAGGGATTGATTCACCTTAAGGATATAACAATTGTAAATATATATGCACCCAACATTGGAGCAACTAAATGTGTAAAGCAAACATTAATAGATTTAAAAGGAGACACAGACTGCAACACAATAGTAGTGGAAGATTTCAATAACCCACTTTCAACAATAGCCATACCATCCAGACATAAAACAATAATAAGGAAACACTGGACTTGAACTACACTTTAGACCAAATAGACCTAGCAGAAATATATAGAACATTCCCCCCAACAGCAACGAAATACATATTATTTTCAAATACATATAGAAAATTCTCCAGAATAGATTATATGCCAGGCCACAAAAGAAGTCTTAATAAATTTAAGAAGATTGAAATTATAACAATTATCTTTTTGGCTACAACAGAATAAAACTAGAAAGCAATAACAGAATAAATTATGGAAAATTAACAAATATGTGGAAATTAAACCTTATGCTCTGGAATAACTATTGGGTCAAAGAAGAAATTAAGAAGAAAATTTAAAAATATCTTGAGGCGGCCGGGCGCGGTGGCTCACGCCTGTAATCCCAGCACTTTGGGAGGCCGAGGCGGGCGGATCACGAGGTCAGGAGATCGAGACCATCCTGGCTAACACGGTGAAACCCCGTCTCTACTAAAAATACAAAAAAAAATTAGCTGGGCGTGGTAGCGGGCGCCTGTAGTCCCAGCTACTTGGGAGGCTGAGGCAGGAGAATGGCGTGAACCCGGGAGGCGGAGCTTGCAGTGAGCCAAGACAGCGCCACTGCAGTCCAGCCTGGGTGAAAGAGCGAGACTCCGTCTCAAAAAAAAAAAATAAAATAAAAATAAAAATAAAAATATCTTGAGGCAAATGAAAATGGCAACATAACATACCAAAATGTGTAGGATGCAGCAAAACAGAGTTCTAAGAAGGAGGTTTAAAGGAATAAATTCCTGCATCCAAAAAGAAGAAAGATCTCAAATAAACAACCTAACACTACACCTCAAGGAAACTGGAAAAAGAAGAACAAAATAAGCCCAAAGTTAGCAGAAGGAAAGAATAACAAAAATCAGAGTAACACCTAGAAAAACAATAGATAAGGTCAACTAAACTAAGAGTTGGTTTTTTGGAAAGCTAAACAAAATTGACAAACCCTTAGCTATACTAAGCAAAAAAAAAAAAACAAAAACAAAAAAAAAAGAGCAAGAAAGAAGACTCAAATAAATAAAATAAAAAATGAAACAGGAGGCCGGGCGTGGTGGTTCACACCTGGAATCCCAGCACTTTGGGAGGCAGAGGCAGGCGGATCACTTGAGGGCAAGAGTTTGAGACCAGCCTGGCCAACATGGAAAAACCTGGTCTCTACTAATAATACAAAAATTAGCTGGGCGTGGTGGCAGGTGTCTGTAATTCCAGCTACTCAGAAGGCTGAGGCAGGAGAATCACTTGAACCTGGGAGGCAGAAGTTATAGTGAGCTGAGATTGTGTCACTATGCTTCAGCCTGGGCAACAGAGCAAGACTCCATCTAAAAAAAAAAAAGAGGCCGAGCACGGTGGCTCACGCCTGTAATCCAAGCACTTTGGGAGGCCAAGGCGGGTGGATCACCTGAGGTCAGGAGTTCAAGAACCAGCCTGTCCAACATGGTGAAACCCCAACTCTACTGAAAATACAAAAATTAGCTGGGTGAGGAGGCGGGTGTATGTAATCCCAGCTACTTGGGGAGGCTGAGGCAGGATAATCGCTTGAACCTGGGAGGCAGAGTTTGCAGTGAGCCGAGATCACACTATTGCACTCCAGCCTGGGCAAAAGAGTGAGACTCAGTTTCACCAAAAAAAAGAGGAGCAATTACAACTGATAAGACAGAAATACAAAGGATCACAAGAGACTGCTATGAACAACTATACGACAAGAAATTAGATGACCTAGAAGAAATAAATTCCTAGAAACTCGTAACCCAATAAGACTTGAATTATGAAGAAATCAGAAATCTGAATAGACCAATAACAAGTAAGATATTGAACAAGTATTAAATGTCTCTTCAAAAAAAAAAAAAAGAAAAAAAAACCCAGGACCGTATGGCTTTGCAGCTGAATTCTTTACCAAACATTAAAGAAGATCTAATACCAATCCTCCATTCCATCATCTGGAGAATAGTAAGAAATGCGAATTCCTGAATTTATCCCTGAACCAAAGAATTAGAAACTCCAGACCCAATGATTTTTAAAAAGCCTTCCAGGTGGTTCTGATGCCCACTTAAGTTGAGAGTCCCTGATAAAGGAGCATATTTCATAACCTTGGAGAAAGAGTAAATAATTTACTCAAGTAAATAACAATTACCATAAAGAAACATGTCAATAAACTATATCCCATTAAGAAGAAAATCTTTTTATCAAAATATAGCTTTAAGAGAGTAAAAGGAAAACTACAGATTGGTAAAGAAAAAATATGTACATAGATATATAATCACAATACATGTATCCAACAAAGAACTAGTACCCACAAAATATAAAGAACTTCAAATAAAGAAAACATAGACACCCCCCACCCCAAAAAAAAAAACCCAAAAACCTAAACAGGCATTTCACAAAAGAATATATCCAAATGGTTTAACTGCATATGAAAACATGTTAAGTTCCATTCATCAACAGGGAAATATGAACTAAAACAACAATTAGATACACTACACTCCCATCAGAGTGGCAAAAGTTAAGAGTTAGTAACACCAAATATTGGCAAGGATGCAGAAAAGATGGAAGGCAAAACTGGTGTAACCATTATGAAAAACTGTTCTCCAGTATCTATTAAATGTAAGCAATATTTCTAACCTATCACCAAGCAATTTTATTTCTATGTTTATTCACAAAAGACATGAGTGTTTATGTTCACAAAAAGACGTGTACAAAAGTATTTAAAGCAACATTATTAAAAATAGCTAAAATCTGGAAACAATTCAAATGACTACCCCAAGTACAATGGATAAATTGTGGTACATTTTACACAATGGAATACTACACCACAATGAAAAAGAGTGAACTACTGCTACATGCCACAACATGGATAAATCTCACAGAAATAATGTTGAATGAAAGAAAGCAAGCTGGGGCAACATGGTGAAACCCCATCTCTACAAAAAATACAAAAATTAGCCAGGTATGGTGGCACCCACCTGTAATCCCAGCTACTCGGGAGGTTGAGGCTAAAGTGAGCCAAGATCACACCACTGCACAGAGCGAGACCCTGTCTCAAAAAAAAAGAAAAGAAAAAAGAAATTACGAAGGCAAACAAAAAATAGTACTGGCCAAGATTCCAGTAATGTGAAGTTCAAAAATAGAACTAATAGATTATTAGTTCTCTTTTAAAGAGCGTTGAATGGGAAAAGGAGCCATGAAGGAGAGTTCTGGGTGCTGAAAATGTTCTTTATCAGGGTAGTAGGTTATGCTTGGGTTTCTTACAGGAAGCCGACTCTAAAACAGGAAAGGAGAGAAAGCCAAAGTAAACTATATTAACGTGGGGAGCTTTATAAATGACTTTACTTTGGGGCATGTTATCAGATACTAAGGCTAATATATTGGAAAGAATAAAACAAGAAAGGAGAGAAAGTCAATAGAGTGGTACTATCAAGCTGGTCGCCACTATGGAAAACTGGATCTGACCTCGCCGGAATCCTCTGATGAGCAATGAAGATCTTGCCTCAGAATTGTCCACCTGAGGGGTATGAAAGGAACACAAAGCCCTGACTCCCATCCCCTAATAGTCACGGATTGCCCATTGGGTCTTAATTCCCCCACACTTTCAGTTTTGAGCATTCATAAATGCTAAGTAGCTTCTCACAGGTGTCCCAACCACATTGTGAATAAAGACTTAGTGCAAAAAAGCAGCGGATATGCAGTGAGCTGAGCTGAGGTTCTGTAACCAAGAGCCTCACCAAGGGCTGGAGGAAAACAAATGGGCTGAGGTGTAAGGCACGGTACAAGAGATGTCTGCTACTGCTATGTTTTAAGGTCAAATGAAGAATATATAGACACAACATAAAAAATCAAATTTTTTTCCATAGGAAAACTTCAATATTCCACAGCCTGTTCAATAACTGTTTAACTTTCAGTGCCACCTAGTGGTGACATTCACAAGCATCATGTTACAGCTCTTTAACGGTTTCAAGGGAAAATCCTCATAATATTGTATGTGGTTCAACGTCACTCCATTATGAGTTGAAAATCCCGTGCCTGATGTAGAACACTCACCTGCAGTAACAGCTGTTCATCTGTTGGGACCCTTATCTTAACTCACCACTTTCAGAAGAGCAGACAAACTCAATTTGGTACTTGTAAGTAAACTATATTGATGTGGGGAGCTTTGTAGATAAGACCTCACTGTATATGGAGAATTTTAGCTGCCTCTGGGCTACTTCCCCCGTATTTTATCTCAAAGTTACCGTCATTGTTAAATGAGATCTCCATATTGCATCTGTAATCTAAAAATCCTAATTTCTCTAGCCTCCTGGAGTCAGTGTTTACTTAAATCTCCAAATTAAAGTATACCAAATGAATTCCATTAAGCCAAGTTAATTATTATAAAACCAAAGTTAAATAATGTTTTTCTCATTTTATCTTTGTTGTATTAAAAGTATATTCATTAGCATCAAGTCTTTTTCATATGAAAAAAATATTCATGGTGAAAAAAAACTAATTGGTGAATCAAATATGAATTTCACCTATACAAAGGGTTTGCATTTGTGAGTTTTCTTTTGTACCCATTATTTCTTAAAAATTCAATTTTTCTAGATTTCCAAATTGATTTCAATGTTTCTATATGACATTTTATCCATTATAATCCATTATAAATCATAGTTTGTGTTGGTTTTGCTGCTATTCATATTTATTTAAAGTTTTAGATAGAGCAAAGGTAGCTTGTTAACACATTAATGCATTTCTAATCAAATTTCCATGATTGTCCTTTGTCCTGAATTGGATTACCATATTGCTAATTTGGTTCTCTTACCAACTTTGCAAATTGTATACTATTTATGCAGGCTAGGGACTGAGTAAAAAGCATAGAATGGAATTAAATGTTCTTTGTTGTATAGACAATGATTATGTCACCTACAAATAAATGTAGTAGACTTATTATTTTCCAGTTTATGACTTTAACTTCTTGCCTTTGCCTAATTAATTCTTAACTAATGAGACTGGGACATCCAGTACAGTGCTGAATAGATATGCAGAGCACAGACATTCTTGCCTTGTTCCCAACATAAGAAAAGTGTACAATATCACCATTAAGTGTTATGTTAGCTATAACTTTTTGTTGTTGCTTTTTGTCAAATTGAGGAAATTCCTTTTTATTTCTAATTTACTAGTAGCTTTTTGTCATAAACAGATGTTGAATGTTTCGAAACTTCTGTTTATCCATTCAAATAAACACATGATTATTTTTCTATAATTCTCTACATTCTCCTATATTTTGAATATAGGAATTATATAGGAACAAAATATAGGAGAATATAGGAATAAAGTATCGGCAAATTATTGAGATTAATTACACTTTAATTTTCAAATATTAAGACAATCTTTCTTTTCTGTGATAAACCCCACATAATCATGATTTAATAATCTTTTATATATTGCTAGATTTTATTAAACTATTTAAAGATGTTTGTGTCTAACTTTATGAGTAATATTATTCTGAATTTTCTTTTCTTGTAATTTGTTTATAAAGTTTCAGTATTAGGAATATGCTATCTTCCTAAAGTAAGATTTTAAGTAAGATTGATATTTTTTCTTCTTTAAATGTTTGATAGAATTCACAAAGCCTTCTGGGTGATGCTTTGTCTTTATAAGAGGGATTTTTAAAACAAAATATGTTAATATTTGTTATTTATTATTTTATTTTTGCTTTATTGTACTTATTATTTACTATTTATTTGTTATTTTAATAACAAATTATCATCATAGAGCTATTCAAATGTTCTTTCTGTCTCACTTTCAGTAAATTGAGTTCATTAAGGATTTTTTTCATTTAAAAGTACATTTTCAAATATATTGGTATAAATTTTTTCATTAAATTTTCAACTTATCTCTTTAATAATAAGATTTGTTATAATATTCTTTTTTATTGTTAATACTGGTAATTTGTTATTTTTCTCTTTTTTCTTGATCATTCTTGCTAGGAAGCTATCAATTTTATTAATCTCAAAACTAAACATTTGGCGTTATTTTCTCTATTGTTTGTTTTGTTTTATTGATTTCTTCTTTATCTTTATTATTATCTCCTATTTATGTTGGGTTTACTTTGCTCTTTTTGTTCTTGCTTTTTAAGGTGGAAGTTAGCTCACTGATATTAAACATTCCTTCTTGTTGTTCTATAACATTAATATTTGAAGCTCTGAAGTTCCTGTTTTCACCACGTTTAAAGTGTCTCACATAATTCGATACGTTGTATCTTTATTATCATTTATTTAAAAATGTTTTCTAATTTCTTTTTTGAATTCTTTACTAATCCATGAAATATTTAGAATTGTGTTGCTTAATTTTTAAATATTTGAGTATTTTTTAGATTTCTTATTGTTATTGATTCTAAATTCAATTCCATTGTGATCAGAGAACATACTCAGTGATTTCAGTTCTTTCATGTTTATTTAGACTTTTTTATGGCTCAGCATGTGGTCTACCATGGTAAATGTCCTATGTGTGCAGGAAAAGAACACATATATTCAGAAGTTATTAGATGTAATGTTCAATAGGTGTATATCAGGCCATATTGATTGGTAGTATTGTTCAAATCTTCTATATCTTTATTGATTTCTGTTCAGTTTATCAGTTGCTGAAAGAAAGTGTGTTAAAAATCTCCAACCATGTTTGTGATTTAATTTTTACTTTGTTTTTATTAATCTATTTATCATTAATTTTGAAATGTTATTATTAAGTGCATTGCCATTTATAATTTTTATTTCTTCTTTGTGAACTGATTAATTTATTTATTATTATAAAGTATTCCACTTATTTACTATTTTCAATTCTTTTCCATCCTTCTTTTATATCTGAGTTTATAACTTGTATTATTTCTCTTCATCTTGACAGACTTCTTTTAGCATTTCTTAGTAGGTCTACAGGCAACAAATTCCCTGCACTTTCATTTTCATTTTCAAAATGTCTTTATTTCACTTTTATTTGTAAAGGATATTTTTGCTGCAAGTAGAATTCTAAGTTGATGGGTTGTTTCTTCTTGCTTGTTTGTTCTTAGTAATTTAAAGATGTGTTTTATTCCCTCTTCTCTGGCTTCCATTTCTAGTAAGAAGTCAATTGCCATTCTTCCCATTGTTCCCCTGGATGTGCTGTCTTTTTTCATGGTTGTTTTTAAAATTATCTTATCATTGGTTTTCAGCAGCTTATCTATGCTGAAAAGTTTCTCTATGCTTTGCTCTGTCAGCAGTTTGACTATGACATGCCATGGCATAGTTTCTTTGTATTTATTCTGTTTGAAATTCACTAGGATTTCTGAACTTATAGATTAATATTTTTCAATTTAGGGAAAATTTGGTCATTATTTCTTAAAAGATTATTTCTGCCCGAGTCTAATTATTATTTTAAAAAGTTGTAGACACTGTATAGATTTATAAATATTTCAGTATTTTTTCTCTATGTCTTATTTTGGATGATTTCTATTGACCTTTCTTCAAGACAATTGACTCTTCCTTCTGCATTGCTTGTTCTACTGTTAAGGCCACCAGGTATGTTTTTGTTTTTCAGAATTCATTCTATGAGTTTCTTTTCTAATTTTTATTTATTTTACAAGATTCTTCATATATTCATCCATTCATTTTATCTTATAATTTCCCAAATATATTTATAATACTAGTTTTTAAAATCCTTTTCTGTCAGTTCCAATGTCTGGGTTATCTGTGAATTTGTTGCTTTTGATTTGTTGATTTTCTTATGGGTCCCTTTTTTTTACATCTGTGGTCATGTTTTATGTCATACTGAACACAGTATTTACATCTGTGGTCATGTTTTATGGTATACTGAACGTAGTACATGGATAACAGTGAAGACTGACTTACGCAACTCTTTTGCTTTGTTTTTATTTCCGGGCATGCGCAATCTCTTCTATGTGTGGCTGCCAAAGTAGGAAAGTGATTATTCATATTTCACTGAGTATCGGGTTAATCTTGAACTAAGCAGCAATTTTTAAGATTGAATTCATCACTGGTTAGGCTTTCCTCCTGATGCCACAGCTGATTCTACCAAAGCCTAATTTCTTTTTTCTTTCTTTTTTTTTTTTTTAGACGGAGTTTCGCTCTTATTGCCCAGACTAGAGTGCGATGGTGCGATCTCGGCTCACTACAACCTCCGCCTCCCAGGTTCAAGTGATTCTCCTGCCTCAGCCTCCTGAATATCTGGGATTACAGGTGCCCGCTACCATGCCCGGGTAATTTTTGTATTTTTTAGTAGAGATGGGGTTTCACCATATTGGTGAGGCTGGTCTCGAACTCCTGACCTTGTTATCCGCCCGCCTCGCCTCCCTAAGTGCTGGGATTACAGGCATGAGCCACTGCGCCCGGCCTCCAAAGCCTAATGTCTTTGATCTTATCAATGTTCAATCCTGGAGCCTAGTGTGTCTTGGACCTGCGTTTTACCTTTTGAATCAGTAGGAGCAGAACTCTGTTCCCAGGCACCACAAGAATACGTAAGACTAGAAAGTTGTTTCTGCTTTTTTCCTTTTTTTTTTTTTTTTTTTTTTGAGACGGAGTCTCGCTCTGTCACCCAGGCTGGAGTGTGCAGTGGCGCGGTGCGGGCTCACTGCAAGCTCCGGCTCCCGGGTTCACGCCGTTCTCCTGCCTCAGCCTCCCCAGTAGCTGGGACTACAGGCGCCCGCCACCACGCCTGGCTAATTTTTTTTTTTTTTTTTTTTTTTTTTGTATTTTTAGTAGAGATGGGGTTTCACCGTGTTAGCCAGGATGGTCTTGATCTCTTGACCTCGTGATCCGCCCGCCTCTGCCTCCCAAAATGCTGGGATTACAGGCGTGAGCCACCGCGCCCGGCCTGTTTCTGCTTTTTAGCCTCACCCTATTCTCAGTAAAATGGGAATGGGACGCCAGAAAGCATTTCTGAGTTAAGTATATTATTGCTGCATTTGGGAGTCTTCTAGACTCCAGTGTCCCTGCCTGGCCACCAAAGTGCCAACAGCTCATCTATCTCAGTCTTTGGCAGGCTTTCTTCTCCGCCTTTGCCTCCACAAACTGCCACTGCTTAACGGTCACTCACAAAGGGCTCCCCTCTCTGAAAATTAGTCCTTCTGGACTTTTCTTGCAACTACCATTCTTCAGTAGTTTCATAAATGAGTAAGAGTTTTATAACATCTGAGGGGTGGGGGTTTTTTTATGTTACCATAGGAGCAAATGTGTTCCACATCCTTTCACACGCTACACAGAAAATTGTATGTTGTGTTTAAATCATAGCCAAATTGCAAAGAAAATTATGGTTTCTTTATTTTGTTCATAACTGATCTAATCTTTCTCATAATTATCTCCTTCTAGGTTGAAAGGATTATAAAATGTAATTATGTTTAAAATTCCATGTGATCTAAAATTCCATCATTCTATCATGAGCCCAGGAGCTCCTGCTACATAAAACATATGCTAATCAATAAATGTGATACATCACATCAACAGAATAAAAAACAAAAAAAACCATATGATCATCTCCATAGATGCAGAAAAAGCATTTGATAAAATTCAATATCCCTTCATAATAAATACTGGCAACAAATTAGGCATAGAAGGAACATATTTCCACATAACAAAGGCCATATATGACAAACCCACAGCTAACATTATACTGAATGGGGAGAAGCTGAATGCCTTTCTTCCAAGAACTGGAACAAAACAAATATGCTCTCTTTCACCACTCTTATTCAACACAGTGCTAGAAGTTCTGTCTAAAGCAATCAGGCAAGAGAAAGAAATAAAGGTTTTCCGAATTAGAAAAGAGGAAGTCTAATTGCCCCCTCTTTGAAGATTACATGATCTTATATCTAGAAAAATGTAGAGACTCCACCAAAAACTCTCAGAACTGATCAACACAGTAAAGTTGCAAGATACAAAATCAGTCAACATGCAAAAGTCAGAAGCATTTCTATACACCAACAACATGGTAGCTGAAAAAGAAATCAAGAAAGCAATCCCATTTATAATAGCTACAAAAAAATAAAATACCTAGGAATGAATTTAACCAGGGGAGTGAAAGATATCTAAGGAAAACTGCAAAACATTATTGAAAGAAATTGAAGATGACACAAACAAATGGAAAAAACATCCCATCTGCAAGGAATGGAAGAATTATATTGTTAAAATATCCATACTACCCAAAGCAAAATATAGATTCAATGTAACTGCTATCAAAATGCCAATGACAGTCTTCACAGAAATAGAGAAAACAATCCTAAAATTTGTGTGGAACCACAAAAGACCCCAAATAGCCAAAGCAATACTGAGCAGACAGAACAAAGTTGGAGGCCCGTCACGCCACCTGACTTCAAAATATACTACAAAGCCGTAGGAAGCAAACGTCCTAGTATTTGTATAAAAACAGACACACGGACCAGGAGAGAGAAACTAGAAATAAGTCCACATTCACAGCCAACCGATTTTTGACAAAGGCACAAGAACATACATTAGGGACAGGACATGCTGTTCAATAAATGGAGCTGGCTCTACTACTATTTGGAAGGTCATTGGGCTCTACTTTGTCCTTTGTATTGAAAACAGTGTGGGATCAATGTGTGTGTATGTGATTTGGTTGTTGGGTTGGCTTTGCTTTTTCATTTTTTATTTTCCTTATTTTAAAAGTACATCTTCTCCTCTCACATTTTACTAAGTTAATTTCTGCTTTTGAAAAGTTGAGTCTCAAAGCGTAAAAACTAAGCCTTCATTTCTAAGGTGGATGTGAAAGTCATTTAACTTTATTCATGCCTTATCTTACAGCTTTAATATCAGATAGGTTAGGAGAGCCCAGGGGAAGTAATGGGGGAGGGGAGAAGGAAATTCTTTCTGAATGAATATATTTTTTGTTGTTTTGCATTTTTAATATACAAGTTCCTCGAGAGATCATGGCCTTTGAATATGCATACAACCTTTAAATTGTGCCTACTAATTTATAGCAGGATGCTTTGGTGTCTAAAAACTTCTGACTTTCTGGGATTATAATAGTAATTCCCAGCCATACTCCAACTTAATTTTACCAACCATAATTGAACACTGTAAATTACTGATATACTAATGTTTTATAGCCAAGTTTTATACCCAAGTTTATAGACTTGGGTAGTCTAACTGTGACTTTAATTATGTTTGCCAGTTATCTGTTTGAAATCAATTTGTATCTGAACAGCTACTGAAACTGTTAAGTTGTACAGATATTATTCATGACAGTTTGTACTGTGGAAGGTGCTTAATAAGAAACAAAAGGTTTGGCCTTTGTCCAATAAATCACTAACTAATGTCAATAAATCAAGTACAGTATGATGCACTAAAATAAAATAAAATATGGTGCTGTGAAAACTTGCTATCCACATGCAGAAGAATAAGACTAGATTCCTATCTCTCACCATATACAAAAATCAAATCAAAACAGAATAAAGACTTAAATGTAAGACCTGAAACTATAAAACCACCAGAAGAAAACACAGGGGAAATGCTTCAGGACATTGTTTAGGCAAAGATTTTATGGCTAAGACCCCAAAAGCACAGGCAACAAAAACAAAGACAAATGGGACTATCTTAAACTAAAAAGCTTTATTTGGTCAGCAAAGGAAACAATCAACAGAGTGAAGTGACAATCTGCAGAATGGGAGAAAATATTTCCAAATTATTCATTTGGTAAGGGCCTAATATCCACAAAATACAAGAAATTCAAACAACAGCAAAAGGAAGGAAGGAAGGAAGGGACGGAGGGCGGGCTTTCCAGCCCCAGACCCCTACCCTACAGCCGCCGAGATATTGATGCCTAAGAAGAACTGGATTCCCATTTATGAACTCCTTTTTAAGGAGAGAGTCATGGTGGCCAAGAAGGATGTCCACATGCCTAAGCACCTGGAGCTGGCAGACAAGAATGTGCCCAACCATCATGTCATGAAGGCCATGCAGCCTCTCAAGTCCCGAGGCTAAGTGAAGGTACAGTTTGCCTGGAGACATCTCTACTGCTACCTTACCAATGAGGGCATCCAGTATCTCCGTGATTACCTTCATATGCCCCAGAGATTGTGCCTGCCACCCTACGCCGCAGCCATTCTGAGACTGGCAGGCCTCAGCCTAAAGGTCTGAAGGGTGAGCGACCTGCAAGACTCACAAGAGGGGAAGCCGACAGAGATACCTACAGGCAGATTGCTGTGCCCCCTGATGCCGACAGGAAGGCTGAGGCTGAGGCTGGGGCTGGGTCAGAGACGGAATTCCAGTTTAGAGGCAGATTTGGTTGTGGAGGTGGTCAGCCACCTCAGTAAAGTTGGAGAGGATTATTTTGCATTAAATAAACTTACAGCCAAAAAAAATTAAAAAAAAAAATCTCATTAAAAACTCGGCACAGGATATGAATAGAAATTTCCCAAAAGAAGACATACAAATGACCAACAGGTATATCAAAAAATGTTCAACATCACTAGCCATCAAGGAAATGCAAATCAAAACTACAATGAGATATCACCTTACTCCAGTTAAAATGACTACTATCAAAAAAAAAAACCATAACAAATGCTGGCGAAGTTGTGTAGAAAATGGAACTCTTATACATTGTTGATGGGAATGTAAATTAGTATAGCTATTATGGAAAACAATAGCACTAGTCACAATAGCCAACATATGGAATCAATCTAAGTCCATCAATGGATAAATGAATAAAGAAAATGTGGTGTGGCCATATTAATGCATAAAAACATACAGTTAGATAGAAGGAATAAGTTTGGTGTTCAATACTATAGCAGGGTAACTATAGTTAACATATTGTATATTTCAAAATAGCTGGAAGAAAAGATTTGAAATGTTACCAAGCGCAAAGAAATGGTAAATGTTTGAGATGATGGGTATGTTAAACACTCTGATTTGATCATTACACATGTATACATGTATCAAAATATCCCATGCACCCCATAAATACATACAATTATTATGTATCAACTTAAGAATTTTTTAAAAAGTAAATAGGAGAGGTTATTCTTTATGAGAGGGACAATGGGAAGCGGAGAGGAAGGGATACTAATTTTCTTTTCTGTCAGCATTTGTTTGAATTTTTAATCATATGTATGTTACATGATTTTTGTCATCAGGACTTATCTGCTGAAGAGGCACAATTTATTTTCTTTGTGTCACTAATTAAACTAGCTATTAATTATTTTTTAAAGAAATGGATAAAGATGTCAAATCAACAGCTTCAGCTTTTATCTTTAAAAGCTAGGGGGGAAAGAACAAACTAAACCCAAATTAAACAGAAGAAAGAAATCAATGAAAAGATTAATAAAACCAACAAACCTCTAGCCTGATTAATCTGTGGAGAAAGAGGAACAATACAAATTATCAATATCAGAAAAAGTTATTCAGATTATCTATTTCTTTTTTTTTTTTTTTTTTTTTTTTTTGAGACAGAGTCCCACTTTGTCACTCAGGCTGGAATGCAGTGGTACAATCTTGGCTCATTGCAACCTCCACCCCCCAGGTCCAAGCGATTCTCCTGCCTCAGCCTCCCGAGTAGCTGGGACTACAGACGCCAGCCACTGTGCCTGGCTAATTTTTATATTTTTAGTAGAGACAGGGTTTCACCATCTTGGCCAGGCTGGTCTTGAACTCCTGACCTTGTGATCCACCCGCCTCGGCCTCCCAAAGTGTTGTGATTACAGGCGTGAGCCACCGCGCCTGGCCATCTGTTTCTTTTTGAGTGAACTTTGGTAGTCTGTGTTTTTCAAGGTGTTTATTCATTTAATCAGAGCTGTTGAATAACTCTATATCTGCTAAAGAAAAGTGCATTTGTAGTTAAAAGCCTGCCTAAAAATGTCCCAAGACTGCATCTAAATGTTAAAACCAAATATACATCCAAAACTGAAAATGAAAAGTAGTCTGAGAAATGTACTTTTACCTTTCCAGTTTCAGCAAACCAATTCATAGCATCCACGACCCTGCATTTTAGATGAAGCATTTCTTCACCTAGATTCCAATAATTTGGAAAAGAAAAGAGAAAATGGTATCTCTACAAAATAAACTATTTTTCCTCCATTTTGAAAAGCCCTTGAATGACCTGCAATTCATTAATAGATTTTGGAGCAAGAGAGCCAGCACACTGATCAGGGGAGCTAACAAAGAATTAATAGATTCCAGGAGGGTGAGGAGTAGAGCCCAAAAAATGGTCTCCAGGGAGTTAGATACCAGAAGTCAGGAAGATGTGCTGTGGTAGCACAAAGCCATGCGTTAAGATTTTACTTATCGGCCAGGCACAGCGACTCACGCCTGTAATCTCAGCACTTTGGGAGGCCAAGGTGGGCAGATCACCTGAGGTCAGGAGTTCAAGACCAGCCTGGTCAACATAGCCAAACCCCATCTTTATGAAAAAAAATACAAAAATTAGCCAGGCGTGGTGGCGGGCGCCTGTAATCCCAGCTACTTGGGGGGCTGAGACAGGAGAATCGCTTGAACCTTGAACCTAGGAGACAGAAGTTGCAGTGAGCCGAGACTGCACCACTGTACTCCAGCCTGGAGGACAGAGTGAGACTCTGTCTCCAAAGGAAAAAAATATATATTTTACCTATTCTTTTGAGGTGATAACTATCGGGGGACCTGCCCCAATAATCACGTAGGTTCATTTCTATTTTCCTAAGCGTCGGCTGGCTTGAGAAATAAAGGGACAGAGTACAAAAGAGAGAAATTTTAAAGCTGGGCATCCGGGGGAGACATCACACGTTGGTAGGATCCGTGATGCCCCACAAGCCACAAAAACCAGCAAGTTTTTATCAGGGAGTTTCAAAAGGGGAGGGAGTATACGAATAGGTGTGGGTGACAGACATCAAGTACTTAACAGGGTAATAGAATATCACAAGGCAAGTGGAGGCAGGGCGAGATCACAGGACCACAGGATGGAGGCAAAATTAAAATTGCTAATGAAGTTTCAGGCACCATTGTCATTGATAACATCTTATCAGGAGACAGCGTTTTGAGATCAACCGGTCTGACCAAAATTTATTAGGCGGGAATTTCCTCTTCCTAATAAGCCTGGGAGTGCTGTGGGAGACTGGAGTTTATTTCACCTCTGCAATCTCGACCAAAAGAGACAGATACGCCCCGGGGGGGCCAGTTCAGAGACCTACCCCTAGGTGCGCATTCTCTTTCTCAGGGACGTTCCATGCTGAGAAAAAGAATTCAGCGATATTTCTCCCATTTGCTTTTGAAAGAAGAGAAATATGGCTCTGTTCTGCCCGGCTCACCGGCAGTCAGAGTTTAAGGTTATCTCTCTTATTCTCTGAACAATTGCTGTTATCCTATTCTTTTTTCAGGGTGCCCACATTTCATATTGCTCAAACACACATGCTGTACAATTTGTGTAGTTAACGCAATTATTACAGGGTCCTGAGACGATATACATCCTTCTCGGCTGACAGGATTAAGAGATTAAAGCAAAGACAGGCATAGGAAATCACAAGGATATTGATTGGGGAAGTGATAAGTGTCCATGAAATCTTTACAATTTATGTTTAGAGATTGCAGTAAAGACAGGCATAAGAAATTACAAAAGTATTAATTTGGGGAACTAATAAATGTCCATAAAATCTTCACAATCCACATTCTTCTGTCATGGCTTCAGCCGGTCCCTCCGTTTGGGGTCCCTGACTTCCCGCAACAGATAACCAAGAGTAAAAATTTTGTAAAATTTTAGGAAAGTAAACGGAGGTATTATCAGAGTCATATGGTATCTATTGTCTTAATGTTTTATCATACTTTCATATTAATTTAAATTATGGTATCATATTTCATCATGCTAAGATGTAACCAATTGTAATTATGCAAATATTTTATGTACCACTAAGAAAAGAAAAAAACTGTCAAATAAACCAACACAATATTTTTATCTCTTTGTGTTTTAACTTTTCAAGTGGTCTTTTGAACTTTTTTAGACAAGCATATTAATTATATATAATTTTTGTGAATAAACAAAAGAAAATGTAAGAGAAATAAATTGGTTTACAGATTCTCAAAACTTAGTAAAGTTGTTCTAGTTCTTTCAAGTCAAAGTTAATATATCTAACTCATTTCTTTCAATGATTGCCCCTTGTTCCATGGTTTGCCTGTGACAGAAACTGCAAGTTGCCTCATCAAATTCATTAGCAACAAAACCTGATTTTTAGTTAGGCGTATTCTCACTAGATTAAATACTAGATATCCCAGCCTCACTGGCATGTAGATGTGGTCGCATGAATGCTTCTTATCAAGACAGTAGAAGAAGGCTTGTGTTCATGTATCCTACTTCTGTTAATTCACTTTAAAAGTGGGGATAAAGGCGGTGTCCTTTTTTCTTCCTCCATCCTGCTACCCAGAAAACTCTTGTGATGGATCACACTTTAGCATTTAACATGGGGCATAACAACGAGTAACAGAGCAATGAGCTCGACAAAGCCGGGTCCCTATTAACCTCAGGAAGCTAGCCTTTGAGTGCTTATGTCTGGACTTCTATTCTGTAGGATAATAGAAGTCTCGTTTAAGACTTTTACTTGTTTAAGTCTCTTTTTTGGGGGGCTGTTTTTGCTTTAAGCAACTGCACCTATTCCTAATTAATGTCTATTTTCAGTTTTTGGCCACTACAAAATATACACATATATACATAAAGGGCTGCAACTATCATCTTGTACATATATCCTCAAACACTGGTGCTTTCATTTTAATAAAATATGTTCCCAAAAGTAGAATTTTTGAGTTCAAGGGCCCATTAATTTTTCATGTAAAGAGATTTTTGCCAAAAAGCTTTCAAAAAGCTGTTAAAAAAATAATATATTATCCTCCTTCATTGTTATCAATTTGATAAGTTAGAATGGATATCTCATGATTCTTCTGTGACTACTAATGAGAATAGTTATCTTTGTTATGTTGGCAATGTTAAATTTTTCTTCATGAGTTATCTTTTCATAGTCTTTGCCCATTTATTATCTGAATGTTGAACTTATTCTTATAAATTTGTGAGTGACTATGCTCATTATTAATATTAACTAACACTATCTGTCATTTGTAATATAGATATTTTCCCAATCTATAGTTGGTTTATGCCATCTATTGCCTTAAAAACTTTTTATTTGTTAGTATATCTATATTTTATTTATAGTTTCTGTATTTCTGTTTTGATTAAAAATATTCAAAACTTCCACGTCTTTAATACATCTGGAGTTTATTTATGGTTATTCTATGAGGCAAAGTTCCAATTAGTTTTTTTCTACATGAATAGGAAGTCCATCCATTAATTATTCTTTGCAGTAATATGCAATAGCATCTCATACATAAATTTCCATATATACTGAGATCTATTTCTTAGCTTTCTATTCTATTCCTCTATTCTTCTATTTGTCAACTTCTATTTTATTACCATGATGTTTTGATGACATTGGCTCTGGGTTTTAATATCTATTATGGCAGACTCCCCATTTGTACTATTTTTTATATGTTGGGGTCATTTTAATACTACTTAGAATTTTATTTAATTTACAAATTTGAAGAGATAATTAATATTTAACTATATTAAATGTTCTAAACTAAGACTATAGCATGGCTTTTCATAAATTCAGAACATGTTTATTGTCTTTCAGAGGTCTCTATACTCTTTTTCATATGGGTCGACAATATTCTTGTGAAAGGTATTCTTAAGTCTTTAAAATTCTTGTCTTTTTTTAATGGACTATTAATAGACTATTATTTCCCATTTACATTTCTACTTGGTTATTGTTAACAGGAAAAATAGCTTTGATTTTCATATATTCATCTTTTTTACCTGCTGAAATTCCCTTATAAATTCTAGTATTTGTTTTTCCAAATAAGGTTGCTTGGGTTTTCCAGGTATATGGTGACATCATCAGTGAAAAGAGCTAAGTGTATCTATTCCTTTTCCATGCGTGGGTGACATGATGGTCCCTTTGCCTTAACAGCCAGCTCTCAGGCCCAATAGAAGGCTGCTTTTGCTTGGCTCCCCAAAGGCTGCAAAGTCAGTAGGCTATTTCAACCACCACATTTTTTAACTACCTCACTTGGTCTAGAATTATACCACCAACATGACATTAACTGTGTCAAGTTTCTTTTGATCATGGTGGTGAGAAACCAACTTCACTTCTGTTTCTCCTTTATGAGCTTCAGTTCTTTGAAGGTCTATAAGGCAATACGATTTTACACCTACCCAAAACTGTTCCCTATGAGCCAGATTCACATTTTTCAGTGGAAATTTCTCCAGGCCCGTGCCCATCTCTTACCAAGAAGCTGATGTTGCTGTGATAGCTGTGTTACTATTGTTACTATTGTTGAAATGTAGAGTCTGAAATACAGGCCATTTATGTAACTTTCCACTTTCCTTCATTTCTAGTTATTTTTCTGAAACTAACAGAATTTAATCTTCTCAGAAAATTCTAACAAGACTGGTTTTATCCTGTTTTTTTCATCTTCCAATCACCGTGTGTCCACTATGGGCTATTGATCATACTATAGTCATCTTGCAAACTGTGTTTACTATAGTCCACAGAAATTTCAGGAATCAGTATTAAATTCTAAGTCCATCTCCAGACTTCAAATAAATGTCCCCACACAGTCACAGCAATTGTCTCAAAATGTACTGGCTCCAGTGCTAGAGGTTATGATTTATCCAGGAGATAGACATGTTCTGTAAAATAATTCTTGGTAATCCCACACAAATCCCACAGGTAATACATGTGAATCTTAGACAATATGTTGGATATCTCTTTATTTTCCATTAGTTAACATAATTTCTAACTCTGAGCATCATTGGTCCAGTGGTAGAAAACATGTAATTTTAGTTTTTCCTGATTTCTGCCCCCAATCCGTAGAATTCTAACCTTATACTCACTGACACTCATTTGTTAAGCCATACTGATTATCCCTGAAATAAACATATCACTTTCTGCACAGCCTTTTAAGACACAGTATCCTTTCTGATATTTCTGTGCCACAATTACAGGTATGGGTGTTTTGCTAAGGCTACCCGTGACCTGTTGTCCAGCAGAACCTTATAGTCGTTCTCTCTGGGTTTTTGTCCCCTCCCTGATAGTGCTGCTGGAAATAACACAGAATGACTGGGAAGCTATTTCTGTTTTCTATCTTGCCACATTCTTCCCCTGAGGCAAAGAGAAATGTGTAAATATCTTGCATAGACAAGGAGGAGAAAAGAGGAAAAATGTAAGAAAAGAAATAAATACATATGTTAAAATGTCAAAATATTATCCTCTGCTGAAGCGGAAGGCTCTCTTGAGCCCAGGAGTTCGAGGCTGCTGTGAGCTTTGATTCTGCCACTGTACTCTAGCCTGAGTAACAGAGCAAGAGCCTATCTCCAGAAAAAAGAGAGAGAGAGAGAGATTGTCCTACAACAAAAAACATGTAGAAACTCATCAAAATATATTAAACAAGTGTTTTCAGACATTGAGAAAAACAGAAAGTGAGTGTTGTGATACTGAGTATGGGAAAATAATCTAGGTGAGTCTTTAATTATTCCCTGCCTTTCCACCTAGAGGCAATTTTCAAATCACATCACAGGGAGTGAGAAGTGAGAAGACATATGTGGCCTGAGAATAGGGTCCAGACCACAAAGGAAGAAGAGCCAGTTTAAGCAACTGCACAGCACAAATAGAAAAGAATAAATGAGCAAAGTTTGTCTGAGCCAGTCTCAGTTTACACCTGTCATCCTGCTTAATTATTAAGTACACCCTCTCAATTACAGTTACCCTAAGCAACAGAGACCCCAGGGAATGAGAGGAGAGGATACACTAAGAGTGGGGCAGCATCAACTCCAGATTGGATAAAGAAAATGTGGTACATATACACCATGGAATACTAGGCAACCATTAAAAAGACTGAAATCATGTCCTTTGCAGCAACATGGAGGCAGCTGGAGGCCATTATCCTAAACGAACTAACGCAGGAACAAAAAACTAAATACCACACGTTTTCACTTATAAGTGGGAGCTAAACACTGAGTACACATGGACATAAAGATGAGAACAATAGACACTGCGGAGCACAAGAATGGGGAGGGAGGAATGGGGACAAGAGCTGAAAAACTACCTATTGGGTACTATGCTCACTATCTGGGAGACGGATTCATTTGTGCTCCAAACCTCAGCATCACACAATATACCTTTGTGACAAACTTAAACATGTATCCCTCGAACCTATAATAAATGTCGAGGCTGGGTGTGGTGGCTCATGCCTGTAATCCCAGCACTATGGGAGGCTGAGGTGGGTGGATCACGAGGTCAGGAGTTCGAGACCAGCCTGGCCAACATGGTGAAACCTCATCTCTACCAAAAATACAAAAATTAGCTGAGTGTGGTAGTGTGCGCCTGTAATCCCAGCTACTTGGGAGGCTGAGGCAGGAGAATCACTTGAACCCAGGAGGTGGAGGTTGCAGTGAGCCGAGACCACGCCACTGCATTCCAGCCTGGGCGACAGAGCAAGATGCCATCTAAAATAAATAAATAAATAAATAATTGAAGAAAAAAAAAAAAAAGTGGAGCAGGCACTTCCGAGGATGGTTTTGGCAAAAAAAGAACATCCATTCTCAGCTCTTAAAGAAAGAGCTACACCGCAAAGCAAAGCAAACCAACTCCATGCCATAGACTCATGAGCAAAAAGCAAATTCAAGTAGTAGCTTTGGAAAGTTCACAGATTTCTGTGTATAGCTGAGAAGACACATGTATCCTCCTGAGTCCAATCAGGAAATAGAAACTCCACCATGAGTTTAACAGAGGAAGTTTAACAGAATTATTAAACATAATAAGAAAATAATTATAATATGTAAGAAAACTCAGCAAAAAACCCTAGGGTGGAAGGAGAATATCCAAAGAAGAGCAACTCGGAAGTGTGACTCCTCCCCAAGGCTGGGGCGCAGATCTTATTGGAGAAGGTATGGTTCAGTCCCATACCTTGGGTAGCAGAGACATTCACAGGTTTACCCAGGCCAAAGCTGGCCTGAAGTAGCTAGATAAGCTGGAAGAAACCCTCCTGGCTTGAGGCAGGGGCTTGCAGAGGAAGTACTGCTCAGTGGAAACCTCCAGGCAGTGGGTGGATTAAGCACAGGAGATGCGAGGGTCTGCAGATAGAATGGGGTACTTGGAGGGGCAGGGACCACAGGCAGCGCCACACAGGATGTCTTCCCACCCACTTCATTGACCCACCACGCAGTAGCTGGAAGCTGCAGGAGAGCCCCTTCCTCCTGCTGTGTCCCTCCGGGGCCCTTTACTGAAAAAGCTTAACAATGTGCTGACTTTTTAAAGGAACTCTGTTCATTGTCACTGAGCCTATTATGAAGAATGAATTTGGAGCAGAGTGGTAATAAATTCACAATCAGCACAACACTCAGTAAGAAACATGATACTCATAAAAAGAGTATTAACATGTTCTAAAATGAATTCTCAGGATTCTCTGAGATATTTGGAACTGAGTATTTATTTGAAGGAAGAAAAAATTTCCTGGAGAGATAAGCCTTTATTTTCTAAATAAATTAAAATTGTTTAAAGATGAGTCAGAGCTACCATAAATTCATGCAGAGGCATTTCCAAAAGGACATCAGTAGAGACTTTAACACACGTGCCCTCAGAATGCAGAAGGCCAGTGGGGTTGGTTCACAAACTTGACACTGCTAGAGGAACCTAAGCTGAAGAGCGCCACGTGAGGGTGGGCAATGTGGTACCAAACACAGCAACAGCCTCCACATCTTTTAAGGCATTACACACTTGAACTCCACAAGTCTAGGAGATAATCAATAATAGATAATTATTATCCTCCTTTGGCACAGGAGGAAACTGGTTCAGAGGCTAGAACTCCAGTCCCCTCAGCCAGTGCACTTGCTGGTTCACCTCACTGCCTTTGTTTTTCAAAGCTCTGCTTCAAATTCCCCTCCCTCCAGGACGCCTTCCCTGACTAACGCCAGGCCAATGTCCTTTTCACTTAGCACTTTGAGGAAGTTGTTGTATAACATTGCACAATGTCTAAGAACAGTGGTTCTCTAACTTTAGCTAAGCATCAGAATCACCAGGGGGCTTGACTATTGAGCCTGCTTCCAGACTCAGAGTTTCTCATTCAGCGGGTATAGGATGAGGCCCAAAACAATTTGCATTTATAACAAGTTCCCAGGTCCTGCTGAGGCTGTTGGTCAGGTTACTACAATTTGGGAACCATTGATTTAAAAGCTAGCATAATTTTTTTTTAAGACAGGGTCTCCCTCTGTCATCCTTACACTGTAGTGACACAATCACAGCTCACACTAACCTGGAATTCATGGGCTCAAGGGATCCTCCCACCTCAGCCTCCAGAGTAGCTAGGACTACAGGCGCTCACCACCATGGGTGGCTAGTTTTTTAATTTTTTGTAGAGACAGGGTCTCACTATGTTGCCCAGGCTGATTTCAAATGCCTGGCCTTAAACAATCCTCCTATCTCAGCCTCCCAAAGCACTTGGATTATAGGCATATCCAAGTGCTTTGGGATATGTTGAAGCTAGCAGAATCTTCACGCACATCCTAAATTCATATGTGCAAGTCTAGTATAGAGAGTGTGAAATGTTACTTTTCTCAAGCAAACACTCTCCAACCGTTAAGTCTCACTTATTTTTTCTGGGTGTTCAGGGACCCTGACTGCCAAGAGATTTACCTCCCAGCTAGGCAAACATGATTTTGGCCTCCTTATTTCTTTGGCATCAGAAAGGTCTGCTACCCCTGTAAGTTTCCTGCTCTGTCCTCTCTAAGATAAGAACACAGCATGGCTGGGCTACCATCACCATCATCGCTGCAGCTCATGCTTGCCCAAGTGGTGTTGGCCCTTTCCCTACATTGTCTCTTTTAATAGCTGTAAGTAAAGGAGACTGTTGTTGTTGCCGTTGTCGTTTTGGGAAGGAAGGGATGCCTTCATGACAATCTTCCTCCAAGGAAAAAAAGTGATGACCATTTGAGAGAAATATCCTTACTCAGAGTAGTTTTTTTCAACATAATACACATACACTATGATTTATCTTCGTTTATTAATTACACCAAGTAAAAATGTGAGACGCCTCTGTTTCTTATAACCTAACTTTCTTTTAAAGAGAAAATGTCCTTCTTCAGTCGTAAATCCAAATTTACAATAGAAACTGTGTCCTCCAACTGCCAATATGACATCCAGGGCAAACTTTTTATAAAAGACACACAAACTCCTGGGTTTGTCATCAGTCAGTAGGTATGTATTTGAGGTGTCCCACATAGTATTTTGTAAAAACTTGAGTCAACCTTTTAAAATCAGGCATGTTCGCTGAAAATCCAGATTTCCAGTTTT